>NC_000008.11:124464222-125714222 GCF_000001405.40 Homo sapiens
CAACAACAGCACTGGGTAAATAGAGATAGGTGGATAGACTGTCTCAGTTTCTTTTTAATAATTTTTATTTTTTTAATCGAAGCTTTACACATAATTTAAAAACTCAAAGGTAACAAAACCTAATATGAAAAAAGCCCACCATGATGAAGCAGCTGTTCTGCAGGTGTTTTGCCCTCATTCTGTGTGTCTACTTTCAATTCCAAATGGGCTTATATGACCAAAGAGATGCAGGATCTAACCAACATGTACCAACAGGAACCATGAGCATGTGTATGGAACTGGGTCCTGAGAGTGCTGGACAAGAATTAAGTTTGTGTTTATATAGGACAGCAGTACCCATTTATAGTATTGGCTTAGGGTTATGTTAACTCTTCCACACTGCGTCATAATCCGAAGAGATCTAGACCATCTAAACATCCCACATAATGTCACAATGACCTACCACATTGATGACATCATGCTAGCTGGATAAGGTGAATAATAAGCAGCTAGCATACTGTACACTGGAGGATGGGAAATAATCCTTAAGACCCAGCAAGCTGTTACCTCAGTGAAACTTTTAGGGCCCAGTAGGCTGCTTGAATGCCAAGATATCCCCTTCACAGTAAAGGACAAATTATTGCATCTCACCCACTCATTTCACCAAAATTATTCTGCCACCAGGGAAGCACACCAAGCTGTGTAGGCTTCTGTGGGAATTCAGAAGTTGGCAGTACTGTTCTGACTCGTAAACTGGGTGAGATAGAAATCTGCCAGTTTTCAGTGGGATCCATAGCATGTAAAAGTTCTCTAGCAGGTATGGTGTATTTAGCCCTGTTGCATGGACCAATTCAGGATATTCTATGGGACAAGAGTAAATGTGATAAGAAGCCATGAAAGTTGAAGGCAAGCTCCAATGGGAGAATCACAAGGTCGACTCCTGGCATTCTGTGGCAAGGCTGGGCCATCTGCAGTGCAAAATCCCAAAAACAACTCTATCCATGCTAATGTGCCTTGGTAAGAACTGATTATGGACATCAAGTGACCATGTAGCCAGAGAGGCCCATCATGAGCTGGGCAAAGGCAGGTGGTCAGGCTCCCATGTCATATCTGATTCTTTACCAATGTCCCTTCCTCAGCTCACAATTATGGCCACTTGGGAGGCTCTCATGTCTAGCTTATGGAGGACAAAAAAGCCTGAGCTGAATTCACTGAGGTTTCTTGGAATATAGGTTCAAAACAAAAATGGACTGCTACTGCCCTACAGCCCCACACAGGACTGGCCTTAAAAGACAGCAGTAAGGAGAACCCTCCCAAAAGGCATAATGTGGGGCAGTATTCCTGGTCATCAACTGTGTGTGGAAAGAAAGTGTCTTGAACTAAGAACATATTTTCATGGCAAATAAGTTGGCTAGTTGATCAGGGGTCTGGAATAAGACTGGTATATCAGGGACAAGAAGTCTGGAGAAGCAGAGGAGAAATATATCAGATATGGCACATAAGGAGGGCTTTTTGTATTGTATAACACAATCTTTATCTGCCAGAGACAATCCAACATGTAAGCAGCATTAAATAACCAAGTAGACAGATTTAGCCAGTAAACTTCAGCAGCTACAACCATCGGCTCCACCGCCCCCTCCCTCCGCCCCCAGGAATGGCACAGGGGGCTTATGACAAAGTAGTCATCTTGCAGGAATGCAAGTGAGCAAGAAGCCAATAGATAGCCTCCACTTATCCAATAGCCACTCCCCAGGCTGGGCGCGGTGGCTCCTGTCTGTAATCCCAGCACTTTGGGAGGCTGAGGTGGGCGGATCACCTGAGGTCTGGAGTTTGAGACCAGCCTGACCAACATGGAGAAACCCCGTCTCTACTAAAAATACAAAATTAGCTGGCCGTGGTGGCGCATGCCTGTAATCCCAGCTACTCACGAGGCTGAGGCAGGAGAATCCCTTGAACCCAGGAGGCAGAGGTTGCAGTGAGCCGAGATGGCGCCACGGCACTCCAGCCTGGGCAACCAGTGAAACTCCGTCTCAAACAAAACAAAACAACAACAACAACAACAACAAAATAGCCACTCCCCAGTGTTAAACACCAAGTTCCTGATACAGCACCAACCCTCAAGGATACCAAACAGCTACTTGGGCAGCAAATTGATTTATGTTGGATTCCTTCCATCCTAGAATGGGCAGTGATTCTCCTTGACTAGAAACTGCCCATCTGCATGTATGAGTTTGACTTCCTTGCCTATAAGTTGTTGGCCAGCTCTACTACTCACAGGTTTACAGGTATTTGATCCATCAACATGTATCCTGTGTAATATTGCCTTTGATTTAGGGATGCACTTTACAGCAAAGGAGGTGTATCAGCAGGTACATAACCATGAGATCCACTAGTCCTATCACATACTATATAACCGAGAAAATGCGGGTCTGATGGAATGATGAAAAACCCTTTTGAAGGTGAAACTGAAGCAAAAGCTTGAAGATAATAGCCTGTGAAAATGGAATGACCTTGTCCACCAGGGTACAGTATATACTCTAAATCAACACTCATTTTATGGTGCTGTGTCTCATATATACATAACATGCATGTTTGGGAATGAAAGGATATAAATAGAATTCCTACTGTGTAGTAGGCTGAATAATGGCCCCCAAATATGTTCAGATCCTAATCCTGGATTCTATGAATATTTTACCTTCAAGATAAAAGAGACTTTGTGGATATGACTAAGTTAATGATCTCAAGATACAGAGATTATCCTGGACTATCCAATAGGCCCAATATAATCATAAAGATTCTTACAAGAGAGAGGCAGATTTGCCTAGTAGATGCAATGACTTAAGCAGGAGGATGGGGTGATATGAGTAAGGGGCCATGAGCCAAGAAATGTAGGTAGCCTCTAGAAATTGAAAAAGGCAAGGAAACAGACTTTTTCTTGAAGACTTCAGGAAAAACAGTCCAGTTGATATCTTGATTTTAGGCTTCCAGAACTGTAAGAAAATAAATTTGTGTTGTTTGAAACCACTAAGTTCGTAGTGTCATAGCAGTGATAGGAAATTAATATAACCACATACTCTCACTCCCAGTGACCCAAGTGGGGAGTTTGGACTTCTCATCCCCGCAACTTTGTGAATTAGAAGTCCTGATTCCCAAGAGAGGAACCTTTTCATCAAGAGACACAATAATAGATCCTTTAAACTTTAACTTGCTGAGGTTTCCCGGTTCAAGGTCCTTGTGCTAGGAGACCAGCAGGCAAGGAAGAGTCACCATGTTAGTTGGGGTAAATGAATCCAATCATCAGGAGGAAATAGCGTTATTGCTACACGATGATGGCAGGAAGGAATATACCTGTAGTTTACACTCAAGACCATATAGTGGTCTCTTGATATGTCCCAATATCAAGTAAAGTGGACAACTTCCAAAACAGCAGGGTAAACATCTCCAAATACTGGCTTCTCTATAAAAGCAATGAGAACACAGGCAAAAATGGTCAGTCAACTTTTTCAGAACTCTAGAAAGTAACTAAAAGCTTGAAATAATCTGAGGTGCCTCTATTTGAGAAAAACAGCTAAATCTTGGTAAACAGGGAAGCATTTTAACTTGCCTTATTCCCAGCCCCCACCTCTTAATACAATGATAAATAGTAATGGTGACAGTGAGCAACCTTCTTACTCTTAACTTTAGGGAGAATGCTTCCAGCATGTTTCACCATTAAGTGATATGCTGTCCTTTGTTAAGCAGTATCCAGAGTCCTATTATATTGTTGGCTTATCATGTTTCCCACTGCACTCTAGTGTCACTTTTCTAATGAATCAAGTGACCCTATATGTGTGGAGTTTTTCTAGACTTTCTGTTCTGTTCTGTTCCATGGGTCAGTTTTTCTATCCATGCACCAATACTATCTCGTCTTCATTACTATAGCTTAGAATAGGTCCTGATGTCTCACAGTATAAATCCTTCAACTTTGTTTTTTAAGACTGCCTTAGGTATTCTTGACCTTTTCCAGTTTCTTAGGAATTTTAAAATTGGCTTTTTGATTTTTGGAAAAAAGAACCTGCTGAGATTTTTTTTTAATTGAGATTACATAGAATATATAGGTCAACATCTTTACAATACTGAATCTTCCATCTTGAAGTTTTATTATATCCAGTTGGGTGTAACTGTGAAATGAGAAGCAATTATCAGAAACCCGGATTACAGGATCCCACCTAAGGTGAAAGGTCCTATACTTCCCATCAGTGGGATACTATAGCCATCTTCTCTGGGCTCTCTGCTTTGACAGATGTTTTCAACTTAAGTATTACCTGTATTCTTCCTCTCAGCAGTATCTCAGTCCTCAGATTATGCTTGACCGTCACCGAAGATGAACATATTTTATCATTCACTCATATTCTAATGTAAATTAAGTCCTACTTATTTCATACAATAATTCGAACTAATATCTTCACAGCACTCCTGAGTCATAAATGGAGTCACTGCAAAGTGCTGTGCACTGCAAAGTGCTGTGTGTAGTAACAGGGGTTCCAATGAGTGTATCTCCTACAATTGGTTTACTACATGCTATACTAGGTATTTAAGATGTATTGCTTTAATTCTTGTAAAAAAGCAAGAGAACATACTTGCAGAGGATCAGATCTTAGGCTCTGGAATCAGAAAAATATGAATCAGAAACCTGGCTCTGCCACTACTATTGACTGATTAGTTCTGTGTCCTTGGACAAGTTTGGTGAGGGCTAAATTGGATAGTGCATGTCATGTATTTCATATCTTATGTGGCAATATTCTTTTCCCCAAATGATACTAAAGATTAGACAGCTTAAATACTTTGCCTCAAGACACAGAACTAGAAAGAGGCAGAAGAGGGCTAGCATACTGCCAAGCACATAGAAAGTATTCAGTAAATGTCTGCTGAATGAACAAACCACAGTCAGTATATACTCAACATTTACTTCAAATACCACTATATTCTCTGTTGTTTCCTTTAACTTATGCAACAAACTTAAAATATTTTTTATTTCCATAGGTTTTTGGGGAACAGGTAGTATTTGGTTTCACAGGTAAGTTCTTTAGTGGTGATTTGTGAGATTTTGGTCTACCCATCACCCAAGCAGTATACACTGAACCCAATTTGTAGTCTTTTATCCCTTACCCTCTTCCCACCCTTTCCCCGAGTCCCCAAATTCTATCATGTCATTCTTATGCCTTTGCATTTTCATAGCTTAGCTCCCACTTATGAGAACATATGATATTTGGTTTTCCATTCCTGAGTTACTTCACCTAGAATAATAGTCTCCTATCTCATTCAGGTCGCTGCGAATGCCATTAATTCATTCCTTTTTATGGCTGAGTAGTATTCTGTCATATATTTATACCACAGTTTCTTTATCCACTCATTGATTGATAGGCATTTGGGTTGGTTCCACATTTTTGCAATTACGAAGTGTGCTGCTATAAACATGCATGTCCAAGTATCTTTTTCATGTAATGACTTCTTTTCCTCTGGGTAGATAACCCAGTAGTGGGAATCCTGGATCAAATGGTAATTCTAGTTTTAGTTCTTTAAGGAGTCTCCACACTGTTTTCCATAGTGGTTGTACTAGTTTACATTCCCACTTCTACATACACAGCAGTGTAGAAGTAGCAAAAACAAACTCTTACTATTTATTTGGCATCTACAAAACCAGAAAATTCAAATAGAATTTTGATGGGCACATCTGAATTTACTTTAATGAGAAGAGAAAAACCATAAAGTAATTTAGGATAAGAGATCAATTGCAGTAATTCCCAGGGTCTGAGAAAAAGTTATGGCATATATTTTCACCATCAATCCTACTTGCTTTGGTTGGAATGTGTCCCCCAAATTGCATGCATTGGAAACTTAATCCCCAATATGGCAGTACTGAAAGGTGGGGCCTTTAAGAAGTGATTGGGTCATGAGGGCTGGTGATCCATTCATGGACTAATGGGTTGATAGATTAATGGGTTACTATAAGAGTGGGATTGGTGGCTTTTTTTTTTTTTTTTTTTTTTTGAGACAGACTCTTGCTCTGTTGCCCAGGCTGGAGTGCAGTGGTGTGATCTCGGCTTACTGCAACCTCTGCCTCCCTGGTTCAAGCGATTCTCCTGCCTCAGCCTCCCACCACGCCAGGCTAATTTTTTGTATTTTTAGTAGAGATGGGGTTTCACCACGTTGGCCAGGCTTGTCTCAAACTCCTGACCTTAGGTGATCCACCCACCTCGGCCTCCCAAAGTGCTGGGATTACAGGCGTGAGCCACCGTGCCTGGCCTGGGACTGGTGGCTTCATAAAAAGAGGAAGAAAGGCCTGAGTGGGCATGCTCAGCCCCCCTGATCCCTGCAGTCCCCACCAGCAACAAGATTCTCCCCAGATGTGGTCCCTCCACCTTGAAATTCTCAGCCTCCTCCCTAACTGCCAGAAATGAATTCCTTTTCTTTATAAATTACCCAGTTTCAGGCATTCTGTTATAAACCACAGAATACAGACTAGGACACTACCCTTCCTACCAGTATCCCTATCTTCCACTTGAAGAAAATACATATTAGTAGAAGTGGGGAGTGAAGGGGTTAAATCCAAGTGCATGTTTCCTACTGCCTCCTCCCACTACAGAAGCTAGGGTGCAGATACATGATCCAATAAGCTTGACCAATTGGATGGTGATGTAATTTGGATCTCCCCTGCAAATCTCATGTTGAGATGTAATTCCCAGTTAGAGGTAGGGCCTGGTGGTGTTTGGGTCATGGGGACTGATCCCTGATGGCTTGGTGTTGTCCTCACCATAGTGAGTTCTCATGAGATCTGATTGTTTAAAAGTGTGTGACACCTATCCCCACCCCCTCGCTCCTGTTTTTGCCATGTGAAGTGCCTGATCCTACTTCACCTTCCACCATGAGCAAAAGCTTCCTGAGGCCTCCCCAGAAGCAGATGCAGGCACTAGGTTTCCTGTACAGCCTGTAGAACCGTGAGCCAATTAAACTTCTTTTCTTATAAATTACTCAGCCTCAGGTACTTATAGCAATGCAAGAATGGCCTAATATAGGTGGTCTCTCCTGGGACTTGAAATCTTGAGGAATAATGAAAATAACCCCTTAATAAATTCCCTTTTTGCTTAAGATAACCCAGAAGAATCAGTTTCTGTTGTAGGAAACAAAGACTTCATTAATGCAAATGTCAAGAGAAAATTCAAACTAGTTTTTACACATCCTACCTGTAAAAGTTTTGAAAGCTACTAAAAGGCTTTCTGAGCTGTTAAATCTGAAGGATTTATAACAGATTGTTATTTTCAAACACGAGTATTCTATGTATACAGTTTGTGTGTGTGTGTATTCACACACACACACACACACACTCATGAACCACACTGTGCAGACTCAATATAAATGTACACCTGAGTTGTGCAACATTCAAATCAATGCAGAAATCAAGCAAAGATTAGATTCAGTGAATTGTAGCTATTTCTTGGAAACATTACCTTTTTTTTGAGACAGGGTCTCACTCTGTCACCCAGGCTAGAGTACAGTGGCGTGATCTTGGCTCACTGCAACCTCTGCTACCCAGGCTCAAGGCAGGCTCAAGTGATCCTCCCACCTCAGCCTCCTGAGCAGCTGGTACCACAGGCCTATGCCACCATGCCCAGCTATTTTTTTTTCCCCCAAGACAGAGTCTCACTCTGTCACCCAGGCTGCAGTGCAGTGGCGCCATCCTGGCTCACTGCAACCTCCGCCTCTCGGGTTTAAGCAATTCTCCTGCCTCAGCCTCCCAAGTAGTTGGGATTACAGGTGCCCACCATCACACCCGGCTAATTTTTGTATATTTAATAGACATGGGGGTTTTACCATGTCGGCCAGGCTGATCTCGAACTCCTGACCTTGTGATCCGCCCGCCTCGGCCTCTCAAAGTGCTGGAATTACAGGTGTGAGCCACCGCGCCCAGCCCACATCCAGCTATTTTTACAATTTTTTTGTAAAGATATAGTTTTGCCTTGTTGGACAGGCTCGTCTTGAACTTCTGGCTCAAGCAATCCACCCTCCTTGGCCTCCCAAAGTGCCGGGATTTCAGGCATAAGCCACCACACCCAGCTGGAAACATCTTTTATCTTAAAAATTCCTAAGCATCCTATAAATTACCTCATTACTATAAATTTAATTTTAACGTAGTATTTTAACACAGTTGCCAGGACCTCATTCAAACCTTCATTTTATAGATGGAGAAAGAGAGCTCACACAGGGGTGTCCAAGGGAGATAATACAGTCATGGGTTCTTAGTTTCCGCTTCTGGTTGGGTCAGTAAATACCTCCTCATCTCTCTTTTCCGCTTATCACTAGAAACAGAAACTAAAAACCATGGCTTCAGGCTGTTAACAGCCTAAAACAAAACAGAACAACAACAGTAACAAAATAAGGTGGGTTGGACAAGTTTGGCAGAGAGCCTGCTTGGAGAAGCTGTGTGAAAAAAAAAAAAGACTGCCACCGCTCCTGAAAGTTCTCGGCCCAAGATGGAATTTAGTCAAAGAAACTCTTACACTAATAAAATTTGTACATCAAATTAAGATCAGGGACAGTTAAAACATTAATAAAGACTGAAGCATTTGTTCATTTAAAAAATTTTATTTAATATTTACATTTATTTTTAAAATAAAAATTAGAGGAAAGCCCATGAACTCATTTTCCATGAACATAATATAATAGTACTCACCTATCTCCTCTACCCAACTTGTGTTTTAGATGAGTCCTTTTGGATCTTTTTCCCCATAATGGCCTCTCTCCTTTTGCTTTACAGTGCAATCAGGGCAGAATAACAGATATGTTGAGTAGCTAATTTATATTTCTGAAGATCTCCATAGAACTCTTAAGTTCTAAGTCTTCATAGTCTTTGCACCTTGCCAAGTTTGCTTTCCTTTGGGAATTCTGTCATAACCACAAGGTTATTCCCCAGACATGCAGTTTGGGGAAATTAACCCGGCAGTAGTAAACAGACTGGATTAGAAAAGGTGGCAGTCGTAATAAGGATATTCCAATAACCGGGGAAAGCTACAGAAGGATCTTGAGTTAGGATGATGACAGTTACAATAGAAAGGAGACCAGTACAAGAGACGGTGAAAACAGAATGGATACAATTTAGTTGAAGAATTGGCTGTGGGTGAAAAGAAGAAATCAAAGATGCCTGAAGTTGTGAGTTTCAGGTAGCCCTGAGTTTATAATCCTAGTTCTGACTCGTACTATCTTTGGATATACTAGCTGCTGACTACTAACTGAACAAGGTAGTAACCTTGTCATCTTGTAACTTACCTAAGTCTGTTTCCTCCTCTATAAAACAAACTATCAAAATAAAGCCGATGAAAAGATTGAAGTAAAACATAAAACCCTTAGCACAGTGCCTAGTATCCATTAAGCAGTAGATAAATGATGGCGGTCATTATTAGGGAGTAGGGTAAAGAACAGAAGGTTAAAAACATGAGTAGCAGTAAGGACTTTTGGGTGGGGATTCGGTCTTTCTACTACACATTACACATACCTCTAAGCAGAGAAAGGGGTTGGAGGGGAGTTTGATAATGTGACTAATAATCCTCCTCCCCCTGGGGGGGATCTTGATAAAGGATAGCCACCCACATGGAGGCCTAATATAAACTGGATTGCAGAATGCACTTGAGCTGGGAGCCCAAGCGGGCCAGGCTTCTTGATTCCTATTTTATCCCCTTTAACCTAGGATAGCTAGGTCTATAGTGCAGACTCAGACCTAACTTACACTTTCATTTGCAGCTGAAGTTTCGGAACAAAGACAAAGATAGCCAGATCATATTAATTACACGGATAGGCAAGAAAGCATGAGCCCTGAGGAGGAAGGAAGGGACTGTCCAGGTGTACTTACCTCAAAGATGAGAAATATCAAAGACAGGAAACCCTAGGTTCTTGCCCTTCAGTCGCTATCTCCTTGCCATTAGTAAAATGCGGCCGATGAATGTCCTCACTTCTGTCCATCTGGGCAGGAGGTGGGAAGGGTGACGTGCAAATGGATGGGAGGAACCCTTTTTTCGGCAGCACCCACCACACCCAGCCTAGTGCCACGCACCGCAAGCGCTCCATAAACGCACACAGCGTCGCCTCTACCAGGATCCCGGGCGGCCTTCGCGGGATTTCTCCTGGCGTCGGCTTTCAGACTCCCGAGGGTGGGATAAATCGAGAGGGTGGCATCCTTTGGCTTTTCTTCTCCCAGGCAGCTCTGAACCATGTTTATGCAACGTTTAATGGGCTCTAATAAAACGGCTAATAATTTTGATCCGCGGAAGCACCGACTCGCTCGCTAAGCCGAATCTGCGAGGGTGAAGCTGCAACTCCAACGCCGGAAAGCGCGGCTACCGAAAAGCGCATGCGCCACGGGGTGGCACGAAGCTAGAGTAAGCTGAGGAGGTGGGCGGAAACCATGGCAACCATGGGTGATGACGACATGGGGAGCGTCTCTAGCGCTGGATTATGACGCTGGATTATGACGCAGGCAGTGGGCGCGGACTCTGCGGTTCGCTTGACTGACGGCGCAGCCTCCGGGCCTAGCCACAGCAGCAACGGCAGAGGCCAGCGGGCGAGGTCAAGATGGTGGCTCCGCGGGCGGGGGAGGCAGTGGAGGGAGGAGGAGTCAGACCTTAGCCAGCCGGAAACACCGAAACCCAGAGACCTCCTGGGGAGCCGCCGCCGCCGCCCTCTCGGCCATCGCTGCCTCCGCCGCCTGCTCCACCTCGAGGGACGCGAGCGGGCGGCGGGGCTGGCCGTGAGAGAGACAGGAGAGGAAGGAGGGCAGGGGCGGAGTTGCCCGCCTTAGCCCCCGCCCCCGGCCGCGGCCCCGGGCCCTGCCCCGCGCGGCCCTGCCCGGCCCACCGAGCCCTGGTGTGGCAGCGGCTCATGGCGGCCGTGGGGCCCCCGCAGCAGCAGGTGCGGATGGCCCATCAGCAGGTCTGGGCGGCGCTCGAAGTGGCGCTCCGGGTGCCCTGCCTTTACATCATCGACGCCATCTTCAACTCCTACCCGGATTCCAGCCAAAGCCGGTTCTGCATCGTGCTCCAGATCTTCCTCCGGCTCTTTGGTAAGGGAACAGGGTACCGTACGTCCCGGGACGGCTATGCGGGCCGAGACGTTCCCCGGGGAGCGGGCAGGCGCGCAGAGGCCATGGGTCGAGTATGTGTCTTTGGGAACTACAGTTTCATCCCTCAAAGGGTCGTCTTTACGGGTTGGGAGGGGGAAGGAGATGATACTTGTCTGAGTTGACAGCGGAGCAGTCCCCCTAGCGAGGATTCAGTGTTGTACCTGAGTGAGGTGGGGAGAAAGTAAGGATGTGTGAGCATGCAGCTCTTTGCCCGTTTGCCTTGGGAAATGAGTACTGGCTTACCGCGTCCTATGCGACAGCCTTCGAAAAACAACTCTGCTATCCCAGTCTCGTCGTGTGTGACCTTGGACTTCTGCCAAGGCGTGGGCCTCAGTTTCCCTTTATTACCAAATGCCGAGTACTTGTATGTTGTCACTTCTGCTGCACCCGAGGGTCCACAGGATCGTGAAGTGTCTGCAGTAAATGACATCCAAGCGAAGGAGACAGGGTTTTGAATGTCAGACCTTGAAACCATTACCAAAAATTCTCATGAAAGCGGCGATGCTTAAATCGAGTCCTAAAATTTTCCATGAATAAACGAGAAGGTATTGAAAGTGACTGTAAAAAGTGATGAGACATTTGCCAAAGAGACTTCTGAAAATCATTGTCTTTGTTTCGTATGGATGGAGTGTTAAAAGTATCTTATATTTCATTTCTTCCTTTCCATCTTCACTTACATCATCAGAGGGAGATGCATTTATGCGTAAAATAATTTTTTAAGTAATTGTAACTTGGCAAATTTTGTTGATGAGGTAATTCTGGTGATCGGTCTTAAGTAGGCTAGTGCTTTTGAAGTGTTGCTGAGGGCAGACTGATGGTGAGGTCTTTACCAAGCCTTTCTGAATTACAAGCCATCTGTTGCTTTATTCCTTCAAAAGAGGAGTGGCAATAAAGGCCGAATTTTGTTCTTAGCAATAAATAGCCATATTTTACATTTATCTGGTATTTTCCTTTTGCAAAGCATTTTCACTGGTAGGTATTATCTAACCTAACCTTCAAACATCCCCCAGAGGTGGGTGGTGGTATTGTCATTTTACAAACCAGGAAACAGGGTCATAGAGGTTAAGTGTTTTGCTCTTGGTAGGCTGCCGCTAAGTGGTTGCCAGAGCCTGAGCTTAAAAATCTTTTGACATTAAATATGGTTTACTTTCCTCCCTAACAGCTGCAATCCAGATACAGAATGCAGTAGTAATGATCATATGCTAGATCTTAAAACTAAAGATGTAAACGTGATGTTCAGCCCAAGCTGCTTCAGTAACCCACCTGCTACCTAATTCCAGCCTTTCCTACTTGCCACTGCTAACGTATACCACCACCATAATTTGTGTTAAAAACTGGGCTCTGTTTGAGAGGATTCTGCATGTTCATCCCAGAAACAGTGTAGTGACTGCTTTGAATATTCTTACAGCATGATAACTGCAGATTCTGTGAGAATCCCTTTGGGACCTGGTGCTTTAATGCAGTAGTCTGTTGAGCTTCAGGTTAGGCAGCTTCAAGGAAAAGAAGTATTTTCTTTAATTAAATAATTTGTAGTGTAAGAACATTGAACAAAGCAATCTGATATTTTCCTTGTACTAGGCATGTTTCTTTTGTAATAAATCTTGGAAGTTTGTGTTTGACAAAGAACAACATGACTTAAGGCAACTGCTCAGTGCTTTGGTTTCTTATTTTTACCTTTTAAAAGATGGAGAGTGAGGTTATCTGTTTCATAGGGTGTTAAAGACAATAAATCTATTTTAATGCTTCATTTAATACCATATTTTGTTAGATATTTTGGTCTTTTGAAATCATCGGCAAAATATTGGTGTTGTTTATTTGAAAATTTTGATCCCTGGAATCTCTGGATCAGACTTTGAGAAATACGAAATACTCTTCAAATCTATCATCCGACTCTTCTTACTGTGTCATGTAATTATGCTAATTTTTCACATTTGTAAGGATGATAAGAATGAAAAAAACTGATTTCGGTGCTAAAAAATTATGTTACTAAAAGACACAGGTTTGTGTGTAAATATGCCAATGGATAGTTGAAATTAATCGTTCTGCCTTGTTAGTTTTTTTGTAGTTGTAGACTTCTCAGTACTACTGTGTATAAGTCTTACCACTTGTCAACCTCACTTTTTTCTTTAAAATTAATGTGTAAAAATGGAAATCTCTAAGTAAAAAGCATTACCAGTTTTATGTGTGGTGGTAGAAGTATTTACTCCCCTCTACCTACAAAATGGTGCTACAACTGTACCTTCATTTGATATCAAACTAATTTGAGATTTCAACCGGTTAGAAAATAAAGCAACTCATTTTGGAGATCCAAATAAAATTCTATGACAATATATGGAATATTGAAGAACATAAAGCTGTGTTTTAAGGGATGTTAAATACTAAACGAAACTCAACCCAGAGCAGCATAATGCTGAGTTAGCAAATTTAAATCCAAGGCAGAAAATGCAAGCCTAGGAGTTTGTTTTAATAGTATTACTAATATGGTGATAATTCATTGAGGTGGGAAAAGGCTTTAAACATAACAGAAGACCCAGAAGTTCCAAGGAAAAATCTGAAAAATTTCAGTACATAAAAATAAAAAGCTTTTTTATGGCAAAGCTTAAAAAAGAATCCTTAAATGACAAACTGAGATAAAATACTTCTATCATAAGTGATTCACGTTCCAGTAAGAGTTTTACCCTGCCAGGGAAGCTGAGGCAGGAGAATCGCTTGAACCAGGGAGTTGCAGGTTGCAGTGAGCCGAGATCGCTCCACTGCACTCCAGCCTGGGGATAGAGTGAGACTCTGTCTAAAAAAAAAAACAAAACAAAACAAGAAAAAACTTATACTCCCTTAGGAAAATGCCTAAGACAAGCAATTCACAATAAACAAAATGCAGATGTTCAATAAGCAAGAGAAAAAGTATTTAGCCCTTCCTGCAGTAGCTTGATTTTATGGGGGAAAAAAAAAAGTACCTAGCCTTGTTTATAATTAAATACTGTCAAGACCGCTTACGGTGGCTCACGCCTATAATCCCAGCACTTTGGGAGGCTGAGGCAGGCAGATTGCTTGAGGCCAGGAGTTTGACACCAGCTTGGCCAAATGGCACAACCCGTGTCTACCAAAAAATTAGCCGGGTGCAGTGACTCCTGCCCATAGTCCCAGCTACTGTGGAGGCTGAGGCACGAGAATCTCTCGAATCGGGGAGGTGGAGGTTGCAGTGAGCCAAGATCGCGCCACTGCACTCCAGCCTGGGCGATAGAGCGAGACTGTCTCAAAAAAAAAAAAAAAGTCAAAAAAAATTTATCAGATTGGTGAAGAGTTCAAAGTTTTATTAGTTTTGCAAAGGTATTTACCTTTTTGAAATAGGTAAATTTATACAATTTTGGAAGACTTTTTTTTTTTTTTGAGACGGAGTTTGCTCTTGTTGCCCAGGCCGGAGTGCAATGGCGTGATCTCGGCTCACCACAACTTCCACCTCCCAGGTTCGGGCGATTCTCCGGCCTCAGCCTCCCGAGTAGCTAGGATGATTACAGGCAAGCGCCACCACCCCCGGCAAATTTTTTTCTATTTTTAGTAGAGACAGGTTTTCTCCATGTTGGTCAGGCTGTTCTCCAACTCCCGACCTCAGGTGATCTGCCCACATCGTCCTCCCAGAGTGCTGGGATTACAGGCGTGAGCCACCGTGCCTGGCCCGGAAGACTCTTAATTTCAGTGTAAAACCATTTGGCAGTATCAACTGTCATTTACAACTGACTTCTCAGTGTTTTGTTTTGTTTTTGAGACAGTCTCACTCTGTCACCAAGGCTGGAGTGCAGTGGCGTGATCTCAGCACACTGCAACCTCCACCTCCCAGGTTCAAGCGATTCTCCTGCCTCAGCCTCCCAAGTAGCTGGGATGCCTGGCTCGTACAACTTTTGACTCACAATTTCAATTCTAGGGAATTGGCCTAGAGAGATAGTTTGCTTAAGGACTATGGGCAAGCATTACTGGAAATAACAAAGCAACAAACTTAATCTAAATATGTATTGATACAAATCTGTTCATTGTATTAGGTCTAGCCATGCAATAAAGTTCTTGAAAGAAATGAGATAGCTATTTTTGGTGCCGAAAAAGACTTCAGAAAACCTCTGAAGTGAAAAAACAAAGCCGAAGTAATTATCACTGGCAGAGGAATAGACAGAGATTTCTCAACAGTGGCAGTATTGACATTTTGGACAGGATAATTCTTTGTTTGCGGATGGGAGCTCTCCTGTGCACTGTAAGATTTTTAGCAGCATCACTATCCCCTGCCCATTAGATGCCAGTAGCACCTTGCACCCCCACACCCCAGTGTGACAGCCAAAACTGTCCCTGGATATTGCCAAATCATGGTTGAGAACCATTGGGATAGACAAATAGATTAGTACTTAGCCTTATTTATAATTACATAGCCCAGAAACAGACACCAATGTATATATAGAAATAATGTGTTTCAGAGATAGAATTGAAGTACATTGAGGTAAATATGGACTGTTGAATTAATGATCATTTTGTTACACCTTTGGAAATAAATTATACTAGATGTCTACCTTATGTCAATATATAGACAGTCACTTCTAGGTTGAGCAGTGTAGTGAGACCCTGTCTCTGCAAAAATAAATATTTAAAATAATAGCCATACTTGGTGGTGGGTGCCTGTAGTCCTATCTTACTCAGGAGGCTGGGGTGAGAAGATCGCTTGGGCCTAGGAGTTCAAGGCTGCAAGTGAGCTATGATTGCATAACTGCACTCCAGCCTGGCTGGGTGACAGAGCAAGACCCTGTCTCTTAAAAAAAAAAAATAGTCATTTCTAAGTGTATTCTTACCTAGATGTATATGTAAATATGAAATGCAGAACTTTAAATTTTTAGAAAAAAATATGGAATATTTTATTTTTCCAATCTTAGATTAAGGAAGAAATCCTTAAAAATATATAAAAGCAAATACATAATGAAGATTGATAAACCGAATGATATTGAGGTTAAAAACCTATGTTAATCAAAAGATCGCACCACTGCACTCCAGCCTGGGCAACAGAGCGAGACTCCATCACTAAAAAAAAAAAAAAAAAAAAAAGGAAGTCAAATCTTGGGTAAGGGGGAACTACTGTACTTACATTTACCCATTTATTATAAAGGCAATTACAAAGGACACAGATGAATTAACCCGATGGAAGGAGATGTACAAGGTGAGACAAAGAAGGAGAGAAGAGGAGAAGGGGCGTGGAGCTTCAGTGTTCAGCTATCTGAGAGCTCACAGAACTCAGTCCTTTTGGGCTTCTATGGAAGTTCATTAAATAGGCAAGATTGATTAGATCACTAGTCATTGGTTTATGGACTCAAGTTTCAGCTTCTTTCTTCCCAGAAGTGGCGGCTGGGGGTAGGAATCAAAGTTATAACCCTTAATCACTGGGCTGATTCCCCTGGCTACCTAGCCCCCATCCTGAAGCTATCTAGGGGCCCCCAGGCACCAGTCATCTGATTATTGTACAAAACAGTCATCACTCCAGAGATTCCAAGGATTTTAGAAGCTATGTCAGAAAATGGGACAAAGACCAAATATTAATATTTTTTTTATGATATCACAGATGGGAAAGACAAACTAGAAAAACTTGCTTTAACTCTTCATTTAACACCTCTCTGTAGGGTTTGGCTTTTTAAAATCCATGTTCATATATTTTTGATAAAAGCATACTTATTATAAGTTTAGTTTAAAAGCAAAAGTTTAATTTTGTGTTAATACTTAGAATACCAGGTTTTTTTTCAACCTAAAATGAGAATCCAATAGAAATGTTTTCTTTATAATTTATCAAGTATACCAACAGATTAACAACATTTCAAGACACTTTGTTGTAAACTTCATTGCGGAAGGCTCCCTTGGGAGTAAGGTAGTAGTAACATTTATTTCTGTGCTTTTCCATATTTATTCTGTCAGGTATTGAAATGTTTTTCCACAGGTTGCTTTTTGTTTTAGAGGTATTTCGGGTACTTGGAGAATTGTAAATATTATGTTTTGTACCCTGATTTTTAGTCATAAGTTTCCAAAAGAGGGTAAGGGTATGAATAGACTTTACACATAAAAGAGTGAAACACTTTGTTATGTAACATGTATAGTAAGTTTTTATTTTTTCTTTTGTTTTTATTTGCCTGTTTTTGGTAATCCAAATTGAAAAGGCCTGAACTCTTTCATGAGTTGAGTTCATATATAGTTTCAAAGTTCCTGAATTGATTTGGATACCTGCCTCTTTTTGGCTACCTTGAAAACTCTAGTGAACTCTCTTAATCACTGGAGAATTGGACTGAGATCTCTGAGTTGTGATTTCAGTAAATTCTGTTCTCAAAATTTTTTATAAAGCAGCATTTATATACAGTCTTGATTACTTGTGCAAGTCACTTCCAAATCCTAATGAGAAACTGTCTCTGGACTTTTATATTTTCTTAGACCTACAGTTTAAATACCAAGAAAGGCTTTCATGTCTAATGTAAAAATGCAGTGAAACTTTGATATTATTCTGCAAAGGCCATGAGAAAGATGATTACTTTGGAGACTTGTTACTTAGGATATTGGTTTTTAAAATGAGAGCAGATTCTTCCCAAATTCCATAGGTAGGAACGTGACTATAAAAGGAAAATCTATGAACCCCATATACCTACAAACTTTGGGTAGGAATTAAAACAAACATATACTATTCTTGAAATGTTAACTCACTATTACATCTTGGGGGGTGTGATTTTAATCAGGATAGAGTATTGTCAGATTGTTACTTGCTGGGATACATCCAAATTTTGAGGTTGTAGTCTTACTACATTATTTGTCTATCTGATGCCTTCCCCTTTTTTTCTTTGATACATTTGCATAAAGCAAAATGGCACTTTTTCACTAGAAATGTTTCTAAAACCCAAATAATTTCTTCATTTGTGTGTAGTAAAAACAAGCTTCAGGAAAAAAGTTATTAGAATTTTAAAAATTAGTTATAAAATTATGGCAAAGCTCATGAATAGTTACTGAAGATTAATTTACTACTTTGTGAATAGCAAGTTGACAAAAATAATTTACAGTTCCTGCTTGACTTTCTCCCCTCTAAGTGGCATAAAGTAGAACTAGAGTTATTTTGTTTTGGTTTTGACCCAACTTAGAAGATTTGTTTTAAAGTTTCTGAAGTTTTGTCTCAGGAAAATAAGGTGGTTTTCCATGTAGAGAATGTAAGATTACATATGGCATCTGGTAGGCTGAATTAATTCCATTTTCTTGTTACCTTCCATGGAAGAAGTTTCTAATAAAAAAATCTTTTCAGGGCCGAGCGCAGTGGCTCACGCCTATAATCGCAGTAGTTTGGGAGGCCGAAGCGGGTGGATCACCTGAGGTCAGGAGTTTGAGACCAGCCTGACCAACGTGGAAAAACCCTGTCTCTACTGAAAATGCAAAATTAGCTGGGAGTGGTGGTACATACCTGTAATCCCAGCTTCTTGGGAGGCTGAAGCAGAAGAATCGCTTGAACCTGGGAGGCAGAGGTTGCAGTGAGCCAAGATCACGCCATTGCACTCCAGCCTGGGCAACAGGAGCGAAACTCCATTAAAAAAAATATAAAAAAAAATATATATATATATAATATATATATATTATTTAAATATATATATATTTAAAAATATATATATTAAAAATATATATATATATTTAAATATATATATATTTAAAAATATATCTATTAAAAATATATATATATTATTTAAATATATATATATTTAAAAATATATATATTAAAAATATATATATTTAAAAGAGCCTGTTCTGAGCTCACAACTCTTTGGGGGATTATTAGTGGCCCATTTTCTTGGGGAATCAGGTGGTTTGTATTTAGAGGTTTATATGTCTTCTACTTTATTGTGTCCTTTTGTTTTCCTTTTCACAGATGACTTGACATTTTGGCACAGAATACATTTTAAATCCCTGGACAGAGTCATCACTTAAATGAACTAGCCCTTGCTTATATGTGCAGTGGATTGTGAAATGCGTCTACTGTAATAATATGCAATGTCTTGATTACCTGCTGAAATAAGGTGGATAGATGGATTTTTATTTTATTTAATATTTATTTATTTATGTATTTTGAGACAGGGTCTCACTGTCACCCAGGCTGGCATGCAGTGGTGCGATCTCAGCTAACTGCAATGCCTCCCGGGTTCAAGCGATTCTCCCACCTCAACCCCCTGAGTAGCTGGGAGTACAGGCACGTGCTACCACCCTGGCATATTTTTATATTTTTGGTAGAGACAGGGTTTCACCATGTTGACATGGTCTTGAACTCCTGGCCTCAAGTGATCCACCCGCCTCAGCCTCCCAAAGTGCTGGGATTACCATTGTGAGCCACCACACCCAGCCAAGATGGATTTTTAATTTGGAGTTTGTCACTTTTTCTGTACTCCAGGGTATGGTTTCTCATTGTCTGAAACATAGATTTTATTTTTCAAGCAGGCTATATTTTGTGGTTGCCTTTAAAAACATCCAGATGTGACAGACATTTCCTAATGAATACTAATTGTACTTATTTTGTACAAAATATTGTAGAATCCATAGATGGACAGGGTAGGATCTTTGCTTTCTGTTATAGATACATGTGTAATAGGGTAGATTATACTTAGATAACTGCAGACTACAATATCAGGTGATATATGAGTGTTAAATGTTTCACTAAGTTCTGCAGGTATGCTGAAAGAACAGTTTCTATCAAAGAAAGTAGGTTTCTAGGATAGGTAGGATTTGAATAGTCAGGGATTGGGAGGTTGGGGACATCATTCCAAGCAAAAAGAATGTAAACACTGCTGTAGCTATAGTGGAGAAAGGAATGTGTTTGGGGAATCCAAGTCTGGAGCACTGATGTGTGTGTGTTAGGAGGAATATTACTGTAAAGCAAATTGGGTTCTTGAATGCCAGGAGCAAGAATGTAGATTTTAGTTGATAGTAATTTCAGAGCCGCTGAAGTATTTTGAGCAGGGAATGAAGAAAGGCAATTTGGTGATGGCTTGTAAATGGATTTGGACAAGATGAGGGTTTTTTGAGACAGACTGATTGATTGGTGTCACAGAAAAGGGAGATAGAGGTGTTAGAAGAATTTGGCAACTAATTGGCAAAGTTTGAGCATGTGGGGCTGGGTTGGGAGTATCTCTAAAAGAACAATAATGGTACCTTCAACTGAAATAGCAAATCACAAGGAAAAGCTGATTCTAGTTTAAGGCAAGTCGAGTTTCAGAACTTTGGAGATTTGCAGTTGTAGGAGTGAAAGTAGGTGAGTATTCAGATGTCATTCCCATTGTTGAAACCTTGGATAATAATGTGTTTATTGTAATCCTACTTAAAATATGCATTTCTGTCAGAGTACAAAGAAAGATGGTGTCTATGGAGTGGGGGAAGGAGAATTACCATTTTCTAAAAACATGTCTTGGTTTTCTGAGTGTTACTTTTGTAATGTGAAGAACAATAAAAAGAGTTGACTATTTTAAGAAACAGATTCAGCATTATACAGGAAAAAGGGAACTTGGAAGATGTTTCTAAGTCCGAAGGAAACTAGGAGGAAAAAAAATGGAATTTTGGACCCTTTGGAGAATGCTCAGAGTTAAGGAGTAGGAAATAAGAGCTGGCATGAGTTCACAGTTTGAAGAAAAGGAGGAATTAAGTGGAAGTATAAAACTTGAACTTGATTTCCTAAAGAATCCTTTAAAAAAAAATCTAAAACTTGGCTGGGTGCGGTGGCTCACGCCTGTAATCCCAGCACTTTGGGAGGCAAGGCGGGCGGATCACTTGACGTCAGGAGTTAGAGACCAGTCTGGCCAACATGGTGAAACCCCGTCTCTACTAAAAATACAAAAATTAGCTGGGCATGGTGGCAGGTGCCTGTAATCCCAGTTACTTGGGAGGCTGGGGCAGGAGAATTGCTTGAGCCTGGGAGGCAGAATTTGCAGTGAGCTGAGATTGCACCAGTGCACTCCATCCTGGGCAACAGAGTGAGACTCTTGTCTCAGTCAGTCAATAATAAATGAATCTAAAACTTAATAGGAATAAATGTTTTCCATTTGGGTTATTTTTAACCCAATTTTTAAAATTAATTTTAATGATTATGAAATGATAAAAGACATATTCTTTTGAGTTTTAAAACTTGTTAAAATGTATGTACCACTACAAATTCATCTTGAAAATAATTTAGTAATTTGGTGCCTTGGACAGCTACAGTGTTACTTGAAATACTTTGGAAATTAGAAAGTAAGGAATGAAATTTTAAAGAATAATTTAGTATGTTTGGTCTGTTCTCCTGAACTCTGACTTTACAAAACCTTTATTACCCTTTAAGCCTTAGTTGTCTTGAGGCTTAATGTTCATAACTGAAAATATTCATATTTCCTAATTAAAGGAAGAATATCATAACTCTTAGTGGGGAAACATTCTTACAAATACTTCATTCAAATGACTTTTTCTTTCTTTCTTTTAGGTGTATTTGCATCCAGTATTGTTCTGATCTTGTCACAACGATCACTTTTCAAGTTTTACACGTACAGCTCAGCCTTTCTGTTAGCTGCAACTTCAGTGTTGGTGAATTATTATGCTTCTTTGCACATTGACTTCTATGGTGCCTACAACACGTCAGCTTTTGGAATTGAGCTGCTTCCTCGAAAAGGTCCCTCGCTGTGGATGGCACTTATCGTTCTACAGCTAACATTTGGAATTGGATACGTTACACTACTCCAGATTCATTCCATCTATTCACAATTAATTATTTTGGATCTCTTGGTTCCTGTAATAGGCTTAATCACAGAGCTACCATTACACATCAGAGAGACTTTACTGTTTACTTCTTCCTTGATTCTCACATTAAATACAGTGTTTGTCCTGGCAGTGAAACTGAAGTGGTTTTATTATTCCACACGATATGTTTATCTTTTGGTGAGGCACATGTATCGAATTTACGGATTACAGTTATTGATGGAGGACACATGGAAGAGGATTCGTTTCCCAGACATACTACGAGTCTTTTGGCTAACAAGAGTTACAGCTCAGGCTACAGTGTTAATGTACATCTTAAGGATGGCAAATGAAACTGATTCCTTCTTTATTTCTTGGGATGATTTTTGGGACCTCATTTGCAATCTTATAATTAGTGGGTGCGATTCTACACTAACTGTACTGGGCATGAGTGCTGTAATTTCCTCAGTAGCCCATTATTTGGGGCTTGGAATATTGGCCTTTATTGGATCAACTGAGGAAGATGACAGGCGTCTTGGCTTTGTTGCACCTGTTTTATTTTTTATTTTGGCTCTTCAGACTGGGTTAAGTGGGCTAAGACCAGAAGAGAGACTTATTCGCTTAAGTAGAAACATGTGCCTTTTATTAACTGCAGTCCTGCATTTTATCCATGGAATGACAGACCCTGTATTAATGTCTCTCAGTGCCTCTCATGTGTCATCTTTTCGTAGACATTTTCCTGTGCTGTTTGTCTCTGCTTGCCTGTTTATTCTTCCTGTCTTACTCAGTTATGTTCTTTGGCATCACTATGCACTAAATACATGGTTGTTTGCAGTTACAGCATTTTGTGTGGAACTGTGCTTAAAAGTAATTGTTTCTCTCACTGTTTATACGTTATTCATGATTGATGGCTACTATAATGTCCTCTGGGAAAAGCTTGACGATTATGTCTACTACGTTCGTTCAACAGGCAGTATTATTGAATTTATATTTGGAGTTGTAATGTTTGGAAATGGGGCTTACACTATGATGTTTGAGTCGGGAAGTAAAATTCGGGCTTTTATGATGTGCCTACATGCATATTTTAACATCTACTTACAAGCCAAAAATGGCTGGAAGACATTTATGAATCGTAGGACTGCTGTGAAGAAAATTAATTCACTTCCTGAAATAAAAGGGAGCCGCTTACAAGAAATAAATGATGTATGTGCAATCTGCTATCATGAGTTTACAACATCTGCTCGTATTACACCGTGTAATCATTATTTCCATGCACTTTGCCTTCGGAAATGGCTGTACATTCAAGATACTTGTCCAATGTGCCATCAGAAAGTATACATCGAAGATGATATCAAGGATAATTCAAATGTATCTAACAACAATGGATTTATTCCACCCAATGAAACTCCAGAGGAAGCTGTAAGAGAAGCTGCTGCTGAATCTGACAGGGAATTGAACGAAGATGACAGTACAGATTGTGATGATGATGTTCAAAGAGAAAGAAATGGAGTGATTCAGCACACAGGCGCAGCAGCTGAAGAATTTAATGATGATACTGACTGATGAAAATAGCATTTATTAATGATTGAGGTATTTGTTTAAAATTCAGTTCATCCAAAATGGAGTAATATCCTTCACCTTCAGTGTGTAACCAAGCACAAAAACAGTATCAATGTTGAATCTGTGAATGGTTTTCCGTTTACTGTGATGTGCTACTGTAAATATACCTCTTTAATTACTTCTGGTCTCTTTGGTGACCTGTTTAAATTTGTGTACATTATTGTACATAGAATAAAATGTTTTCACATTTTTATGACAAAATTTGAACAAATAGCTTTTTAATAGATGTAATGATCATATGGTGCGTCACCTGTGCCAAATATTCTTCAATGAAATTATATAATGTAACTTTGGACCTCAGTTTTTCTTTAGAAATGGGTGGGAGAATGAAAATGCAAATCAGGAAACCACATTAAAGTCAAGGAAATAAAATAATTTGACCAGAGGATAAAGGACATGAGAGAGTATTTTAAAACTAAAGAAAAAATTAGCTGCCAGAAGCAACTGAGGACCTTTTTTGAAACTTGAGTAGCAGTGTAATTGAGCTGAGTTTGAAAGTCCTGATTCAGAGAGAGACTGAGGGTTGACAAATAAACTGTATCAACTAAACTTTGATATAAACCAGAATGTGCTAAATGTTTTTTATGTAAAATTGTATATTTGTTAGCCATTCTGTGTCTGCAGTATTGTCATAAAATTGTCCTTTCATTCTTTTGAAGATATTACAAAACAAAAATAGTTTTTTTTAAATTGTTTTAAACTAAGATACTCAATGATATAAAAACATCCTGATCTGATTTTACGAGAAAAAGAAGGGGAATGGTGGGGAATGGTGTGTACCGATATATAGTATTTCTTTAGACAACTTGCAGATAATTTCTTTATTGAAACTATCAGGAAGTTTTACTATGAAATTTTACATACATGATGGAAAGTGGAAGACATATACCAATTATATTCCAGGAAAAAATACTTTAATAGTATTGTTATATAGTGTATTGGCTAATTCCAGTGGATCCTCATCTCTCACTGCTGACATTATCTCCAATATTTGACTAAAACAAAACAAAAACAAAAATGGTTAAATCTCCAAGTATACATTTAGTTCTAAAGCTATATAATATTTTTCCACACAAAGGAAAATATTGGCACACCTTTAATATAATAAAGCTTAACAGTTATTAAGTTTTTCAGCAATATCAATAGAAAAACTTACTGCCAGTAACTGGAAACAGATTTATGGACTGTCTTGCATATAACTAGAGCTAAGAACCAGGTTCAAGTAAATTATTAAAGCAGCCATCTGTATTATGTTCACCAATTATAGCATTAACTGAGTGGAAATGAAGAGTCCTTTTCAATTGTGAGTCATAGCATGTTCATTAGTGGGTCATGATGAGCATTTTAAACATTGACAAGTACATTGTACTCAATAAGGGTAAGTACTGTTCCATTTTTTGTTAGGTTTTATTATGTATGTGTGTCCTAAGTCACAACGTAATTTGTACTGTGGGACAGCAGCCACAGTTGGAAATCTACTGCTAGAGAACTAGTCCTTGAGAGACAGCAAATGAAGGTATTAGGTTGCTGCAAAAGTAATATTTACTTGGAAAAATGTGTGGTTATTGAGGGCGAGGGCTTTCTGTACCTCTACCCTTGCGAGAGAAATAAGCCCAGGTGTCCATCCTTCAGTTTCTTTCTTTCTCTGTCTCTCTCTTCCTTCCCTTCCCTCCCTTCCTTTCCTTTCTTTTTCTTTCCTTTCTTTTTTTTTTCTTTTTTCTTTCTTTTTTGAGACGGCGTCTTACTCTGTTGCTCAGGCTGGAGTGCAGTGGCACGATCTCGGCTCACTGCAACCTCTGCCGCCTGGGTTCAAGTGATTCTCCTGCCTCAGCCTCCTGAGTAGCTGGGATTACAGGCACCTGCCATCACACCCAGCTAATTTTTGTATTTTTAGTAGAGACGGGGTTTCACTATGTTGGCTGGCCGTGGTCTTGAACTCCTGACCTTGTGATCCACCCCACCTGGGCCTCCCAAAGTGCTGGGATTACAGGTGTGAGCCACCGCGCCTGGCCGCATCTTTCAGTTTCTGTGCTTACAGTAATGATGATCCGTAGTGTCTCCATACTTATTATATATAAGTGGAAGATTTTTAATACATGAATTAGAAAGTTCCAAAGTCCAAATTGAACATTTAAATATTCTTTGCCTAAGCTTTTTGTTCCCTTAGTATCTTAAATGTTAACACCTAAAGGAATTAAGGATGGAGATCTAAGATTAATGGGAATTTAAAAAATTGTTTTGTAATGTGACACAAAAGCCTTGCTTGATGTTTATACTAAGCAAACACTACACTAAAATTTTATCTGACAGTCAAGATACACTAAAAGCAAATCTATTAACATTTAAATTAAGACAGTGAAAATCCATTTTTCTTAGGAAACTACTGAATGTCCCTCTGTATGCACTTCTCAGAATTGGAACTCTTGATTAATGCTGCTGATGACACAGTTTTGAAGGTCACAGCAGCTTTGCTAAGATTATATTGCATAGCAAATTCATTTTATTGAAATCGCTTATAAGAAATCTATTGGGCTGGGCCCAGTGGCTCATGCCTGTAATCACAGCACTTTGGGAGGCTGAGGCAGGCAGATTGAACTCAAGAGTTCGAGACCAGTGTGGGCAATATGGTGAAACCCTATTTCTAGTAAAACAAAAAAAATTAGCCAGGCATGGTGGTGGACGCCTGTAGTCCCAGCTACTCGGGAGGCTGAGGCAGGAGAATTGCTTGAACCTGGGAGGTGGAGGTTGCAGTGAGCTGAGATTGTGCCACTGCGCTCCAGCCTGGGCAACAGAGCGAGACTCTCTCTCCAAAAAAAAGAAAAAAGAAAAAAAAATCTATTGGAGCTTAGGACATCCTATTTTACTGTTTGATAATGCAGTTTATGGAAATCTTTCTTCGAATAACCCTTCTGTAGCCAAGCCATGCTATTTCCATACATCTTCAGTGGTCAAAGCTGCAGTTATTCCAAAATGAATATAAAGTTGTTTAATGTCCCTGAGAATTTAGTGGCTTTTGTTTAATGTGGCACTTTTACAGTAAGCACAGGTTTTTGTTTTTTTTTTTTGAGAGAGTCTTACACTGTGGCCCAAGCTGGAGTGCAGTGGTGTGATCTTGGCTCACTGTGTGTGATCACACAGTGGTGTGATCTTGGCTCACTACAACCTCTGCCTCTCAGATTCAAGTGATTCTCCTGCCTCAGCCTCCCAAGTAGCTGGGATTACAGGCGCCCACCACCATGCCCGGCTATTTTTTTGTATTTTTAGTAGAGACAGGGTTTCTCCACGTTGGCCAGGCTGGTTTTGAACTCCTGACCTCAACTGATCTGCCTGCCTCGGCCTCCCAAAATGGTAGGATTACAGGTGTGAGCCACTGTGCCCAGCCAGGCAAAGGTTTTTAAAGTCTTGCAAGATCTACATGATTCCTACCCTATCTCCTTTCCAGCCCTTCCCCATACTGATACAAGTTATAGCTTTAAAAAAAATAATTGCCACTCTCCTGCTTAAAATCCTTTGGGTAGTGATAAAATCTAAGCAAAATGCTGGCATATAAGAGCCCTCACAATCTGGGCTCACTCTACCTTCCCAGACTTGACTTCTGCTTACACTGTGCATCCTACTTTCTGCCACACTTGTTCCTCTGGATTAGCCAGGCCCTTCTGCAGTCTGCCTTTGCTTAAGGTGTTTGTTTGTCTTTCTCTGGCCTAACTCCCAGTCATGGGTAAACAACTGAAATGTCACCTTGGTATAACTCTCTCCTGTTTCCCCTCAAAGCAGACAGTTGATGTGCCCTATGGTCCTGGTCATAGATTCCTACTTGTATAACAGCACTACTATCTTGGACTCTGTCTGCTTATGTGCTCCAGGAGGGCAGGGGTCCTCGCCTGACTCACTGAATGCCTTATCTAAAGTGCCAGGCACAGTGTACCTATTCATCTGGTGGATGGATAAAGACAGGGACTGTCTTGGTTCTTCCTGTGTAGCCTTAGTAACTTGTACCTTTCCTGACATGGCAGGGGCTCCAAAACATCTGTTGCAAACAATGTATATCTAAAAGACCTCTATAAAAATAATTAGAATGTAAAACTGTTAACAGAATGGAGGTTGAGAAAATGACTTTGCAAGTAGCAATTAACTTGCCAACTCATAATTAGCAGTAGATTAGAGGATTGTGTATTTTTTAAATGTGGTTTAAATCTTTTCAGCTTGCAGATGCTAGATTTTCCTAAGCTCTGCAACTAACTGAAGAACAAGTATTGATGAAGCCTTCACAGTTCTTTTTTTTTTTTTTTTGAGATGTATTTTCACTTTTGTCTTCCAGGCTAGAGTGCAATGGTGTGGTCTCTGCTCACTGCAACCTCCGCCTCCCAGGTTCAAGCGATTCTCCTGCCTCAGCCTCCTGAGTAGCTGGCATTACGGGCATCCGCCATGACGCCTGGCTAATTTTTGTATTTTTAGTAGAGACAGGATTTCACCATGTTGGCCAGGCTGGTCTCGAGCACCTGACCTCAGGTGATCCGCCTGCCTTGGCCTCCCAAAGTGCTGGGATTACAGATGTGAGCCACCATGCCTGGCCAGCCTTTATAGTTCTTAAACAGTCTACATTTAAAAACACCTTGAAATTTTGTCTTGCAAATATATAGCTAAAGTCAACAGCTATAATCTTACATAAGATTAAGGAAATATAAAAAACTTACTTGGATACACTGTTGGCAACTACTTCCTGTAAGCTGGCTGCTGTCAAAATACCAGTTTCTTTTCTCTAGTGTCCTTTTAGTTCCCCAAAAAATTGGCTGGGTGTGGTAGCTCACGCCTGTAATCCTAGCACTTTGGGAGGCTGAGGTCAGGAGTTTGAGACCAGCCTGGCCAACATGGCAAAACCCCATCTCTACTAAAAATACAAAAATTAACTGAGTGTGGTGGCATGTGCCTATAGTTCCAGCTACTTGGGAGGCTGAGGCAGGAGAATTGCTTGAACCCAGGAGGCGGAGATTGCAGTGAGCCAAGATCACTCCACTGCACTCCAGCCTGGGCAACAGAGCAAGATGGTCTCAAAAAAAAAAAAAAAAAAAAAGATTTAGAAATACTGTCTCATCACTGAATTTGCAAGTACTTACATTTCTTTATTTTTTAAAATTTTCTTTATTTCTTTAGAGACAGGGGTCTCCCTATGTTGCCTGAGCTGATCTTGAACTCCTGAGCTCAAGCAGTCTTCCCAAGTAGCTGGAATACAGGCGCAGGCCACCATGCCTGGCTGCTTCAGTTTTAAAGACTTTGTCAGCTCAAGCATGTTAATAAAGGAAAAGAACCTTTCAAACATATTTTTATAGAATAATTCTTCACTGTTCTTATCTGGCTTATCTTCTAATACTCTTTTCCTGTTAAAAACTACTGAAAAAAAAGATGGTGCATATGCAATGAATAGTCTTAAAAGCAACAACCTATTTTGTTTTCTTTTTTACCCCTCATGAAGACACAGTACCAATTAGTTTTTGTGAATGTGTTATAAGTATGCCCAATTGTCTGAATTGGTAAATCATATAAGACTGATATAATCTAGATTAATTTAAATTATCTGTTTGTGCAAACAAAAGAAATTGGATTATGTACCCATTAAAATGATATAACCACCTTCTCCTGTTTGTTACCTTTACAGCTCTTTGACAGATGGGTAATAGCCCCTCTTTTCACTTGTGCTATATATATATCACCATTTAAAAGATGATTCTGATCTGCTGCTTTTTTAGGAAATAAAACGTGCTAAAGTCCCACCCCCTTTGATTGGAAAAAGGGGGTAGGAAAAAAGGGGTTTGTCCTTAAGATCACTTATCCTTTTGTTCTGAGGCTTAAAGAAATGTGTTATTTCTTAGATTTATAGAGGCTGTCAAATCATTTAAATCCAAAATATTCTGCTAAGGCTTTCTTGTTACCAAAGAGTAGCAGGAAGCTGCAGTGAGAATGGAACTTAAACCAGGTATGCAAATTCCTCCAAATCACTGCATTAATATGGTGGTCTTGAACCTGAACTTCACTTGGATTTTGCAAAATTTTAATTCTGTCCCTTGCGTTAATTTTATAAGTGGCATCTGGTGGTTAACTAATGATTTTGAAGACCATGAAAGCAAAATACTCACATTATATGGCAGGGTTCATTTCTGTCTTTTAAGCAGTGCCCACTTTCCCACTTCTTTTTGGTAGGAAATGCAGTTCTTATATATTTTGATCCAGCATGTGTACTTTTGACTCCACACCAAGGTGCATCTAGTTAAGCAAAGAAAGTGTCTCGTAAGGGGTTTACATTTTTAAAAATTTTTTATGACCATTATCTAATATATAACCTCTAAATGATAAA
The DNA here is from genome assembly GCF_000001405.40 of Homo sapiens. Classification (NCBI taxonomy): domain Eukaryota; kingdom Metazoa; phylum Chordata; class Mammalia; order Primates; family Hominidae; genus Homo; species Homo sapiens. The sequence goes on from NC_000008.11 coordinate 124,494,051, forward strand.
CCGTGATTCAGCTTCCAAAATGGCACAGTTATTTCAACAGAAAACAGTTCTAAGAAAAGCACAAGATAAAATCTTGAATTGCATCTTAAATACCTTCTAAGACTCACTTCTATTCCTTTTTTCTGCTAACATTGTTGGTGTGCAGCATGCTTTAAAAAAAAGACCTAAACCTTAAATACAATTGTATAACAACATGAAAACATTTAAGTTAAACAGTTTTTTTTTCAGTTTTCAAAATCTTTTTCGCTATGCATGTAGTGAGGTTTGCATAAGTTAAACAAATTTCTATCTCTACTGAATGTGAAACTGGTTTTGAATATTTTTTAATAAAGAATTACACATTTTGCAAACATCGTACTTTTAATCAAATATTTTGTTTTCCTGACTGCCCAAGGAAATGAATGTGATTTCTCCAGAATGGCTCAGTCTTGACTTTCCTAAAGTCCATGGTATAAGGAGAGCCTTGACAGGGTTTAGATAAAAGTTTTAGCTTTTCACCTTATTATTTTTTTGAGACGGAGTCTCACTCTGTCTCCAAGGCTGGAGTACAGTAGCACAATCTCGGCTCACTGCAACCTCTGCCTCCCGGGTTCAAACAATTCTCGTGCCTCAGGCTCCTGAGTAGCTGGGACTACAGGCAAGTGCCACCACCACACCCAGCTAATTTTTTGTATTTTTTTTTTTTTTTTGAGACTGAGTTTCGCCCTTGTTGCCCAGGCTGGAGTGCAATGGCGTGATCTTGGCTCACAGCAACCTCTGCCTCCTGGGTTCAAGCAATTCTCCTGCCACAGCCTCCTAAGTAGCTAGGATTACAGGCATGTGCCACCATGCCCAGATAACTTTGTATTTTTAGTAGAGATGTGGTTTCTCCATGTTGGTCAGGTTGGTCTTGAACTTCTGACCTCAGGTGATCCGCCCACCTCGGCCTCCCAAAGTGCTGGGAATACAGGCGTGAGCCACCGCGCCCGGCCTCACCTTGTTTTAAGAGGCAACGGATTCTAAAATTCTTATACTAAACCAATATAAATTGTTGCACTGTACAAAGTGCTGTAGAATTAAGCCATTATAAAGACACTGTGTAAACAAAATTCTGAACAGATTTTGAAACTTGGAAGTGTGATGTGCTTAGTCAAGACCCCTTGTTTAGCTAAGTACTCGTAACTACAACCTCCTGAGTTATATTCTGGCATCTCATTTTCTAAGTGCTTAGACATAGCAAACTTCTAAATTGAAAAAAATCATTTGCATATGTTTTTCCATTAATAACCCCCAAAGATCTTCTGGAAAACATAATTGTTGAGGTTGAGCATGCTGTTTTAAAATACTTGTTCACTTAAAGTTTGAAGTCAAATTTCTTTCTCCAGCTTTCCTTTTTGTTTGGTATGGTTTAATATGAAACAAAGTTCTGAAAACAAACTTACCTGTCTCAATCATTAATTTTTCACTAGGAATTGACTTCAAAACTTCCAAATTAGCTTCAGTTTTCAGTGAGCTTAAAAAAAAGTGTATATTTATTTTAAAAGGCAGCAATTAACGAATACCTTTTTTCGTATCACAACTTGTCTAAAATGCTACAAAACCAACCCAAAACCCTATAACACTTTGTTTTCAGTATACTTTGGAAAGTATTTGCACACCTCCATACTTCAACAATCCAGATTAACATCTATTTTAACCCAATCTGCCTTCCGGGGATGCAATTTTCCATGCTTATTAGTTGGTTTCCAATAGCGTTCTATATCAGTCTAAGTAAAATTTAACTTTTTAAAAGAATTCATCTGCTTCTGAGTAATTTGCGTAACTTAGAGGTGCTTCTAAGGCTGTAAACGTTCATTTCCTGAATTTTCCATTTTTAGCCCAAGACAGATTCTTCACTCTACTTTAGCAGAATTATGTATCTGCACCCTTGCCATGGTTTCTTTGTAGGATGAACTCTATTCCTTGAATCTGGCGTTGGCCTCAAGACTTGCTATGGCTGCCTGTGGCAGCCTCTATCAGCCAAAACCCAGCTGACTCAAAGATCCATGAATGCAAACATAAATGCTTCCTGTAATGTGGCAGTGAGGTTTGGGATGGTGTAGCATATAATGTGATGACAACTAATACTGTTCTTATATTACTTTAAAAACACAATTTCTCTAATCACAAATTTATTTTAAATTACTTTTTAGAGCAGTTTTAGGTTTACAGCAATAAAAAGTACAGAGATTCCCCAACCATATGCTCCCACTCTCAAAATTCTACACCATAGTGGTAGGTACGTTTATCATTGATGAACCTACCTTGACACAAAACTGTCACCCAAAACCCACAGTTTACATCAGGGTTCACTTGGTTTCATGTGTTCTGTGGGTCTGGACAAATATGCAATGACACGTATCTACCATTGTGGTATCATACTGAATAGTTTCACGGTCTTAAAAATCTATGGTCCGCCTATTCATCCCTCCTTCCCTCTAACCCCTTATCTTTTGACAGTCTCCATAGTTTTGCCTTTTCCAGACTGTCACATAGTTTGAATTACACAGTATGTAGTCTTTTTCAGGCTGCCTTCTTTCACTTGCAAATACACATTAAAATCCCATGTTTTTCATGCTTGATAGTTCATTTCTTTTGGCACTGAATAATATTCCACTGGACATACCACAGTTTATCCATTCACCTACTGAGGAACATCTTGGTTGCTTCCTTATGTAGCATTTTTAATTTCAGCATTTGTTATTACAAAGAATTTAAGATACACATTAAATTAGGTAATATGGACCTCTCATATAGTTATCACCCAGCCCCATCAATCAACACATGGCCAATCCAGTTCCATCCACTTACCCCTATTCCTCTCCTGTATTATCTTAAAAGGAAATTCCAGATGGACAGTTTTAATATTTATTTCAGCATTTAATTCAGGATGTTTCAACATGTATCTCTGAGCATAAGGATTCTTGTTTAAGAAAAACCCAAATCTTCTAGTATTCAAATTTCCAGTTGTCTCAGTGGCATACATTCTAAGTTTGATTAAATTAGGACACAAATGAGAGGCCCACACATTGCAATTGGTCATTGTCTTCTGAAGTCTCAACTTATTAAAATCTCCTGCATCTTTTCCCCCTTCAAATTTATCTGTTGAAGAAACCAAGCTGTTCACGCTGTGGAGTGCCCTAGTCTTGATTTTGCTGATTTCATCTGCGTTGCAGTTTAACAGGTTCCTCTGCCCTCTGTATTTCCTTCTTTCTTCTTCTTTTTTTTTTTTTTTGAGATGGAGTCTCACTCTGTTGCCCAGGCTGGAGTGCGTTGGCAAAATCCCGGCGAGCTGCAACATCCACCTCCCAGGTTCAAGCGATTCTCCTGCCTCAGCCTCCCAAGTAGCTGGGACTACAGGTGCCTGCCACCACGCCCGGCTCATTTTTGTATTTTTAGTAGAGAGGGGGGTTTCACCATGTTGGCCAGGCTGGTCTCGAACTTCTTACCTCAGGCGATCCACCTGCCTTGGCCTCCCAAAGTGCTGGGATTACAGGCACAATCCACCGTGACCAGCCTGCTCTCTTTATTTCTTATAGAAGATCTCGAGTACCATCTACAGGCTGGATAGGATTTGGGTTGGATTTTTTGTGGGGAAGACTATTTCACAGGTGGTGGTGTGATCTTTCATCCACAGGCATATATCTGGTGGTATTTTTGTGATCTAAGGCAGCCATGGATGCCCAATGCATAATTCACCAGGAGCTAGAAAATGCTGATATAATTCTATCAGCCCTTTACTTATTAGAGTACTTCCATAAAAAGAAAATTCTCTATGTCTACTACTTGATTGCTCAAATATATGTAGTTTGTATAAAAAAAATATGTATCTTTCTGTCAAGTGTTGATTCCCTAGCTTCGTCCAATGGTGCTATTACTTTAACATCACCATTTATTTATAATCTTTAAGGAGCTCTTATTCTTTTATGTTCTTTTAGCATTCTGTTCATATTTCATGTCTGTAACATCTCAAATCCCACTATGTTGGGTCGCACTGGGGTTAGTTTTTCTATTTATCTTGGCCTTTTTTCTTTCATGCTTCTGGTTCACCTCATTCGTCTGGTGGTCCTTGGATATCCATTTATATTTTGGGAGGTTGCTAGTGTTGCGTTTCCTTTGCTTTTGTGAAAGCAGGCCTGTTTTACTGCCAGTTCTCTTCTCCTAGTGGGGATTCTTAGTGGGACCTTCTTGTGGGAGTGGGTATATTATGAAACTTCATTTAAAGGTAAGAGTATAGGGAGCTAATTGTTAGGCTCATGGTTCTCTAAATGCTTTTCTTTGGGGATTGATGTAAGCACTCCAAGCCCTAGTCCTCACCATACAGTTTTTTCAATTTTCTTAAGAAAACCCCCACCCCCGGCCCCTGTGTAAATGTTTACTGCTTTTGTCCTCTATGCACAGGAGTGGATATGGGAGTGAGATCTTTTCTCTATATAGGCCCTCAATTAATCATCATTTCTAGTCCGATTTCACACTAATTCTAGGCCCAAAGCCCCCCTATTGGATTTTGCTAGACTTGCTCCCATCTCTTCTGAGGCCCCTTAGTGGTATAATCTAAGCTTTCTCTTTCAGTTTCACCTGTCTTCAGAAATCTACAGAACAGACGGAGTCTCTCACTATCACCTGGGCTGGAGTGCAATGGTGCAATCTCGGCTCACTGCATCCTCTGCCTCCCGGGTTCACACAATTCTCCTGCCTCAGCCTCCCAAGTAGCTGAGATTACAGGCGCACACCACCACACCCAGCTAATTTTTTTTATTTTTAGTAGAGACAGGGCTTCACTATGTTGGCCAGACTGGTCTCGAACTCCTGACCTCGTCATCTGCCTGCCTCAGCCTCCTGAAGTGCTAGGATTACAGGCATGAGCCACTGCGCCTGGCCTCTTTTTTTTTTTTTTTTTTTAATTTAAGAGATGGGGGTCTCATTATGTTGCCCAGACTGGTTACGCCTATAGCTCTAGCTACTGAGGATGCTGTGGCAGGACCATCACTTGAACTCCTGAGCTCACCCAACTACAGAACATTTCTTAGCAAAACTCTGGCCCTTTTTCTTTGCTATTACAGATTCTTTCCTTTTTCAGTATCTATAATTTTATTTTAGTAGGATTTTAGGAGGGGTGGGTGAGATGTCATTAGTTTGACATTAAGTAGCAATTAGTGCTCTCTAGAAAAACAAAATTCTTATTTTCAGCCAGCTTGGTCAATACAGTTATTTTCTAAAATATATTGATGTGCTTGGTATGGATAGTATATTTAGAACTTTTCACTAAATTTTCAGATTATTTGTATTTTTGATCTCACTAAATCATGTCTGATTAACTTAATATTCTTCTGTGTCTATTCTATGACTGTAAAATTTGCCCAAATATATATACTAATAAACATTTTAAATACAAGCCAGTATTTCTATTTAATAAGGCTTCCCATTTAGTGATGAGCAACTACACGATTCTGAAGTCAAGTTTGAAATACATCTTCCCATTTTCTTTTTTTTTGAGATGGAGTCTCACTCTGTCGCCCAGGCTGGAGTTCAGTGGGTGATCTCGGCTCTCTGCAAGCTCCGCCTCCCGGGTTCACGCCATTCTCCTGCCTCAGCCTCCCGAGTAGCTGGGACTACAGGCGCCCGCCACCACACCCGGCTAATTTTTTTGTATTTTTAGTAGAGACAGGGTTTCACTTTGTCAGCCAGGATGGTCTCGATCTCTTGACATTGTGATCCGCCCACCTCAGCCTCCCAAAGTGCTGGGATTACAGGTGTGAGTCACTGCGCCCGGCCCCCATGTTCTTTTTTTTTTTGAGACACAGTCTGGTCTGTTGCCCAGGCTGGAGTGCAGTGGCATGATTTCGGCTCACTGAAACCTCCGCCTCCTGGGTTCAAACGATTCTCCTGCCTCAGCCTCCCGAGTAGCTGGGACTACAGGTGCCCACCACCATGCCCAGCTAATTTTTGTATTTTTAGTAGAGATGGGGTTTCACCATATTGGCCAGGCTGGTCTTGAACTCCTGACCTTGTGAACCACCCACCTTAGCCTCCCAAAGTGCTGGGATTACAGGCGTGAGCCACAATGCCTGGCCATCTTCCCATTTTCTTGGGGGAAAAATTCTAATTTAACTTTTAGGAACCAAAGACTTTATGTAATATGCTACTATAAGTGGATTAAGTTATCATTCCTCAGAGACTCAGATTAAGATGATAATGAATTAGATTTGAAAATAAGAATATAAACATCCACTTTAATAAATGACTAACCTATTAATTCTGAAGCTAATATTAATGTAGGAGAAAAGAATCTTTTGTGATTAGCTTAAACTAACATCCTAATGAACTCAAGATCATTTAGAAATATCTAAGACAGGAGCCAGGTACGGTGGCTCATGCCTGTAATCCAAGCACTCTGGGAGGCAGAGGCAGGTGGATAGCTTGAGCTCAGAAGTTTGAGACCAGCCTGGGCAACATGGTGAAACCCCATCTCTACAAAAAGTACAGACATTAGCCAAGCATGGTGATAGGAGCTTGTGGTCTCAGCTATTATACTTGGGAGGATCGCCTGAGCCCAGGAGGTCGGGGCTACAGTAAGTCGTCCAGCCTGAGAGGCAGAGTGAGACCCTGTCTCAAAAAAAAAAAACAACAACTAAGAATTATGGTTTTAAGTTGGTAAAATAAAGATCTTCTACCCCCTTCTCTTAAAAAAAAAAAAACAAAACCAAACTTACAGGGAGAAAACCAGGATTTTTTTAAATGAAACTAGGAGACATATGTTACCCCAAATCACAACATATAGCTGAAAGTGGACAGAGAAATGATAAAAGACCAGTGTTTAAGTGCCAAGTAACTTAAATGCTATGTGCCTGGAAAGAAAGACAAACAAACCTAGAAGTAGATACAGTCCCTAGAAAGTGGAGTAAGGCAGGGACTGAAATGGAGATTCTTTGAGAAAACTCCAAGAGAAGATGGGGTTCCTAGGTTATGTATCTGTGACTTGGTGCAGAGAAAGAGGTGCTGGGTCTCAAGACAATCCACATCAGAAACAGCTGGAGAACAACAAGCACAGAGGAGTACAGGCGTCAGGCACAGGCCTGAGCATGGAGACTGGGGCAGCCCACTAAACAGTGAGATCCTCTAACCCATCCTGCTCCAAAATACTGTCAGGGACATTTACAAACCCCTTCCCTCCACTGTTCCCCACTTTTCCAGCAGAGAACACAGGATCCCTTTCTGGAGAAACTGAACCAACCCAGAAAAAGATCTCTACAAACTGACATTTGGGAATCCCTAGCAAAAAGTCAGTTGGCCATCTGAGCCTGCCAGTTGCTGGAATGCCTTCTAGAGAGCTTCCAAATGGCTTTTTTTTTTCTTTTTTTAAATAGACAGTGAAGGACTGCCTGACATTTGAAGAAAGTTTCCATCATCACAGAGACCAAAGGAAAGAAGAAAAGGTGACTGTGAGGAAACAAATGCAGGAAGACAAGCAGAAAGTAACTTTAAACTATAATTCATGTCTTTAGAGAGATGAGAAGACACTGCAGTATAAAAATAGAGTATTCAGAAATTGAAAACAAAAGTTGAAGTAAATTTCATAAAAAGGGTTACAAAATATAGCACTTTTTTTGGAAGGAGGGAAACAATGGAAATAGAATAAAAAGAATACGAGTTATCAGTCTAGTATGCCCAAGAAAAGAACAGAAGAGAAAAATCAAATTCCAAGGACGGGTAAAGATGTGCCCCCCACTGGAAGGGCTAATGAAAAAGCAACACCAGGCGTGATGAAAACCATCAACACACACCTTCGTGAAATTTCACATCAGAGATGAAAAACTAAAACCTTTCACAAGAGAAGAAAACTAGGTCACAGGTAAAGGATTAGGAATCAGAGTAGCAACTTTTCATCAACACTGGAACCTACTGATGGGACAGTATAAATTCTCAATGAAAATGATTTCTGATCTTGAATTTTATTCAAGAGAACTATCCATTGAAAGTGGGGGGCTGGGTGTGGTGGCTCACACCTGTAATCCCAGCACTTTGGGAGGCCGAGACGGGCAGATCACGAGGTCAGGAGGTCGAGACCATCCCGGCTAACACAGTGAATCCCTGTCTCTACTAAAAATACAAAAACAAAAAAAATAGCCAGGTGTAGTGGCGGGCACCTGTAATCCCAGCTACTCGGGAAGCTGAGGCAGGAGAATGGCGTGAACCCGGGAGGCGGAGCCTGCAGTGAGCCAAGATCGCGCCACTGCACTCCAGCCTGGGCGACTGAGTGAGAGTCCCTCTCAAAAAAAAAAAAAAAAAAGTGGGGTTCTCTCCCCTTTCATTAACTATCCAGGCTAACTTGTAAGAGGAAGAGCAGAAAAAAAATTCATTTTCAAAATGGGAAGATGTATTTCAAACTTGACTTCAGAATCGTGTAGTTGCTCATCACTAAATGGGAAACCTTATTAAATAGAAATACTGGCTTGTATTTAAAAGAAACTTAATTCCCATGAAAACATCCTCAGAGGATGTTATAGAATGTGTTCCACTAAAACAAACACGCAAGGAATACATGGGATCTAAAAATAGGAACTAGTCCAAATTGAAACACATGGAAGGGTCTGCAACTGACGGAACTATTAGATTATCTACATAGGTTTGCTCATGTGGTATACTGTGCTTAACATTTCTTTTCTTGTACTACTTTTTGTTTTCCTGGATTAACCTCCCTCATATTTTTATTTACTTGGCTTTCTTAAACTTGAAGCCCAGCCTGGGCACATAGCAAGACCCTGTCTCAACTAAAAATTTAAAAAATAGCCAGGTGTGGTGGCATGCACCAGTAATACCAGCTACTCAGGAGGCTGAGGTGGGAGGGTTGCTTGAGCCTGGGAGGTCAAGGCTGCAGAGTTGTGATCACGCCACTGCATTCCAGCTTGGGCTACAGAGCAAGCAAGTCCCTATCTTTAAAAAGAAACCAAAAAACAAAAAACTTGAAACCCTCTCATACTTGGCATAGCACTGTGAAATTATATATTTATATAGGCATAATAAGGAAACAACATTTATATAGACATAATAATGAAAACATTGAGTATGCATATAACCAAAAATTCTGAAATAACGACATTGAGAGTGATATGCAGAGAATGGAGGTAGGGGATTAGTACGGGATATAAGAACTAATGTGCTCATATACCCCAATGAGAATAGACAAAGGGGATGAATCAAGAGACAATAGTATATGGATATTATTTAGAAATATGGTGACAAATAGCAAAATTATTGCTGCTACAAAAGCTGACTTGGGGTAAGGTCATGCTGGGGGGACTCTGATATTTGTTCATATCTGTTAGTACTACTTGACTTTTTAATCTCTATGCATATATTCCCTTGCATATTAATTAATTTTAAAGTTAATTAAACCATTAATTTAAATATGAAAGCATCTTAGACATTTAAACTCTGAACTCTAGAGCAAATACATAATTCCATGATTCTATTTCCCTAGATTTTAGTCAAAAATAATGCAATTGGAAACATAATAATTTTAAGGGTATGAGACAATGAAGAAGGACAGAAACTCCTATACTATTTTGCAACTGATTTAATAGGCTACACTGACATCCTGTGAAAAGTCACTGGTAGAAGCTCTTACATATGTGACAAAACCAACCCAGAGACCTAGCTGTGCTAGCTGACTGTACTGAGTGTGTGAAGTTTAGTGTGGTACAACAGCAGAAAGATCACAGAGTGAGAAGCCAGAGGACATGGGTTCTCATACTTGGAGAAACTCTATACCTGTTTCCTAATTTCTTTGAGCCTCGGTTTCTTTGACTGCAGAGATGTATGACTGTCACAGAATAAACCGTTCGTCCATAGTCAGATATGACGTGTATATGTATACATAATGCTGTGAACACATGTTTTCAAGGGATCAAATGACCTGAGAATAAATTGGATTACCAGAGAAAGCCAGCTGCAGATCTCAACACAAAATTGTTTTCCATTATTAGAACATAATGTAGTAGTCTATAACTTTCGAGCTTTAACTTTTAATAGTAATGTACTGTTTAATTTCTTAATAAATAATTACTGAAATTCCCAGCAAAGATCAATGCAAACACACACAAACTTTAATGAAAATAAATCTTCATCAGCAATTCACTGTAAGACAATTTAAGAAATCTGCTTAAATAAAAGTTAAAAACCAAAGCAACCTAAGAACGTACCAACCATTAAATCCTATATAAAGATCCAAGTCAATCAAAGCAGCTGCTGCTTCCTTGGTACCATCAAATGAATGCACCTGGGGACATACAGGTATAAGTTTATTATTATAATAATTACTCTTTAAAATTCTAAGTGACATTAATAAGACTTTGTAGGCAAAAATATAGATCCCTGTAAGTTTTTGGACCTCAGGGTTTCAAAGGTGGTAGTCGCTATAATTTTTATTTTCATATTATTTTTCACAATTACAACCTGTCATCATCTCCAGTGACATGATGCAAAACGTTAGCTGCCGAGAATTTCTCTCTTTAGAGTGGCAGTGTTGCTGTCTCTGCACTAGCATTAGTGCAGAAGCTCCAGGAAGGGGTTTAGGAATAGATATATTCTTAGGCAAAAACATGAGGAAAGCTTAGTAATTTTATGGCACTATTTAAAAGAATTTTTAAAATACTGATGAATTTTCTGTTAGAGGATACTTTTTTTTTTTTTTTTGAGATGGAGTTTTGCTCTTGTTGCCCAGGCTGGGGTGCAATGGCGCGATCTTGGCTCACTGCAACCTCCACCTCCCTGCTTCAAGAGATTCTCCTGCCTCAGCCTCCTGAGTAGCTGGGATTACAAGCATGCGCCACCACGCCTGGCTAATTTTGTATTTTTTTTTTTTTTAGTAGAGATGGGGTTTCTCCATGTTGGTCAGGCTGGTCTTGAACTCCCGACCTCAGGTGATTCGCCCGCCTCGGCCTCCCAAAATGCTGGGATTACAGAGGTGAGCCACCGCGCCTGGCCGAGGATACTTTTTTGTGGAAGAGAAATTACTTTTAAGAGGCAAGGCTGGGCCAGGCGCAATGGCTCACGCCTGTAACCCCAGCACTTTGGGAGGCTGAGGCTGGTGGATCACCTGAGGTTGGGAGTTCGAGACCAGCCTGACCAATGTGGAGAAAACCCATCTCTACTAAAAACACAAAATTAGCTGGGCATGGTGGCGCATGCTTGTAATCCCAACTACTCGGGAGGCTGAGGCAGGAGAATTGCTTGAACCTGGAAGGCGGAGGTTGCGTTGAGCTGAGATCACATCATTACACTCCAGCCTGGGCAACAAGAGTAAAACTCTGTCTCAAAAACAAAAACAAAACAAAAAAAGAGACAAGGCTGAAGAAATTCTTATAAATGGGTGAGACTGTTGCTTAAAAAGCATAAACTGTAATCTCAGCAATTTGGGAGGCCGAGGTAGGCAGATCACAAGGTCAGGAGATCAGCGAAACTGTCTCAAAAAAAAAAAAAAAAGCATAAACCATTATATAATCAATAATATCAGCTTAGCAAGCAGAAGGGATTGAGATGCTATTTCTCTCCTTCAAAGATATAGGGGTCAAGACATAGTTTTCATAGTTTGGATGTATTTATATAATCAAAAACAACATATAACAACAGCCCTCCTTTAAAAAGTAGGTTCACCTAAACAAGTGACATCACATTACTACTGAGTCCAGAGAGCCTGAATACACTATGGATAACATATTTCTCAACAATAAAGAAGCCTGCATTACACAGCTGCCTGCATTATTCTTTCCTTCACCATTTCCAGCTGACTAGAAAAGATGCCCTCCATTAATATCGAAATCATTTTAAAAGTGACTCCTCATAAACCATTTCAGAAAACTAGTTATTAATTATTTGGCAATTTCTTTTTTGGTAAAAGTCAAACATTTAGGTTGGATTTGTTGTTGCTTTTGTTAATTTTAAAAACTATTAATAGAACCCAAGTAAATTCTTATTTAGAAATAGGCTGGGCACAGTGGCTCCCATCTGTAATCCCAGCACTTTGGGAGGCCGAGGCAGGTGGATCGCTTGAGGTCAGGAGTTCAAGACCCACCTGGCCAACATGATGAAACCCTGTCTCTACTGAAAATACAAAAATTAGCCAGGCGTGGTGGTGCGTGCCTGTAGCCCCAGCTACTCGGGAGGCTGAGGCAAAAGAATTGCTTGAACTTGGAAGACAGAAGTTGTGGTGAGCCAAGATCGTGCTATTGCACTCCAGCCTGGGTGACAGAGCAAGGCTCTGTCTCAAAAAAAAAAAAAAAAAAAAAAGAAAAAGAAAAAAAGAAAAGAAATAAAGCAAATGGGCTGAGAGGTAGAGTCTGAAGGTTAGGATAAATACCACTAATAATCCCAACGGCATTAGTTAAAACTAAAACCCCTCTCAATTCTTAAGTACAGTTCCTACAGGATAAATTACAGAGTAAGTAAAAACAGGAAAAAATTACAGAGTTAGTACAAACAGGAAAAAAGTGCACAGTAATATTAACATTACAGCAATGCAGGATGCATACATATTACTAGTAGTATAGATGAGGCAGAGGTTGAACTTAGAGAATACGCATAAAACTGTCAACGTCAGGCCGCATGGGAATGCAAGTGCTTGGTGCTATTTCCTCTTTCCTTAGCAGGCATAGTGTAACTGTGATTTAATCTACCTGGATTACAGTTCTTTTGCTAGACACAGTCACTCACTGAGTCACTCTCCTGAAATTGCATATGAATATATGTATATCTGAGCATTTTTCTAAGGCAGGTTTCCAAAGGAGTCCATGATCGAAGAGACTAAAAATCATGGCTGGGCAAGGTGGCTCATGCCTGTAATCCTAGCACTTTGGGAGGCTGATGGGGGGAGGATCATGAGGTCAAGAGATCGAGACCATCCTGGCCAACATGGTGAAACCCCGTCTCTACTAAAAATACAAAAATTAGCTGGACGTGGTGGTGTGCACCTGTAGTCCCAGGTACTTGGGAGGCTGAGGCAGGAGAATTGCTTGAACCCAGGTGACGGAGGTTGCAGTGAGCTGAGATTGTGCCACTCCACTCCAGCCTGGTGACAGAGCGAGACTCCATCTCAAAAAAAAAAAAATCACTGCCATAGATATCGGAGGTATGTGGTTAGCAGATAGTATTTATGGGAAATGTCTCCAGAATAATGACTAAAATGGCTATATCAGAGAAGTGTTTAGTGCAGAATGCAAATTACAGAAAGGAGAATGACTCTCTAGATCAGAATAGTAGGTGAATACAGCGGACAAGAAATGAGAAAGGCAAACCTAAAACAAATGGTAAAATATTTCAAAACATAAAAATTAGTTTATATTTGCTCAAAATTTGGATGGAAGAACATTAAAGAACAGCTGACAGAAGAGACGAAGAATATCATGCACAGCATTAGGATGTGTAGAATTCAAGGGCCAGGCACAGTGGCTCACACCTGTAATCCCAACACTTTGGGAAGCCAGGGTGGGCAGATTGCTTGAGTTTAGGAGTTCGAGATCAGCCTAGGCAACATAGTAAAACTTCATCTCTACAAAATATACAAAAAAATTAGCTGGCCATGGTGGCACATGCCTGTAGTCCCAGCTACTTGGGAGGCTGAGGATGGCTTGATCCCGGGGAAGCAGAGGTTGCAGTGAGCTGAGATTGTGCCACTGCACTTCAGCCTGGATGACAGAGCCAGACCCTTTCTTAATAACCAAAAAAAAAAAAAAACAAAAAACACACACAAAAAACAAAAAAAATTTCACAGGGTTTTCTTGTGAATGGAATTCTGTACGCATTCTTGTACTTTGAACAAAGGAACTGTAATTAAAACTGATTTGTGTTTATGCCACACCTGGTCCATAAATTCAACAGTAAATTTACATGTCTTTCAAAGGATGGGAAAAGAAGCTCCTAATTCTATTGAATTCTATCTAATTCCTATGTTTTTCTTTGTTATTCCTTTTTAAAAAAAATTTAAATGTTGACATCTGAATTAGGGGCCATCCTTAATAACCAAGATGCTTTGTGTGTCACATAAATGTTAAGTATCCCTTATCCCAAGTGTGTGGGACCAAAAGTGTTTCATATTTCAGATTTTTTCAGATTTTGGAATATCTGCATATACATAAAAAGAAATCTTTGGGAAGGGACTCAAGTCTAAACATGAAATTCATTTATGTTTCACATACACCTTATACCACACCCTGAAGGTAAATATTTTAAATAATTTTGTGCGTGAAACAAAATTTGTGTACAATGAATAATCAGAAAGCAAAGGTGTCATTATCTCATGCCAGTGCTTAAAAAGGTTCAGATTTTGGAGCATTTTGTACTTGGGAGTATTTTGGATTTTTGGATTAGAGATGTTCAACCTGTATTAAAAATGACTATTTTATACTTACCACTCCCCCTACACACCGATCTCTATTTCTTTTCATTATGTCTGTGAATTAAAAACAAAGAACTTTTAGCAAATAGCTTGATTTCTACAAAATTCTTAAGTTCTGAATGAGACTTTGGTTTTAACTCACCCAAAAATTCAGCATGTGAGTTTCGACAATGAAGAAACATTGGTAATTTTGTTTGTTCTGACAGTTCAAACTGTTTTTCAAAATATCTGCATAATGCAAAAAAAAAAAATTCTCATTACAAATTGTATTTTAGCATGAGGAAGGTAATGATGTCAAAAGAGCTTTTAAATTAAAGGTATTTAATTCTCTAGAAATTACAGGACAAAAATCATGAATATTTAAAGCACATCAGGCTTATCAAAGGGCTTTTATAACTTACAACTTCTGGAAAGAAATACTTCATTTTCTGGGCTTACAAAATTATCTGGGCCCTTTAATTTTCAGAAAGTAACACCACTGGCCCCTTGCCACTGGGAGCACCATCAGTGGGAGTCAACTCACCAAGCGAGAAGCCCAGGAGAGCTTCATACTGCATGCTAATCTATTCCATTTTGCAACCAGTTTTTTATGTGCTGTTATAAAAGAAGTTATTGCCACTGGGCAAAATGAACAAGGTTTCCCTCAAAAATGAAATCTAAGTATTTGCTAAACAGCAAATAACTCAATTATGCTATTAAAAAAAGAAAATTACATGATAAAGTGGTAGCCCTGAATATCTTAAAGAGTACTTGATAAGAAGGTTTTTCCAAGTACCAGATACCATTGTCTCATTTGATCCTCAAAATAACCTGAGTATAAAAGCTGGTGTCAGAGAGGTGTAGTACTTTGTCCAAGATAACAATACCTGGCATGGCCAACTTGGAACAGAACTTCACTGCTCTAATTCCAAGTCCCAGCCTAAACGACAAAAACCTGTTACGTTTTCAAGAAGCTTCCTTCTGGTCCCGGAGTATAATGACAATATTCAGAGGATACAACGAATGTTCATTCTGTTTGTCTTTTCACTTCAACACAGTGCTCCCCCTTGTTCTCACAAATGGTAGGTTCAACTGAATCAGGATAACAGGTGGCTTATTATTTTCTTAAATGTGCTTACCTCTTCTAAGCACTTTAATTTGGGGAAACAATTTCTCTGTTTAACTTAAGCCTCTCTTGCTATATTTTTCTATATCATATTTCCTGATGTGCAGGACTATTTTACCCCCTTTGCTCTCTTGAAAATGCTAAATTTTAAAATTAGAAATAGAAATGTACTTCTTAAGAAGCAGTCTTCAGGCCGGGCGTGGTGGCTCACACCTGTAATGCCAGCACTTTGGGAGGCCAAGGCGGGTGGATCACTCAAGGGCAGGAGTTCAAGACCAGCCTGGCCAGCATGGTGAAACCTCGTCTCTACTAAATATACAAAAATTAGCCGGCATGTTGGCACATGCCTGTAATCCCAGCTATTCGGCAGGCATGAGAATCTCTTGAACCCAGGGTCAGAGGTTGCAGTGAGCTGAGATTGTACCACTGCACTCCAGCCTGGGTGAGAGAGCAACATTCTGTCTCAAAAAAAAAAAAAAAAATTAAAAATTAAAAAAATAGAAATAGTCTTCCTAAAATAGGTCGTCTATGTCTGTATTACCAAATGTTTGGGTTTTAAAATCTCCTTTTCAGATTCTGCTGGGTTAGAATAAGCAAAAATATTTTCCTTTCATTAACAAAGTGCTGAAATTTTGCAGTGTAGGAAATATTAACGACAACTTGGACAAAAAGAGATTTTGATAATATAACCAGTCACTATTTCCATAACCTCTAAAGTAAACCAAATGTCAGCAGTTAAGTGTGCACTAGTCATTATGTCAACTTTACTAATATATTTGGCTCTGACTACACACAGCAGGCGGTACTCTTCATTGTGTGCACTGCTCCACGCTGTACTGGTTATTTTTTCCACACACAATTCCATGGACCAAACCACATGACCAAGCTACAAATTCACAGTATCTAATGGTCGGATGGAAAATTAGCTTCCTATAGGAATGTAGGCAAAAGTACAGTTTATGAAAATAACAGAGGCCAGCTGGGTGTGTGGTTCAGGCCTGTAATCCCAGCACTTTGGGAGGCTGAGGTGGGTGGATTGCTTGAGCTCAGGAGTTCGAGACCAACCTGGGCAACATGGTGAAACCCCATCTCTACAAAAAATACAAGAATTAGCCAGGTGTGGTAGCATATGCCTACAGTCTCAGTTCTTGGGAGGCTGAGGTGGGAGGATTGCTTGAGCCTGGCGAGGTCAAGGCTGCGGTGAGCCATGATCACACCACTGCACTCCAGCTTGGATGACAGAGTGAGACCCTGTCTCAAAGAAAAAAGAAAAAGAAAATAACAGAAGCCCAAGCAATGGGCCCACAGAATTTTACATAATTCAAGAAAAGAAAGGTCCCTGAAGTCATGCTAGCTACGTATCATAAAGAAGCCATGTGGTAAAAAAAATTATTCCTAATGATACAAATTGAGGATAACTAGTACTGAACATCAAACGACTATTATCTTTAGAGAAGAAAAACCCGCCATGGTAACTAGAAATAACTGTATAAGTTACAGGGTAGGAATTGGCATCTATTAAGAGACTTCTCTGCCTGTTTTACTCACTTATTATTTTTTTAAAGTTCATAAATGAAAATAATTTTCCACTTGAGTTATTTGCTCATCTTAGTGAAGCTTCTGATTTTATTACTGCTTCTTACAGTTGAGGTTTAACTATCTAACGACAAGAGCTGGAAAAGTTCAGCTTCAGGAGCAGTTGTTATTAATTAGGATCAAGGCAAATCCAAAAAGCCCAGTGAGTTTCATGGGTATACCTCAACACAAGTAGTAATCCCTCCTCTGTAAGCTGCTTGATGGCAACATGGCCTCAATTGCTCATCTCTAGGGTCCCCTAAATCCCCAAAGGATTGTTTTAAAATCTTCTTGTTGTAGTTTTTAAGACCTGCACAGTGTTAACATTTTAAAGCCCCAAGAAAAATGCCCAAAGCAAATTCCTCCTACCCAAGAGAACAGAGCTCTAAATTGCAACAAGGAAAGGAGTGTAGCATAAGGCCAGGAAATTGAAAATACAGGGTATGGCTTAAAGGATAAACTTTCCATAAGTAGATCAGGCCTTTCCTTGTTTTCACTCTTTGCTTCTCTTTCTTAGTCTTTAAAAAATACTTTTTCCAGAAAAGGTCTAGGTACTAAAACAAGAAAAAAGTATTAAAAAAAAAAACTTTTAAAAGTTCCAAACAAAAACAATAGCTAGCATCTTCCTTTAGGGTGGTAATTATTTCTAGTATGAGGAATGTAACAACAGCCATGATTGTGCACATACTCTGCATGACTCATGTCACTATGGGCTTTATGTGCCTTATGTTAAGAAAGGTAGGCAGCAATCTCCCCATTTTAAAGGGGATGCACAAAGGGATGAAGTGACACCAAAGGCAGTTGTAAATCTCACCCAAAGATCTGCTGATTCCAAAGCTCATCCTTTTAACATGGTCATACACCGCCTTCACTTACCATTATTTTTCAGACACTACATCTATTGTATATTAATTTTTCTGTCTTGCCCCCTAATTTTCTATTTTTCTTTTCTCATACATCTCCTTTTTCCTGACTACATATTTACTTAAAAACAAATCATGGCCGGGTGCAGTGGCTCATGCCTGTAACCCTAGCACTTTGGGAGGCCGTGGTGGGCGGATCACTTGAGGTCTGGAGTTCGAAACCAGCCTGGCCAACATGGTGAAACTCTGTCTCTACTAAAAATACAAAAAAATTAGCCAGGCATGCTGATGGGCACCTGTAATCCCAGCTACTTGGGAGGCTGAGGCAGGAGAATTGCTTGAACCTGGGAGGTGGAGGTTGCAGTGATCTGAGATTGCACCACTGCACTCCAGCCTGGGGGACAGAGTGAGACTCCATCTCAAAAAACAAACAAACAAACAAACAAACACAATCATACACTGGTTGTTCCAGATGGTAGAAAAGTGCAGACCAAAATCTGAAGTCTTCCAAAAATAAACCCAATAGTGAAAGCTGAATTATAGGCTTTTTATCCATGCTGCTCAAAGGGAATAAAAAAGAAAAGAACCTTCCCTCTGTATTAAATATTCAACAGACATTTACTAAGTGCCTACCATGTGCTGAGAGTACTGTGCTAAGTGCTATGGAACTGTCACATGAGTAAGACTTGGTGTGTGCCTTTGAGGAACTCAAAGACACCTGTCTGTTGCGGGGAGGAAGGGATAATGAAAACCCATTTCTGTACAACATGGTAAGTGCTGAAACAAGTAGAGTGCTGTGTATACAAAACAGATTGCATGCTGTGAGTATATGCGAGGGGAAAAGGAGTGAGGGGCAGAGAATGTGGGTATTTGTTTCCTTAACAATAATCAAAATGTGATTGTTACTAGTGTGTCTTTTTTTTTTCTTTTGAGCGGAATCTTTCTCTGTTGCCCGGGCTGGAGTCCAATGTCACGATCTTGGCTCACTGCAACCTCCTCCTCCCCAGTTCAAGCAATTCTCCTGCCTCAGCCTCCCAAGTAGCTGGGATTACAGGTGCTCGCCACCACGCCTGGCTAGTTTTTGTTTTTAGTAGAGACGGGGTTTCACCATGTTGGTAAGGCTGGTCTTGAACTCCTGATCTCAGGTGATCGGCCTGCCTTGGCCTCCCAAAGTGCTGGAATTATAGGCATGAACCACCGCACCCGGCTGTTTTTTTAACCAAGTCATTTGATGTTTTATTATTAAAATTTTAAAAATCTCAAGTAGAACTGCCTATCTTATCAAAATTTCCTCCTACTTTGTCATTAGCTTATCCACTCTGGAAGAAGCCAGTGTCATATGCTGTCACCTTAGAGCATCCCCCAGAAAGTCAGTCCTTCCCTCTGCTGTTCACATACTTTAGTAAGCACTTCCAACCTATTTTAATTATTTATGTCCTCTCTTGGAAAAAGTCTTATTCTTCTTTGTATCATGCTGAGGAGGCACTTGGTAATCATTTACTGAATGTAGTTTGAACCTCTCTATTAGCAATTAACGCTTGGCATGTGAGTTCAAGCACAAGCTGTGATATGCATATTCTAAGATCAGACGCTATTCTGATGATGGTGAAGAATCTTCAGAACAGTTAAATTAAACTGATACTGTCAATGTTTTCGATTAATCCCAAAAGTGAGTTTAAAGTATTGAGGTTGCATTTTAGAATCAGTTCTAACTCATTTTGGATGAAAAGTCATATGGGCAAAAAAACACGGGGACTCTGCCATTGCCCTTGCTTGTCATAACACAGTCTATTAGACTTACAAGGCTTATCCTGACCAAAACCAGACATGAAAGTTGAGGAATATGATATCTGGGCTTAACCTAAAGAACTATTAAAGAGAACTGTTTTTCTATTTCAATGTGAACACGAGAACTTTTAAGGTTAAGTGAGCTGGCCTACATAATATTCGACAGAGGTATAGGGCTTCAGTAACCCTGCTAGTAACCACATGAATGTCCCTGAAAGGCACAGCAAATCAGCAAATAATATACCACAAACTAAACAGTTCTACAAGGGATGTACAAATGAGCGACCTAAAAGAGAGAGTAGGTATCCACAGAGCATTACGTTAACCCATCCTATTCTACTTGGTTATAGATCTTCACACTTCAGAACTTTGGAGCTTGAGGTCTAGGGTATGACAGACTCCACTAGCAGATCTGCTCCTCCCCAAAGTGATTTTCAACCAGGGGGTACATATCAGAATCCCATTTGTGGGGAGCAGGGAGGGAAGCGGGAGGAAGTACACTTTCCTCATGCGTAATTTAAAAAAATCCCTTCAGGCCATCAAGTCACTGGCTTAATCATATGATCATATCACCATATGACAAAATTATTAATTGTTAAACATTATGATATAGCTGGATGGTATCTTAAGAGAGAATCTGATCCTAATTCTTCTTTGTGTATAAGAAACTAAGGAGGACAGAGGATTGTTTATTCTTAAAGGTCTCTAGGGACAGATATTCTACCTTATTCATATTTCTGCATACTATGAGCTCTCAGCAGTGGCTGGCACACAGTACTCCATAAATATTTGTTCAATGGATGAATAAATTAACCCCCTTTAGAAGCTCAGTCTAATGTTTTATCATTTTCATAATTAAGATGTTTTTGAAATTCAACAAAATGCTTACGTTTTAAATTCAGACTGTGACCTAAATTTTCTTTTCAATCTATAACACTCACCCACCAGTATGATGACAGGAGCTCCAAATTTAGCTCCAGGCAATGGGTTACAGGAAGTCCTGCAGGGTCGTGAGCTTTGGAGTTTTCTCAGAAGCCACCATTCAACATGGCTCCTATTAAAGGAATCTCACAGTTCCAAACTAGCAATATTCAATGCCCAGCAAGAGTAAAATAAGCTTTTCTAGCTTTGGTGATTGATCCTATAATACTTTTGTGGGTTTTTTCTTGCTGGTTTTTTTTAGAGACGGAGTCTCCTTATGTTGCTCAGGCTGGTCTGGAACTCTTGAGCTCAAGCAATTCTCCTGCCTCTGCCTCTCAAACAGCTGCGACTACAGACGCAGGCTGCTGTGCCTGGCTTGTAATACACTTTTAATATCCTTTGCTCTTAAATTATATCTCCCAATTTGGGAGGCCGAGGCGGGTGGATCATTTGAGGTCAGGAGTTTGAGACCAGCTTGACCAATATGGTGAAACCCAATTTTTACTAAAAACATAAAAATTAGCCGGGCATGGTGGCACATGCCTGTAATCCCAGCTACTCGGGAGGCTGAGGCAGGAGACTCATTTGAACCCAGGAGGTGGAGGTTGCGGTGAGCTGAGATCACGCCTCTGCACTCCAGCCTGGGCGACAGAGAGACTCTGTCTCAAAAAACAAAACAAAACAATCACATTCCCCAAAATAATTTAATTCATTCCATTGGAACTGTTCACGTATGAATGCGTCTGTTAAACAAGCAAACAGAAAATGTAAAATCTCTATCATGTAAAACTCATCCCTAATTTCTACCATTACAATAAAATTAAATGGTTAATCAACCAGGGAACTATGTGCTTCCATCCCTTATGAATTACATGCAAGTATGCATGGAATTTGTTTCACTTACTTTTGATATACAAAGGGAAAAACAAAAATATCCTCATGCTTAATCCAACTATACTCTCACCTGATACAAGATATTTTAAAAATCACTCATGATTTTACAATAATTTGTAAAGCCAACAAATTTCCTTACTTGAGTTGAGTATCTTTGGGACAAAACTGCAGTCGGTCAAAATCTTTAAAAAGATAAAGAAGAATAATTACTCCTAACTTATACAGAACAAATTACTTATTTTCAAACAATGTCACTCTAAGAGGCGAGGCTGGCACTCACCAAGTCCGCATTCTCCTATTGCCACAACTTTCCCTTTATTGTTTTCAGCAAGATTTAGCAACTCCTTTAAGTAAAGATCAGGGTTATTCTTTTCAAATTCACCACATCTTGTAGGATGACATCCAACTGTACTGAAAAACATACCTAACAGAAAATAATGTCTTAGGATTATTTTCAAAGTATTTTCTCATATTTATATTTATTATGATATTTAGAGGATATCAAGTAATTTCAACTGGTTTTCAACAATGGCAATAAATTACTCAAATTATAAGAACTGCATTATGTTAATCATATGACAATTTTTAGAATACCTAAACAAAGTAGGAGATGAATATGAAAATTGCTTTAATGTATTAATAAAATAATTCAACTTTTTCTAAAGCTTGGCATTTAGGGCTGTAGAATGCAAAGTGAAATTTTTTTTTTTTTTTGAGACAGGGTGCCACTGTGTCACCCAGGCTGGAGTGCAGTGGTGCTATCACAGCTTACTGCAGCCTTGACCTCCTGGGCTCAAGCGATCCTCCCACCTCAGCCTCCCACGTAACTGGGGCTACATACGCATGCCACCACACCTGGCTAATTTTTAATTTTTTTTTTTTTGGTAGAGACAGGGTTTCGCTACGTTGCCCAGGCTGGTCTCGAACTCCTGAGCTCAAGCGATCCACCTGCCTGGCCTCCCAAAGTGCTGGGATTACAGGCCTGAGCCACCATGACCAGCACTGATTTTATCTTTTATATTCACCATTCATGTGACTATCTTGATTGGTATATTTTTGTTTGTTTAACACCTATTCCTCCATTATTGATTCATGTATTTAATATAGCAATAAAAATGTATTCCCTTAAACAGGTTAATAGTGGGGGCGATTTAAAGTGGTGGAAAGGGGGATTTGTTTTTCTAGCAAGTAAATGAGGTTCACTTATTCGGAGGAGACTCTGACAGCTTGACTTGCATAGAATACAAATGAGAAGTCAAAAACACTTTTTGAATGGCTTAGCTGAGCCCGAACCATGGGAAAGGTATCAAGCTTTCCTCAGGCTCTCATGTAGATGTTTAGAAAAAAAGGAAGCAGCACTTTTAAAGCTGTAAGAACAGAAGTTACATGGAGAGGAGTGGAAGAGGGCTGGTAATGGAGGTGGGAGAACTTTAAAAAGCATAGCTGTTTGGGGATGAAAAGTAAGGATAAAATGTTCTTATATATTTCAAAAACTCCCTGGAAGATAGTCTATCTTTAATCACTAACAAAAAGTGTCAATGGGGTGGGTGAGGTGGCTTACGCCTGTAATCCCAGCACTTTGGGAGGGCAAGCCGGGCAGATCACGAGGTCAGGAGTTCAAGACCAGCCTGACCAACATGGTGAAACCCCGTCTCTACTAAAGATACAAAAATTAGCTGGGTGTGGTGGCACACGCCTGTAATCCCAGCTACTCAGGAGGCTGAGGCAGGAGAATCACTTGTACCCAGGAGGCAGAGGTTGCCGTGAGCCGAGATCGTGCCATTGCACTCCAGCCTGGGTGATAGAACAAGACTGTCTCAAAAAAAAAAAAAAAAAGAAAAAGTGTGAATGGATCCTAAAAGACAAGTGTGGATTTTAGAGAGATTTCCATAAAAATATAGCTTTTAGTAAGTTTTCATACATAAAGGAAACACATCAGTATTTTAAAATACAAAATTTAAAAATTATGTGGAATGTTTAATTCCTCAGTGTCTAGCACGTAAGATAATGCAAAAAAAAGTGAAATTCGTGAATGCCAGATAAATGAGGTTTTACCTAACTAGGATTCCTTTAATAATCAGTCTTAAAACTTTTAAGATTTTAAACAAATGCAAAATGTATGAACATAAAGCAAGGATATGAGAGATTATATAGTGTTATTATTTGCATTCCTGGTACCTTGCACAGTATCTGGTCCATCTAGTAAAAATTTAATAAAATGGCCCTTCACAGCTTAAGTTAAAAAAGAGTAAATAAAAAGCAACTCGTATCTTAAACACGTTAAAACACACACATGAATTCCACATCAAAAACACCTGAGGTTGGCTGGGCACGGTGGCTCACGCCTGTAATCCCAGCGCTTTGGGAGGCCGAGGCAGGCGGATCACGAGGTCAGGAGATCAAGACCCATCTTGGCTAACACAGTGAAACCCCTTCTCTACTAAAAATACAAAAAATTAGCTGGGCATGGTGGCAGGCACCTGTAGTCCCAGCTACATGGGAGGCTGAGGCAGGAGAATGGCATGAACCAGGGAGGTGGCGCGCGCAGTGAGCCGAGATTGCGCCACTGCACTCTAGCCTGGGCGACAGAGTGAGACTCTATCTCAAAAAAAAAAAAAAAAAAAAAAAAAAAAAAAGGCCGGGTGCAGTGGCTCACGCCTGTAATCCCAGCACTTTGGGAGGCTGAGGCGGGTGGATCACGAGGTCAGGAGATCGAGACCATCCTGGCTAACATGGTGAAACCCCGTCTCTACTAAAAATACAAAAAATTAGCCTGGCGTGGTGGCGGGCGCCTGTAGTCCCAGCTACCCGGGAGGCTGAGGCAGGAGAATGGTGTGAACCTGGGAGGTGGAGTTTGCAGTGAGCCGAGATCGCACCACTGCACTTCAGCCTGGGTAACAGAGTGAGACTCCGTCTCAAAAAAAAAAAAAAAACACACCTGAGGTTAAACTGTGTACCTGGAGAACTTTATTCTCATTAGCTGAAATCTTAAAATAATCTTCATTGAGCAGTATGAAACAGTTTTATAAACATCTGATATACCAATGAGTACTTTGAATTTTGTCATCTTAATCATGTCCCATTTAAATCAGTCCATTTTCCTATTGTTTCCAGTCATGATCCATTGTATTGTACCTGAAGCAGTTTTCAGAAAGACTTCTTCAAAATTACTTAATTCATTTTTTTTTTGGTAAAAGAAATATGAGGATACCATTTGTTTGTGCCAAATGCAGTGCATCTTTACTGTCTTGTAGATTTCCACCTGTAATCATAAACTGAAATAGAAAGAAAATAAAATAAGCTGACTTTAATAGGGCAGCAATAACAGTTTCCTAAACATGCCTTCCTACCACTTCCTTATTCCAGAATGCTCTTTCCTCTGTGACTGCCACACACCTACCCTTTAAAATTCAGCTGGGAGATTACCTCCTATGCAGAGTAGTGCCTGACTACACCTCAGGGATGTATGTATGTGTGTGTGCATGTAGAGGTGCAGAATTCATCACTAGACTCTGTTAAAATGTATTTATATACCCACCTTTCCTATTAGACAATGCATTCCTTGAGGACAGAGATCAGGTGTTATGAAAGCGTGAATAACGAAATCAATGATTCAATAGTGTTGATTGATTCAACAGTTCTCCAGGTGTAGTCTGGTAACTCCCAGTAGGTATGTGAAGTCAAAACTATTTTCCTAACAATAATAAGACACTTTCTGTCTTTTTCACTCTCACTCTACTGCAAGTGTCCACAAGGTATTCAAGAAGCTACACGATGTTTGACACCACCAGAGACTGACTACAGAAAAAGATATGAAAATTCAGCAGGCTTCTAGTAACACAGTCATTAGAGATTTGAAAAAACATACAACTGTACTCATGTTGCTAATTTTTTTGTTCTGGAATATACTTATTTTTCATAAAAATATGCTATTTATGTTATCCAGTAGTTTCTTATTTTAAAAGGAATATTTAAAATATTTTGTTTTAATTTTTAATATAGTATGTATCAGTAGGTAAGACTCACACAAACAAAAGCTCTTTGGGGGTCCTCAATAATAAAGAATGTGAAGTGGTTTTGAGAGCAAAAGGTTTGAGAATCAGTGAGTTAATGCATGCTAATGAATTCTCTGTAGGAAAACGTATGGCTTTTGGCAAATAAGCATACTTCTGCATAGACCCATTAGAGTCCGCTCAGTAATTAGAATGCCATCTTTCCTAATCTGTTAAAATGAAAATGTCACTAAAGAGTTATGTGTTGATAGTGAGAGCACTGAAGCAGTGCTGCGTAAGGGGCGCCTTCTTCTGAAGACGTGATTCAAGTATAATGATGTATATTTTTGTAAAGCATACTTCAAAAGTCTCACTAAAATGAATTCATTCTAGGTACAACTTAGGGAGAAAACACAAAACGAAGGTAGAATTGCAAATGATAAATAGATATTTTCATATAGCTATTTAAATCTTTAATATGATTAGCTATTGCATATCCATTCCGGAAACATAGCCATAATTAAATCCTTGACTATCTGTAAAGCAGAAGATGTAAGGCAGGGCGCAGTGGCTCACGCCTATAATCCCAGCACTTTGGGAGGCTGAGGCAGATGGATCACCCGTGGTCAGGAGTTTGAGACCATCCTGGCCAACATGGCGAAACCCCGTCTCTACTGAAAATACAAAAATTAGCCAGGCGTGGTGGCAGGCCCCTGTAGTCCCAGCTACTTGGGAGGCTGAGGCAGGAGAATCACTTGAACCCGGGAGGCAGAGGTTGCAGTGAGCCGAGATCGTGCCACTGCACTCCAGCCTGGGGGACAGAGCGAGACTCGCCTCCAGAAAAAAAAAAAAAGACTAATAAAAATATTGGGAAAACTTTCTTGTTACTAACATACCTAAAACTTTAATACTAGAACAGATGCCTACATCCAGTATTTAAATTACGTAAAATACTAACCAAGTATACTTTTTATTTTACCTACAACTTTACTAAATAGTTGAAAAAAACGGCAAGACAAGAGGGCATCATCTCCTCTCCCAGTGTATAAAATAACGATGATGGGCCTGGCGCGGTGGCTCAAGCCTGTAATCCCAGCACTTTGGGAAGCCAAGGCTGGCAGATCACGAAGTCAGGAGATCGAGACCATCCTGGCCAACGTGGTGAAACCCCGTCTCTACTAAAAATACAAAAAAATTAGCCGGGTGTGGTGGCGGGCGCCTGTAGTCCCAGCTACTCGGGAGGCTGAGGCAGGAGAATGGCGTGAACCCGGGAGGCAGAGCTTGCAGTGAGCCGAGATCATGCCACTGCACTCCAGTCTGGGTGACAGAGCGAGACTCCGTCTCAAAAAAAAAAAAAAAAAAAAAAGATAACGATGATGATGATCTCATGGTGGTGGCTTCCATCATACACATAATGAAGGTTGTTTATGCCAGGTATAATACCAAATGCTTTACACTCAATATTTTATTTAGCCTTCATAACAACTCTATTAATTAAGTACTATTATCATTCTCATTTTACAGATGAGAAAACTGAAGTCTAGTGAGATAAAAGACTCCAGGTTATAAAGCTATGAAAAATGAAGTAGGGGCTGGATACCACGTTTGTTATGCCCTAACTATGCTTTTAACTACTACACTATAAATGCAAGGTATTGAATTAAATTTCAGTTTGGAACCATGTCCAAGTAAAAATCACTTCAGTTCTGTCATTCCTAAGTGTGTGTGTGTGAATAAACATTAAGATTACTCATGGCTAACACATGAAAATTTAGGAGCCTAGTATTTCAGAGTCTGCAGAAAAGCATTGTTTAAAGTGATTTACCAAGCAGAGTGACTATAATGAGAAATTAATGTAACTTTTATCTTTTCATATTATTTGTGAATAATAACAAATAAAAGTTTAGAGTTGGAGTCTGCAAACTCATTTAGTCAGCAGTGTCACTTTCCAAAACAAGTTATTCATCTTGGAGGTAGCAGCTACCAAGTGTCCTGGTAGCATAGTATGGAATTTAACCTTATTTCTTAGTGTATGTGTGGGCTAGCTCTCTGTTTTAAAGCTAATTTAAAGAAATATCTATTCATTTGCTTAGTAGAACTCTCTAAAAAGCCGTAGGCATTTTATTACTGTAAAAATGAAAGTTTTACTCCATTATTTAAATGGTATGCCCAAACTATAAATAGCTACACTTGGTGTCAGGTACATGTATTTTTGATTATTGCTTAATTCTGACAAATGCTAAATTATATTATAAAATTGATTAAAAGTTGCCTCTTAAGCCTGGTAATTCACATAGGTTTAAAAAATTTTTTTTCAAGGAGCTTTTGCCATTTATCATATATAAAAACAATACATGAGATTTGTGTAACTTAAATTGCTATGAACAGAGTATTTTGATATTTTGTTTCAATTAACTTTCTAATATCACAAGTAGACAATATGTACCCCAACTGTGGCATTGGTTTGTTCCTTTCTATTCTGCAAAATTTTAACTAAAATTTAGTTAAAAAATGAATTTTAAAAATCTCAAAAATAACAAAATGGATGTTACCTTTTTAACACCAATCTCGACAGCTCTCCCTATTACATCCTGTAAGTCATCTGTAAAAGATAAACTCTGTATTATGAAAACCTGGCAGACAAAAATTTGACTTTTTTTTTTAGCTTCTGTGCAAATGGCTATTTGAAGTTTTATATTTGAAATTATAAACTTCTACAGGTAAGAAGACCTTAATTAAACTTTATTATAAATGTTCATGATCATGGTTTATCAATAAATGTGTTTCACTTTGTTTACAGGTTTATCCAAAATGCATAATGAGTTCTTTTTTTTTGAGACGGAGTTTCGTTCTTGTTGCCCAGGCTGGAGTGCAATGGTGTGGTCTCGGCTCACTGCAACTTCCACCTCCTGGGTTCAAGTGATTCTCGTGCCTTAGCCTCCCAAGTAGCTGGGATTACAGGTGCATGTCACCATGCCCAGCTAATTTTATTGTATTTTTAGTAGAGATGGGGTTTCACCATGTTGGCCAGGCTGGTCTCGAACTCCTGACCTCAGGTGATCCACTTGCCTCAGCCTCCCAAAGTGCTGGGATTACAGGCATGAGCCACTGCGCCCAGCCAGGAGTTCTTTATTATTTCAATTTTAAGAGCGGATTATGTTGCCCAGGCTGCTCTTGAACTCCTGAGCTCAGGCAATCCTCCTGCCTCAGACTCCCAAAGTGCTGAGATTACAGGTGTGAGCCACAAGACTCAGCTTGAATTATGCTTTTCAAGATCTCCTGAGGCAGAAAATTTGTCTTCATAGGAAACTATTCGCCTTAATAAAGGAAATATTTACCTTGATGCTTTTGAACCCCCCTATAAATTCCTCTGAACATAGGGTCAGTCAAGTTGATACCAATATCTGTAGAAAGCAAAAGTCACTGATTAATTATTGAGTCTCTACATGAAACTTGTACTTAAATAAAAAGCTTCTGTTACTAAACTTTTTGTTCACACACTCATCTACTCAAACAATATCCAAGTGCCTACCACTTGTCAACTACTGTGCTAGAAACATGGGATACAAAGATGAATAGGATATAATTCCTGCTTTCAAGAAACTCACCGCAGAACTGGTAAGGCAGATC
Source organism: Homo sapiens (assembly GCF_000001405.40). Lineage (NCBI taxonomy): Eukaryota > Metazoa > Chordata > Mammalia > Primates > Hominidae > Homo > Homo sapiens. The sequence goes on from NC_000008.11 coordinate 124,523,229, forward strand.
CATTATCAGACAATTATGAAATATTAGAAGTAAACACTGGTACTATGGGACACAGAAGAGGAACACCCAACCTAGTCTGGTGGCTGGCTCAGAAGAGGCTTCCAGAAAGAAGTCATCATTGAACTGAATCTTAAAGGATGAGTGACTGTTATCCAGTGGAAGAGAGGTAACTGCACAAAGAGGAAGCAGCGGGAGCAAAGCCTTCAAGATGGGAAAGAGCACAGTGCTTGTAAAGAGCTACAGGCTGTTCTGGCTGCTGGAGAGAAGAACAATTGGCCCTCTGTATCTCTGGGATCTGGATCTGCAGATTCAGCCAACCACAGGTCGATTGAAAATATTAGAAAATAAAAATAACAACACAACAATAAAAAATAATATAAATAAAAGCACAGTAAGGTATAAAAACCATTTACATAGCATTTACATCAAATTAGGTATTTTAAGTAATCTAGACATGATTTAAAGCATACATGAGGATATGCACAGGTTACAGGCAAACACCAAGCCATTTTATGTAAGGGTTTTGGTATCTGCAGGAGGTTCTGGAACCAGTCTCCTGCCGATACTGAGGGAAGACAGTGTAAGGAAGGGAGAGGTCAGAAGACACCAGACTCAGTTATGGTACAGACACTTGTTTTTAAAATACTGGATGCAACAGAAAGCTCTGTTCTGCTGTAGAATATAAGGGAACATGGGGAACAACAAGATATGAAGTCAGACTGTGACTGGTCACAGGCAAGAAAAAAAAATGCCTCCCTTATTGAAAATACACATAATTTAGCTTTTAGCAGGAGGAGAATCTCAAAATTTGCGGTGGTGGTAGGCAGCTGATTACCAACAGACTCCCTACATTATTTCTGCCAAGTTTCAGCTTCTTGGTATGTTCTCATTCTAATTTCTGCCAAGTTGGTCCCCAGGAGTGTCTGCTCCACCAATAAGACACACCTTGAAAGTGAATGGGAGTTTAGAAAATTTAAGAGACAGTGAAGAGAGTATTCCAGGCATTTGAAACAATAGGGGAAAAAGTAAAATGCAGAAAACTACAAAGATATTTGGGCACTAACATGTCAACAAAGATGGGTGGGATGTGGTACCCTTTAAAAGGGCTATTAACATATAAACATCATCTAATACTATACATACAATATAGAAGTTTGGTGGAATGGCCCAATCCAAAGAATTACTATCTAGTTTCTTTATAAGTAAGTACAGGAAATTAGATAAATGGGGCAGACTGAGAAAGGAAACCCAGGGAAGAGGGGAGAGGCCTTTCTGCCTAAAATAATCCTTCAGAGAGGTTTAGTCTAGGGTCACCGATCATCACTGATCATTAGGAAAACAGAAATGGTCTGTATCTCTTCTAGACCATTTCCCCTTTGTGCAGTGTTAAGCAAACAATTATTCATAACACTTGTCAAAGACTCTGAGGAAGCCTTTATTCAAGAGAGACTACTGACAGAAGGGAAGGTTTTGCAGAAGGGGGAGGGACTGGGCTCAATTTTGAATACAAGGACAAGTGAGGATTTATTGCCACCAAGTAGAATGGGGATCAACAGATGAAAAATTACTAAGAGGAAACATCAAAGGTGAGGGAAGATTCTGGGTTTACTCAACTTGATGGATTTTTGCTGAAGGCAGGCCAGAGTGTCAGGATATTCTGCTTGAGGATTTGAGATCTGGGATGGGGGAAATGAGGGATGAGAAAGGTCTATAGGTCCTGGCTGATGAGGAAAGCAGGTCCTACGTCCCAGTATAGTCTCTGGGTTTATCTGGGCAGACAGAAATGCAGGAAGACTCCTTCAAAAGTCCCTTGACCCAAGTGCAGTGAGAAGCACTTAAAGGCCATGCAGATGTAGACAGTGGTAATCACAGCTGACCACCCACCATCCTTCCACACTTTAGCATCATCCTAATCTTTTTTTTATTTTTCTTTTTAAGACAGAGTCTCACCCTATCGCCCAGGCTACAGTGCAGTGGCACAATCTCAGCTCACTGCAACCTCCACCTCCCGGGTTCAAGCAATTCTCCTGTCTCAGCCTCCCAAGTAGCTGGGATTATAGGCGCCCACCACCACACCCAGCTAATTTTTTGTATTTTTAGTAGAGACAGGGTTTTGCCATGTTGGACAGGCTGGTCTCGAACTCCTGACCTCAGGAGCTCCACCCACCTTGGCCTCCCAAAATGCTGGGATTACAGGCATGAGGCACCACGCCCAGCCAGTCTTAGTAAATTCTTGTACCCTCGCACTGCTGGCCCAGATAGTCACAGCTCACCCGCAACAAATAAGTGAGTCTTTCTGAGCCTCAGTTTTCTCACTAGTAGGGTGGACATAAACTTTCTCCTTCCAGCAACAAAATGTGGCTCAAAACCAAAAACAAATATGAAAGCATTTTGCAAATTAAAAGTCTTATTAGCATGTAATTATTGGGAACACTGTTATTACAAACACTGTAACATGCCAACAACAAATGGAATTTGAATCAGCTTTAGCCATACTGTCATACCACCTTAAGTGGTTAAGGCTCCCGATCCAAGAATGCATTATCAAATAGCCAAATGTGAGTCAATATGTTTTGAACATTAAGACTCATGATGTAATCATGAAAACAAAGCCACTCAAAATCCTATTTATTTAATTTGTTCAAAATGTTCTTATCTATGTTAAGGGATAGTGAGAAACAAAAACCTTGGATCTGAGAAATGCAAGCACCTTTAAATGATCAGGCCCAGAAAGGCATTTAAAATGTTCACAGCAGTCCAAGCTCACTCCCCTTTGAGCTACATAATTACTTCTTGAAGCCGCTTGCTATGTGGGCTCTAGACTGACGCCAAGTGGCCCTAAAATGCCATACACCCTATAGTTCAACAATACATAGCCAATCACTAACCAATGTTATTTCTGTAAACCAATGAGAATCCCTGATTAACCATTTTTGTAACCGCGCCCCACCTTTTGATTTGTCCTTTAAAAATTTGAGCCTCTCTTTTGTTCTCTGGAGCACTCCCCAAGGCAACTTGGAAGTGTGTCCTGGGCTGCAGTCCTCAACTGTTGTGCTTGAATAAACTCTGTAAACTAGATTCTGACCTTTTTGGTTATTTGAGGTTGACAATAGTATCTTTTAAATTAAAAGTCTCTATTAGACATAAGCCTATTGGCATGTAAACTCAAACAAACTAGACAAATACTGTATGAAAACCAATGTCTAGCCAGATCCAGCTAAAGATAGTAAGTAGCTTGAAAAGCTAAGAAAGTAAGAGATACGGGTGGGAGGGAATGATAGGAACAAAAACAAGGCAAAGTGGAAAATTGCTACTTCTCATTAGGGGAGAAAACTGAAGGATTCATACATTCAGTAGCATGTCACCCTATATAGATCAGTAATGTTTCTTTTTCATTAATTTTCTTCAAATAGCTGGCTTGAAAAGCAGCACCTACTTTATTATTTAAGAGTTCTTCAAATATTGACTTTTCGTTTTCAAAACAAAGTAAGAGTAGAAAACGGCACTGTTTGTAACCAGGAGAAAACCACAACTCTTAAGTTGAAGCCTCAGTTATTGGGCTCACTGAATCGTGTCACATCACTGTCACCTATGATCTAGGAATACAAAGGGACAGCAAATAAGGCACAATTTGTTTTTTAGATATTGCTAGTCTTTAGATATAACCCCGAGTTTATAGCAAATACGGGGGATTAGAGAACAAGCTCAATGACACTACTATTTAGCAAACAGACAAAGCCAGGAGACAGACTTTCTGTAGGGTGTTGACTTAAAATCACGAGATCTATACATTAGGGAAGAACTTTATTTCTTTTATTGACGTGCAACCTGCAGGCTGGGAAGCAGAGCCTTTGGCTGAGAACAAAAGCAACCATTTCAAAGGAAGAAGTGGGGAACAGGAGTTTTACACTAAATGGGCTGGCTAACGTACATATTTAACAGGTTATAGGAGGAGCTATGTATATTCATGAAAGGTGGATTCATGCGTGTATGATAAGCAAACATACATGTTACACAAACCCCATGTTCACTTTGGGGTGGAGACTTAACATTAAAATGCAGTAAAATTAAGCTTTATATGTCAAAAGGTGCACAGCCTGAGTAAACCAGCCAGAACTAGTCTGTGACTGGTGGTCACTTGTCAGGAAGGAATGCGCGGTGAAACTGGTCAGCTGTCATGTCAAAACCACAAAAAAGGAGGGGAGTCTGGCTGTGGTGTCAGGTGGTTGGCTGAAGTCAGCAGAGGAGTGAGTCTTGTTTCTGTTCCAGGGCTGGTTTCTATTTAACGCTTACAAAAAAAGTCTGGTATCGGTTAGTGAGGAAGGGGGTGTACTGAGGTGTGACCAAACTCTCATCTAATCATGGCTGGAAAACTTAGCTTTCAGAGTTTTTCTGGGGTCTCCTTGGCCAAGGTAGTGTCCATTCAGTCAGTCGGGTGGGGCAGGGGGGTGCTTAGAAATTTACTTTTATTTCATGTTTCCCCATTTTAGCCACGATCTGCTGCAAGCAGCACCAATAGCCAAATCTTTATTTTGTCCCATGTCATTGCCAGGGTGGTGTGGCTATCTGTCCCAGATCCATCCCTACGATAGCCAATTGGACATCCTAGATCAACCAGGAATAGAGAGATGGCAGGCCCTCACTAACCCGTAAGGTATAAGAGATATAAGAGCCAAAAGGAATGGCTACAAAATTAACTTGCCTGTAAGTTCTACGCACTGAGCCATCATAATTCTGGTTTTAACAGGGGACTTCTTGCAGTCCTATTATAAGTAATTTAAATGTTAAGAAAGAAAGTATGATGGAGACTATGAATATGACAAACACTTAGCAGTTTGAAAGGGATTTCCCAGGCCAGTTGGAAGCCAACTAAATAGATCATTGAGAGGATTAGTAGTTCATAGCTCTTGTAACCATTTAAGGTTGTTTGGATAGTCTTTCTCTAACAGTGTCTTTTTTTTTTGAGATGGAGTCTCGCTCTGTCACCCAGGCTGGAGTACAGTGGTGCCATCTCGGCTCACTGCAAGCTCCACCTCCCAGGTTCACGCCATTCCCCTGCCTCGGCCTCCCAAGTAGCTGAGACTACAGGCGCCTGCCGCCACACCCGGCTAATTTTTTGTATTTTTAGTAGAGACGGGGTTTCACCATGTTAGCCAGGATGGTCTCGATCTCCTGACCTTGTGATCCTCCCGCCTCGGCCTCCCAGAGTGCTGGGATCACAGGGGTGAGCCACTGCGCCCGGCCTCTAACAGTTTCTATTTCACCTGAAGTACTTATGTAACAGGAGGTATGGGCCAAACAACTCCTTGTTTGGCTAGGAGAAAATCTACGGCAACTTTATTATCTAGTACTACTTGAGCCAAGGAGTTTAGAGACTTTTGTTGAGCTACAAGGCTTTTTGCAGTGTCTGCAGCTATCTTGAGGTGGGAAATTAAAGAAAAATAAAATTAAAAAGATAGAGAAATAAGTTTTCCTGTATTAGACTGACTTGTCCCAGAGGCGGCAACAGGCACAACCCAGACCCAGGAAAAGTCTTGATAATGGTATCTAATGTGCTGTGGAGACTCTCCCAGCACTCCCTCAACATAAGGAGAAGAAAAACAAATTTTCCTTTGCTTTATGGTATGAGTTTATAGATTCTTGTTCTCTGTAACTAGTAACTTCAAGTATTCTGTTTTATCTAAGAAGTACAACAAAGGTCACGAGAAGCCTGAGTAGGCCTGAACTACAGCTGCCTGGGCCCCACAGTGAAGGTTATGGGATAAGCCCGTGCCTAGGCAAACCTAGATAACGGACACCTGGGTTGCTTGGCAATGGTCATGAGCAATCCTGAGTCTGTCCTGCCTCTGTATCCCTGCTTTCACACCACTGTAAGCTTGCTTCAAGCTAGCCCACACCCTTTTGTGAAGTGTGTATAAAAGTCAAGTGCTGTCTTTGTTTCGGGCTCAGTCTTTGGACCTGAGTCTGCTGGGCCTGAGTGCACTCAATAAAAGATTCTCCTGTTTCAACCCGAGGTCTCTCATACTCCTAAATCCCGCAACAATGTGACTAATAGTGGCAAAGACTTTTCAAATCATATCCTTATTGACATAAATCCCAACACTCGGAATTAATATTCCCAGGATGCTTTGATCTGTATCACCTTCACACCCTGCCAACACAGACCTTTTAGTTTAATAATGGAGAGAAAGGGGGTCCTTCTGTAAGTTTGTGTAAGGATACGGGGGGTTACAAAATATCTCAGCAAGCATGAACCTTCTAACTGTAGGCTGCCGAGGCAACAGTGTGCCCAAAGCTGTGCAGGTGGATCAGACCTTATGCCACATACAAACACACAGCCTGAATGGGGGGCACAAGTGATACTCCTGAGGATGTCTTAATTAGCAGATGTATTCATGCGGAGTGCTGACATCACCAAACTAAACTATGGGCCATTTCTCTTGCAAGCTTTCCAGAATCCACTCACTTATTTTAAATGTAAATATTGTGGGCACTGTAGGGATATATTTTTAACTTTATTTATCTGATGTAGATGACACTTGTCTATCCAGTAGTTCATAGGTCAAGAAGGTCCCATGGTAGGCCGGGTGCAGTGGCTCATGTCTGTAATCCCAGCACTCTGGGAGGCCAAGGCAGGTGGATTACTTGAGGTCAGGAGTTTAAGACCAGCCTGGCCAACACAGTGAAATCCAGTCTCTACTAAAAATACAAAAATTAGTTGGGCATGGTGGCAGGTGCCTGTAATCCCAGCTCTTGGGATGCTGAGGCAGGAGAATCGCTTGAACCCGGGAGGCGGAGGTTATAGTGAGCTGAGATCTCACCACTGCACTCCAGCCTGGGTAACAGGCCAAGACTCAGTCTCAAAAAAAAACCATAAAAAACCCAAAGAACAACAACAACAAAGAAGGTCCCATGGTAAAGAATGGGTTTCCAATGTTAAAAACACAGGACACATCAAAACAAGGGGTGACAATATCTGGGCTTTGAAGGAATTGGACCTGGAAAATCAACAGGGAAAGGGGTTGGTCTGGGTAAGTGGTGACATTAGGGACATCTGAGCAGTCAGTGACAGATATTACCAATGGCACATATCTATTATGAATGGATCAAGGAAGTTGTTGGCAAATCCAGCAATCCAATAGGTTTCCTTCTACTAGCAACATGTGGGACAGCTTAACTAAAGTGTTATCATGCCATTCTCTGCATTGAGACAAGACAGAGGGACAATTGCAAAGAGAGGGAAAGGTGACAGTGCAGGTATGAGTAAAAGGAATGGAGGGAACAGCCATTTAACAATTCAGAAAACTGAACCAAGGGAAAAACCATAAATCCCATACAAATCCAAGGGGATTATCTGACAAACTTAAGGGACTGTCCTTAAGTAAGAGAACATCTCACTACAGGAACAAAGCAATGATGTCCTCAGGAGTGGGGGTCATAAGCCCTGCTCAGTTCTGATAAAGACAAGAAGAGGAAGCACACAGGTAGCTAAACATCGAAGTTATCTAGCAGAAAGGCATGGAACAAATTCTATTAGTTTAGATAGAGGCAAATTATTAAATGAGACCCAGTGTCTTTGAATACAGTCCTGGCCCTGGGTCTCATGAAAGCAGTTTATGTTGACTATTGCCTTTTTCTGGGTCTAAAGATGAGGCTCTGGTTAACTGAAGTCTCGTGTAGAGACTGGCACCAACTTCCAAGATTCAGCAAGGGTTGTTGTTTTCAGATGAGACATGTGCGACCAGGAGTCAATCTCTATAACTTAGCAGCACAAGGATTAATTAATAGCACCCATCCAGTAGGCTGGATGAAGTATTTTAACTGATGTCTCTTCCACTACTTGTCATCACCAAGCTGGAGGTGGTAATACTGGAGTTTATGGCCTGTTGGGAAGCTGTAAAAAGATTCTACAACTTGCAGTGACTGATCTTTATAGCTTTAACAAGCCCCTGGCAATAAGCCTAAAGTTCCCTCCTGTCATTTGGCAGGAGAAAATATTTCCTGGTCTAAGTGCACAGACCAACCAGTAACAATTTCAAAAGGGGAGAGCTGACATTTACTGGTGGGAATGGACTGCAGAATCAGTAATGCTAATGGGAGAGCTTTAGGCAAGGACAGGTTAAGTTTCTGTAACTTTCGCCAGCTCGCTTTCAATGATCCCATTAGACTGTTCAACTAGCCCAGAGGACTGGGGGTAATAGGCACAGTGAAAGTGCTGTAAAAGGGCAGATTTAAAAAACTTGTTCTAGTATTTGGCAGGTAAAATGAGTGCCTCTGTCGCTGTGGAATTCAGTGGGAACACCCTAGATAGGAATGGTTTTTCTCAAGCAGCATTTTGGCCACCACCATAGCTGTTGCTTGTTTACAGGTGAAAGACCTACCTCAATGAGAATACATCGTCAACCATTAGAAGAACAAAATTTAATCTGTGGGATGGTGGTAACTAAATGAAATCAAGTTGTCACATGGTTAAGGGACCCTAGGGGAGAGGAAATTGTCCTGGAGGGAGCTTCAGGAGTTCACCTGGGTTATACTGAGGGTAGATATTGCAAAGTTTACATAGCGGTGGGGCAAGAGCTGGAGAGAGCCACCATACAGTAGTACTGTCTACCCCACTGAATCATTTTGTCTGGATTCTAATGGGTTAGATTATGTATGAAGGTTGTTTGTCTTTGCAGGGTGCTGGGTAGGACTGGATGTCCATTTGGACCTTCCTGTAATTTTGTCTGGGGATTGCAAGCGCAATTTTGTTTCATCCATTTCCCTCTTCCAGACTCCAAGACTGTCTTTTGTGAAAATAAGTCTGGAAAGGTCTTCAGATGGGGAGGGGAGCAAGGAAGAAGGAAGAGCAAGGGGGGGAGGAGGAGGAGGAGGAGGAGGAGTGGGTTGAGTACAACTCGGGAAGGAGCCACATGCTGGGTGGCAGCTTTAGCTGCTGCATCCACTAGGTGGTTGCCTTCGCTGTCTTCTGTCTTGTCAGAGAAATGTCCTTCGACTATGATAACGGCTAGGGCTCAATGAGCCTGAATGGCATCTAAGAGAAACAAAACAGTCTTTGTTTTTGTTTTTTTCTGAGACAGAGTCTCACTCTGTCGCCCGGGCTGGAGTGCAGTGGTGCAATCTCAGCTCACTGCAGCCTCCACCTCCCAGGCTCAAGTGATTCTCCTGCCTCAGCCTCCCACATAGCTGGGATTACAGGTGCATGCCACCACGTCTGGCTAATTTTTGTGTTTTTTATAGAGACGAGGTTTCACCATGTTGGTCAGGCTGGTCTCAAACTCCTGACCTCAAGTGATCCACCTGCCTCGGCTTCCCAAAGTGCTAGGATTACAGGCGTGAGCCACTGCACCTGGCCTAGTCTTTGTTCTTAATAGGTTGTCCAGAGGAAGTAAAAAATCCTCTTTGTTTCTAGAGCATGCCAAAATCATGGGCAACTCCAAAGACATACGTGCTGTCTGCATAAATATTAACCGTTTCACCCCAGGCCAGTAGGCAGGCCCAAGTGAGGGGATGCTAATTCTGCTCGTTGGGCAGATCGGGCAGTTGGCTGGGGGCCTGATTCAATGATTCCCATCACAGAGACCACCACATAGGCTGCATAATGGAAGCCAGCAGAATTTTTGAGAAAGGATCCATTAGTGGGTAAGGGGGTCTCCCTTAAGTCTATATGAGGTGAGAGAAAAGTGTCTGTAAAGACAACACAGTCTTTGGGTGCGTTAATCTCTTATTAAAGGCAAAACGGGGCCAGGTGTAGTGGCTCATGCCTGTAATCCCAGCACTTTAGGAGGCCGAGGTGGGCAGATGACGAGGTCAGGAGATCGAGACCGTCCTGGCTAACACGGTAAAACCCCGTCTCTACTAAAAATACAAAACATTAGCCGGGCGTGGTGGCAGGCGCCTGTAGTCCCAGCTACTCAGGAGGCTGAGGCAGGAGAATGGTGTGAATCCGGGAGGTGGAGCTTGCAGTGAGCCAAGATGGCGCCACTGCACTACAGCCTGGGCGACAGAGTGAGACTCTGTCTCAAAAAAAAAAAACGCAAAATGGTAGCTACATTAAGGAGGTTACAGTAAATTATGGTTAGGTTAGAAGAGGAGAAAAGTATCTCATAGGAGGTCAATCAACTGGCTTAAAGATGCTGAGTGAGGGGACAGGTGCAAAGGGCCTAAATTGAATGAGAAACATATACAACGAGAGGGGATCCCAGGAGTAATTTTTTGGTAGCCTTGATGAGGCCTGAGGGGGTGGCAACTGCCCTCAGTACAGGAAGGAATGCCTTGTGAAACTGGTCAGCTGTCATGGTGAAACTGCAAAAAAGGAGGGGAGCTGGTCCCAATGTCAGGCAGTTGGCTGAAGTCAGCAGAGGAGCAAGTCTTCCAATCTTTGTTTTTCCAGGGCTGGTTTCTGTTCAACTTGTAGGAAAAAAGTCTGGTATTGGTTAGTAAGGAAGGAGACCAGGACCAACCCCTCATCTTGTCATGTTTGGGAATCTTAGTTTTTCATGTTTTTCTGGGGTCTACTTGGTCGAGGGGGGTTCTGTTCAGCCAGTTTAGGGGGCTTAGAATTTTATTTTTATTTCACAGGCACAACCAGCACAGCTGCTTTGGTAAGTCAGTGACATTAAAAAAAGAAATGTGTGGCAGGGCGCGATGGCTCACGCCTATAATCCCAGCACTTTGGGAGGCTGAGGCAGGAGGATCACGAGGTCAGGAGATCGAGACCATCCTGGCTAACACAGTGAAACCCCGTCTCTACTAAAAATACAAAAAATTAGCCGGGCGTGGTAGTGGGCGCCTGTAGTCCCAGCTACTCGGGAGGCTGAGGCAGGAGAATGGCGTGAACCTGGGAGGCGGAGCTTGCAGTGAGCCCAGACTGCACCACTACACTCCAGCCTGGGCAACAGAGCGAGACTCCGTCTCAAAAAAAAAAAAAAAAAAAAAAAAAAAAAAAAAAGAAATGCGCTAGAGCAAGGGATTGGTAAACTAAGGCCCACAAGCCACTGCCTACTTTTGTTTGCCTCTAAGCTAAGAATGACTTTACATTTTTAAATAGTTGAAGAAAATCAAAAGAATATTTTGTGACACATCAAAATTATAAGAACTTCAAGTTTCAGTGACCGTAAGTTTTACTGGAACATAGCCACACCTATTTACATACTGTCTATCACCTGCTTTTGAATGACAAGGTGTGAGATAGGAAAAAATGCAAACTGCTTTCTCCTACAGTATTCTCATACTCACAATACTCTGAATTTTTTGTTTGTTTGTTTTAAGTAGAGATGGGGTCTCACTTTGTTGCCCAGGCTGGTCTTGAACTCCCGGGCTCAAGCAGTCCTCCCACCTTGGCCTCCCAAAGTGCTTGGATTACAGGCGTGAGGATTCACTTCTGACGTCAGGTATGTGTGGGGTTTCCTCTCCCAACAACCAATTCTCTGACACCAGCTGGGTGACCTATAATTTAACTCAATTCTCACACTATCTACCTGGATATAACATCAGACCGCAGAGGTCAAGGGCTCAGTCCCACAAGACTCTCCCCATTTCAGATACCAATTACAAGCAGTAGGTTCCCAGGTTACCCACAACTTGTCTAACTTGGCTACAATAAGAGGTTCCCACAACCCCCTTCTCAGGTTTGATCATTTGCTAGAGCAGCTCACGGAACTCAGGAAAGCACTTTACTTATTACCCATTCATTGTAAAAAGATGCCATTCAAAAACGGCCAGGTGGAAGAGACACATAGAGACATGTATGGGTTTTTATAGAGGCTTCACCATGTAGGTATGATTGATTAAATCACTGGCCATTAGTGAACAACTCAACCTTCAGTTTCTCTCCCCTTCCCCAGAAGTGGGAGTGGGTGGGAGGGACTGAAACTTCCAACTCTCTAATCACATGATGGGTTTTCCTAGGCAAACCCCCATCCTGAGGCTATCCAGGAGCCCCCAGCCATCAGTCATCTTAGCAGCATACAAAAAGACACTTAGCACTTAGGAGATTCCAAGGGTTTCAGGAGTTGTGCACAAAGAAATGGGAGCAGAGAACACACACGTATTTACTATTACATCACAGTACACAAAAGGGCAGAGTTGAATAGCTGCAATAGAGATCACGTGGCCCTCAAAGTCTAAAATATTTACTATATGGCCCTTTAAGGAAAAAGTTTGCAAACCTCTGCACTTGATTCAAAAATTTAAGGAACAACCAAATGTGTGGCTCTAAATGGGATACCATTTTGGACATGACCACCAAGGGACATTTTTGGAACAACAGGAAAAATTTGAGTATGATTTTGGTACTAGTTAAGATGAACATTTCCTGAAATGGAAAGGTGGAGACTGTGATTGAAAAAAGCAGAGCACAAAAGAGTAGCCTCAGTATGATCTTATTTTGTTTGGTATGCCTACAGAAGATCTGGAAAGATAGACATGGTGGTGTTATGTGTGATTTGGAGGAACTGTATTAATCTGCTTTTGCATTGCTATAAAGGAATACCTGAGACTGGGTGATTTATAAAGAAAAGAGGTGTATTTGGCTCATGGTTCTGCAGGTTGTACAAGATGCATGACACCAACATCTGCTTTTGGGAGGATCTCAGTAAGCTTCCAATCCTGGTGGAAAGGGAAGGGGAGCCAGTGTGAACTCATTACCACAGGGAGGCCATCAAGCCTTTCATGAGGGATCCACCCCCATGAGATGGATGTTGGGAAGTGACCCAAACACCTCCCACTGGACCACCTCAACATTGGAGAGCAAATTTTAACATGAGATTTGGAGGGGACAAATATCTAAACTATATCAGGAATGGAATATGATGTTTTTATTTTCACTGTTGTTTGTATTTTGCATTTTCTTCTTGCACAGATATTTCTCATTTTTTGGTGTACTATGTAGTCTAAGATCAATGCAGTAGAGATTCTGGCATATAATAGTTACAGGTAGAAGTATTTTTGAGAGTGGAAGAGTTTGTAAATAACACCCAGGGAATAGAATTCCACTTGTGGAGACAGAAAAGAGAGTATAAGCTGGGCTAAAGAAATTCTCATGCTGGCCAGTGGCTCCACGTGTAATCCCAGAACTTTGGGAGGCGGAGGTGGAAGGACTGCTTAAGGCCAGCAATTCAAGACCAGCCTGAGCAACATAGCAGGACACAGTGGTCTACAAAAAAAAATTAGCCTGGTATGGTGGTGAGCACCTCTAGTCTCAGCTACTTGGGAGGATGAGGCAGGAAGATCACTTGAGCCTAGGAGGTCAATGCTGGAGCCATGATCTAAGCCACTGTACTCCAGCCTAGGTGACAGAGCAAGACCCTGTCTCAAAACAAACAAAAACCCCCACTGTTGGGGTATAGTTCTAAGGGGCAGCCACTTGTTATGCAAGTAGAAAAGAGAGAAATGTAGAAAGAATTACAATGGTCAGCTGTCTTAAACCAAAATCTAAGGTAATTTTCATAAAATGGGTTCAATTTTTCATGCAATTGTCCCATGTGAAGCTTGTTCCAGGGATTTAATATGATGTTTTTCAAAATATTGTTCAGAACTCATTATTAGGCTAAGAAATTAGTCTAGCGATTCATGGGCAGAATTTTTTAAATGACACAAACTGAAAGATTAAATATCAGAGTAAGTCATATACCAAGGATAGAATGCATAATATGATCTCATTTCTGTTTCAAAAGGAAAAAAAAAAACCTTGATATGTTGTATTTTTATGAATCTGTATAACAATCTATTAAAAAATTAGGGAAGGCTATACTTCAAACTTTTAATATGGTTACTTTAGGAGAGTGGGGCTAAAGGAAACCATACAGAAAAAAATTTATTTCAATTATTTATTCCAATAAAGTCACCTTCTTTAAGAAGTCTTTTCTTGCTTATTTTATCTGATGCTAATCCCTTTACTAATTTTCTTATCACCTTAGCACTAAAGCCACTCATTCATACTTTCCCAAACAGTCATTGTACTACGCCCCTAGGAAAAAAATATAAATACCATACCAGTATCTGCCTTAAGAGTTTGATCTAGTGGGAAAGGCATACTCATATTTAATTATAAATAATGTGGTATAAGTTTTAAGGAGTGAGTAGGCAGACAGGCAACAGGGTAGTTGGTAGGCAGAGGAATATTTTGGCCCCAAACTGCCACTCTAAAACCTTGTCAGAGGTAACAAACAGCATGCACAAGTGTTTATAGAGCAGCCCAGGGATGGGCTAGAAAAGTGGGCAGGACTGGACCACAGAAGGGCTTTGTATGGTGTGTAAGCATTTAGGCTATCCTGAGGAGCGTAAATGAAAGATTTGAAGCAAAAGAAACATTTAGCTGATTTGATTTTTAGATACACCAAAATGGAGTCTACATGGAGGATGGATTTAAGACATTAACTTGAGGCAGGAATTTGGTTGTATAACATAAACACACTTTTAAAAAGTTATGTGGCCTTTCTTTACGGAGTACTTCATGGCTCTTTATTCCATCTCCCTCATCAATTATATCAAAGGTTAGGATGGAAAGGCTAAGACACGGCAATGTCTTATTTGACAACCCCTCCCCAAACCCCTACTCCAGGCTTTCCCACAGCAATTTCAAAACCTTTTTCCTGGCACTTAACATATTCTCCCCTGCATTTGCTTTTGACTGTACAGTACATAGGTCTTAGGTCTCCAGTCTGAAAACTGCACCACTAGATTTTACAGTTCCACAGGACTTAGCACAACGTCTTTGAAAAAAAAAAATACTGCTTAAATAACTCTCAGATCTAAATGTATAATCCTAATCTCTTGATTGCCAGACCACATTCCCAATTGCCCAGATATCTCTACCTGGATGTCCTATAATTATCTCAAACTTAACCTAATCCAAATGGACCTGGGTACCTCTCTTCACCGCCAAACTAGTCATGCTTCCATTTCATATTTAAGTACTTTTCCAAACCCTGAGTCATCTTTGTTCACTCTCTACTACCGGCCATGAACACTCAGCTGCTAAATGCTGCACACATCTCTTCCATTTCTCTCTCTTTTCCATTACCCTAGTTTAAGCTCTTGAAATGCTTCCCTACCTCTCCCTATTTCCCACAAAACCTACATAATAGCTATCAGGATTACCTTGCTAAAGCAGAGGTGTGATCACTGTCATTTCCCACCTTCAGGTAGCTGGAAACCCCACAAAACGAGGATCATGCCCATTTAAATCCCGCAGCATTCTCCCTCTCGTTCTACTGATGCCGACTGGATCATTGTACTTGCCAAGTACAGTTTGTTTTTCTCCCCATTACTTGTGTTTTCTAGTTTCTCCACCAGATGGTGATGACAGTACAACTGGGAGCTTTGTGCCCTGTGTTCCTA
The DNA here is from genome assembly GCF_000001405.40 of Homo sapiens. Taxonomy (NCBI): domain Eukaryota; kingdom Metazoa; phylum Chordata; class Mammalia; order Primates; family Hominidae; genus Homo; species Homo sapiens. The sequence goes on from NC_000008.11 coordinate 124,538,571, forward strand.
GGCCAGTGCCAGGCCCACTTGAGGCGCTCACTAACTATGATATGAACGAATGAATGCTTGAGTGAATTGGTCCCCAGAAGCGGTCAGCCTCTCCGCCAAGGCAGAGGGGAAGGGCCGGGAGGTGCACGTGGGATGAATGGAAACATAGTGATTGGCCTTTTTGGAGTTTTCTTCTTAAAAAACTGAATACATTACAGATGTTGAAAACAGCACAAAAATCATAACTGTACGGCTTGTTAATTTTTACAAATAAATACACCCTCGTGAATCCAGAACCTAGATCAAGAACCAGAGCATTACCAGCACCCAGAAACCTCCCCGCGCCCTCCTCCACTGAGCGGCCCTTTCAACCCTTACAATGCCGGAGGGCGCAATTCCTGGGTCCTGTGACCTTGGTGACCGACGCCCGGGACAAGTCAGAAAGACCCAAGGGCGTGGAAAACGCTCCTCTTACCGATAAACTTGAAGCGACTCATGACTGCGCATGGAGGACCTCCCCAGCGGAAGCGGAAGTGGCCGCCGGCAACTCCGCCCTTCCGGCTGGCCCCGCTCAGTCACCCGCAGCAGGCGTGCAGTTTCCCGGCTCTCCGCGCGGCCGGGGAAGGTCAGCGCCGTAATGGCGTTCTTGGCGTCGGGACCCTACCTGACCCATCAGCAAAAGGTGTTGCGGCTTTATAAGCGGGCGCTACGCCACCTCGAGTCGTGGTGCGTCCAGAGGTAAGGGATGGGGACCCAGGACTCGGGGAGGTGACCCTCGGGGCCCCATGGAGGTGGAGAGGCCCCTGGGTACCTGGAGGTTCAAGGACTTCGGGAACGGAATTGGAAGGTGGCCTCTCGCTTCACAGAATCCTATGGTAGACCCGGGTTCAAATCCAGGCTTCGCCACTTATGGCCGGGAGACCTTGTAGAGTTGCTTGTCGGGTCTGGGCGTCAGCTTTTTGTTTAGTAAAACGGACGCACGACCAGCGCAGAGGGTCGCAGGAAAATTAAGTGAAATAAAGGAAAGTGCCTAAAATTGTAATTGTCATGGGTCCAGCGCTCGCTCAATCGTTTTCTTCACGATCTTCTCCTTTCCAATATTAACAGCAATAAACTATGCATTATTTTCTTCAGTCTGCAAAACTCTAGGAGTTAGGAATTATCTTAAGCTTATTTTACAGATAAGAAGATGAGCACAGCTGGTAACTTGCGCAAGGTGATAGAGTTTCTAAGTGTCTGAGCCAGGGTTAAAATTTAGGTCTTTCTCCAAAGCATCATCATTCTCCCACCCCTCCCATTAGCTTTTCTCTTTTTAGCTTCATCTAGTCCTTTTCATTACCTTTACATCTTTTTCACCTCTTACATAATTCTCTTTCGACCTCTATCCGTCTGAGACTAGTCTGAGAACATAGTGTTAAAATGTGTAGATTTTAATCACCTAAATTCATTGCAGGGTGGGCTAACAACCCAAGATGTGTGAGTGCCTCGCCTCCACTCCAGTCTTACGACTCTCCAAACGTAGTTTTATAAGAAGGCCTTCTGGGAAAAAAACTCTATGGAAAATGGAGTAGGCCTGGAAGAATTACAGAGGGTACCCTCGAAGCCCAGATTGCATATATGTGACTATTAGAAAATCACTGACATACTTCTCTTGATTTGGCAGGAAGATGGCCAAGTACAATGTGATGGGATTGTTAGTTTCTTCCTTGAGTTTTCCTTATTTATTTATTGATTTGACAGAATTTGCAATTCAGATTCTATGCTCTATGCTAAATATATAAATGTTAGTAAATCCATTTTTGAGCAGCAGCAGCTCACGGATTAGTGGGGAAAATGGACATGTAAACAAATCGATGATGAAGGAAGTTGAGCCATCAGGGATTCAGGTATCCCAACACAAATGGTAAATGTTTGAGGTGATGAATATCCAAATTACCCTGATTTGATCATTATACATTATATGGATGTATTAAAATATCACATGTACCCCATAAATAGGTACAATAATTATGTGTCAAAAAAAGTTAAACATGAAAAAAAGAATTCAAGCAATACTGAACTATAGCTGGGAATACTAAAGTCCATAGTTCTAGAGGAAAATGATATAAACTAGCTACTATGACAGTTATGGCTCAGCATTTTTTAGATCTGACATTCTTTCTCAATCCTTGCCTTAATTTCTTCCTCCATTTGCCCTCATTGTGCTGTTCTCTGTGGTTCCATCCTAGGCATACTGTGTTGTTGTATGTACTCGGGCAGCCTCATTTAGTGCTGTCACCACCTGCGCTCATTTGTCTCTAGAGCTGTAGTTCGAATTGCTTGTTAGATCACGACTGTTGGCTGGGCATGATGGCTCACGCCTATAATCCCAGTACTTTGGGAGGCTGAGGTGAGTGGATCACCTGAGGCCAGGAGTTCAACAGCCTGGCCTACATGTGAAACCGCGTCTCTACTAAAAATACAAAAATTAGCCAGGCGTGGTGGTGGGTGCCTGTAATCCCAGCTACTCATGAGGCTGAGGCAGAAGAACCGCTTGAACCTGGGAGGCAGAGGCTGCAGTGAGCCGAGATAGCCCCATTGCACTCCAGCCTGGGCGACAAGAGTGAAACTTTGTCTCAAAAAATAATAATAAAAAAAAAATTGAAAAGATCACCAACCGTTCTCTCAATCTCCATTTATCTAAATTCTTTGAAATCAAACTTGTTTTCCTGTCACTCCCCATTCTGACTCTTTTCCCAAATTCCCTGCCTCCGCTAATGGTATTATTAGTAATTCAGTTACTGAGCTTTAAGTCTCAGAATTGTTCTCAAGTATTTGCTCCTTATTCCTTTGCCAATAACACACATACTCATACACCATGTATAATTAGACACTGGTTTTTATAAATTCTCTTTCCAGTATGATATTAGTAACTGACATTATTTAACACTTGGGATGTACCAGGCACTTTTTAAAGTGTGTTTATCTTATTGACTGTTTATGACAACCTTAAGATATACACACTGTTATTGCCACTGTTTTACAGAGGAGGAACCCGTGGCCTAGAAGACTTTTTTTGTTTGTTTTTTTGTTAGACGGAGTTTCGCTTATGTTGCCCAGGCTGGAGTGCAGTGGCGCGATCTTGGCTCACCGCAAGTTCCGTCTCCCGGGTTCAAGCAATTCTCCTGCCTCAGTCTCCCGAGTAGCTGGGATTACAGGCATGCGCCACCACGCCTGGCTAATTTTTGTATTTTTAGTAGAGACGGGGTTTTGCCATGTTGGCCAGGCTGGTCTTGAACTCCTGACCTCAGGTGACCTCCACCTCAGCCTCCCAAAGTGCTGGGATTACAGGCGTGAGCCACCGTGCCTGGCCTTTTTGTTGTTGTTGTTGTTGTTTTTTTTTGAGATGAAGTCTCGCTCTTGTCCCCCAGGCTGGAGTGCAAATGGCACAATCTCGACTCACTGCAACCTCTGCCTCCCGGGTTCAAGCTATTCTCCTGCCTTGGCCCCCAGAGTAGCTGGGATTACAGGTGCCTGCCACCACGCCCGGCTAGTTTTTGTATTTTTAGCTGAGACGGGATTTCACCATGTTGGCCAGGCTGGTGTAGAACTCCTCACCTCAGATGATCCCCCTGCCTTGGCCTCCCAAAGTGCTGGGATTACAGGCGTGAGCCACCATGCCCGGCCTCATTTTTGTATTTTTAGTAGAGACGGGGTTTCTCCATGTTGATCAGGCTTGTCTTGAACTCCAGACCTCAGGTGATCCACACGCCTTGGCCTCCCAACGTGCTGGGATTACAGGTGTGAGCCACCGCACCTGACCAGAAGACAGTAACTTACCCCAAGTTACACAGCTAGTAGTGGCAGAGCTAAGATTCAGGCCCATACAGTCTGACTGGAGAGCCTATTCTCATAACTTGGAAGTCTCAATGTCTCCCCTGTCTCCTGTCACCATCACAGCTCCGTACTTTCAGGCCCTCGTCAGCTGTGTCCTAGATTATTGTCAAAACCTCCTAACTGATCTTTGCCCAGTTTCTTTAGAACTTGACTTTAACTTGCCTAAGTTTATGCAGCTAGTGTCAGAGTCAGGATACAAACCTAGCTCTGTATGAGCTAAGCAATACTGTTTCTGCCAAGTAACACCTTTCTTATTCATCTTTGTATCTCCAGAATTTAGCATAGTGACTAGCACAAGATAGAAGGAAATGGAAGTTGTCATTCAATGAATGTTGAATGATCCTGCAGAGGTTATAGCTTTTCTCTTGCGAATGCTCTTTTCTTTTTTTTTTTTTTTTTTTTTGTTTAAATCCTCATTCCATTGTTGGATGTAAGAGGAGAAAAATGGTTAGGGTATATATTTAATACAGTATTTTTTTGCTGCTGCTGTTTGGTGGGCTGTAGAGGAAGCAGCCATGATGATACGGCTGCTCCATTGGGAGGGTTGGGGTAGGTCCACTGCCCATCCAGAAGGTATCAGAAGTGCAGCCTCCTGTCAGACAGCAACACTGACCACGTGAGTAGGTAACATTTCTAATCTTCAAAATCATTTTGGTTTAAGAGACAAATACCGATACTTTGCTTGTTTGATGAGAGCCCGGTTTGAAGAACATAAGAATGAAAAGGATATGGCGAAGGCCACCCAGCTGCTGAAGGAGGCCGAGGAAGAATTCTGGTACCGTCAGCATCCACAGCCATACATCTTCCCTGACTCTCCTGGGGGCACCTCCTATGAGAGATACGATTGCTACAAGGTAGGTGAGAATTATGATGACTGCCTTCTGAGAAATAGACTTTGTTTCTTCAGTCCCACACCTCAGCCTCAGAAATCACTTGCCCTTCAAGGGGTAGCTAGGAGACTTATTTCCTGACAGTTGTCAGATGCAGGCCTACCTCATTTTATTGCATTTTGTTTTATTGTGCTTGGCAGATATTGTATTTTCACAGATTGAAAGTTTGTGGCAACCCCGTGCTGAGCAAGTCTGTGGGCACCATTTTTCCAACAGCATGTGCTCACTCCCTGTCTCTGTTTCTCAGTTTGGCAATTCTTGCAATATTTCAAACTTTTTTTTATTATTACTCTATCTACACACAGTTGTGGTGAACTGTGATCAGTCACCTTTGATGTTACTATTGTCATTGTTTTGGGGCACAAAAAAACCATGCCCACATAAGACAGCAGACTTAATCGATAAATGTGCGTGTGCTGACTGTTTCACCGACCAATAGTTCCTCCGCCTCTATCCCTCTCCTCAGGGTTCCCTATTCCCTAAGACGCAGCAACAGTGAAATTAGGACAATTAACGACCATACCATAGCCTCTAAGTGTTCAAGTGAAAGGAAGAGTTACATGTCTCTCACTTTAAATCCGTTACACGTCTCTTCCTTTAAATCAAAAGCTAGAAATGATTAAGCTTAGTGAGGAAGGCATGTTGAAAGCCAAGGTGGGTAGAAAGCAAGGCCTTTTCCGCTGGTTAGCCAAGTTGTGAATGCAAAGGAAATTAAAGGTTTTTTTAAGGAAATTAAAAGTGCTGCTCCACTAAACACACAAATGATAAGTGAAACTGTCTTATTGCTGATATGGAGAAAGTTTTAGTGGTTGGGACAAAAGATCAAACCAGCCACGACATTCCCTTAAGCCAAAGCCTAATCCAAAGCAAGTCTTTAACTCTTCATTTCTATGAAGGCTGAGAGAGATGAGGAAGCTGCAGAAAAAAAGTTGGAAGCTAATAGAGGTTGGTCCATGAGGTTTAAGGAAAAAAGCCATCTCTGTAACACAGATGTGCAAGGTGAAGCAACAAGTGCTGATGGAAAAGCTGCAGCAAATTATTACACAAAATCTGGCTAAGATAGTTGATGAAGGTGGCTATACTTAACAACAGATTTTCAGTGGAGATGAAGTAGCCTTTTTTTGGAATAAGATACCATGTAGAACTTTCATACCTTGAGAGAAATCAATGCTTGGCTTCAAAACTTCAAGGATAGGCTGACTCTCTTGTTAGGGACTAATGCAGTTGGTGGTTTTAAGTTGAAGCCATTGTTCATTTGCCATTCTGAAAATCCTGAGGCCCTTAAGAATTATGCTAAACCTACTCTGCCTGTGCCCTAGAAATGGAATAACAAAGCCTGAATTACAGCAAATCTGTATACAACATGGTTTACTGAATCTTTTAAGCCCATTGTTGAGACCTGCTACCATGTCTGCTAACACAACATCCATTCTGCAGCCCATGGATCAAGGAGTAATTTCCACTTGCAAGTTTTATTATTTAAGAAATATATTTTGCATAGTTATAGTTGCCATAGATAGTGATTCCTCTGATGGATTTGGGCAAAGTAAAATTTTCTGGAAAGAATTCACCATTCTAAATGCCATTGAGGATATTTATGATTCATGGGAAGAGATCAAAATATCAGCTTTAACGGGGTTGGAAGAAGTTGATTCCAACCCTTGTGGGTGATTTTGAAGGGCTCAAGACTTCAGCAGAAGAAGTAACTGCAGAAGTTGTGGAAATAGCAAGAGAGCCAGAATAGAAGCTGATCCTGAGAATATGACTGAATTGCTGTAATCTCATGATAAATCTTGAGCAGATGAAGAGTTGCTTCTTATGGATGAATACGAAAGTGGTTTCTTGAGATGGAGTCTCCTGGTGAAGTTTTTGTGAACATTGATGATAACAAAGGACTTCGCATAGCACATCAACTTAGTTGATTAAGCAGTAGCAGGGTTTGAGAGGATTGACTCCAATTTTGCAAGAAGTTCTTCTGTGGGTAAAATGCTATCAAATGGCATCACATGCTATAGAAGTGTTTGGTGTAAGGAAGAGTCAGTTGATGTCGCAAACCTCGTTATTTTAGGAAATTGCCAAAGCCACTCCAGCCTTTGGCAATCATCACCCTGATTAGTCACCAGCCATCAACATTGATATAATACTCTCCACCAGTAAAAAGATTGGTTTTCTGATGGCTCAGATGATTGTTGGCAGTTTTTATCAATAACGTATTTCTTTTGTTTTTGTTTGGGAGATGGTCTCCCTCTGTTGCCCAGGCTGGAGTGCAATAGCATGATCATAGCTCACTGCAGCCTGGATCCCCTGGGCTCAAGCAATCCTCCTGTCCTAGCCAACCAAGTAGCTAAGAAAACAGAGGCACAACACCACACCTAGCTAATTTATTTTATTTTTTGTAGAGATGGAATCTTGCTATGTTGTCCAGGCTGGTCTGGAACTCCTACCCTCATAGAATCTCCCTGCCTCAGCCTTCAAAGGGCTGGGACTAAAGGCAGGAGCCACCTCACCCAACCAATAATGTATTTTTAAATTATGTCTTTTTTTTGGTGGAGGGGGACAGAGTTTTGCCCAGGCTGGAGTGCAATGGCACAATCTCGGCTCACCGCAACCTCCACCTCCCAGGTTCAAGCGATTCTCCTACCTCAGTCTCCCAAGTAGCTGGGATTACAGGCATGTACCACTATGCCTGGCTAGTTTTGTATTTTTAGTAGAGACAGCGTTTCTCCATGTTGGTCAGGCTGGTCTCGAACTCCTGACCTCAGGTGATCCGCCTGCCTCAGCTTCCCAAAGTGCTGGGATTACAGGCGTGAGCCACTGCACCTGGCCTAAATTATGTACATTTTTTATGTATATTATGTGAGGTTTGCCACATCAATTGACTTTTCCTTTTGATAGCATTTTACCCACAGAAGAACTTCTTTCAAAATGGGAATCAATCCTCTCAAACCCTGCCACTGCTTTATCAACTAAGTTGATGTACTGTTCAAAGTCCTTTGTTATCAGTTAATCAATATTCACAAAATCTTCACCAGGAGGACTCCATCTCAACAGACATCATAATGCTGTTGGACACTTTATAGTATAGTATAAACAAAACTTTTATATGCACTGGGAAACCAAAAACATTTTGTGACTTGCTTTATTGTGATATTTGCTATATTGCAGCGGTCTGGAACCAAACCCCCAGTATCTCTAAGGTGTGCCTGTACTGTTTCTTAGGTGTCAGTTTTCTCTCTCTGAGACGTCATTAAGACTTTTCTTTCTACATTCAGATTTAAGGTCGTACAGTATACTTTTTGCTATAACAAAGTTCATTTTGGACTTTAAAGTTAACCAACTTGGATTGGTGCTTAATATTTCTGAGATACTCTAATTAAGAGTTCCAAGTAAGATAAGACTACTCTGGATATTTAGAGAAGGCAGGTAGGGGAGGAATGAAGCCAGTTCTCCTTGGACTGATGATGGTGCTATTTTTCAGCACAGTCTTTGACTCTAAGGTGTTTTCCTTTATCTTTGCTTCCTACTTATCCTCTGCTGTTCCTTGCTTAGAGTTAGAAACAGTCTGGTAGTTGCAGTGGTTATAAAAATATATCTTGATCTTTGTCTTACATCTCCTGAGCAGGCCCTGTCAGGGATAGGTAAATGTGTCCTGTGGATTGATACCATGATTTCCTCTCCTGACAGGTCCCAGAATGGTGCTTAGATGACTGGCATCCTTCTGAGAAGGCAATGTATCCTGATTACTTTGCCAAGAGAGAACAGTGGAAGAAACTGCGGAGGGAAAGCTGGGAACGAGAGGTGCGTTCTACTTGTACTTCGTTATTCCTTAGCTATGTAGATGGAGTGAAGTTTTGCTCCCCACAAGCAGAGGTCCAGATTCCAGCCATGACAGTTACTCTGGGCCCTTGCTTCTCAGATATACTTTAGTATCTAAGTGTATCAATTTAACATTTATAATCACCTTACAAGTAAGTTAAAGTGCATTCCCTGGTCGTTTTGGCTTTGTCTTTGATTTTGCTTCAGATCTCCTTCTCTTTAGTCCTTTGTCTGACTTTTTTGCCTTCTTGCTATACTTTCCCTCAACCTGCCTCTCCACTATTTTCTTAGGCATTTTTCAGTCATGTTAGGATGGTCAGTTATATTTTTAAAAGCTCAATCTTGCTGTAGTGTGAAGAATATATTGGAGAGGGGAAGAGGAGAAGCAGAGAGACCCTTCTAGGATTATTGCAGAAGTTTAGTCAAAAGGTTGTCATGACTAACACTAGGGTGGATGAAGTGGATATGGAAGGAAATTGACTCAGGACATCATTTGGAGGGATGTGACGACTGACTGGATGTTGAGGGTGGGTGAGGGATGGGGAGGAATCAAGAATGGTTTCTGGGGCAGGGTGCGGTGGCTCACACCTATAATCCCAGCACTTTGGGAGGCCAAAGTGGGTGATAGCTTGAGGTCAGGAGTTCATGACGACCAGCCTGACTAACATGGTGAAACCCCATCTCTACTAAAAGTACAAATAATTAGCTGGGCGTGGGGGCTGTGCACCTGTAATCCCAGCTACTTGGGAGGCTAAGGCAGGAGAATTGCTTGAATCCCAGGAGGTGGAGGTTGCAATGAGCTGACATCGCGCCACTGCATTCCAGCCTGGGCGACAGAGCAAGACTCCATCCCAAAAGAAAAAAAAAAGAGAGAATGGTTTCTGGGTTTTAAGCTTTAACATCTGGAGTTTGGTGATGTTTACTGAGATAGGGAAGATTGGGGAAGGGGGCACAGGTGTCAGAGCAGCAATCGAGAATTCATTTTGGAAGTGTGAAGTTTTGAGAATCCTGTGAGACATCAAGTGCAGATGTCAGAAGCCAACTTCAGATGTGGAAATCTGGAACTCCCAGGAGAGATTTGGCCTAGAAACAGAAACGTGGGAGTTTTCAGTTTTAAAAGCCATGGAGAGATGTATGGAATCCTTAGGAGAGAGTATAGAGAAAAAAGAAAAGGAAAAAGGATTCTTTGTGCATTATAATTGGGCAAAAGATTGTATATAAATACATTTGGGTTAGAAGTTTTGAAGATGACAGACTTGTGTGATAGCTTCCTTTTTTTAGTGAAATAAGAGGAAAAGCCCAGAATGAGTGGGTGCAGCATATTTGGAGAATGTGGACAAGATGTGATAGTCATGAGGCGAGGAAGAGCTTGCTGGAGAGTAGTAGGATGGCCAGGTGGCAAAGGCCCATTTGAGGTTGGGAATAATCAGTGGGTAATGACTCCGATTTGCTCCCATATCTTTTTTCTCTTTAGCAATACTAAGCTGTATGAGCACAGGCCTGAGGGTATATGGTTCGGTTTGTCTGTTGCTCAGAGAGTGACAAGGGACTTGAGGTTATTCGAAAGGAAGCTGTTGTCATGATGGAATCTAAGCTGAATTTAAAAAAAAACAAAGTCAAGCCAGTGGGGGCAGATGCAGAGAGGGAAGGCCAAGTTGGGAGGATCTGTGAATTGGTAGTCTGAGTTTCAAGGAGGCATTTAAACAAATGAGTGGGAAAGGGAGAGTGTGGTTGGATAGTGGGATATTTGAATTCATGATTTGGAAGTTGTGCTGGTTCTGGTGATAACACTGAGGATATTGACCTTTGGAAGTGTTTGGCCAAGGGGGACCCGAAGGAAGGGCACTGTGGCCAAAGGGGGCAGTGTTTTGTCAGAAATGTCTCACCGTTTAGAAGCTTGAAGTATATGCATGGTGAGCCGCAGGTGCATTCTGCAATTGATCACTGGGATAACATCAAACAATTCCTCCTTTACACATCCCATCACTTCAACACTATTAAGCAGCACGTGTGACTGGAGGCCCAGGGCAGCCACAATCCAGAATGGGTGATCTTCTGTTAGGACATTTATCTTGGCCATAACTAGAACTGGAGGTAGTAGGGCAGCACTTGGCAGAACTGAGCATATTTTTACATGTAATTTTGTGATTTATTTTTGTTCTTGGTTGCTAGGAAGGGGGCTTAGAATTAACATCCCCAGCATATTATGAACTGAGGTTTCTTAATGGTGCTTTTGGAGAACACTTAGCTGAGACACAACAATAAATGTTTTTCTGGTCAGTGGGTGGGGGCTGTGACAAGGAGAATTGGAATGATAGTTGTCATTTTTCTGTCTGCAGAATAAGAGGAGGTCCAGATAATGAGGTGATGAAAAGGGGTAGGGGGAAGAATAGGAAGGGTAGGCTTTGCTATTTAAAAGAATGGGAAAACCCTTAAGGAGACTTTTCTAAAAGTGTGGATATGAAAATAAAGCAGGTATATGTAAAAAACACTTTTCAATATTGTGATCAGATAGTGTGTAATGTCAGTGACACACCATAGACATAAAGCTGACCCTTCACTGCAGCAGACAGATTTTTATAGTCAATTAGATTCCTTTGGTAATGATTCCTTCCTTGCCTCCTTCTAGGTTAAGCAGCTGCAGGAGGAAACGCCACCTGGTGGTCCTTTAACTGAAGCTTTGCCCCCTGCCCGAAAGGAAGGTGATTTGCCCCCACTGTGGTGGTATATTGTGACCAGACCCCGGGAGCGGCCCATGTAGAAAGAGAGAGACCTCATCTTTCATGCTTGCAAGTGAAATATGTTACAGAACATGCACTTGCCCTAATAAAAAATCAGTGAAATGGTCTCTGGTATGACTGACGTTCTTCTAAGAATTACTGTGATGCCAAGTGACTGTGCCACTGTCATTGTTTTATCAATCGTGCATGTAAAGAAAATGACAGGACATGTAGTCAGTCAGCTGTGTTCTCTGCAATAAATCACTGATAGCATATGTTACCAGTAAGGAAAAACTGAGGCAGAACCAGATTGAGGCGAACAAACTCTCAAGTCAAAGGCCTAATTAGCTGTGGTAACTAGAAGGAATAAACAAAGCCAAGAACAGAAATACTGAGGATTTAAAAATAACCTTTTTGGTTTTCTAAAGATTTCACTAATGGAACTTAGTTTTTATTAGAAGAACAACTCTCCCTAAGAAGTACATAGTCAACAAATAAGCATGGAATTTGTGGAGTTCTGTCAGGGGTGGAGGTTTGATGGTTGGGGTTAAATGGTCCAATCTGGGATAAAACTTTGTGGCGCTTATTTTAGAAGCAGTTTTCCAGCTTTGCTTCTGCTACCGTAGCTTGGATTGTCTGCGGACTCAAAGGTAAGGGAATAACAGAACTCCTTAAATGTTTCAGAAGCTTTGTTTTTGTTTTTTAAAGATAAAGCAGTTTTTAAAACTTTCAACCCAAAACAGCTGCTTTTAGTTCTTGATCCCTCATTAGCTAGAACTGTTTTCAAATAGTTTCAGGCAACTAATGATCTTATAGCCATCACAAAAATATTTTGTCACTTTTCTACGTAAGCTCAATTTGAGTCCCAGTCCATCTTCTAACATTTGACTAAGACCTCAAACTGAATTGTAACAAGACTTGAAATACAGGACTTTTTTAATCTAGTGGTTCTTTATTTATAACGTAGGCTGAAGCAATTGTTACAATGTAGGAGGGAGACACATTACACAATTGTTATTTATACAAGTTTAGAACAAAAAACTGCACAGGGAGAGGTCAACTCTCAGTACAAACTAGCAACTAAAGCACAATAATTTACTGTTAGAAACGATTTCTTTCTTTTTAGCTGTGACACTGCTTTTACAATATGCAAAAACACAAGCAGAACTACCCAAGGTGTGTTGTCACATTCTTTCTACATTGAATTTGGCAACATTTTATTTATTCAGATTATACTAACGTTTAAAAACTAAACAAGTGAAAAGCTGTACCAAGGTACAGTTACATCCATTTATTTCAAAGGTTTAAAATACCACTTTTATCTATTGTGATTACCTTGCAGCGATTTCTGCTTTTGCAAAAACCATCTCAAGCATCATATGCACAATGCATCAGCTACTTTTAGTCATCAAGATTGGTGGGCTAAACCACAGGCACTACTGTTGTTTATATTCTGTAAAAGGAGCTTGTTTTTCAAAGAAAAAAGCTTAAATAGTTTCTAATAATCATGCCTTTGCTTTAAAGCCGTAACATAAAATGTCCTTGAGCAATCGCAGCAGTGTTCAATGTTAATATATAGAACAATGACCATACGGTACGTTACTCTCACATCCAATGCAGTTATGTGTTAAAGCATAAGATTAGGTAATTGAGGGTTAGAGCCAACAGGAATCTGCAGGGTGTATGAAACCCACCAAACTCCTCCTCTGCCTTGAGAGGGTTCGGTCAGAAATGTGCCCTGTTATGACCTGACTGCTAAGGGACTTGCTTGCTTTCTTAAACACTATTGTCTTCAAATGTGATCCCTTTAAATCTACAAATCTCTGTTGGCTTTAGGGGATGGGCAGTATAACAAATTTAACTTCCACTTAGAAAAGACAAATCTTTTCCAAAAAACATTTACCCAGAATACAAAAAAAGGACAGTATAGTGGTCAGATTCCCAGTGACAATAAACAAATCCTCCTCTCTTCAATGTTTACTGTAAAGCCAGTTAACTGCCATTTATTTGAAAGAAGAAAAGAAAAACAAGCCCCCAGATTGGTAAACACATTGGCAAGTTGCTAGACTCCAAGCTGGCTACCCTTGTCAAATCTGTTCGAGTTTTTTCAAAATACTTGGGCTTTTTAACGCACCCAGCCTGCTGGGCACAGTTAAGTAAAAGGCATTTACTATAATCTAAGAATTCCCTGCTATTATCATTTTTAAATGTTTTCACATTTTTAAAACTGCCTTACCCTTTTGGATGTATTTGGATTCCATAAAGGTGAGTACAATCAACGAGAAACTGAAGTGGGAGATTCTACGACTGCCCAGAGGCAGCAGCATGCATGGGGCTGGTTGTGGGTGCTGTGTGCAGTCCAGAGGAATCATGGGAGAAAGGAAGTCAAGTCCTTAAACACCCTACAGAAACAAACACTGCAATCCAGTATGGCTTATTCGGATGCATTTACCATGAAGCTACCAGAAGAAATTCAACCTACGAGGCTACTCTTAAATGTAACAGGATCGGCTATGTTGACGATGTACCCCTCCCATGGCCCTCCCCCCAATCCCAACACAGTCTACCATTTCCAGATTTACTTCACTCTGAATATTGCTCATCAATTGTTACTCCTGCTCTTTTCATCCAGAACATAGTATATTTAAATGAAGATTTTACCTCTTACCCATTTAGTTTGTACATTAAAATAACTTGCATTTGCTTCTAAGCTAGACTACTACAATGCATCTACAAAAGCTTGTGGGGAAAAAAAAAGAAGAGTGAAGTATAGTAAATCCTTTTCTAAAATTAACTACTTCGTGGTTCCCCTGCCCCAACCCCCTTTATGCATTTAAAATTTTACAAAGACTTGTAAAAAAGTTAAATGGAATTTGGCACCTTCAGAAAAATCAAAAGGGAAACTAAGATTAAAATGTGCAGAAAGAAAATTGTCAATATTTACAAATTAAAAGATCAAGATTATGTCAGTTACATAGGTTGGTTTTAATTCTTATCTAAAGGTGTCGAGTACTTTCAAAAGAGCTATATTCCGAGTTGCCTACAAAATCTTTTGTTTTATTATAGAGTGGAATGGATCAAGACAAATTAGGTTTTATTAATGAAACAGTTCATTCCCCACCGGCGCATTTCTTGTGAACCTAAGAAAAGCGAGGGGCTGAGCGATCGTTTGTCGTGGTCTTCTTCAGTTTCACGCCCCTTCGGATGGCGTTCAGCATGTCTTCTCCTTGTGGAGTATCCCTTGGGCTCAGGTCTGCAGGGTCACTCTCTGGAATCTGGCCTGGGGAGACAGTGGCACTTGGGGGTTCCCGTTCCTGGTCTTCAGCTTCACTTTCTGGAATTGCCTGTCTGTGCTCCTCAGGGATACTGGGCTTCGGGCCTGGAAGTGGAGGGTTAACGGAAGCTTGGCCGCTCCACATTGAGGAGGGCATGCTGGTGACACCTTGGGGGCCCTCACCCACAGATGGCGACTCAGGGCTGTGCTCCCCCCGCTCTTCTGGCCCATCTGGAGGGGCTGGCAACACCCCTGGGAGGTCTGGGACGGTTGGGGTCTTGACAGGGATCACGGGTGTCTTGATGGGGATGGGACCAGCTCCAATGGTTCCCCGGCGGACAGAAGGCTTGGTGGAAGGGGTCCGTCGGATAGTTGCAACCCCTGGAGTGACCATAGCAGGTCCCAGGGTGGTGGGGAGGCCAGCAGTTGAGGCTGGACGCTTGGCTTGGAACATCCGTCGGTAGGACTGGCTGATGTCGCTGTTTCTTGGAATGGTGGAGGACTTGTCGAACTCCTGCTGATCTGCCTCCTGGTCACCACTTACAGAGAAATAATCATAATCTGAAACTGATTATAGGATTTGATTAGACATATTCAAGACAGCAGCTGTGCTTTTTTGATTCTTCTGGGCTGGGAGGACAAAAGGCACGCAAGGCAGGGTACACACACAGTCTCATCCCAAGCTTCCCCCAGGCTTCTCTACCATCTTCAGAAAGCCTCACCAACTAAGAACTCCGTGGCAGGGATCTTTGCTTTGTTCACTGATGTGTCCCAAGTACCTAGAACAGTGCTGGACACGGTAGGCACTCAAATATCGTCAATGGGGAAGAAGGTAAAGCTGCTAGGCTGCAGCGAAGCTACCTGCAAGCGTCTCTGGGAGGAATAAGGGGGATGAAAGAAGACAAATTCTCCAGTCCAGAACTCAACGTGAAGATCAAACCTCAAATAGACTAGCCTAGGCTATAACATCTCCCTGATAATTAACTGGAGAGGCAAGGGCTAGACAAAGAACAAAGCTACTGACAGTGAGTCCCTGACAATAAGGGACAAAGACAGTTTCCATCAGTGTCATGTGCTCACTTCCTTGTAAGACCAATCTCAGGATGATGTGGGAGCTTACAGATTAAACAGCTCACAGCCCTGATTCTGAACCACCGTACTATTGATAATTTGGGCTGGATAGTTCTTTGTTATGGAGGACGTGGTGGGGAGGGGCCGTGCTGTGTATTCTGGGATGTTTAAGCAATATCCCTGCCCTGTGCCCACTAGATGCCAATAGTACCCCTCCAGTTGTGACAACCAGAAATGTCTACAGACATTGCCAGATGTCCCCTGGGGAATAAAATCACCCTCCAATAAGACTCACTGTCTTAGAGGTTTTGAATGATGAATGGCATAGCTTTTGGTCAATTATCATAGATATATTCTAGCTGTTAGATTTTCATCTTGCCTGACTTGTGTGTGCAGTGGACTTGAGGATGAAGGAGGCAGGTTTGATAGAGGATTTGGCTGGAATAGGTTAAGAACTTGGGCATTACACTCTAACACACTTAGGTTCAAACTCCAGTTCTACTTATTGGTTGTGTGAATATGAGCGAGTTATTGAGCCTTAATTTCCACTTCTGTAAAATAGGGGTGAAAATACCTACCCCATAAGTGGCTGTAAAGATTAAATGAGAAAATAACCATAAAGTGTGTAGTGCAAAGTGCTAAAACAAAAATGAAGCTATTCCTTTGAGACAGGGTCTCATTTTGTTGCCCAGGCTGGAGTGCAGTGATGCAGTCATGGATCACTGCAGCCTCGACTTCCCAGGCTCAAGCAGTCCTCCCACCTCAGCCTCCAGAGTAGCTGGGACCACAGGTGTGTGCTGCTACACCTGGCTAATTTTTGTATTTTCTGTAGAGACAAGAGTTTTGCCATGTTTCCCAGACTGGTCTCGAACTTCTGCAGCTCAAGCAATCTGCTCACCTCAAAGTCCCAAAATGTTGAGATTACAGGCGTAAGCCACTGCCCTGGCCTGAAGCTATTCTTATTACAGCACATGTCTCCATTCAAATTGGAGACTGCTGTATATGATGCTGCAAAACGCAAAAAGCTGTGAAAGTCCAGATCCCTTTATTTATTATTATTTTTTTTTGAGACAGAGTCTTGCTCTGTCACCCGGGCTGGAGTGCAGTGGCGCGATCTCAGCTCACTGCAAGCTCTGCCTCCTGGGTTCACGCCATTCTCCTGCCTCAGCCTCCTGAGTAGCTGGGACTACAGGCGCCTGCCACCACGCCCGGCTAATTTTTTTGTATTTTTAGTAGAGATGGGGTTTCACCATGTTAGCCAGGATAGTCTCGATCTCCTGACCTCGTGATCCACCTGCCTTGGCCTCCCAAAGTGCTGGGATTACAGGCGTGAGCCACTGCGCCCGACCCCAGATCCCTTTCTTATATGGCAGCTACCTGACAACTACAGATGAGCTCCCCAAAGCATTCCCAGATGACGAAAACAATCCTGACACCTGTTAGTTAGCGAGTGGTGGGTTGTGGTTAAAATGGACCAGCAGTTTTCTATCTCCTCACCTGGTGCTGCTCAGAAAGCCTAAGTGCACACCCCAGGCTGCCTCGTACCTTGGGAAGGGATGGTGTCCTCAGAGCAGCAGGGGGTGGTTGTCTGGGTGCTGTAGCCGCTGGAGCACTGAAGCGAGTCCCGGCTGCTCCTCTGGGTGTCCAGCTGCAGGCCCCGAGACAGGGCCAGGGCCAGCTCCTCACAAGCCTCCATCTCCTCACCAGGCTGCAGGTTGGAGGAGAGAAATACACAGGTTGCTTTAGGGGGGGGGCTCAACAGCACTCCTGTTCTGCCCCCGTGAGCACTACATGTCTGTGGGGCCAGGGGGCTATTGACTTGCTTGGGTCCCACTCTGACCCTAGAAAGTTCTGCCTCTCTCATTCCCACACAAGGTTTTTTTCCCAGGGACTTTGCTGTAGAGCAGGAAGTCAGGGAATGGAGCCCAGGTCCCTCCAGCTGCAAGGCTGCCTTGGCCCCCCAGTTGCTGGCCAGAATGTGATCCCCAGCCAGGCTGAGGTGGCCCCAACCAGCTACTGAGAACAAGAGCATCACCCTGGTGGCAGCCGATACAGTCATGCTCCGTGGTCTCTGAGCCTCCTCAGCTGCTGCAGGTGGGCCGCTGGCGGTAGTGGGTCCTCCCCCGTTGGGGTCCGGTTCTCGCTTCTCTTTGCGGCGCTGCAGGGTGTTCACCAGAGGCTGGTCATAGGGCCCAGGCTTAGCCCAGTCCTATGCAAAACAAGTGCGGTCAGGAGCCAGGGCCTCTGCCTCCACTGGAGGGCTGCGGGGACCCCATAGACAGCTCCCCAGAGAAGGCAGCTGGTCCCCTTAAGGGGAACCTCCGGCTGGGACAAGCCACAGGCCCTCTGCATGCCCTCTCCAGGCTCTAAAGGGCAAGGAATGGAAACCCTTTGGGAGCCCCCTGTGTACCTCCCTTTTCCTCGTCTCTGCCCAAAGATTAAAAACCCTCACCCACCAGGTGGCAGCAGGAGACCCGGCAGCCACCTAACAGGTGACCGGTGTAAGCTAAGGGGACCCACCAGTGGGCAGTACATCGTGCTTCTCCTGTCTGAAGGGACCAGCGCTCCTTAACAACCCAGATGGCTTCCCGTTAGGGGAATGGCCACCAGCGAGCACTAAAGCAACATCAGCCCTTCTCCCTCCATTCCCAGGAAACCAGCCTCAAAGGGCATGGCAGGCTCCCTGCCCTCTCAAGCCCTCAGAAGGAAAGGAAGGCGCCCAGGGGCAGTAGAAAGATTCCGAGAAGCCTTGAGAGGCCCACACCGCCTGTGAGGGCTAAAGTCAAAACCTGCTTAAAACGCTGGCAGCCAAGGGGCCTACTTTTCAAATTAGGGTCCTCCTCTCAAAAGAGAGCAGATTATCCTCCTGGAGGAGCATTGATCGGACTTGCTAGGGGATCATTTTCAAAGTTCGTCTTTATATTAAAGCAAACATGTTTGAACACTCAAGACTAAAACTAAAGTCTGCGTGTACTGTTAAGTTCAACATGATCACCCCAAACCTGCTTTGGGTTATGGTTCTGTTACCACAGCCCAGCAGGGAGCTCATTAGGGAAAATGGGAAACATGGCCAGAAGGAAAGTCCCCCCTAAACCCCCTAGAAGCTCTGATCATGCTGACACCCTCAGGTGGCCCCCGGGAGGGACCAACCCATAGATTTCAACTTGATGCAAAACTGGGCCTTTGGACTTGGAATTGCCGCTGCCTGCGGTGCACACTGCACTGCCGTCCATCAGGGATTGACCAAAGTCCCCTGAAGGAAGACCCTCAGCCCCAGCTACCTGTGGAAATTGCTGTCTTAGAGCTGCCGGCTGCTTTCTGCTTCTCCCCCAATGGGAGTTTCCTGAGGGAGAGGCATTATGGGGAAGAAGGCAGAGTGTGAAAGGAAGGGGATGAGGGGATAGTCGGGGTGAGGGGGTTGGAACAGAAGAGGGGTGAGCACAGAGGCAATGACGGGGAGAGGAGGAGGGGGAGAGACACAAACCTTCCAGCTAGGGATCTGAGATGACGGGAACATGCCGGGCCCAATGGTGTAATAATGAGCGTAGTCTGGAAGGTGGACAGAGGTGACCCGAGGGAGCAGGCGGGAGGCAGGCAGGCAATGAGGGAAAAGGCCTGCACCCGTGGGCCCCACGTGGGACTCACTTGATAAACTATAGTGAGAAAACCCGTTAGACAACTGGAAACAAACAAAAAAAGGGGGGGGGAAGGAAAAAAAATTAATATAACAGGATGAGTGCGGAGATACAAAATGGCATTGACATTCAAGGGAGGGGAAACCTGAATATTTATAAATAAAACAAACATTGGGGCTCTGCTGCTCACGGATGATCTGTGATGCAAGAGAAAAGAGCCGGGGTGCAAAGAATGCACATGAGTTTGACAGCAAATAAGCATCTATGTTTGACCTACGTTTTAGAAGTTTGGAAATTGATCAGTGCCCTCAATTTGTGGCCTTGTCAATGGTTTTTGATAATGTAACTAATGAAGCCTCATTTAATGGTGATAGTGATTTGCTCATTTCATTATGCAAATTTAAAAATTCCAAAGCATCTTCAAATGAATCTGTTCATTCTAGGTTTCCAAAATCATCGCATTGCTCAGGAGCACATTCTCAATCAAGGGCAGGGGGGTGGGGGTGCAAACTAAAAAGCGGAAAAGCACACAGCCTCTGACACAGTGACATGGCTCATCCAACGGTCTGGTGGGTGGCTCGGGAAGGGAGGGAGGAGGATGGACAGGCACGCAACACCTGGTCTGGGAGAAAGCCTTCACACCTCCAAATTCCCCATACCCCTTCCTCTCCCTTGAGACAACCATGTGGTCATTGTCCAGCAGCCAGGCACTCATTCTAGAAAATGCCCTCAGCCTTGTCCCACCCTCTGTCCCCAAGAGGAGCCCCACTCTTGGTGTCGATTCTGAGCTTCCAGGTTGCCGCGGCTGTGAGGGCTGTCTGAGCAGCAGGCAGGGGGACCAGGGAGAGTGGGGCCGCTGTGGCTGCCACCCGGGCGGTCACCTTCTCTGTGGACACCCAGGCACCCATGGTGGAGCCCGAGCTGACAGAGGTGGGGGAGCTGCACTCGCTCACTGACTGGCAGGTTTCCGAGGCTTCGGAGGAGGCCGAGCTGGACGAGTTCTGCAGCAGGGGAGGGGCCACACGAGGGGACCAACAGAAACCGAGCCACACACCACCAAAATATAATAAATAAAAAAAGGAATGGGGATGGGAGTGGGGAAGGGCACACACAGAGAGAAAGAGACAGACATATACACAGAAGAGGGGAGGATGAGAGAAGCAGAGGGTTAGGGTTACTTTTCCCCCAAAGTTGCATCCATGCAGAGGCTTTCGAGCCCTTGAAAAGAAGCGTGCGACCCGGCCAGCCCTAGGTCACTAGACTGTGGGTCCCCAAGGACACGGATTTGTGTGTCTTTTGCTGGGACCCAGAAGCATGCCTGGCACCGAAATATCTGGTCATGGCATTGGGACTTCGTGCTCTCTTGGGTGTTTCTTCACGTGCCACAGGCCCAGGTCCCCAGGGAGGCCCCGCCTGTCACCTCTCTTATGTGCATAGGTGTTATTTATTGCATGAGGGCGGACCCCAGCTCGGGCTTTTGCTACATGTCTGCCTGGAATGGCTCGACTTCCTGGAGTCTCCTTTCATCAAATGCAGCCTGTGGATCCATGAGGGGTGGTTTCCAGCTATGAAGCCTCATCAAGACAGACTTTTAGGTTTCTCATCCTGGAGTGTGATTTTGGGGTTTGGGGCAGTGAAGCCCTCTGGTCAGCACAATGTTTCTGGTGGCCATTGTGGGGTGGAATGAACCATCTCTGGAGAGGTCTCATTTGGGAAACCATCGCTTTACACTGATCTGATGGAACCCCAGGTCCCTGCTGGAGTCCTAGTCAGCCACGGCATGCGCTCCCAGTCTGGCTTCCTGATGTTCAGCTGGGGCAGGGACTGTTCCTATGATCTCACCTACACCCAAGTTTCTTCTAGTTCTGGACCTGGCACATGGCTGGTGCTCAAAACATAATGAATGAGTGACAATGATCATCTCTGTCACGTAAGTTGGGTCTCCTGGGCACTGCTTTGCATCCATCCAGGTACTTGCTTTAAATTTTTTCACTGTTAACTGCAATCTCTGGCTTAACCTCAGTTTGTTTAAATAAGCTGACTCCTCTCTATTGTAATTTATCTGAAAGTGTTCCTGTATTCACCATCAAGGAGGCCAGAATCATATTTCTGTCCCTTTCACCTACAAAAGAAAGGTCCCTACAAAGGAACAGAGATTTCGCTTTCCTGTCCTGTAAGGGCAAGGAGACAATCAGACACTCAACAATGTGTGGGGCTCAGTGGACCCAAAGCAAGGAGAGACTCCACGGTGGACGGACATCCCAGCTGCACTCTGAGCTCAGTGTCTGGTTAGCAGCCCAGGATTTGAAGATGGAAGGTTTGGATTTAAGTCACATTTGTGCCAATTCCCAGTCGAGAAACTGAACTTAAAAAATTTGAGGTTTAGAGGGCTTTATCAACAAAAAACAGCCAGATGTGGTGGCTCATGCCTGTAATCCTGGCACTTTGGGAGGCCAAGGCAGGAAGACTGCTTGAGGCTAGGAATTGGAGAACAGCCTGGGCAAGATAGCAAGACCTCATCTCTACAAAAAATAAAAAATGTAAAAGAGGAAAGGAGTGAGGGTTGAAAAATTGCCTATCAGAGACAATGCTCACTATTTGGGTAATGGAAATAGAAGCCCAATCCTCACCAGTATGCAAGGCACATGTATTCTCAAATCTAAAATAAAATTAGCCAAGCATGGTGGCACATGCCTATAGTCCCAGCTACTTGGTAGGCTGAGGTAGGAGAATTGCCTGAATCCAGGAGTTCAAGGTTACAGTGACCTATGATCCCGCCACTGCACTTCATCCTGGGCAACAGAGTGAGACCCTGTCTCAAAAAAAACGAACAAAAATAAAACAACAAAACAGTAACCCACCGCAGGACTGCAGGTTCAGATTTCTTTGGAATTATGCTCATTTTTTATAAAGAACCTCTTGACTCAGATGGAATAAATGGCTCTAGGGTGAGACCCTCATTGAAGACATGGCCCCACTCCTGGGCACAGATGGGTGAGGGCACAATTTGAAGAGTGGAGGGAGGTAAACCAGAGAATTCTGAACAAATTCCATCACTCGGCTTTCATCTCAGACCTGTGTTACTCAGTAGAGAAATGAAGGGCTCCTGCGCCTCCTAGATGTATGCCCCCTTTCTCCCTAATAAAGGGGAGGTTACTGCCTTCAGGAGATTGTACCCTCTGGCTAATGTGATCTGTACAATGACCTTCAATTTCCCCTTTACCTTATAATAATAAGCAGTCGTAATGCCTTTCTTAAAAAATAAGAATTCTCTATTAAGTTTTGTAGCATCCCTGAGCTCATTAAAACTACCCTAGTGGCCGGGCGCGGTGGCTCATGCCTGTAATTCCAGAATTTTGGGAGACCGAGGTGGGCGGATCACCTGAGGTCAGCCTGACCAGCCTGGCAAAAGCCCACCTCTACTAAAAATACAAAAGTTAGCTGGGAATGGTGGCGCGTGCCTGTAATCCCAGCTACTTGGGAGGCTGAGGCAGGAGAATCGCTTGAACCCAGGAGGTGGAGGTTACAGTGAGCCAACATTGCACCACTGCACTCCAGCCTGGGGTGACAAAGCGAGACTGTCTTAAAAACATAACATGACAAAACAAAAAGCTACCCTAGAGTTGCTAGCCACGCATGTCTTGGGCACAGGTTTTCAGATTTAAGTAAACCCAATATGCCCTCTTCTGCTTCCCTCCATGCCATGGGAAACACTCTGTTCTACCCCATCCACACTCACAGTCTTGGAAGGGAAGGCTGCAGCACGTGGCTTCTCCTTTTCAGAAAGGGGCGTCAGTGCACACTACTATGTTAATTTGTCAATTAAACACACACACACAATTATGCTGCACACTAGAACAGCCCGGAGGAACTGCACATTCCAGCCCTCCTCCCGACCCTTTGCCCTCTCTGCTTGTGAGCAGCACATATGGTTTAGTGAAGCACACAGCGGGGAAGAGGAGCTCCTTACAGACCAAGCCAAGCACCCCAGGTGGGACACGCACTCTCAAGCACTCTCAAACTATAGCCGTGGCTCTTGGCTCTGAGTGCGTTTAAAATTGAGTGTGTATCCAAGGAAGGCAGACAGAGGCCACAGTCCCCAGGATGGCTGAAAAATGCTAATGGGAGCGCTGAGCTGTGAGGAGAGGAACGCAGAGCTCTGACATGGGTTTCCCAGCAGGTGGGGCTGTGGGGCACCCAGCATTCTGTATGTAGAGCTACTTGCCAAGTTCAAGGCCGACACCAACCCAATGACACTAAGGGAGAGAGGACAGAGAGAGGATCACATACATTGATGATGCACATGAAGAGTGTTCAGATGCCCTGGCCAGCTCCTGCGTTCTGCTCCAGCTGGAACCACTGGGCTGGGCTGGGCCTAGCACCATTAAACCCAGCTGTAGTTGAAGAGATTCTGCCACACCTTCCCTTCCAGAATCTAAGTGCCAACAGAATTATGTGCAGAAGCTCTGATGATTCATTCTCATTCTCAACACAGATTGATAAAAGGAACCTGAGAGCGCCAAGGGATGGTATCGGAAGCGCTATTCAACCATAGAATCTCAGCCATTCAGGGAGAACCTGAGATGTGGGGGAGGAGGTGTCCCCATTGTGCAATGCCCTTTAATTATAGCATTTAATTATGCCAAGCTGGGCACTTACAGGGACGCCTGAGAGTGGTCAAACCTCTTTCAATCCATCTACTTACGTGAGAGCTCCCCAAATCGATGTGGTAATGCAACCATTACCACCATGGAGACAGGCTTCAAACCCACTTATAGCACCTCTCCCTTTAGGGGAACAATACATCTAAAGATGAGAAATTAAACCAGAGGTTTCTCAAGTCAGTGGGCAGGGGATTGTCTAAGCCAAGGTGCTTCTTTGGTTCTGGCCACTGACAGTGGTCAGGACACCAGGTGTGACAGCTGCTCCTGGAGCCAAGGGCACCCTTACCTGGTTGGGGGCCTCTGGCGGCATGGGGGATGGTGACTTGGACTGGAAGGCATCCTGGGATATGAATCCTGAGTCATGGGAGGACACGCTGGACAGCCTCACAGGAGCCTGCTGGGCCAGGTTGGAGCTGCGGTAGCGGTAATGTGAGCTGGGGGAATGCGAGTGGGAGCCGCTGGACCGGGAGTCACTGCTGTTGACACTGTTCAGGCTGCTGTGGAGGACAAGCAGGGGTGAGGGGTGGGCACGGAAGGTAAAGAAAGGGGAGCAGTGGTAAGAGGAAGGAGGAAGGAGGGGAACAGATGAGGCAGAAGAGAGAGAAGCACAACATAATGCAATTAGCTCTCTGCCCTGGAGATGCAGTGCAAACCACAAAACACGTTTTCAAAACACCAAATCATGAAGGTAGTCAACAAAATGCTTTTCCAGGTGACCCAGGGGGAAATACAGCTGCCAGGACTCAGGTCTCCGATGGTAACCATGTGGCATTCTTACGAGGGAGGTCTGGGGTTCTAAAACGTCAAGTGCGCCCAACTCTGCTGCTTCGCCTACCACCAAAACGAGGGGAGCTGATGTCAGTAGCAAGAAAAGGGACAGGGTTAATCTGCCTGCAGGAACCATGAGCCTGCAGCAAAAGTCCACTGGGGCTTCAGCATGACTGGAATGTTCTTGGATGGACCATCTGGGTCCACATGACCAAGGCCAACCCAGCTAAGCACTGCCGATGGATTTGCTGAGGTGATTTCATCCTAGCTGAGTCTGGTCAAGCCCGCTGTCAAGAACATCAGCAAATCAACTCACTATGTTGGTGTGCATATGTTTTACCTTTTAACAAAGTGATGCTTTAATTAATGTTTTTACTCTGACCCCAGCTGTTTCTGTGTTAAAATATCTGTGGGTCTGGCACAATAGCACACTTGGCAAGAGGCAGGCAGCTTTCAGCGACTAAGGGCAATCAATGCTCAGCTGTTTGCTCTTGAAATGGCACAGTAAACAGGATGTCAAATAATGACACACCCGCTCTGGATTTCTGTCTGCCTTCCATCTCCACTCAAAAGAAACATGCTCCTGGCCAGGTGCGGTGGCTTACGCCTGTAATCCCAACACTTCAGAAGGCCAAAGCGGGTGGATCACCTGAAGTCAGGAGTTCAAGACTAGCCTGGCCAATACGGTGAAACCCCGCCTCTGATAAAAATACAAAACTTAGCCAGGCATGGTGGCAGGCACCTATAATCGCAGCTACTTGGGAGGCCAAGGCAGGAGAATCACTTGAACCCAGGAGGCAGAAGTTGCAGCGAGCTGAGATTATGCCACTGCACTCCACCTGGACAACAGAACGAGACCCGATCTCAAAAAAAAAAAAAAAAAAAAAATGCTCCACACTCTGTATAGTAACTTAGATCATAAAAAGCAGAAAACAGACTCCCATGGTCCAAACAAACGGAGCTGAAATAAAAAGAGCAGTTGTAGAGGCAGCAGCAGGGATGAAGTAAATAACTAGGGCTGGGATAGGAAAAGTCATGGTTTCTGCTCCTAAGCCTGCAAGAGACTCTGGCTTGCAAAATCTGGCAGCTAATAAGGTACTCAAGGGCCGCGTGACTGTTCTACACTAGAATTACTTGGTGCAAATGTTCAGACAGACATAGGGGAGCGTGCTGGAGGAAATCGCTGCAGTGAGGAATAAATATCATGATTTTTGACTTTCCCCTCCAGTCAGCCAGAAGGCGGCAGTTGGGGACCGACAGTAAAGCTCACAGCAACTCCACCCCGGCAGCCTCAGAGTTGCAGATGTCAGTGCAACATGGTTTTCTACTCAAACTAAAATTATAAGGAAGAAAAAAACAGCCACGCAACTTTGTTTTACACTAATGAGAGATTTTTCTTGGCAACAATAAAAAGGTCTCTCTTTCACTCACACACACACACACACACACACACACAGTCGACAGAAGATAAGAAACAAACCAATATCTTCAGGGGGCAGAATGTCCAGGATGCAGCGTCTTAGGTCTGAACTTCCTGCTAAGTGTGTAGTGTACAAGCTCCGCAGTGAAAGGAAATAGGCATCAGCGTGCACCAAAACATCACCACAGACAGATTGAGCAGATACATCCTGCCCTCTACTCTCAGTGCTAATACACAGGAAGTGGAAACTCATTTGGCTTTGAAAGTTAAATTAAAAGAGTAACAGGACTACTATACCAAGAGAGATAGATGGTACATCATGCTTCCATCTTTCAAGGAGAGGAAAAGAAACTTTCCTACTCGGCAAGCCAAGAACTGACTTCTAACAGAAAATTGCTAGACAACAGTTTTGCAGATGGCAGAACTATTCCAACAGATTTTGTTCCAATAGGGAACAGTACTAATTAATACAGGTGTGGTCGTGGTAGTGGTGGTAGTAGTAGCAGTGACTGACAGAGCAAGAACTCTATTTACTTTATGAAACCCTGAAACAAAAATATGGGGTGAAATGAGGGCATAAGCCATTGTTACTTCCTTCGTTTGTTCTGGCAACAGTGAGATCAGCCTGTGTAAAAATCAACCCAGGTTCACCATTTTTTAGGCCTTAGAAGGTTTTCACTCTGCTAAACAGGAAAATCAAATGTGATCTCATAGAATAGGAAAATCCCTACAACATACAAGTGAGAGAGAATAAGCTACATCCACAAGTCAAGGGCTAATGGGGTTTTCTTTCTGATCCAAAATTAATCCAGAGACTAAAGAGCAAGACCAAAATTATTACCATTCTTTCAGCTCATCATCCCATTTCCTGTTTGAGAATGAGCCATTCTAAGAGATAAGGACTGGCTCCATTGCTCACATTAGCATAAAGAAAAATGACCCGTCCTGAAAGCAAGAGTGGACCCCGGCTTCACTCACCTGCAGACACTGGACTTTCTGGACATGGTGGTGCTGGGGGAAGAGGGTGGCGTCTGATACGACCAGCTGTAATCAGAACCTTTCAAGTCCAGAATCACCTAAGGGGACAGAGCCAGCTGGGTGAATGAGGTGCTGAGAGGGGAAGCGTTAGCCATCAAAGCTTAACATCCACCAAAGCATCAAAACGCTGCCATCGTGGGGGTGGGAATGAAAGCAAAACATGTTAAAAAAATTTTTTTTAAATTGAAGAGCCACAGTACCAAATCCATCAATATCATAATCCTTTTACTGAGAAAGTAAAACTATAATTAATAGGGAGAAGGAAAGGAAGGGAAAAGGAAAATCATGAAATATCAGTCGAGAGAGGGAGAAATACAGTGACCAATTAATAATTTATAACAGCCATTTATACCCAAGGCTAGAATTTACAGGATTTTCCTCTTGTAATGCCATAAAGTTAATCATGGTTCCCAGACTTGTTGGTAGCGCATTTTAACCACTTGATATTCAGTGGTCATTTCTGCCCTATTTGACCAGCACTAGAAATTTTAAAGCCTGACAGAATCAAGAACAAGCCAATTCTTTCACCATTATTTCTATATCTGTCTCCGTTGCTTGACAAAGGACCACATGAGTATAAGGTCCACCTTTCATTCACATAAGAAGCACTCAGTAAATGTTTATTTGTCAAGTGAATGCATGCATGCTCTGGTCTAATAAATATAATTTGATAGAATAGAAAACATGAGCTCCCAAATTTGCCCTCTGAGCCAGCTCTCCA
This sequence comes from Homo sapiens, assembly GCF_000001405.40. NCBI lineage: Eukaryota > Metazoa > Chordata > Mammalia > Primates > Hominidae > Homo > Homo sapiens. Next base: position 124,566,443 of record NC_000008.11, read on the forward strand.
AGGAGACGAAAAGATTGTTACCAAGCACAAAAGCCAGCATGTGATTCATCAGTTCCCCCAAATATGTCTCTTCCCATAGTGTGCGTGTGATGTGAATTAAATGAATAAAGCATAAAAATGTCATCTTTTTCATAAGATGAGAGAGCTCTCCATGCATTGCTCAATTAGAATGGGAGAAATGGAGAATGGTTGACAGTGTCAATCAAAACACACCAGCGACGTGTTCTTAGGAGGGTTGACTTCTAGAGGGCAGATGAACACAGCAATTAAGTGCATGGGATCTGGAACCTGACCAACTTGGTTCAAATATCAGTTCCACTACCTGCTAGCTAGCTGAACCTGGCTAAGTGACTCCATCTCTCAGTGCCTCTGCATCATTCTCTATAAAACAAGCATAATCATGAAGATGAATGGAGGAAGTCAGGCTATGTAAAGAGCTTGGGACAGTGCCTGACACACAATAGGTTCTATGTAACAGCTCGCTGTGGTGATTTCATATATTACATCATGAAGGACGTGGTGAATATGACTACAATTTAAGACGTGACACATGCCACAGGAACACTCAGGGCCTTGAGCTTTTACCTCTTTGGTTTGATCCTGTAAGTGCTTAACCCCTGAAGCCTACCTGTTCACTTGAGGAGGGCAGTTTGTGAGGGTCCATGGTCAGGCTTTTTAGATCTTCCGAGATGGTCTGAAGGTGGGTTATTTCCCCTAGCATTGAGATTTCTTCTTCCTGAAGGAAAAGTCATTCATGAAATGTTATTATCATGAGTGATTCCCTTCATCGCTCTAGTCCAATTGTTTTCATTAGGGTCTCTGTATAACCCTTTCAGTTTTTCAGAAAAGGCACTGTTGGGACTGGCAAATCTTTGCTGAAGGCACTACATGCCTTTTCTTTTGGGAAATGAGATGGAAAAAGAAATCTGCCATAATGGAGGAGTGACCTGTGCACAGGGGACAGTGGGGAACACACAGGCCTCCCTCCCAGGGCCTGGGGGACTGCCAGGCCTGCTCAGATGGTCTGACTGTGTGTTCCCACGGGATCCTGCAGCACAGCCCTCTTCATACTGTGGCCCTTTTCTGAAGTTGCTTAGCTTCAATGGATGACACGACTTGGATATATTTTGGTCCAGATCTTTGTGACAGTGCCTGTGTGTTCAACAGAAGCTAACTTTTCCCCTTCTTTCTTGTGCTTTTCCAGCAACTTAGTAAAAGACAAGTAAGACAGGAGCTGGGGACCATGGAAGAAACATCCCATGTGCTTTATCGAAGTGCCAAGTTGGGACCACGGGCCGGGCTAGAACGATCCATGGAAAAGTTCTGTGCTCAGGGGAACAACTCAAATTCAGACATTTTGCTAGGGCTAAGGGAAATGAGCTGGTACCTTCGAATCAGCTTCCAGAACGCCTGCAGTGCAAGTTCTCAATTACGGCATGCAAATGATTTCCTTAAAAATTAAGTCTAAATTGATTCATTGAGGCTCTTGGATATTCATCTCATGGTCACCCCTTAGTACTCGGCTACAACAGTGAGTCTCAAAACCACCTGGAGTGCTCCTTTAAAACACAGACGACTGGGTCCCCACCCCCAGAGGTTTGGACTTGGTGGGTCTGGGTTGGGCCCAAGAACTTGCATTTCTAGCCAGTTCCCACGTGATGCTGCTGACCTGGGGACCTCACTTTGAGAACCACCCTGCTGGGCCTTCTTGACTTGGTGAGACAAAGTAACGGGGAACAAGTGGTACTAGAACAGTGAATGAGGAGTGAGCTACATGGCCATCAACTTGCACTGAATCGCTGGTCTGTACAGGAGATACCACCATCATGATTCCTGACAGTAGATTCTCCATGACTCAACAGTGGATGGATAAAATTAGAAGGAAGCCACCTCTACACCAGCAGTTTAAACCTTCTGGAGTTTTCCATTAACTTACAATCACTGGCCGCAGCATAGAGATGAAGGTACAGAATCGGCCACGTTCTTCAATCAAAGCCTTCCGGACAGCCTGCTTTTCTGTTTCTTCCAATAAGAGATACTTATCATTGACATCTTGGAGAGCACTGTCCAACTGAGGCTGGATATCACCTCTCCCTGCAAAAAACAGAGACCCAAGCACGGCTTGCTGAAATACCAGCTTCTGGAACAAGTGCCCCTCCTCCCTGGGGTCCTTGCTGGAGTCAAAACCACAATTTTCCAGGATGTAAAAAAAGTATTTATTCATGCCCCAAAAGGATTTAAGGCAGCTGTTTTTCTAGGACCAGCCATTTCCAATTTTCAATGCCCAAAGGGCACATTTAGCCTGGCTTATTCCTGACAAGGAAAATGTCCTGGGGCAACTCTTCATGACTTGCCTTCTCACACTGCACAACCCCCACCAACTCTTCTGCCAACACAACCCTGGAACACAGAGCCAGACAGCATTCTTTCCTTGCAGAACATTCTGAAGAGGCTAAGAGATGTGGAAACAAGGTAAGAGCCTGTGGGTGTTTCCAAAAACGGGCACGGGCTGGCTTTGTTGGGTCAATCTCAATCAAAGAGCCTCTGTCTGGATAGAAGGATCTGCTCCTAAAGACAAAGGTGGCAAGCATCCGCTCTCCTGGCTCTGGGGGCCCATGGGAATCCTTGGCAGTTCCTTTGACTCTCTAGTGGAGAGTCTTGAATGCTCTTGCTGTAGAACAAGCCCAGTAATAACAAGACCTCCAGACAGGTCTCTGATGATGAAAAACTGAAAGTGGGGTCTATGCGGAGCCTGGCCCATGTTTAGGAATTATCTGGCCAGGTCCACAGACCCCAGTTAGGTGCAGGCAACCACTTCTGGAGTTTAAGACAGGGTGTTAGTCTTTTGAATGACTAACACATGGTCAGCAAACCATCTTTGCAAATAAAGTTTTATTAGAACACAGCCAAATCCATTTATTTACCATATTGCCTGTACCAGTTCTCCCTACAATGGCAGAGTAGTGTGACACAGAGTATGGCCCCCAGACCATGGCCTCTTGCAAAAGAAGCCTGCTGCCCTAAAAGATAAACATGGACCAAGAGGCACTGTGTCCAAAGGAGCAGCTACTACAAATCTGATCTGTAGGTGGGGACAGCAGGGTGACAGCAGGGGACACCAGCTCATGAGCTTCCACCTTGGGCTGCCTATGCAGGGGCCTTACCTATCACTCAAACCAGAGAGATACTTCCTAAACTTCTTCAGGGCAGGATTTTGGTCTTTCCCAGCACAGCCCCTAGTACAATGTCATGTGTGTATACAGCAGGTGCTTGATAAATGTCTGTTTAATAGTTTCAACACAAAATGTTAGAGCTGGAAGGGGTTATCCAATTGGGCCAATCTGCTCATGTTTCAATGGAGACCAAGTCCTAGAGAAGTCAAGGGACTCACCTAAGGTCACAGAAAGAATGGTACAGAGGCAGGGTTGAGCCACACTGCCTAATTCCCTTAACACTGAACCTATTCTCTGCCCCACCGCCTCGCAGGAAGGGCCCTGCAGTTTCCATCTATCCCTCTTAGTGATGTAGAGAACATTAAATGCAATGAACCATTTGGTCTGAAGAAAGAAAGGGTCAGGGAAAATTGCCTTGGATGTAGGAACATATTCTGTATTTTTCACTCATAAGCAGAGGAGAAAGTTTAATTTGGAGCAAGAGGCAATCAGGCTTAAAGCACATCCCAATAGAAAAGGTAGTCAGATTTTAGTAAGGAAAAGTCACTTCTCAGACAGGGAATAAGTTCTAAGTTAGCACATTATGAGAAAATTATAGTCAAAGATCACCCTTGAAAATGCCTTAGATGGCCAGTAAATACAGTATGGACAGCTTTGTGTATATAACTCTCATCAGTCAAGTGAGTACAAATGTGTAGATAGTATGTATCTAAGTCCACGGAGGGGTGCTACCCAACGATTATACTACACTGGCCCCTCCTCTGTGGTTTTGCTTTCCAAAGTTTCAGCTACCCATGGTGTGGTAAAATACGGTATTTTGAAAGAGAGAAAGAGACTACATTCGCATGACTTTTATTACAGTATATTGTTATAATTGTTCTATTATTATTGTTGTTAATCTCTTACTGTGCCTAAATTATGTATTAAACTTTACCATAGACATGTATGCATGGGAAAAACCACAGTATATGTAAGGTTCGGGTACTATCTGCAGTTTTAGGCATCCACGGGGGGTCTTGGAACATATCCCCTGAGGAGAAGGGGGAACTACTATATATAAGAAATTTGCTGCTTGAGAAGTCTCTGCATAATTTTCTCCTTTTTGGAGACAGAGTCTTGCTCTGTCACTCAGGCTGGAGTGCAGTGGAATGATCATAGCTCATTGCAGCCTCAGCCTCTTAAGCAGCTGGGACTACCAGCGTGCACCACCATGCCCAGCTAGTTTTTCAATTTTTTTTTATAAAGATTGGGTCTTGCTTTATTGGCCAGACGGTCTTGAACTCCTGGCCTCAAGTGATCCTCCCACCTCAGCCTCCCAAAGTGCTGGGATTACAGACATGAGCCACAGCGCCTGGGTGTTTCAGCATATTTTCAAGGTGACCCACTCACCCATTCTTCCATGTAGTCACTACCTCCACCCCTCAGAATAATTCTTTACCATGCCTTCAATTTCTTCCTCAAGGATGTAGGAGTAATCATCACCATACATTAATCTGGCCACCTGAGCCACTGGTTTCATGTGTTTTTAGTAGACAAGAAACCTGTAAAAACATTCTCCCATTCTCTCCTGGAATCTGCCTCAGGGCAGGTGCTCTGTTCACAGAGACCCACCACCTGTGGCCAACGGCTTACAGAGGGAAGGCTGGGTGCCACCAGCACTATGAAAACTGTGAGTTTTCTCTTCTATTTTAAAATGCTGGCTAGTGCAAAATTAATCCAGATATACTTAATGTGTGTATGATACGAGTCCACCAGCAGGGAAGCTCTGGAAAGCTGTAAACCCTTGCTTTTCCTCTGCAAGCAGCCAAACAGCATGGCCAATTGTGGGCCTTGTTGGGTCACATGACTCAGGGCTGGTCTAGAGGGCTACTTCTAGTCTCTCGATCTATTCTATGATGTTCTAATAACAAAACACAGAGGGCTGCAGACCACCTCAGAATGTTCTCAACTCTCGTGTAGGATGGTGAACAGAAGTCGGGAGACACCAGATTGAGACACATTGTGTTTGACCAAACTTGCTCGGTGGGCTTTGATTATGGTAGCAATTTAAAAAAATAACAGCCTATGAGGCCGGGAACGGTGGCTCATGCTTCTAATCCCAGCACTTTGGGAGGCCGCGGCGGGCGGATCATGAGGTCAGGAGTTCAAGACCAGCCTGGCCAATATGGTGAAACCCCGTCTCTACTAAAAGTACAAAAATTAGCTGGGTGTGGTGGCACACGCCTGTAGTCCCAGCCACTGGGGAGGCTGAGGCAGAAGAATTGCTTGAACCTGGGAGGGGGAGGTTGCAGTGAGCTGAGATCATGCCACTGCACTCCAGCCTGGGCGACAGAGCAAGACTCCATCTAAAATAAATAAATAGATAAAATAAAATTAAAAAATAACAGCCTGTGATTGTCAGAAATTGGAAAAATGTATCTTTACTTCCTTTCACAAGTTATAAGGCACATGTCTATCCATAATTAATAATGCTGACTTTAAAAACTGTATCTACATAGGAAAGAAAAAAAGGCCACTGAACCCAGTGTTATCTAATTTGGAAAATATAAATTTAAGTTATCCTATGATTATAGCAAAGTTATTTTAAATGTGTATTATAATTAAAGGACTCTCAAATTGTAGCATTCTAAAATAAGTATACTCTGTAAAGATTGCTATAATTATAGTCAAGACATTTCCATTCAGGATAGATGATAAGCTAAAACTACAATGTTTATTTATTAAATTCACTAATACAACATGTAATTATATTTATAAAAAAAAACTGTGAAAGAAATTATTTCATGTCCCAGTTGGATATACTGGTTTTAAGATAGAGTGATCTTTTGAGGTCCACAAATTCAGAGAGTTGTGTTGGTACTGATTTAATATATACAAAAGCCCATTCTCTTCACTCCCATCGGCAGTGTTAGGAGAGTCACCACTGACTCCTTGAGCGCTGGTCCTGGCTATTCCAGCTCCCACGGACTTGACTCCATCCTCGTCTCACCTCTGCTACCTCTACCCTCACTGGGCCATCACGATCTCTCACCTGAACAGATGCCAACAGCCCCTAATGTCTCACCCCAGACTGCACTTGGACTAGCTCGCCCAGAGCAGCCCTGGGCTACTTTCTTTCTTTTCTTTTCTTTTTTTTTTTTTTTTTGAGACAGAGTCTCGCTCTGTTGCCCAGGCTGGATGGAGTGCAGTGGCGTGATCTCAGCTCACTGCAACCTCCGCCTGCCAGGTTCAAGAGATTCTCTTGCCTTAGCCACCCAAGTAGCTGGGATTACAGGCATGTACCACCATGCCCAGCTAATTTTTGTATTTTTAGTAGAGACAGGATTTCACCATGTTGGCCAGGCTGGTCTTGAACCCCTGACCTCAAGTGATCCACCTGCCTCGGCCTCCCAAAGTGCTGGGATTACAGGCATGAGCCACCACACCCGGCTGTGGATTACTTTCAAAATGCAAATATTCTCACTGCTTTTCAACAGCTCCCATTGCTCGCAAGAAAAGAACAATATCCTTAACATGGCCTGCCCTGCAAGGCATGAAAGGTCATTGCCTGTCTACCTCATAGCCTCAGCCTTTGTGGGCCATTCTCTCCCTCTCTCCTCTCCCTCTCATCCTCCAGGGCCTGGGCCCCTTCCCATCTTCACTCTGCTGTCCCTCTGCTACATTCCTAACACCTTTTATCCTACAGGTCTCGCTTAATTCTCGATCCTTCAGGGAATCCTGCTGTGAACTTTCTCCCCAGATTAGGCTTCTCTTACTTGATCTCTGAAATCCCTTATACTTATTCACAGCACTACCCCCGGTTTGAATTTCATCTTTATTTCTCTAGTTATTTGATTGACGTCAGTCTCCCCTAGTCAGGGGGCAGTCCCACGGGGGCAGAACCCATGAATGCTTTTGCTCAGTACTGTATCTCCTCAGTCAGCACACTTGCCTGGAAGGCGGCAGGTGTTCAAATATTTGTAAATGAATCAAGCATTGATACAACGTGACCAAGTTTGCTCACTGGCCTCAACCATCATTCCCTTAAATGGCCTAATACTTCAGAACCACCCAATTCCAGGACCATCAAGCAGCCAAGAGGAGGAGGGAGGGGGTGCCTTCGATGGGCTTCCCAGACAAAATTCTTGAGCAAAGAATTGCTTTCGGCTTTCTTCTGTAATATCTTAGGCATCTTCAGTCTTGAGTTTTGTTTTTTTCCTGGTGCTAGTTTCCAGGTCTTGTGTATTCACGCTGGGGAATTCTGATGAACAGCAGCCAGGAGCCCCTTATCCCCCCACCCCAGGGGATATCATGATGATTCTCTTTGCAGAAAATGTTCCTGGGGCAAAGCATTGTGAATGCACCATGTCATGGGCCAAGGCAGCACCCCTAAAGAAGGAAGGAATTTTTTTTTTTGAGACAGAGTCTCGCTCTGTTGCCTAGGCTGGAGTGCAGCGGCACAATCTCAGCTCACTGAAACCTCTGCCTCCTGGGTTCAAGACAGTATGTCCGACTAATTTTTGTATTTTTTGTAGAGACAGGGTTTTACTATGTTGGCCAGGCTGGTCTCGAACTCCTGACCTTAAGTGATCTGCCTGCCTCGGCCTCCCAAACTGCTGGGATCACAGTGTGAGCCACCACACCCGGCCACAGAAGGAAGGAATTTTTAAATGAGGAAACTTTACAGAGTTTTCTGGAATGAAATAAAGATCCTGTATCAACTTCAACACTTGCATTTTATTTTCCTTAATCATTATTACATAACACATTCAAGGCAGGAATGAATATCCGTTTTGATAGATGGGGAAACTGAGACTGAGGGAGGCAAAGTGGTCTGCACAGGGCCACAATCATGAGCACTAAGCCAGCCACGGGCACAGCTAGAATCCAGCCCCAAGTCTTTCTCGTTCTGAAGACGAGGTTCTTTGTGTTTCCTACTCACAGCAAACATGAATGCTGGGAACAAGCTGCCAGGAGCTAAACAGCCGATCAAAAAGCCAGTGAAATGTGATTCGTATTATCTGTACTGGCCCAGCCTCTTCAGACACAAGCTGCACTCACATGGTAAGCTTCCTGGCTCAACAAGCCAGTGGCTGTTCTCTGGCAAAGGGCTCTCCAACGGGGAAGAGCAAACCCAGAATACATTGGGCCAAGAATGCTGCCAGGAGTCAGCAAAACACCCCAAGTCCTTTCTTTCTTCGGAGAGAGGTGTATGGAGAAGCCATTAGAATCCTGCAAAATGACTTTCACCTGCCCCTGACTCACACAAATTCATTCTAAGATATTTCATTCTAAGAGAGCCACTTTCCCCCATTTTTACACCTCACCAATCAGGGTGTGTCTTACAATCAATGGTGTGTCACAGTTTAATCGGTAGGTTTTTTTTTTCCTTTCTTAGTGGTCTGGAAAATAATGGTGCATCTGACAATTGCTTGTATCCCAGAGTCAAATGAAACATGGGATATAAATACTAAAATACAAAATATAAATCCAGAAATGGACATGCAAGGTGACACTGGAGATTAGAATTTGGAATGAAAAATTCTGTCTTCCCAGCAAAAGGAGGCTATCCTCATTATCCCTTTATAAGTCATCTTCTACTCTTAATAACCCACAGTGGGTTTTGACTGATTCCCAAAAGAAAAATCCAACCCGAAATCAAAAGATAGATGTGATTAGATAAGACTGAAGGCTTTTAGCCTTAAAATTTTTCAAACAAACTCAATTTCCGTTATTTTTCAACCTACTGTGCCCCAGTTTCCCTTTACCTGTGGGATGTAAATAATAACAGTATTGAGCTCACAGGGCTGCTGGAAGGGGAAATGAACTAATCCACATGAAGCATTCAGAACAACGCCCGGCACGTGCTGAGCACTCACTAAATGTCAGGCACTATCAGCTGCCACCACAGCATCTCTGAAGTTGTCCTTCTGACACTGGGTAGTTTAGCAGGTGATAGTATGCAGGGTAGGGTGGGTTTTTTGTTGTTGTTGTTTGTTTGTTTGTTTTTTAAAGAGAGCTTTCAGTTCAAGGTCGTTTTTGATGTAAGAAAATGCAAAAGATCCCATGATTCTTTCACTACAAGTAGGAGTTTTATCATCAAGATTCTTCACTGGTCCCTGGGCAATCAGTTGTTTATCAAAGCAAAGGATAAAAAGAGACATTTCAGAGAACAACTAGAAAACGTCCCAGGCCAACCTGCAGCTCACCATCCAGAGTGTCTCCAACAGAGCATCCTCACGGCTCCAAAATGCTTCTTCCTTGGTGGTTAAAGAAATACTCCACCATCTGCCAACCTGACTACCGGATCCAGAAATTTACCATTGCCTTCAACTCTTCCTTCTTTCATTTGCATTTCTCCTAAGTAGCTCTTGAATCCACCTGTCTTCCTCTCTATCTCTGTGGTCACTTCCCTGAGCCCAGGCCACCATCATCTGTCACCTAGACAACAACCACCACTTGCTAACTGGATGTCCAGTTAAGCCACAGTCTAATCCAAATACACACTGTCACGGTGGAATTATCTAGAAGCCAAAAAGGCTTCAAGGGCTTCAGCAGAGTCCTTTAATGTAGTAAACAAGGCTACAATCTGCATTCTTTATAAGAAGCCAGTCATTGTAAATATGGTGCTTTCCTGTGTTCTGCAAGTCCTTCTAGAGAATTATTAAACTTGATGGGCGAGGGGGTCATAGAAAACCCCAAATTTGTGGTCGGCTGGGCAGAAGTGTGAGGAATCTGAGGACCCCACTTGTGGCTGGTGACTGAATTTGGGGCAGTCTCATGGGACTGAACTCTTAGCTTGTGGGGTCTACACTAACACTAGGTGTGTCATAACTGAATAGGACAGCAGCTGCAGTCAGAGAATTGATGTTGGAACATAAATGCATTCTTCGTGCTGGGGAGAGCTTGAGTGTAGATGCTACTTTTACCTCCTTAGCAGCTAACAGAGTCTAGCACAGAGGAGGCTTGTCATACCCCTTTCCTGAATGAATGAATGAAAGAACAAACTAATAAATGGAGGCTGGAGTGTTTTGCAGGACTCATCTGCAGCAGTCAAGGATGTTTATGAATGGAAGAATGGCACCAGGCGTGAATCAATTAGTCCTACAAAAACCATAAATGGCTGATGGGTTGCAACTCAAGAGAGGCAGCAACTGCTTCCCCACCCTGCCATTCCGTCAGGCTTTGCCCATCCCGTTAGTGTTCTCTAGGGAGATGAAAACCATATTATGCAAGGAATAAATATTTCAAGCAAGTTGTCTGTTTCCTTCTCTGCTGTTTTGTATTTGGTCGAAAATTAACGCTAAGAAAAATACTCAGCTCCCGGCGTGCCTCCATACTCTATATACCTCTACCCTGCCCCTGAATGCAGCCACAGGGAAGTCAGGTGCACTGCACCTTAACAGTCCTATTGTGTACAGGCACACCCAGGGCATTCTGAGACCAGAGTAGTGGGCAAGGCACTCAAGGAGTTGTGTCTACGTGAGGTTTTACTGGAGACAAGCTTTGCAAAGGAAGAGTTCACAGCTCTAGGCTTCTGGTGGATCTGTTTGGCTTGTGTTTACCTAGAATCCTCAGTTATAAAATACATCTAATAAATAGCCCGGCCTCTGAAGGCTACATACATTCACCTGAAATGCAACATCCCTTTGCAGTAAATTTCTTTTATTTTGGAGACAGGGTCTCACTCTGTCACCCAGACTGGAGTGCAGTGGAGCGATCTCGGCTCACTGCAACCTCTGCCTCCCAGGTTTAAGCGATTCTTCTGCCTCAGCATCCCAAGTCGCTGAGAATGCAGGTGCACGCCACCACACCCAGCTAACTTTTGTATTTTTAGTAGAGATAGGGTTTTGCCATGATGGCCAGGCTGGTCTCAGACTCATGACCTCAAGTGATCCTCCCAAAGTGCTGGGATTACAGGCATGAGCCACTGTGCCCGGCCTTGGAGGAGATTTCTGAGTTAAATTCAGACATCTATGGATTCAGGTCAGGGGCAGCTTTCTGATGGTCACAATAGGTCTAAGGGTAAAATTCTAGCATCCCTGCTTCCACCCAGACAGAAGGGGTCTGGCTGTGCCTACATTCTGTATTTCCTCATCAGCCTTCTAAGCCCTGGGCTTAGCCTCGAAGAACTGGCTGGAACCATCCCACCCTCTGCTCCTTGTTCTTCCTCCTCACTCCACTGACATCCCTGTGGGAAGGAGAGCTCCTAGTACTATCCCTCCTCAAAAATCAATGGGGGTGGGGTTGCAGGGAATCTACACAGATTCAATTTTTACCATAGAGGCAGAGCCATTGATCCATTGACTGCAGGTCTCAGGGTCATTCTGAGAGTGCTTTCTGCTGGTTTTGTAAACACAAGAAACATTCCTGTGGGTGAGTGCATAGGCTGGATACGGCTGGGGGATGAGCAAACCACTGTGCCTAGAGGAAAGGATTCACATTTCACAGGCTTTTTCCAAGAAAGGAAGAATGACGTGGAGAGGCATTTGGGGTCCACTTTGGAGTCTGATCAGAATCGAGGCCCAGTGATTGAACCATTCTGGAGGCAGGTCAGTGTGGGGTGGGGAGACGCGGTCCAGGAAGCCAGAGGCTGAGTAGCCAGGGGTCACTATGGTTCTCTATGCACACAGTCCACCCTTGGTGGGACGACAGCCCTGCCTCAAGGCTGTCCCTGGAGCATCACACACACAGTGTGACACGTCTACCCTTCACCACTGTTGCTGATGCTCCTTTCTAAATGACAAGAGCCATGTGTTGGTGCACGCTGTCCTCTCCACCTTGAATATCCCCTCCTCATTCTTCAACAGCTGACCCCTCATGCTCCTCCTCATTATCACTACCCTACCCCCAGGCTTAGTGAGGCTCCTTCCTCTCTGCCCCCAGGTTACACCTTTTGCTTATATTCATCCCAGCACTGGCTGGCAGGGTGGCTCACACCTGTAATCCCAGCACTTTGGGAGGCCAAGGCAACAGGATCACCCGAGGTCAGGAGTTCAAGACCATCCTGCCTAACATGGCAAAACCCCGTCTCTACTAAAAATAGAAAAATTTGCCGGGTGTGGTGGCAGGCACTTGTAATCCCAGCTACTTGGGAGGCTGAGGCTGGAGAATTGCTTGAACCCAGGAGACGGAGGTTGCAGTGAGCCGAGATCGTGTCACTGATCGTGATGGGGTTTTACCATGTTGGCCAGGCTGGTCTCGAACTCCTGACTTCAGGTGATCTGCCCACCTAGGCCTCCCAAAGTGCTGGGATTACAGGCATGAGCCACCACGCCAACGCGCCCAGCCAAGCCAACTGTTAAAAATAATTAAAGAATTATTTTTTTCTCTCTGTATAAATATTTTAAACATTTATGAGAGCTACAAATCATATAGCTTTTCTTGTGTATTTATACCCAAATTCACTGTGGCTTTGCCTATGAACCAGCCCCTACAAGAGAAAAAATTAAAGGGGGTTGCAGAGATTTCTCTTTGAAAGATAAGCAGAATCTTTAGAACTTACAAAGTCAAAAGGCTATACAGTTTCTTTATTCATTCCAAACTGACCTCCCATCATTTCAAATAAATAAAATGCTCTATTTACTCCATGAACTGACTCATGTCAGGCTCTCGGCAAAGGTTCCAGTAAAACTCAAGACTCAAGGGACTGTGTCCTCAAAAGGCTGTGTACTACATGATTCCATTTGTATAAAATGTCCAGAATAGGCAAATCCAGAGACAGAAGGCAGATGAGTGGTTGTCAGGGTCAGCGTGGGTGGGGAGACTGTGAAACAGGGAGGGACTGCTTAATGGGCATGAGGTGTCTTTCGGGGATAATGAAAATGTTGTGAAATTAGATAGTGGCGATGGTTGCATAACACCATGAATGTACTAAAAGCCACTGAAACTTATACTTCAGAACGGCTAAAATGATAAATTCTGTGATGTGAATTTTACTGCAATAAGCAAAACAGTGACTGTGTCTTACCTTCCTTCCAAAGGTTTACTAGAAACTGTGCAAGCTGTTTCATAATCACAATGTTGAGAACTGGAAAGGATGATCCTTTTTAAAGTTGGGGAACCACTAGCCCAACATCGCCATGAGGGGAAATAGAGGCCGTGTCAGCCCCAACCATCAAAGGAGACCTTTGTGCACTGGGTTTGCTGTAAATGACAGAAGCCACTTCAAAAGCCTCTTTGGAGCTGTTCAGTAAAATGCTCAGGGAACACCTGGGCACACTCAGGCAAGATAAACCACACAGACACCTCGCAGACAGACCTCCCAGGACAGAGGGACAGCAACAAGACTCCAAAAGCAACTTGAAGTTTTGGCAGCATGATCATCCACAGAGTGAAGTTCAACATTCAGTCAAGAAGAATCATTCTGATTACTTAATTGGAAGATCTGATACTTCTGAAATGAAACATTTCACAAACTCTACTGAAATAAGAAATACTTTTGATTTATTTTTTAAAAAATGAATCATTGGTTATGGAAAGAACTATATGGTCTTGCAGACAGGACAAAGTTAAAGATGTTTTGCAAGCTTAACACAACCAAATCTGATTTGAGAATTATTTTGAGGCTTGCAGCTCTGTTTGTGGCATAAATATATACATACATACATACGCAGGTATATATGTATGCAAAAATGCTTATTGACTGTGGAAATGACAGTTTAAGTCACTCTGTATTTCTTTTTTCCATGAGTCTAATATTGAATTACGATGATTCAAAGGCTCTCAGAGTGTTGTGCTAACATCGTAAATGGCTAAACATCCAAAAAAGAAAACAATTAAAACACAACGCACACACAATTTTCTTAAAGTTGTGGAAAATTAGGTAGGCACAGTTGATTGTTTTGAGCTGGTAGAAAAACCTGGGCAGCTAGCAGAGGTCTGGACAACCACGGAAAGCCCACAGCAAGGACCACACCGTGAGCAGCCACCAGAGATTTGGGATGGTAGACTTACCAAGAGTGTCCACTGGCGGGGGGGCACACGGTGAGAAAGTGCAGGATACACAATTGACACAAAAAGGAAAATAATAAAGTCAAACTGGTATTCAAGCAGCAGCAGTCTTACCTTTGTTTCATGTGTTAAACAGTCCATGGCTCGCCACCAAATTTTCTATTAGGGCTGATTAAACCCACATCCACATTCCCCTTCTCTGCCTTACTAATATCTTCCTTCCTTCTCATCTAAACAAAACCTTCCCAGTTAGTAATGACCACCCCTAGAGAAGACAGCAAGGATTTTTAAAAAGAGAGATGAAGAATATATACCCAGAAGAAGCCAAGCTTTGGCAAGAAAACCTTTCGAGTGTCATTTACCATCACTTGAAAAATATCTAGGAAATTCCTAGGAAACAAAGCTTAGGGTGGGATGAAAATGGAAAAAAAAAATTAAAGAGTTTAAAATTGTAGTATAACAGCAAATACTATGCTCGTATAGAACTCTGTGAGTCTGTTTATTACATTTATAACATTGGCTTTGCAGCCTCTAGTGGAAAGTGAGAGAGTCAACTATTTACATGTCAGCTGTGCAGTTAACATATTATAATGTTCCAGTTCTCTCTCTCTCAAGAAAAGTCCCTGCTGGGCGCAGTGGTGTGTGCCTGTAATCCCAGCTACTAGGGAGGCTGAGGCGGGAAGATCCCTGAAGCCCAGGAGTTTGAGGTCAGCCTAGGCCACCTAGTGAGATGCTGACTCAAAAAAAAAAAAAAAAAAAATCAAGACTTCTTAGATTTAATGATGTCATGGTAATAAGTGGAACAGTGACCATAATAAGTACCTAATGAATGCTGGCCATTATTATTTTTAAAAATCCCTTATAAACTTTTTGTAGTTACAGATGGAAACAGAAGGCTTTACCAGAATTTTTTTATTTTTTTTTTTGAGACAGAGTCTCCCTCCGTTGCCCAGGCTGGAGTGCAGTGGTGCAATCTTGGCTCATTGCAACCTCCACCTTCCAGGTTCAAGCAATTCTCCTGCCTCAGCCTCCCGAGTAGCTGGGACTACAGGCGCCCGCCACCACGCCCGGCTAATTTTTGTATTTTTAGTAGAGATGGGGTTTCACCATGTTGGCCAGGATGGTCTCGATTTCTTGACCTCATGATGCACCCGCCTCAGCCTCCCAAAGAGCTGGGATTACAGGCGTGAGCCACCACGCACAGCCCAGAATTAATTTTTAATTCACATTGATAGTAACATGGGAGTTAAATGAGAATAAGGCTGCTGAGTTCATACGGTTGGGTGGCACACGTAGGTAAATACAATGTAAAACGCCTCTCATTTCTGATGCTCTCTCTTACTTTTCCCCATTGGGTCGTGGTCAACTCCAAGACCTCCAAGGCAATAAGCTGATTATCATGGAGCAGGAAGAGGGCTCAAGAGACACTGTTCAGAGCCTGGGGTTACTGGGTCCGCTCCACACCATCTCCCCAGCATCCTGCCGCCTCCGTCCCTCCACCTGTCGGCAATGCTGGCTCTGCCCCGTGCTCTTGACCCTGTGCACGAGCCCAGAATTTCTCTGAGGGTGAGGACTGGCTAACTCCTTGCCTCGTGTTTACTTCTAGTAGGCATCTGACAAGCTTGCCTTCAAGAAAAACAGGCACACTCATCCACAGCCATAGCATATCCCAAGCTGCTAAAAAATGATTTTGAGATAAAACCTACCAAAGGCAAACCATTGAAAGTTTCTTGAAGGAAATATTTAAACACCTTTAGATTACAAACCACCTCTCTATATAGTAAGAAAGAGTCGAAGAATGTGATAAAAGGTGGTATCTGCAGAGTAAGAAGGAAAGTGAGCCGCTCACAAAAATCACATCCGTGTGTGTCTGCCCACGTCAAGGATGGTGGTAAAACCATGCTTACATGCACAAAGGCACTTGAAATGCTAAAAGGAGAGTCCAGAGAATTTTTAGATCAAAGATCAGAGTTTTTGAAAAAGGCATGGCAGGAAGCTGCTTGAGAATCTCCTGGAAACATATTAAAAAGGAAGTGATTATCTGGCTGCATACATCAGATTCCGTCTATCAGGACAAAAAAAAAAATGTATCCAAAACCTTCATCCATCCGAACGCGTGGTGCGTCAGAAGGAACTGCTAACACTTTTACAAACCGAGGGTCCGGGAATCTGCCACTTGAAGGAGATGAAACAGATCCCTCGAGGTGTTCTAGTAGAAAGGGAAATGTCAGCTAACCAGACCCCTAAACAACTGAAAGCCTCAAATGACCAGATTTCTTCCAGCCCTTAAGTGAGTTGTGTTTTCTTCAGTCCATTCTCAGCCATACATATGCCTCCTAGGAGAGCTCTCCATAAAAGATTCCAGTCCGAATGTGACTCTAGTACCTTTCAGAAGGCTGCTTTCATCCCAGAAATATACAAATAGAACACCTGGTCCAAAACTGCACTTACTGATTTTAGAAAAAAATCTTTATAAAGGACAGAAATAAAAATTATTTTCTGGTGGTATCTTGAAGTAACTAGAAATTCTCTAGAACATTCCAAGCTATGGATCTGACCGATCTCGTGGACCTAAGTCCACCGTGTGGAAAAGACACGGTGCCAGAGACTGCTGGTGTGAGGCTGTGGCTGAGAAGACAGATGCTTCAGAAACCCCTGATCCCAACCTCCATTCTCTCATCTGTCAGGCCAATGTGCCCTAAGAAACCACACAACTGAATGCCAATCATTCCCAAGTCCCAGGGCCAGATGCCTCTCTTCATGTTATGCACAGTCCAGCATTCTATGGGTCCCATATCTTCCTATCCAGCCTTGATAGGGAGCTCATTATCCTGCAGGCAGCCCGAGCCAGTGCTAGGAAGGTCTAATTGCCAGAAACTTCTTTTGATGTTGCATTGCAATCACCCTATCAGGCTTCACCCAGAGGTATAAATTCTGCTAATTGGGCAATGCCAGTGACTTTGAGTGACAGAGGACAACCAATTCAGCCTCCATGCAGAACTTAGATAAAAGGATTATCACTGTAGCCAAGAACTTAGGGCCTCTGAAAACTGAGTGGTGGAAGAGCTGAGGGAAAACAGCCACTTTTTCTTCCTTCATCCTTTTCACCAAACTCCCAAACCTTTTCTAAGCCTAAGCATCTTCCCTGGACCACCTCTCCCAGCCCAGGAATCCTTCCTCTCTCAAAGCTGCCAACCTGTCAGTTATGTGGAGTTCAGCCCCGAACTGTGACCAGCCTGCTCTCTTCCGGGCCTCAGACTTCATGGAATATGGTAGTAATTTTACTTATAAATGCTTACCTCTACAGTCACTAAAATGTTACTATGTCACAAACCCTATTACTTGTCAAACACTAGCTCCCAGGTGCCCTGGTTAGATAGGATACAAATCTGAGAAGCTCCAGACTAAAATAAAACATACGAAAGAAACTGCTGGGGCCAATGCTGATGGAAAATCTGATTGTGGGTGAAAATTCTGCTGCCTTTATCTCAAAATGGGTTTATGGTTGTTGTGAAAATTCAGGGTGGGGGGCTCATTTTATAGAAATGTTCAAGGTTAAAAACTGTGTCCTATCATCACCCCACTACACACCACCCTCCACAATCCCATCTCTACAAATGTGTCTTCTATTTCCAACAGAGAACGCTGGTTTAGGGGAGAGAAAATTC
This sequence comes from Homo sapiens, assembly GCF_000001405.40. NCBI lineage: Eukaryota > Metazoa > Chordata > Mammalia > Primates > Hominidae > Homo > Homo sapiens. The sequence goes on from NC_000008.11 coordinate 124,584,216, forward strand.
AGGCTGGGGGATCCCAACTCGAAAAGGTTGTCTCAAATTAATGGTAAACACCACCCACAGAGCAGCCTGACGGAAGAATCCCATCTTATCAGTTGTGAAGCAGCAGATTCAGAAACTTGGTGTCAAAGAAGAATAGACTGGAAGGAATGTCACCTTCTCTAGCTCAGGAGAAAGTCCCTACATTTTTAGGTGGTAGTAAAATGTCACAAGTGCTTGCAAAGTGGATGCTGCTAGATTTTTCTCTTCAAACTCCCAGTCCATTCTGGAGGAACAAAGGTGGGTCAAAGATCTGACGATTCATTTGTTTGTGAAGGAGGATAAACAAGGATGTGGGGGAAAGGCATCTTGCCTGGTTGTGCTCAGTGGTAGATTATCAAGCTCCTCCCTCATGAACACCATGGAAAATCCCCTGTATGGCCATGACTCCCAGCTTCCCCTGCACCCATTCCTAGCATTCTCACAAGACTTAATAAAGGGTTTTGAAGATTATAGGCTGTGAAAGCTGCAGGAGAAAATGACATAATTTCTGTAATAATTACTAGAGAACATTTGCATAAAGGCCTTTCTGCATTATCCCAAGGCTTCTAAGAAATTTATAGGTATCATTACGAAGCACAATAGGCATGGAAACTGTCAAACTTGGAAGACAAAGGTGGGGGAAGGAACACGTCAAGTACCACTTGGCAAAGGCCTCAAATTAATACCTATTCTGCACTTTGAGAATGTGAACTCAGATAGGTCCTATTTGCTCCCACCTGTTTTCCAGGGCCGTCATACTTAAGGAAGTCTCTGAAGTGAACACCTTTCACTTCAAAAACAAATCAAGTACTCCATCAGGAAGTAACATCAGTGGCAGAATTTTAGGAGTTACCTTTTTTTGCTTTCTTCTGCAGTTTCAGCGTATCCGAGGACTTCTTTTTTATCTCTTGGCGGGCTTTCTTATATTCTAAGAGAAAGCAGAATATGGAACAATTTTACCACTTTGCTTAACAGAAAATATGTTAGGTAGGAAACAGCCATTACATTTATCACAGAAAGCATAAACTGTGACATGCCGTCAATGGCTTTATCAGAATACAATATGATAATCTCATGATGACATTTACAACAAAGGGGCTAGAGACACGAAAACAAAATGCACAGTGGTCTTGCCCTGTCATATTCACTCATACCAGCTTTGAAGGGAGGCTCCGTTTGGGAATACTTTTTTTTTTTTTAAGACAGAGTCTTGTTCTGTGGCCCAGGCTGGAGTGCAGTGGCATGATCTCGGCTCACTGCCACCTCCACCTCCCGAGTTCAAGCGATTCTCCCACCTCAGCCTCCTGAGTAGCTGGGATTACAGGCGCCCACCACCACGCCCAGCTAATTTTTGTACTTTTAGTAGAGATGGGGTTTCACCATGTTGGCCAGGCTGGTCTTGAACTCCTGACCTCAAGTGATCCTTGGCTTCCCAAAGTGCTGGGATTACAGGCATGAGCCACCATGCCTGGCGGGGAATACTTTAGTAAAAATGAAAAAAATTCACAATTTCTCAGCTCAAGTATCCGGAAAGATTTTTCAATATTATCTACTTTCCCCGGGCCCAAATCCACAGTGTTTTGCAAAAACAAAAAAACAAACAAAAAACAAAAAACCCCTATGTGGAAAAGATGCTGGGCAGATGTTAAAATCCAGAAAAAGTGTCTCATACAGCAGGAGAAGCTAGATCACACAGTGGGGAGACTGGGCAAGAAGAACCAGCTGCCTTACTTTCAGCATGAATCCTGTGGCTAGATACCACAAACACCTCAGAGGGGCAGTCCAAGTGCACCACATCCCCTGCCAAGCACTTCCTCCTCCACCACTGGCCCATTCGCAGACTGCCCCATTTCTGTTGCTGGCATCCTCATCACCCAGACATAGACACCTGGGATGATGGTCACCTGTGACACTTTTCCCTTTGCTGCCCTCACAGTCAATTAATTGCCAGCTGCTGTACATTTCACCTTGGCCAGCTCCCTTGCAGCCAGCTCTGAGGTTTCCCTTCTACTGGCCCTAAGCCTATTTATACACACCTGGAATCACTGTGCAGCGTGGCAGCTCTCCACTCTTTTCTGGCCACTCCCCCATCTTCCCTGCCTATCTGCACAGTTTTCTATCTGGCTAGGGCCCCTTCACTGCTCTAACGTCAGCGTGATGAAACCATGTACACCTACTGGGATCCCTCCAAATGGTGCCTCATTTTCTAATTCCTCAACCAAACCTCTCCAACCTCTGGGGCTCCCTGTATCTCTCTCCCCCAACATCCTGTGCTCTGCCCTACAGTCTCTCCTCCCTCCCCCTACAAGCTCCCCAGGGGACGCAGCAGTGCCTGGGTCATGTCTGAGCATCTTGGGCTAGCAGAGTGGGTTGCGTGTGGCTGCTACTCGGGTCGCGCTCCCTGAGTTAAAGGCTGAATCGAAAAGATGAAGGAAGTGCTGTGTCACCGAGGCTGGGGGTTAGGAGCTTTGTACCCCACAACCTCTTGGCCCCTGTGCAGACAGGCCACTTAGCAGGTATGCAGGCCGGACAATGGGTCTCAATTCACATTCAGGCCTAGGCTCTTCATCTCTGTATGTGACCCCAAAGAAGAAAATTGAGACGTGCTTCTCTGTATGCAGTGGGAATGGGAAGGAGGGGGAAATATTCCAAGAAAATCAAGGAACCTGTGTTTTATTGGATGAGTAGACCTCTCTGCAAGACCTGCTGCCTTCTCCTAATGGGCTCAGCACAACTACTCTTATAAAAGGCCTTACACATCCTATTTGAAGTCTCAGCTTTGCTGTACCAGCAAAGGGGAACATTTAACAGAGTAGAAGGAGGCTCCTGCAGGGTGGTGGGGCCCAAAAGGCCTCAGAAGTCTGCACCGGCTCCTCACACAGACAGAGGGTGAGGAGAGACCTGCGCAGGAGAGCAGGTTCCCTGAGGGCAGGGGCCTGGCCGGATGGTTGTCTATGCATCCCCAGGGCCTCAACGAGTCCCTGGCATGCAGCAGATGCCTGACAAATACTCAGCCAATGAATGAGCCAAGTCAGCCAACACAAAGTGAATTGGGCCAAACATAAACTATCAACTCTTTCCCCATCTGAAAAAAAATGTCAAATGGTTCTATTTTCTTTTACCCAATGAAAAGTACAGATGGATAAATCCCGTGAGCCTAAGAAAATTCATGATGTGATTAACACACAATGGGATCCAGTTAATCCTCTGAATTTGCCTCTCTCCCTAACTTCAAGTTAGGGTAGGGGGGATAAAAGATTATATATTAACTATTTTTTTTCTTGAGATGGAGTCTTGCTGTGTTGTCCAGGCTGGAGTGCAACAGTGCAATCTCAGCTCACCGCAGCCTCCGCCTCCTGAGTTCAAGTGATTCTTGTGTCTCAGCCTCCCGAGTAGCTGGGATTACAGGCGCATGCCACCACGCCCAGCTAATTGGTTTTTTTGTATTTTTAGTGGAGGTGGGGTTTTGCCATGTTGGCCAGGCTGGTCTTGAACTCCTGACCTCAAGTGATCCACCCGCCTCGGCCTCCCAAAATGCTGGGATTACAGGCATGAGCCACCACGCCTGGCCTATATTAACTTTTTTAATATAACTGCTAAGTATTTGGCTATTGTACCCATACTTCTGAATCTCAACACAAATAAGCCATCACCCTCCCTGGTTCTTTTATCAAAATGGTTTGTTGAAGTTCTACATAAGACTGATTTCCAATAACAATGAAGACACGACTTCAGGAGTCTGTTGTCTGTGATAGACAAAGTTAAAGGACGTGCACCAAAAACCAAGACCAACTTATTTATTTCTGTGGCTCCAGAGCATGCACGGGCATGAAATACGGTAAGTACTCAGTAGCATAGGTGCATGATGAGGGGAGGGGTGAATAATTTGAATGAACCGGCAACTTTCTGGTGGCTACTGATAGTTGCTGGGGACATAGAATGATTTTCATGATATAGCTTGAAGCAGGCAGAATAAACCATCCCCATAGTCACAAAGAGGCCTGTTTTAGGAGCCACCATTCACACTCCCAGAGCACCCGGTTGGGTCTTCATTGCAGTCTTCTACTTTGCTTTGTAACAGGGTTAATTTATTTCTGTTTCAGTAGATACCACACTCATCCTTCTGTAGCCCCCATAGCGCCTAGCATGTAAAAAGCATCAGAATGACCTGAACAGGGGATGAGAAGCTCTTACGAAGGTCTGGTTGGCCTGTGTGAAGGGAACACAAACACTCTCACTCGAAAGCATCAGTGCTATTTGCTGTGCAGATTACACTTAGTTCCTCTCATACCATCAAGGTCCCTGACAACTCACTCAACCAGTTCACAAAGACTTGTCTCACCGACCTGGGACAACGCACAAAGAGAATGGGCAGGAGACCTAGGGTAAGCTTATATCATTAAAAGTCTGGCTTTCAAAATGTGCTGAAATGCCTTAAGTATAAATGTTTGGCATTTAAACCTGCCATGATGATTTTCACTTCTTTGGAGGGTTAGGGGGAGGCAGTGTCTTGCTCTGTCACCCAGGCTGGAGTGCAGTGGTGCAATCTCTGCTTACTGCAACCTCTGCCTCCTGGGTTCAAACAATTCTCGTGTCTCAGCCTCCCGAGTAGTTGGGATTACAGGCATGCACCACCACACCTGGATACTTTTTGTATTTTTAGTAGCCATAGGGTTTCACCAAGTTGGCCAGGCTGGTCTCAGACTCCTGGACTCAAGTGATCTGCCCACCTGAGCCTCCTGAAGTGCTGGAATTACAGGTGTGAGCCACTGCACCCGGCCTATGATTTCTTCTTTTTCTTTTTTTTTGTTTTTTGAGATGGAGTCTCACTCTGTCGTCCAGGCTGGAGTACAATGGTGCAATCTTGGCTCACTGCAACCTCTGACTCCCGGGTTCAAGCGATTTTTGTGTCTCAGCCTCCCAAGTAGCTGGGATTACAGGCACCCACCACCATGCTTGGCTAATTTTTGTGTTTTTAGTAGAGATGGGGTTTCAACATGTTGGCCAGGCTGGTCTCAAACTCCTGACCTCAAGTGATCCGCCCGCCTCGGCCTCCCAAAGTGCCGGGATTACAGGTCTGAGCCACCGCGCCCACCCTGTGATTTATTCTTAATTCAGCTGAATACAATTCATGCCACTGAGGGATCAGACTATCAGCTGCTGAATGTTGTTTCACACCAAAGAAACAGCACTCAGCCTCACAACGGGATCACTTTGTTCTCCTCATCCCCTGACACGGACGTGCCTACAGGAGAGTAGGGACAGAGTGGGCCCTTGGCTGTTTTGGTGACACCAATAAACCTAGCAGAGGGGCCAGGCAGCAGCTGGCAACTTCCCACAGCGCCCCCCAGCGTGCAGTGATGCGCTAGACATCTCGCCCCTGTACCTTTTGCGTGGTCTTTATCCAGCTGGTTGGCCACTTTCTTCCATTCTTCCATCTGTTCTTGAAGTGGGTTTATCAGACAATCAATTAAAGCGCTTTTACCAAGCGGGGGGGAAAAAGGGAGAAATTAAATAGATACATTCTGTTGTCAGGATTTAAATGTGGTTGTCAAAACATACCTAAATCACAATTACCCGAAACGTTCTCATCTAAACCCCGGGGCTCCAGAACAGCCATGTTCCAAGAATGCTTTTCTTTTAAGACAGAGTCTCGCTCTGTCACCAGGCTGGAGTGCAGTGGCGCGATCTCGGCTCACTGCAACCACCACCTCCCAGGTTCAAGCGATTCCCCTGCCTCAGCCTCCCAGGTAGCTGGGACTACAGGAACACATCACCATGCCCAACTAATTTTTTGTATTTTAGTAGAGATGGGTTTTCACCATGTTGGCCAGGATGGTCTTGATCTCCTGACCTCATGAGCCGCCTGCCTTGGCCTCCCAAAGTGCTGGGATTACAGGCGAGAGCCACCGCGCCTGGCCCCAAGAATGTTTTTCAATGACTACTAAGAAGCTGTCAATGTGACTGGTGGGAGTGACCCTTCTTCCCATTTTCCCTGTGATATTCTAGTGTTTGTATTAACAAGCCAAGTTGCAGAACCACAGGGGTCACCCCTCTGAGAGCTGCACAACAGGGACCCCCAAAATGCAAAGACACCTGGGCCTTATCTCACCCCCAATGGAGACTTTGAGGGTGGGGCCCAGCATCACTATTTTTAAAAAAGACCCACAAGATTCTGCTGTGCATGCGGCATGACAGGTCATAAATATACACTAAGTATGCACAGCCTGGAGAAAGAGAAGAGTGACGAGACCCAGAAAATTCTCGAGCTGCACTGCCAGCCTCGGGGTTACTGAGGGGTGAAGGTCTCTGAAGGTGTGCCCCTTCATTTTGTGCAGTCTCCCAAACAGAATCACATAAAACTGCTGAATGATGCTGATCTGCTTGGAAAGCAATGTCCATTTTCACTTGAACATTTGTAACCCAATTCCGGTGCCAGCTACTACCATTTCTTCCCTATTCTGGATGCCTGGAAGCCAGATGGGAAGCTGGCGGTGTGGAGTGGTCTGTGAGCTGCCACATCCCTCAGTGAGTCTGGAGGATGCACACAGGATACCAAGGCACATCTCACTCTCCAATTTCACAGCCCCTCTTCTTGCGAGGCTCCCGCAGGGCAGTGGGGGCCCAAAAGACCTCAGCAGGCTGCACCGGCTCCTTGCACAGACAAAGGGTAAGGAGAGACCCATGCAGGAGCACAGGCTCTGTGAAGGCAGGGGCCTGGCTGGCTGGTGATCTGCTGCACCCCCAGGGCCTCGACCAGTGCCTGGTATGCAGCAGATGCCTAACAATACTCAGGCAATGAATGAGCCAAGTCAGACAGATTGTGGGGATTTAAATGCTGTGTGCCACACATGACTGCTTCCTTAACCTGAAATCTGCAAGGGTGTTGGCGATCGGGGCCAAAACATGCTCCTCACCTCGAAAACTGCCTCAGCTTGGCTTCAATGCTTCTGTGCCTCATGCACATCCTGGTGAGAGCAGATCCAATCTCCCTGGTCCCACCTGAAAAAGCAACAGAGGCAAAGGTGAGGGATAGAAGACTAGCAGGGATCATGGAGGTCTTTAGAGAACTTTACAAACAAGTCAGATTTCACCACATTGTAAAATATAAGCCACCATCTTTAGAAGCTTCTCACCATGCCCATGTGTGCATACACACAGGCACATGTAAACATGTATGTACGTATGGTGACAGATTTCTGTATCACCAAAACTATCACCAAAGGCTGCTCCTACTATATACCACACTCTGTTAGTTTCTATTCCATCTGATTTTTTTTGTAATGCTGATTGTAATCTAAAAATTGACTTTACAACCTATAAATCGACCATGACCTGTAGTTTGAAAAATACTTCTCATGAAAGATAATCAATATAGTATCTGCTGTTTAGGGAAGAGCTGTAGCTTTTCTCAACAATTCTGACAAAATAATCCCGTTAACATTATTTAGAACAGCCAAGGCAGCCACGCTAGCTAATTATTTCAAGACAAATGTTCTAGAATACAAGTAATTCAGAGAATAGCAAGGCTAAAGCAAAATGAGGTAATAGGACTTTTTTTTTTTGAGATGGAATCTTGCTGTGTTGCCCAGGCTGGAGTGCAGTGGTGCAATCAAGGCTCACTGCAACCTCTACCTCCTGGGTTCAAACAATTCTCCTGCCTCAGCCTCCTAAGTAGCTGGGATTACAGGCACGTGCCACCACACCCAGCTGATTTTTTTATTTTTTTTTTAGTAAAGACAGAGTTTCACCATGTTGGCCAGGCTGGTCTCGAACTCCTGACCTCAGGTGATCCACCCACCTCAGCCTCCCAAAGTGCTAAGATTACAGGCGTGAGCCACCATGCCCAGCCAGTAATAGGACATTTTTTAAATGGGCTTGAGCAACACCAGTCTTCAAGCTCAGCAAATAATGAAGGAAGTTGCAGCCCAGTTTGATTTTCCCGAAATTCTCATCATACTTTTCCCCTTCAGGCACACCTTCTCTAACATTATTTTTAAAGCTCTTCTCTTCCTTCTCCCTCTTAAAAACAATGCTTGAATCAGCATTTACTGGGGCGTGGGAGAGCAAATTATAACCACACATGGTAGTTCTGCGCTGAACACTGGAGGGCACAATTATGAACATTACGAAAACACTGGTGTTTGTGAATTTGGGGAAAAGTGTCAAATAAAGCACTATTTTTAACAGACAAGACCTTCAGGGGAAAGCCACAGGGATCTGTGGCAGGTTTAACCATGTTGAATTGGTAGAAGAACATTCCCTCTCTTATTAGTACTCGTGACATTACTATGGGTTGGATTTTCCTGTGCCCTCTCTTCTAGAAATCCCCATTTACTATTTCAGCTCCACATGTTTTCCATTTCATTTTGCAAAACCATCAAGTTTCTACAACCAAATAATAGTAACTGTGACATATATATCGTATATTAATATTTCTATATTTTATTTCAGTCTGAAGAGAGAAACCTTCTGAGGGCAAGGCCTCTATTCCTCTAAAAACAAGGTTTTCTCAATCTGGACAATGTTGACATCCTGGGCTGAATGTTGCTTTGTTGCTGGGCTGGACTGGGCTGTGCAGTGTGAGATGTTTAGCAGTATCCTTGGCCTCTACCCACCAGAAGTCAACAGCAGACTTCCTTTAACCTCACCTCCAGACTTGTGATCCTCCAAAATGTCTCCAGAGAGTACCAAGTGTTGGGCAACAAATCACTCCTGTTGAAACCAGTGCTGTAAAAGAACCCAAGCGAGGGCCAAGTGTTGCCCGAATCTGACTTTTATGACCAGAGTCTCTTAAAACTGTACCTGCCTCCAAAGAGCAGGGGATGCCACGGCCATCTCAGCGTTGCCATCTACCACTGTTCACACCAGGGAGAGCCAGCAGAGGGCGCCGTTTTCACACACTCTGCCCCGCCTTCTGCGCTCTCCAAGTTCTGAGCTTTTTACTGCATATAAGCAAAGACGAGGAACGTTTTATTCCCCGGGAAATATTTCCTATTTCTTTCTGGGCCTTCGTTTGATTAAAAGTTAATAACCCGGCCACACAAGGAAACTGGCACACTCACTCACTGATGGTAAGAGTGTAAACTACTACTTTCCTGGAGCAAAATGTGGTAGCGTCTATCAAGAAAAGCCTTGAAATATTTTTCTTTGACCCAGCAATTCTCATTTCAGAAATTTAACCTGCGGAAATGATTAAGAGTGAAAGAAAGTCCTTACCTACAAGGGTAGTCATCGAAATGTTGTTCACAGCGTCAAAAGACTGGAAACAAAATCCCATTACAGGGATCTGGTTAAATCAACCATAGAGCACCACCATGCGATGGAATTGCACGTGGTAATTTAAAACACTGGAGAACAACGTTTAAGGTTGCAGGAAGACGTACAGCGCTTAGGATGTGCCAGGCACTGCTGTGAGTACTCTGCACACTTCAACTCATTTAATCCTCGCAGCACCTCCAGCCGCATCAGTACTGTGACCATCCCATGTTATAGAAAGGAAAAATGCCCAAGTGATTTGTCCCAGGTTATGTCACTAGTAAGTGGAACTCAAACCTAGGCTTAAGCTCCAGCGTCAATGCATTTATCCCCTCAGGTATATGGCACTTGTGATGGACAAAGGGAGATGGGACAGAGCAGAGACGAGAGCCTAGAACAATGTACACCAAACTTATTGGTCTACACGCTATTACGGGTGTTGGTGCTTTAAAGCCAGCTCTCATATTTTGCTTCTAGAGCCTGGCCCTGTCTAATCAGTACCAACAGGGATTGCGCTCCATCCTTGCTAAGCTACTATAGGGAGTTCAGGGATGGAGAGCTGCTTCATGGATAATTCATGCCTCAGTTTCCTCAAGATAGAATTATGATGTTGGAAAAGATCATCTCAAATGTCAGTGCCCCCACTCCGTTTCTCTGCTTCACTGCTTCTGTCACCTTCCCAGGTATTTCCCATAGATTGCCACTGGTCACTTATTATCCCCAGGAAAGCCCAAGGCTTCTCAGAAACAGATGAACTGGCCGGGCTCAGTGGCTCACGCCTGTAACCCCAGCACTTTGGAAGGCTGAGGCGGGCGGATCACCTGAGGTCAGGAGTTCGAGACCAGCCTGGCCAACATGATGAAACCTCATCTCTACTAAAAATACAAAAATCAGCCAGGTGTGGTGGCACATGCTTGTAATCCCACCTACTTGGGAGGAGTAGCTTGAGAATCGCTTGAACCCAGGAGGTGGAGGTTACAGTGAGCTGAGACTGCGCCACTGCACTTCAACCTGGGCAACAGACTGAGACTCTGTCTCAACAACAACAACAAAAGAAATAAAGGAAAGGAAAGGAAAGGAAATAGCTGAACTATGGTACAATAAAAACAATTTCTAGACATAATGTATGTGCCTCTGTAGAACAGGAAGCCCTAGAGAGGAGAGGAAATAAAGAACCACAAAGAAAACTTCCAAACAGCAGTGTCTCTGTCCAACTGGCACGAAGACAGGAGGCAGATGACATCCTCTGTGGACCCCAGGACTGAGCTATTAGAATCACTGCTGATCTCGGCAACATGGGGCACCCTAAAAATAGGTCCATCTGTGGAAGTGCTTAACATCTTATGCTCTTCCTAACCCTTGCAAGAACTTAAACAAAAATCAGCAGGTTTGAATAAGCTTCAGAGGAAACTGGCTTGAGCTACAAAGACAGAAGACATCTGGAAGAGCTCCCATTTGCGAGTGGGCATATTTGTGGAAACAAATGGCTGGCTGAGGCACACACAGCAGCTTGAGTGAAGACAAGGCCCTACTTCTGTGTTCTCGGTACCTAGCACTGGTGTTGAATAAAGGAACGGACATTTACCATTTTGAGAGCAAACCACCAGGCTGGCCCTATCTGGAGGCAGGACCAGGGACTGGGTTTGTATCTTGTTTAATCCCCACATACTTGTTTAAAAGATATAAAATAAAAACAAGATGCTTAATCTTAGCAAAGTTCTATATTGATTCCTGGTCAGCCTAGAGATACAATGCTGTATTCGTTTCCCTTTGCTGCTGTAATAAATGACCACGAGCTTAGTGGCTTAAAACAACAGAAGTTTATTATCTTATAGTTCTGGAAGTCAGAAGTCCAAAATCAGTTTCACTGGTCTAATATCAGGGTGTCAGGTACCACAGGGCTGGCATTCCTTCTGGAGGCTGCAGGGGAGAATCTATTTCCTTGCCTTTTCCCACTTCTAGAGGCTGCCTGCACTCCTTGGCTCGTGGCCCCTTTGTCCATCTTCAAAGCCAGCGGTGCAATCTACTCCCTTCTCTGACTTCTGCTTCTGTCCTTACATCTTCTCTCTCCGCCTCCAATTTTCCTGCCTCCTTCTTATGAGAATCCTTGTGATTATGTGGGACCCACCTGGATCATCCAGGATCACCTCCCTGCCTCAAGACCCTTAACCACATCACCACACATCAGCAGAGACCCCTTTGGCCACGTACAGTAACATTCACAGGTTCTAGGGGTTAGAACGTGGACATCTTTGGGGCATCCTTATCATGGCCATTAAAAAAAGGTAAGAGTTGTGAATCTGGAGAGTGTGGCAGGGCACTGTGGCTGACTGCAGCACCCATTCGCCCTCACATGATCGGTCTAGGCCCATGATGCTAACTCCATCCCCTTTGGCAGTGGCTGCTTCAGGGATGGGACAAAGACATGGAGAGGAGGCTGCTGGGGAGGCCTCTGGGGAATGTTTTCCTGATCTTAAGAGAAACACACCAAAGGGTTCCACAGGCCACAAACAAGGAAGCAGACTGTGCAGCTGCTGCCATCAGCCATCCTATGGCCATGGGGACACCTGCCTCAGGATGACACTGCTGTGGACAGAAGAGAAAGGGCCTGAGTCTCCAGTGATGTCCCTTAGCCACCAACCCGAACCTGCTCTTCCTCTGGGCCTGGCACCCCAGTTTTGCAAGCATATTCATTTTCTTATTTTTAGAGCCACTTTGATTTGGTTCTGCTTCTTGAAAGGAGAAGAAAGAAAGGAGCAATGGCCTCTCATGCTTCTTCCCAGAACCAGGAACCAACGTGTTGCTAAAAGAAATCTAAGTTGGTCACTTGATGCCACTGCTTAGAGAGGCACAAATACTTTATGGCAAAAACATAACCCGATTCAACGTGGTACATGTAAAAACTTTCTCCCATAACAAGCAAATGCTTTTCTAATAAAGCAGCACAAAATCAGCCAGTATGATCTGTGGGTGATCTGTGAAGGAATCATCAGTGGAAAGGAAGAAGTGAACCATCCAGGGGCTGGGCTGCCAAAGCATGACTGCTGAGGCCCAGCACCATACATTTTGCATATGAAGACACACGATCCACAAGCGTCCACTGAGTATTTGTATTGGCTTTTGGGGGCTGCTGTAACAAAGCAACCCAAACTGGCTGGCTTAAAGCAACCGTAGTTCTGGAGGCTAAAAATCTGAAATCCAGATGTCGGCAGGGCCGTGCTCCCTCTAAAACCTACAGGGAGAGTCCTTCCTTGCCTTCTCCTTGCTGCTGGTGACTCCAGCATTCCTTGGCTTGCAGCTGCATTGTTCAAATTTCTGCCTCTGTTGTGCTAGGCTCACGGCCTGTGTGTGTCCATCTTCCCATAAGACACGTGTGAAGGCATTCCTGTGTGTGTGTGTCTAAATTTCCCTCTTCCTATAAAGACCCCAGTCCTATTGGATTAGGGCCCACCTTAATGACCTCATCCTAACTGGATTACATCAGCAAAGACCCTGTGTCCAAATGGTCACATTCCCGGGCGCCAGGGATTAGGACATCAACCTATCTTTCTGGGGGTGCGCCGCAGTCCACGGCCCACATCCTACCGTGCAGCAAAAACTAACGTGATTTCAAGGACGGTGAAGACAGGTGCCAGGCCCTTGAGCAGCTTACAAAGATTGGTTGGATGGACACAGATAAAATGGTGCAGGGAACACTGTCCTGACAGCAACCCTCTGTGGTAGGCATTATCAGCCCCATGTTACAAATGAAAACACCTGAGGCTCAGGAGGGTTAACAACCTTGCTGAGGGCCACATTGCTGGTCAGCAGTAGAGCCAAAATCCAAGCCTGCTTCTACGGATACCAAGGGCTCTCTCTCACTACGACAAGCTGGAGACATTCCCAGCTGAGGACAAAGAGGCACATTAAAGTCACAAACAGAATACAAATTGTTTAATGCATATTTGGGGGGGTAGGGAGGAAATAAGAAAAGCAAAGTTTCCTTGCCCCCTAAAGTCCGAAGTCAGATTGCCCCTTGCTGCAGAGACCTGGCAGCGACAGGCAGGACGGTGGGTCCTTCGAGTGGCATTGTCCTGTCCCTCCAAGCTGCCTCATTTGCAGGCAGCTGCCATCTCCCTGCATAGCAGGGGACTAATGGCAGGCATTCTTGGGGGCTACAGTGTGGGCAGGTGGCGAGCGAGGACTGAAAAGACGTTTTGTCAGGCCCAGCTTCTGCAGCGTGGAGGGGAAGGGCTGAGGAAGCCAGACTGAAGAACTGCTTTGGTGAAAGTGTGCCGCCGTCACAGTAAGTCACTGTGCATCTCTGCTGTTCCCGAGAGCTGACATTGCTCGAAGGCTAATTAGGAGCCAGACAGAACCAGAGGAGAGGAGAACGCTCTCAGGCATCTCTGCAGGAGAGGGGTGCAGGGCAGGAGAGTTCACTAGAGTGGGGTATCTCGGCCTCAGCCCTGCTGACATTTTGAACCGGATCATTTTTTGTTATCAATAATGACCATTTTGGGCCAGGCATGATGGCCATGCCTATAATCCCAACACTCTGGAAGGCTGAGGCAGGAGGATCACTTAAGTTTGGTCTCAAACTTCTGGCTTTAAGCGATACCAACTAGCAACACAGCAAGACCCCATCTCTACAAATAAATTAATAAATAAATAATTAACTGGGTGTGGCGGTGTATGCCTGCAGTCCCAGCCACTCAGGAGGCTGAGGTGAGAGGATCGCTTGAACTCAGGAGCTCAAGGCTACAGTGAGCTATGATCACACCACCACACTCCAGCCTGAGTGACTGAGACCCTGTCTCAAAAGAAAAAAGCAAGAAAAAAAGGAATGATCATTTTTTGTGTCCTGTGTATTGTAGGATGTTTTGCAGCCTCCCTGGCCTCTACCCACTAGATGCCAGTAACATCCCTCAAGTCATGACAACTAGAAATGTCCCCAGGGGGCAAACTCGTCCCTGGTGAGCACTGGCGTAGGAACATGCATCCTTTTTCCATAAGGAGGGCTCACTGTTTCCAGTGCTGTTCCAGGGAAGCCACCTGACATGCTCACTGCACCAGTGGCCTCCCCGCAAACCCTCGCTGCAGAAGCTCTGAAAAGCTATTAAGTTCACTGCCTACCCCCATCTTCATAAGCACAGAGATAATAGGCAACACATGTTCTCATAATGAAGAAAATGTTCCACTTGCCATTAAAGAAACACTAATTTGAAAACACACAACTGACATTCCCCACAAAGCCAGCAGGCACTAACCCCCTCTCCTATGGCCTTAGGGATGCATTAATTCAACTAGGGGCAGCTTGTGTACAAGCCCAAAATACTGGAAATACCCAAATAACTAGGAGAGGGAGCCTGAGGAGCTGCATCAGCAGGATCTAAGGCCGCAGCTGTCTGGTTAGGAAGAGCTCCTTCACGGGACCCAGCTAGAAAGTGGAGGAAGAATGGGTGGTGGATAAGAAAGCCACCTCCAACCACTCAATGGCTTGTGACTTCTGTCTGGACACCAACCAGCAATAAACAGCCAGCCCCAAAGTGTCCCTGAAGATGTCTACAAAACAGCAGCTGGAACCCTAACACCAGTGGTTGCTCCCTCCCCATTGCCCTTGCCGCCTGCTGATGGAAGGGACCCTGTGCGCTTGAACAGCAGCTCCCGTTCCCCCACAGTGAAATTGATTACTGTACCCACTAGGGTTCAAGTTTAAAAGATCTAAGTAGCCGGGTGCGGTGGCTCACGCCTGTAATCCCCAACACTTTGGGAGGCCGAGGCGGGCCGATTGCCTGAGGTCAGGAGTTTGAGACCAGCCTGGCCAACATGGTGAAACCCTGTCTCTACTAAAAATACAAAAATTAGCCAGCACGGTGGTGGGTGCCTGTAATCCCGGCTACTCAGGAGGCTGAGGCAGGAGAATCACTTGAACCCGGGAGGCAGAGGTTGCAGTGAGCCAAGATCACGCCACTGCACTCCAGCCTGGGGGACAGAATGAGACTCCGTCTCAAAAAAAAAAAAAAAAAAAAGAGAGAGAGAAAGAAAAAGAAAAAAGAAATGAAAGATCTAAGTAAAGTGGAAATCTTTGGTTCCTGGGCACATAACTACCACACACACCAAATATAACAAATGTGAGTGTAGGCTCGCCTGTGACTGTATCAGGAATCTTTTTCTAAAACAGATACACACCAAAAACTTACCTATTGAGGTAAGTGACCCCCTCCTCCCCCAAATGACCTCCAAAACGGTCTTGGGGCTCCTTGGCAGCTGTATTCCCATCTGTCTCCTCTTTCCCACACACTTGGATGGCAGGCACACTCCACGCAGCCTGCAAGCCATAGAGTTTCAGTAGCAACAGTGTCTCTCACCATGGCTAATCTAGAGTCTTAGCAGAGACTCCTTACTATCGTCTAAATGAGCAGGAGGATAAGCAGAGAACCACAGGGTGAAAGGCTTAGCTCTGAAATTAGCCAATGTGGCTTCAAAGCCCAGCTCCCACATTTGCTGTCTGTGTGGTCTTTGCAAGGGTCTGCCTGGCGTAGGCTCAAACGTAGATGGTTGTACTACAAAAAAAAAAAAAACAAAAAAAAAACCAAATATGCTGACCAGTGTCTCATGCTATCTTTGTTGCATAAATCACACCCAAAATGCATCATCTGTGATTTCCATGTCGGGCTTCTTGTGAAGCAATCTGAATATCCTAGATTTTTACAAATTTTGTTCCCAAATCTTTTACAGTTGCCTCATCCATACTTAATTCGATGGCATTTTTTTTTTGCAAAAGTAACTTTTATTAATATCATATCTTTCTAAACATTCTACTTCTTTTGTAGAAATGACAAATCTTGGTTTTCACATTCACACTGCAAACATTTACATAGCTTATAATTAAATTATTTAACAACAGTATGTGCAACTGGCATTTACAGGTTTATAAGCGCACACAGCGGATGCTGGTGAAGCCTACAACCCAGGTGTGAGAAGTGTGTGTGCGCATGCTAGAGAGAGAGTCTGTGAGCTTCCTGAAGGCAGGGGCTGGAATATTTTACAGAGAAAATAAGGAGCACTGGTTACATCAGTGCTCCCATTAGGCAGAGCGGTGATGTAGCTATAAGCTGAGTCCTACAGGAAGGCAGAGGCCGGAGTAAGTAAATGTGGCTGGGCTGGGGCATCTGTCCATAAGGACACACTGGACAACAGATCATGACCCCCACTCCTCCCACATCTAATATCCACTTTCTCTAAGGAGCTGGCAAATCAGTACTTAGAGGGCAAATGAACAGTGCAAAGGGCAGCTTTCAAGAAAGCCAGAATTATTCCTTCTTCCCAAACATCTCAGAAGACCAAAGGCCTAGAAGGAGCGGCCCAGAGGGCTTGCCTGGAAGGTTCTGTTTGTACTTATTAATTGTTACGCATCCACAACGTGGTTATTTAATGGGAAGTGAAAGCTGGGGGACCGGGAGGCTCATGAAAACCAACTCCAGTGAGCCTCCATCCTCTGCCCCCACCCCTTCAAAACAGGAAGGCCGTTGCCCTTGGCTGAACAGCTTTTTAAAGTGACCTTGACCCTAGGTTTCCCTTGACTGTAATTTTTTTTTTTTTTTTTTTTTTGAGTCTCACTCTGTTGCCTAGGCTGGAGTGCAGTGGCGTGACCTCCGCTCACTGCAACCTCCACCTCCCGGGTTCAAGCAATTCTCCTGCCTCAGCCACCCGAGTACCTGAGATTATAGGCGCCCACCACCATGCCTGACTAATTTTTTGTATTTTTAGTAGAGACGGGGTTTCACCATGTTGGCCAAGCTGGTCTCGAACTCCTGACCTCTGGTGATCCACCCGCCTTGACCTCCCAAAGTGCTGGGATTATAGGCATGAGCCACTGTGCCCAGCCCCCTTGACTGTTAATTTTTATATTTCAGAGCTCACAACAGTTGCATCACCAGCTTCCTTCCAGCCAAGAATGAAAAGGAAAGCTCCTACAAAATCCAGGGCTCGGGACTGTGTCATGGGACGCTCAGGGCCACTTAGGGACACTGCTGCAATGGCTCATGGCAGGTTGTAATATTTTAGTTTCACTATATGAGAAAATAGTCTCTCCTTCCTCTCAAGCCCCTGCTCTCAGAGAGCCCAGAAGTCCTAAATTGGCAGGGGTCTTTTCACCTTGACGGCGGGCTGGAGGACTGCCCGGGTGTTGCATCACAGAAGTTGCCTCAGCGTGCATCACTGCCACTCTGGCTGGACCGAGCAGGGCAAGGCTGGGTACACCATCTGCTGCCCCGGGGGATGCCTGGAGGCCAGCACTAGCCACGGCTACACAGCTCTGCACACACGCACACACGAGCGTCAGACTTGACCATGAAGCTGGGCACTCCTCTTCTGCAATCGCACTGGCATGTTTCAGGATTTTTTTATTTTATAAGGTGAAGTGACAGAACACAGTCTTCAAAGGAAAGTAAGAGTGTTTCCAAATGGCATCAGAGTGTGAACCTGAATTCTAATAAGAGAAGAGGAAGCTCAATTCTTAGGCCTGGAAAAGTTCAATCATGATGCCCTAGCTAAGACAATGCTTTACCCAAAGATTTCGACCAGGTGTGTCCAATCTTTTGGCTTCCCTGGGCCACAGTGGAAGAGGAATTGTCTTGGGCCACATATAAAATACACTAACACAAACAACAGCTACTAAAAAAAAAAAATCACAAATAAATCTCATATATATACATATATATATATATATATAATTTTTTTTTGAGACACGGTCTCACTCTGTCATCCAGGCTGGAGTGCAGTGGTGTGATCACGGCTCACTGCAACCTCCGCCTCCTGGGTGCAAGCAATCCTCCCACCTCAGCCTCCCAAACAGCTGGGGCTACAAGTGTGCACTACTACACCTGGCTAAGTTTTGTATTTTTAGTAGAGATGGGGTTTCGCCATGTTGGCCAGGCTAGTCTTGAACTCCTGGCCTCAAGTGATTCCCCCACCTCGACCTCCCAAAGTGCTAGGATTACAGATGTGAGCCACCATGCCCGGCCTCATAATGGTTTAAGAAAGCTCACAAATTTGTGTTGGGCTGCATTCAAAGCCATCCTGAGCCATGTGAGGCCTGCAGGTTGAACAAGCTTGATCTAGACCAAGGGGCAAAACCCAAAAGGCTAGTAGGTGGACAACTATAACCCAGACCAACAAAATAACTGATCAGTAAGGAAGCTCCAGGCAAGGGGCTAGCCAGACCTCGGCTAGAGGTGGGTACATCAGCCTGGGGGTCTATAAGGTGGATCTCTTAGGTGATCTCCAGGTTAGACTGGATGACCCCTCTTCCTGGCAACCAAGATGCTGGAGTGGAGAAAGGACAGTGTTCCTGTAGTCAACAAATTTTTAGGAAATGTTACCTTGGTCTAATTATTGTGCTACGAAGTAAAGAGACAGCCGCCTGCCCCCATAGAGTGGGCATCTCCTGTAATTGGAAATGACGGATCGTCATGGTAACCTTAGAGCTGGAAGGTGCCTTAGAAAACTCACAAAGCAACAAACCAGCAGTTCCTTGCTGTTGGGCATCCCACTCTTTTTGTTCTTTCTGAGATGTAGTCTTGCTCTGTTGCCCAGGCTGGAGTGCAGTGGCACCATCTCAGCTCACCACAACCTACACCTCCCGGGTTCAAGCAATTCTCCTGCCTCAGCCTCCCAAGTATCTGGGATTACAGGCGTGCGCCACCACTCCTGGCTAATTTTTGTATTTTTAGTAGAGATGAGGTTTCACCATGTTGGCTAGGCTGGTCTCGAACTCCTGACCTCAAGTGATCTGCCCGCCTCAGCCTCCCAAAGTGCTGGGATTACAGGTGTGAGCCACAGTGCCTGGCCAGGCATCCCACTCTTGCCTTTAATTAGCAGAGTGCTCCTGATGCACGCAGGACTTCCACGCTTGCTGCTGTTTCTCTTGTTCAGGGAAACTCATCCTTGTTCTTTAAGCTGCACATTTATGAGGCAGCTGGCCCCTGCCAAAAGGACCATCATTTTCATTAAAGGTCAAAGTCAGCACTCAGGATATTAAGAACTTCAAATGAACAAACTGTGTTCCTCTGGCTTCATCAGCATTTTATTTTTACCCTTGGGCATGGAGAGATGGACAACCAGAAGAAAGTGGCATCATTTGATGCCCTACATTTGTTTAACTACAGGGAGGGGAGGCAGAGAGGGAGGAAATGGAGAAGCAACCAGTTTCTGGTATCACAAGTCTTCACAGAGATCAGACTCTGTTCACACGAGACAAATATCCCCTCTCCAATCATTAGAGACCCTGGTCACACATAAGTCACTGAGCAGCGTCCTGATACCTTATGTTAGCCTTGAAAATGGCTGCAAAACACAAACTTTTTTGCCTGTGCCATTTACAAGATCATCTCAGTCGGGTGTGTCCAATCTTTTGGCTTCTCTGGGCCACATGGAAGAATTGTCTTGGGCCACACTTAAAATACACTAATGATAGCTGATGAGCTAAAAAAACAAACAGGCTGGGCATGGTGGCTCACCTAAGGTTGAGAGTTCAAGACCAGCCTGGCCAGCGTGGTGAAACCCCATCTCTACTAAAAATACAAAAAATTAGCTGGGCGTGGAGGCAGGCGCCTGTAATCCCAGCTACTCAGGAAGCTGAGGCAGGAAAATCGCTTGGACCCGGGAGGCGGAGGTTGCAGTGAGCCGAAATCAAGCCATTGCACTCCAGTCTGGGCAACAGAGTGAGACTCCATCTTAAAAATAAATAAAATAAAATAAAATAAAAGCAAAAAAAAACCGTTTCAAGAAAGTTGATGAATTTGTGTTGGGCCACATTCAAAACCATCCTGGGGCGCATGGGGCCAACAGGCCATGGGTTGGACAAGCTTGATCTAAATGTTCTTACAACAAACACACAATCTGATTTCAAGGAAACTAAGAGAAGAGAAACATTAGTCCTTTAAGCTGTGAAAATAGGTTCCTTAGGACAAAGGTAAAAGAACTTGAAAAGATATTCAAAAATAAACCCATAAAGCCCCCAAAAAAGGAAGTACAACTTCCCTTTTGCTACAATGGCAATCCTAACAACTCATTTTAATCTTCAAGGAAGAGAAAAACATGCAGAAAATTTCCTGTGTGGTTTTTTTTTTAAAAAACCTGTTTTATTCAGCTACTGTATACAGCTGAGTATGTAATGAATAACCCAGCTGGTGTTTACGGGACAGCTAATACTGCACATTCAGCAAATGCTAGGTAGGGTCAGCATCACATTTTTGGAAGACACCATTGTGCCCACACACAGGGTGGAAGACACTGCAAACTGTTATCAGATGATAATCTTCCAGCCAATCTCCCACTTCTCAGTCTCTCCCACTTCACGACTTTTCAAAAAGCAGAGGAAACAAAACCCACACACAATCCTACCACCATCTGGCGGCTTCAGACCAGCAAGCATGAGATTCTGGCATGCACCGTACTGGCAGCCACAAAGACCAATATTCCTCTTTGTTGCTGTTTTAAAAGCAAAGCGAGAATGGTAATATGGAAACACAAAAACACGGACACGCTCACACTATGGGAAAACCATATTAACAGCAAACACATTCCGACAGGGAGGCTTCCCTGTCTACGTTTTGGATGGAATGGTGTCTGGTTGCAACACCCTGTGGGGGTGTCACCTGGGAAATGCCAGCTGTCTCCCCGACATCTGCCACCATGAACCCCCCATTGCCATGGTCTGCCTCTGCTGCATGGGCACAGAAAGATGCTCCTGCTGAAGCCAGGTCTGAGCGACTCGATGACGCCAGCTCCTGCCAGCGAAGCAGCTGTGGCCTGATGCAGAAACCACATGTCATTTTCTTAGTTCACAAAATTTAACTGTCGGGTAGATAAGATGCTCACAGTATCTGGATCAGGGATTATCTCCCAGTCAGCCTTCTTGGGTTGTCAGGTAATTCAGAAGGTGGCCAGATGAATATGGAATCAGAATCAGGGAGTTAGTGTTCTAGGGATCAGAGTAAGAGCCTGCTACATCTATCCCTGACAAAGGGATGGCTCTAAGCTGGGACTCTGCGGAGACAGCCCTCGCACTGCCTCCCTCCCTGCCCTCTCGCTGCCTCCCTCCCTGCCCTCTCGCTGCCTCCCTCCCTGCCCTCGCGCTGCCTCCCTCCCTGCCCTCGCGCTGGGCTCCCGTTGGAGATCAGAACTCCCTGTGATAAACATCTATCCTTGAACCCGCTAGCACCTAAAATCAGGTTTCATGCATGTGTCACTGGCCTAAGAGCTACTTTATTCCTTTAAGAGGTTTCTGTACATCCCCAAACTATGCCAGAATATAGCGACTTTATCATCTCTTAGGAGGTAATCTTGCAGTTTTTCATATTATTAGGAATAGCTCCCATTTACTGAGTGCTTGCAACATGACAAACCCTTGCAGGAATGTTGTATTCATTTTTTTAAAATCTCATTATACTCCTCTTATAGGTACCATTATAAAGTAGGTATCTCATTTTTTTTTTTTTTTTTTTTTGAGACAGAGTCTCACTCTGTTGTCCAGGCTAGAGTGCTGGGAGTGCAGTGGTGTGATCTTGGCTCACTGCAACTTCTGCTTCCCAGGTTCAAGAGATTCTTGTGCCTCAGCCTCCCAAGTAGCTGGGACTACAGGCATGTGCCACCATGCCCAGCTAATTTTTGTGTTTTCTGTGTTTGGTTTTTTGTTTTTTTTTTTTTTTTTTGAGATAGAGTTTCACTCTTGTGGCCCAGGCTGGAGTACAATGGCATGATCTTGGCTCACTGCAACCTCTGCCTCCTGGGTTCAAGCGATTCTGGGATTACAGGCACCCACAACTACGCCCAGCTAATTTTTGTATTTTTAGTAGAGACGGGGTTTCACCGTGTTGGCCAGGCTGGTCTCAAACTCATGATCTCAAGTGATCCACCTGCCTCAGCCTCCCAAAGTGCCGGGACTACAGGCACAAGCCCCTGCACCCCGCCAAAAGTAGGTATCATTATCCTCATTTTACAGATGAGGCCAAGGGTACTCAGAGAGGTTAAGTAACTTGCCCAAGGTCACACAGAATTCAGAATTTACATCCAGGGCTGAGTCGATAGCTAGAACTTTCAACCACTCCATTCTTGGGGGCATCTCACTGTTGCCAGGACATTACCAACAGAAACATTTGGCAGATAGGGAATTAGGTTTTCTTCCCCCACCCCCGATCCTATAACTGGGAGAAAATAAGAGCCCTTCCCCCGAACATCTGTTTTATCAGCCAGATTCAAACCGTGCTGTCGCCACTTCCTCGCTCAACTGTGTACAGTTGGCCGGTCTGCATCCAAGGCCATGAGTTCAGGGTGGACATGTACTGTCAGGCTTCAGCAGGAATCACCTCCTGCCAGCTTCCTTTGGCAGGGTACACTGCTTATTCATGCAGAGGACCCCTCCTTATTTGCCAGGACAATCTATCCTGAAATCACCCTTTCAGCCACTGACTCCCCTCCGCAACCTGTCTTAGCAGGAGGCATCTTCAGGACAGCTTCCCAGGGATGGCCCTGGGAATCATGCTTAGCTGAATTCAGGATCCTGTTTTCTAGAAACTGACGTTTTAGAAACAGCTTCAGACATAGAAGGAGCTCAACAAACGTGAGTAAGTGGAACCAGGCAGACATGCCAAGCTTCGCGTTCTACGCTCGTAATATTTGCTCTTCCTCGATTCTCTCCTGGCTCCTCCTCATCCCTCTTCCCCATTTTTACTGCACACCTTTACTGAGTTAAAGTTCTAGAGGAAAAGTGGCTGCAACTAAGCCAAGACTCTATCAAAGGCCCTTGAGGGATACAGGCCAGGGACAGAGGATGCATTCTGCAGTTGATTTCCCGGCCAAACTCATCTGGGGTCATTTAAACTAACTCGTATACTATCTTCTTCTCCTCCTCTCTATCTCTTCAATTTCTATCTCAAGTCATACCTTCCCCAGATGGTTTCTGAATGAGTGTCTGGATGGTTTCTGATCTAAACAGAGTTTTTAAAAAAGGAATTGAAATTCTAACCCCGGAATAGCAAACAAGAGGCTGGCTTTTACCATTCAACAGAGAAAGCAAGTATGAGGCTTGCGCAGGAGAGAAAGCAGCACCGTGACACGACCAAAGTGCCCTTGAGTCCCTACAAGCTAGACAAGCCCGAGCCTCCCAGCCTCCATCTATTCAATGGAAGGGCATAACTGGTTTTAGTTTCTAGCTCCCAAATCGAGTCTCAGGTCAAGCAGTGGTAATGTGAATCCAAAAACTATTCTCAGTAGGTCTAAAAGCCTCTTTACTGCTCAGGCTAACTTAAGCACTCACAGTCCTTTGCTTTCTGTTGGAATTATATAAAGCCCGATAAAAATGACCCCAGGTTAACAGTTATTATATATCTCTACAGAAAAGGGGGGGCTTAATTATTACTTAAAAATGTAATTTGTTCGGTAAATAAGATTTTACAAAGCTTGAGGTAGGTCAGTAGAGATTGGTAACGTGGAGAGTCCTCAGTGGTTAGAAGCCACTGCTGGAAGTGGAAGATAAAATGTGTATTCCCAAAACATTTTCCCAGTCTTGCCCAATTACCATGAAAATGGGACATGATTCTAGCACCCTGATGACCTTCTGAGGTTAAACTAAACTGCTCTGTATTAGATGCCCCTCTGAGAGCTGGTCACATCATGTAATGAAGACTTTACTAGATAACTCAAGCCACTCTGGTTCCTCTTCCAGTTCTCCTTCTCCTGCACTGTTTTCTTCCCCACACCCACTTTATTAACTGTGTTCTTCTAACAAAATGCAGATAAGAATAACTACCAATGAATGACTGAAACCTGACTGTGGCTCAGTCATCAGTTAGGAAGTTGCCAGAAGGCAATGGGATTGTGGGACACAGGGGCTGACCACATGTCCCATGGATGAGCACTGGAGCCAGGGTAACATCATGGCCTCGCCTCCTCCAGCAATATCATGGCCTCGCCTCCTCCGACAAGGTCATTGCCCAACTGCAGAGAACCAGTAGGGTCTGGTTTATCGCCACTGTATTGTGCATGTTCAGGTTGCCGACATCTTTTCAAGCAGTGGGCCTGAGTGTTCCTTCCCACTGCCCTGGGGTATGATGGGGGTCCTAATTCCCAACACTTAAGGCCTATGCAAACAGCTGTTTCCTTGTTTTTTATGTTAGTTACTTTTTTAGAATGAGCTCTTCATAGACAAAGGCAAGGATGGTAAATCAGTTTATCTCTTGGGCTAATTCTGATCAGGTGTATGGATGCCTGGGGCACTGTGTGGAGGGTGCTGTGGGCAGCTATGCGCTAGATGGAAAATGGATTGGCTAGATCAGCTAGTAATGTCTGCTACAACCGCAGGACAGTGGAAGGATGCAGACTCTGTATTTGCTACCCTGGGCCTAGGATCTCAAAAGAGAGCTCAAGACACAACTTATTAAACTTCAGTATACACAAGGATCACCAGGAAATTGTGCTAAAATGTAGATTCTGATCCAGAAGGTCTAGAGATTCAGCATATCTGACAAGTTCCCAGAAGATACTGACTTGCTGCTAGACTACCAACCACACTTGGAGTGAAAGGGGCTAGAATGTTTCACCAGCCAGAATACTTTCCCCAGCTCCCTGAGAACATCATCACCACACAGAGCCCCTGCCAGGTGAAATCCAGCTGACGGGATGTCCTGAGACAGTAAATATGACTGTTTGCCAGTTGCACCACTAAAGGACACAGGGTCTGCTGCTGGGACAGTCTCCTGCTGATGAAGCTTCTCCACCCCTCGCCTTAGTGTCCCATCCCAAACCACACTCTTCCATTTAACCAGAGGTCCTCCTACCAACGAGTGAAATGGCAACCCCGGTCTAGAGGAAAGGGAGAGCATGGGAGGGCTGACAACGTCTCAGGGCAAAGTGGCTCGACAGCAGAAGAGTTAAGGGTCAGAAAGAGTCCCTCGGTTCCCACCTGCTCCTATCTTTCCCATGTCTAGGACATTCACGTAACCTTCAGAGTGACTTGGTATAAAAAGGTGGGCAAGGAGTAAGCTTTTATCTTCTCCCTTGCAGAGGATTAGAAGTGGTTCAGAGGCCTCCAGTCCTTGCAAATAGGATGGGATGCCTTTGTTCAAAGGCAGGGAAGGAAAGAGAGACTAAGGGGACCAAGTGCATTCTCACACTTAATGCGCTGTCCTGGGCTTACTGCTCCACGGGCCTGTGTCCTTCATTAGACAGCGACCACCTTGGAGGAACAACTACGTGTGAGCCATTCCTGAATTCTCAGTATCTAGCAAAATGCATGACTTAGAATAAAGACTCAATTGATGTTTGTAGATAAAGGGGAAAGAGTTTAAAACTTGGACACTATCCTATTCTGAAGAGCAGGTACTCCTGACATTTTGGCAGCTGAGCTGACTCTGAGCTCCTGGGGTGGGGGGAAATGAGACATTCTTCATACATATCAGACTCACCCATGGATCCCCTCTCCCTGGTGATGTGCAAACAACAGGGACAGGAGATCTGGACCATAAAGCTGTGAGCTCCGGGAGGCCTGCCTAGTTTGTGATTCAAGGTCATCTAGGGAAAGAACATATGTAACTGCTAATCTAATAAAGGATATTTAGATCAATCCTCAGCTTTTCTGCCTGCCTGTCAAATAAAATTAAGTATATGAGCACCTACTATGTGCAAGGTATTAACAATAGGATCGTGATTCTTCTTCCATATTAGACATGCACAAAAGAAAAAAATGAAAACAAAACAACGAATCAAGTCGTTTTATTTTGTGACATGGGGCTGATACAGACCTCAAAAGTACCCATAAGGCTGGAACCGGGCCCATTAAAATGCTCACAGTACTCAAGACATATTTTTTTAGAAGATAATTACTAACAATCTCTGAAGCTTCAGGTCCCCTTATATGCTACAAGAAAAGCCTTCGCGGGAACAGATCTGTTGCCATGACAACAATCACTTGGCTGCGCATAAAGAAGGGCGGGGAACCTACCAAATGGTATTCTCAACAGTCAGCCCTGGGATTTCTTAAAGCCACTTTCTAAAGAACCGTCAGCATCTAGGAGAATCTAAAAGCTGCATGAGACCTTAGGGGTAACCTAGTTTCACATGACACCAGAATTTCTTCTTTATCGTCCCTGCCAAATAGTCATCTGGACTCAGTTGAAACATCTCCAGGACCAGAGAACTTGCTCCCCTTCATGCCAGGAGGAAGATGGTAGGGAGCTTTCTTCAATCATCCCTGGAGTGAGGTGAACAGAGGTACAAGAAGGGAGGGAGTAATTACCTGAAGAACCTTCCCCTTTCCAAGCAGCAGGTTTAGGCTCTGGCAATGCCTGCCATGAGCTCAAGGAGCCCAAACGAAACAAAAAAATGCCTGGAAGGTAACTTCTCCCAGGTCTCCAATACAGAGCTAGTTTCCAATTCTAGCCATTCAATGCCACCTGGAAATCCATGGTTGTCACTGTTATGCTACATGGAAACAGCACCAAGGACCCTGGTGGTATTCCATGAACCATGTGGAAGGCTGCATGGGGAAACCCACAGCCAGGTGCCTTGTATCCACATGCTGTAGAAACAGTGCACGTGCCTGAGTACACATGTGCACAAACCCACCAGACAGACCCCCCCCCCCCAGCATGTGACTCAACAGTCACCTCTGTAGAGCATCACTAAAGATGGCTTCTCCCAGGGCCCTGCCCATCAATTATCTTTTGAGACAAATGCACATGGATTCTTAGGTAACTCACAGGGGAATATATTTGTATAGACCAAGATTGGGAGAAAGAGCCAGGGGTGAGCTGGGGGGATTGCTGGGTAAGTGACGTACATCACAAAAGTGGATACAAGCCCCACTGAAGGAGAAGTAAATACCTTGCCCATGTGTTGCTGCTACAAGGAGCGGCGTGACCTGTGGAGGAGACTTTCAGGCCCAGCCGACCTGAACACACGACCTCCAGCTGTCAGCTGGCATCCCCCCATTACAGTGAGGTTCCACCAAGACAGGTGCCTGGGATACTCTCCTACAGGCCTACTTCCATTCTGTCCATGCAGAACAGACCCTCGGCTCCCTTCAATTCACCACGTCCCTCAGCTCACCACCCACCTCAACACTTTACAGATGGCCTTTAGATACCATCGGCATCTTTCAGTAATCACTCCGGGCTGACACAGTGAGACCTGGGACCACCATCCTGAACAAGCTTAATGGCCCATTTCATATGAGAAAGAGAATCAGAAATATTAAAAGGAAATACCCTGTTTTTAAAACTCCAGTTTACTTAGTACCTTATCAGTAATGTCTACCATCCCAAAAGAAGACTGGAGAAATAAAACAGATTTGCATGACGTAAAATGATCTTGATCTCAGACACTCAAGCGTATTTGCACAGAAGCAGATTTGATGTGAAGATGGCACCTGTGAACAGGGACCTCCCCAGAACCAAAGCTTACCCCAGGGACAGCTCTGCTGCCTGTGGGGCTCACAGAACGCCAGAATGCAGCCCCTGGGCTTTTCTACCAAGGTTCCCAATCAGGAACCCAGCACTCATTTGGGGAAGAACCTAGCAAATAATCTTAATGGTACTTAATTAGCAAACTTTAAAGTTTCAGGCAGGAATTATCTGCTGCAGGAATTAGTATCGATTTGGTGAGCATCCTACAGGGGTGACATTGGACCACTCCCAACAGTTTCCCCCAGCAGTAACAACTGGGGAAAAAAGAAAGCACAAAGAGCAGCTCCTGACCACAAGGCAGAGGACAAAGAGTGGGGCAATGGCAGGAGCAGACACATCCTCATTACAGAAAAGAAGCCAGGGTCGTCCCCAGCTGTGGAACTGGCAGCCGCCATTTCCAGATGACTGCACATGCCCACAGGAAACGGCATAGGCAGGGTAGTCATTAGGAGAGAAGAGATTTGCATTCACATAACTGAGAAGACAAGCTTGCAGTCCCTGAGATGCTGGTTTATTTTAGGAGACAATTACCCAGTTGTTACAAAGCTGAAACTGACCTTTCAGGTAGAAATCTTGGCATCAGGGATCTTCTTGTCTTAAGCAGGAAAAACTGAGATTTTAAAGACCAAGTTTAAAATGTGTGTGTGTGTGTGTGTGTGTGTGTGTGTGTGTGTGTGTGTGTGTGTGTGTGTGTGTACGAGAGAGAAAGAGAGACAGAGAGAGAGAAACACAAAGAAACACAAGTGAACCTAACGGCAGGGACAGATTTCATCACCAGGCAATACTAGGTCACTAGATTAACACTGAATTGTATTCAGCCCACAAACAAACATTCGAAAGCAGATTAAGAACTGTTGTGTTGGAAAACGAGATTAAACAAATCCCATTTTCTTATTTTTTTTAGGTTCAAAAGACTGAAACCCATCAAGTGAATTAAGTAAATAGGACAACCACCATCCAGCCCCACTAAACAAGTGGACAAATTCCGTAGGCAGGCTATCCCTGCAAATTTCAGTTCTCAGAAAGCAGAGCACGGTGCTATGACAGGAAAAAAGGTCTCAGGGGCATTTCTGTGGCCCTAGAAGGATGGCCTATTTCCTGAAGGTATGCATCTATACCTAGGCTGTCTCTCAATACACTCAGCCGCCCGAGGACCATCTTACAGATGAGGAGCAAGACTCAGAGAGCAGAACAATTGGCTCAGGGCAACCCACCGAACAGGAGTATACCACAGAGGTTAAGATTCAGGGTTCTGGAGCTGGATATCCCTGGTCACTGTTCCAGCTCTCCCTCCAACCAATGGTATAACCTTGGGTGACATCTACTCTGAATCTTTGTTTCTTCATCCAACAGGAGCTGCTCCACAGTGTTATCAAGGATTGAATGAGATAATCCAAGTAGGATGCTGAGTGCCAGGCCCTGTGCACACGTAGTCAGATCATCATGCAATTAACACGCAAACCTACAGCTGTCTTATTCTAGACCTCTTCACTGCCTTTGTGTGCACAGCTTCATGCAACAAAAGACTCTCAGCTAAATCTGGTTTTGGATTTACTTCTCAACTCATTGCAAAATGTATTTGAGTTTCCTGTTTCATGTATCAACTCCTATGCAGAAATGTGTGTAACAATTGGGAGGAGAGTATCACTGCCTCCAAAGACAGCTACAGAAAGGTCCTTCAAGCCTATGGGGGCTGCTACGTACAGCTCCACAGGTAGCTGACTGCACAAGTCTAAGAGAATGCTATTTCCATAGACAATGAGTCATGGGCATCCTAAAGTCTGGTTTCTACCCCAGTCAAATCCAGAATGAGATCTGAGTGGAACTGAGTCATGGCACTGCCTGCTCTGCTGCCCCATCCCTTTCTTTCCTTTTGTTTTCCCTGTTGGTAAACTTCAAACTACATTAATTTGTTCTCAGCCACAGCAAGGTTTAAAAGTTAGGGATATGGTTGGGCACAGTGGCTGTCATCCTAGCACTTTGGGAGGCTGAGGCAGGAGGATGGTTTGAGCTCAGGAGTTCAAGACCAGCTTGGACAACACAGTGAGACCTCATTTCCACAAAACATTTTTAAGAACTAGCCAGGCTTGGTGGTCTGCATCTGTAGTCCCAGCTACTTGGGTGGCTGAGGTGGGAGGATGGTTTAAGCCCAATAGGCTGAGGCTGTAATGAGCCATGATCATGCCACTGCACTCCAGCCTGGGCGACAGAGCAAATACCTGCCTCAAAAAAAAAAAAAAAAAAAAAGGGTAGGAATATAGCAAGAGGTGGTAGCAAAGACATGGGTCCCGCCCCACACAGCTAGGGGAAAGAACAGGGGGATTACCTGCTACTGAAACCTTGCTCAATTGGAGGCCAGGAGCTAACACCAGGACTTGTCACATTTATAAAAACAATCACACATTAAATTCTCAGGAGGTTTTACTCATCTGAGAGTGAGGCCGCAATACCATTTCCCTCTCCTTTCTAAGGGATGGGTGTGTTTCTTTTCCCAATGTGGAGACAGGGGACACTCACCTTTGTCCTCATCATGGGCATGGAAAAACCATCTCTGATTTCCAAACCAGTGGCAGAGCCACCAGCAAAGGCCAACTTCACAAAGAGGCGCAGGATCCAGAAGACTATGCTTCAGCTGTTTTGGAAATGGGTATGTTTTTTCCCCAAAGAAACAATGTCATGAATGGTAGTTAAGTTCTCAGGCTGGCCTGCAAACTTAATCCATTATATACCCGCATCAGATGCTACTGAACCTGACCATGTCCCATAACAATGTTTCTATAGGAAAGAAGTACCCAATTTCAACCTGGGACATGGATTTTAGTGACAAGGGGAAAAGGGCAGGGGGAGGAAAGGAAGAGGCTCCTGCCTTTGAAAGAATGACATATTTTATGTGTTTACTAAATCATCCATACCTACCATGCACAGACTCTAGGATTAGTCAATAAAATAGTCCTTGCCCTAAAATAAACACAGGCGCAGTGGTACAAAATGACAGATAAACAGTACTGGATGACACAATGTGATAGGAGGAGATCAAGAAGGGCTTGTCTAAGCTGAGATGGAAGGAAGACAGTGTATGTTGGAGGTTCCAGAAGGCGGGAAGATGCAGCGTTCCAGATGAACAGAAGAGCACGTGCAAAAAAGGCCTGGCAGTACAAGAGAACAGTGCGTGCCTGGAGGGTCTCTAAGGAGTCCAGTGTGGCCAGAGTGCCAGGGATGTGGCATGGCAGTGAGAGGATTAGGTTAGAGCAAGAGAGGCAGGAGGAGGCCAGGCCTGGAAATGGCTTCAGGAAAGCCATGCTGGGGGGTAGGCAGAGCTCTCACCCCAAGGCAAATGGAGAGCGGTGGAAAGGATTAAAAGTTAGGGATGTGGCCACGAGGTGGAAGCAACCCAAATATCTGCTGGGGATGAACAGATAAACATATACATACAATGGATTATTCAGGCCTAAAAAAGGAAGGAAATCCTGACACAGGCTCCAACACTGGATGAGCTCTGAGGACATAATGCTAAGTGAAATAAGCCCGCCACAAAAGGACAGATACTGTGATTCCACTTCCACGAGGTGTCTAGCAGAATCACACTCACAGAAACAGAAAGGAGAATGGTGGTTATCAGGCACTGGGGGGAAGGGGGAAAATGCGAGTTGCTGAATGGGTTCAGAGCTTCAGTTTTGCAAGAGGAAAAAGTCCTGGAGATCTGTGGCACAACACTACAGAACTCTACACTTGAAAATGATTAAGACGGTATATGTTATATTATGCACACTCCACCACAACTAAAAATTAAAATTTTTTTAAAAACCAATGATCTCATTATAGCTTTGGTTTCTATTCTGGGGATGATTCTGGAGGGGAAACTGAGGCAAGAACAAGCAGTGCCTCCTTCCCTAACCAGATCAGCCTAGAACTACTGGTGGCCCTAGAACCAGCCGTTCAGGATCACAGGAGGAAGGGCTGAGGCCAGCACCCTTCTCCTGGTCAGTGCCCCAGACGCTATGGCTATTATGGCAGCCGGGCCCCATGGCCTTCGACCTTCAGGATTCTCCTGCTTCCTCCTCAGCATCACTCTTCCCTTTGCCACCATCAGTGGTGACACCAGCACAGATCCACACGGCTCTGGGCCACCTCCGCCTCCAACTGAACCAAGAGTGCAAGTTCATGATGCCAAATTCAGGGCACAGATAAACCAAACCAACACATTCAACATGAACATGCAAACGCTCTGCTGTGATGTCAGAAGAGGCCTAACATCCTACGCTTCAGCATGCAACAGACAAGATTCCACTGCAACAAACTGCAAAGGAGAGCCTATGTTTATTTGCACTGGATTTGCAGGGAAGCTGCTGGAAGTAAGACCCTTGACCCAGGCATCTTCTCATGAGGTTTTTGTCATTGCTGCGGCTGTTGTTAAGTGTGCCTGTTTCAGGCAGTAAAAAAAAAAAAAAAAAAAAAAAATCAGCTTTATTACTTGAGCTCAGCCCACCAATATGCTTCAGTATGTTCCGACATCCTGCCCATGGCTAGATTATGTGACCCAACCCCCATATGTCAGTGCTGGGCAGAGGAAAAATAAAAGCAAACAAGACTGTCCCTGCTGTCAGTCCAGGTCTCACCAGAGAGTGAGACACATAAGCAGACGGAAACGGATAGTTCCCAGGTATTAGAGTAGAGGAACACAAAACATAGGAGAGAAAGGGATCCTTTGGACTCCCCCACATTCTTCAGCAACTTCCCTGTCTGATTCTGCAGTGATTTCTGTTGCTACAACTTAGAACCTAGACTGACAGTATCAGGGACAGAACTAAGCCCTTCTCAATTCACTCCTTGAGCAACGAGGCACTCACTTGTTGAAATCTTCAGATTATGAGACTGACGTGCTACCTACTGCGCTAAGGAGGCAACTGAGTTGCTGAAATCTTGATTGCTTTTTCATTTCAAATTTGAACCTTTCATTTCAAGTTTACAAAAATAGGGATCGATTAACAATCAGATTAACTGGCATTTCATCTAGAGACTAGCAATTCACCTGAACTTTGGCCTGCCACAAATCCCACTGTTTTTCTCATTAGGATTACATAAGTGGTAAACCAACAGATGGAAATGCTGTCCATAAGTGGTAAACCAACAGATGGAAATGCTGTCTGGTCAGAGAACGAGGGCAGTGTCTACCGCTACCACACATGAGTGTGTCAGACTTCGAGTCCATGCCTAATGTTTTTTCCAGAATCATTCCCAGAATACCAGCGGCAAGAAAAATGATTTTCAGGCAGGCGGGGCAACTCTTTCTTTGCTGTTCTGTGAAGGAAACCAGGAGCTGCCCCTAAGGGGCAGGGTCTCACCACTTGCTTCCATTTCTAGGAGATCAAGGACCCACCAGAGAGCCCGCTGGGTCCCAGGGGGCTCCCATTCAGACCGCGAGCAGACGTGGTGGCCCAAAGGCCTCTGACTCCTTTAACCCATTTATCCTAATTTTCCTGGTCAATTACAAAGAGCCTGGAATTCAGTTCTTTCATTTCTTATGAGAGAACCATGAGAGCTGGGAAGGTTCTTAAAAATCATCTTGCACTTCAAAGAGAGATCTCACCTAAACCAGAGATTTTCAAGAGAATAATTTTTTATACGGCAGCAACCCCCTATTTTAATTTGGGATGTTTCACAGGGCGAGAGGGGTGCAGGGGATCTCCACAGATTGCCATTCTCCAGCCCCACCACAAGCCCCTGGGCACCCTCTGCGAGCTCACCTACCTGATCATGCCACTCAAAATCAGAGTGGACCTGGAGCTCAGTGACCTCAGAGATCCAAGAAAGTCACTTGGCAAAATTTACCACCATGTTTTATACTCCTCGCTTGAAGTAGTAACCTGGTGCTAAGCAACGTCTAGACTTTATTTCTAAAATCCCTGACAACTCTATGTGGCAGGCATGAATATTCCCATCATAGAAGAGGAAAATGAGACACAAAGGCTATAGCACTTCCAAGAGGTGGCCTGGCACATTAGCCCTCATTACGCCCTGACTCTATTTTTGGGAGATGAATTATTTACGTGGGTTATGCAGGTTTTCTGTCTTGGGTAAAGTATCATGTAAGAGTACTCACCCCTTCTAAATGGACTGCTACCTAAATACTTCCTATAATAACATTCTCAAGATGCCTTTGAACAGAGAGGGTAAGGAACCTGCCTGGGGTCACACAGCTAACATGCAAGGGATCTGGATTTCAAATGAGGTCATGTGCCTCCAAAGCCCATACACCAGACTCCTCAGCCTTTATAACCTAAATCTCTTAGGCTGCTGCTGCCCAGGCCTGTCTACTTCAAAGTCCCAGACCTCAGTGGAAGGCAAACAGGCAGCCACCCTCTACATACCAATTTTTCCCAAGCAAATGGACAAGTACCCAAAACAAACTTTTCTGTTTCACAACATTTCTGGCCTTCATTCATGCCAAGAGTAAGCAACTGTTGCATCGTTCCACATGATCACAAGACAGATTCCCAAAGATGACTTCAACAGGGCAGGGTCTGTGTACCAATTTTTTCATTTTTAATCTGCAGTTGACAAAACTAATACTTGGGCAGCTGGCAGAGTAGACTCGGTGAACATGCTGCTGAAACCACACTTGCTCTTTATGACCTGGGACCAGGTTGAAGGACAGCAACTAGGAACAGGAGCTCAGAGTCATTCTTTCCAATCCAAAGGAGACACCAAGTATGAGGTTTCCTGCATTTGCCTTCACACTGGCTCTGCAATGACTCTGGTAGCTGGCAGCTCTCCATAATGTAGCTGTCTGCTCATCCACAGTACAACAAACACCAGACCAGAAGAGGGGCTTTTCCCAGATACTTGGAAAAAAGGAGAAGAAAACAAATACAAAAAGCAGGTTCCAAGGAACACAGGAAAACAGATGCAAAGCAATCTTAGATTCAGTAACTTTTGCACATCCTCAGTGTCATTTTACACTAACACAACAGTGTCATGGCTGGAAGATCTAAGGAGCTAGTGCTTTGCTCCAAATGATTTGGACAGATGTTTACTAAGTTTGCCTTTCTAAAATTTTCTTGTACGTGGTTAACGGCAGGTGATTAATATTCATGCAAGGAGGTTTTCACCAGAATTTCATGGAGTTGACATCTATTAAAGTTAACAGACAAAAAGGCAGAACTGTAAGTGTTCTTTTAAACTGGCATCTGAGAGTCTTTGCAGGAAACAAGATCATCACAACCTGCCAACACACGCACTTCAGGTGACAGGCGTCCCGGCAGCTCCCAAATGCTCTGTTCTTGCTCCTGCTTACCTCCCAGCTTCTGTACACACCGTTCAGCTGCTTACCTCCCAGCTTCTGTACACTCCACTGCTGGGATGGTGCCCTTCTCACAGGATTCTGTGCACCTCTAAGACCTCGCCTGGGTATCACCTAGACTGAGCAGCATTTCCCATGCTCTGCCTCCAAGGGACCCGCCTCTCTGCCTAAACCAGACCCCTGTGCCCCGTCACACCCGTCCTGCCATTGTCTCTTTACTTTTTGTCTCCTCTGCCAAGACTAAGCTTCTTGCAGGTGGGGCTCCCCTCTCTTGCACGGTGCATGGCACAGAGCAGCACTCAAAAAATACCGCTGAATGACGTTAAAGAGGAAAGGAACAAATCACTGTGAAATTTGGGAGGGAGGAGGTGTCATTAAAGCCAATGGGAACACAAATGAACCTGCACAAAATAGATCTGGTTAATCTTTTCAGACTTTTTTTTTTAAAGGTTTTCTGCAATCACTAGCTGGCTGGATGTAAGCATCATGGAATTCAGACTCCTGGCACCAGAAGGGCTTCTAGGTCATGTGGCCCAACAGCTCCATAATGCAGGAAACATGTGTCTGCTTTATGATGAGTCCAACACATTGCTGACGCTCTGTCGTCCTGGCAGATGCGGTTCCCTTTAGGGCCATCAGCGGCAGGCCTGGTTTTCAGCCAGGCAATAACAGTACAAAAATTACAGCACAACTGTTTTTCTTTTCTTTTCTTTTCTTTTCTTTTCTTTTTGAAGACAGAGTTTTGCTCTTCTTGGCCGGGCTGGAGTGCAATGGCGCGATCTTGGCTCACTGCAACCTCCGCCTCCCGGGTTCAAAGCCTACCTCAGCCTCCTGAGTTGCTGAGATTACAGGCATGCGCCACCATGCCTGGCTAATTTTTTATTTTTAGTAGAGATGGGGTTTCTCCATATTGGTCAGGCTGGTCTCAGAACTCCCAGCCTCAGGTGACCCGCCCGCCTCAGCCTCTCAAAGTGCTGGGATTACAGGAATGAGCCACTGCGCCCAGCCAGCACAACTGTTTTTCTATCCACTGCTTTAACTTTCTCCTGTTCATCATCTTCAACAGATGCAAAGAAAGTTAGCAGTTGGGGCTTCATACCCAAACTTGGGCATTTTTGTCTGTGGGAAAATGCTACACTAAAATCTTCTAAGAGAAATAGCTTTTGCTCCTCTCTAGAAAATCCAAGGTATTTGTGGAGGGCATCGGACTGGCTCTACAACTCCCAAGGGTGTCTAGCAAGGTCACGGCATGCATTGGACACTCCAAATATTTCACAGTTGATCTTTTACCAACATAAACCCTGTGTCAGCCACATGTCTTCACGTCCACAGGCCTTAATTCCTTCCTCCTGAAATTCCCATCAAATGGTACAAGCAGCAGCACAGGCTGGAGTCACCTAAAAAGCTAATTAAGTACACCGATTTTATTGCTAGAATACTCAAGTCAGGACCTGACCACAGGCTGAGCACAGATGTTAGTGGCAGGAATGGCTATCTTGTTAACATAGTAATAACACTGAGAAGAGGAAGAAAAAACCATGAGGATTTTAAAACATCTTTTCATCTTCCTGCATAAAAAATTAAATTAAAAAGAAGAACAATGGAATTTCAACGCCTCACTGAGCTCTGATAGAGCGAATGAAACAGTATCGTGAATGGCTGGACAGGGAATACAGTTTCTTGCATTAAACAGGATCGCCTAGTTCAGAGGTCATCCGCACCCACATTCCAGCCCCTTCCTGGTATCCCTCTGGGGAATCAAGACCAGGGAAGGCCAGAAAAGAAGAAGCATAGCTCCTATGATCCCCTGGAATCCCTCCACTGATAAAGGCAACTTCCAATGACTCCTCTTCCTTCCCACGCATCCCACTCTTCCCCTTTCCTCCACCCAAACCCACAAAGGAAAGAAAACAATGACAATACTGCGATCGCCATGACTCTGACCTTTAAATGTTGAACCAGAGATCTATTAAGGGCCAGATAAAAAAGCAGGTGATTAGTTTTCAACATGAGTCACAATATCCCTGCAGTGAAATAATTCAATTAAATATTTAATGGTCTTAGGTTTTGTTTGAGGCACTGTTAATGACAGTCTCATTAGCCCCAGCCATGGTCTCAGAAGTGAAGTGGAAGGGGCCAGCTCCCCAGGAGGGAGAGGCACTTGGTGGGGGCAGTCTTCCTTAAACAGGGACTGGAAAGCCAGGCCCATGGGCAGAAGGGGTGTCTGCCAGGGGGGCATCAGTACCGTCATTCCAATCATATAGAAGCACCAGGCTTGATGTGATGGAAGGGTTCCTATCACTTTCTGTTTGTGTGTTTTTTTTTGAGACGGCGTCTCGCCCTGTCGCCCAGGCTACAGTGCAGTGGCGCCATCTCGGCTCACTGCAACCTCCACCTCCCGGGTTCAAGTGATTCTCCTGCCTCAGCCTCCCGAGTAAGTAGCTGGGATTACAGGTGCACGCCACCACACCTAGCTAGTTTTTGTATTTTTAGTAGAGATGGGGTTTCACCACGTTGGCCAGGCTGGTCTTGAACTCCTGACCTCAAGTGATCTGCCCACCTCAGCCTCCCAAGGTGCTGGGATTACAGGCGTGATCCACCACGCCCAGCCCCTATCTCTTTCCCCAGAGAAATCCTTACTAACCCTTAGAGAGTCAGAAAGATTCAACCAGAAAGTGGGTTCTGGGCACTTGAACCATCCGTTTCAGGTTTGGGTTTGGTTTACTTTCTCTCAGTGATGCACCAGCACGAGGTGGCTTCACTCTCTCAGTTAAGAACCTCCCTGATGAATGAGTAAGGAAAGTGTGAGAGACAGAAAGAGAAAGAGAGAGAGAGAGAGAGAGAGAGAGAGAGAGAGAGAATATGAATATATTTTTCAGCCTTAAAAAAGACAGAGATCCTGCCTTCTGCCACAATTCGGATGAACCTGGAGGACGTTATGCTAAGTGAAAGAAACCAGACACAGAAAGACAAACACTGCATGACCTTGCTTGTATGTGATCTTACTTATAGGTGGAATATATTTTTTTAAGTAGAAGACATAGAAAATAAAACAGTGGTTACCAAGGAGCAGGGGTGGGGGAGGTGAAGGAGGAAACGGGAGATGTAGGTGAAAGGACGCAGAGAGGCAGATATGCAAGATGCATCGCCCAGAGACCTAATGTGCATGAGGACTCCTAGTCAACAACATTGAATTATACCGGGGATTTCTGCTAAGACAGTAGATTTTAGGAGCTCTTGCCATATTGAAAAAAAAAAAAAAAAAAAAGGTAAATGACTGGGTGCAGTGGCTCATTCCCATAATCCCAGCACTCTTGGAGGCCAAGGCAGGCGGATCACTTGAGGTCAGGAGTTCGAGACCAGCCTGGCCACCATGGTGAAACCCTGTCTCTACTAAAACCACAACAATTAGCTGGTCTTGGTGGCATACTCTTGTAATCCATTACTCGGGAGGCTGAGGCAGGAGAATCGCTTGAGCCCGGGTGGTGGAGGTTACAATGAGCTGAGATCACACCACCGCACTCTAGCCTGGGCGGCAGAGCAGGGAGTCCATCTCAAAAAAAAAAAAAAAAGTAATTATGAGAAATGATAGATATGTTAACTTGCTTGACTATAGTAACCATTTCACTAAGTGTATCAAAACTTCATGTTGTACACCTTAAATATACACACAAACACACAAAAGACAATCTTCCCTGACCCGGAAAGTAGGGAGATGGGGCCCAAGGCAAAGTCAGAGCACAGACGAGCCCATCCCTGTGTAACAGTAAGAACGATCCAGCCTGCTTGCCTTTCTCACACCTTCCAGGAGGGCAGGTCACTGCGATGAGAGGAAGCACTCAAGTGGTTCCTAATCCAAAGAACTGTCTTGACTGAAGGATTCCAATAAGAAGTCTCCCACAAGCCTTGACTGGCTGTTTCAGAGTATGGTTACCCTACTGAAAATTGTTTAACTTCAACCCTATTTCTTGTCTTCTGAACTCACACACGTTTATCCTTCTTACGAAGACTACACACAACTAAACTGCATGTATCTGTGCTCATATGTCTATAGTGAACCTGTCATATGTCCTCAGACATTTTTTCCAGTAAGGTATTGATCAACCACCTTTGTGAGCAGCAACAGGAAAGGCAAAAATTATTGGAAAATGTGGTTAGGCTCAATTTTGTGAATGCCACATTTTCTTTTACCAAACATAACCAAATCCAACACCTAAAAGAGTTAGATGCCCTGGCCCTTCCCCCAAACAACTCATCTGTCCAATAAACACTTGCTGGCTTCACAAATTGGCCCAAAAGAGAGAAATGCATAAAATTAACTGTCCAATTTAAGCATTTGGCCTAAAAAAACCAAAGAGCACCTGAAACACTGAAGGATCTTCTGTGTTTTTTTGTTTGTTTGTTTGTTTGTTTTGAGACAGGGTCTTGCTCTGTCACCCAGGCTGGAGTGAGTGTGCAGTGGCGTGATCTCAGCTTACTGCAACCTCTGCCTCCTGGGTTCAAGCGATTCTCCTGCCTCAGCCTCCTGGGTACCCGGGACTACAGGCCCACACCACCACACCCGACTAATTTTTGTATTTTTAGTAGAGACCGGGTTTCACTATGTTGGCCAGCCAGGCTGGTCTCAAACTCCTGACCTCCGGTGATCCGCCTACCTTGGCCTCCCAAAGCGCTAGGATTACAGGCGGAAGCCACCTTGCGGGGCCCGCGCTAAGCACCTTCTAAAACTCACTGCCATCTTGCCTTTCTCTGGGAAAGTAAGGAAACTGCCTCCTTTCTTGTCAGCTCATCGAAGCTATCAACCATTGCTTCGTGTGGGTGAACTGATATGTGCTGTTACACCAGCTTAAAACAAAGGAGAGAGGCTTACTTTCAACCCCCATTTCACTCACGCTCCTATTTGAAAAGGTTTGTCACTGTGCGAAGACTCATATAGGACAGAAGAAGAAGACAGCCCCCGTCCTCAATGAGTGGACCATAGTCTGGAGGAGAAAGCAGCAAGCCCACAATTTATTATTTTTGCACTATCAGAGAGCTCTAAGCCAAATGGCTCCGCGTTCAGACAGCAAGAGTGCACCCGCTTTCTGAGCAGGGAAGGGACGTTTTCAGAAGATCCTCAGCCCAGGTTGTAAAAAGAGAAACTGGGAGGCATGGACCAGACATTCAGAGAACTGGTGAGCAAAAGCAGCCTAGACTCAGGTTGACGACGTGACACAGAAAAAGAAAAGAAAGGGATGGGTACAGGGGAATCACAGGGGCAGTGTCTATTCAGCCTGGCAGCTCCAGAGTAATGACAGAGGCAGGGCTAAGGATCCCAGGGCAGTCTGACACTTGAAGCCCAGGTACCTCCACCTGGGAGTCCCACCAACAAATAATAGGGAAATCAGGAGAAGGCAGTTTGGTTTGGCTGAGTCTCAGGTGCCAGGGGGAAGGCCAAATATCCCTGCACCATGCCAGCCACGTTGATGGCGCTGAAATAAATGTCTGTTCAGATGAATGGAGACCAACCACCAGACGGCTGGAAATGCGAAACTGAAGCTGACTCAAAGAGGTGGATTTGCGCAGAGCGGGGAGGTGTGGGCACAGGAATGAATGAGGTCTGCACACAAAGCTGTTTGCTACCCTCCACATTAAAATGGCAGATGTCTGGCAAATGCCTGGAAATTTCCTGACACCCATTGTCCTTGTTTCATAGATAAATGTTCTACATGACATGCCCATATTTCCCTAGCCACAGACCTCAGCGGCTGTAACAACACGTGCCCCAAATCTGTCAGGGCCTGGGTGTGTGGATTTCAGATCCAAAAATGCAAATCTTTTCTTTTCAGAGAAATGGTTTTCTGGGCAGGATTCTGGGCTCGGGAGCCAGAAAGGAGACTGAATGAGAAGGCATTGTGCAAATGATTGTCATCCTCGTCTGCCAGGATCAGATTCGTGTCCTGCCTCTGCCTCTCTTTAGTTACATGACCTTGGAAAGGACACTTGATCTCTCTGAGCCTTGGTGGGCTCATCTGTAAAATGGAACTCTGTACCTGCTTTGTAAGATTCTTCTAAGGATCATCGAAAATACATGGCAGGAGAATATATAAAATGTAAAGCCCTCCACGTGAGCAAGGGTTTCTTGGCAAGCAGCTGAATCCTTCTAATCTAGGCACTGTACCTATCAAAATAATTCTGGCTCATTCGTGAAGGCAGAATTACAGTCCAGGGAAATGAGTGCATGGTTGGGAACCTAAGGATCGCAAATGCTGAAACTTTAGACAGACCAGCATTTTCGGACACAGACGTTCAGTTCTCCAACACAGGCGGCTTTCATGGCGAAGTTCAGCTGGTATAGACCACCTGCTGGCGAGGCAACTCTACCCCCAGAAGCAGCCAAGTCCCGGCTCTGAGAGAGAAGGCCAGTTAAGGCACTCCCCCTGACCCCACACACAAAAACTGCAGCTTTGAGAATTGTGAAAGAGGCTTAAATGTTCCAGCTGCAAGTGTAGCTATGCTGCCTTCTTTAAATGCATCTAGTTCCTTTTATTTCAAGATGAACAGACTCCCAGGCACTGCTGCAAGATACGAAGGCCACACATCCATTTTCATGAGCAAACCCTCATCCACAACACTGTTTTCATCCAAGAAATCCAGACATCAGGATTATATCCATGCAAGGTCCCCACTGCCTCTCTCCCTCCCCTCTCAGTTGGCTCCAGGGTCAAATTTTCTGTAGGCTGTGACTTTAGTTTAAGCATAATGAACACCTACTATACGCAGCAGGAAACTGTGCAGAGTCTGATGAAGACTGAAAGGGAGAGGCTGCAAATCAAACCCAAATAGAACTCTAGGGCCAGGTCTTTTAACCATGGCACCATGTTGAAAAGGATGGTCATAATGAGGATAAATGAAAGGACAAGA
Source organism: Homo sapiens (assembly GCF_000001405.40). Lineage (NCBI taxonomy): Eukaryota > Metazoa > Chordata > Mammalia > Primates > Hominidae > Homo > Homo sapiens. The sequence goes on from NC_000008.11 coordinate 124,626,141, forward strand.
CAAAGTCAACAGCACAGTGAATACAAAGGGCTATGGGACAGGAAGTTGCAGGTATGCAGGTCTTCCAGGAGTGGAATTATTTCTCACCACACTGAGCCATTCTAGTGTTTCGTCAGTTCTTTTCTTGGGAACATTCTACACACAAAGCACTGGCCTGGGCCAGTCCACCACCAGCTTTTCTGCCAGGATGCTTGAGCTAAAAAATGATCCTATAAGCCAGGCATGGTGGCACGCATCTGTAATCTCAGCTACTCGGGAAGCTGAGGTGGGAGGATAGCTTGAGCCCAGGAGTTCAAGACCAGCCTGGGTAACCTAGAGAGACCCATGCTTCAAAATAAAAATAAAAAAACCAAACATGATCCTATAGTCAAAGTAGCTCCAGTCAAAAGGATTTTGAGAAACATTAAATCCAGAAATAGCAATCTTATCCACTGGGCTGGAGGGGGGCAGAGTGTGGGATGAGGATCTAGTAAGGTTCCATTCAACAAGGCGGTTTGTGGGGAGGCATTCAACCTGCCCTTGGGAGGAGATAATGAGGTGCACCCGGTCATGGGAATGGGGTGGTTAGAAATGATTACGGTGCAGTGAGGACCAATCAGCAGGCCGCTACAAGTTCTGTCTGGGACTCTGGGTTCCAGGTTTCTTCCTAGGGGCATCACACCAGCCTCTACTGCAACAGACAAAAGGAAAAGGCAACAAGAATCACATCTCCATGGTGACGGTCACAGAGCCTGATATACGCTGCCCCAACACTAGGAAAGGTCTCCCAAGGCAGGTCCTGTTCACTGCAGCTGGTGAGTCAGCAGCCCGCACCCAGCCCCTGCCCAGCCTGCACACAGGGGTTGGACACGAACCTGTCACGCAACATTGCTTCATTCCTCGAGTCCTGTGCACATTCCCATTTAGCAGGCAGCAGCTGTGTGGCTCACACCAAAGTTTGCACCGAGAAAAGCTTCCAAGGCTGCCACCAGGGTCTCAAAAGAGAAGGTAAGGCTGTGCTTATCCTCCCCTGCAACCTGGTACCTCTGGCCTCTGACCCTGGTGTCCCCACGGCCCTCTGAGCTATCTAAAAAACTGGAATCATCTTACAGTGTTTAAAAACCTGGTTCAATTTAGTTATCAAGTTGGTACTCAAAAGATGAGGGCTGGCTATCAGTGAGAAACTGGGGCATAATCGTTACATTCGCTAACACTGACTGAGTGCCACTTCATGCATTAGGTACTCAACATTTCACCTTCTCCACAACCCTCAAGGCAGGCATCTATCCTATAAAGGAGGAGACCAAGGCTCACGCAGGTTAAGTTGCTGATCCACAGTCACAAAGGGAAAATATGTTGAGGCCAGGATTCAAACTAAGGCTATCAGATTTCAAATCCCTTGTTCTCAACTCTTCCTCCACAGCACAGGGCCACAGCCAAGGAGACAGAGACAATATAAGACCGGGAAAGTAGAGGAGGGTGTCAGGAAGAATTCATGGAGCAGACACGATGGGATCATAGACTAAGCAGCCCTGGGAGATGGCCAGGGGTGGCGGGGGGGTCCCCCAGGGATCACTGAAAGGGTAATGTAAGAAGAGGAAGCTCAGCTAGGAGGGTGAAAGGCCTTAAAGGTCAGCCTGAGCTTCCACAGGCCATAGGGAGTCCGGGAGAGAAGCACAGGGAGACAGTGTGAACTGCGCTTTAGAAAGAAAACTGTGGCATTGCTATTTCCCATAAAAACTCTTACAGATAGAAAACTAGCAGTGACTGGTCGCGGTGGCTCACGCCTGTAATCCCAACACTTTGGGAGGCCGAGGTGGGCAGATTACTTGAGGTCAGGAGTTAGAGACCAGCCTGGCCAACAAGGTGAAACCCCGTCTCTACTAAAAATACAAAAGTTAGCCAGGCGTGGTGGCATGTGCCTGTAATCCCAGCTACTCAGGTGGCTGAGGCAGGAATATCGCTTGAACCCGGGAGATGGAGGTTGCAGTGAGCTGAGATCGTGCCATTGCACTCCAGCCTGGGCGACAGAGGGAGACCCTGTCTCAAAAACAACAACAACAGCAACAAACTAGCAGTGATGAAAAGTACAGAGCAGGTCAGTAATACAAACAGAAACCAAAAGTTTGCTGAGAACGGGTGCTTCCCATCCCAGGCTGCGAGTCTGAGCTCCAAGACATCAGCCGCGTCAGTCTTATCATCCGACTCCCAGATCATACTCCCCAGGACACGGCACCAATTATCTCTTCCAATTAAACCACCGCCACAGGATGCTAAATCCAGTGATATGAACCGGCAGCAGGATGCTTGCCCAGCCCAGGGCTGGCATTTATGATCCTTATTAGCAGGAAAGCTCTGTCTTCTGCTCCCCACGGCTCAGCTGTGGAACCTGGAGCTCCCACCAGCCCCCACAGCAGGTGCTCTGGGAAGGGGCAGAAGAAAATGATGGCAGGACTTGGAGAAGCCAGGACAGCAGAGTCAACAGTTCCAACTCCATTGGGGAACTTTCCCCATCGATGACAGCAATTTCCCTAACATCTAATTATAGGCATTTTGTCAGCTAAATAATAAGTTGCATGGATTAAATGCCTACAGTGAGCCAGGAACTCCAAGAAGTACCTTGTGTAATTTCATCTAATCCTCGCAACAACCCTCTGAGGCAATTCTTCATTGCCCATCCTCATTTTAAAGATGGGGAAACTGAGGCTAAGAGAAACCTGCCATAGGTGGGTAGACCTAGGACTCAAAGCCAGGTGGTGTCTAGCTCCGAAGTCTGCACTTCTTCCATTACACCACAGCAGACCCTGAAAGTAACACACACGGATTTTACAGGATCCCAAAGTATCTTCAGGGAGGTTTTATTTCCCAAGAGGGTCCTTGGGGCAGGAGGGAAATGAGTTAATCATGAGAGCTCACAAGTGCTGGGCACTCATGAGCCAGGCCTAGGCCTAAGCTCTGTGTACACATTCATTCATTCATTCATCTTCATTCTTTCAACAGCCCTGTGCATAAGCACTATCATCACCCCCATTTTATAGATGAGAAAACTAAGGCTCGAATTAAGGAGATTAAGCCACTTAAAGTTACACAGCTAAGAAATTCTGGAGCTAGATGGCCAGGCGCGGTGGCTCACACCTGTAATCCCAGCACTTTGGGAGGCTGAGGCGGGCGGATCACAAGGTCAGGAGATGGAGACCATGCTGGCTAACACGGTGAAACCCAGTCTCTACTAAAAAAAATACAAAAAATTAGCCAGGTGTGGTGGCGGGCACCTGTAGTCCCAGCTACTTGGGAGGCTGAGGCAGGAAAATGGCGTTAACCCAGAGGTGGAGCTTGCAGTGAGCCAAGATCACGCCACTGCACTCCAGCCTGAATGACTCCGTCTCAAAAAAAAAAAAAAAAAAAAAGAAAAGAAAAAGAAAAAAGAAATTCTGGAGCTGGATACTTAGCTATAGCGGTACCTAACTCTGAAGCCCGAGATCTGACCTCTCCCTAAAACAGACCTGAAACACGAGTTCCCACATCCCTGGTTGGTGAGACAGCCAAGTGCCTCCAACGTTAAGTGGCCTCCTGTCCTGCTGGAGGCTGGACAGGTAGTTTCCATCGTAACACACAGAGGCCACAGCCTGCCTGAGGGGAGGGTTCTCTCTCCCAGACACCACACCACAAGGCCACCCCCCTCCATCTGGGAAGAACCAGGGGCCTTTCCAAAGTGAATCATCCGAATAACCAGTCTTTATCATTTTAACTGTCATCTTTTAAAAACATATCACACACACCGTGCGTTCTTAAATGGAGCTACTGCCCAGTGGCTGCTGACTCATCACCCTGTAAAGAATTGAGTCGCTGAGGACAGATGTGGCAAGGCCAAGCCAGCTGCGTCAGCCCCGCTTGCTTAATCCTGTCTGAAGCTTCTTGAAATACTTCACCTGCTCCATGGAATATAATTCATCTTGTAAAATTGCTTAAAACTTTTAGACCAAAGGCATTTACATTTAATTAAATGACCAGGGAGAGTTAACTTCCCTCTACCTCCCCTGGAAGAGGTCACCTTCAGAAGTGACCTATTTCCTCCCTGAGCCCAAAGAGGTTGTGGACCCTAAAGGGCCCCAGTCTAAGCCCACCCCATGCCACTGGGCTGAATGGGGGCCACCACATCTTTTGGCAAGCCATCCATCAACAGAGTCACCAACAGGCAAGCAGCCTGGGCTACCCGAGCAGACTGTCAGCCACATGGGAGGAAAGGTGGGGGTGGGGTGGGAGCAGGAACAGAGGGGAGGACCTGAAAGAGGAGGTGGAGAAAGGCTGGGAGGAAGAAGAGGATGAAAAAGGCCACTTGTGACTCAGGGGGCCTATGGGCCAGCAGCAAGATCATGGAGCCCCAGCACTGCCTGACCCACTGCATCACCGCCCACATTTTTAACAAGGCTCCAGGCCATTCACAGGCACTGGACAGTTTGAGAAGCACTGGTCTACAGCACAGGCTTTGGAGTCAGAAACATCCGGGTACCAGCCCCAGCCACACTACTCACTTTCTATGTGACCTACAATGAGCTACATAGCCCCAACCTGCCTCCACTGTCTCATTTGTAGGGCAGTACCTACTTACAAGGTGGTTTTAAGAGGAAATTAAAATAATGCAAATAAAGTACTTAGCACAAAATCTAATACAAAAAAAATGACCAGCTGGCTCTGCTATCAACACATAAAGCTTAGAACCCAAGTCACCAGATTCTGCCTCTCATTACTTCTCATCATTATGGAAACCTTTGGAGGCCTTTGGCCATGGCATTCTGAACCTGCTTGGTATATTGCAATGCTGTGCCACCTACCAGCATGTTCCTAAATACACATGTATTTAAGGCAGCATCATCACTGAGATAAAAAGTTACCAACTACACCTGGAGCCAGAAACATGTGTATAAGAAAGGGAAAATAAGGAGGACTGAGAGCACTTGAGCATTTCATTGGCCTGCACCCTGAGGATTCGCCCTTGAGCCTGAAACATACACGCAGCACAGAGGTCAAAGGCAAAGAGTAAGGAATCAGCAGCTTTGGGAAGGTGGGGCACGGGGACAGGCCAGGTCTCCTGGACTCGGATTCCAGGCACGCTGCCACAGCTGGGTGCTCCCGAGGACAGCACAGACAAAGGTCACTACCTTGACCCACCAATCTCCCTAATGACACAAAACGCCCTTTACTTCCAGAGCCAGCAAACACAGCAACCTGATTTCACAAGACATGAGCCCTTCTGGACCCTAAAGAGTACGTCCACGTGCTAGGAAAAGACGAGCGCTACACGACAGTCCCGACACTGCTGCACAGCTCAGACCCTGTCCTGGCCCGCAGGCCACTGCCTCCTCAGAACTCTCCTTTTCCTCCATGCTCCCAGGCTTTGTTGGTGACCTCACCGTGCACCAGACCTTAACTCCTGGTCAATGCCACCCTGCCCCTCATCTCATCCTGAGTCTGAGCATCTCTGGCACTAAAATTTCTCTGATCCCCTCCATAGTCCACTCACTTCACTCCCAAAGCCACCATTCAGGTTCTGACTATGAAAGCCCTCGGGCCTGCCAGCTTCTGTCTCTCCAATTCAAACTGCTTTTAGCACCACTGCTTAGCCAACCTCCTACAGCGGGTCTGATCCCATTGTGCCTTGGGTGGCTCTCCACTGCTTACAGAATCACACCCACGGCCCTCCAAAGGCAGAGGCAGCAAAGCTCAGGCTTCCCCCACTGCCTGTCCACCCACTCGGCTCTTCCACTGCAGCTACTGGAATAACAGATCTGAGCTTTGGGCCTGCTGCTGATGATGGTGGTTGTGTCATTTGGTTTTTAACAGAAAGCAAAGAGAAAGAGGAGAAAAGTTAAGGAGCATCCGGGTGCAGTGGCTCATTCCTGTAAGCCCAACACTTTGGGAGGCCAAGACAGGAGAATCGCTTGAGCCCAGCAGTTTGAGACCAGCCTGGGCAACATAGCGAGACTCCATCCCTTCAAAAAAATTTAAATAATTAGCCAGGTGTGGTGGTGCATGCCTGTAGTCCCAGCTACTTGGGAGGCTGAGGCAGGAGGATCCCTTGAGCTTAGGAGTTCAAGGATTCAGTGAACTATGACCATAACCACTGCACTCTAGCCTAGGAAGCAGAGTGAGACTCTGTCTCAAAAAAAAAAAAAAAAAAAGGTAAGGAACAAGTTTCTCAATCCTGCCTTTTATTAACACATACATAGGTCAGTAAAAAATAAGATGAGGCTGGGCATGGTGGCTCACACCTATAATTCCAGTGCTTTGGGAGGCCAAAGCAGGAGAAATACTTGCAGCCAGGAGTTCGAGACAAGCCTGGGCAACATAGTAAGACCCCACCTCTACAAAAAATTAAAATAAAAAATTCAAAAAAAAATTTAAAGATAGATTTTGCTATAACCTGGAAATTTCTCCAGCCAAAGGGTTGTTGTCATCTCAGGCATCAATGGCCTCAATAATTGTATTGTTGGTCAAAACCTCTTGGGAACTCATCTTTAAGAACAGCATTCAGAATTAGGTTTTGTTTGTTTGTTTGTTTGTTTTTTGAGATGGAGTCTTTCTCTGTTGCCCAGGCTGGAGTGCAGTTGCACAATCTCAGCTCACTGCAACCTCTGCCTCCTGAGTTCAAGCGATTCTTCTGCCTCAGCCTTCCAAGTAGCTGGGACTACAGGTGTATGCTACCGCATCCAGCTAATTTTTGTATTTTTAGTAGAGATGGGGTTTTGCCATGTTAACCAGGCTGGTCTCGAACTCCTGACCTCAGGTGATCCACCTGCCTTGGCCTCCCAAAGTGGTGGGATTACAGGCATGAGCCACCACACCCGGCCTCAATCCTGCCTTTCACTAACCCATACATATCATACATAAGGTCAGTAAAAAATAAGGTGGCGCGGGGCATGGTAGCTCACATCTACAATTCCAGTGTTTTGGGAGGCCAAAGCAGGAGGAATGCTTGAGGCCAGAGGTTCGAGACCAGCCTGGGCAACATAGTGAGACCCCATCTGTATAAGAAATTAAAATTACAAAATTAAAAAAAAATTTTTAAAGATGGATTTTGCCACAACCTGGAAATTTCTCCAGCCAAAGGGTTGTTGTCATTTTAGGCATCAAAGGCCTTAATAATTTTATGTTTGGTCAAAACCTCTTGGGAACTCATCTTTAAGAACAGCATTCAGAATTAGGTTTCTAAGTGACTCAATAAAAGGAGTCCTTGTCCTTCACAAACTCTCCTGATCACATATAGTATTGAGTGGCTTTGTCACTTGCCTTAGTCTTGGGCCTTAGCTCTGACTCTTATTCCTAAAAGGAAAAATTAAGTCCATTCTCAGTAGGTGAAAACCTATCATAGGCCGGGCACAGTGGGTTTACGCTTGTAATCCCCGCACTTTGGGAGGTCGAGGCGGGTGGGTCACTTGAGGTCAGGAGTTCGAGACCAGCCTGGCCAACATGGTGAAACCCCGTCACTACTAAAAATACAAAATTATCTGGGTGTGGTGGCACACGCCTGTAATCCCAGCTACTCGAGGGGCTGAGGGAGGAGAATCACTTGAACCCAGGAGGCGGAGGTTGCAGTGAGCTGAGATCACACCACTGCACACTCCAGCCTGGGCGACAGAGCAAGATCCTGTCTCAAAAAAAAAAAAACCAACAACAACAAAAAAACCCTTCAGTGCCTTCTGAAGTAATGTTTGTTGATCCTAGTACCGCCTAAATTTCTGACGGTGGTTCTAGAAGTGCTTTCCCAAAATGTTTGAGTAATGGCCACACTGAGAGAACAGGTAGAATTAGCCTCCAAAGGCAATTCATATAATTACTTCTCTCACACTTCAAGATATGGTCTGGTTCAAAATTTATGTATCAAAGTATAAATTCATCAAAATGTCAAACAATGACCCACTCTAGGTGGCTTCCTTTGAGACCAGTAGGAAGGATAAAATATAGACCAGTCCTTATTTATTTATTTATTTTTAATTTTTTTTTTTTTTGAGACAGGGTCTCACTCTGTTGCCCCAGCTGGAGGACAGTGATGTAATCATGGCTGTCACTGCAGCCACAACCTCCTGGGCGCAAGCAATCCTCCCACCTGAACCTTGCAAGTAGCTGGGACTACAGGCGCACACCATCATACCTGGCTAGTTTTTTTTTGTTGTTGTTGTTGTTTTGTAGTTTTTTTTATAGTTTTTTTTTGTAGAAATGACATTTCACCACATTGCCCAGGCTGGTCTCAAACTCCTCCCACTCAAGTGATCCTCCTGCCTTGGCCTTTCAAAGTGCTGGGATTATGGGCGTGAGCTGCCCAGCCAACAAGTCTTTATTTAAATGAGAGATATAAAAAGTCCCAATTTGCCCCATGTTTCCACATGCTTTTCTTCTTCATCCTCTCAAACCATACTCCATAAATATTTGTAAAAATGATTTGATTTTGGTCTGTCACCAAGGATACACTCCTCACCCTAAGGGGTTATGACAACAGGGAAATACTCATCTCATTTTTGTGATGGGCTGATTAGAGCCAGAAACCTTCTGATTTCCTTGATCTAAATATTTTTCCCTCTTGTAGCTTCAAAAAAAAAAAATGCTAGCAAATGCACAGTCCATGTCCTTGGTATTCAAAGTGTGCTCCCTGAATCAGCAGCAGCAGAATCACCTGGGAGTGTGACGGAAATGCAGTGTCCTGGGGACCCATCTGTGCTGGACTTGCTGAATCAGAACCTACATTTGACAGGATCCCAAGCAATTCCCATGCACATTGGAGTTTGGGAAGTGCCGTTCTATGCTGTGAGTTTAAAAGACAGCAAATGATTTTTTAAAACATTACTAGTCTTAATGCACTTTTTGTTTTGTACGAAATAATGAACTGTCCTCTGATTCTCTGTTCTTATCTACAAAAAGAAATGACTGTCTATTCTCCCCAGGTTATTGTAAGAGTTAACGCTCAATGCCTAGCTCAAAGCCTGGAACGTTAAAGCTGCCCAAACTTCCATTTATTTACCCTCCAAACATCACTTCCTTCCTCTAGCTCTTTCTTCCTATAAGTAAAGTTCTTTCTTGCTTTTAGGGTTTAAAAAGGTAAGAGAAGGTAAAGGAATAGCATTTCAGAGAAAAGGAAGAAAGCAATAAATACAGGGAACAGAGTCAAATGACAGGAAACTCTAGATCACCTTAGAGAATAAACTCTTAAAGTCAGCAGTCTGTACACAGAGAAGCTCTGGTTTGGTCATCCTTCAGGTAGCAGGTGCAACAGTTAGTTGTAGAAACATGGATGTGGTTATCTAATTCTGAGAAGACTCAGGACTTCTTCACTGCAAAGCTCAGCAGAGAAATCTATGTCAACAGAGACATCTGTAATGCTTGACACATCCCAGGCAAATGCCGGAACGCCTCTGTTCCTATAAGATCTCCCATGCCTCCCTACCCAGAGCACAGAAGGTCCTTATCACTCTTGGTCTATTCTAATCAGCAGCTTTCAGGTTATCTCCCATCTGCCATGCTAAGTTGCTTGAGGCTAAGGAGAGTAGCTTAATCATCTTTACACTCTCCATAGCACTGCAAGATCTAGTAGACAACGGGAGCTCAATCACTGGTTGTGTGAGTGTCCTGAGCTGTTATTCTCTCTGAAGCAATTGCCCTATTTGTAGATGGAATCAACTATATTTTATGGCTCCCGGATTCCCAATTTTATTGGATTGCTCTCATGCCTTCCATCTAGTTGCTAAACAAAACAACAAGAAAGCCTACCTGCCTCAATATTCTCATTTAGGCCAAATAAACTGCCCTGTTACATACACCAAGCACCTGAACGAGTCTTTAAGGAAGAACACTCAGCTCTCTAACATTAAAAGACACAAAGGCAGGAAAACCAATACATTCACACTGGAGGGTGGAGGGTGCAGGGTGCATTCGACAGGCTCCTTAGGCTAGGAGCGCAGAGTCCAAAGAGCGCAGCCCTGCCTCAGATATGGGTTCCTGTGCTGGAACCTCAGCTACTAACTTTCTCCTTCTTCTTTGAGATGGAGTCTCCCTCTGTCGCCCAGGCTGGAGTGCAGTGGCACGATCTCCGCTCACTGCAACCTCTGCCTCCTAGGTTCAAGCGATTCTCCTGCCTCAGCCTCTGGAGTAGCTCGGACTACACTTGTGTGCCACCATGCTCAGCTAATTTTTTGTATTTTTAGTTGAGATGGGGTTTCACCATGTTGGCCAGGCTGGCCTCGAACTCCTGACCTCAAGTGATCCGCCTGCCTCGGCCTCCCAAAGTGCTGGGATTACAGGTGTGAGTCACTGCACCCCGCCAAAGTTTGGTGGCCTTTCTCTATTTTCTAAATGTGTTTGAGACTCTAAATACTAGGAAAATGTAACAGAGGTCATTAACTGAGGGAGCTTACCTCCAAAACATTTTCCAAAGGGCAGAGAACATAACATGATCATTCTGACAGCTGTGACAAATGTGGGTTTATTTGCCTGACTGCCTCTGTGTCCATTTATCTATGATCACTGAGGCCTCATACTCCTGCTCAGGAAATGTACCCAGCTGTCCACTTAGAGGTACAGCTGACCAAGAGTCTCAAAGTCTTCCTTGACAATCCGAAAGTACCTAAGCACCCATCGCCATTGGAGAGGGTGCCCTTGAAGGGTAACCACTTTACATTTGGCACAAGGACTTCTTGGCCCCATCGGGACCTTGCACGATGACCTTTGATCCTCTGCAGAGGAACCAACAGTCAGCATTTGCTGCGGGCAAGGAGCCAATAGCAACTGACTCTGCCGAAATTATCCTCTCCCAGGTCTTACTTATTAAATTCAGAAGTGTCCAGCTCTGAACTAAGAGGGGATTTTCCTCTGGCATCCATAAAGATGGCTACGGAAGGAATTAATTTTCAATCTTTTGCTGTGTGCCCTATATCTTACATGTTCCCTTATTTAATAGCATGATCACCCAGGGAGTTGGACGTGTACCCTAAAAGATGAGGAAACGCAGCCCTGCCTAAGACCACAAAAGAAGCACCTGGCTCCAGAACTGTCAGATCCTGAAGCATCCGTGTTGGTTCATGCTTTTCTAGAGCCATCCTACTCCCTCAATATGAAGAGCTCAAATAAGATGGCTAGACTTTAAAGTGAACTTATTTATTCATTCAACCTTATTCGGTGAAAGGGACCAGGAAAATGGAGTGGTAACTAGAGAGGGAGACAGAGTCAGGGGAGTTTTGGGATGGTGACATTAAAGTGATGCACACTCATGGCCAATCTAGAGTGAGGAATATACAGGAGAGAAACCTGAGCAGCATGGGGTGGGGGCTGAGACCCCAGAAGGCCCTTCTCCCACAGGAAAGGGGAAGCCAGACCCACGGCTCCAACATGGGCAGGCTGGTGGTAAGCTGGGTATCTGGTGTTGGGAAGATGGGTGCTGAACACTTGCAGAAAGCAGGAGGGAGGGGGTTAGATCACTCGCAAAACCTTGGCCTTGGCCCAGCTGCTGTTTCATGCTGGGGCCTACAGGAAACAGGTGGTCACCTCCTCCGTTCACACCCTAGAAGGGGTGGAATTTATGTGTCACATTTGGGTCTCAGATTCTCCCCCCAAAGCAGCATGCTTCCGACGGGTGTCTAAGTGAGGGGGGGTAATCTTCCCCCACAAGCTAAACAGCTGTTTTTTGTGGTTATATTTTGGATGTATACACTTGCTCATTCGTTCATTCTGTGCAAACGTTTACTGAGCCCAGGTGTAAAAGTTGCTATGGGAACATGAAAATAAATCAGGCTGAACTTGCCCTCAAAGAACATATCCTCTTATAGAAGACTTACACACAAGTTAGATAAATTAAGGAGGTTAAGCAGGGTTTGGCAGTTTAGGGGGAGTAGATTAATTCCAGCTGGGAGCAGCGTAGTACTTCCCAAACTTTAATGTATAGAAGAATCACCTGAGACATTTCCCCTATGGGGTCTCTTTCTCCCCATAAAATTCTGTTATTCCTGGATCTTTTTAGAGCAGAAGACAATGACTTTGCTGATGGTATAGTCCTATGAGTTGAAGAATGTGGCCTTTAACAATAAATCTAACAAAGATGTTAATCAGAATTATTTCACCTTATCACAGAGATCCAAGGAAATTTCAAATTTCACAACTACAAAAGGCTTAAAGTCAGGAAACTGCAGTTCAATTGTTAAGCGTCTCTCTCTTCAACCCATGGAGCTAAGAAGGTACACATCAGTGTTTGTGATCAAATCCACTACCCCAAACTGGGCCTATCTTAGAGTTTAGTAATGTTGATAAGTGGCGCTTCAAAGGAAGCCCACATCATCCTAAAATAAGCTGGGAATGAGAAAAGTCCCAGCTGAAACAGGAAGGGGATCACACACAGACATTCCATTTCCAAATTTCCTTCCCCGGCGGAGATCCGTGCCCTTCGGTACAGTGTCAGGAAACCGGAGGGTCTGTGATGAGATAAGCAGACACCTGCTCTCCCCACATTCTTGGAGCTACTCAGTTCTCCCCGGAGAATAGAAATGGGCCACAGAGCTCATTACCACCATTCAAGCATGAAGCTGAAATATCTCCCATTTAATAACCTAGGGGTCTTCAGAGTAACACCCATCACAGACGCATTTCCCACCTCTTTGTCCAGGATGCAGGAGGGTAACAAGGGCCCTGAGGCCACAAAAGAATGAGGAGCAGAGGAGGAGGCTTTTCTTAATCACTAGTAATTATCACTATCATGTTACAAGCAAACAAATATCATTTTGGAAATCCAGAACAATCTCCATGAGGTAAAGAATTTTAACTAACTGGGCGGGCCAGTTTGAATTCATCAAAAGGCTGAACTGGCAAGCACTTACTACACATTGTCACAACAAAAAAGTAATTTTATTTTTTCAAATGCGTATGTAGCAAGGGGCTAAATTAAAAAGGTATTGGCGGCCTGGCCCAGGTGGTGGCTCATGCCTGTAATCTCAGCACTTTGGGAGGCCAAGGCAGGCGGATCACTAGAGGTCAGGAGTTCCAGACCAGCCTGGCCAACATGGTGAAACCCCATCTCTACTAAAAATACAAAAATTAGCCGGGCTTTGGTGGCGCACACCTGTAGTCTGAGTTACTCGGGAGGCTGCGGCAGGAGAATCGCTTGAACCCAGGAGGCAGAGGTTGCAGTGAGCCAAGATCACGCCACTGCACTCTAGCCTGCGCCACAAAGCAAGACTCCATCTCCAAAAAACAAAAGTGTTGCCTTAATAAGATGTAAAATTATCACAACAAAACAAAAATTTAAGTGGTTCCTATAAAGTGCTATAAGAATATATTCTATTAAATACACTATTATATCTTTCTGATGGTATTACCTTACTTAGATTTTTTTTTTCCCTGAGACAGGGTCTTGTTCTGTGTCACTCAGGCTGGAGTGCAGTAGCACTATCTTGGCTCACTCCCGTATTCAAGTGATTCTCGTGCCTCAGCCTCCGGAGTAGCTGGGATTACAGGCTGTGCCACCATGCCCAGCTAATTTTTTGTATTTTTAGTAGAGATGGGGTTTTTCCATGTTGCCCAGGCTGGTTTTGAACTCCTGACCTCAAGTGATCTGCCTGCTTCGACCTCCCAAAGTGCTGGGATTACAGGCGTGAGCCACCGCGCCCAGCCCCAGATTTCTTTTCTATGTAGTGCTATGACTATTACTAACTAAATGTTCATCATCTGCAAAGCCTAACCTTTCGTTCAATTTCTTGCCCCAATAGCTAATAATCATAATAGTGAATAAGGTAAACATTATAAGTAGGCAGAACAATATAAACAGTTTATGACATTTGGCTGACATTATAAGTAGGCAGAACAATATAAACAGTTTATGACTTGTGGCTGACATTTAACGAGCACCTACTATGTGAAAGGTGCTTTCATCCAGACTATAGGTATTTATTCCCTGGATCCTCCCCAGCTGCAGTGCTGGACAGTTGTCCATCTCATTTTACATTTTACAGAGGAGGAAACTGAATGTCTGGCCTCCCCTAGGCCTCACCAGCTGGTAGATGGGTCAAGCTGGGATACAAACCCAGCCTTCTTGATTACCCTACCCACTGTTATTTCACTGAGCCAAGGCTGAGAAACGCAGTCACTCTGGTTCTACGGAAGAGCTGCCTTCTCTGATGTGATGGTTGTTCGATTATTTTAAAAAGTCGGGGTAGGAAAGGACTAAAAAATTATACGCACACACCTTAAACAATTTACTGGAACGGAAAACATTCATTCCTCAATCTTGTGAAGGGCCAAGGCCTTCTCTTTAGAGTGGGGATCTGCTGACTAGAGTTCTGTGGTCTTTCCGGCAACAACCACACCCCATCCACACACCCTGCAATGTCAGATTTCAGGTTCCTTCAAGGAGAGTTTCACTACTTACAAAGTAGAAAATCCTTCTAGATTTTTTTGTTTTGTTTTGTTTTTGAGATGGAGACTCGCTCTGTCACCCAGGCTGGAGTGCAATGGCGTGATCTCAGCTCACTGCAACCTCCGCCTTCTGGGTTCAAGCTATTCTCTTGCCTCAGCCTCCTGAGTAGCTGGGACTACAGGTGCCCGCCCCCATGCCCGGCTAATTTTTGTATTTTTAGTAGAGATGGGGTTTCACCATGTTGGCCAGGTTGGTCTCAATCTCTTGACCTCGTGATCCACCCTCCTCGGCCTCCCAAAGTCCTGAGATAACAGGCGTGAGCCACCGTGCCCGGCCTCAACCCTTCTAGATTTTACCTACACCATCCCCTCTTTATTTATACTGATTGTCTCAACCACACCTTAAACAACAGGAATTTCTTTATAAGTTGTTTTGCAACTCTTTCCAAAACACATAACTTAGTTTTCAAAAAAACGAGTTCTCTTTTCACACTAATATGTCATCCGTGTATGTACTATTTTGGTTACATAATTACAAAAGCAAGTACATGTGGCAAAAAAAAAAAAACAAGTCTGGGGGAAAACCCGCAACTGATCAGTAAGCACAGAGCTCATCTGGGGGAGGGGACATGGCAGGGGACAAGGAAGAGAGCCATCACAGCCCCCAGTGCCCTGATGGGTCAAATGGACCAGGGGAATGGAAGACCACAGTCACTTTGGCCAGCAGGCCCAGTGCAGGCTGGTTAAGAGAGCTCCCTCCAGACCCCCCAATCCCCATATACCTGTGAGCAACTTGGGAAAACAGTGAACATTCCTATCAGAAAATAAAGCCGTGTTAGAGAAAAGAATAAAAGGATTGAGACACAATTAAGATGGGTTCAAATAACCACAAGTCTTTTCTAGTCCCAGGGTCTCTCTGAGCCTCAATTCCTTTGTTTGAAACGTACAGTTAAAACAAGATTCCTTGTGCAGTTGCTGCAGGAATTAAATAAGAACATATGGAAAGTGCCCAGCCCAGGCCTTGGAACACAGAAATTACTCAATAAACGGGCTCTTTACCTGATTTATCGTGGTATCTCTCTCCCACAGTGCCTAGCAACATGCTGTGAAGTAAGAAGCTCTGATGGCTGGACAGAAAGACGGACAGATGGTCTGATGTCAGAACTGTAAAAATCCTTCAGTTTATCACCTTGCTTGGCTCAAATGGCCCCCCTAAAACAAATCAAGTATCTGTAGCTGGAGTCAGAGTGTTCCCCACCTGAAAATAAATTCTAATTTTACCAATAAGCATGGAGAGACCAGAGTAGGAATAAAAGGAAGAGATAAACAGAAGAGAATTTAAAAAGTATCAGACCCAGATGTTAAACAAAAAACTGGCTCACTGGCAGATAAATCTTTTTTCCCCTCTTCCCGCCAATTGTGGTTATTAAGAATGAGGACACATTAGAATAAGTGTGATTTTTTTTCAAGGCACAGAGAAATTTATAGACAGCTAAATCCAGCAAAAAGATAAATCATTTACCCTTAGTTTTCAGTAAATAGAAAGTCTCCAAAAGTTGAAAGGAAAACAGTTCCAGAATAACCACCATGTGGTTTTGGTTTCAAGTACTTAGCATTTCATAACAGGCGCAGTTCACTGAGAAGATATTTAAACTCTGAAACGAGGCAGGTGCAGAATACATGCTTTCAATTGTGGATGTGATAGGAATGGAAAGTAGGCAGAAATTGAAGGCTTTTTTTAATTTAACGAATCAATCAGCAGATAAAGCTTTCACTCACTGTAAATTTTCTGTTTACAAAAGCTCCACATGCTAGGATGACACACCCAAAGACTAGGGAGGGGACACTATACTGTGGAAAGAAAAACATCTCCATTTTCAACAGAAGGAGCCCAAAGTCAGCCTACCCTTTGAAGTTTCAGTTAGCTCCCATCTTCCTGCCAATCACCCACCTTAAGTCCAAGGAGGCTTTACAACTATTAGATCTCTAGGCATCTCCTTAGCTAGTAACATATTTATATTGATCCACCTAAGTTGGAAATATGAGTTGTTAAGACAGCCCCATGTTTCTTCTGGGTTTTTTCTTTTTTCTTTTTTCTTTTTTTTGGAGATGAGTTTCACTCTTGTTGCCCAGTCTGCATTGCAATGGCATGATCTCGGCTCACTGCAACCTCTGCCTCCCGGGTTCAAGTGATTCTCAGGGCTCAGACTCTCAAGTAGCTGAGATTACAGGTGCATGCCACCACGCCTGGCTAATTTTTGTGTTTTTAGTAGAGACAGGGTTTAGTCATATTGGTCAGTCTGGTCTCGAACTCCTGACCTCAGGTGACGTGCCTGCCTCAGCCTCCCAAAGTGCTGGGATTACAGGCATGAGCCACTGCGCCCGGCTCTTCTGGGTTCTTAAGCACGGTGTTAAACCTCAGTTTTCTCATCTGTGAAACAGGAGCAATGAAACCTACTTGAGCCAGCCATTGTGAGAACTAACAATAACAGACTTAGCACATACAATAAGTTCTCAATCCATGGTAGCTGCTATTCTTCTTTTTCTCTGCATAATTAAGGGGGAAAACTGAGTATCTTTGATCAATAAAATTTGGCAGAGAGAAAAAAATTGGTAACCCCTAGTGTTAATAAGACTTCCAAAGAAGCATTTGGCAATACAACAGAAGCCTACAAATGCTTACGGCCCTCACTCGGCAATCCCACATGAGGACTCCATCCTAGGGAAATAAGATATGCAAAAAGATGCACAGGAATGCCTTCTGCAGCATCATTTAGAATACTGGAACTCTACAAGCAAAAGATAACCAACAGTGGGGGAAATGGCCAAATAAACAGTTGTGTGTTCATAGGAGTTGTTCCTGCAGCCACGGAAAAATGATTACAATATGATCATTTAAAAACAAAAATCTAGCCCGGCGCAGTGGCTCATGCCTGTAATCCCAGCACTTTGGGAGGCCGAGGCAGGCAGATCACCTGAGGTCAGGAGTTCGAAACCAGCCTGACCAACATGGAGAAACCCCATCTCTACCAAAAATAAAAAAATTAGCCAGGCGTGGTGGCACATACCTGTAATCCCAGCTACTCGGGAGGCTGCAGCAGGAGAATCGCTTGAACTGGGGAGGCAGAGGCTGTGGTGAGCCAAGATCGCACCATTGCACTCCACCCTGGGCAACAAGAGCGAAATTCCGTCTCAAAAAAAAAAAAAAAAAAAAAAAACCACGAAAATCTGTACTCAAAACTTTGGGATTTCATGTTATAAATATATTTAAAATAGTATGTACCCATTGTGTCTATAAATATTAGGAGAAAAGTACAACAAAATACTACATTAGGTATTTCCAAATGGCAAAATTACAGGTAACTTTTATATGTTGTCAGAGAATTGTTTGTATTTTTGAAATTCTGTGCAAGTAATTTATTTAAAGTCAGGAAAAAGTTATTAAAAAGTTTGTGGGTGTGGGTATGTGTCTGTGATGGAGAGGGACAAAGCACACTAAAGAGAAGCCAACTGGAAGCACGCCATTAATTGCTGATGCTTGAGTACAGAAAGAAGAGAAAGAATAGGATTCCCTTTAGGCCCACGGTTTGAGTTACATTAAGCCTGTGGTCATTTCCTTTAAGACCTGGGAACATGGGCATTGCTCATTTTCATGTACTATTATTTGTGCCAAAAGAAAAAAAAGAAAGCCTCCCAAACCTCAAACCACATTGAAATGCATGAGCAGCACATAATTCTGTAGCATTTTGGTTTCCTTGGCAACCTTATCTCTGTCTTCTTTGATCTCAACCACAGATGAAAAAGTCTTGGTTCTCCAAAGTCCCTGAGATCAATTGCCAGCTAGACAGTAGCAGAACATGGTAGAATGCTCATTCTCTAAGAAAGAATTTCTAATTAATGAGTTTCTTCACACCAAGCTCATTCCACAATGGATTTTAGAGAACAGATTCTTGATGCATTTACCATTTGAGTTCTGAGCTGTCTGATTTTCATATTACCACAATTTAATTTTAGCATCACGTAAACATAATTAATCTTTTCACCAAGTGAATGAAACAAGGAAATTACATTTAAGCCTCCAATTTTGCTAAATAGTACTGGTGTCTAAATATTTACCTGCTCTCTCCACTTCAGGTCCCTTGAGCAGGACGTGGTGGGGTTTCCAGGCCTAAATCTAACCTGCAAATGTCAAACTGGAAAACACTGCTACAGAGGCTGTGAGCAAAGCCCTGAGGTCTGAATACTATTGGCAGAATGTTATGAAGAAATCAGGAGATAATTCCAAATGGACATGGAGAAACCTAAGTCATCCGATTATGATTCAGTATAAGAGGGCTTAAAACATTTTATGGAATTTGTGTCCACCCCTTAAGTCATTTTTCTAAGAAAATGTCTAGCTGGATAAACTGAATGAAATTAGGTATGTCATACACAGATTCATTGAGCCATAAACGTTTACTGGGGGCCTACTATATATGTGGCATTGATAGGTCTTGAGGCCCAAATGTAGAGAAGGACATTTCTGTTCAAACACCTGAACCAGAGACCCTCTCAAAATAGTGCATCAAAAATGCATTTTTCAGCCAGGTGCAGTGGCTCACACCTATAATCCCAGCACTTTGGGAGGCTGAGGTGAGAGGATCACTTGAGGCCAAGAGGTTGAGACTAGCCCGGAAAACATGGAGAGACCCTAGTCTCTACAAAAAACAAAAACAAAAACGAAAAAACGAAAAACAATTAGCCAGCATGGTGGCGTGCACCTGTAGTCCTAGTAGCTACTCGGGAGGCTGAGGCGGGAGGACTGTTTGAGCCCAAGAGGTTGCAGTGAGCTATGATTGCGCTACTCATTCCAGCCTGGGCAACAGAGCAAGACCTTGTCACCAATTTTTAAAAGAAAATACAATTTTCAATGTGTAGAAGAAAATATAAGGCTCCAATGAATGTTGGGTGGCTAGTCCCATCTTCACGATCCCTATCAATGGCAAAAATCTTAGGATAAACTCAAATTATTCTTCCCACGAGAATCCAAAGGACGCTGATTTGAGAACAGCTATGCGGATATGTTTCCGCTGGGGTATCACAAGCTTAAAGCACACCAGTTTACCAAGCTTTTCTCTTTTTTCTGTTCTTTGAACTACTGTCCCCAAATCTCATTTTCTCGGTTGACGCTCAGCATGATTTTCAATTTTAAGCTCCAACCTTTGACTTAAACCCTTTATCATGCGTATCCAGAAAGCAAAAAGGATCATAAGCATCTTACTATTTTGAGTACTCTAAGCTGTTAATGAAAGTATTTGCCCATGTTCCCAAAGAGACAAAACCCTCGCCCAGCTTCCTCGGCTTAAGTGGTGACAGCAACAATCTTTGCTCTTTCAGGGCACGAAGGTCTCTCACCCGATTTCAAAGAAACTATGATATCTTCCTTCAGAAGCTGCTCATGCAAATGAATTCTAGTTATTCCTGCTGTATTTCTCCCCTCCTTTCCACTGTGAATGTCTATTTAGAAAAAAGTATGTAAAATAAAACACACTTTAAAAACACTTAATGGACAGTGAGGGTTTTAAAAAATTGTATTCAACTCATTTTTTAAAGGCATTCCTGGGCCACGCTGAAACCTCAACTTGTCTAGGCTCCTTTGGGAAACCAGGAATCAAATTCCTTTGTGTTTTCTTCTGTCCATCTCACTGGAATATTAGCAAGGCTGGGATTATAAATGGGATTATAAGCCTTAGTCTTTTATTTCAATGGCTGTGCCATCTCATCTTTAGCCAGTTACATACTGAACACTTCACAATCGGGAGAACATGTAATAATGAATATAACTGCCATCTAATCAGCATCTCTTGGTAAATAAATGACCATAGAGTCATTTATTTACCATTCATTCATTTAAAAAATCTAAAAATATTTTCCTGGGTCACAAAGAATAACTGAGTCTTGCTGCTTCTCAAATTATCTTTAGATAAGGCATCTCTTACACTTCTACTGACTTTTAAAAGCAAGTTATATCCACAGTTTCATAATTTAGACAACTTGTAAGAAATGCAATAGCAAGATCCCTAGAAACTTAAACTATTACTGAGAAGACAGAAGAATTTGGATGTGATGAAAGCAGGGTTTCTCAAGTGCTTTAAAAGACAAAATGCCCGTGAGTTTTAAACCATCCACAGAGAACAGAGCCATTAGAAAGCTACTGCTTAATATCTTGAAGGAAAATTTGTATCACCTATTTTTCACTAAATAAACATGTTGTATAACCTGCAGCTAAAAGCTATTTTCCTCATGGTTAAAAAAAAAAAATCTGCACCATTACATCTTTCTCTCTCTCTCTCTCTGACAGTCTTCCTCTGTCACCCAGGCTGGAGTACACTGGCTCTACCATGGCTCACTGCAGCCTCGAACTCTGGCCTCAAATGGTCCTCCCATCGAACTCTGGCCTCAAATGGTCCTCCCACCTCAGCCTCCTGAGTAGCTGGGACTACAGGCATGTGCCACCATACCCAGCTAATTTTTAAATTTTCCTTTTGTAGAGATGGGGTCTCACTATGTTGACCAGGCTGCTTTCAAACTCCTAGGCTCAAGTGATCCTCCCGCCTCAGCTTCCCAAAGTTCTGGGATTACAAGCATGAGCCACCACGCAGTCATTCCTCTTTAAATAAAAGGAATTTACCTACATTTTCAAAAACTACTTCAAAGTACATTTTCATACTATTTATGTCTTATGTATGTGCTGAGTAATTCATGTTTGGATACATCTAGATTTAGAGTTTTTTTATGAAATACGATTCTTTTGGGTGGAATTTGTTAGATATCAAAGTTTCTTTTTTCCCCTTAGCTTTATTAAGGGTATAGCTGAGAAATTAAAATTGTTATGTGTTAACAGTATACATGCTATGTTTTGATGAATGTATATGTTGTAAAACGACTAAGATATTTTTTGTAGTGAGAGCATTTAAGATCTAATCTCTTAGAGATTTTCAAGTCTTCTTATTAACCACAGTCACCATGCTATACAATAGATCTCCACAACTTATTCATCCTAAAACTTTGTACTTTTAGCTAACAACAGTGTTTATCCTCAATAAAGCATGTTCTAATATAAAAAAAAAGATGTGTGGCATGTTGAAATATTACTATTTCTTCCATCATGTTTTAGCTCATTTCAAAAGAATTAAATCATTTCTCACTTCTTCAATTGTTACAGCTCGTCAGCTATAAAAATAAGCAAGGCAATTCAAGTTCCTTGAAATACCTGAATGACTATATAGACGTATCCTTGATAACAGGACACAGGATCAAGGTATAAGTCATGTGCATTAAAATCCAGAACTCTCTAAAATCAGAGGCCGAACAAGAACCTCTGGAGCCACCTACAGGTCCCCATGGGCTGTGTGATCCAACCCATCACCAACAGTGGGGTCATGTCCTGAGAGAACTCAATCTTAAAAACAAATGTCTCCAATCAACCTAGCGTTTCAAGAGTAGCAAGGGGAATACAGTTTACCAGCAGGCCTAAAGCAGATTTAGCCTCTATAGCCTCTGCAATCCTATTTATGGTGGGCATGGACCATCAGCTTCTTTATTAATGTCTGAAATCAAGAGGTGGCAAGACTCACCCCATCCCAGCATTTCAAAGCCTTTTATTAACAGAGGAAAAAACTGGGGCAAAAGAATACCAAGGAGCTACCAGAGTTGCTCCAAAGATTATGAGTTGATGTTCAGAAGCAGATGAGTGATCCGGTGAAAGGGTTTGTTGTTACTATTACCTAGTGTTTTTGAATTTTTTTTTTTAAGTATTTCAACACACCAACAATGGACTCTTTGGGTGCAGTTTAACTTTAGCTCTCTTCTGTTACAAAAGTTTTGGGTGGGCTACAAAATAAGGAGTTGCTTAAGAAAACCTCACATCCTCCAAGCAGCACCACATCAACAATGAATTTCGTCTCACTGGAAGCTCACTTTGCCCTCTCTCCCCTAACTCCTCAGGCCCCCAAAGCAGCCCATCACAGCTCCTTAGTAGAGGGATAAAGCCAGCATTTGTAAAAGGGAGCCCTATTTCCCAGAGATATATTACCTTGGAAAGGCTTGGGGGTCTCCACATCAAAGTTGGTGGGAAGCACAGTGACTCCAAGAAAGTCCAGCCGTTTCCCTACTCTCTCCTCTCAGGCTCAGGATTATAGGAAGAGTCTTCATCCCAAATAGCAGCCCCCCCCCAGATACTGACCAGACGGTGTTCCAAGGAAAGGTAAGTGAGAAAATGTGAGAATCCAAGGCCATGGGGACTGCTGTGAGATGGACACCACAAGGCCATCAGTACGCCATGATGAAAATGCCATCTTTATCCAATGCCCACTGGGCCCAGGTCTGCACTCATCGAGTACTATGGGGTCCACCCGGGACTACCCTCAAGGAGCTCTACAACATCCAGCCTCTATGAGACATACTCCAAGTAGGAATGGATCCAGATTAATCTTCTCCAAAACAGAGAGTTTCCCTTTCTATCTGTTGTGGGCAACCTGCCATCCTTCATAAACTTTCCAAAAATAATAGTATTAACAATAACCATTTCCATTTAGACCAAACCCTAAATCAAGAGCTGGCAAACTATGGCAGCAGGCCAAATCCGGCCCACTGCCTGTTTCTGTAAGTAAAGTTTTATTGAAAGACAGCCAGGGCCATCTGTTTATCTATTATCTAGGGCTGCTTTTGCTCTACAATGGGAGTGTTGAGTGGTTGTGAGAGAGACGGTAGTCTGCAAAGCCTAAAATATTGACTGTGTGGCCTTTCACAGTAAAAGTTTTCCCTGTGTGGTACAAAGCATGGAAACCTCTAAGGAGAGGTGTCCATCATTATCAGCAGGAAGCAGCCCTTCCCTGAACAAACCCCCAGCACAGAGCAGCGATGGAGTCGGGGGCGCTGAGATGGGAGCTATGCTTCCTGACCAGCTTTCGTGACAATCACATGACCCTGGCGAGCCTTGGCACCTCTGGCTATACAATTCAGGCATCAATACCTACTTCACAAGGCTGTCTTGAGGGTCAGCCAAGACAGAGTACACAAAAAGCTCCCGGCACAGGCAAATTACTCCTCAAGGTGCTCCATTAATGGTAATGACCCTACTGACCACTGTTACTCAAGAAAGAACACAGGACTAATGTGAATCCCTGCAATACTCATCTTCAGTCATTAAGGTTCCTACTGCTATGACCTCGAAAAGATCATAGACTCAGCACGACAACCAAAAGAAAGGACGCAAGGCTCTCTCTGTGTTGAGTCATAGAAAGGCACAAGGTCAGGACTTAATGTTCTTGTGCTTGGGGAAAAACACTGAGCTGTTTCAGGTTGGAATCTTTCAATTATCAAACTTACGGCAGCCTCCTAGATATGGAAAAGACTAAGAGCATTGTCACCCAGGGTCTGTCTCCGAACATTGTATCTTTCATCCTTTTAACAGACAGCAATTGGTACAAGGTATTCCCAGACAGTGGCCAAACTACACACAGGCCAACAGAAGCGCTGAAGAGCCTTTTTTTTTTTTTCCCTCGAGATGGAGTCTTGCTCTGTCACCCAGGCTGGAGTGCAGTGGTGCAATTTCGGCTCACTGCAACCTCCGCCTCCCAGATTCAAGCAATTCTCCTGCCTCAGCCTCCCGAGTACCTGGGATTACAGGTATGCACCACCACGCCCAGCTAATTTTTGTATTTTTAGTAGAGATGGGGTTTCACCATGTTGGCCAGATTGGTCTCGAATTCCTGACCTCATGATCTGCTTGCCTCGGCCTCCCAAAGTGCTGGGATTGCAGGCGTGAGCCACCGCGCCCAGCCAAAGAGCTTATGTTTTAAAGGGCTGTGAAACCACACTCCTGTTGCTTCAACTGACTTGACACCCACATATGCTAGGTGTGACTTCAGTCAGAACACACAGGATGGACAAGAATGAGATCATCCATATATGGCGCAGGGCAGGGACCTGACACAACCAAATCCTGAGAACGTGCTAAGATAGAGAAGCCGCGTTTCCTCGCCCTTCTCTCCGATCCTTCCATTTTTACCCCATCTCCCCTGACATTTGCAAATGGAAGCTATGCATAGCCTTTGATCAACCCAGCCTTCTGCCATGCACGAACATCACATTTTCCTGCATTAATGCAACTGATCCTAACAAACAAATCTTAGCAGGTGCGCAGGGCAGGGTTTGGGTGCTGGTTTTACGGTTGGGGAAACTGAAGCTGAGAATGATGGTATGGCTTGGCAAGCAAGGATCGGAGCTATCTGACTTATCCACTGCTCCAGAGCCATCCCCAGGGCCCAGTAAGTACTTGGTAGTTAACACAAATGCTCGATTAACAATGGTGTATGGCCCGGATTCAAATTTCAACTCCTCCACCTAGTAGCTGTTGACCTTGAGGACATCAGTTTACCTCTCTGTGCCCAAGCTCATTTATCTGTGAAATGGAAATAATAAACTATCATACAAAGTTGTGAGACCTAAATAACTTAATATATTTAAAGTGCTTACAACAGTGTGCTTGGCACAAAGCAAGTGTTCATTAAATGTTGACTTCTATTACTTGCTGAATCAAATCTACCTGACTTCCACCCAAAGCTTCAGGCCACTTTTTGTCTTCTCGTGTGTACTGTCGTTCTTTAAACATGCATTACAGCAATTTAAAAAATTATGACCTAAGAAAGGCCACCTCCTAGGATTTCAGTATTAAAGCCCCATGCAACAATGACATTTTTCAAAAAGACTTCTGGTTTCAGCTGATAACATACCACAAAGTATGCTGATAGCACCAGGCAGTCACGTGTGGCAGTTCAAGAACTTGAGCGTGACATGCCGTGTGAAGAGCATGCTTTGACATACACAGCACACACAGCACAATCATATAAATTGTATTTTACTGCTCTACCTACCTATGGCTACCAAATACAGTCCACATGGTCTTTTTTTTTTTGGTGGGGGGGGAGGGGCATAGATTACTACAGTTAGAAACATGTTACATTCAGAACCATTTCCCTAGCTTAGCCCTCTAAATAAAGGCTGGGGACAATTCCTGACTGCAGAAGGGCCCTTCCCTGAAACCACAGACCAGATAAAGAGCTATGTGAAAGCATTTGCAAGAAAAGCAGTTATTTCGGTTTTCCTGGGACATAAGTCTCCACCCAGTCAGACAGTACCAGCCATGGAGAAAAAGACCCTCCCTGAAGAACTCGCTAATTCATCTGAGGGGCTCAGAGACAGAAAAATTCACTGAGCCTGGGTTACCCTGATCCCCAGACTCGAGGACCCAGTGACATCCTGTTTTTGCTGGGTTCTCTCTTTCATATCTCAGAGCTGCCAGGCGTGCTCCCCTAGAAGAAGG
The DNA here is from genome assembly GCF_000001405.40 of Homo sapiens. NCBI lineage: Eukaryota > Metazoa > Chordata > Mammalia > Primates > Hominidae > Homo > Homo sapiens. The sequence continues at coordinate 124,651,870 of NC_000008.11, forward strand.
CTTTTGGGTCCTCTCCCAGACCCCAGGGTTCCTTAGAGGCAGGGGTGGGCCAGTCCTTGTCTGTCAGAAAGCCCGGTTGTGTCAATTTTCTTCTCCCTAAAGGATTTTCAGTCTCCAACTTCAAAACTCAGTTCCAAGGCCACCTCTCCCCTCGGAAACCTTCTCCTGGCTAGATTCACCCATTTCAACCACCCCAGGGGTTCCCTTCTCCTAATCCTCCCTGTTTAGTAAGAATCATAAGCTGTTTAATAATTGGATGGGACTCGGTAAACATTTATTCCAACTTCTTAGCCAGTAGAGAAATGTCTTCTTTATTTATTTTGAGAGGGAGTCTTGCTCTGTTGCCCAGGCTGGAGTGCAATGGCACAATCTTGGCTCACTGCAACCTCTGCCTCCCAGGTTCAAGTGATTCTCCTGCCTCAGCCTCCCGAGTAGCTGGGACTACAGGTGCATGCCACCATGCCTGGCTAATTTTTTGTAGAGACAGGGTTTCACCATGTTGGCCAGGCTGGTCTCAAACTCCTGACCTCAGGTGAGCCATCTGCCTCAGCCTCCCAAAGTGCTAGGATTACAGGAATGAGCCACCATGCCCAGCCGAGGAATGTCTTCTATACATTAACAATACCCAACAGAAATACAAAACAAGCCACAATGTAAGCCACATGAGTCGTTTAAAAATTTCTAAAGGCCACAGTCACGTAAAAAGAAACAGGTGAAGATTTGGAGACCAGCCTGGCCGACCTGGTGAAACCCCGTCTCTACTAAAAATATAAAAATTATCTGGGCATGGTGGCAGGTGCCTATAATCCCAGTTACTTGGGAGGCTGAGGCAGGAGAATCACTTGAACCCGGGAAGCGGAGGTTTCAGTGAGCCGAGATCGTGCCATTGCACTCCAGCCTGGGCGACAGAGCGAGACTCCGTCTCAAAAAAAAAAAAAAAAAAACACAGCCATCAAGAGCAACTCTAAAGAGTGATCCCACTGAGTCTGCTTTAACGAATATCCACCTAAAATGCTCTGAAGTTCTTTTTTCATTAACCTATCATCAACCCGTGAAAGGTTATCATCACCTCTGTGATCTTATTTACACTGCGACTTGATGGCAGTGAATTCTCTGCCTCACCTGCATTCCAAGTTATCTGTCTATTGCAGCGTGACTTTCAAAGGCAACTGATGATTTAAATCCCAAACATATTCACTTCCGTGGCCAGACACTTGGGGGTTGGCCTGGAATGCCCGGATGGGGCACAGGAGCTAGGCAGATGGGAAAGAAACTGAGGAAGGAATTCAGAAAGATGAATCTGATTTTAAAAGCCCAGACCAACCAATTCCTGTGCCAACAAGAGGGTAGTGTGGCAGCCCTCTGAGGGGTGACAATTGGTTGGGGACAGTACAGGAAGTCATCAGCTCAAAGTTATGCCTAAATGCAGTGTGTGGTTTAGTCCATCACATTGAAATAAAATAGTTAGCTAATAACTTTTCATATGTTATGTCTTCTGTAACATTTTATTCATTACAACTATGTTGGCATATCACCAGAGAAAAGATCATATTTGCTAACTTATAAAAAACAAGCCGGGCATGGTGGCTCACACCTGTAATCCCAGCACTTTGGGAGGCCAAGGCGGGTGGATCACCTGAAGCCAGGAATTCGAGACCAGCCTGACCAACATGGTGAAACCCCATCTCTACTAAAAATACAAAAATTAGCTGGGCATGGTGGCATGTGTCTGTAATCCCAGCTACTTGGGAGGCTGAGGCAGGAGAATCGCTTGAACCTGGGAGGCTGAGGTTGCAGTGAGCCGAGATCGCGCCAGTGCGCTCCAGCCTGGGCAACAGAGCAAGACTCCATCTCAAAACAAAACAAAACAAAACAAACACAAAAAAATAAAACAGGGATTCATAACATTTACTTTGCATAAAAATATCTCCCTTTTCCCCCTAGGATATACAAGCATGTGTGACTTTCCTTGAGGCTGCTGGGAGATGCCTATAATCGACAGAACTACTAGACACAAATCGCATTCAACAGATGCCGGAAACTTTAACTCACTGATCCCCTCCATGCCCATCAGGAAGCGGTTAGACATCCTGGTTGCAGGAAAAGGCCTCCTTCCTATCACAGACTTCCATCACAGAGAAGTTACAGAACAGCCACTTCTTGGGTTACTTACATTCCAGAGCTCCTGCTAGACGGATGCTTCTGGAAACGTCTTACTGCTACCCCACACGAGGGTAATGAGGTGTATCATCGTCGCTGACCTGTAGCTGTGGGAGGAGCAAGTTCCTCAAGCCTCGACTCCAAAGAAAGGAGGGACAGGCCTGAAGCGCTCCTGATGGTAGCTGCTGATACAATCCTGAAGGTTAGAATATTTGCTAAATGAATTATTAACCTACAGTTAAATGTTTCACCGTCTTCGCTCATCCAGTGTTCATTTTAATGACACAGATCATTAGCAAAGAAACAATTCCCTGGCACGCAAAGCATCACAGAAGCACATGTTCCCATCCACTCTCTCCACCTCTGTCACTTTCCACGGTGAGAGGACTTTCTGAAAATGTGAGGCATATTAACGAGTTCTATAGCAGAGAAGTTCTTCCTCCCTCCTCAAAGATCAGGAGAAATGATCAATCAAAATTCTGGAGAATTTTAAGAAAAACAAGAGTTTCATGAAGTATAAACATTGAAAGGTTCATACTAGACCACATGAAGTATGATGTATATCCTTATGCCAAGAACACCAGGAAGTCACCAACACTGATCCTAACCCAGCGTAATTGCTACTAGAAGGTGACCTTGGCCAGCTGCGTACATTTCCAGGTCTCAACCACGTTACCAACAAGGGAGGGTGTAACTCACATGACTATCTGACAAGCATAATGTAATGTACCCATTAGTAAACGTTACAAGCAACGTGCACAGCCCTTTAAAATTTCCTTACATTCCTCATCAGCCCTATGAAGTATCTTCTGTCTACTTTAGCAAAGAACCACCTGAGGTTCAGATAATTTCAATAACTTGCCCAAGGCCACAAAGTTAGAAAGTAACACAATAGGGTACTGGGCTCTAGTTTTCCAATGCCGAAACTTCTAACTAATTTAATAATTTAATAATATTGCTTTAATATCAAAGGCACTCTATTCTTAATCATAAAACCACTGCCCAAATGAAGCACTTTTCCACCCTCTCTTTTCTGCTCTCTAGCCCCCTAAACAGCAGAGCAGAACACGGATTGGAAAATGATGTACAGATGAGAGTTTTGATAACTGCAGATGCCCTGTGGCTGCAACTGCTGTCGGGGCTCAGGCCCACGCTTGGGGACCTGCTGGGCAGGCCTGCCAGGAGCCCTGCCTGGTGCACACACCAAGTCTGCTGACCCTCCCAGGGGAGCTTTTGTTCTCAAAGTCATTGCAAATAACTCTAAGAAACAACACATTAGATGCTGACTCTGTTGCAACAGTTAGTGGTCAAAGACAATGTACTTCTGGCATCTTTGGTTTAGACTTCCCCTTGCTAGGCCTGGAGGTACACGGGGTTCCCAAGAGCACAGAGAGTCAGATACGCCCTTCCTCATCCCAGCAGAACAGGGAGGGGTTGCCACAGTGGCCTCCACACAGGTGAGAGTGATCAGAATCCATACGACTCAACAAATAGTCATCTGGCACCACGCCATGCGCAGGAGCCCGGACTTGCTCTGCAAAAGTCAAAGATAAAGATGAAAGCTTTCTGTCTTTTTACCACTAGCTGCCTGGGAGATAAATACTCTTACAGCCACACCCATAATACAAGTTGGAGAGAGATGTGTGCAATGACAGTGGCACATATAAAGCACTGTGGAACTACTGAACCCAAGCAATAGGCTGCTTACTGATTGGGGAGAGAAAGAGGGATGGGAGGATGTGGGAGAAAGGGTAGCATCTCAGCTGGTCCTTGAAGCATCAGACAGAGATCAGAGGGAACCACATTCCAAGAGGGAAACTGTAGACAAAGGCCATAGTAAAGTAAAGAGTGTGTTCCTAGGATAGTGTGTCCAGAGTTCAGGGGAACAGAAGCTGGAAAGATGTGTGTATAACAAACGCTGAAATGCTCAAAGAAGAAAACCTACTTAGGAGGTTGAACTTTGGTAGGCAGAAGAAAATAAAATCTTTGAACTTGGAATGATATAATCAGAAGGAGAAAAAAACCTAATGTGTCTTGAGCATTGAATCTGACTGTGTTAAGTCCTTTTCATGCACTATTGAATTTCCTATCTCCTTTATCTTAAGAGATAGATCCCCGTTTTTCAGGAGAAGAAACTCAGACTCACTAACTTGTCCAACATTACACAGCTTAAGTAGTGGGGCTAGCATACTTGAACTCAAAACCAACTCTTTCCTTTAGGAAGAGAAAATCAGCTATGGAATAAAGGCTGAACTGGCAAGGAGGACAGGTGTAGAGCTAGGGAGACCAGCTTGCAAAATAAAGTTCTTAAGAGAGCTAAATGAGCCTAAATCCATTCATAGGAGGAAAACAAGCACACAAAAGTGTCAAGGCATTTGAGTAAAAAGTACGATCTCTCTAAATTGCTACCAAAAGGACAATGAGCCAGGACCTTTTTTTTTTTTTTTAAATGAAAATGAAGGCTGGGCACAGTGGCTCACGCCTGTAATCCCAGCACTTTGGGAAGCTATGACAGGCAGATCACTTGAGGTCAGGAGTTCAAGACCAGCCTGGCCAACATGGTGAAACCCTGTCTCTACTAAAAATATTAATACAAAAATTAGCCAGGTGTGGTGGTGAATGCCTGCAGTCCCAACTACTCAGGAGGCTGAGGCAGGAGAATTGCTTGAACCCAGGTGGTAGAGGTTGCAGTGAGCCAAGGTCACACCACTGCATTCCAGGCTGGGCAAAAGAGTGAGTGAGACTCCATCTCAAAAAAAAAAAAAAAAAAGAAAAAAGAAAAAAAGGAAAAAAAAATGGAGTTGCTCCTTCAGAGCCACCCCTGAAGTATTCCAACTGCAGGCAACATGGGGATAGAGGAAGCTGTTAAATGATACTATGAGAGTACAACCAACCAAGTCCAGAATGCAGAAAATTCTACAGGACAAAGGACCAGTAAATGGCATTTTTACGAAAACAGGAAGGCTGTAATAAATTAGACTAAATTAAAGGAACATATGAACTAAATGCAAGACATTTGAGTCAACTGGGAAAATGGAATCTAGACTAATGATGTGAATGAATGATTGTTAATTTTGTTAGAAGTGGTAATGGTATTGTGGTTATGGGTTGGTCTTGTTGTTGTTTTTAGGCCTAATCTATTAGCAGAGTCCATGCATCCACGTATATGGGTGAAATACTAAATGCCTGCACTTTGCTTTACAATACTGCAGGACACAAAAAGGGGTTGGGCTGGGGGGCAACATGTCTGAAAATAAGAACAGCAGAAAGTTGATGGTTACTGAAGCTGCGTAATGGGGTAAGTGGGGGTTCATCATAGTATTGTCTTTTTTGTGTGTGTGTTTAAAACTTCCCATAATAAAGTGTTGAAAATGAAGCCACAAAACATGGAATGGAAAGTTTTTTCCTTTTTTCTCAACACATGTGTTATTAAAGGCAGAGTCAGCAAAAAAAAAAAAAAAAGAAGAGGACACACACTACTTAGTCACATATGGGTGTGAACAGAAGTTACTTTCCTCTGCACTGAGCAGAAATAGAGGGCATGACATGAAGACTCACCAGCAACACTGTGACAGAGACGGTTCTGGGGTCAGCTCCAAGCCCACTGCGCATACATCATGGACAAGAGCACGTTCACACGGTCCTTACCAAGTCCAAATTTAACCAGGATACAGGGACCTTCTGATGATACACAGTGCCCCCAGGCACCTACCTCCCTACAAAAAGCATGAGGCTCTCAGCTCACATACCCATTATTGGCCCATTTCAAGCTGTTAAATTACAGCAAGCTTTATAAAATGAAGTCCCATTCCATCTACTGTGGACTAAGTGTTTGTGTCCTCCCCCAAAATTCTCATGTTGAAATCCTAATCTCCACTGTGATGGTATTTAGAGGTGAGCCTTTGGGAGGTAATTAGGTCATGAGAGTGGAACCTTCACAAATGGGATTAGTGCACTTATAAGAAAAGACATGAGAATGATGATCTCTCCCTCCACCACGTGAGGATATAGCAAGAAAGCAGCTGTCTACAAACCAGGAAGAGGGCCCTCACCAGGAGCCAAATGAAACAGTGTATTAGTCTGTTCTCACACTGCTATAAAGAAATACTTGAGACTGGGTGATATGATTTGGCTCCATCCCCGCCCAAATCTCATCTTGAATTGTAGCTCTCATAATTCCCATGTATTGTGGGAAGGACCAGGTGGGAGGTAACTGAATCATGGGGGTGGTTTCCCCTATACTGTTATCACGATAGTGAATAAGACTCATGAGGTCTGATGTTTTGATATGGGGTTTCCGTTCTCGCTTGGCTCTCATTCTCTCTTGCCTGCCACCATGTAAGAAGTGCCTTTCATCTTCTACCATGATTGTGAGGCCTCCCCAGCCACGTGGAACTGAGTCCATTAAACCTCTTTTTCTTTATAAATTACCCAATCTCGGGTATGTCTTTTATCAGCAGCATGAAAATGGACTAACACATTGGATAATTTATAAAGAAAAGAGGTTTAATTGTGCAGTTCCACAGGCTGTACAGGAAGCACGGCAGCTTCTGCTTCTGGGGAGGTCTCAGGGAATGTTTACTCATGGCAGAATGCAAAGAGGGAGCTAGGAGCTTCACATGGCTGAAGCAGGAGGGAGAGACAGAAGGGGGAGGTGCCACACACTTCTAAACAACCAGAGCTCCTGAGAACTCACTCACCATCAACCAGAACAGCAGCAAAGCGCCAAGGGGGAAATCCACCCCCACAGTCCAATCACCTCTCACCAGGCCCCATCTCCAACACTGGGGATTACAATTCAACATGAGATTTGGGCAGGGACACAGATCCAGATCATATTAGCCAGCACCTCGATCTTGGACTTCCCAGCCTCCAAAGTTGTGAGAAGTAAATTTCTGTTGTTTGCACCATCCAGGCTACGGGCTTTTCTTTTAGGAGCCTCAACTAATTTTCATTTTATAAAGCTTGCTGTAATCTTTGCATTATTTCAAATGAATCTGAACAAACCCCAGCAATTTTGAACTTTGTTTTAGAGGATACCTCTTAATATTAACCTGCCAACTGAACTCAGTAAGCAATTCCTTTACAAGAACTCAACACTAGTTAAGAACCTGAGATATAACCAGAATCATGGATGATTCGATGAAATGAATAATGCACAATAAAAAGTGCATTATTAAAGTACCCTTCTGCCCTGTTTAGAAGAATGAGGGGACTTTAAATAATTAAATAATAATAGCTAAATGGTATCAATTACCATAGTAATTTAACAGTTCACATTCTGTGTATCTGAGAATTTATAGTTTATTAAGTTTTTCTCCATGACACTCAATCTATTTCTGTGACTTGCATCTCGGGAATCATGTGTATATAGGGTATGCCTTTAGCTGATAATATTTAGGAAGGTCGCCCTTTAAAGTGAAACACTTAGATTGAAACACATGAATGGCCACTCTAGTCTAATTCCAGAAAAGCTACCTAAAAATCACATGGCGCTGCTCAGCTCATTTCTCAGGAGATTAAAGGCTAAGAATTATGATTTGGCTCCTACTGGCAAGCAGCTAATACATTTAAACTGTACTGGTCCCACTGGTTAAATTTTAAAGTCCTCAGAAATTCTTAGGAGGAAACAGACCAGATATGATTGTTGTCACATCCAAGGGGACCATGTAATGTGCCTAGCATTCATCCTGGATTCTCTACTCAAGTGCATTGATGGGACAACACCTGGGCCGCTCCGCTCCCACCTGGGTAACATGAAGATAGCAACAAATGCAGTGGCTATTTCTAAGAAGCAATTACTTCAGGCAGTGAGGGCTATCCCAACCCAGAATTAGAGTCCAAATACAACAACTAAATAGAAATAAATACATGCACACAAAATGGTAAGGAATCATCTCTTCCTGACTCTCTCTCTTACTCCTAAAACCAGACCTTGTGATTCAGTTCCCATGGAACTTGAACTTGAATAAGAGCCATAGAGTATTAGAAGCAGTCTCTTTTCACATACTGAAAAGTACCACCCCCCAGAAACATGGCAGGTAGGATGGCCACTCTGAGTAGATCTCAAAGCCACACAGCTGTCCCGAGGATATGCTTGGACTTCAAGACAGTACACATGTGTACATTTCAGAAATGAACCTTCAAAAGCCCTTCTCTGGCTCTGAGCTCAATTGTAGGAGATGAAAAAGCATTCGGCAGCCCAGAGTTAGGAATCAGAAAAGCACAAACAACCGTTTGAGTGATCTGGAATAGGCTGTGCCACAGAAACAGGGGCCCTTCGAAAGAAGCAGCACTTTAACCAAAAGAAAGTAAACAAGGGAGGGTGGGGGCAAGGAACGAATGGCACTAGTTTATAATTAGAATGTATATTTTGGTATTTAGAAAGTTGCCCATGCGCATGCACACACACACACACACACACACACACACACACACACACACCCTCAAGCTGAAGGGTGGAGGCAAGATCAAGGGGATAAATCAACAAGGCTTCCCACACAACAGCACAGATCACTAACCCACGCCTCCAACAGAAGAGGAAGTTCCTTGTTTAGAGCATTAACCCTCCCTCCCACTTGCTGGGGCTGAGATGCCTCCCACTACACACCAAATATGAGGCTCTGGCTTAGTGGAGGAATCAGAGCAGCCACAATATTTCTACGAAGCTTGTTCTAAATGCACATGATATCAGTGTTCTAAAATTCTGAATGTGGTACAGCTTTCATGCTAGTGCAGTATGGAAATGCCCCTCAACTCTCCCATGCCTCTCTTCCTCCTGGGTGCCCTGTGATACTCTGGTTCTCCTCTATACTAAGCAGCCTGGTCCAGTGTCTTCCCACAAGAGCAAAGGATGAGGGACTTGTGCCCCAAGGTCCGAGTGGAACACACATACACACCCTCCCACGCACACGTACACACACGCACAATTTGGTTCACACTGTATCCTCTGACAGTAGTCACCTCTTGGCCCTGAGGCCATCGTCAATCAACAGAGAAAATGGAACATTCAGTGAAAAGTAAAACCAGACCCAGCCACCAATAAGATGCCAGAGGGCAGTGGGATGAGTGTGATCATTAAAAAGTTTATCATTCAGAACCTTCATCCTTGGAGGAAAGGGTTTCAGTAACAACAGCTCACCAACACATGTAGGTTTTAAGAAATAATATTTATCGTCTTTTTCCAAAATGAAAGGATAACCTGAAAAGTAAAAACCTTAGGAAAATGGTCCCCATACACGCACTACCCAGAAACAACACCAATGTTAGACGTGTCCCTTTATTTTCTTCTAGGTTTTTTTTTTTTCTGTAAACTGATGAATTTTTACTAACAATTCATGCCTGCACAACCTGATTATTACAGGATCTAGACAAAGAGCAAGTTCATGAACCATGTTTTTCTGATGAAAACATGATCAAAGCACTAGCTCTTAGAAACAGAAGCTACGATTGTCTCAGGTGAACACAAAAGGAGCCCCGCAGCTGGGAAGATACGTGTGACCATCAGCTTGAAAACTGGACAGGCCACAGGGTCAGGTAGTGGAGTCCTAGCCACGCCAAAGGTGCAGACACTGCTGGGAGAGGCACGAAGCAGAGCCTCCTCAGCCCAGGTGAGGGGTGGTAAGGCTTCCTTCCTGGTCAGCCACCCGCTACAAACACCACCCCTCAAAGGCCGGGGCTAGGGAGGAACCTGGGAAGTCCAATCAGCACTGTCCCATAAAGGATTCCCCTCTTTCCCACAACTCACCATAGCTGCGACAGCCTGTTCACAGTTTGCTCAGCATACATTCAGGACCTGTCACACTGTACGGCCCACATCTGTCTGCATTTCTGACTCCCCTTAGACTATGATATTTGTAAAGTATGAGGGCCATGCTCCATTCATCTTCACGTCCTTTGTGTCTAGCAGATAGGAGAGGCTCAAGATGGCTCTCACCCATCCATGAACACCAAGGAAGTAGCCAGCTTCAGGTTCTTTTTAGATTAAAGAGAAAGGGAAATGATCCAGCCCAGTCTTGTCCCAAGCTCAGCTCTTTAGCCTGAAAGTTAATGGGAAAGGCAGGGGTGGCATGTTAGATCTATTGATCGCATGTGCTACAACGTTCCAGGGGCCCCTGCTTGGTGAGCTATGTTCAATTTTTGGGAAAGAGGACAACGTCAACGCTATAATTCCGGGTGCCTACCTCACACCACTCAGGAAGACCATAATCCAATGACAACTGAGAATGAATAGAAGCTGCCTATCTGGTTTCTTGGCATCCAACACAATTAGGGCCCCTCCGCCAGGGCTCTAGGAGCACCAAGAACAGTGATACGAATGTATTCCAGGGCCCGGCACATAGTAGATGTTCAATAAATACTTCTGAATAAAAAAAATACTGTATGCCATACACAGCACAGGACACCAAGAGAGGCCTCAGTCTCTGCCACCAGGAAGCTTTTCCATCTAACACAGTGGTTCTCTGTCTAGGGTGTCCATCACAATTACCTGGAGAGCCTTTCCCCAATACTCAGGATCCGGGCTCTGCCCCAGGCCTCCTGACGCACCCTCTGAAGACAGGGTCTAGACATACGTACTGTCAAACAGCTACCCAAGTGATTCTGAGGTAAACTCCCACATTGAAGAGCCCCTGCTCTAGAGAGTAAACGAAAGCTATTATTTATTATATTTGTAAATATTGGGGGAGGGGGTGGGAGAATAAGGCAGTAATGCTTTTTTATTTGTAAGTACCAAGACTTCCCTCCCTGCCCTCCCACGGGTTAAATTTTAAAGTCCTCCAAAATTCTTGGGAGGAAACAGACCAGGTACAATTGTCGTGGTATCCAAGGGGACCGTGTAATGTACCCTTGCAGTCAGATAAAGCTCACGGAAATCAAGGGCAACTACCTAATGATCCAAGGGACCGAGACGTGACCACGAGCCTTTCCTGATTGTTTTCTCCAGGTAACCAAGGGGCAGCTGCTCTCCTTTAGCCAGGTGAGAACACTGGATATCAGTATCTGGGCCCCACTCCCCACCCAACGCTGAAACCTCCCTCAGGGATGCTATGCCAACAGCTGCCTGGCTGGGTTCTGGAGCCGAAATGGGCAACTTGTACTTAGCCTGCACTCAGACACCTGCACACGTGTCTCTAGGAAAAGAGGGAGTGCCAGCAGCATGGCCAGACACTCCCTTTCGGGCTGTAAGTTTTTCCTGAGGCTGCCTGCTAAACCTCATGCTAAGACAGACAGACAGACAGACTGACAGACACACACGTCCACAGCCTTGGAGCCCCTTTGCTCAAGGAGGCTTCCCATAGACACCTTGGCAAAGACCTACAAATGAAGCCAAGGACACGTGTCCTCTGAAGGGGAGGAAAACCACCAACCCCTGTGCTCACTCGGCCCTCCCATCCCCCTTCCTCAAATCGGAAGCCTCTGAGGCCAGTTAGGAAACCCAGCTTTGGCATGCATCATCAGCCCAGAACCCCCACCCGCCCAATCCATGCTCCCACCAAGGTCAAGAGTAGAACCGTCCCACCTCCCCTTTCTCCCCACACTCTTTAAAGCAATAGATTCTGTAAATTTTCCTTTTCCCTTTCTTGGCTCCCCTGCATATGTGGCTCCTTATTCCTGAGGATACTTAGAAAAGCCATCCTCCTCCCACCTCCTCTGCAGACCCTCCAAATATCAGCTTTCGATATTTTGCCCCTCTGTCCATTCCCGTGTCCTTTTGTAAATGGCCTCCTACAGGAAAAGCACAGTGAATACAAAGATGAGTAAGACGTGGTCCCATTCCTCAAGGAGGGCAGAGACACACACATAGACAGAAAGTTAGGACAGGAAACGCCATGACAGAGAGAAGCCTAGGGCATCACGGAGCACAGAGAGGAGCGCAGATCACAGGGGCTCCTCAGGAGATGACACCTCAGTTCGAGTCTAAAAACCCGGGATGGACTGGTGCTGGCCCAGTGGTGTCTGCAGACAAAGGAGAAATAAAGCAAAGCACAGCACAGAAGTAACCTGTGCCCAGGTCGGTGAGAAGACACTTCAGCAGGAGAAGCAGGTGAGGTCCAGGTGGGGAACCCCAGGAGGGAGCAGCTGGAAGCCAGCAGGCAGAAGCCAGCGCCTGCAGGGCTACCCCCTCTCCAGTCCTTGGAGGTGCCACCCATGGTTCTGCTGGGCTGTTCCCAGGGGTGGTTTCATGACTTAGAACCACAGGCGTAAGTTCAACCTGTCATCATGGGGCAGCCAAGCCAATGGCCCTAATTAAAGTCTCCTGAGACACAGGCGTGGCTATCTCCTTCCAGCGAGGCCCGTCTCTAGATAAATGCTCCTCTACCACAGTGCCAGAGGCTGCTTCTCCAAGTAGCTTCCTACTGGCCTTTAATTTGGTAGCACCCAAGCATTCTAGTCTGAACCCAACCATTTCAGGTTGCAAAATGTCTCTTTAATCGTTGGGAGTATGTAGACCAGAGTTTAGGAGCACACAAGATTAGAAGCCACACTCTAAAATTGAGCCCTTCATTTCCCCTTAGGTTTTAAATAGGCATATGACCACTTGGTCATATTATACCTAAAAGCATACACACTCACAGCCTCTGGTAACATAGAATTGCAGGCAACAGGGCTCTTGTGTGTCAGGAGACCCCTCTACTCTAAAATAGCAAAATCCGCAACGAGAGCACTTGACTAGTAGCTTTTGCTTACATCAAGTCATAGTTGCTTCAGCCTCCAGGCCTGTTTCCTTCTACACAAACACTACCACCGTCACCACCACCATCCTCATCATCAAATACAGTGAGCAACTGCTACACATCTGGCACTGTTCACAGTAACACTAGGAAGTAGACTATTCTATTTCATTGTTTCTAAGACCAATCCTAGAATCCATTTTACAGTTCATTCTTTCCCCCCGACATGTTAACAACTCTGAAAGGCATTTCATATTTTAGTTGGCAGGATTTTTTTTTTCCTTAGTGCTACATAAACTAAAGGTACAACTAAATTGATAGTTCTTGGATTTGAGGAAATAAGCATTTTTTTTATCCCCATCTTATTCATATGAACACTAAGCTTGGAGAGGGTAAGTAACTTGCTGTAATATAAATGTTTGTACCAGATAATCTGGTCAGTAACCAGCACTTAAACTATTTGAACATGTCTATAATAAGAAGCAGGGCTGCCTTCCAATGTTGAAACAAAAATTAGTCCTGCTGTGTCCAAGACATTTCTATCTTTGGAATTCTTTAAAGATTTGCTCAATTCGATAATCTGTTCAGTGACTAATTCTATTTTTCTCTTCGATTCATTCCGTGGGCACTGCCTTCTCTCCTTTTTCCATCTCCGCAGACCTGAGTTCGTAACATTTCATCCACAGTTCACCCACTCGCTCAGTCTCACCTTTGGGCCCCTGGTTACTTTGTCTTCATCCCAATTCTTCATACTCTTCCAGGAAGACTTTGGTGATTTCCACCTGGCTTTTCTCCTCTCTTCTTTCTCCTGGCCTCTCACAGGGCCCTGGCTTGGCCAGGCTGATCTCAGACAGCCTAGCTATAAAAAAAATCTGGCCCCCAAGGCCGGGCACAGTGGCTCATGCCTGTAATCCCAGCACTTTGGGAGGCCGAGGCGGGTGGATCACCTGAGGTTGGGAGTTCGAGACCATCCTGACCAACATGGAGAAACCCCGTCTCTACTAAAAATACAAAATTAGCCAGGCGTGGTGGCGCATGCCTGTAATCCAAGCTACTCAGGAGGCTGAGGCAGGAGAATCACTTGAACCCCGGAGGCGGAGGTTGTGGTGAGCTGAGATTGTGCCATTGCACTCCAGCCTGGGCAATACGAGTGAAACTCCTTCTCAAAAAAAAAAAAAAAAAAATCTGGCCCCCAGAGACAGTCTACAGTGTTGAAGTTCCACTCTACTGCTGATGAGTCTCACGATTTTGGGCAAGTTACTTAACCTAGCTGTGGTCTCCATTGTTTCATCCATAAAATATTAGACCCTATTTCACAAAGCTGTTGTGAGAATTCAGAGACAACACACATATTAATACAATGTGCTCATTAGCACCCAGCACACAGTAAATGTTCAATAGTCTCACTGCATGATAACATTCTGCTTATCTGTTTACAGTCTCCATTAAACTGATCTCCCTGGGGTGGGGACTGGATCATATTTCCTAGCACAGCCCCAGGACAAGCACTGTGGCTAGCTCACAAGAGCTTAAGAAACTGTTGAATCAATGAATAAATGGACACATGACTGTGTGTATAACACATGCAAGGCACTGTGCTCAGGAACACAAGGGCAAGGCAGCCATGCAAACTATCAACTCTAATACAAATGCTAAATAGATGTTCTGGTAATGTGCTGTACAAGCACGATAGAGGGAAAAATTAACTCTGACAGGAAAGTGCACTGAAGAAAAATACTGATGGAAACACAGGAACAAAGACAAAGGAACAAAGATATAAGAGAAAATGGCACAAGCCACGACAAAGAGGCTTAGAATGCATGGTCTAGCATGGGCATCCGGCTAAGTTCGCCACCGGGATCCACAGACCCCTTGAAACTGAATGGAAAACTGAGTGACTATGTACCTTTCTAGGGAGGCAGTCCATAGCTGTCTGTTCCTTGAAGGGGTCTGAGGTCCAAAAAGATGAAGGGCCCCTGTGATAGGGTGTTGGTCATGGGATAGGGAGGGTGGAGGGAGAATGAGGAGGGGTCATCAGCGCAGAGTGAGCCCAGCTGGCCGAGGGTTAGCATACCAGTTGGCAGATAGTGAGCTTTATCATGTGACCATTAATGGGGGTCCTGGGGAGTTTTCAAAGAGGGAAGAGGGGTGATCAGATCTGAACTAAGGAAAGAAAATCCATCAGCAGTAGGGAGAGGAGGAGGTCAATGGAGGAGTTTAGGGGGAGAGTTGAAGAAGCCAGCGGGAATAAGGACAGAAATTAAAATTCCCATTTAAGAAGCAGGGAAAGGTTCAAATGAACCCAAGACAAATCTAGTCTCACTAGTTATATAAAAAGAAAAGAAGAACAGATCTAAGAAGCAGGCTGGGATTCAGGTGGAGGGGAGAGGAGATGGCCACGCCCTGGGTTTCCCCCCATCTTAGGATTTGATTTGAGATGGTGAGTTTGAGGAGAAGGCATGACCCTCATGGGGAGGCGCTCTCCCCAGAGGATGCAGAGCTCACCAGGGGACCAGGCCTGGGGCTGTGCATGGATTCTGGCACCCTCTCAGGGCAACTGTGAAAGCGCGACATGTTTCTGAGAGAAGGCCAAGACAGAAATGGTTAAAATGGTAACTTTGATGTTACATATATTTTACCACAAAAAAAAAATAACAATAGGCCGGGCGTGGTGGCTCATGCCTGTAATCCCAGCACTTCGGGAGGCCGAGGCGGGTGGATCACCTGAGGTTGGGAGTTTGAGACCATCCTGACCAACATGGATAAACCCCATCTCTACTAAAAATACAAAATTAGCCGGGCATGGTGGTGCATGCCTGTAATCCCAGCTACTCAGGAGGCTGAGGCAGGAGAATTGCTTGAACCCGGGAAGCAAAGGTTGTGGTGAGCTGAGATCACACCATTGCACTCCAGCCTGGGCAACAGAAGCGAAACTCCGTCTCAAAAAATAAAAAATAAATAAATAACAACAACTCCGGGAGGAGGTATTATTATCATTTCAGACATGTGAGGAAACTGGGACTTAAAAAGCATCTGCAGTTGGCAAGGTCACACAGCTACTGCACTCCGAGCTAAGATTCAAAGTCTCCAAGCGGCCAGGCACAGTGGCTCACACCTATAATCCCAACACTTTGGGAGGCCAGGGTGGGAGGATTGCTTGAGCCCAGGAGTTCAAGACCAGCCTGGGCAATATGGCGAGACCCTTTCTCTATAAAAAAAAATTAGCCAGACATGGTGGTGTGGGCCTGTAGTCCCAGCTACTAGGGCAGGGGTCTGGGGGACCACTGAGGTGGGAAGATCACCTGAGTTCAGAGGGTCAAGGCTGCAGTGAGCCATGATCGCGCCACTGCACTCCAGCCTGGGGGACGCCACCCTGTCTCAAAACAAAAACAAAAAAAGTCTCCAAGGCTTTCACCTCCACCGCTGGGCTCTAAAACCAAGATGCCAACAGGCCCGGCCAGCAACTGAGGAGGACACAGCGCAAGCGGCCACACGTGTGGGCTGTAGGAAGGTGGTGATTCGCTTTTTGTTTTCTCACAGGCACAATCAGTTCCACGTGCCCTGTCTTGTTAGGCATGTTTTGTTCAGGCCCTAACCCTACCAATGTGTGTTCATGGAGAGTGATGCTGTGGACAGGAGGTGTCACCAGATCTGCTTCATCCAACAGACAGACAAAGCCAGGTTTCCATACCTCAGCTCACATCTACGGCAGGAATTCATCCTGTCCTAGCTCCGTTTGAAAACCCGCCTTTCTCGTTCATGCCCCTACCAGGTCCACAGGTGAACTCCTCCCTCCCTGTCATCATAGCTGGCTAAAAACTTCCCAGTAGCCCCTTTGTGTCAGGATGGAAAACAGACCTACAAGGTCAACTTAGCACCTACCCGTGACACTCTTCGACAGCATGCCAGACTCGGCTATTAGGAAGGGAAAATTCATACCTCTGAACGGGACCAGAAAAGAAAGATGAAACGGCATCAGCAGTTAGCCACAATGAAGACCTCAGTGTGTTTGGTCACCCATCAAAAAGCTGACCTATACCCAGAACCCAAACTCCATTCTTAGCTATATCGACAGGATCTCACCCCAAACAAGCTTTTGCCCAGCAAATTCCACAAAGCTTGTCAAGGTTTGACTCCCTTTGTTCCCGTGAAGTGCAAACCACCATTACCACCTTCTTGTACACAGGGGCCCTTTCCCACACATTAGTTTACCTTCAATGATGTCCTACATGTAGCAGGTCCCCAAAGCTATTGAATGAATACAAACCTCACTGTTTAGACAGATATTCTGATTGTACCTGGCTTTTAAACTTTTTTACAAAGCAGGTTGATTGCCACTGACTTCATTTTGTTCCACTTGAGGTGCTGAGCAAAAGATGGATCTCTCAGTAAACACCAGCCACAAAATAAGACTCCCCTACCACCTACACACACCAAAAATACAATCCTCAGAAAAGCATGATCACATGGTGCAATTAGAGAAGATTTCAGCCCCACGGTTTTGGATTCTATTTTCTGGATAAATAATTACTCATTTTCTAATTAAACAAACAATTAGTAGAAAGCACAGCCTGAGAAACTGTGTAGGTGTCCACCGTCTCGCTCCGCTGAGATAGTGTGACAAATGATGCTAACTCAGGGGTGAATAAAACGTCCTTGGCTCCTACTGTTTGCACAAACTGATACAACCACACAGCCCAGCATTTACAGTACAGCTCACTCCAAACATGAAATGAACACTTTTAATGATTGACATCCTAAGTAAGAAAACAGTTCCTTTAGATGAAGGCCAGATTTCTTGGACTTGGGGCAAACAAGAGAGCTGGCTAGTGAATATATTGAAGGTAGTTTTGTTTATTTTGGGGTTTGTTTTGTAGGACCACTGCAGAAGGTTCCAGCCAAAAATGAGTCAAAGACAGTGACCTACATATTTCTGGCTGCTTTCTACTAACATTCAGTGTCTTTGTCTATATACATTCAGGGACACAAAGCAAAGCAATGACCTTTATAGATCATGTGCTAAAATCTGCTGGTTTCATTTGGCTAAGCAAAGTTAATGTTTACTCTTTTGAGTTTAGTACTGGTAAAAGAAAGTGGATAGCTACAGAACACTAGAGGAATCTCCCTACACTAGATAAAGGCAGATGGTACGCGCGTCTTGCTCCTGCTCTACTAATAGCATCCAAATATCTCTGCAGTAGGATGTGTCTGCAAGCACAGGCTATTTTAACATTCATTCATGTAAACTTCTTATTCATTTCATTCACTCAATAAATATTTACTGAGCGCCAGGTACTGTGGATACAGAGAACACAAGACAAAGTGCTGCCCTCATGGAGCCTACATGCTAGTGGGAGGGTGGAAACAGGCAAAACAGGTCATGAAAACAAATAAGAATTTCATAGAATTCTAAGTGCCATAAAACACTGCCAAGGAACAGAAAGGATAAATGGGGTGTGCAGTGGGAGGAGGATGGGGTATTTTTGCTGGGCGGTCAGAAAAGGCCCTCCTGAGGTTATATTTGAGCTGAAACCACACAAAGATCTGCAGAAGAGCAACCAAACAGAGGGAACAGCAAATATTGTGATCCTGGGATGGAAAGGAATTTGGCCAATATGGTTGAACAAACAAAAGGGACTAGTGGTGGCAAAGGAGATTACACTCAGGCGGGCGGCACCCCACACAGCCTGGCGGCACCCCACACAGCCTGGCGGCACCCCACACAGCCTGGCGGCACCCCACACAGCCTGGCAGGTATGGTTAGGGACTCCTGACGTCGTCGTACTTGCAAAGGAGTCTCGAAAATCAATAAAAAGCTACAAATTTAAATACAAATGTATGTATGAGCTCAGCAAACATGATACACTTAGGATTGATCATTTCAGCAACATGACTAAAAGCAAGGAAGTGAGCTTCAGATAAACACCATTTGTACAGCACCCTAGGGCTTACCAAGAGCTTTCATAACATCATCTCATTTGGATGTTTAGACTGGGGCAGTGAAGTCAGAGGTTAAGGACAAGCAATAAAAAGAGCTCCTGGCTCTTAATTACTAAGAAACCAATTCATCCCGTCTCCAAAGTGGTTAAAGAGGAAAAGTCCAGAGACCGCAGATTAAAAGAGGTGGTTTTAGCATTCTCCTCCCTCTGAGGACATCAAATAATTTCTCTAAAATGGCTTAAGATACAGAGCCCAGGAGTGCCAAAAGGCCAGGTCAACCAAAAGAAAACACAGCTACCGCATTAAATATAAGAAATGGGCATCCTTAATTTTCCATAGTGATTAGTCCTGATGAAGCCATCAAGATCATGGCTATGATCTTCTAGAACATTTTTCTTTTTTCTTTTTCTTTTTTTCCTGAAAAGCCTTTGCATGCCAATGCCAATAAGCTCATTGGGGTAGATTGCTCCAACCACTGCCTTTCTAAACTGACCTCCCTTCCACATCCACCATGACAGGCTAGGCTCCCTCAAATACTTTTCTCCCCATAAGATTTCTGACCTCCAAAATTTTCCCACTGAGCCCTCCTCCAGAATCAAATCCTCACCTGACCTCATGACCCGCACCAACCTTCTTTCTCCCATTGCTTCTACCCCCGTTCTCCACTCCAGAGACCTGTCTCCTCACAGTCATGCATGGGTACCAAGCTGGACACCATACCTCGAATGATGGGGCCCCTCTTGCTAGACTGTCCTCCCTCTTTCCACCCACTTGCCAAGTCCTCAAGGGCCAGGAAAGTCACGACTTTCTCACGAAGCCCCCTTCACTAGTCTCGCCCTCCTGGCTGCCTTCTACTCTAAAATTGCATGGCGTGCACAGCAACCCCCAAAGTTTCTCTAAAGGAAAGATAACTTTTCTGAAGATGACCAAAGTGGAGACAGAGTGTTCCAGGACATTCCTATTCCCACTGGGTGGCTCAAACATTGGAGAAGGATTCATGGCAACAGCAAATTAGTTCAAGATGTCCTGATACAAGTTTGCAAACAGTGGTTACTGGACACCTGACTTCATCTTGACAACAGAACAACACCAGACGCCTCTTATATAAGAGGTGTCTTCATTAAGAACACAGCATTCTGCCCCAGGAAACACATACCATGATCAACATCCATTTCCTTTATCAAAATAAGGAGAAGAGATTGAGAGTCTCTGTCCATAAACACACTATGATCAATACTATTTGTGCAGGCAAGGCAAAAGCTCAATTTTTGCCATATTCAGTGACCATCAGGAAATTTCCCAACCAATGCAACTCACAAACTCACATAAAGGGTGCATGTTTCCATGCATAGCAAGTAATACTCTGTGAAAGTTTTAAGAAAAATCCAGCAGCTACATCCACAGAGATATCAGTTGGAATGCAGCTTCATAATTTCTGAAGGAATACTAATTAAGAATGTAATTTTTTCAGCATTTATGAAGTAATAAGATACATCCAGACTATAAAACATACAAAGACAGTGTTAACACATTAATATTATTTTTGTTCACTTAAAAATATGGAGAAGGGGCCAGGTGCAGTGGCTCATGCCTGTAATCCCAACACTTTGGGAGGCCAAGGCGGGTGGATGACTTGAGGTCAGGAGTTCAAGACCAGCCTGCCCAACATTGTGAAACCCCATCTCTACCAAAAATACAAAAATTAGCTGGGTGTGGTGGCATGTGCCTACAATCCCAGGTACTTGGGAGGCTGAAGCAGGAGAATCGCTTGAACCCGGGAGATGGAGGTTGCAGTGAGCCAAGATCATACCACTGCACTCCAGCCTGGGCAACAGAGCAAGACTCTGCCTCAAAAAAAAAAAAGAAAAATGGGAAGGAAAGGGCTGGGCATGGTGGCTCATGCATGTAATCCCAGCACTCTGAGAGGCCAAGGTGGGAGGATTGCTTGAACCCAGGAATTTGAGACCACCCTGGATAACATGATGAAACCTCATCTCTACAAAATAATTTAAAAAAAAATAGCTGGGTGTGGTGGCATGCACCCATAGTCCCAGCTACTTGGGAAGCTGAGGTGGGAGGATCTGTTGAGCCAGGAAAGGCAAGGCTGCAGTGAGCTGAGATTGTGCCACTGCATTTCAGCCTGGGAAACACAGCAACACCCCATCCTAAAATAAATACACACATGCACACACACACATGCATGCACACACACACATATGCACACACACACATGCATACACACACACATGCACACACACACATGCACACATATATATGGAGAAAGAAAAAGGGCATGATGAAGAAGAAATGAGACCTCTCATTTATTGTCCAGGAAAGAGAGCCAAGCCCCAGGAACTGAATCTTGCAAGCCATGAGGATTTCCTTCAGGGTAACCCCAAGCTTGCAAATGAAGTTTCTGGATGTTCTCGCTGGACTAGTGCACTATGTTAGGAAGGTGAGCTGTGTTTTAAAGTGGCCCTGAAACACATAATGACAGCACAGGAGATATGAAGAAGGGAAAGCCACATAACATTAAATAAGAGACCACACTCACTTTCACAGCAAATGTCCCTCTCAGAGAAAATCACTCCTTAGCTGGGAATGGTAGCAGGCGCCTGTAATCCCAGCTACTCGGGAGGCTAAGGCAGGAGAATCGCTTGAACCCGGGAGGTGGAGGTTGCAGTGAGCCTAGATCGCACCACTGTACTCCAGCCTGGGTGACAGAGCAAGACTCTGTCTCACAAAAAAAAAAAAAAAAATCACTCTTTAAGAGTACTGCCTGCACGTGGAGTAAAAGCTGGTCACAAGCACATGCATGACCCAGATGTGGTGCCAAGGGAACCGAACCCACAGCCACCATTCCAAAACCCTGCGTGAAAGTCCCCAGGGGAGGTGGAAGAGTGAGAGTTGCTCTCAGCCACTCCACCCTGTGCTATTTTAAGCACCATGACTTCATTCTTGTTTGTTCTGAAGCAGCACAGATGGGCCGCGTCAATTTATGTTACTACAAGAAGAGAAGGAGACCCAGATTCAAAGCTGCACGTTTCTCTTGCCTTGTGTTAGGGCATCCTGAAGCTGGAACTGTGGTGTGTCGAGCAGAGGAAAGCACTATTTCTTTTTTTTCCTTTCTCTTTTTTAGAAGCCTAAGAGTATTTCACCAACGTGCCCATATTTCATGGAACCAACAGCCAGATCTACCTGAAAAATGGCACAAGGTGAGTTGCTAATAAAGCCATCGAGCCTTTGCAGCTTTGTCAGTGCCACCCAACTGTGAAATCCATGGCCCTTGCTCCAGACACAGGAAGGGTCCTCTTCCTCAGAGAGCAGGAGACAGGGTCAATGATCCAAGCTGCAGCATGATCCAGGGTGGAAGGGGCTCCAAACCACATCTCACCCGGTCACCTCGGAGGGCACAAGGCTCTTCCCTGAACCTTTCCAAGAAACTTAATGAACCAGACTGTCTAAGGGGCAGGTACAGAATATATTATTTTATTTTTTTATTTTTTGAGATGGAGCCTCACTCGGTCGCCCAGGCTGGAGTGCAGTGCCACAATCTCGGCTCACTGCAACTAGGTTTTGAATTGGTAGAGGTGGTCATTACCCCACATTATGAATGCACTAAATGTCACTGAATTACTCACTTTAAAATGATTAATTTTCTCTTATGTCAATTCCACTTCAATTATAAAAAACACTTCAATTATAAAATATGCATAATCTGCATCAGCGTCACTATATATGGTACACCCCACGCATCGCCAGGAGCTGTCAGCCTTGATGTACTTGGTCCGCCTCCTGGTGCAAGCAATTCTCCTGTCTCAGCCTCCCAAGTACCTGGGATTATAGGCACACATCACCATACCTGGTTATTCTTATATTTTTAGTAAAGACAGGGTTTTGCCATGTTGGCTAGGCTGGTCTCAAACTCCTGGCCGCAGGGATCCGCCCCCCTCGGCCTCCCAAAGTGCTGGAATTATAGGCAGAAGCCACCACGCCCGGCCAGATTACATTTATTAAACCTCTCCCAGGCACTGCACAATCTGGTTAAAAACTCCCAAAAATCCTATGAGGTAAGTCCTCTTATCATTCTTTTTTTTTTGAGTCAGAGTCTTGCTCTGCCACCTGAGTTGGAGTGCAGTGGCACTCTCAACGCACTGCAACCTCTGCTTCCCAGGTTCAATCAATTCTCCTGCCTCAGCCTCCCAGTTAGCTGGGATTACAGGCGCATGTCACCATGCCTGGTTAATTTTTGTATTTCTAGTAGAGACGGGGTTTTACCATGTTGGCCTGGCTGGTCTCAAACTCTGGACATCAGGTGATCCACCCACCTCAGCCTCCCAAAATGCTGGGATTACAGGCATGAGCCACCATGTCCGGCCCTCTTAACATTCTTGCTCTTTCTGTTTTCAAACAGAGAAAGCCAGCTCCAAGAAGTCAGGAAACAACAAGGCTGAGCTAGCCTCCGCTTCACAGCAGGTATGTGGAGGAGCTTTGACTGCCCTCCGAGGGGCAGAATAGAAGCTTCTTGAGGAACACTGATCTTTCACTAGTCTACCCAATGTGTCAGCCTCCCCTGCCAGCAAACACCATGTAGAAATAATGAATAAAGATGCATAGAAAACAGGAAAACCCAAGAGCCAGTCCTACAACTGTCACTTCCCAATGACTTGGCCTTGAGCAAGTTCCATTGCCCTTGAGCTCTGTTCGGGTCCCCTATGTGTAAAGGTGTGTTTGGTTCTCCCTCTGACACAGGGTTGGGGACCAAGTACATCCAGGCTGACAGGTCCTGGTGATGAATAGGGTGTACCATATATAGTGACATTGATGCAGATTATGCATGTGTGTGTTTTATATTTTGAAGTGAAATTGACATAAGACAAAATCACTTTGAAGTGAACGATTCAGAAGCGTTCAGTGCATTCACAATGTGAGTAATGACCACCTCTACCTAGTTCAAAAACATTTTCAGTGCCCCAAAATAAACCCCCATGGCCACTAAGCAGTCATTCCCCATTCCCTACTCTCACCAACCTCTGGCAACCTGGAAACTGCTTCCTATCTCTATGGATTTACCTATCCTGAGCATTCCCCATAAGTGGAATTATATGATATGAGACCTCTTGTCTCTTGACTTTCACTAACACGTTTGAGGTTCATCCAAGTTGTAGCATCTGCACTTCGTCCCTTTTTACGGTTGAATAATATTCCATTATGTACATACCGCAATTTGTTTATCCATTCATCCAGTAATGGGCAGCTGAGATGTTTCCGCCTTTTGGTTATCACGAATAATGTTGCGGTAGACATTCATGTAGCAGGTGACGTCTTTTAAGGCACTTTCACATTTCATTCTAACAAGTATGTGAGGTAGACCCTGGTCATATGAATGGCATTTGAGCTGTGCTTCCTTCCTCATTAAGCCATCACTTTCTAATCCCACCCCACTTTTATAATAAGAAAAACAATGAAGAACTTCTAAGGCTAAGTCGGGCACATGAAGCGTTTGTGAAGGAATAAAAAGGTATTGATTAATAATTTGATTTTTAAAAATTAATCATAACTCAGAATGTGTAACAGGACTGTCTCAAAACTGGACATTATTCCTAACATGCATGGAAAATGCAAAGATGGTATTAAAGATTAAATTCTTTAAAAAGTAAAGACACTGCAGGGACATGGAAAGAAAAATGATACAGGAAAGACCAAAGCAAAGCTCTTCATCTCCAAATCTTTGCCATCTAATTTAGTGACCAGAACACTCAGACCTTTCTTTGAACAGAGCCATTTTTATCAAGTCAAGATCTCACGACCATCCAAAGACTCTGAGCTCAAAACCTCATGTGGACAGACGCAAATGTGAGGCAACCTGGCCAGCCTTCTGCTGCTCTGCTACAGGTCTGGGCAAATGAAAGAACGTGCTCAAATCTAAACTCAGGTAATGGAGAGGCTAATGTTGTCAACATCAATATTGTCACTGCTTCCAAGACAACTTCTCAGCAAAACAAAGAGTCTCAACTCCCTCTAGGTGTTAAGAATCTTCAAGTATCAAGTGAAAAGGTCTCCGTTCCCTTGAATTCTTTTTTAATCCAAGGTTTGGGGCTTCAAATTCAGTATAAAGCGAGTGCAATCACAGTAGGTTACTTGAAGGGGCAAAATGCAATCTCACCTTAGGAGCCAGGCCTGCCAGACCCAGTCCCATCAATCAGCCAGCCACGGGCACAAAACACACGCTGATGAAAAGGACTTGGCACTGTGCATTGTGTCATGTCCAATACTCGTCATTGTATACATAATAAAGTCAGTCAGATGAACATTCTCATACTGTGTTCCCCATGTGATGCAAAAAATAACAAAATTGGACTATTGAGAATTTTAAAGGCACACAGAAAAAAAAGGGAGTGCTAAGCCTACAAATTCTCTGGCTGGAATGATACCAAAGTCCTCCTTCTCATGGTCTCCACGATCACCAATTGTTCATTTCTCTCTTTTGTCTTCCCCAATCAAGACCCTCAGTTCAGGGGTACACAAATCAGGAGGAGGCAGGGAGAAAATTTTTTTTAAGATTAATCTTGAACACTTAAATTTTACCAAAGGCAAGGAAAAGGTAAGAGGAAATATATTTTCTACCTCTACCTCCACACCCCTAGCCCTTCCCTCCCAAGGGTACTTTGCTTTAAAGTGAAATCAGGGACATTCTGCCAGGAAAGGTCATTTAGTAAACATGTCAGGCTTTGAGGGCCCTTTGGTCTCTGCTGTGACTACTCACCTATGCCACTGTAGCATAAAAGTAACCACAGACAAAACCCAAATGAATGGGCTGTGTTCCCATAAAACTTTAGGGATGCACTCTTACATTTGAAATTCATACCATTTTTGCATGTCACAAAACATTACTGTTTTCATTTTTTTCCCCAACTCTTTAATAGTCATTCTTAGCTCATGGGCCAATAGCAGGCTGCATTTGGCCCAGAGGCTGTAGTCTGCCTACCCCTTCTTTAAATCATGGATGCTAACTTTTTAGGATATGGTGTATCTGGTTTTTTTCTTTATTTATAGGGGAGGGAGGTTTAAAGTTCTGCATAAACCGGAAAAGAACAAGGCAAGGACATTACAACAGCATATTTCAGAAAGAAAATACCTACCCCTGTTCTGTGAATCTCAAGAAAATTTAAAGAGTCCTTTAGTCACCTGTTGGCAGAGGACCACAAATTTTAAAATATGCTTGCTTACTGCTAAAAGTTAAATGTTTCATTCCTTTCTCTTTGATAAAAGAAATTCAAGCATAGTTACTCCTATTTTCTGAATCAAATCAGTAAGTACTCACTAGATGCCTCTAACGTGTCTAGTACTGGTCATGCTGCCAGAAAGAAAGGACATCAAAATATATCTTTTCCCCCAAACATTTTGATCCCCGAGAGATTTTAGTGTTATAGCTTCAGTATGAAGGTGACAAATTGAGACTGATCCCTCCCAAACCATGATCTCAGCTGATCCCCTTTCATCCACTGAATGCATTTTAGAGATGAGTTTGGCCAGTGGATAGTATACATATTTATGGCAAGGAAGCTGGCATAGTATCACAGGAATAATTCCAGACTTAAGATCCTGGTTCTGCTCTTTAGCTCTGAGACCTGGGGAACACTAATCAGCCTCTCCAAATTCTCTATCCAGTTAAGAGGAGACCTAAAAACATCCTTCTCAAATAGCCCCACCACTTGAGTGCAGGGTCTGTGTATTAGTCCATTTTCATACTGCTATGAAGAAATACCCGAGACTGGGTAATTTATAAAGAAAAAGAGATTTAATGGACTCACAGTTCCACATGGCTGGGGAGGCCTTGCAATCATGGCAGAAGGCAAAGGAAGAGCAAAGGTACGTCTTACATGGCGGCAGGCAAAAGAGCGTGTACAGAGGAACTGCCCTTTATCAAACCATCAGATCTTGTGAGACTTATTCACTATCACAAGAACAGCACAGGAAAACCCACCCTTGTGATTCAGTTACCTCCCACCAGGTCCCTCCCACAACTCGTAAGGATTATAGGAGCTACAGTTCAAGATGAGATTTGGGTGGGGACACAGCCAAGCCCTATCAGCCTGGTAGGCCCTAATTCATCCTCTCATTCAACAAAGGTTTTACTACTACAGTGTACTGGGCTGCAAGAGCACAAAGATGAACAAGGTAGACCCAGTCTCTACCATCACGGAACCTGCAGACCAATTCGTTAGCTATTTTCAGCAGAAACACACAGGCATGCCTAACATGCTCCTTCGACTATAAAACACCTATCCCTTCTTTACTTTCCCCACTACCAGTTCCACTTTAACCTGTAAGTCTGGGAGTAGCTCTGGAGCATGAATTCAGGAGATCCTTGGCATTCGAAGGCTTAAACTCTCATGGTTGGCGCTATTCAGAAGTTCTCTGGTCCACAGCAAGTGCTAATTTACGGTTTGGCCAAGACAAGATCCGAATCCTAGAGGAGGCAAGGTTGTTTTGTGAGGGCAAGTCCTTTAGCTAAGAAGTAAGCCAAGCCTAGTGCTGGCATCTCAACTTGGGTTTGTTCTCTTCATTTAACCAAAGGTTTTATTTAATCCTTGCAACTGCTCTAATAGGTAGGTATGACCATCCTCACTGCAGTCGCACACTGTAGTGGCTGCTTAGCATTTGAAAATTCACAAGGGTCTTGTGTTATCACCCTCCAATGCTCGTGGTCTAGGCAGTGGTATCTAATTCTGGCTATACTTAGACTCAACTTGGAAGCTTTAGAACATACTGATGCCCAAGTCCCATCTCGGATCAGTAAAACAGTCTACCTGAGAGTGAGGCTCAAATATTAGGACTTTTAGAAAGTTATACATATTAAGGTGCATGCACGGTCTTCCATTCTGGACAGTTGGCCCCACTGGGCCAAAATCCTTGCCTGATCTGCTTCTAGAGCCCTTCTAAGAAGCCAGCCCAGTCCTCTGTGGAACATGTTCAGAGCATGTTGGCTAGACCAAGGAACAAACTGCCATATGGTCAAATGTGGATGTGATATGGAAACTCCTGTCACCTGACTCATAACCTTCCCTATCCATGCCCAAAATGAACTTCAGAAAATGCCAACACAAGACTTATAGTATATGGGAATCTCAAAATTTCGCATGCATTTGCAACAAGGTCTAGGAGAAACAGCATAGAAAGCTGCCTAACTCTTCAACAGGAGAAAATTCATACGATGCATTGTATAGGCTTTAATGAGGACACCCAACAGTTACCCTCAAATGGAATTATTCTCATGTACCCACTATTTTGGGATTTAATTAAAATTTCCTTTAACAACTGCCAAGACATTCTTTAAACTTAGTCTTTATTACCTTCTCCAGAATTTTTTTTTTTAATACTAGGGTGAGCAAAATGTTAAATCAGGTTCTCTTGATCATTATGTATGTATTAAACCCTTGGAAACACACAGGGAAAGCTAAGACTCCTATCAGTTTCAGTGTTCAATACATGAAGCATGAAAGGCAGAATGGTTCTTCAAGATGAGATGTTTAAATGGCAACTTCTTTGTCACTGGATCAGACCACACATGTGGAACACAAGGGCTGTGTCCAAGCAGGACAACTCAATCGCAGGCTCAGGAATTAGATATTGAGAAAAAGTACTAGGCGAGATCAAGAGTCAAACAGCCTGGGTAGGGAAGGGCAGGAGTCATCCGAACGGGGTCCTCATCCCCTCCAGATGTCAAAGCTCCAGGGGCCACTGCCAGCCAGAGCTGCTGCCTCTGCTCTCAGCTAACAGTGGCTAAGAAGGAAGGCCTAGGCAGCTGAGTCCCAGGGGAGAGCACACTTGGAGGGGCATTACCCCAAGGAAAAGGTGGAAAGGATTATAGGAAAAAACAAAGGTTGTCTATGTGCCACAAGGAGGGGCTTCAGGTTCCCGTCTCTAACATAACATTTCTACAGCACTAATAGCATATCATGTACCTGCTATACCAATAGTATAGTATTAAATACTTCCATGATAGTTATGTCTTGCAAACAGCACCCAGGTGGTCTTGACTACCAATGGACTCTAAATAGAGAAACTTAACAACCTATTACATGTGTCAGAGAACATTCACTGTTGCCAAGTAGTGTTTCTATAGGTACGAATGAAGGACACTCCTCTTAGGCAAAACAGGTAAGGCTTTGAGGAGCTGTCACATCTACCCAGCTGCTTTGAGGTCATTGCTTCTCTGCATTTTATGTTACCCCAGTCTCTACTCCTAGGGGAGGATGGTTCGGCAAGGTCACCAAGACCCTCCTGGCCAGAGTGGGGATTTCTTTAGACCGCAGGAGAGGAGCTCCTTAACCACCTTTAAGCAAGTTAATAATCTGTTCAGGGCCACCTGAGGATTAAGTGGTATAGCCCAGAGTAGAGAGGGTCCCCCAGCATGAAAGAGACTCCAATGTCCTAGTGTCAGATGCAAAAAGGAAAATTACAGAGCTCAGCTTCCTCCTAAGTGAAAAGCTGAACTTTTAAAACCTTAGACAAATGTGTCTATGGAGTCAAAAACAACACAGAGAAGCTGTGACATTTAAAAAAAAAAAAAAAAAGCAAATGATGAACTCAAGTAACAAATCTTCCACTCAGCATCCCAGCGGCAGAGAGAAATGCCAACCTCAGGACTCCTACATGTGTTTTATGCTGAAGGAGCTATTTCAAGCAGCAAAGGTTCTGCTTCTATGCCATTCCCAGTTTCTGTTTTGTTTTGTTTTGAGGTATGTCTTTTTAAATATCCACGATAAAAATGTAACCATCCCAAATATATTTCAATGATAGAAATACATGACCACTGTTTAGTTTAAATCAACAGTATCTCTCTCAAAACTGCCTCCTGGCTGGGCGCAGTGGCTCATGCCTGTAATCCCAGCACTTTGGGAGGCCAAGGCGGGTGCATAACTTGAGGTCAGGAGTTCAAGACCAGCCTGGCCAACATGGTGAAACCCCATCTCTACCAAAAATACAAAAATTAGCCGGGTGTGGTGGCAGGTGCCTGTAATCTCAGCTACTCAGGAGGCTGAGGCAGGAGAATTGCTTGAACCTGGGAGGCAGAGGTTGCAGTGAGCCGAGATCATGCCATTGCACTCCAGCCTCAGTGACAAGAGCAAAAAAAATGCCGTCTCAACAAAATAAAACAAAACAAAACTGCTTTCTATAAAGATTACTATAATTGATAGGAAGCCCAGAGCATAGTGCCTGACACATTTGTATGTGCTAATAAATACTAGCTTTCCTGATTCATATAAGCTAACGATTGAAGGCTACTATGAACCAGGCACTGAAAGCTCTTTATACACCTTCTCAAAGACTCCACACACAGCCTACAAAGGTGCTGTTATCACATCCAATTTACAGATGAGAAAACAGGTACACAGAGGTTAAGGCAACTTCCCAAAAGTCACACTGCAAAAAAGAGTGCAGGCTGGGATTCAACTCAAATCAAAGGTTCTTAAACAGCAGCCATGCACTTTCTTAACTCTAACAACAGGGTAGCCCTCACGCCAGAATAATTTACCATCTTTTCCATTTTACGCTAAAGCCATTTTGGGGGTTGTCTTTAAGTGAAGTCAGAGCAGGGGTGGGGACACTAGTCATCAACTTGTGCCCACCCCCATCTTCGGCAGCCTCCCCCAGGCTGTGCTCGGCCCTATTTGCTAAATAGCAGGTCCCTGGAGGTTGCACAACCATCAGCAGCAAAGTAGCTGGAATCCAAAACTAACACGGCTATCCCTTCAACGCTTCCTCTTCACCTCGGGCAAATAATCCATCAGTGCACAAGGCCACAGGTGTGAGGGGCGGCACAGAGACAGGAGAGAGGCCCCATTCCAGGAGAGTAAGCCTTTGGATCTGAGCCTCACGGAACAGGCAGGCTCTAGCCTACAGCCTCCATTCCTGCAGGGTAAGAATACAGTAGACAGGAGGCTAAAGTGGCCGGTTTGGCTCTCGTGATGCAGAAGGAAGCCTGGAGTCAGCAAGGGGAGACCAGGCTGCTGAATGGGCCAGTGGCTAACTGCAAGGCCAGCTCAGGGCAGCTAACTGAAACAGCAGCTCCTACTTCAACGAAGGGGAACTGGGTGGGGAGGGAAATGACCCAGTGTAGACATTGTCCTTACAGCACACACAAAAAGCACATGCCTACATATGACAATGATGGAATATGGCATTTCAAGCCAAATTTATACTAAACATCAAAGAAAACCAGGGCTTTTCTGAAACCAAAACACATTTCTAACCACTTTCTTGAAGAAAACAAAAATGGCTGGGATCTGAACCAGGCATAACCATTTTGTCTTGCTTTTTGAAAGCTGACAAATGGTCATCCCAGCCCTTCCTTCCCCAGTCTATGACCTTTTCAGACCATCTTGGTTCCTCTCCTGATGTTTCCTAAAGTAGTGAAATGACAGTACATTCAACTATCTGGCCCCATTTTATTTCCATGTGATTTAAACCTGATGTTTAATGTGACAGCACTTCCATTTAAAGTAAGCAAAAAAAAAAGAAAAAAAGTTTCTTATACACAAATGTTTTAACGTTTAATGTGTAATGTTTAACATGTGGTTAAAAAGGAAGCAGCCCACAATTTTAAAAAAATGAAATTTAAAAAATGGAAGAAAAACAATGACCCCAAAATCCTCATTCAAGGAATTGTGAACAGAAACAAAGTCTTACAATAGCCTGCAGTACACTATCAAATACTAGCTTTATGTATATATAGATATATACGTATATACACATATAGATATGTACACATATATACAGATATATGTACATGCAAGGATCCAAACCTAGTAGGGAATTTCCAAGAGTGCCAGCTTCTCTGACACCCTGGAAAGGAACTCAGAAACACAGGTGTCTCTCCAGACTAGAAAACCTCAACTGGAGGCCAGAGGTGGGACACGCCCTAGGAAGCATCCAGACAGACGGAGTGGAACAACACAACCTTTCCAACACGAAGGAGCCCACTGCCATATCTGAATCTGGCTGCAAATCTGTCAAGACACAGGGCGGGTGGAAACATCAGAAACCATCTTACTGACATGGTCAACCAATGGCTGAGCAGACACACTCAGGACCAAGACCCCATAATACAGCAGTTAAAAGCCTCCAGGCTCTGGAATCAGAGCCCAGTTGCAGCCTCTTCCAGTGTCAATAAGAGAAGTTACCAAGTGGATGGTGGTGAGGCCATAACAAGCCGGTACCCACATGCGGTGGGGGCTCTGACACCACTCCCATTTCCATTATCAAACCAAGGAGACCGAAAAAGTGACCTGGGCCATAGGATTCTCAAATACTGATCATCTGAACAAATAGAATCTTGTATCTGACAACAGCAGAGCAGCACAACCATTTGGTTTGCAGCCACGGCCAAAACTTGGAGATTGCAAATGTACAATCAGAGTAAAGACAGCCACAGGATAGCAAAAACCTTTCTTTATTTCTTTTTTTCTAGACGAATGAACTGTAAGCTACTTTGCATTCCTTTTAAGCTTCTTATTTTTTAGTGTCTGATACCACGGCCATTAAAAACAATCTCTAAAAAGTCTTTGTTGCACATCAGAATGAGACAGCTGGGTTACTGGCATGAGGAAATGTTCAATCTTGTCATTTTGCAAAGGAATTCATATTCATAATTAATGACGCTTTTGTCCATGCCAGAAGGAAAATCTAAAGGCTCAACTATGCCTAAGTAAATTCTAACCAAGCCAACTGCAACACGGTTTTATAAATTATAGAGCAACAGAAAAGAACAAGATTTTGTGAGTTGCAAGCATAAAGAAAAGAACGAATGACAAGGCGGCCATGTTTCAAGGAAGCAATGAGATTAGGAACATTCATTTCTAAAAGGATGGGTAGATTTTCCTTCTCCCTCATAAAAGCAGCAGTAATTGAAAACTTCAACATCATAAGAAAAGGCATATATTTGACCTGCTACATGTATTTGAGAGATTTAATAACACTTTCTTTGTGAGTGTGCCAGACAGATACCACCGGGTTCCATCACTGGCCCCAAATGTCAACTAAAGATAATGAAGTGGGGGCAGATAAGCTACAAAGTTAGGTTTGGTTTAAGAGGTATGTCTATGGAGATGCTGGTAGATAAGTAGAAAACCCCTTGAAAAAACACTAGTGAAACATTTCAAAGAAATGTTCTTAAAGATAACTTTGCTTGTCACATAGCCATTAGATAGATAAACAAATGTGTGTTCAAGTAGAAACTCATTCCATTCATTCAAAGAAGATGTATTTGGCCCCTACTATGTTAGGGGCTAAGGCTATAATGATAAAACACAAAACACTGCCAGAAGCTGGGAAGGGTGGGGACAGGGAGTAACTGCTTAATGAGTATGAGATTTTTGTGTGTTTTTCTCATGGTAAATAAATAAATAAATATAAACCAAGAAATTCACTATTTTAATTAACCATTTCTAAATATACAATCCTGTGACATTAAGTATATTCACATTGTTAATGTAACCATCACCACCTCCATCTCCAGAACTTTTCATCATCCCGGTACGGGGCTTTCTTTCACGGTAATGAAAATGTTTTGGAATTAGATGAGGTGGTGTCACACAGCACTGCAAAAATGTCCAAACTGTCACTAAACTGTTTACTTAAAAATGATTAGTTTTATGTTATATGAATTTCACCTCAATGAGAAAAAAATAAAAGAAAGGAGCCTGGATGCAGTGACCCATGCCTGTAATCCCAGCACTTTGGGAGGCCAAGGTGGGAGAATCTCCAGACCAGGGAACAGGTAATGTACAGTACAGTGCTACGACAGCGAAGCCCAGATTCTGGGCAGAGCTCTCAGCGGGGATCCTAAGCCCCTCAAGGAGGAAAGGCGTCCTGGAGGAGAGACCGCCTGAGATAACCTTGGAAGGTAAGTCAGAGTCTGCAGGTGAGGGAAGGGAGAGGGCATTCCGAGTGTGTGTGATGCAGGAGAGAATGACATATTCAACACACCTGGGGCATGTACTGGGGAGACAGCCAAAAACCCCACATTCATTCAAGACACCATTCATCCCCCAAATCTAATCACAAAACATACAATAATGGGGTGAACATTATAATTATACATCATACTTAAAATATTTGTTTAAAATAATAATTATAAAAAATACTTTTAAAATGCCAGAAGAAGACATTCAGGAGAAAACAAGGACTGAACTGGATCCCAAACAGCGGCAGAAGTTGGAGACAGACAAGTGGGAGGGGACAGGCCACGCGGGGTGAAGGCGGAACGCAAGTGAGCACCATGTCTCTAAGTGACCAAGGAGCCAGCAGTCGGAAGGTGGCCAGGGACCCCCAAAGTCCCAAGTCACAGGAGCACCACGACCTCTCATCACAGCTGCCTGGGTTTACAATTTATAAAATGCTTTCACAACTATGACCTCATTTGACTTCCACCGTCACCCTGACAGGCAGGTACGGCAGACCTGACTGTCATCTCATAGACAACGAAACTCAGGTGTGTCCAGCTGTACTGACCCACCCAGGGCCACACAGCTGTGAGCAGGCAGAGGGGGCCTGCAGCCGCCTCCCCATCCAGCTCCGCCTCCCTGAGCCCTCTCTCCATCACGCAGGGAGCGCAACACGAACGGGAACTCAAGCGCTCTGTTCACCCCATTCCTATTCTCATTTGACTTAATCTTCTGAAAACAAAAAAAAAAACTTGCATATTTTCACTCTGGGAAATGACCTTTTGGTAAAAAGGAAGCAGTCTTTTTTTAGTAAGATGTGGACTCTTTACAGAGTTGTATACGTGCAACTTGGCAGAGTAGTTGTTTTTCAGATGAAACAATGCATGGACTGTCGAATTCCTAACATCATAACTTAGTTATGAATGATTTCAAACCTAGCTTCAATGAACCAAGCTAGCTACAACTGCCTCAAAAAAGGCATAGCCAGAGTTCCGTTAAATTGCCCAACAAAACCCAAAGAGGTCTAGCTTGGTGATTCTCAACCAGGGCTGATCTCAATACACATTTTTGGTTTTCACAACTGAGAGGGTGTAGAGGCCGAGAACGCTGCTAACCAACCTACAATGCACAACACGCCCCTCACAACTAATATTTATCCAGCCCCAAATCACAGATTGAGAAGCCCTGGTCTCAATTCTGAGGTGTTTCCATAAACTGATCCCTGAGGTGGGAAGAACCTGGTACTGGAGTGTCACATAGACGAGATACACACTCCAGAAACTTATGTCTGGCACACTTGGTTAAAATGGCAGGCAGCTTCAAAGTTGTGTGCCATTTTAACCAGGTGACTTCAAGTCACCAAGAGTTTCCCCATTTGCAAAATGGGGTTCCCACTACCTTTCTCAACCTGAGATAAGGCAGCTGGTGGGCAAGTCGAGAACCCCAACAGCAGAGGACCCACAGTCAATGCTCAAGACCGAGGCTGGACTGAGCTCACTAAATAGCACACTCTCCCGGCACTCGCTTTATCCAAAACATTTGAAAACACAAACGCCAGAGCGATGGGCATCATCTAAATAAGGGTGGAGACAATTACTATCCTTCAATCTCATTAAGCAGGAGTCCATATGCCTGCATGGAAACCAGGGCTTGGGATCACTGTCATCTCCCACACAGACATACTGTAGTCAGTGACCGGTAGGACCACCTGGACCACTGCAGGAGGTTGGGTGGTGCGTTTACATGGCTCATATTTCCTGCAGTTCCAGCACAAGCAACACCTCTTGCACTTGGGCTTAAATCGTATTATCCAAATGAAGTATCACTCTCCTAATCAGCATCCCCTTTAAGCAAGCACAGATGGCAATCACGTGCTTAAGTGGCAAATCAAGGGCTGAAATCCGGGCAAGCTCTCCCAGGCTCTCGGATCTGGTTCTGTGAGTGGGTTCTGAGAGAGACAGGGGTCAGGAAACACAGGATGACTGGCACACGCAGAGAGCTCAAGGTCTTTTGTCTGCCCTCAAGCCCTTCTGGTGAACCAAATGGACTCCACCAGAGTCAGCGGGTAAACACCCTTGTCAGCCTTGCAGGCCAGTCATTCTCAAAGAGAAGCCTGTGGATCAGCAGCACAGGAAGAAGAATGTTTACTATCGCCTCCACAATTCTTTTGTATTTTATCAGATCCTCTGGCCATCTTTGAGAAACTGTGCACTGTCCTACTTCTGACAATCAGATTAAAAGGGCGCGTATTAAAGGTCCCTTTCTGTCTTAGCAGAAACAGTATTTTTTCATTTTACTTGTAATCAATCAGCTTTGCCCCCTTTCCTGATTTTAAAGGCAGGAAGAAGCAGCATTGTATTGAACTGTGAAATGCGCTCAAATGCGGCTCTAAAGGGAAGTACCACCCGGGCGGCTGGATATTAGTTTCCATGGTAACCGAGGTCCCTGGGCCCTAGCACACACAGCAGGAAATGCTGCAGATTACCACAGCAGTGTCTTTTACTAGAAATAAGAGTTCCATTTCAATTGTAAACATTTGGGAATCAAAAAACGTGTATTTGTGTGTATGTGCGTACGTGTGCGTGTGTATGTATGTGCATATGTGTATGTTGTGTGTATATATGCGTGTGTATGTGTATGTTGTGTATGTTGTGCGTGTGTGTGTGCATGTGTATGTGTGTGTATATATGTGTGTACGTGTATGTTGTGAATGTATGTGTATGTGTACATGTGTACGTCTGTGTGTATGTGTGTTGTGTGTGTGTTGTACGTGTGTACATGTGTATGTTGTGTGTATGTGTATATGTGTATGTGTGTGTACGTATGTGTGCATGTAGATGAATTGAAGGCAATGTAAATGAATTGAAGCCTCATTATTCTTACAGTTAAGAAGCTTATGTCAAATGAAACAAATGATTAAAATGTAAGCAAAAATAGCCTCCCCCCTTCCAAAGAGCTAAAAGAAAACAAAAATATCTTCTGCAGAAAAAGGAAGAACCAGAATGGAAGCAGAGAGCTGCTTTGGAAACCAGATGACCACGGGTTTCTTATTAACAAACAAGCAAACCAAAATGTCTGTAAACAATCACCGGCTGAGAGACAGAACAGAGATTTTTTTCACAACCTATGCTGTGTCCTCCTTGAACTCCCTCACCATGAAACCAAGAAGTCAGAGCCAACAACTGCTTAGGTGGTTTTTAAGGGAAATCACGCAATAGAAAACCCAACGCTAGAATCCCCAGTCTCCTTCCTAGCTGTGTGACCTCGGACAAGTGACTTCACTGAGATTCAGTGTCTCCAGTAAAAATGAAAATGTTGCACTAGATACTAGGTGAGCAGAAGAAAAAAAAAAATCCTGTATCTTCTCAAAAATGAAAGACCAGATAGTTCCTTTAAAAAAAAAAACTTCCAAGTAGTTCTCACTTTAAGCTTTCTTGAAGTAGTGTATACAAATCTAATGTCTTTAAAATGAGTCAGAAGAATTCACTGCCAAATTCTCGGTGACAGAAGACCTTTTTAGTATTCTATAACTATTCCTTGAGTTATTTTCTGGTAACAGCACTTTTCCTACAGCAGAGGACACAAGCGCAGGTTAAAGTGAAAATTTTAGTTCCAACTAGCTTTCACATTTTGTGCGTGTTTTCTAGCTGAGACTTTTTCAAAGGGAGCACAGAGGAGGCATCTATGTGGTCTGACCAAACAGACCCGTCCTAGAAAAATACTAGTTTGACAACTTCAAGTATCTTCAAGTTCACATTTACATTCCAGATGGTTATTTTTATCTAAGATGGGCAGAGCAGACCAAACCAAGTTCATAGCTCTATGGCAAATGATTCTTCACAAGAGAACATTAAAAAAAAAAAAATTCTTGGCTGGGCGTGGTGGCTCACACCTGTAATCCCAGCACTTTGGGAGGCTGAGGCAGGCGGATCACCTGAGGTCGGGAGTTTGAGACCAGCCTGACCAACATGGAGAAACCCCATCTCTACTAAAAATACAAAAATTAGCTGGGCATGGTGGCGCATGCCTGTAATCCTAACTACTCGGGAGGATGAGGCAGGACAGTCGCTTGAACCCGGGAGGTGGAGGTTCCAGTGAGCCAAGATCGCACCATTGCACTCCAGCCTGGGCAACGAGAGTGAAACTCCATCTCAAAAAAAAAAAAAAAAAAAAATTCTTCGCTTCATCTGCATGAACTAAAATAACTGCATTCTTTCATGAATGTTAATATTTTACCAAAAGTGACTACAAGGTATGTGTGTGTGGCAGTGGGGATGGGGTGGGGTATTAGTTATTAAGCCAAAACAAAAAGCCAATCTATGGGAAGCAAAGGCAAGAACTAGGATGGAAAGAGGTGGGGGAGGAGAAGAGGGGAGAATTGTCAGTGCTTGTATACAAAATGCACGGTGGCTCTGTTAGCTAGAAGTGGGCAACTGCTGAGTAAACCACTTTATTATGTAAACTGCCTAACAACACAAATAACCACGCTGCACACAAATCAACTCAGTCACCCATAAAAACACACATCCTCTCCAAGCTTGGACCTTCCTCCCCACTGCTGCTGCTCCCGCCGCCGCCACCACCATCGCATAATTCACCGGCATTGATGAAGGCTGCCGAGGTTAGACAGGGAACAGCACACACACATCCAGATGTAATTCAAGTATCATCTGGGGAAATACACTAAAGCCTAATGGGGAAACCCCATTGAATGGAGCAAGACTTTCTCTCTGTTAGGGGTAAGACAATCCTGAGCAGGACAGACACACATGCTTGGGTGTGGAATTCTGATATCCCTCACTGTCCCTGCTGGAGGATTATAGAATTCTGGTGACATCCTGCCCTGAGGATCCAGGATATGTTTTGGTAAATGTGGGATTCCGGTGAGTTCATTCTGGGCTAACACATGATGACTGCCCTTTCAAGTGTCATTCCAGGAAGACATGGTTAAAAGCAAAACACGACTGAGGCAGGAGCACTGGTTGACCACAATGAACAATTCTCTCTGGCAACTGCTGCTACCCAACCAAAGATCAATAATAAAAGGCCACTTGTCAAATGGGGAACAGTGCTGTCGCCAGGCATCAGTTTTTACATCAAGAAAAGAGCAATGGGATTAGAAAGGAGGGATTCGTTTTATCAGCAGTAATGCTAGGCTCATGGTTACAAATCTCCTAAATATACGTACTTGCCCGTCAAAATAATCAAACACATAAGCAACCATAACTCCATCAACTGAAAAACATCAAAAACAAGGTATTTTTTTAAATTTATAAAATAAAAACACTCTTTAAAAATATACAGATTCATTTGTTATTTCTAGTTCTTATGTATAGTATGAGTTGTAAAAATGCTAAAAATGCATGACACCCTACTGTCCTGGGCTCAACACAAAGTCTGAAGTTTCATAGAAAGCACACCCCAAACAATGACAGCTTTAAAAAAAATGGGGAATCGTAAGACAAACTTCACATGCCCGGGCCATTTTTAAAAAGATGTTTTATTCATAGCAGACGTATATGACTAAATACATTGTGCTAACAAATTAAAATGACGCAAGACAAATTGAAGTGGAAAAACACCAAAATGATGAGACCAAAAGCAGACTGTACATTTACAAACCCATTTAAAACAATATTTTTTTTACATCACCTCCCACTAGGGCAATGGCAGCTCTAAAATCTGTGTATAGGAGGGCTTAGGAGCTGGAAAATTTATCTTGAAGATATGCTTACATAATAACCACAGTTTTTAGCTATGTTGCCTATTATTATAAATAGCAATCATTTTTATAGATTTTATTTGTACTTTATGTAAGATTGAGATTATAAAAAGTGCTCAATATAAAAAGTATATGGATACACATACGTACATACATGTACACAAACACATACACATATATACAGTTTAGATGGTTTCAAGAGTTGTTTATTTTTTTTTGAGACCAAGTCTTGCTCTGTTGCCCAGGCTGGAGTACAATGGTACGATCTTGGTTCACTGCAACCTCCGCCTCCCAGGTTCAAGTGATTCTCCTGTCTCAGCCTCCCAAGTAGCTGGGACTACAGATGCCCGCCACCACACCCAGCTAATTTTTGTATTTTTAGTAGAGATGGGGTTTCACCATATTGGCCAGGCTGGTCTCGAACTGCTGACCTCAAGTGATCCACCGGCCCCTGCCTCCCAAAGCACTGGGATTACAGGCGTGAGCCACCGCATCCGGCTGATATACCTTTTTATTTTTAATCAAATGAAGAAATTTGACTACATTCCTTTATGGTAATATTCAAAGAATTTTCAGTTCCAGACCTAAAAGAAGGGCCTTTTATATGATGTTTTTAATTTGAAAAAAAATTGTTTTCAGTTTGAGGCTAAAGAGTTTGGTAAGTAGTAATAAGAAGACAAATATTTCAGGTGATAGATATCCCAATTACCCTGATTTTTTTTTTTTTTTTTTGAGACAGAGTCTCACTCCATTACCCAGGCTGGAGTGCAGTGGCATGATCTTGGCTCATTGCAACCTCCGCCTCCTGAGTTCAAGTGATTGTCATGCCTCAGCCTCCCGAGTAGCTGGAATTAGAGGCCCGCCACCAAGCTCAGCTAATTTTTTTGTATTTTTAGTAGAGCCAGGATCTCGCCATGTTGACCAGGCTGGTCTCTAACTCCTGACATCAAGTGATCCACCCACCTCGGCCTCTCAAATGATTCGAACTTTACACATTATATCAATTTATCAAAGTATCATATGTGCCCCCATAACATGTGGATGCATCAATCTTTTTAAAAAGAAAAAAAAAAAGTTTGCTAGGTAGAAATAGTAAGACTCTAATTACACGAAAGAGTTCTGGGCTTGAACACCAAAGGCAATCCAGAAGTTAAAGGCTAGTGAAGTCTCAATTAAACAATCTGGTTAAAATAAAACTCAGGAGCAAACAAGAGCAGTCTGGCTGGAGCCAGGAAACAACCCAGCTGGGAACCCAAACAACCCAGCACCTTCTCCCCTCAGAGGAAAGATTCCCTCCCCTCCTCCACTCCATCCATGAAGCAGGGTGAGTGCCTTCTACCCAGTTGTCCTTTGCACCAGAGACTTGACCTCAGGGAGGGGTCACCAAGATTCAAATTCTGAACTCCAGGGAGGAATCCTGCCAAGACCCCATCCCAACAGCCCCTTGCTCGAGAACTGACGGGCTTCCCACCAGGATCCATGAGGGCTGCATAAAAGTGGAAGCTACTGTTTGCACGCAGTCGTTCATTCAGCAGATGGGTCTGCACCCTGCTGAAGGCCAGATACTCAGCATCTGGGAAAGTGAGTTCCTCAGGAAGGAGCAGGTCCTGTTAGAGGTGTCTCCAATCTGGTGGGGAAGATAGTGACAGCACAGCTAGGGGAATCCTCTGACCCCAGCATGTCCCCCGAGGCCCTGAGCAAGGACCCAGTTTACTTCCTGAGGGAAGACAAAGGTCTCACAAGTGATACAGCTCTTAAACTCCTGGGAGACAAGCAGCAGATCCTCAAGCATACAAACAGGGTGAAGAAGGGGAGGGCTGGAAAGGACATTCTGGGCCTGGAATGCACATGTGCCAGCAGATAGGGATCAAGGGTTTTAAGGGTTTCAGAAAACAGTGAGCAGTTCTTTGTGGGTGCAGTTGCCGGCCATGGGTGGGGAGATGTCATCGGACAGGTGGGTTATGGCAAGATGGCAAGAGGCTTTACAGGACAGCACAAACATACCTCAATGGAGAGCAACATCTCCTGGAAAGCTTTTCAAAATTGGAGATTCCTGGGTCTCACCCAGTTATTCTGATTCCATGGGAGTGGCAGGGCCTTGAAATCTGTCCCTTAAAGTGAACTTCTTGAGTGACTGTGATGCCTAATGCCAGATCTGGAGACCATGGCATTTACCAAAATCTGTACTGCAAATGTGTAACACATTTGTAAGAACTAAGCCATCAGCAATTTTCTTCACCAACATGCTTCACCAACCTCGGCGATCCAGACTCACTGATTAAAGCGCATGTCTGATGGACCAGCCTTCGATGCCTGTCCTAGAAGGTCCGGCGTCCACCTGCCTTCCTCCTACACACACTCCAAGTCTGAGAGGGGACCTCAACCCAAATGCCCATCTGTAATTTTCCCTTTTCTCTTCTAACCTTCTCTCTCCATTATCTTTGGCTTAATCTTGCTTCCTCCACTTCCTTTGTACTCAGAGCAAAAATTGGAAGCTCTAAAGATAATATAGAAAAGGAAATTTACACTTCATTCATAGCTAATAAGAACCAAGGCAAGATTTTAAATCATAGAATATTAGAGCCAAAAAAAAATTACTTGTGATGATCTAGGCTCCTAGGCCCTTTATAGGTGGGAAAATGGAAGCCCAGAGAAGGGAAATATTTACTCAAGGTCACATAGCTGCAAAGGCACGAAGTCAAACCTACGTATCCCAGATCCCAAGCTAGTTGTTATTCTAACTACCGCATATAGACTTTTGTTATTTCAACAACATAGATTATTTTTTGTGCTACACAGATTTTTTTTAATGCATTCAGAATCAAAATGGGATCAAAATGGGGAATAAAATTCGTACGCCTGTAAGCCTGTGCCCTTACACATCAGGGACTTGCGCGGAGTACAGAGCGGACGACACACTCCCTCTTAGTCAGCACTGGCCCATCCCGGCCACTGTGCCATCTGCTTGTGTCAGCAAGGGCCTTTGAAGAGCAGTGTTGTGTGACTCTCATTTTCATCTGCCTCTGTAATTACTTTCATGGTTTTGAACAACCATCTCAGGGAAGTTTAGATGGTAATACATCCAATGCCTGAGGAAGGCATTTCAGATTCTCAGAAGGAAGGAAATGGATCCCAGGCAGACTAGATCATCTTTAATGTCCAGAATCTTAAATTTGTTACCCTAAAAAGTAGGCATGATTTTAAGACTGAAAATCAGGATAGCTAGGCTTTATTGAATGTGTACCATGGGCTGGGCTCTGTTCTGAGTGGTTCATGTGTATTAAGTCTTTTTGTTCTCACCACAGCCTATGTGGTAGGTACTTACCATCTTTTTCTTAATTTCCTTAATTTTCCTTTTCTTATTTTTTTAAGTAGCCCAGACAAATGCATGCCACTCAGTTCAAATATTTCTCAGCTCCTGTAATAGCCACGTGCTGGTCCATTATGGATGTGAAGGAAGCAGAGACCCTGCTCCACAAAGCCTCGGGTTCCAAGTCTACCAGATACCTAGAAACCAATTCTTTGTGTTCAATAATACAGAAAATCGTACTTTCATATTTAAAACAAATTGTATATTCATCCAGAGTCTAAAATCAACAAAATATGGAACTGCGCCTAGTGCTAATAAACTGAAATTCCATTATAGTTTAATTATTAACCCAAATATACACATTATAATATCCACTTATACACTTTCATTTAAAAAAAATGAAAGCAATTAAGTTCTAACATATTTCCACATTCTGTTTAACAATAGGTACATAACAACTAGATTGATTTTGCTCTTATAGTGACTAGTATTCAAAGTTTTTCCTAAGTAAATTTTATTAATAGCTAGTGCAAAAGATTTCCTATAAAGGACAAAGACCACTCAGAGCTGTTCCCTTTTGGAAACAATATGAGATGCTAATATTTTGGAAACCAGAGCGACCTGCTAGCTTGAAATGCTGGGCACTTGCCCAGAAGAGATGCACTTAATGATAACTGCAATTCCCTCCTACCACTTCCATCAAGAGGGATAAAAAAAAAAAAATACATGTA
This sequence comes from Homo sapiens, assembly GCF_000001405.40. Classification (NCBI taxonomy): domain Eukaryota; kingdom Metazoa; phylum Chordata; class Mammalia; order Primates; family Hominidae; genus Homo; species Homo sapiens. Next base: position 124,695,357 of record NC_000008.11, read on the forward strand.
AAGGCTGTAAGCAAGGGAGTAACCAAGGATATTCTTTCTGGAGAAGGTAGATATCAAACCACAAACTCTGTTAGAGTCACGGCCTACACCAACCCTAAGCCCAAATCTATTTGCTGCTGACCAAAACAGCTTGAAGCACTTTTTACAGATTATCATTTCCTTGGTGATCCATACATCATTAAAAATAGATCACTTGTAGGACTCCAAAAGGATATATACATGGGCATTAATTGCAGCAGAGCTTGTAGTAGCAAATACCTGGAGATAACCTAAATATCTATCAAGAGAATAATGACTCAGTTGTGCTATATTCAGACAGTGCTACATTCAGAAATTCCATTTGGCCGCTAGAAAGAATAAGGTGGACTTATAGGTACTGGAAAGATAACTATAATATACTATGCAGTAAAAAGCACAGAACAATGTTTCTTAGGGGCTACCTTCTGAAAAAGGTCACACAGGTATATTTTATTCCATGTGTCATTCCACATATTGTGGAAAACTAGTGTTGTTTTTTTTTTTTCCTCCCAGCATGTTTGTTTATATATGCAAAAACATCTGTAAATGACACTAAACCCAATTCCCGGGAGGGGCGGGGAAGTGGGGAGGATAAATTTTAGTTTATATATTTATTTCAATTTTTTTTTTGGACACAGAGTCTTGCTCTGTCACCCAGGCTGGAGTGCAGTGGCGCAATCTCAGCTCACTGCAACCTCCACCTCCCGAGTTCAAGCGATTCTCCTGCCTCAGCCTCCCAAGTAGCTGGGATTACAGGTGCCCACTCCTCTGCCTGGCTAATTTTTATACTTTTAGTAGAGACAGGATTTCAACATGTTGGTCAGGGTAGTCTTGAACTTCTGATCTCAGGTAATCCACCTGCCTCGGCCTCCCAAATGCTGGGATTACAGGTGTGAGCCACTGCGCCCAGCCTACTTATTTCAATTTTTTAAACTAAAGAGCATGTCCTATTTTTTAAATTTTTAAGTAAAAATTAATAAAAGTCACTTCTGACACTTACTAAGAAGGACATTCGAGTTTCTCTTATCTCTGTAAAATATACCTTCTTTCTATCACCCATATACTTTTAGGTTATTTGAGAGTTCTCACACTCCCACATTCAATGAAAATAGTAGCACGTATGGATTTTAAACAGAAAGTATCCTGGCATCACTAAAAATGATCTGAAATCCCATGGTCTAAAAATATGTCAAAGCAGCCAGATGCGGTGGCTCCCGCCTGTAATCCCAGTACTTTGGAAGGCCGAGGCAGGTAGATCATGAGGTCAGGAGTTCGAGACCAGTCTGGCCAACATGACGAAACCCTGTCTCTACTAAAAATACAAAAATTAGCTGGGCGTGATGGTGGGCGCCTGTAATCCCAGCTACTTGGGAGGCTGAGGCAGGAGAATCACTTGAACCCTAGAGGGGAAGGTTGCAGTGAGCTGAGATTGTGCCACTGCATTCCAGCCTGGGTGACAAGAGCAAGAGTCCGTCTCAAAAAAAAAAAAAGAAAAAAAAATGTCAAAGCAGGAGTTTGTTCACTATGAGATTATTTGCCTTTGGTGAAATACATCACCTCCAAACTCCTACTCTACCCCCATCACTTCTGCAGTGAGGCTCTTTGGTTTCTTTTTGCACAAATAATGGCTGTTTTTCTTCCCTTCAAAGATGACAATTTCCAGGCCCTGCAGTGTCCCGCCAAGAACCATTCTGGGAGCAGCATCTTCAGAATCCCAGGTTCCCACTACAGGAACTTATGGACAATCTGGGAATCTCTTTCCAGTCCATCTACAGGATCCATCCAAGAATTAAACATTAAAATATAAAAACATTATTATCACAGAGCCTCAAACATGCAATGCCAGATATCTAAGTTCCTTAAAACAGTAGAGCAGCTTAAAAAAAAAAAAAGACATATTCTGGGCCAGGCACGGTGGCTCACGCCTGTAATCCCAGCACTATGGGAGGCTGAGGCGGGCAGATCACCTGAGGTAAGGAGTTGGAGACTAGCCTGGCTAACATGGTGAAACCCCATCTCTACTAAAAATACAAAAATTAGTCGGGCGTGGTGGCACATGCCTGTAATCCCAGCTACACGGGAGGCTGAGGCAGGAGAATTGCTTGAATGTGGGGAGGCAGAGGTTGCAGTGAGCCAAGATTGCGCCATTGCACTCCAGTCTGAGAGACAGAGCGAGATTCTGTCTCAAAAAAAAACAAAAAACAAACAAACAAAAAAAAAACCCTATACTGATGGCTATTACAGAAAGATAAAAATATGGCTGCCAAGTCCAGTTCCAGATACTGCTGAAGTAGAAGAAAATATAAAATGCAATACTATAGGCCCTGCAATGGTTTGCATATTAAGTTCTTCTCTACGGTTGTATTTTCTCAAGTTTCTATAACAGACACACATAAGCTATGGAGTAATTTTTTTAAAGGACTTTTAAAAAGATACTGGTTAAGATCCACACCAAGCTGACATACTGGATGAAGAAACCATGCTTCTAGTTTCTGTGTCACATTCTCCAAGGGAATGCTGTAAAACCCTGCTGGCATCCCGGAAATGAGGAGAAATATTACCTCCCCTAGGAAAAACTCCTTCACTCCCTGAGTTAATTGCTCACTTTTCTATATTCCCCTAGCACTTTGTTCTACAACTATTACCATACCAAACATATAGTTTCTATGTTGAAATTCTTTATTTATACTTCTCATTTTCCCCACTCAATTGTAAGCCGCTCCAGGACAAGGAGAGTCATATTGCTTTTTGTGGTCCCATGATAGTGCCTGAAATAAAAGGAGTTTGTTCAATGAATGAGAAGGGTTCTTGCTGCAAATTCATTCAAATACTTTTAAGCACCTGTGATGAATGAGTATCATTGCACTGAAGGTACCCATCAGGTGGTTCGGAGAAACTTTCATGTGCCTGGGAGCAGTCCCCAACACTTGCCCTACAACCCAAATTTTCCAATGTCACCACGACAATGAAAAGAACAGGCCTATAGCTGCCAGTACAACAAGAAGACCCAGAAAGACAAGGCAAAGTAAGAGGCAGAAGAGAGTAGCTGCATTGCAATGAAAAGGAAATCACCCTCCTCCCTTTGAATAGGGTAATTGTCTGTTACTGGTAATGTTGCATGTGTTGCTTTTCTTTTTTTTTTTTTTTTTTTTGAGACAGAGTCCCAACTCACCGTTGCCCAGGCTGGAGTGCAGTGGCGCGATCTGGGCTCACTGCAACCTCTGCCTCCCGGATTCAAGCAACTGTCATGCCTCAGCCTCCCAAATAGCTGGAATTACAGGCACGTGCCACCACGCCTGGCTAATTTTTGTATTTTTAGTAGACATGGGGTTTCGCCATGTTGGCCAGGCTGGTCTCAAACTCCTGACCTCAAGTGATCCACCTCGGATCTCTTGCCTTGGCCTCCCAAAGTGCTGGGATTACAGGCATGACCCACCGCGCCTGACCATAATGTTGCATTTCTAAAGACGGTCAGGCATACGGGGGTATTCATTTTCTTTTTATACTTTTCACATGTTATGAATAACTTTTATATGATTCAGTACTTGCTGAAGCCATTAAATTTTTTTCATTGATTTAATAAACATACTTTAAACATCTCCTATGTTCTAGGCACTACGTTTTGGGGCTTCAGACATGAATAAGTCATAGTCTGTATCTCAACAGGTTTGCAGTCAAATATGAGGGACGCATAAATAGATACAACCCAATGAGATCCTTATTTTAAAAGGGTTCTTCATTTTATGGAAACTCAGAAAAATGGTCTATCCAATCATCCCTACTGCTTCCCATTCCACAAGGAAACAAGGAAAACCCACGTAAGGAGGAAAACGCAAATTGCAACCAAAGGCACAGCTCAAGGTTCAACAACCAGCACGTCATTAAAGTGATCAAAGAACCCATCAAGCCAACTCGTGCAGAAACAGTGGTTCATTTTCTTCCTTTTTCATTCTTCTTCACATGTGCTTTATTATCCAGAAAACTAGTTGCAACTTCTAATATGTGGAATCCCACAGAGTTTTAAAAAATGGGAAAATACGAGTCAGCTCAGCTCTGATAACTTAAGCTGCATCTTCTTGTGCAGCCACCCAAGGGGAAGAGTCCACGTGCAGAATGCAGTTAACACTGGGAGTCAGCCTCCATCTGCTTACCACGTGTGTTGGTGGCCATGTCAGCCACTTTCTGAAAGGCGTCCAAGAAGGCAGCTGCTGCTACTACTGTTGTCCTAAAATGCAAACAGATAACAAAAGCATAAGGAATGTCTCTCCCTAGCAAATTCATTACAGCTCAAGGCCTAAAACCTCTGCTAAGGAGTACATGTAACCTTCCTCCAGAAATAACTCAACTGAGCATGGACAACCACTGTCTTGCTGAACCCACTTTTTTCCAAGTACTCCACCCGAATAATATCCAGCTCATTCGGTGCTAATCAATAAATGCTAGTAGCCCTTCCCATTCCATTTCATCTGACTGTATAAAACCATTACCAGGGCCAGGCATGGTGGCTCACGCCTGTATTCCTGGCACTTTGGGAGGCTGAGGTGGGTGGATCACTTGAGATCAAGAGTTCGAGACCAACCTGGCCAAGATGGTGAAACCCCGTGTCTACAAAAAATTAGCCAGGCGTGGTGGTATGCACCTATAATCCCAGCTACTTGGGAGGCTGAGGCAGAAGAATCGCTTGAGACCAGGAGGCAGAGGTTGCGGTGAGCCAAGATCGCACCACTGCACTCCAGCCTAGGTGACAGAGCAAGACTCTGCCTCAAAAAAAAAAAGAAAAAAGAAACACCTACTACCAGGCAAAGTTTTATACAGGAGGAAAACAGAGGCATTTCTACCTAAAAGGAAAAATAAAACATTAAAAAATATAAGTGGTAGAGGTGAAATTAATTTTGGAGTAGGAAAGCAATATATATATATGCACATCAGTTGGGGGAAGGAATCTGGTAGAAAGATCATGTAGTTCAAACAATTCATTTTAGGAATAGGAGAACTGAGGCCACAAATACGAGGCCACAAACATAGCCCTAGTTCATACTAGAGCTGGGACAAGTATCCCAGCCTCATGACTCACAGGCTTGGGCTTGACCCACTATAAGACAAGATCCTGGCAGTGTGACTTTTCTCCCTAGATCCTAGTTATAATGAAACTGAGATACTACTGTTTCAACCTTAGGACACTATTTCAACTGAATCTTCCAAATTCCTACAAGGTGAGAATGGGGAGAAGGTACTATAGTCACTTATGTCCTAGAAATTATTCTGGGTTCTTAATATTTTTTTGGACACCATAGGATGCCTTGAGCCCTCTGTGGTCTACTGGTTCCAAGAGTCATGACCTAAGGCATCATTCAGCGTAGTCAACACTCCAAGCCAGGGCCATGGATTCCACACAAACAAGCCCCAGAACTAGAATTCAAGGACTTTACAATCAAACTTGTAACTAAGTGTTAATTTTCAAGTATTTCTTATATAACTCAGCCTTTACTGAGCGTTCCTAAGGATGCAAAGTTGCTGAAGAAGAATAACAATAAGGACTAGAAAGGGAAGATTTCAAAATAGAGAAAAATGAAACCAGCTGTAGTGGCTCATCCTGTAATCCCAGCACTTTGGAAAGCTGAGGTGGGAGGATCACTTGAGCTCAGGAGTTTGAGACCAGCCTGGGCAACATACTAAGACTCCATTCTCTACACACAAAAAAATTGTTTTTAAATTAGCCGGGCACAGTGGTGCATGCCTGTAGTCCCAGCTACTCAGGAGGCTGAGACGGGATGACCACTTGAGCCCAGGAGGTCAAGGGTGCAGTGAGCCATGGCTGCACTACTGTACTCCAGCCTAGGTGACAGAGCAATACCCTCTCTCAAAAAGAAAGAGAAAAGAAAAAAGAAAGAAAAAGGGAAAGGAATGGCCTTTAAACATCAGCAACAGTAGTTTTGAAACAAAAGGTTCCTGCAAGGTGCTGGAAGTAGTTCCTGGGAAAATCTAGGCAACAGTCCCTTACAGCCAAACTTCAAAATGAGGCCTGTTATTTTCCAGTAGGGCAAGAAAACATTCTGCTCAAAATTTTTAAAAATAATGACATACATGTACACAAAACCACTTTGAAGCATATTTTTTAAAGAGTTGACATCAAACACAAACCCTGGAAAAATTAGCTTTATCAAACTTCTTGGGACTTATAAATAGCTTGTTCTGATTTACAATTAATATCTGACACAATGGCTGGATTTATTCTCATCCAACTCAATGCCAATCATCCAAATTTAATGAACCAGCTGCAGAGGTGTCTTGCATATTACACAGTCACCAGGGCTCCACTGAAAATTAGGCGGGTGATCAAGTTTGAGGCTTTTAAATGGCAGTCATATTTCACTGTCCGCTGTAGTCACAAGACATCTTGGCCCTCTTTGATGGGGCAGAGCAAACTTGTAACCAACAGAAACACAGAGGAGTGATTCAGCTTAAATAAACTAAGGCTTCTATGCCTCTTCTGCAATCTAAACTTCATCCTTTCTCTAACACACAAAATTAAACTATGTGCATGAGGCCCCTATATTGCTCTCAGCCCTGTACTATTAGTTTAACAAAATAATAAAGAAATGGTCCCTGCCTTCAGGACAAAACATTGTTTAATAATATAAAATGTATCCTGTACCAGTAAGGACAGGTTAAGATTACTTTAAATTTTACTTTATATGTTTAAGACAGCTGATCTGTTCATTACTTTAAGCTTCAAGATCCTCACTGATAAAAGGGGAAGATAACAATTTTCTTGGTCTACTCTGAAAGACTGCCAGACGGTTAAATGAGGCTGAATCTTAAAAAAGTAGGGGAAATGTACTTAAATGTTTTACTGTATTACTATAGGAGGAGACCTCCCACAGGATAAAGATGAAGCTACCTAAAATAAATGGTAATCATGGCAGACATGGAGGTGGGAGTAGATATGGCTAAATAAGGTGAGGCTGGTGAAGGACTCAGGTGAGGAGCCCTGAATCCTGAGCAGGGGAGGTGGGATCTGATCCAGTAGAAAGTAATTACAAGAGCTTAAGCAGGGCTTAAGTACAGGACTTGACAACTGGGGAAGGTGCAGTATTCCAAGTTCACTGTCCATCTGAGGCTGCAGTTCATGGATGGAAATCCCAGGCTCCAAACAAAGCTGAAGGAATGAAAGAAAAAAGGCCCACCTTTCCCAAGTTCTTTAGTCTATAGGGCACCATGGACACTCTAGTCCTATGGCTAACACTCTGGGCAGTGACCCCTGGTGTCCACAGGCAAAGGCCCGAGAGCATCACATCATCCCTCTCCCACCTCTCTGTCGTCCACATGGCTCTTTATCCTGGAAAACCCCTGCCTGCCCCGCTCTCTGAACCATCTTCCTCCATCCAAACCAACCAATGACATCCCCTACATGCCATGAACCAGGGCCATCAAAATAATTCCTTTTTAAAATGTCCTATCCTTCATGAAGCACCCACTAAGTGAAATTGTATCCCTTCACCACAATGATTTAAAAGGGTAGAGCTTTAATAAGAAGATGCCAACGTATTTTCTATTTCATATCACATGATATATGAACAAGCACGAGACTAGGCAATCACAGCCCCTTAGAGCTCAGCACTGGATCTTGTTTAGGCAGCTTTACGGAGGCATAATTTACATACCATAAAATACACCCTTTTTCAGGGTATGAGTCAATGATTTTTAGTAAATTTGGAGTTGCACAATCATCACCGCAATCCAATTTTAGAACATTTCCACCACCCCAAAAGATCTGTCTTACCCACTTCTCACTCTCCTTTTTCACCCTATCCCCAAGCAACCAATGATCAACATCTCTCTAAAGATATGCTTTTGCTAGATAGTTCATGTAAATGGAATTATACAATAGTCAACACAAGGTTTTATTTTATTTTATTATTATTATTTTCTTTTGAGGTGGACTCTTGCTCTTGTCGCCCAGGCTAGAGTGCAATGGCACAATCTCGGCTCACTGCAACCTCTACCTCCTGTATTCAAGCGATTCTCCTGTCTCAGCCTCCCAAGTAGCTGGGATTACAGGCACTCGTCACCATGCCCAGCTAATTTTTGTATTTTTAGTAGAGATGGGATTTCGCCATGTTGGCCAGACTGGTCTTGAACTCCTGACCTTGTGATCTGCCTGCCTGGGCCTCCCAAAGTACTGGGATTACAGGTGTGAGCCACCACACCCAGCCAACAGGAGGTTTTAAACTCTATTTGTGGAGAGGCAGTAAGCAGAATGGAGGAGAACATGGACTCTGGAGCCAGAGAGCCTAAGTTCAAATCCTTGCTCTGCCATTTAGTAGTGATGTGACTATGGATAAGTTATTTAACTTCGCTGTGCCTCAGTTTCCTCATCAGTAAAATGGGGATAATAATGGTATGTACCTTGTGGGGTTATGAGATTTAAACAAGTTAACAAATGCCTGGCACATAGTGAGCAATACATAAATGTTACCCGTTGCTACCTTACATACAGTACCTACCTCATTTGACTCTCAAAATTCCTATGGAAGGAGGAAAGCAGACATGAATGAGTCCCATTTTACATATGGCAATCAGGGCCCAGGATATATGGCTATAGGTGATCATGCTCCAATCAGAACCCAGCACAGGCTTCCCTATCTGCAGCACTTCCTGAATCAACCCTAATCAATCTGCATTTTGGTCTGTCCCACTCCATCCTTGTCTGAGGATGTTGTCCTTTTCCTGTAGAACATGTGCTTCTACTTACCGAAGCTGGGACTGCAGCTTTCCTGCTTTGTTTATGAAATCTTCCCAAACTGGATAGCTCCCCTGCAACACATCAAAGACATCAGTAAGTCACACTGCGATAGACATCTGATTACTACATTAACAGAGCACCCAATTCCAATCATGCAGGGAACAATCTGTGTATGTTCTCTTCCTTTGCAGGTCTGCAATACGTTTCCCGGATTCTATATACATGTATTGGCTCAGGAATCAGTTTAGAATGTGCTCAGTTCCTATAATCTTGTAAATACTACAAACATCAACTGAACTAGTTTGGCAGAATCTGACACATACACTTTTGAGTTGGTAGATGGTGGGTCCAAATTTAAGGTGTACAGAACATTTAAAGCTCCACCCTGAACCACTTGTTCATGAAACATGGCCCTGGCTGTTCTCCCACTTGCCCCAAACAACACCAAGCAGGGAACCAGAGTGACTGGGGCTCTTCCCCAGGACAGGTGGTTACAGAAAGCATTAATTAGACTATCAGAATCTCAAGATTGAAAAATTACCTAATGCAGCAGCTCAGCTGATGGCTTAAGCCCAACACCTAGGGACAGTATAGCAACAGGTGGTTCCCCAACACACTTCGGCTAACAGGGAACTCATCACCTTCCCAGCCTATTATCAGCCACCCTGTCCTTGATGTTCATGTAGTTCTAGTTCTAACCTCTGGGAGCCCTCAGTTAAGATCAATAATCCTGCTTCCACATGGAAGTCTTTTCAAAATCCAGTTTCACATCCAACCCCACTTCTCCCCGGGACCCTGCTTCACACCCTGACTGCATCCCAGAGACACTCAGCGTGTCTCTCTACTCTTCCTCTAAGTGTGGTGCATAGACACAAACTCAAATCTGCAGGTGCAAGTCTGACAGGGCAAAGCAGGCAGGGACCGACGTCTCCCTTCCTACACATGTTAAATTTATATTAAGATCACACAGCCCACCAACCAAGAGGTGACTCAAAATCAACACAGAAAGGGGGAAACAATGGGCTGAGAAGTGGTATTTGGCATTGATCATTTAAGTACAGAACTAAGGGCCGGGCGCCATGGCTCACAGCTGTAATTCCAGCACTTTGGGAGGCCAAGGTGGGCAGACATCTTGAGGCCAGGAGATCGAGATCAGCCTGGCCAACGTGGTGAATCCCCATCTCTACTAAAAATACAAAAATTAGCCAGGCATGGTGGCGCATGCTTGTAGTCCCAGCTACTCAGGAGGCTGAGGCATGAGAATCACTTGAGCCTGGGAGATGGAGGTTACGGTGAGCTGAGATCGCACCACTGCACTCCAGACTGGGCAACAGAGCAACACTCCGTCTCAAAAAATAAAATAATATAAAATAAAATAAAACAAAACAAAACTAAGACTAAACACCTGGGGATTATTTTTGCAGAACAGAGCGTAAATGTTATGAACCCTGACAAGGTAAAAACAACATATGCTACCTCTTGATTTTCTTGTTCAGGAAAGGAGGAAAAAATTATAATGAGGTTAATCAACTCATCTTTCATGACAGAAGCCCAATTAAAACTGTCTAAAACTGCAACCCAGCTAAAACATTAACAGTTTTACCTTCCTAATGGTATTAAACATCATTTTTTCTTACCCTTAGAGCAGGTTCTCAGCCTCAACACTATGGACATTTGAGGCCAGATAATTCTTTGTCGTGGGGGGCTGTCCTGCACATTTAAGATGTTTAGCAGTATCGCTATCTTCCATTCACTAGATGCCAGCGTTCCCCCACCCCCTATTTGGGACAACCAAAAATGGGACATTGCCAGATGGCCCCTAGGGGACAAAAATCACGCCCAGTCAAGAACCACTGCCTTAAAGGCACATCTGAGAAATCAACTTAAAGAAAGTGGTGAAGAAACAATTACAGTATTACTTCAGTTTCATTTTCTTCTGTTAAATGAAAGTACAATTAAGTATATTTTTTCAAAAGATCATGCATAGCACTCATTATAACAAGGAGCACTCATTATAACAAGGAACACCTTGTTATAGAATCGTCTATTTATATACTTCCCTAGCTGTCAATTCTGTCTGAAAATGTACATAAGAGATATCTGGAAAGTTGTCTATAAAATATTAATACGGGTTACTTCTGGGAGTTAAAATCTGGACCAATGTATTGCTTTCTCCTTTGTACTTTCCTTTATGGCTGGAGTCTTGTGAGTTTTCTTTATAAGGGTCATGTATCATTTTAATGAAAACAATAAAGTCATTGCATTTTTTAAAACGTAAGATCAAATTAGAGGTTCTGGCAACAACAGCACCATGAATTTACAATCCACCCGAACTCTAAAGTCTGTTTCACGCATGCTGCTACACCACATTCATCAGTTCTGCCTTCATGCATTGGAGACCTGCTTGGCTCAAGCACAGGTTTCTGGATTTATTCCTCTAAGTGGCAATTTGCCCCTATGGGAAACTAAGCAACAGCCGGGCAAGAATCGTGTCTGGCTGGCTCCTGGCAGAGGCCCTTTGGCAGCTACACCTGAGCTACTGTCAACCAACACCTGTGTGAGGGTCTTGTCACGACATGACCTCCATCCCAAGTGTGTGCCCTGGGGGTTACTTCCACCCAAGAGCAGAACTGTATATTAATTTATGTCAAATGAAAACTTGTGAGAGCTCAGGCTATCATTCAAGGCCCATCAAGACATAGTGGGGACTCCAATTATGACACCCAACATACATACCATTTTTTTAATCCAGTCCAGATAAGAACACCCCTTGTACACCTACATCCAATTAAAGAGATGAGGGCCAAGATCAGAGTCCTCAGGATGGCCACTGGAGATCTCTGTCCAGAGGGACAGCAGTTGGCACCTCTAAGAACACAAAGGCTCAACCAACCAATAGCAGCTTCGTCCGACCATTCCTTCTCTTTCTGAGCCACAAGACACGATGAAAAGCTTTCTGAGAAATCTGAGCATTCAGAAACACTGCTCACCTACTTCTAGGCAAAGGTGCCACCATCTCTCGGCTACACAAGGAAGAAGGACCAAAGAGCCAGACCCTCCTCTCCCAAACACCAAACACTCCCATCCAGGGAGCCCTGGAGAAATATTATTAAGACGATCAAAGTATTTCTTAAGAAAAAGGTGGGCCAGGGGCAGTGGCTCACACCTGTAATCCTAGCACTTTGGGAAGCTGAGGCAGGAGGATCACTTGAGCCCAGGAGTTCAAGACCAGCCCAGACAACATGGCGAGACCCCATTTCTACTAAAAATACAAAAAAAAAAACAAACAAACAAACAAACAAAAAAAAAACACCAGGCCAGGCACGGTAGCTCACGCCTGTAATCCCAGCATTTTAGGAGGCAGGTGGATGAGGAGGTCAGGAGTTCAAGACCAGCCTGGCCAAGATGGTGAAACCCATCTCTACTAAAAATACAAAAATTAGCTGGGCGTGGTAGCAGGCACCTGTAATCCCAGCTACTCGGGAGGCTGAAGCAGAGAATTGCTTGAACCCGGAAAGTGGAGGTTGCATTGAGCCGAGATCGCACCACTGCACTCCAGCCTAGGCGAAAGAGCGAGACTCCATCTCAAAAGAAAAAAAAAAAAACCTAGCTGGGTGCTGTGGCACATGCCTGTAGTCCTAGCTACTCAGGAGGCTGAGGTGGGAGAATCCCTTGAGCCCGGGAGATCGAAGCTGCAGTGAGCTGTGATTGTGCCACCGCACTCCAGCCTGGGCAACAGAGCAAGACCCTGTCTCAAAGAAACAAAGCCAAAGGAAAAGGTGAGGCATGTTCATCGAGAACATGCAGAACTGGCCAGTGGCCTGGGCAGGGAGCACTGGGTCCTGAGGTCTAGTCACAGCCCTGCCAGTCATGGACTAGGGGAAATCATTTCACTTCTCAGGGATCATTCCCTTATAATGATGATAACCAAAACAAATAATTCCATCACCATTACCAATACCATCAATTATTGAACATTGAAAGAATGAAGGAGATGAATAAAGATTGCACGTACAGAAGCCCAATCTCTTGGATTGAACCTTAGCTCTCCCATTTGCTATGCGACACTGGGCAAGTTATTTGACCTCTGCATGGGTTTAAGTCACATCTTCACAGGGCTGAGAGGAGGAACGAATGAGGTCATATACAGAAAGTGCTCGGTGCAGTGCCCAGCACACTGGAAGTGCTCAACAAACATTTGATATGAGGGATCCAAGTGGCCACAGGCTCTCAGTAATCTCCTTTAGGATGTGTGGGGGACAGACTGTAAAGTCTAAGTCAGACTGTCCATCCAGACTGGAACCCCCCTTTTAGAGTACCTGGTGTGGAACCAGCCAACATGGGAAGCATCTGCATCTCCCTATTAGTAAACCAGGGTTAGGCAGAAACAGACCAAGGCAAAGGCAGCTGGGTGTTCAGTGCCAGACAATTTCTCTGCTGCTGCTAAGCAAATGGCAGGGTGGAGTACTCAACCCTGAGATGAGTGTGCCTGAAAAAGACGACTACTCAAACCACTGAAGAAACTTCTTATCTGCCCCCACTTGGAGCGTCATTTCAGTCTTTACCAAATTAGCAACAAAAGGAGGGGTCCCCTTTCTAGTCAAGGGGTACAGCTAACAGCTCCCCACCTACGAACATCCACCCAGCCAGAAGGTTGCCCAAAGTAGCTTGCTGCTGACTTAATGACACTTGACAGTCTATCAGAGAGAGTCAGGCCCACCTGTTTTAGGCAATATATAATTTAATAGATTCTAAAAAAAGAAAAAAAATCAACTTCTAAGAACAGAAGACAAAAACCTCCTTGTTGAGAAATGAAAAAAAAAAAAAGTGAGTAAATGTCATTAAAATTTAAAGGCAAAGTGATGTTGGGTTGTTCCAGATATTTTTGTAAGTTTCTTTCAAGGAAAAAAGAAGTTTCTACCCACCTGAGAGCAGTTTTACTATAATAATTCAAGCTTAGAGGAAGTAAGAAAGGAGGAAGAAGGTAACTAGAAAGATTGAAAGGCAGCAGAGAAAAAGTCCTGCCTTTTGGACAGCAAGACTACATAAAGGAGACCATACTCAAGTTTCAAAAGAAACCCGCAACCCAAGACACTGGAAGCTCTTAGAGCCCTTTAGAAAGCAATTCCCCAACTGTCCTTGGTTTTTGCATCTGCATCCACCCACCAAGAAGTCCCCAGAAAGTTCATTCCTGAGGTTGCTGGCTGAGCTCTGTCCCCATTTGAGGAAATCCCTCGGAATGCACTCCCAGAGCCGTGAAAACAATTCAACACAGACCCCACTGTGGATTTCACCTGAGAACACATAAAGGCTTCACAACGTTCCAGACAGACCCAAATCAAAGAAAACAAAACTCCCGCCACGCCCCGGCTTCTGCCAAGTCCAAAGTCACAAGGCAAAATGAGAAGGCGCACCTCCTCCAGGAGCCCCCTGAATTTCTTCAGAGAGGAGAGCCAGGAGTTTCTGGAGCCCTTGGCAGTGCGTTCGTTGAAAATACAACTCAGATTACACTGGGTTCTAAGAAAGGAAAAGGTCCCTATTAAAGAAACGGGAAGAGAAAGCCAGTTTGTTTACAAGCGTGTAAAGAGGACTCCCTCCATCACTTCCTTGGGTGAGAGATGGGGCTTCCCTGAACACGTGATCTCACCCACACTCCCCACACACACCACACCCTGTGGCTGCTTCTCTTCAAATCTCCAGGGGGATTCAGCAATATTGAAAACTCCTATTCAGCTGTCACTACCCAGCTGTGACACTTCTTCTGGAACATTCTCTGACACACCCCCTTCCCACCTACCCTCTGGTTTAGCTGCACCTACTCCCCAACTTATCACATCATACAGTTTGCTGTCTATAAGCCTGAGGGCTTCCCCTTTGGACTGTGGAACAAGGACTGAGAAATGAAGGGAGGAAGGAAAAGTACTTCTGGTAGGGGGTGCAGCTGACACAAAAGGAGGCAGGGAACACTGACCAGCTCTCTCCAAGGGACACTGGAGTGACACATTTATGCTGGCCACTCCTCCAGGCAGGACATGGGCGAAGTGGCCCAGGTGGGCAAGGGCAGCCTTCCAGGGCAAGACCCAGGGTGGGGACTTGGGACAGGTGAGGAAGACCGGGGTGGCCTTCATTCAGACAGTGAGTGACATAAATTCCAGACCAGACAGGTGATGGGAGAACCTGGCTAATGGTCACATACCTGGCATCACTCTAGTTCCTGGGAGAGAGAGGAAAATAATGAAGTCATTTTCTTAGTTTTTAGGAAAAAGGCCTCCTAAATCTCCTTCAACTGAAGAGTTTGGTGGCCACCTAAACAAATCCACAAGTTGGTCTCCCCCACCCCACCCTCAAAGTGGAGCTTAGGAGACACCGCCGAGTGCCTCTCCTCATCTTCCTCCTCTTCCTCCACTTTCCCTAGAGCCAGGACCCATGGCAGGCCATTTGCCTAACACAAAGCAAGGCACAGCAATCGGCCAACAGCCATTCTGGCTTAGGGTTGTTTGGCTTCGTTTTGTTTCCTATTGAACAGAGGCCCAGGACGGCATCCCACACATGGTGCAGAGAATAACTGTGTGTAGCTCATCAGCACGGCTGGTGACCGGTGCTCCATAAATAATGCAGCAACTGCCTCTCCCAGCCCAGCGCCACTGGGACAGCTGAGGGAATTCAACACCACGCTGCCACACAAGGAACACAGGGGCCGGGAACTGCCAGAGAAAGGGCAACTTGGGAGGAGCCACAGAGCTGGGGAGGACTTACGTGAGGAGGAAGAATTCAGTTCAGGGGAGAATCAAGTAGGAACCAGGAGGGCAGAGGCTCTAGAGAGTGGGGTTCCAGCTCAAAGGCCTTTGTTCTGCCCAAAAGGTGCCAGACAGAGGCTGGCTCACCAGTGGATCTGGCTGAGAAATCAAGCCGTGGGGTATATGACCAGCCAGGTAACTTCCCAAGTATCTCTGTTCACCTTGACAAGCATCACTGTCATCACCATCATCATGAAGCATCACCACTTTCTAAAGAGTTGCCAGGTGCCAGGTATATATACTGGCCCTTCCCAAGCTGTAATTTACATATCCATCATCTGGGGAGCTTGCAGACAGGCAGGTTCTGATTTGCTTGGTGGAGGTGGGGCCGTTTAATCTGAGGTGCTGCTGCTCCTGGTCCACAGACCACTCTCTAAGGAGCCCAGCTTGATCCTGCATTCTCACTGCATGCTCACAGCAGCCCAGGCAGGCAGGTGCTGCTGTTATTTTAGAGCTGAGGAAACTGATGCCCAGAGAGGTTGGAGCAGAGAGCTCCAGGTTGCAATAGGATGCCAGATCTGACTTTGCAGCCCAAGTGTTCCCTGATTCTGGGAAGTGCAAGTAACCACATGAACAGAGCCAGCCTCCAGCCCAGCCCAGCCCCAGGGCTGCAAAGAGTGGCTTAGACAGCAGGTTGGGTCGCGCTTTACATGTGGGTCCTATAAGAGCCCAGACAAGGTAGAGCAGAAGAGGACAAGGGTGCCCTGCACACATGGCACCTGATTACAACTGCAGATGGCCCAGAGGGATTGTAATACCACCCTGGAAATGGTCAGGACCCCCAACCACATGAAAAAGAAAGCACGAGGCTGGGCGCAGTGCCTCACTCCTATAATCCTAGCACTTTGGAAGGCTGAGGCAGATGGATCACCTGAGCTCAGGAGTTCGAGACCAGCCTGGGGAACATGACAAAACCCTGTCTCTACTAAAAATGCAAAAAATTAGTGCAGCATGGTAGCACACGTCTGCAATCCCAGTTACTCAGGAGGCTAAGGCATGAAAATCGCTAAAGCCCAGGAGGCAGAGGTTACAATGAGCCGAGATCACGCCACTGCACTCCAGCCTAGGTGACAGAGCGAGACTGTCTCAGAAAAAAAAAAAAAAAGGAAGAAAACATGAAACACACAACAAAGAGTGGGTAGAAAAATGCCTGGTAGAAATGCACCAAGAGGTTCATAGCTGTTGGCACTTGTGGTATGATTATGGATAATTTTATCTCATCTTGGTTTTCTGTGAACACACAAACTGGTCTTCTTCTACCAGGAGATCAGTAGAGTCAATCTGGGAGGGGCTTTTAAATCTCCAGCTGCCACAGCCACCCCTGCCACCATGACCCCTTCCCAGGTCTGCGGAGACCTCAGCAGGGCGAGTGTGAGGAACATAGCCAACAGCATCCTTCCTCTTCTTCCGCTGGGTATACCCTGGATGAGCTCAGCCTTCAGGTTACCCTGAAGCTGCTTTACGCAGCTTCCAGAGGAGGCTGGCACCTTCTGACCTACGCTGGAGTGGCTCTGGCCTCCCTGCTTCTTCAAGCATGAGGCAAGAATCCGCTCAGCTTCCAGAAGTGGGCGTGTGGGATGACAGACAGGGCCCATGAATGCCTGTCATAGCTTTGTCCCCAAAACCACCCTTCCCCACCCAATCCTGCAAGATGAAGGGCTCCTAAGATCCTCAGATGAAAGGCACTGGGTAAGCCCATCCATCATAAATACCATTCCTGGGCTTTTATTCTCTGATTGGGGGTTGCCTAATCCACTAATTATCCCTGTCCATCAAGCGGATGACAGCCTTGGGGATAATCAATGGTTGCTTCCTCGCCCGCCCACCCTCACCCACTTGCCCAAGCACACCAGCAATAAATATGCCTATGAAAAGGAAGACTGAACCACAAAAGGTGCTCCCTCTGTCCATCCGTCCATCTCCCCTTACAAACTGCTCCATTTGTAACTATTAACACCCTAACCAAACAAATCAAGGATATCAAGCTTTTCCTCCTCCCGCATTACTAGGTTGGATGCCCGGGCTGTTTTCTGACATCTGGGTGTCTCCACTTAAAATAAAAATAACCAAACAAATATGTCAACCATATCTTCCAAGTCATTTTCTTAAGTTTTCCACCAGGAAGTATTCCTTTGTCTATCCTGAGCTGTCCAACAGGGGAGCCCCACATGAGGTTATTTAAAGTATGATTAAATAAAATTTAAAATTCAGTTTTTCAGCCCACTAGCCACACCTCAAGTGCTCTGCAGTGGCTAGTGGATACCGTACTGGACAGCATGGACACAGAACATCTCTACCACTGCAGAAAGTTCTATTGGACAGCAATGGCCACCCCACCACAACGGCACCCCTAAGGGCTTCACTATCTTAGGGTGCTCTACAACCACAGCTAGGTTTTTGGTTCTATTTTTTAACCACTGTAAAATGTATGTATGTGTTCCATGCTCCACATTTCTTGAAAAATAGAATCCCTCTCCTTTTTCATCCCCTAAATTCAACTCATTCCCCAATTTTGGGTTTGTTTTGAGACAGTCTTGCTCTGTCACTCAGGCTGGAGGTGCAGTGATGTGATCTTGGCTCACTGCAACCTCCGACTATGAGGTTCAAGAGATTCTCCTGCCTCAGCCTCCCAAGTAGCTGGGATTATAGGCATGCACCACCACGTCTGGCTAATTTTTGTATTTTTAGTAGAGACAGGGTTTTGCCATGTTGGCCAGGCTG
This sequence comes from Homo sapiens, assembly GCF_000001405.40. Taxonomy (NCBI): domain Eukaryota; kingdom Metazoa; phylum Chordata; class Mammalia; order Primates; family Hominidae; genus Homo; species Homo sapiens. The sequence goes on from NC_000008.11 coordinate 124,713,639, forward strand.
GTTTCGAACTCCTGACCTCAGATGATCTGCCCGCCTCAGCCTCCCAAAGAGCTGGGATTACAGGTATGAGCCACTGCGCCCTGCCTGTTTTCTTGTTTTGAGACAGGGTCTCACTTTGTCACCAAGGCTGGAGTGCAGTGGCACAATATCAGCTCACTGCAGCCTCGACTTCCCAGGCCCCTCATTGCTGCCTCGACTTCCCAGGCCCAAGCGATCCTCCTGCCTCAGTCCCCCAAGTAGCTGGGACAACAGGGAAACACTACCACACCCGACTAATTTTTGTATTTTTAGTAGAGATGGGTTTTGCCATGTTGCCCAGGCTGGTCTCGAACTCCTGGATTCAAGTCATCTGCCTGCCTTGGCCTCCCAATGTGCTGGGATTACAAGCAAGAGCCATGGCCATTACGGCCATGACATTTCCTTTATGATTTCAGATAGTTCCTCCCATCAAAAGAGAGAGGAAGAGGTTTATGGTTAGTCACTGCCTGCATCAGCAGCCACCTGACATTTGTATGGCCAAGTTTTCAAAGGTGAAAACCTGCCATGTGGGAATCTAAACTGACGTCATGATGGGCACTGAAGGCACCGCCTCACATGTATGCTGTATTCGAGAGTACAGAGGTCTTTCAAAACACCACTGAAAGGGCAGCTGGTAGAACAGGCATTTAACACTTCCCTACTAACCATAGGAAAATCGGGCACAGAAAGAGTAAGTAATTTGCCCAAAGTCAGGGAAGGGCTTGCCCTCACGCCCGGTTAACTGCATTAACTGTTATTTGCTCCTAAGCAATGGTTAATTGCTCCTGAGTTTGCTCAGTTGTTTTTGTTTTTGTTTTTGTTTTGAGATGGAGTCTTGCCGTGTTGCCCAGGCTGGAGTGCAGTGGTGCTGTCTTGGCTCACTGCAACCTCCGCCTCCAGGGTTCAAGTGATCTTCCTGCCCCAGCCTCTGTGTAGCTGGGACTACAGGAGTGTGCCATCATGTTCAGCTAATTTTTTGTATTTTTAGTAGAGATGGGGTTTCACTATGTTGGACAGGCTGGCCTTGAACTCCTGACCTCAAGTGATCCACCTACCTCAGCCTCCTAAAGTGCTGGGATTGATTACAGGCATGAGCCACCACTCCCAGCCTGCCCAGTTCTTTTTAAAATAAAATTGTATAATGGGTTCACCTAAGACTGACTGATTCTCCACATCTGGAAACCTGGGAACTCAATATTTAACCACCTAATACAGGGGCTGGCTGCTTTTACCTAGCATTTGTATAAGCTTAATCCTCCCCAGAATAATACATATCTACCCTCTAACCTTTGTCCTCCTATCCAGAGGCCAAAGCTATTGCTCCATGTGTTTATTCCTGTCTATAAATGTCCACATTAGATATTGAACCTGAGCAAAACACCTAGTGGCTTGCACACCCTATGAAATGTTAGACCTTCTAAGCGTGACTTCACGTTGGTCCATTTACACTCACCCATTTCTTTTCCCTGGAAGTGTCCGCTCTGACCTGCCTCTACCCAACTCCAAAACTGCTTCTGCATTTTAGGGATTAGTTCCTCTTGGGGCCAATCTCTCCAATACCCTGAACAGACACACAAACACCCTCTACCCTAGAGAGGATCATGTTTGAGGTTTTGCTCCCCTAAATACACACATACCTCTGTATTCATTCCATATTCCCTTTTTTATGTTCTTTTCTTTTTCTCTTTCTTCTTTTTTTTTAATTTTTGTTGTTTAATTTGTTTTCTTTTCCTTACTTTTTTTAATCCATATTCCCTTTTAAACTGAGACCTCTCCGCAGCCAAGGGCAGCATGATGAACTTGTCACATCCACCCTGGGGCAAGCACTGGCCTTGCTGCGCTATACACGCTTAGTGTGCTCTGCCATCTTCCACGAAGCAGATTTCCCCTTTGGAACGGAGACAGATAGCACCTCCTCTGTGACCTCAACTCCCACCCCAGGCTGCTAGGAACGATGCCCTGGTAGCCAGTAAAGAGTCAAAGGCCACCAGTGTCACAGTGATAACTGTGTTTGTCATTTCCATAGCCATTTTTTTTTTAAGTGTCTTTCCATTGAATGTCATTTTTCTTGCCTGGCGAGAGGGCGCTGAGGTGTAGCCATATTCCAGAGCCTGAAAAGCCTTGTGTGGCCTAGTGGTTAAGAGCATGACTCTAGAGTCAGCCTGCCAATTCCAGATGTGCTCACTGGGTGACCCTGGGCAAGTAATTTAATCACCTGGTGCTGCCCTGTCTTCATCTGTAAAGGACACTGATGGCAGTCCCTGCCTCAAATGATGGTTGTAGGATGATGGGGAAAACAACAAGTGTTTAGAAGGGTGACTAGCAAGTAGAATTCAACTCTGCTTTGATGACTCAATGTACGATGCCAATCACCCTGACTGGGCCATGAATGGGCACCTACTATGCGCAGGCACTGAGTGAGGGGTGGGCCATAGACAGAAAGAGACCAAAGCGTTGAGGAACGCAGTCTAGCAGTAAAGCTGATGTGGAACTGCAGATCCCAAAGCCCCAAGGGCAGCATACTCGAGATATAAAGTGCTGGACAGTGCGGTTCCCAGAGTGAGGCAATGCCTCACCTCGGTCTCAGAGGATAAATGGGAATTTTCTTGGCAAAGAGAAATGAAACAAAGAGGGAGGAAGCGTTCCCTGCAAAAGACAGAATTAGCAAATGAAAGGAAGTCGAGATCATGCTCTGCCTAGGCACAGAACTCATTTCGTCTGCCTGATCGCATTCCAAGTATATCTGTGGTGGAGTCGGGGATGGGGACACATGTGCGGGAGATAGCTCCCTACATACTTCAAGAGCTGCAGAGGAAGCTCTCAGTGGCTCAGGTGACCCAGGGGGCACTCCCACTTCCACCTACTCCTGGTGGAATCCCAGCAAGACCTATCAGAGAATGACCTGAAGTGTTTGCTAACACTACAGGTTCTAAGCCCCACCCCCAGATCAACAAAAAGTCTCCTGGGATGGAGCCAGGGAATCTGCATTTTAACCCATTCTCCAGGGACACTTTTGCTCATTAAAAATTACACACAGCAAGATTTGAGAATCACTGCACTAGATAAGATGCCACATGTCCCTTTGCGCCCTTGGAAGCAGGGGTGCCAGCTAGGTCCCAGTGTCCACATCTAGCTCCTTTAGATGTAATCCACGGTGGTGAGCCCTCAAACATGGGAATTGGGAACTGAGACATGTTTTTTGGTAGGCTTTGGGTAATGGGTTTCAAAAGCCTTGAAAAAAACACACATTTTGACCAAGGATAAAAAGTCCTTCGGGGGAAATCACTGATGTAAATCAATGTCTAGTCACAAGGATGTACTTGTTGTAGGGTTGCTTATAATTAGTAAAAAAAAAAAAAAAAACTGGACGCAACCTAAACACAAATGAGGGAGGTACTGGCTTCTGCCTCAGGGCTTCTGCACATGCTCTCTTCCCTTGCACTGAACACTGCCCTCACCCCCTGCCCACATCTTCACGGTTCTTAAGTTGTTGCTCTAACGCCACCTCCTCTGCGAGGCCCGCCCCTAACCACTCTACTTAAAAACAGCACCAGACTGGGCATGGTGGCTCATGCCTGTAATCCCAGCACTTTGGGAGGCCAAGGCGGGCAGATCACTTGAGATTAGGAGTTCGAGACCAGCCTGGCCAACATGACAAAACCCCATCTTTACTAAAGATACAAAAAAAAAAAAGCCGGGTGTGGTGGTGCATGTCTATAGTCCTAGCTACTTGGGAGGCTGAGGCAGGAGAATCTCTTGAACCTGGGAGGCAGAGGTGGCAGCGAGCCAAGATTGCACCACTGCACACTCCGGCCTGGGGGACAGATACTCGGGAGGCTGAGGCAGGAGAATCACTTGAACCTGGGAGGCAGAGGTGGCAGCGAGCCAAGATTGCACCACTGCACACTCCGGCCTGGGGGACAGATACTCGGGAGGCTGAGGCAGGAGAATCACTTGAACCTGGGAGGCAGAGGTTGCAGTGAGCTGAGATCGCGCCACTGCATACTCCGGTCTGGGGGACAGAGCAAGACTCCATCTCAAAAAATATATATATAAATAAAAATTAAAAAGAAAAACAGCAACAGTGCTTTTTCCCCATTGCACATAATCCTACTATACAAGAGAATTGACTTATTCCATGTGTCTCCTTCAACTGCACCTCACTCCACTAGAATGTAAGTTCCAGGAGGGCAGGGATTTGTGTCCATTGTGTTCACTGCTAGAGCCCAGCACTTAGAACCTGGTACTAGTAGCTTCTCAAGTATGTTTTGACCAAATGAATTAATTAGAGAAATACAAAGCAGTGCAACACCACACAGCCATTAACAATGGCACTGCTAACAACTACACACACGGAAAGGCAAGGACGCCAGGCCGCTAAGTGAAGAAAGAAGTTTCTGACACAGTCTTGGCTCCCTGACCCTTTGCTGAAAATGTGCGAGCCCTTGTGAGTGTGAACATAACCCACTTTCTCATCAAGCGCTTGTGGGTGACTTATTTTTTACTTAACTGAAGTTTCTAGTTTTTCTTCCATTAACTTTACGTTACTTACATAATCTTTGAGAAGTAATCCCTCATGAAATGCTCTCAAAACATCTGCTAATTTTTTTTTTTTAAGAAAAAAGCTTCCTCCTCAGTGACTTAATTAGGGTGTTCCTAATTAAGGCCAGCACAACATCAAAGAGGCCAGGTTCCAGGGGACCCCCGCTCCAGGTCAACTTCTGGTTGCAGGATGACCTCAGTCCCTCCAGCGGAGGCTCAGACAGAGGGCTTGGCTGTCGGCTAGTCCTGGCTCTGCTCCCCGCTCCCTGTTTCCTATTGGGGTGCCTCATCCAATTATTCAGGCCCTCGATCACATCCTGCTGCCGAGCGGGCTTTGAAGGTTCAGTAAACAGCCACTTCAAAACAAAGAGGGGCCATTAAACCAAACTCAAAGACTTCCTTAATGGCTGCGTGCTCGGCTGCAGGAGAGGAGTCCGGCCTCAAAAGGGAGGTCTCCCTGGGAACTAATCCCTGAGCTCTCCCAGCCTCCTTCTGCAAATATCTGCCCGCTTCCTGCTCTGCACTCAATCACTCGGGGTGCAGAGTGGTTACTGGAGCGACCCTTGACAGAGGGGCTCCTCCAGCAAAACAAACATGTGTCGTGTGGCTGCCACCTTAGACAACCCTATTGCACACTTCGATCTCACAGCTCAGCTGCTCCCAAAAACTGCACTGGCCTGGCCCAACAACTTCATGTCCGTGGCCAGGGCATATTCCTCTTAATTAGAGGGAGACCCCTTGAGCTTCTGGAAGAAACTCAGAGGTGAGTCTAGATTTTTGTGTGTTCTTATCTGTCTCATCCTGAGTCCTAATGGTACAAATAGAGCGATCAAGGACATGAATGAAATACACCTGTTACAGAATCTAAAATGCTAGGCTGCAAAAGCGAGAGAGAGCCCAGTCCTGTGGAGAGGCACACAGACCCTGGAGCCAGACTGCCTGGACTCAACTAACTCCCAGCTATGCTTCTCACTAGCTGTATGACATGGGCAAATGGCTTAACCGCGCAGCACCTCAGTTTCCCCATCTGTAAAATGGGAATTATACTAGTTACTAAGACTACCTCGCTGGGTGGTTGGAAGATTAAATAAGTTTGTGTCAAGCACTTAGCATAGTGCCTGGTTTGCATATAAATGCTTTTAAAATAAGCAAAATAAAACTCAGTTCCGAGCGAGGGTGTCACCCAGATCAAAAGCCTTCCTGGACTCTGTACTCCCACCCTAAATGGGAATCAGAGGCCCTCCCCAGAGCCCCCACACAATCTTGGGCTGATCTCTATGGTGGTGTGGATTACACTGAACTCTAATTACCTGCCTGCCTGTCTCCTAGACTGAGCACTTCAGGGCAATGACTGTCTATACTGTCCACAGGTGTTCCTCCACCCCCCAGCAGCACCTGACATGCAGTAGACATGCCATCGTATTTGACGAATACATGTACTGTGTCCTCTCAAATTACTTATATGTTGAATGTTGAAAAGCACTGCACTTGTCTCTACTGCATTATCAAACTGAAGGCATAGGTTGCTTCTATTCTTTGAAACATCTGAGTGCCACTATCAGCAGGAGGTTCTGCCAGGAATTACTAGGGTGGCTCAAATAGATACGAGCATTTATTTAGCACTTATTTCATGCTAAGCCCTCGACTTTTACTTATTTAATACTCAACAACTTTAAGAGGGAAGGATTATTCACCTCTTCTCCCATTTTACAGGTAAGAAAATCAAGGCTCAGTAAACTTAACTTGCTCAGAGCAATAGAGCTAGGAAACGCTAGAGCCGGGCTTCAAAGCCCAAGGATAACCACTTTTTAAGGTAGGATATAATCAATACTAGGTAGAATGTCACAAAGAATGTGAAAAATGGCTTTAGGGTTATCGAGCTTTGAGGGAAAAGGAGGCACCAGAGAATAAGGTCACTGTCTAATGGGGCCTAAGGATGAGAAAGATTTCAGTAGGCAGCAATGGCAGAGACAGGACAGGACAAACAACAAAAGTGAGGAGCACAGGCTGTGTCAAGGAAGCCTGGGAGTCCGAGTTAGGGAGCACTGGACACATAGCGGGCCACTTAGCTGGGGCCAAATCACAGGTGTCCTCACACAAAAGGTTAAGGCAGGACTGCCACATTCGGCCCATGGGAAGAACCCAGATGTGGCCAAGACTTGGGAAGCTGCTGCCACAGGGCAGACTAGAGGCACAGGATGGCCACTTTTGGTGGTTGCCCCAGAAAAAGGAGGAAACTCAAAGGATGTAGATGGGAAAAGATGACCCTAATAAAGCAACTTTCCCTCCCCCAGGCCTCAATGTATCTGACTTACAAATGTCCTAGCCAAGGACCCCACCCTCTCCTTCCCTAATAAACAAACAGTAGGGTTTGCAAATACAGAATGCAAATAGGTCCTGCTGGGCCAGCTGACCTTTGTAATGAACTCAGGGGCGATTTACTTAGCAAGAAAAAAACTCAACTTCTCCATTTCCTGCAACTTCACTGCAAGCTCTAAATACAGCTCCATAAGGGTGGGGCAGTGTCTGCCTAAGAAGTGGTGGAGATAATTACTCCACTGATTCTAAGACTTCAAAATACCTCATTCCCAAATCTACAAGACAGAATAGTAACTGCTTCTAACATTTGAGTGGACGTTCGCCAGGCAATGTGTGAAAACCTTCACAAGCAATGTTTCACTTCAGAATCCTCCAACAACTCTTATCAGGTTCATCAGACCCATTTTGCGGAAGAGGAAACCAAGACTTACAGAGATTAAATAACTCGCCCATGGGATTTGAGTCAGATTCCTTTAACTTCAAGGTCAACTCTAGCTCCAGAATTTCTATGGAGGGGTTTAGGGGCAGTGTTGTAGCCAGCAGAAGGTAGAAGATAGAAAGCTGTGTTGCAACGCAGGCACACTCTAATTCTCTAGATGATATGTTACAGATCTGCAACTGTTCCGTACGGTAGCTACTAGCCATACACGGCTATTTAAATTTAAACAAATGAAAAGTGACTAAAAATAAAGTCAATTCCTTGACTGCACTAGCCACACCTCACGTACTCAATAGTCACACGTGGCTAGTGGCTCACGTATTTAACAATTTCCATCATCGCAAAAAAAAAAATCACAACGGACAGAATCAATAAATCATGGCAAAGTATTCTAAAATCCTTTGTTGCTGTTTATTTTTATGTTTCAGTTTATTTACTTTAACATTTAACTCTAATTTTTTTTTTTTTTTTTGAGACAGAGTCTCATTCTGTCGCCAGGCTGGAGTGCAGTGGCGTGATCTCAGCTCATTGCAACCTCTGCCTCCCGGGTTCAAGCAATTCTCCTGCCTCAGCCTACTGAGTAGCTGGGACTAGAGGTGTGCGTGATCACGCTGGGCTAAATTTTGTATTTTTTGCAGAGATGGGGTTTCACCATGTTGGCCAGGCTCGTCTCAAACTCCTGGACCTCAGGTGATCCACCCATCTTGGCCTCCCAGAGTGATGGGCACCTCGCCCTACCAGAAAAGGCTTTGAGGGAAGACTTACACAGCTCAGTGATTCTCAGCCTTGGACATCACCAGAATTACCTGGGGTGCTTTTCAAAATCTTAATGCCATGAATGTACCCCAAGGCACTGATCAGAGCCCTGGCCCAGGCAGCAGCATCTCCAAGCTCCCAGGGAACCCAATGGACCCTGCTCTGTAACCACACGCATGCAGCCAAATGAGGTACACCTGCCTAGAACCTCGCCTTCTGGTGAGACCCATTCCCACGGCCCTTGGAGCCCCTGTCGCATAGTAGGCAGCAGAGGGGACCCAGGCAAAACCTGCTGCCCACCTCCATGCCCAGGAAGCTGCTGGTGCTGAGTGAGCTGAAACTTTCTACTGCTTTGAGAGAAAGCAAGCAAATAAAAAGACACACAGTTCAAAAGGCACTCAACTCAATTGATTTTTTTTTTTCACCCACTTACATTAGACAGGAAAAGAAAAACAACTTAGAACCTATGACCAAGGCCAGATACGCCAAGAGGCAGCACAGGAAGGAGTTTTGTTGGTGAGCCCATCCACTTCTTCAAACACAGACTTACAAGGGCCCTTGTCCAGCCCCCAGAGAATCTTAAACAACCCAAATCCTCCCATTTGCTCAGTAGGTAAAAACACTGTCACCTCCAAACAAATCGGGAAGCAGGCGAGATGAGAGAGCCCCAAGCCTAGGACTTCCAGGTGTTGAGACGGGGACTGCTCTGGAGTGGATTCTGCACTGGGAATTGCTACTTTTAAGTTTTTGGTTGTTCGGTTGTTTCTGATTTGCCTTGGTGGCTCATACTCAGATGAAACCTGCAGTCTACTGCTAATTCAAGGGAGAACCTCAGCAATCGTGACAATGGGCTTCCTTAATGCTCAGCCAATTAATTTACTCCTCAATTTCATTTTCCTCTCCTGTTTGCTACTTAATAAGGCCATATCAGCAGTGCTATCTCCAAATCTGAGTTAAACGGCTCACAGCATCAGTTAGTTCCCTTTAAATGGCCCCCAAATTTCTTGTCTGACATCCTAGGCAGCTAAATCTGTCCTCTGGCTTTTGTTTGGTCTGGAGTGAGGTATTTCTTTGTTTTTGCAGAGGTGTGGGTTTTTGGGGTAAGTGTCCTGAAGGCAGTTCCGAGAAGTAATGGGGAACTCAAAGTGACCTCATTTGTCCATACCCAATTCGAACATCTAAATGGTCTCACTACAGAAGGAATCTTGCCAGCTATCGCCACCCATGCCCGTGAAGATGGAAAAAGCCGAGATGCAAATTGGAGATAAAGCATCTAATGAATCAATAGTTTCAACCTTTTCACCCTCCAAGCATTTTAACAGCCTTAAGTAAGCTAGCCAAATTGACAGACATCATTTTAGCTTTTTTCCTTTTCCCTGTGGCTGAGGTGCAAAAGAAGAGTTCAAAGGGCAAGAGGTCAGCAACTGAGAACACATAGCACACAGGGAACAAACTTAAATAGTGAACAATTTTTTAGTATATCTGAAATGCAAATTTAATGGGAAACCCTACGTTTTTACTTGCTGAAATCATTATGCCACGTTTGGTGCCTGAAACACCACTGATGCTCAATAAATACTACGGAATGAGTATATGTTACTCTAGTAAGAACTGGGCAATGGCTGAACCAGGCAAAATCCAAACTCAGCTTACCTTCTATGCAAACCAGGACCTAGGAATGACTTCTCTTGATTTGGAGCATTACAAACTGCGGAATTTCAGAACATAAAGGTTCACAGCATCAAGCTAGAAGTTCCAAAAAATTTGACTAAATAGTAAAGGGTTTTCACAAAAACTAAATAGGGAGGGGGTTTTCACAAAGAAACACTCAAACCAGTATAGAAACGATTTCCAAACAACAAAATTGGCACCCAAAAAACCAAAAAGATGACTCTACATAGAAGAGGTCCTAAATCTCTGGGCACCCATCCCAGGCAGTTCCTGCTGTCGATTTTATGACATCTTTACTTCACCTTCTTCTCCCATGGGCCCAAAACGAGGAAGCTGTAAAACCCTGGCCAAATACAACCATTTGCTAAGAGAAAAGCCAACATGGGGCCCATGTGTCCTTTACAAGTGCTCTGCTTGTCCTGCCTTTGGTGGCTGTCACCGTTTATAGGGAGCAGCCCACCTCCCTCAGAGCACCTGGCTGAGGCCTTGGTTGGGTTTTCAGTGCTGTCCTGGAGAAAACTTTTTTTTTGAGGCCTCCAAGGGAACTCCTGCAGAGACTGATGCTCTTCTCTAGGCTGAACCACAGCCCTTCCTTCATGACCACCATATTGGATTCATATTACCTGTTTACAGCCCACAGGACAAGGAGCTCTCCAAGGGCAGAGCCTAGCAAAAGGCCTTCTACACAATTGCCCTCCATAAACAGCAAGGAAGTGTATCTCTCTTCTGATGGGAACCCCAAAACAAAGCAGTGAGGGGTAAAAAAAAAATCCTGAAATCACTATCCAGTGTTGGACCCACTACCCACATTCTCCATCCTATGATATGGGAGGGAAAATATCACGACATGGCTTCGAACCACAAAAAGATTTCCATGGAATTCAAGAAGTCCCTTTAGCAGTTCTAATTTTAGGCAGAACTTAGGAAAGAGGATAGTGATGGCAAACACAGGTGGGGGGCGGTGGGGAGGAACTGAACAAGGCCTCTATTCTGCTCAGCACAGGTGCTGGTAACAGGACACCCCTGTCTAAAGTGACACATGGGGTGGAGGAACCAGGTGTGGTTGGGGTTGTCTTGCGCCAGTCACATTCTATACTCCTAACCTCGTACAAAGTTCTCCCCGCAGCAGGCCCAGTTCAGCTCTCGACATGCTGATTCTTGAGCAACAAGGGTGAAGAAAATATTTGATTTCAGACATCCAACTTTGTTTTTTTAACCCAAGTTAATTATTAAAAGAAGAAAGACATCCGCAGAGTGAGCTGTCCTCAATTTTGGCCAGCAAAGTCTCCTGGTCTTAAGAACTCCCCAGACATCACCAAAATCGATGCCGGTTCAATGACTCAAAAGCAAAGGCACAAAGCTGCTGTTTGAGACATGGAGCCCTCCCTTCCCAGAGCTTGGATAGAAACTCCAAAAAGATTCCAGGACCTCCTTGATGCAGTCAAGATCGTCTACACATCGGAAGGCAGTCAACATCACTTCCAGACTACTGTTCCCCAGACAAACCAGCTATGGGCCCTTCCCTCCAGCCACGTGAATATCTTGTCTCCCCTTTCCTCTGGAACCAACTCACACCAGCCAATTTGATCAGCGATTTACTAATTTGCATGGATGGGAGGAAAGGCAGCCAGTAGGTGATTTTGCACAACACCGTTCATTAGCGACCACCACCACAGCAGGGTAGAATAAACGGGAAACAAACCACCAGGCTTCCTCTCGTCAAGGAATCGATATGTTGTTTACTAGCTGCTGCTTGCTTTACATGGTGCTGTTCCCCAGTGGAGAAAAAGTCAGGATTTCTTCCACACCTTACTGCCTGAAAAGGATAAAACCCATGCCCTGACAGCCAGCCGAGGACTTAGATGAAGCATCTTTAGAGGAAAGCACAAAGAATCCTCTCTCTCTTGCTTTTCCATGTCTTGAGGTTCTCTGGTTTCAGAAGATGGAGGGTGCCAGGCCTTGAAATTATTCCTTTTATTGTTTTCTTTTTTTCTCCAAAGAGGAAATTGACTCCCTTCCTGTGCTGCTGTACATTTTGAAGAATCAAATGCTACTAATAAAACCATTTTCCTTATCCTTTTCTCACCCAGCCTAACATCACTTCTGAGAAAATAACCTAAAAATTTTTATCAAGATGGCATTCCAAATGGGTTTCCGACATTTACGCTTTTCCCTCAGAGCAAACAGATAGGAGACCAAAGGCATTATAAACCCATTATGGGAGTTTAAAGAAGAGAACAAGAGGATAAGCAGGTCATTAGAAAGTCAGTTGATTTCAGATATTAAAAACTGACTTTTGTTGCTGGTGACTTCATGCATCTGCACACTATATACTGCTTATCAGATCTGTTCAAATTTAAAAATTTTTAATTTCCATTTAAAATGTCACTGTCATCTAATCCATGATGAAGTCTTTTAAGAAGCAAAGTCCAAGAAAATATTCAAGAATTGTCTTATGCATAAACAATCTTGGAAATCAGACATTCCCTCTCTCTTCATCTCTCGAGTCTCCAAAAGTCTAAAACTCTGCAGAACCCAAGGCATGTTTTAGTCTTCCATTCCACCTTGCTTTTAAAATTTTACTGCCAAAACAAACAAACCAAAAAAAAAAAACTTTAAAATAAATGATTTCCCATAGGATACTGAACAAACCTACTAAACTCAAACCGAAAGAAGTCAGGATACACAAACTCTAGATTCCGCCGTGACTGGGCATTAAAGAAAATGTCTTTATTTTTAACTGGAACCATGCAGGGGAAAAAACACCACCTTGGCACCCGTGAGTCCCCAGCCAGGGCATAGTGCCACGCAGCCACAGGATGGCAGGTGGAAAGCAGGACAGCCCACCCTTTGGGCAGGTCACCTTCTGAACGGCTTTCGATTCAAACAGTGAATGGGAAGAACCGAGCCTGGATTCTGGATTAAAGAACAAAGAGAAAAAACTCCAGATGTGATCACTCCAGGACTACAGTGGACAGATCCGTCAGTGTGCACTGGGGGCAACAGAATGAAAGGGGCTGTCTTTCAACAGGGAATAATCCATCTAATTCCAAGTGCCTGGACTATAAGCATTCCTGGGCAAGCAGAGTCTGGCTGCAGATTATGCTATGCTAAGGACAATTTGTGACAAAAGGCACGAGAGCTGTAGAAAGATTTCAAAATGGACAAAACCAGGACAGAGGCAGCTTGATAAAGTTCACCCTGGGTGAGGTGGCAGTTGGTTCTGAAAGGTGGAAGCAGGCCATGACAGCTGAGCATTCCTTCCCAAAGACCATCTCCGAGGCACGAAGCCTCTCTAAACCTTACACTTCATCAGACAAAAGCTCCTCCAGGCGCCCAGGCAGCGGCTGAAGAGGGGCTGTCCACACCCACTCGGTGCACAGCTTTCCAAACCTGCCCACTCGTTTTGGAAGCGAGCTTTTAATTAAACACCACCTCCCCGGATCTGGATCTGTTGAGGCAAACTGGGGCTGGGCCAGAGCCAAAGAGAAGCTCCCTAAATACACATTAAAAAAATAATTTCCCCCACCGCTCCCAATTCCCACCTCCAGCCAGCTCGCGCGGCTGGTTTTATTTCCTCTGGATGAATAACACGGGGCCCTGGTCTATCTCTAGGCACCAGAAAATCCACATCCGAGGATCAGGTTATCCCCAGTCCCACCCTTTGCAGGAAAAAACCAGGGTGTTGTTCCCCGCCCCCACGCGCGCGCGCGCACACACACATGCACGCGCGCACACACACACCATCTTCACAACCCTTCCAAGAGAAAACCTAGAGTGTGTGTCCGTTTGGGTCTGGGAGGGCAGGATACAGTTATTTCGGGGGCCCCAATCTTGCCTTTAGGCTCAGCTGGGAGAAGGCGGGGCCCCTGCAAGGCTGCCCGGGAACTTCGGCCCCGCGCCCCGCGGGAGGGCTAAGAGAGGGCACGCACACCTTTACCAGCTTCGGAACGGCCCAATTAATAACTAATTTGCTCAGATACCCCACTCCAAGTAGACCTGACAGCCAAGGAGGGACTGGCTTTCCCTCTCAGTCTCCTAGGCTAGGGGACTCCTTCCTGCGAGCGGGCAGAGCCCCCACTTCCTCCCCACCACCGCGCCAGGCGCCCCCACCCCGTGCCCGGAGGAATCAGGTGTCCTCCCGGGCATCCAGCCCCCGCGGGTCCCAGACACTTACTTCAGGGACAGACAATGGGAAAACTTGCAGCCAGTGCCTTGAGCCCCCGAGGGAAAGAAATGGTGCCGCCCCCTGGGACAATGAGCGGGGGAGATGGCGTGGGACAGCAGACACCCCCCAGAGAAGCCACCCGCCCAGTGACCCCGCAGAGCCCGGAGCAGCGCCCCGGGTGAGCAGGTGACACTCCGGCCGGGAGCTCCCGCAGGTGGCCGGTGGCCACACTGCAGGGAAGGGCCGGGTGCCCGGCCCGGGGTGGAGGCGAAGCGCGGCGGCGAGGTCAGAGCGCGGCGGCCGGCGCCGCAGCCGCACCCCCGGCGTCCTACCTTCATGTCGCTGATGATGGTCTGGAAGAGGCCTCCGAGCGCGCTGCATTCCTTCTCAATCACAGCCTCCATTTTCCCGGCTCCGGCAGGGCGAGGGCACACACGCGGGGCCGCTGGACTGCGCGCGGGGCCGGGGCTCGCTCACCCCAGAAGGAATTTCACCTTCCGAGAGACCCACCTCGGACTCGCAGCCTCTTCTGCAGCGAGGACGGGGTGCACCAGACCGACTGTTCTCTGCCCAAAATAATAACAGTAATTTAAAAAGCCAAACCGCTCTGTAGGGTATTCGCCTACAAGCAGCGCTCGGCTCCTGGCCTTAAAAATGCCGGGAGAAGACTGACAATCAGGCCACCACTGGTGCCCACTACGGAAACGGCAAAGCCCATCTTGATGCAGAGAAAATCGCCCGCTGACCCGGGGCCAGCGCCATTGAAAAACGCAAGATTTTCCAATTTAATAAATTTTTCTGCAATTAAAAAAAAATCGCCCAACAGCAGAGCGGGTCAGCTCGCGGCGTCCGGATCTGTTGCTCGCAGCTGCGGCCGCCGCCTCCTTTTCACTCCTGCGCGCCCGGCCCCGGCGCTCGCTCTGGCTGGGCTCCCGGGGACGTTCGGAGGGGCGCACGCGCGCTCGCGGCCGTGCCCGCCAAGCGGAGGCGCGCTCTCGCGGCCGTGCGGCCGCCGCACGCGGGCGGGGCTGGGAGCGCGCGCCCGAGAGGCGCGTGGGGCACCCGCCGCAAAGAGGAGCCTGCTGGTCTGCTGGCGGGCAGGCGGCGCTGGGCCGGAGCCTCTCCCTCCGGTGCGCACAGCGCACCCTCTCCTCCCCCGGCCGCCCGTCGCAGCGCGGAGAGGGCGTGTCGGCACCCTGCCTGGCGAGCGCCCACCCCTACAATGGCTGCGAGCGCGCGGGACGGAGGGTGCACCGCCGCTCCCCGGGGACTTGCACGGGTGGCGCGCCTAGCCCAGAGCCCGCTTGTAGTGAGCGCTCAGTAGGGCGGGAAAGCTGCTGCCGCTACTGCGGCCTTCTGAGAAGACGCCCATTCTCTGATGTCAGGACTGCATCGCCGAGTCCTGATTGCAAATAGCGAAATATATAATTAAGGAGAGTTCGGGGGCGTATCCTGCAATGGGATGCCGAGTTCGATAAAGTTGCAGGATGCTGGGAAAGTGGATTGATTTGCTGTTGCTAAATGAATGGAAACAGCGTTAGAGCTTCTGTCCACGATCCATCAGTCTATCGAGATTGCTGATTGCCTATGACTTGGACGGTTGATGGTTTTCAGGCCCACTGAGAGCAGCCAGCGTTGGTATAACCGCAGGGAGCCCTCCTGGGAGGTTGAACCTGCAGAGCGCAAATGTGCCCAGGTTGATTTGGGGCCTAGTGGTCCATTTTCACAGCTCCACTGCCTATCTGCATAACCAGGAGCCCTCATTCAGATGAACGCCAAATGGGCCAGAGGGAGGAGAATCAAATGAGCAACTTTTAAAAGATATTAAGACATAGGCACCTAACTCCGGACAGTTCCTTTAACCCTTGAGCTAACCATTTGAAGCACAAAACATAACAAAAGAAAAGACTGGGGGGAGTGGGGCCAAAAGAAACCAAGTGCAAAATTCTGTACACTTGTGTCAGATTCACTCCGTAATGGGAAAAGGTCTGGCTTTGAAAACTTTATGGATCAAAGGGATGCATGGAGTTACACAGCACAGCTGCAGAAGATAATGTTCCCCTGGATCACTCTGCCCAACTCTTAACTGCAACCCACCTTCCCCATCCGTCTCCCCGAAATCACCCGGAAGGGTGTTACCTTCAGGAAGTAACTGATCTCTTGATCACCCCTGCTGGATCCTGTCCCCAAGGGCGTTCGAATGCATCCGACTCATCTTCACCTTGCCAATAACGGGTGCTTGACACATCGTTTGCTGCCAATCATTATTGTGATTTTAATACTATTGGTATTCTAACTATCAAGATGACTGCTTGTAGAGCCAGATTGCCTGGATTCAAACTCCAGTTCACAACCTACTAACTGTATGCCTTTAGGTATGTTACTTAACCTTTCTGGGCCTCAGTTTCCTCATCCATCTGTAAATGGGGATAATGATGGCTTCTACCTGATAGGGCTGTTCTGAACATTACATGAGCTGATCGATGAAAGCACTTCAAGTGGTACCTGGCATCTCGTAAGTAATCATTCGATAAATCTTATCAACAGAAGAAGCAGGGATGAGGCCAAGGCTCAGGTCCAGCCCTGGCCCCATTTCACTTCTGTAACATTGGTGTGCTGTCCCAGGCACATTGCTGAGGGTCTACTGTGTGCATTCTGGGCATTTTATACGTATTATGTCTACTTGAAGGAAATTATCATTCTGGTCCTTGTTGCACTGTTGGAAGGAATCCAACCCTGGTTTTCTGACTTCCATGCCCCAGGTCTCTCTTTTACCCAGCCTCCTGAACTCCTGGGATAAGGGGCCTTAGCCCAGTGGACACTTGGTCTAGCTTTCCTGCCACATGCTTAAATTTCAATGCCCCAAATACCCCAACTTTAGCAATGTTTGCCAAAGCATACCTCTCTTGTGGCCTTTTTCCCTGGGCCTGACCACCAGGCCCTTGTCTCTCATGAGAACTCCTTGAAAGGGAGGCTGGAAAAGTGTTCCCAGATGCAGGAAAGTGGGAGTGACACCTGGCAATTTTTTTTTTTTTTTTTTTTTTTTGAGACAGGGCCTCACTCTGTCACCCAGGCTGGAGAGCAGTAGCGCGATCTCGGCTCACTGCAACCTCCACCTCTCAGGTTCAAGCGATTCTCCTGCCTCAGCCTCCATGTTGGTCAGGCTGGTCTCGAACTCCTGACCTCAGATGATCTACCCGCCTCGGCCTCCCAAAGTACTGGGATTACAGGCGTGAGCCATTGTGCCTGGCCAGCTGTCATACATTCTTTCCTTGTTTTCAGATTCTCCTTTGTTTCTGGCTGTTGGGGACTTCCCTTCTTTTAGACTGGCTCTGCATATATTTAAAGAGATTCTGATTACATTTTACCAACTGTGTCTACGTGGCTATGGCAGGAGGGGTTTCAGGTTATAGAATCTGCCTCTGCGACAATAGGGTGTCCCGTTTTTGTTGTTTACATGATGAAATGTTGGGTTTTGTGTAATGTATAATATTTTACACTTTTAGGTAAACTCAGATGCCTCTGATGGATTCGAAATAACCAGATATATTTCTGAATTGCTTCATATGGTATGTAAACTTAAGGTTTTCTAAACTAATATCTTTTTCATGCTCTTTTATTGCTACTCTGACCAGACCCTTATCTTACTTATAAAATATATATTTTTCTCATCATGCTTATATGGTACAGAAAGAGCTAAGCCCCAGAAATACTGTTAATGAGAGGGAGATCAGGTCCTGGACAGTCTTGGTTTATAACTTGCAGCAGGGATATCTGTTCCCCTGAGAGCCCAGTTCTCCATATCAAGGCACTGCAGAAGTCAAATTAGTAGTCAGCAGGCAGCTTGGGAGCACATAAACAAAGCAAAGGAGATTGGATGCTCCTGGGAGGACAGGCGTGGTTTGGTACAAAGCAGGTGCTCAAGAAATGTCTCAGGAATGGAACCCAACCAGGTTCCTACCCCACTAGAGAGCAGACACAATGTCTTGGCGACCTAGAACCATCAGATACAGCCTCTCTTCCTCAAATAGTCCTGGAGAAATACAAAATATTATGACTTCTTTCCCCTTTCGGATCTTCCAACCCCGCTATTTGACTCCCATGATTGGAAGCTACAAACTGGCCTGCAGAGGAGTTTTTAAAATTGGAAAATCTAAAAAAAAAAAAATAAAAAATTGGGAAATCTAAAAATATTTAGAAGTTGGGAAACTTCACCTCAAGGAACAAAGTTTCAGCACTTCCAGGAAGATAGGAACATGTGGCAATTCAGGGCTCACATTCCCACCTGGCCTAGGCCTGGGGGACAGCTGGTCCGTGGGGGGAGAACTTGCTCTTTACGCTCCCCGCCACCCCCCTTCAGCCTTGCTACTAATCAGTTCATCACCTTTCATTGGTTTCCTGCCCCAGTGACACATTCTGGACATTAGGGTTATATTTCGGCATTTTTCAGCCTGCCATCCACAAAACACATACAAAACATCTCTTAGGGTGAGTCAATGTGACAGATATTTTTAATTGATCCTCGCTAATTTCATTTTCAAAAGGGGCCTGTTTCTAAATGGGAACTTTTATATGCTGATAACTCCCGAATTTGTCTAAAGAATTTAATGACTCGATCAGAAAGAATTCTGTTTATAGGTGACCAGGGCGAGCTTAAGCCAATTTTGTTTCATAGATGAGCTATGGTAATGATAAATATACAAATAACTAACCTTTAGTGTATACTTACTGTGTGCCAAGTACTATCTTAAGTAATCTCACTCAATCCTCACAAAGCCTTAGGAGTTAGCACTTCGATTATCCTTATTTTACAGATGAAGAAACTGAGGCACAGAAGGTGGGTCAGGAGGGAGGAAGCAAAAGAGCTAGAATTCAAACATAGCAGCATGACTTCGAGCCCACTGTCTTAACCACTTCAGATAACTGCCTCTAATGCAAAGACCCCTCTCGAAGGTCAGAAGTTTCACAAACACTGCCTTAAGTCTCATGGCTAACTGGGAGGCCCCACAGAGCAACGTGGCTGTGCATTAGACTCACCTGAGGAGCTTTTAAAACATACCTAAGCTTGGCTAGGCACGGTGGCTCACATGTATAATCCAAGCACTTTGGGAAGCTGAGGTGGGAGGATCACCTGAGCCTAGGAGCTCAAGACCAGCCTGGGCAACATAGTGGGACCGCATCTGTACAAAAAATTAGACAGCTGTGATGGCATGTGCCTACAGTCCCAGCTACTCAGGAGGCTGAGGTGAGAGGATCGCTTGAGTGCAGGATGTCAAGTCTGCAGTGAGATGTGTTCACACCATTGCATTCCAGCCTGGATGACAGAACGAGAACTTGTCTCAATTAAAAAACAAAACAAAACAAACAAAAAAAAAACAAAACCCAAGCTTGAAGCAAATACCATAATGGGGTAACATTTGGGAAATCTAATGAAGGGGAAATGAGATATCTTTGTACTATTCTTGCAACATTTCTATAAGTCTGAAATTATGTCAAAATAAAAAATTAAAAGAAAAAAGAATGAATTAGAATAATATTCATTGACCTGGAGGGATTTCTGCAGAAATTATTGTCTTCATAGTAAGATCCAGAAAAGTATGTGTTATGTGATCCTGCTTCTGTAAAACAAACACTAACAAAATCCATCCACACACACCCATTCACATATGCACGTGCATCTGTATGTCTTTATGTGATAATGGAATAAAACATGCATGATACATTTTTAAAAATTCCATAGCAAACCTCTGCCAGAGGTTCTTCTTGAATTGTTTAGGAGTAGAACCTGGTCCTGGGTACTTTCTTTCAAAGTTTCCTAGATCAGTGTTCTTAATGTTGCCACACATTTGAATCACCTGGGAAGCTCTGAAACAGCCTGATGGCCAGATGACAGCCCAGGACAATTAAATCAGATTCACTGGGAATGGAGCCCAGGTATGGATGTTTTAAAATTCCCAAGGGGATTCCAATGTACAGCCAATTTGAGGACGAGGCAAGGTCCTTTGAGCAGCCAGAGTTGAGAATCACTCCTGAGGAACAAGGGAACTCATGTGTGTAGCCCCTACTATGTGATAGGCCTTTGACATCCACTTTAATCCTAGGAATAGCCAGTGAGGTAGGAACTCCCAAGGAAATAGAGGCTGGCTCCAGAGATCAGATAGCCTGCCAGAGGTCACAGAACTACAAGAAGGCAGTGCACACTCTAACCCCATCATCCACTGGGCAGTTTGGCAGGAAGCGGGGAGGGGAGTTGTTTTGGGAAGACTTCACTGACTCTCAATCTCTCTTCTCCAAGACCACAGGGGTTGAAATTTGTCTAATAGAGATTCTTTCCTTTGGGTTCCTCCTCATAGGAGCTATTAAAAACAATAACAAGCCTGGCACGGTGGCTCACACCTGTAATCCCAGCACTTTGGGAAGCCGAGGCGGGTGGGTAACGAGGTCAGGAGTTCGAGACCAGCCTGGCTAATGTGGTGAAACCCCATCTCTACTGAAAATACAAAAATTAGCTGAGCATGGTGGCGGATGCCTGTAATCCCAGCTACTCAGGAGGCCGAGGCAGAGAATTGCTTGAACCCAGGAGGCAGAGGTTGCAGTGAGCCAAGATCATACCACTGCACTTCAGCCTGGGCAACAGAGTGAGACTCCATCTCAAAAAAATAAAAATAAAAAATATAACAACAAATAGTCATGAAAGGAGTTGCATGTTAACAGGATCTTGATGTCTGCCCAGTGAGTGCTTGATGTTTTGAAAGGAGGGGAATGTCAGAAAGATGCTCAAATATGGGACAAGAATCTAATTTAAAGGGGTAGGTCTGATTTTTTGTCATTTTCGTGCTCAAAATCCCTTCCTTCACCAGCCTCATCCCAGGCCTTATTGAAAGTTCCAGGTGTGGCCGGGCATGGTGGCTCATGCCTGTAATCCCAGCACTTTGGGAGGCCGAGATGGTTGGATCACTTGAGGTCACGAGTTTGAGAACAGTCTGGCCAACATGGTGAAACCTCATCTTTACTAAAAATACAAAAATTAGCCGGGCGAGGTGGTGGGCAGCTGTAATCCCAGCTACTGGGGAGGCTGAGGCAGGAGAATTGCTTGAACTCAGGAGGCAGAGGTTGCCATGAGCAGAGATCACGCCACTGCACTCCAGCCTAGGCAACAGAGTGAGACTCAGCCTCAAAAACAAACAAACAAAAAAACACACACAAAAAAGAATGTATGACAGCTGATGCTTTAATTGCCCCAGGAGGAGTCCTTGGTTTCAATAATCCAAGGGCTTGGCCTGCGTGTTCACCCCCAAGGAGGACCAGAGAAAGAGTCCCTAGTCCCATGCAAGTCAGGGATGTGCCACTGAGAGCCACCGACAGAGCTGGACACCCCATAACTGCTGCACTTCAAGGGCAAGTGGACGAGAAACAATCTGCCCACCAGGACAGGTGGCCGACACAGCAGCCTGGCAGTCTTAGTCTGGGATCTGGGTAGAAGTGAAAAGCATTCAGTGAAAAATTTGTGACAGAGGCCTGCACCACAGCTGCATTTGGGGGTTTCAGTTTGCCATATCTTAAATGGATCCAAAATACTTAAAATGAAAATTACTGTGAAAAATTGTTACTGGTCTAAAATAATCCTGGGTAACCCAGAAGCAAATGAGAAATGGCTCTGAGGGGATCCACCCTCAATCAAGTCCTCACAAGATTCCTGCAGAAAGCCTCCTGGAATGAGCTTAGGATTCAAAACTATAAAGAACTGATCAATACAAGGCCACAGTGCACTCATCACACTCAAGAATCAGCAAACTCCCAGCAGGGCTGAACCCACAAGAACTGAAGCTAATCCATCAATCTGATAGAGGTAAGCAAATTTAAAATAATTCAAATATAAAAGAAGGACACAAAAACTGACACTATGAAAAGAGAAAAGCATCGTGAAAAAGGAATCAAAGAAAGCCTAGAAACGAAAATTACAGTCACTGGAATTACCATGTATATTTGAACTATATATGGACAAGTTAGAGAACTGAATAGACATGGAGCTGAAAAGGGAATTTTTTAAATCAGAAAGTTCAGAAGGAAGCCCAGAAATAAAGAAATATTAATAGAAAATAGACAAAAGAGGTTAGGAGACATGGAGGACATGAGAATACAGCATATTGCTAGTTCAAGAGAAAATGGGGAAGGGGAACAGATAGTCCAAGAGATATTGCCTGAGAATTTTGTAGAGGTGAAATGCATCAATCCTCAGTTTTAGGGAGCACAGCAAGTTCTGAACAAGATAAGCCAAATGAATTGATTTTTTTTCATACTGAATTATCATACTGCAAATTGTAATTTGCCGTATATACTTATTTCTTTCAGAGTGTCAAAGAAAACTCCTTATAATAAAAAAAAAGAAAATTGTATTTGTTGTAACATCCTTGTTGCTGGGGGGTGTAGTAAAATCATTTATTTGCAGGATTTGGCGTAACAGAAATCTGCAGAAACAGGAGAGTCGGCGCAACGGCCCTTTGGAAGATATCTAGCAGGATCACTGTGCCGACCACACCCTTCCTTTCAAATTTATCTTTCATGCTGCTTTTCTGGAGTTTTGTGTCTATAGGGTACAGGCAGGAAACAGATGGCCCACTCAAACTGGGTAAGAAGGAAGTTTAAGAAAGAGACTATTTGCACGGACATGGGCAGGGTGTAGGGAACACCATGGATGGTGCAGCTCTGGGGTCCAGCAATGGTGAGAAGCCATCACCACCCCTGCCAGGAGAGGGCAAGAAGAGGGGGTAAGCTGGAACCCAGAGAGCCAGCTGCGTGGAGGGGGCTGAGTGTGGCAAGAGCTGTGGCCCTCTGAAGGGCCCTACAACCAACCTGGACGGCAAGAATCAAACTCCAACAGACATTTGTCCACAGAGTCCTGGTTTGCTCCCATCGCTCTTTCTCAAAAGTACCACAGTTTGGACAATAAATGGGTTGATCACTTGTACAAAGGTGCCTGTTGGTACAGTCCATACAGAACAGCTTTCTGACAAAGCGAAGCAGGGGAGGTTGGAGAGTGAATTGGGGCTCAGGGGAGCAATGGAAAATATTCAGCATGAACGTCGACTGCTCAGTAGTAAATGTCTTTTTGTTTTTTTATTTTTTTGAGACAAGATCTAGCTCTGTCACCCAGGCTGGAGTGCAGTGGCACGATCTCGGCTCAGGCCCAAGACAGCCTCCCACCTCAGCCTCCTGAGTAGCTGGGACTACAGGTGTGCACCACCATGCACAGCTAGTTTTTGTATTTTTTGTAGAGATGTGGTTTTGCCATTTGCCCAGGCTGGTCTTGAACTACTGAGCTCAACTTAACTGAGCCTGCAGCAGTTACTGAATGCCCAAGAGAACAATGGCAGTAGTGGGGGGTGGCAGGGGAACAGAGGGGCAGGGGGATTCTTCTTGACAAGAAACTGTTAGATTCTCTCTTTAGATTTTCACTAAGGAAGACTTGGCTTGTGGTCACAGGGGTGAATTTAGGCTTCTGAGCCAGGAGACATTTAATCTGCCTGCCTCCCAAAGTGCTAGGATTACAGGCATGAGCGCTAGGGTTAAAAAAAGACTGGCTATGTCGTTTTAATTAAACCAGCTTTATTGAGATATAATTCACATACCATAAAATGCACCCTTTTAAAGTGCAAAATTCAGTGATTTTTAATATATTCACAGTTGTGCAAATATCACCACAATCAATTTTAGAACACTTTTATCACCCCTCAAACCAGCCCCCTACCTATTAGCAGTCACTCTCCATTTCCCCACAACCTCCCTTTTCCCTAACCCTACATAACCACTAATCTACTCTGTCTCTATGGATTTGCCTATTCTGGACATTTCATATAAATGAATCATACAATATGTGGCATTTTTTATCTGGTTCGTTTCACTTAGCATACTGGTCTCAAGGTTTATCCATGCAGTAGTGTGGATCGATACTTTTTTTTTATGGCTGAATAATATTTCATTATATGGTTATATCACATCTTGTTTATTCGTCAGTTGATGGATATTTGAGTTGTTTCTACTTCTTGGCTGTTACTGATAAAGATGCTATGAACCCTTGGGTGAGTTTCTGTGTGGGTATGTTTTCAATTCTCTTGGATATATACCTATAGTGGAATTGCTGGGTTATGTGGAAAATCTATGTGTATCCTTTTGAGGAACTTCCAGAGTGTTTTCCCATAAGTAGTTTTTTATTTCTTATAATTCATAAGGTTTTTTACAGCATGAAATAACTGGTGTAGTCATTAATTCATAAGGTTTTTTACAGTATGAACTAACTGGTAGAGTCATTGTCCATCTGTTTGTAACAGTTGACACCATCCATCCACATAAAAAGATTTGGCTGCTGTGACTGGGCACGGTGGCTCACGCCTGTAATCCCAGCACTTTGGGAGGCCGAGGCAGGCGGATCATGAGGTCAGGAGATCAAGACCATCCTGGCTAACACAGTGAAACCCTATCTCTACTAAAAATACAAAAAATTAGCCAAGTGTGGTGGCGGGTGCCTATAGTCCCTGCTACTCAGGAGGCTGAGGTAGGAGAATGGCATGAACCTGGGAGGCGGAGCTTGCAGCTTGCAGTGAGCCAAGATCGTGCCACTGTACTCCAGCCTGGGCGACAGAGCAAGACTCTGTCTCAAAAAAAAAAAAAAAAAAAAAACTTGGCTGCTGTGAGGTCCCCAAATAGTCATTGGTGGTGTGTTAAATCTCTCCATTTCCTAGCTTTGTAATCACAGCAGATTGTTTATTGAGTCTTCAGATAGCATGATTTTAAAGATTTTAACATTCATTTTGGAATAAACCATTGTTTAGATGTTTCTAGCATTAAGACACTCAGGCAAACAAAATCGTATTGTAGTCAATTAATGGTCTGACTATATGTCAGTCTCTTGTAAGTTTGGCTAGTAGGAGTCTGTCACTGAGAGCTTAACTCTGGATTTACTGGCAAGGCCAAGATTCTGTACCTTGCACTGCAAGCTTTGTGTGTATTCTGGTTTGTTTGGACAACAGAGTATATTAAATGGCACTGGAATTAGGCAGACATTGGGGAAAGATGTTGAATACCAGCAGTTTAGCATCTATCATCTTTGCTCTGTCCACTTTATATATTTAAGTAACCAGGGTGGCTCAGAGCTTCCTCCCCAGAGCAACTCTATCAGAATGCCTGCAATTGCAAGAGGTTTTACCTGAGCAGACAGCAGACTTTCTTCTCCTAGGTCTTGAGCTTTTCTTTGAAATCAACAACAGAAACAGCAACATGGGAGACTATTTTTAATGGGGGCAGTATGTGAGATGGAATGGGCATGGGGTTTGAAGTCATAGAGACTCAAGTTCGAATTCTGGTGTTTCAGTGTTTCAGCTGTGTCCGTGAGCAAATTACTTGACTGGCCCATCCCATTGCATAACATACAAAATGTAATGCTCATTTCAAAATCTTGAGAATTAAAGATAATATGGTTAATGAGCTTAGCCTGCAGCAGTTACTGAATGCCCAAGAGAATGGTGGTGTTGGGGGCAGGGGGGCAGGGGGGCAGGGGGATTCTTTTTAACAAGAAACTTTTAGCTTTCCTCTCTAGATTCTCACTAAGGAAGGCTTGGTTTGGGCTAATAGGGGTGAATTTAGGCTTCTGAGCCAGGAGACATTTAGTCAATTGTTTCAAAGCAGTTCTGTCTTGTTTACTTTTAATAATGGGTTTGTTTGCTTTTAATAATAAGAACCAGACCCAGCCCTCCTATTTTCTGAAGGTTGTGAGCAGATGGAGGCTTATGACCTGGAGTTCAGTAGTAATCTTTCCAGCCACAAGTGGCCAGCGGCCACAGGCAACAAGTGAAAACAGGTTGTGTACAGGGAACCATTTCATTTGCAGGGGGTAATGCTATTTACCTGGGATCCTATCCAGCAGCTTCAAAGGTGGTGGCAGCCATTACCCGACTAATGAGCACAACACCCCTGGCTCCCTGTCTTCAAGGCAGGAAGATGCTGTGATGCACATCAGGAGATGGAGGGAAAAGAAATGACTTGCCCACCTGAGTGGCAGGTGAGTCACATTAGCCTCTCTGTGCCTCGCTTTCCTCATTTGTAAAATGAGAGGGTTGGTCCCTTCCACGTGATGTCTTCCATATGAGTCTGGCTGACCTGCAGACCTGATTTTAAGCTCTCTCTGGGTTCTTTGTCTGTTTTAGATATCTAGACATATATGTCTGTCTCTGTGTGTATGTGCATGTTTATGTGTTGCAGAAACAGTTGGGAAAAGAGATTAAGGAAGGGATGGTGCTGTTGGCTCCAGGCAGTGACTCAAGGAGGCATTCATGGTGAAAGAAGAAAGGCCTTTCTCAGGTGATGCTTCATCTTCCCCCACGTGCTCTGATACCCTGTCCCTGCCTTGATGTGTCTATAAATACAAACAGCAGGAGACCCGCATCAGTAGACAAAGCAGGTGGCTGCAACCTATTCTTCTTCCCAATGGCCACTGGGACAGTTCCTCTCCCCCAGAACTTGTTGTTTATATTTATTTTACACTAAAGCTATTTTAACATAAACCTGTTGAAATAGGAGAGGGCTTCCCATCTCACACCTCCACAGATGTGTATTTTCTAGAACAAATTCAAGACTAATCATAAAATGAAAACAGATTTCCACAAAGTTGTTCTTTATAATGTAAATTTTTTTCTGACAGGCAGCTTAATACTTCAAAGGGCAACCCATTCCTTTATTGATTATAACTAATTGTTTGAGATTTTCTTTAGCATGAGTTGAAATTTTTCTTCCTTTGTCAAAGTGAAGGAAGGGACTTGTATACAAGGAAGGTCCTTGTATAAAGGACCTATCATCAAGGTACCATCTCTCTTTAAACTTTAACTCCCAGAGGAGAAATACCTATAGCCACACAATTCATGTACTTTTTAGTCATTGGATCTCTATGACTATTATCATTATAGAAACTGTTTTAATATAATAATAATTTGAAAACTGGATTTTAAGAATACAAATTTAGAAATAGCAGTTCTCTCTAGAGACTCATTCATGAATATGGAAAGATCTTTTATCAGATAATTCCCCCCAGGGGTCCTTTAAATAGCAATCTCCTTCGTTTTGATTCAATTTGTAGAAATCCCATCTAGATGCATTACTGGACCACACATTGTGTAAAGGAAGGTACATTATGTGTTGGGTAACCATTTGGCTCTCTCTTTCTTCCCAACTTGTGACTAATTGATTTTGCCATTAATTGGGATTTCCCCTGGAGGCCATTTGATCTGTTTGCAGGATGAGCAGGGAGTTAGGGCAGTCCCTCCAGATGGGACGGCTTTCAATAAGCAGACAGTCCAAAGGGGCATCAGAGTGATACAGAAACGATTAATTGAATAACTCACTTGAAAATCATGTGCTGCTTTAAAGACCTAAAAGCTAAGTAAATACCTAAGTAAAGGCCATACTGATCAAGTAAGACTCCTTGTTGCAGCCTGGCTGAGAATAATGCCAGGAAAAAAAAAATTTAAGAGCATCCCATTAATGGATTCTTTAAAATACTGGAAGCATGATTCCAGGCAATAACATACTGTAATCCCCATAATACTCACATTTGCATAACTCTAGATAATTTATGAAGCATTTTCGCAGATACTGTGCAGATCTCACACTGACACGGGGGTGGGTTGGCTGTGAAAGGGCTCAACTGGACTTACATTCCAGGAGCAGAAACAGGCTTGGAGCTGTGGACTTCTCAGAGGCATACAACTAGTAAGTGGCAGAAATATTACCAGAACCCAAAACTTCTAATTCTAAATTTCTTGACAACACACAGCACCATCTCCCCAGTGCATCACAGCTAAAACCACCTTACTGGACTCTGTTTTACCCTGGAGAAGAAATGCATACTGACTGAGGACTCTGCTCCATGCCTGGCAAAATATTTGTATTATTTTTACAAGTATGTTTTAGTTTTATACAGATAAATACAATTTTAAATGGTTAAAGATGGCCTCATATTTAAAAAGCACATTGGGAGCCACTGTGTTAGATTATGCAGTGCAGACATAGAGAACCAAAAGGCTATGTGTGGTGGGAATAGTGAGGCAGAACAAGAACTTTCTAGAAAAGGAAAGAAAGGAGAGAACCTGTGGAGCGGAGCTGGGAACCAGGCTGGAGAGGAGAGGGAATAGCTGTCCAGGAGCAGCTATGCATGTAAACTAGACATGAGGCTCTATTTTATCGAGAATTTTCCTTCTCTTATCTCTACATGCCCTTTCCCACTACCACCTAGCAGTCAGCTTTATCCCCTGAGAGGACTTAGGGAAATGGAAGGAGGAGAGGAGCTGACTTTGTCTACCTAATAAGAGAAGGACAAGGGGAAGCCATTATCCTGACCTTTCTGTCTCCCCAGGAAATGGGTATCTACCTCTTTGCATTTGTTTACTAAGAAAGGCTATTCAAGTGATTTTTCCTAGAATAATGAAAGATGTTTCTAGAAGGTTTGCTTTCTCCCCAACACAAAGAAGCAGCCAGGAATTCCTAAATATCAAGCTTTTTTAAAAAAATTCCATTTCACCAGGCAATCCACTATGCACGTGAGAACAGCACCTACTTCATATGCTTGTTGTAAGATGTAATCAAGACCACGTACCTAAGCTGTTTACACAGGGGCAGGCACAAGTTAGGCATACCATGAACATTTGTGTCTTAGTCTGTTTTCTGCTGCTATAACAGAATACCTGAGATGGATTAATTTATAAACAATAGAAGTTTATTTGGCTCACCGTTCAGGAGATTGGAAAGTCTAAGAGCATGGTGCCTGCATCTGGTGAAGGCCTTCATGTTGTGTCATCCCATGGCAGAAGGTGGAAGGCAACAAAGGGCAGCAGTGAGCAAGCAAGAGGAGGCTGGACTCGCTTTTATAACAAAGGTACTCTGGAGATAAATTACCCACTCCTGTGATAACAACATTAATCCATTCATGAGGGCGGAGCCCTCTGACCTAATCACCTTTTATTAGGCCCCACCTCCCAAAAACTGTTGCATGGGATTAAGTTTCCAAAACATGAACTTTGGGGAACACATGCAAACAATAGCAATTTATAAATAAGGACCAAAATTTGTTGAGGACTTAACAGGTGAACCCAAGAGCTACAATGGGGCTCCAGGCACAATCTTTGTCTTCAAGGGGTATATTAGTCTGTTCTCCTGCTGCTAATAAAGACATACCAAAGACTGAGTAATTTATAAAGAAAAAGAGATTTAACGGACTCACAGTTCCACATGGCTGGGGAGGCCTCACAATCATGGTGGAAGGTGAAGGAGGAGCAAAGACATGTCTCACATGGTGGCAGGCAATAGAACATGTGCAGGGGAACTGCCCTTTATCAAACCATCAGATCTCATGAGACTTACTCACTATCATGAGAACAGCATGGGAAAAACCTGTCCCTGTGATTCAATTACCTCCCACCAGGTCCCTTCCACGACACATGGGGATTATGGGAGCTACAATTCAAGATGAGATTTGGGTGGGGACACAGCCAAACTATATCAAGGGCATACAGATTGAAGGTGGAAAACTCAGGATAAGGCAATGACAGTATAATGAGGAAGACAGAAATGCTCATCAAAACCCTACTGGCTTGGAATCTACTGTCCTAATAATGAAGCTAATGTTCTTCATTTTGCAGCCACTTCTACTCTTCTCTCTTTATTCTATTTTGCCTTTGTTTAAGCAATGAAGCTTAGAAGGCAGGGTTCATACGTGGGTCAGACTCTTAGGTAATTTTTCCATGTACAACAACACAGGAAACCAAAGCAGGACCTTGGAATCCATTCAGGATTGTGATGATTAACTTTGTGTCAACTTAGAGGGTGTTTCTGGATGAGATTAACATTTAAGTTGGTGAACTTTGAGTAAAGGAGATTTCTCTTCATAATATGGGTGGGCCTCATCCAATGAGTTGAAGATCTGAATAGAAAAAAAAGACCAACTTCCCTGAGCAGGAAGGAATTCTCCAGTAGACTGCCTTTGAACTTCATTGGCACCACTGGCTCTGCTGAATCTCCAGCCTGTGGGCCCATGCTGCAGAATCGGACTTGCTAGCCTCTAGCCTCCATAATCACATGAGCTAATTTTTTATAATGAAGCTCTATATTCATTTATTACTAGAATAAATCTCTTTATATTTATGTAAATCTCTCTCTCTTGCTCTCTCTCTCTCTATATATATATAGATACACACACATATACATATATATTTACAGAGGTCAATAACTGTGGCCCACAGGCCAAATCTGGCCTACTGCATGCTTTTATAAATAAAGTTTTATTGGTAGGGTACACAACAAAGCACATTTATTTACATATTTTCTATGGATATTTTTGAGTTATAAGGACAGCTGAGTATTTGTGATATATGGCCTGCAAAGCCCTAGCAAGCCTAAAATACCTATATGTGTGTGTGTGTGTATATATATATATAAAATATAGATGTATATATGAAATAATGTCTACAAATATTTGTACATTGTGTGTTGAATAATAGCCTAAAATACTTATGTGTGTATATATATATAAAATATGTACGTATGTATGAAATAATGTATAAATATATTTGTACATTGTGTGTATATATATACATGAAAGAGAAAGCGGGATTTACATATATATTTATATGTGTGTGTATATATATGTGTATGTATGTATGCATATATATGTGTGTGTATATATATATATATATATATACACATATACACACACATATCCATTATTAGTTTTCTTTCTCTGGAGAGCCCTGATGAATACAGGTATTTTTCTGTCTGCTCTCTTCAGCCATCACATTGTCATCTGGAAAAGGCTGCCAAATAGGCAACTTTCTCCTTCACTTCCAACTTGCTAAAAAGTCAGTATTGAAAAATCACGTACGCACTATCTAATGGTTTAGTCCACTGCACTGCATCCAATAAATGAACTATTAGGCAGCCAATACAATAATAATTATGAAGGCTGTGTGGAAACATAAGGATATTTTAAAGTTTAATGTGAGGTGAAAGAAAGCAGGAAGAATTGCAAATATAGGCATAACTATGTGAAATGTGTATCGTGTAGATAGATTAGACAGGAATAAAACAAAATGGAAATAGTCCCATTGAGATGACAAAATGACTTATTTATTTAACAAGTATATGTTGAGTGTTGTCTGCTACATGCCAGGCACAGTTCTAAGCCTTCAACTTTCTGTCTCTATGGATTTGCCTACTCCTGACATTGCACAGAAATAGAATAATAAAAGCTGGGTGCAGTGGCTTCCAGCACTTTAGGAGGCTGAGTGAAGATATGTGAAGAAACAATTGTGAGATTTTTTTCTCTTTAAACACTGGTAGTGTTTTCATTGTTATTTAATTTTGTGTTTTTTAACTTCTTTCATGATTTCCTTTTAACCGAAGGGTTTCTTAGATATTTACTTTGCTGGTATATTCTTTCAAAATTATCTCATTGCTTTCTTTCTAAATTGGATTATTGTCAGAGAACATGATTTGCATGATGTTAACTTTTTGGAGTATATTGTTGCATCTTTGTGGCCTAGTACATGATTAATTTAGTGAATACTTCCATTTGTACTTGAAAAGAATGTATATTTTCTGATTATTGAGGGTAAATTTCTCTCTATATGTTTTCCTGTTTAATAAATATATAGGTATAAAAAAACCTAACTAATACCAACTAGAATAGTCATAATCTTAAAAATGGACAATTATAAGTGCTAAGGAGGATGTAGAGAAATTGGAACTCTCAGACATTACTGGTAGGAATAAAAATGGTACAGTGTCTTTGGAAAATAACATAGCAGCTCCTCAAAGGGTTAAGCATAGAGTTACTATATGATCCAGCAATTCCAATTCCAGGTATATACCCAAGAAAATTAAAAACATATGTCCACACTAAAACTTATACACAAATGGTCATATCAGTAGTATTTATAATAGCCAAACATATCCATCAACTGATGAATGAATAAACAAAGTGTTATACCATACAATGGGATATTATTCAACCATAAAAAGGAATAAAGTAGTAACCCAGGCTACAACATGGATAAACCTTGAAAACATTATGCTAAGTGAAAGGAAAAGGCCAAATATTCTATTCTATTCTCTTCCTTCCTTCCTTCCTTCCTTCCTTCCTTCCTTCCCTCCCTCCCTCCCTTCCTTCCTTATTTCCCTCTTTTCCTCTCTCTCTCTCTCTCTCTCTATATATATATATATATATATATACACACACACATATACATATATATTTACAGAGGTCAATAACTGTGGCCCACAGGCCAAATCTGGCCTACCGCATGCTTTTGTAAATAAAGTTTTATTGGTAGGGTACACAACAAAGCACATTTATTTACATATTTTCTACGGATATTTTTGAGTTATAACAACAGTTGAGTATTTGTGATATATGGCCTGCAAAGCCCTAGCAAGCCTAAAATGCCTATATGTGTGTGTGTGTATATATATATAAAAAATATATATGTATATATGAAATAATGTATAAATATATTTGCACATTGTGTGTTGAATAATAGCCTAAAATACCTATATGTGTGTGTATATATATAAAATATATATGTATATATGAAATAATGTATAAATATATTTATACTGTGTGTGTGTGTGTGTGTGTGTGTGTATACATGAAAGAGAAAGAGAGAGGGATTTACATATATATTTATGTGTGTATATATACATATATATATATCTCCCCTATTAGTTTTCTTTCTCTGGAGAGCCCTGATGAATACAGGTATTTTTCTGTCTGCTCTCTTCAGTCATCACATTGCCATCTGGAAAAGGCTGCCAAATAGGCAACTTTCTCCTTCACTTCCAACTTGCTAAAAAGTCAGTATTAAAAAATCAGGTGCACACTATCTAATGGTTTAGTCCATTACACTGCATCCAATAAATGAACTATTAGGCAGCCAATACAATAATAATGAAGGCTGTGTGGAAACATAAGGATATTTTAAAGTTTAATGTGAGGTGAAAGAAAGCAGGAAGAATTGCAAATATGGGCATAACTGTGAAATGTGTATTGTGTAGATAGGTTAGACAGGAATAAAACAAAATGGAAATAGTCCCATTGAGATGACAAAATGACTTATTTATTTAACAAGTATATGTTGAGTGTTGTCTGCTACATGCCAGGCACAGTTCTAAGCCTTCAACTTTCTGTCTCTATGGATTTGCCTACTCCTGACATTGCATAGAAATAGAATAATAAAAGCCGGGAGCAGTGACTCCCAGCACTTTGGGAGGCCGAGTGAAATATGTGAAGAAACAATTGTAAGATTTTTTTCTCTTTAGAAACTTGCCTAATACCAGCTAGGATAGTCATAATCTTAAAAATGGACAATTATAAGTGCTAATGAGGATGTAGAGAAATTGGAACTCTCAGACATTATTGGTAGGAATAAAAATGGTACAATCTCTTTGGAAAATAACTTAGCAGCTCCTCAAAAGAGTTAAGCATAGAGTTACTATGTGATCCAGCAATTCCAATTCCAGGTATATACCCAAGAAAATTAAAAACATATGTCCACACTAAAACTTATACACAAATGGTCATAGCAGTAGTATTTATAATAGCCAAACATATCCATCAACTGATGAATGAATAAACAAAGTGTTATACCATACAACGGAATATTATTCAACCATAAAAATGAATAAAGTAGTAACCCATGCTACAACATGGATAAACCTTGAAAACATTATGCTAAGTGAAAGGAAAAGGCCAAATATTCCCTCCCTCCTTTCCTTCCTTCCTTCCCTCCCTCCTTTTCTTTCTTTCCCTCTTTCTTTTTTTCTTTCTTTCTTTCTCTCTCTTTCCTTCCTTCCTTCCTTCCTTCCTTCCTTCCTTCCTTCCTTCCTTCCTTCTTTCCTTCCTTCTTTTCTTCCTTTCTCTCTTTCTCTCTCTCCTCTCTCTCTCTCTTTCTTCTTTCTTCTTTCACAGGGTCTCACGCCCCCAGGCTAGAGTGCAGTGGTGTGGTCTCGGCACACTGCAGCCTTGACCTCCCAGGCTCAAGTGATCCTTCCACCTCAGCCTCCCGAGTAGCTGGGACCACAGGTGTGCACCACCACACCCGGCTGATTTTTTTGTATTTTTTGTAGAGCTGGGGTTTTGCCATGTTGCCCAAGCTGGTCTTGAACTCCTAAGCTCAAGCAATCCACCTGCCTTAGATTCCCAAAGTGCTGGGAACCACTGCTCCAGGCCTCTATTATTCTATTTCTATGCAATGTCCAGAGTAGGATTCATAGTTGCCAGGAGCTGGGGAAGGGAGGAGGAGAGACTAGGGAGTGCCTGCTAAAGGGCATGGGGTTCTTCTTGGAGGTGATGAAAATATTCTGGAATGAGTGGTGATACTTGTACAACTCTGAGGCTAATTGTACACTGTGAAAGGGTGAATTTTATGGTAGTGAATCATATGACAATAAAGCCGTTATTAAAAATGGCCTAATGGTGTTGTTGTTATGTTGCTTTTACAAATAAAATGTGTAATTAATGTTTTTTTAAAAAATAGCCTGCCTGTTTGTTAAGAAGTTTATGTCTGGTTCTTTAATACCAGTGACATGGCCTCAACTTACCTCAGCCAAATTCTAAGGAAACCATCCAGGCAGGTTCCTGGTGTGGGCCAGGAACAATCAAAAGAAGGGGGACAACAGCTTTATTAGTTTGTTCTTGCACTGTTATAAACACCCGAGGCTGGGTAATTTATAAGGAAAAGAGGTTTCATTAGTTCACAGTTCTGCAGGCTGTACAGGAAGCATGGCGACATCTACTTCTGAGGAGGCGTCAGGGAGCTTCCAATCATGGCAGAAGGCAAAGGGGAAGCCAGCACCTCACATGGCAAGAGCAGGAGGAAGGTGGGTGGCAGGTACCACACACTTTTAAACAACCAGATCTCATGAGAAGTCACTCACTATCATGAGAACGGCACCAAGGGGGAGATCAACCCCCATGATCCAATCACCTCCCACCAGGCCCCACCTCCATCCAACATTGGGCCTTCCAATTCAAAATGAGTTTTGGGGAGGAACACAGATCTAAACCACAGCACCAGCTATCACTCCCAAGCCAGGATTTCAGAACCATGTAAACCTTTGATTACTTAGGTCAACCCTGAACAGCTTCACACAGAGGGCACAAGTTTCAGAACTGAATGATTAATACACTCTCACAGTAAACTAGGCCTGAGATTTAACAATAAAAACAACAACAACAAAGGCTGCTAGTTTTAGAATATTTGGTCATCACAGTAACCCTGTAAGACAGGTTCTATCATTAGCCTCATTTAACAGGGAGAGGAACCGAGGCCAGGAAAAAGCCAAGTAATTTGCTAAAGGTAGCAAAACTAGCAAGGGGTGGAGTTAGGGTGTGTCCTGGTCCATTCCACTAGAGCTTAACTTTTTACCCTCATTGCCATCTGCCTCTGTAAACCCTTGTTCTGCTTGGCCATGATACAGGTGATACTAATGTGTGTGTTGCAGTGGCTCTTTGGTTTTCTGTTTTACTCTGTGGGCCATAGTCCCATGCAGTTCGTTGTGTTTTGAGGAGGTCTCCAGCAGCCTGAGGAAAGAAGCTAGGTCAGAACCCAGGAGGCTGGGTCCCAGCCCAGATTCTGCCACCAAATGCACATCTAGCTCTCAGATGAGCTCCTCTTAAGTGTTGCCATAATACACAGCTCTGCTCATTCTCAGCGCATTTGTCATTACTTGCTCCAGGCTGGCCTTCTCAGCCCCTCTGGCCTGTGCTGATAATAATGACAACAGCCACCACAACTAGAACTCACAGAATGGCACTCTGTTCTGAGTGTTTCATGTGCATTATCTCATGCAAGCCTCACTCTGACCCCACAAGGGGGATGCTATTAGTATTCGCTTTTTGCAGTGGGGAAACCGAGGTATGACAGGGGTAAGTAACTTGGCCAACATCATCATGCAGATAGTATGATGGAACCAGAATTCTACAGAGGCAATTTGATGCCAGGTCCAGAATGTGGAGGCTCATGGCTATCACTCTACCTCCTGCAATGTCAACTGTATATGGGCAGAGGTATGGCTGCCTGGTCACCACTGAATCCCCAGCAATTACCTACCTCAAGGCCTACTACATGACACAGGCCTAACAGGTATTATGGAATGACTGAATGAAC
Source organism: Homo sapiens (assembly GCF_000001405.40). Taxonomy (NCBI): domain Eukaryota; kingdom Metazoa; phylum Chordata; class Mammalia; order Primates; family Hominidae; genus Homo; species Homo sapiens. The sequence continues at coordinate 124,749,757 of NC_000008.11, forward strand.
GAATGAATGGCTTCTATCTAATCTGCACAGGGTCTAACATAACCTCCCATACACACTGGAAGTTAATACTATGTAGTCTCCCTGATTCATTTACTGTTTTCTCCCTAGGCCATGGTTATTGTCAACAACCAAAGAGAAAGCCTTCACTATACACAAACAGTCATTCATTTACTCTGCCCCATCAAGCTTTTGTTCGTATATTCCTGATGTCTAATTGTTTCTCTTGTGAGGTTTGGATGCCCTGTTGAATGAAAAGAAACATTTACACAGGGTACAGTGGCTCATACCTGTAATCCCAGCACTTTGGGAGGCCGAGGTGGGAGGATCGCTAGAGCCCTGGTGTTCAAGACCAGCCTGGGCAATGTGGTGAAAACCCCGTCCCTACAAAATATGGAAAAAATTAGCTGGACATGGTGGCACTTGCCTGGAGTCCCAGATACATAGGAGGCTAAGGTGGGAGGATCACTTGAGCCCATGAAGTCAAGGCTGCAGTGACCCATAATTGTGCCACCACACACCAGCCTGATGACAGAGCAAGCCCTTGTCTCAAAAAAAAAAAAAAAAAAAAAAAAGCAAAACATTTATTTCACCAGATGCTAGGGAAAACGAGAGATCATTTGCTTGTTGCCCACCCAGATCTATGCCACAATTTGCTCTTCTTTCCCTTTGAGGGGGTTGTTTTTTATTGATATACTCAATCAGTGGCCCTGCCACAAATGCTTCCAAAGAGCCATCACCTGCAGGTCCCCTTCACTTGCCCTCTCTCTGGAGCTTGCTCACTTCTTCTCCTTGACACCATTTACGGGAAGCAGTGCTGCGTTTACAGCCGTGTGGACCGCCGCTCTATGGAACCCAGCTCCCATACTGGATGCCGTGGGGTCCTGTTCGTTGCTGGCAGCTTTTTTTGGGTTGTTCATTTCCACTGCATAGCACTAATAGCTTTTTCAGACCTCTCCTGGGATGTGGACTATTTTGTATTTGTAAGACACCTTTATGGAAATGGCCTCCAGGTTTAAAGTGTCATGTGACCACTTGTTCAGTTGGAGATGACCGTGCCAAGGCCTCATTCATCGGAAAGTGAAAGTGCGTGGCCAGTAACTGTGACATTGAGAATGTCCTTGTGGCACTGGATGTCTCTGCAGGACTCAAGTGAGGCTGGTTGTATGAAATAATGTCAGGGAAAAAAATAGGGTTTTTTTTTTTTTTTTTTTTACTGATTCTAATGATTGTTCTGCTAGCACTTTAAAGGCGAGTGAAAGAATACAAAGGAAGTTCAATTGTGTGGCGACAGGCTAAGAAAAGAGGAAAGGAAGGAAGTGTTAAGTTTGAAAGCTGGGGGGTTTTGCCCTTCCAAAGCAGTGGCATGGGATCCACCCAAATGCCAAGTTCTCATCCTCATCGTCAGGGTAGCAGGCAGAGAGGGGTTTCCAGAACCATCATTTGAACCCTCACTCTGTGCCGGCCACCCTTTCACTGTCTAATTCTTATAACAGTGCTATGAGAAAGTGATGATTGACTTATTTTGTAGTTTGAAAAACTGACTCTCTTGGCCGGGCACGGTGGCTCACACCTGTAATCCCAGCACTTTGGGAGGCCAAGGTGGGTGGATCACAAGGTCAGGAGATCAAGACCATCCTGGCTAACATGGTGAAACCCCGTCTCTACTAAAAATACAAAAAATTAGCCGGGCATGGTGGCGGGCACCTGCAGTCCCAGCTACTCTGGAGGCTGAGGCAGGAGAATGGCGTGAACCTGGAAGGCGGAGTTTGCAGTGAGCCAAGATGGCGCCATTGCACCCAGCCTGGGCGACAGAGCAAGACTCCGTCTCAAAAAAAAAAAAAAAAAAAAAAAAGAAAGAAAAACTGACTCTTAGGGAAATGACGTGGCTTGGCCAATGCCACACTGCCCAGAGACTGAGTCATTATTTAAACTCAGGGTTATCTGATGCTAGAGCCAGGCTTTCCCCTTTCTGCCACCCACCTGCTGGCAACAGAAGGCAATCACATCAGTGACCATGGCAAGAAGGACCTGTTCCGTGTCCTCACTCTGGTAGGCACTGCTCTTTTGTCACTTAGGAGATTCTTCCAGCTGCTCTTCCTTGGTGTCCAGTAAGTAAAACTGACAAGAAACAGAACAATCTCTTGTAGCAAACTGAATTCTCTATGACATACAAACTTGAAGAAGGATGCCTCCAAAGATAGAGTAGCTGATGGAAGACACTATAAAAAGAAAGTCCCCTGTAGGGAGGAAGAAAGAGGCCGGAAGGAACTGGCCAGAGATGTGAATCACCCTGGGTGCTTAACCATGAAGAGCCTGAGGAGGCCCCTGTGTTTGTTTCCATGGTTCCCTACCCACCCAGCAGAACTCATTTCCTCTGTGGCTCTCCCTGATGCTTTGAGCGTTCCTCTCACTGCTCTGATATTTGTTGAGTGTTTCCACGCGATGGTATATAGTTAAGATTACGTTCTCATGCCAATAATAACACAAACACATGCAGTGGCTTAAACAAGACAGGGTTCATTTTTCTCTCATGTAAAGTCTACAGGTTGGCCATGCAGGAAAAGCATGGCGGCTCCCTGGTGTTGTCAGGGACTCTGGCTCCTACTTTCTGCTCTCCTTTCCTTGCTTGCGGTTTCTTTATTCAAAGTCACCTCACGGCCTGAGATGATACCTGGAGCCCTTCATAGGTTGGAAGAAGGAGGAAAAACAGAAGGGAGGAAAGGGGCCTTTCCCAAATGAATCACCTGCTTTTAAACAGCCTTCCAAGGAGTCCCAAATAATGCTTCTCCAAATACATTGGCTAGAATTTATTCACGTGTCCATATTTGGCTGGAAAATATAACTGTATTTTGGAGGTTGTTTGGCAGCAATGTGCACATCTAAAATTTTATGGGGACATACTGATGGAAGAATGGTTATTTTAATAGACAAAAGTCAGCAAACTGTGGCCCACAGGCCAAATCTGGCCCACCGCCTGCTTTTGTAAATAAACTTTTATTGGTACACAGCCAAGCTCATTCATTTTCATATTTTCTATGGATATTTTTGTGTTACAACAACAATTAAGTATTTACGATGATAGATGGCTTGCAAAGCCTAAAATATTTATTATCTAACACTTCACAGCAAAAGTTTGCTGACTCCTAGAATAGACGAACAGCAAATAGTAATTTGTGGCAAATACCCCACCACCAGGCACTGGGCTGGGCACAAAGGTTCATGGCTGTGGGTTCCATTCTTAGGTGGCTGATAGTCCAGGGGATGAGACACAGCCAAGTCAAATTCTAACTACAGTATTGTGTGACGAGTGGAACTGTTCCATTCTGTTTAGTATGTTATGGGACCACAGAGGACACCTGAAACAGACTGTAGAGAGGGAGGGTAGGCAAGCTTTCTAGATGAGCTTAAAGGATGAGAAGTTAGAAAAGAGAAGAGCAAAAAGAATTCCAAGCAGAGGAGAAAGCATGTACCAAGATTGGAGGTGTGAAATGGCAGTCATTATGCTTTCATCCCACTGTGTGTCATAGCAGCCCATGAACCTGTCTCCTCGAGAGACCACACATCTTTGCCTCCCCCAGGCCTGGCACCAATGTGTGCAGGGCCTCTTCCTTGCAGGGGCTCCAAACACTTGTCAGCTGCTTACATTGACATCATCCGCAATCCTGTTACAGTAACGCCTATGGGTACCAATCCACTGACCCAGAATTTAGAGTGGGTGGGGATAGAGTGGAGGGACACTGAGTTCCAATTCCAAGCTTAATTATCAACAGATAAAAGCAAGGGCTTTGGATGAAAATCTCAACCACTACTACTTCGTACCTTGCATAAGCTTGGACAAGTTGCTTAACTTTTCTAAGCTTCATTTTTCTTCATCTATAGAAGTGAAGATAGTGTCACGAGCACGTATAAGTTTTCTCAATCTCCATGCTATCGGCACTGGGGGCTGGATAATTCTTTGCTGTGGAGGGCTGTCCTGTGCATTGCAGGATGTTCAGCAGCATTCAAGGCCTCTACTCACTAGATGCCAGTAGCAGCCCTGGAGCTATGACAATCAAAACTGTCTCCAGACATTGCCAAATGTCCTTGGGGGAGCAAAATCACCCCTGCTTGAGAACTTATCAGCTAGTAGTAGAATTAAATGAGATAATGTTTTATATGTGTGTTTAGTAAGTGTGAAAACTATTTTTATTGTCTTCATTAGTACTCAGAAAATATTTGAAAGGACAAATGAACTCGTGGAAGAAGAATGAAAACCTCATAGAAACTATTTCTTGTTTAGGCTGGCAAACACAGGAAAGGAATTCTTAGCTGTGATAAACAAAATTTGCTGTTAAACCCACCTGTTGCAAATCCACATTATGTTAGGAATGTTGGCTGAATTACTTTCAAATGAGCTGCAGGGGACATCTGTTATAGTTTTATTTTTTATTTTTTTGAGATGGAGTTTTGCTCTTGTTGCCCAGACTGGAGAGCAATGGCACAATCTCGGCTCACCGCAACCTCCACCTCCCGGGTTCAAGCGATTCTCCTACCTCAGCCTCCTTGAGTAGCTGGAACTACAGGTGTGTGCCACCACGCCTGGCTAACTTTTGCATTTTTAGTAGAGATGGGGTTTCTCCATGTTGGTCCGGTTGGTCTCGAACTCTCGACCTCAGGTGATCTGCCCGCCTCGGCCTCCCAAAGTGCTGGGATTACAGGTGTGAGCCACCACACCTGGCTGGACATCTGTTATTTTGTTGCCTATTTCTACCTTGCTTGATTTAGGTTTGGGGAAAACACCTACCCCCACTTTCAGCCATGTGCTTTGCGTGAAGCTGACCTCTACATTGGTTCCAGTGGTGAATCACTGGAGTAAGGTCCAAGTCACCCAGGGAAGTCCTTTCTCCGGCTCACAGTGGTTAGTCTGAGAGAGGGAACAGGCTTGAGCCAAGGCCCAGTCAGAAAACCAGAGGGGGTTTTCTTGGTTAACATGAAAATGGAGCTACTCTTTCCCATTGGACTTGAACGTGAGAGGTCTTAAGATCTAGACTGCACCTGGGAAGTGAGGTCATGTCTGAGAATAAGGCCGACACATGAAGGAGGACAGAATTGAGCAGAGACATGGAAAAAAACTGAATTCTGGTGATTTTGTCTGCATTCTTGCAGTCAACTACGCCTGCAGCCCACCTTACTCCCTAACTGTTCATGTTCTTCAGCTGATACGTTTTATTTTTGCTTAAGTTAGTTTGGGCTGGTTTTTCTGTCTCTTGAAACCAGAAGACCACGATACTTGATCCTGATGACATCAAGAGTAAAACACTTTATGGCTATCTTCACACATTTCTAAAAATAGACTTTGGATCAGTTGGGATGCTTTGGGTGACAAATAATGGAAAAACCTAACTCCAAATGGCTAAAGCAATATATGAATTCATTAGCTCATTCTTGAAAAAGTCCAAAGTAGTGTAGGCCTCAGGCCTGGGTTCCAGATCTATTCCAGATCAAAGTAGTGTAGGCCTCGGGCCTGGGTTCCAGATCTATTTCTCTGTAGCTCTTTTGGCCAAACTGTTCTCACTGTTTTGGCTTTGCCTTTAGCCTGGCTTCCCTGGTAGCACGAATGTGGTAGTGGTCCAGACCACATGGGAATGTGCCACCTGGGAAAGGAAGAGGAAGAAGACTCTTCTTGACTGAAAACCATCAAGCAGACGTCCCGGCCTTCACTTTGGTTAGAAGAACTTAGATCACATGCCATCCTTACACCAAGGCAAGCAGGAGGGGGTCTCCCTGGTTTGTAGCCAGGGCCCGAAGCTGGACCTGGGGATTGGATCTGTGCCAGCCCAAGCTGGGAACTGCATCATGGTGGGGAAGGGCATGGGCACTGGGAAGCATGTTCACTGCTCACTTTAAAACAAGAAAATTAGAGTAAATGTCAACTGAAATGTCACCTTTAGTGACATCTTTCAGTTTCTTCCATTGCATATCAGCACTCCTTCTGGGCTCGTTCAGGATTTGCTTGTTTATATAATAGCAATTATATCACAGTTGCTAGAGTTATATTTTTGTTTAACATCTATTCTCTTTACTAGACAATCTGGGCAGAGCCCAAGTCCAACATCTTTTATTTCCTTTAGTATAGCCTCATACTCAGTAGGGGCTCACTCTTTCTCTCCATTTTTTTATCCAATAAACTTTGTTCCCCCACAAAGCAAGGACAGAGTTTCAAGCCCAGCTGACCGAAAGAGTCTAAATAGAGTGTCTGAACTGTATTTTCCTGACCAAAGCTTGACTCTCTCCTCCAGACTTACTGGCTATGTGATGCAGGACAAGCTACTTACCTCTCTAAATCTCAGTTTCCTCAATTATAGAATGGGGATAACAGTACTATTCACCTTATAGAGTTGTTCAGAAAAGTAAGTGAAATAATGTCTATAAAAGTGCTTAGCACAGGGCTAACTCATGGGAAGTGCTCACCAACGTTAGCAATGGCTCTTTTTTTTGGTCACTGGGTGTGTGTTTGGGCACGTTGGATGAATCTACCAGGGCTGCAATTTCTTTATCTGTGAATGGCGGAAAACAATCTCTACTTTATGAGGCTGGTGTGAAGGACAAAAAGGAAGATCTTGGCATACAGTAGGTGTCGACTAAATGTTAATTCCAAGTCACTTTCTCCATGCCCATCCCAGCATGGAATAAGAGGGAGACATCCCTTTCATTCCTTCTGTACCTCCCACAGATGGAAAAGGAGTTTGAGAACCTAAAGTTTTGTTTTATAAATAAGGATGAAGGATCCCTTATTCGAAAGGCTTGGGACCAAAAGTTTTTCAGATTTTAGATTTTAGAATATTTGCATATACATAATGAGATATCTTGGGGATGGGACCCAAGTCTAAACATGAAATTCATTTCTATTTCGTATATACCTTATACACATAGCCTGAAGGTAAATTTATACAATACTTTAATAATTCTGTGCATGAAACAAAGTTTGTGTACACAGAACCATCAGAAAGCAAAGATGTCACTATCTCAGCCACCCACATGGACAATCTGTGGTTGTTTGGCATCACCACCATTCCTGACTCTGAATTTATATGCTACTGAGAAACAATCATTTTCTCATATTTACTCACACATGAGGACCTAGCAATACAAAATGGACATACCATTAATACAGTAAAAAATCGTGTGTTCAGGGTAAAGAAGCAGCACAGTGCATCACCAAAATACCTGGATCACCTGCTAAACAACAGCAGCAACAAACAGCGGCTGGCTTTTAGTCTCCACCTGTGATGCTGTGTTTTGACTAAAAGGTTACTGTGCACTGTATTTTATTTTATTTTTTTGCAGTGAGAAGAAACATCAGAAGCACTTGAGGGACCAAAAGTGGGTCCTCCAGGGAGGAGGAGGCATTCTGTTGGATGTTTTAAAAAATCTTTCCTCCAGAGTCATCTGCCTCATCAACAACAGTTTTGTCTTAGAAGTCTTCTTTGCATCATGGGGAACCTGCCACTGGCGGGTCCAGCCTGCACACGTAGCATTTATTACCCTTTGTGGGTATGCTCGGAAAAGATACATCACAGCTGGGAGGGTCTCCTTTCCCTTGGGGATGCTGAATAAACTGTCATGCGTCTGTTTTAACTGTGACCATCACATGAGGTCAGGTGTAAAATTTTCCTCTGTGGCATTATGTCCAAAAGGAGACTCAAACAGTTTCAGATTTTGGATTTCAGGTTTTGCTTTAGGAATGCTCAAACTGTATTTAGAAATCAGGGGCAAAGAAACCCTTCCCTATGCTTACAGTGACATTGTGGTTGAGATCTGATAGTTGTAGACCATGCAATCCAGTTCTGTGGTTCTTTTTCCGACCACTGTCAACCACATTGGGCTTTCAGACAAACCTGCAGACAGTGAGGTTGAAACTTGGGTTGGAACAGAAGAGTGATACTTACGTGAGCAGCTGCAAAATGTTCTCACTTACGTTTGTGAAAGTCAATGCTGGCCAAGGCAGGGGAACTCTTGCATTTTTGTTAAGTTACTGACTTTTTTCCCCATTTGGATGTTTCCAGTTACCTTAGTGGACTTGTTTGTCCTGAGTCCCAGGACATTGTTTAAAATGCCAGTTGGCTCAGGTGGAAGCTACTAGACAAAAACAGCTTTACAGCATGAAAAATCTTTTGGATTTCAGACAGTGATTTATGCGTTAGTGGCTGTGATGGGGGGCAGGAGGAGTTCAGCTATCTCTAGCCCATTATTCATTTCTGTATCGCAACCCCTCTCACATTACCTGATGTAGTGTCAGGGCTTAGCAGATAGTTGAGGACTGCATGAAGGGAGGAGGAATCACTACCAAATAGGCCAAAGCACAAATTCCAACCAATGATGTTTATAGCTTATTGATGGCAGAATTTTCAGGCTGGCCAGAGGCTTGTTTTGACATTTACTGACTTGTACTTTCAGAAAGATCAAGAGGAGCCAGGCGTAGTGGCTCACGCCTGTAATCCTAGCACTTTGGGAGGATGAGGTGGGTGGGTCACCTTAGATCAGGAGTTCCAGCCCAGCCTGGTCAACATGTTGAAACCCCATCCCTACTAAAAATACAAAAATTAACTGGGCATGGTAGCAGGTGCGTCTAATCCCAGCTACTTGGGAGGCCGAGGCAAGAGAATGGCTTGAGCCCGAGAAGCGTTGGTTGCAGTAAGCCGAGATCGCGCCAGTATACTCCAGCCTGGGTGACGGAGCAAGACTCCATCTCAAAAAAACAAAGACCAAGGGAGAATTTGTTAGGGCCAGTTGGCCCTGATTTTCAGTTAGGATAATGAGTGGTGTGAGCCCAGGCAAAGTGACCATATCCCTGAGTGTGTAATTGATGAGTGTCCAGGGCCTGCCAGTTCAGCTTGGGGATGGGGGCAGAAAGTTCCTGCTGCTAAGCCCCTCTGGAAGGTCATTACGTTCAGGTTAGGGATCATGATGTTATTCTCTATTTTTCCTGTCACCTCACTCTTATCAAGACTTCTGTGTGCGGTAACACAGGGGAACACAGGCTTAGAGAAGCTGGATCTGGAAGGGGCCTGTGTTTATCCATTGGGCCTGCCAACCATAGGCATCAGAATTATCTGGCATACTGGCTCAAAATACAGATTCTTGATTCCAACTCTTGACCTGCTCAACTGGCTTCTCTGAACCAAGTTATTCCTCAAGTTATTCTTACGTACACTAAAATTAGATATCCACTCTTTTCATCCAGCTTATTTATTTTCTATAGGAAGAAAATGAAACCCAGAGAAGTAAAGTGACTTCCCTAACATCACACAGCTAGTTTGCAAGAGGAGATGATTCCACTGTGCTGTCAGGAGTGCTGAATTCTCTTTTACGTGTTGTTGTAAAGTGTTTTCATCTGTATTCTCCCATTTGGTTTTCTCAACCACTCTTTACATGAGAAAAAATATATTATTTGTTTTCATGTCATGAAGAAAAGCAGTTTTTATTTCTATTTCTGTGTTAGCAGCCAGACATGACCTTCTCAAGAAAGTTACCACTGGCCCATCTAGCACCTTTGTGCAAATTAGTAGAAGGCACTTTTTCTTCCAGGAAAATAAAAGTCTGTCCCATGTGACCAGCATGCGGGCTGGATGTGAGCCCCTCCTCTCATTCTTGGTTGAATGGGCTTGGGCAGTTTCCAACCTGTACAACTATGCATGACAACCTTGCTCTTAAGGATGAAGATCATGTCTTGTACTTTTGTTTTTATTTCCCGGTGCCTAGCCCAGAGCTAGACTTATACATGTTGAAGAAAAGTGGTTGAAATAAATTGCCCAAGGCTACCTGATTTATCAGTAGCAGGACTGGAACCTCTGATTCTAAGGCATGGCTCCCAGATACCTTACACAGGAGACGGCAAACTGAAATCTGAAATGGTGTCTATACTCCATCTCTTGGGAAATTGACCAGTATAATTTATTTTTATTTATTTATTTATTTTGAGACAGGGTCTCACACTGTCACCCAGGCTGGAGGGCAGTGGCATGATCTCGACTCACTGCAATCTCTGCCTGCTGGGGTCAAGCCATTCTCTTGCCTCAGCCTCCCGAGTAGCTGCGATTACAGGCACCTGCCACCATGCCCAGCTGATTTTTGTATTTTTAGTAGAGACGGGGTTTCACCATGTTGGCCAGGCTGATCTAGAACTCCTGACCTCAGGCGATCCACCGGCCTGGTCCTCTCAAAGTGCTGGGATTACAGGTGTGAGCCACCATGTCCAGCCAAGACCAGTATAATTTAGTTCTCCAGAAATAAATTACTTTGGAATGACCCCTGAAAACCAGTCTTCAAAGTCAAGGCTGGATTTGTGGAAATTCCCAACCCCGATGTCAGCACCAAAAAATGTAGCTGAGAATAGCCTGATTCCCCCAACCCCCTTCAACAATTCAAATTTTATCCTCTGCGTTTGGCAGAAGTTAAATAACAGTTTGCCATTGCAGAGCAAAAAGTTCACTATCAACCCATCTCTGCAACCCCTTGAAAGGTATAAACACCTGAACACTGGCAGTCCCACCTGGCCCATAATCACGGTAGTAGCACTTTGGCCTAGTAATAAACATCCAACTCTTAGCCTTTTTATTACACTGCTCTTTCAAAGAAGCATTTAGCTAATGTTATCAGAGAGAGGGGCCTGTTTCCCCTCAGAATGCCTCTGAGGAGTACCTTTTTATTGCCCAGGGGTGGAACATTCTCAGCTTCAGCTGTAAATCATAGAGTTGCCAACTTTTATTGAGCTCTTTGCAGGGACCAGGCCATGGGCTCAGGGCTCAGGGCTCAGGGCTCAGGTCTTTCCTGATTCTCTCATTTCATCCCCACAGTCACCCTATGAAGTAGGTGTTATTATTCTCATTTTACAGATAAGGAAACTGAGTCAGAGCTGTTAAGTAACTTGCCCAAGATTACATAACTAGTAAGTGGCAAAGCCAGGACTCGAACTCACACCCCAGGGTATCTGACTGCTAACCTGTTGTATTAGTCCATTCTCATGCAACTAATGAAGACATACTCGAGGCTGGGTAATGTATAAAGGAGAGAGGTTTAATTGACTTACAGTTCCACATGGCTGGGGAGGCCTCACAATCATGGTGGAAGGTGAAACGAACGTCTTACATGGCAGCAGGCAAGAGGGCATGTGTAGGGGAACTCCCCTTTATAAAACCATCAGATCTCTTGAGACTTATTCACTATCATGTGAACAGCATGGGAAGAACCCGCCTCCATGATTCTGTTACCTCCTACCTGGTCCCTCCCACAACACGTGGGGATTATACAATTCAAGGTGAGATTTGGGTGGGGACCCAGAGCCAAACCATATCACCCGTGTTGCTAACTCTCACACCATACTCCCTTAGCCTTGTGTGATGAGCTCTGGACTAGGTGCTGGGCACAAAGACCTGGGGACCGAGCCTCGTCTTTTTTGTGGGCGTTTATGCTTTTCTATGTTCACTGAGTGCTTACTGTGTGGTCAACACCATGCCCAACAGTTTTTATTGATTTATATGCATTTTCTAATTTAATCCTTAAAGCAAACCTATGAGGAAGTACTATTGCCCCTACTGTCTTTGTGAGAAGGTCAAGCTACTCACTCAAGGAGAAGGTAGGATTCCAAGTGCAAGTTTGCATGACTCTGAAGCTTGTTCTCACCCAGTGGACCACCCTTACTGGAATCTAGCAGTGTAGACAGAAATGCAGATTCCTGGGTCAAACGCTGGATCTACTGAATCACAGTCTCTCGCAGTGGGGCCAAGAAATCTGCTTTTCTGCCAAATATCCCAGATGGGCGCAGTGTGTGTTATGTTTAGAACTCACTTCTCTATCATGATGCTGGCAATGTAGACATTCCATGTTTTGAAAATTCATGGATTGTACGTTTCTGATTTATGTACTTTCCTTTATCAATCTTATATCTTAAAAAGTTTGCTTAAAAAGTCCCCTCCCATGTAGGACACAGTCTCTTCACTATGAACACTTTGCTTCTTTGCTAGTCTATCTCACACGTCATCACACTGTTAAATTTCCAACTGTAATTCGCATGGGACACCACGGCGCACTGGGCCTGAAAAACCAGGCTATGAGAATGTCCTGGAATCACCTCCTTCCTACCTTAACGCAATCACACAAAGGTTACCGGCAGTTCTCATTTTCTTTTCTCCAGATAATTCCTCCAAAATAGATTACCCAAGTGCCTCACTCTGAAAACTTCCATCGTGTTCTCTCAACCCTGAAACCCAAATCAGTACAAAACGGTCCCTTGGGGCCATCCCTCTTGACTAATTCTCAAAGTTTCCACCACCAAGTTGTGGGGTGGTACCGGGAACTTCTCCTTTTGGGCTTATTTGGCCCATGAATCACTCTTTGACTAACCTCGTCAGCTGTTGTTTTCCCCGCAACACTCGGTGAGTGTTTTTCCTCCTCTTCCACCTTCCTTGTCTTCTTTTGGAACCTCTGTAGAACCTTACAACAGAAATATCTCTTAATCTTCAACCTCTATTGATTCATCCACTCATTTATTCTTTCACTTACCTATTTACAGACATTTATTAAGCATCCACATGTACCAGGAACTCTGCTAGGGGCAAGAATTTAGAAAATAAACAAGAATGTGGGCCCTTTCCTCAGGGAACACAGTGTTTCCAAGTCACTTTTGACAAATACTTCTGGAGCTGACTCTTTTAATAATAATGGTCTTGCTGTTGATGATATTTTTGAGCCTTTTCTTCATGGCAGAACCTCTAATAGTTATTTTAGATGTATTGCTTAATATTCTCAACAACTTCATGAGGTAGGTACCACTATTGTCTCCAAATAATACAGATGAGGGAATCGAGGCCCAGAGAAGTCGTATCACTTTCCCAAGATCACACAGTTCATAAGGGCTGAATTCTAGAGCTAATCTGGAGTCTGACCCCAGAGACAGGCCTTTTTAATTACCACAGGCTCTCTGAGCCCTACAAACCATCCAATGAGAAGTGTCAGAAGTGCAAGGAAAATAGACAAAAGAGAGAAGAAGAAAGATGTTAAACAAGACTCTGGTGAGAACATAATTTTACCCTGGTTGACTCTGGATATAAGGGCATCTGAAAAGCACATTGGCTATAAAAGTGTGTTTCCAACAGTCCTAGAGCCATCCTTTCTAAAAGATAACATGTTCCCCAAACCATAGAACCATAAAATCTCAGTGTTGGGCAGGATCTTGATGTGGTATAACCCAAATCCCACTACATGCTGAATCTCTTTACAATCTCATCATCAAATCTGAAACCTGTCAGCCCTTGGCTTCCATTCATCTGCGTAAGTTCTGAGTTGTGGGAAAGTAATGGCAAAAACTGCAATTACTTTTGCACCAACCTAATAGCTTGATAGTGGTAATCATTTCCCAATGTATATGTGGAATATGATGAGGTTTCTCTTCAAATAATCTAATCAATCTTTTATTCTTTAATTTATAATAACGCCCCCCCCCCCACCTTTTTTTCCTTTTTCTCCTTTTTTTCCTTTTTGCATTTGTTAGATGCCCAGGCACGCCACAGGACAGGCATTATCAGTACCAGCTCACGTTCCTTTCCTTATTTAAAAAGAAGACTAACTTTCTAGCTCATTACACACACCCCTTCCCCTTCCTCTCCACTTTCTTTTACGTGCCCACCTTACCTAAAAAAATTCAAACGTTTAGCCAACTGGGATTATTTTAAATTATACAGCCTGACCCCAGCCAATGGGGAAAGAGTGCAGGGGCAAGACTTGCCGTCAAAAATAAAGGCTCTCGTGCCCTTTGTTCAGGTGGGCTCTCATGGCGACTAGCCAAGGAGGCACCCCTCTGCCCAAAAATAAAATTGCTTTGCTAAAAATCCTTTGTTCAAGTGTTCAATTTCCTTAAAATTTTTTAGCGTTATTCCTAACACATACATATTTCAAAAATCACATTCTACAACTTGAATATATACAGTTTTTGCTGTTTAGATTTCAGTAAAGCTAGGAACAAATGTTATGCTCTTTGGGATTTCTCACGTTCTTTGATTCATATGTCTATACCTGAGTCAAATTCACTTGTTCATCAGTTAAATCACAAAATACTATGTCATGGATCTTCCACATCCTCAGAAATACCACAAGTGGCAGGGGCTTCAATTCACACAGGCCAACAGTTGTCTCCTTCAAGGATCTCAGGTGCAAATGTCTTTGGGGTCAGTCAAGTTACATGAAAGAATGAAGTAGGCAGGGGGTAAGAACCGTGATGAACCAAACAGCACGCCTTCTGGACAATGATTGCCATGTGGTACTATAGGCTCCGTATTGCCAGATCTTTCAATTTGTCAAGAGAAGCCAGAAATCTAATTTTTTTTTAAATGTAAACTTTTCTGATTTTTAAGTGTTGAAAACAAATTCCAATTTTTTTTTTTTTTTTGAGGTGAAGTCTTGCTTGGTTGCCCAGGCTGGAGTACAGTGGCGCAATCTCGGCTCACTGCAACCTCCCGGGTTCAAGCAATTCTCCTGCCTCAGCCTCCCAAGTACTTGGGATTACAGGTGCCTGCCACCATGCCCAGCTAATTTTTCAATTCCAAATTTTAAAATCTGGTGTAGGCCACCATGACGTGGGCCACATTGGATCCCCAGTTGGCCGGTGTGACCTCTCATCTGTGGCACTTGGCTGATGTGAAGCCTTGGGAAGGGACAGTTGGAGGAAAACATGCAGAAGTGAGAATTGATGCTGAGGTGGCAAGCAAGAAGCAGAGTTGGGATTGACAGTTAGGAGAAGTATACTGGAAGGAAGAAAGCCAGAGGGAAGAAGGGAGTTTCCGGGATCCTTGAATTATATGGAATCATTACACAGAATTGTTCAGAGACAGTCTGAATTACGTTCCAAGTTTGCAGAAGTCTCAGAGATAGAAGGAGACCACCACCAGGAAAGAATTTAGATTCCCCCTTTTTAACTTCTTTGATTACATGGCAATATTGCTCATTTGTGCCATGTATAATATAGTGTGTATATATAGATATGTATGCACACATGGTAGTGAACATATATGTATATAAATTCAAGTTTGTAGACATTAAATAAACTTTAGAGCAATATGAAATAAATTTCATGAAAAAAATGGCTCCTACACAGCAGTTATTTTCTTTGTACACCCTACTGATAATTATTTTTTCTTTTTTAGAGATAGGGTCTCACTCTGTCACCCAGGCTGGGGTGGCACGATCATAGCTCACTGCAACCTCAAACTCCTAGGCTCAAGCCACCCTCCTGCCTTGGCCTCCCTGGAATTACAGGCATGAGCAAGGACATGGGGCCCCTATCCATAATTTTATTCTCAGCTGTAGTCTAATTGTGCATAGAATGGTAAGTGTACCTTTAGGGTTGTTGTAGAAAGGCTGGGGTCTGATTTCAGTAGGCATGGGTTTTATACTCAGCTCTGTCACTTTTAAGCTGTGCGATCTTGAGAAGTTACTTAACCTTTGTGGGCCTCACTTGGTATTTCTCATTTGTAAAATGAGAGCATCTGGAAGATTCTATCAGGAATGAACAGAGAATATCTCTTTAAGCCCAAGGCTTCATTACTCTCCGGGCTACAGTTAAGAATGGGCTGTTGCCCAAGGGAGTCATTCTGGTCCTGTTGTTTAAGGGCCCGTGGAATAGTTAATGCTCTGGATTGGATAATGGCTTCAACATGTCCTGAGAAAGGAGAACAAAACATAAAAGTATTTTTCCTTAAAAATTTGCTTTTATTTAGATGGGATTTAGAGACATGACCTGTCAAACCTTCCTCAGAAACATTCTTCAAATATTCTTCACCTCCATCCCCATAGCTCAGCCTAAGCCTTCTCTCTGATCTTCTTGCCTTTAGTCTCTCCTTTCTTGGCAGAACTTTCTTCCTAAAAAAAATTCAACATCCCATTCTCCTAATGCAAAACCAGCGGATGACCTGGTGCCTGTGGGATCAGGTCAAACTTCTTGGCCTGGCATTCATCTAGGGCGCCTCCACCTTACCCTCAGCTCCTGTCTTTCCTCAGCCTCCCAGTCCCTTTAGTGCCTGTGTTCCCATCAAAGTGAACTTCTCACCATCATGCAGGCAAACCATACCCTTTCACGACACCACGCATTTTTTTTTTTTTTTTTTTTTGAGACGGAGTCTTGCTCTGTCACCCAGGCTGGAGTGCAGTGGCGCGATCTCGGCTCACTGCAAGCTCCGCCTCCCGGGTTCATGCCATTCTCCTGCCTCAGCCTCCTGAGTAGCTGGGACTACAGGCGCCCACCACCACGCCCGATTAATTTTTTTTTTTTTGTATTTTTAGTAGAGACGGGGTTTCACCATGTTAGCCAGGATGGTCTCGATCTCCTGACCTTGTGATCTGCCCGCCTCAGCCTCCCAATGTGCTGGGATTACAGGCATGGGCACCACACTCGGAGACACCATGCATTTTTAAATCCCGCTCCCTCTGCATGGATTGTTTATTTGCTTCTTGACAAACCCCTAATTCTCTTTCTAGGTATTGGGGATTCTGCAGGATATATGTGGTGATGTTATTCCTTTCCACACACAGCTGCACTGTGCCTGACACAGGATAGTAAGAAGGTACTCAATGAATGCTATTTTGATGGGTGAATGAATGGAGGGATGAATCCTTGAATAAGTGAGTGAACCAGTGAGCAAATGAATGATGAATGGATCAGTCAATGGAGAGTTGGAAGGATGAATGAAAGAGTGAATGGACAAATGGAGAAGTGAATCGTGGAATAAATGAGACACATGAATGCAGGCAATTAATTCATGGTTTTTAGAAAGCCAGACTATGTGGCCAGAAAGGAAAACAGAAATGGCAGAAGAGAGACAAATGAAAGCCCCCTTTTGTTTCTCTGCAGCTACCAGCAGAAGGGCTAGTGCTGCTCTCTCTTCTTTCTGACTCCAACCTCGACTGTTCTTTTGCCCTGGGTTACCTTGACCTTGGCATTTCCATGGAGAAGTTGACTGCTTGCCTGGACACAGTCTGCTCTCTCTTGCCCTGTGTTTTCAGAACAGGCCACTCACTCTGCACAATTAGAGAACGTGCACCTGAGAAGCCTCGCAAGCTGTGACTCTTGGGGAGAGAGCAAAGAGGAGGATGCTGGGAAGGTGGGTTCTGTGGTCTCACACTGATGGAAAAAAAAAAAAAAAGCAGACAAGGCCGGGCGCGGTGGCTGACGCATGTAATTCCAGCACTTTGGGAGGCCGAGGTGGGCGGATCACGAGGTCAGGAGATAGAGACCATCCTGGCTAACACGGTGAAACTCCATCTGTACTAAAAATACAAAAAATTAGCCGGGCATCATGGCGGGTGCCTGTAGTCTCAGCTACTGGGGAGGCTGAGGCAAGAGAATGGTGTGAACCCGGGAGGCGGAGCTTGCAGTGAACCGAGATCACACCACTGCACTCCAGCCTGGGTGAAAGAGCGAGACTCCATCCCAAAAAAATAAAAAATAAAAATAAAGAGACAAATGGTTTTCTTTCCTGCTATTATTTTGAAAGTCTTGCAGCAGTTCCAAGGAGCCAGGGAAGCTTTGGGATACCGTCCTGCTGGGTCCCTGGAAGGGTTTTCTTCATTGATAGCCTAGTCCTCACCACAGGAGGCACCAGGGTACATGTGTCTTCACACTTCCCTGTTTCTGTTGCTTAACTTGTCCCCATTCCCCACTCCGCAATTAGGATACCTGTGAGAGCTGCCATTGATTGAGTACTTAGTATTTCCCATATATGATCTTATTCCTTCTTTATAACACTTATGCAGTAAGTATTCTTATCCTCATTAAATAAATGTGGAAATTGTGTCTCAGTGAGGTTAGGTAAGTGGCCCTAGTCCACATAGGGATCTGTATGTAGTGAAACTGGGATTCAAATACAGAGTTGTTTGACTCCAAAGTCCATATTCATAAACAGTACAGGGTGTAGCTATTAGGATTTCTCTAAGAGTGTATCCTAGGATCCCCACAGGAGACAGATGGCCCATTCTAAAGGCATTATTGTGGGGAGTTTAATAAGGGATCAGTTCAAATGTGTGGGAGATTTTCAGGTAAACTGAGGAAGGCTGGCGAAACCCTGGGGGCTAGCAACAGCAGGGAGCTGCTTCCACCCTTAGGTCTGAAGACATCAGGGTAAGCAGCGCTTTCCTGAACTGGAGAGAAGGAGCCACCTGACAAGAATTGTGCCCTTGGCAGAGGACTCCAGACAATGGCCATTCTCTCCCCGGGTGTTAACATAGAGCTTGGCACTTTGTGGGCCTTCAGAATGATGAGTTAAATTTGCTGAGTGCTAGTATCACACAAGGGTAGTTTGTTCAAGTGTTGTTTATCGTGCCAAGTTAATAGGTTTGCATTCCATGCTTCCTGCTTTTGTAAATTTTTAAAGCATGCAAGCCAGATCTAATAGTTCTAATTACTTAAAGGCCTCAGTTCTTTTTAGAATTCTATGGAGCCTCTATCTCTGAGTTTCCATACTCCTTGTTTACTTATTAATGTCAGATTTTGGACTACCTTCATACTTGCTATGTACTTTGATTCTTCCCCAACAAAACTAGAAACATCAGGGAATAGATTGTACACAAAGTGATATGATAGTTGGAGTATCAGAGGAGGTGTCAGAATACTCTTCCACTGACTACTGTTTGGCAAGTGGCCAAACCTCTTTGAACCTCAGTTTTCTCATCTGCAAAATAGGGATAACAAGTAAGAACATGCGTGTGAAGGTTCTGAAGCTAATACACGCAAAAGTGTTCATGACTTTAACAGTGGAGCAAGATAGTGGATTTTAGTGACTCTCAGACAATTCTTCCATTGAGATTTTTAGAGCTATCACAGTAAAAGGCTACAAAGAAAGTCAGAGGGCTTTGGGGGTAGAACATCAGAGAGCAAGTGTAGATTGCAATCGTCTCCTAGTGAATATCTTAATCCTGAGTATTTGGGGGTTATAAATAGATTAATCTAAAGTGAAACAAATGAAAAGTATTAATGCAAAAAGTTGGCGTAAAAAGCTTCAAAAATAGAAACTAGGCTGGAAGTTTGGAAGTAAAATTCCATCATGTTCTAGAACAAGGCGGGAAAACTTTTTCTACAAAGGGCCAGATAGTGAATATTTTAGGCTTTATGAACTGGTCTCTGCCCCGTCTTACACAAAAGTAGCCATACACAAACCATAAATGGATAGATGTAGCTGGGTGCCAATGAAGCTTAATTGCAAAAGTTGGTGGCAGTCTAGATTTTGTCTGTCAACATAATTTATCAACTCCTCTTTTAAATGAGCTCAGCTTTTCTATGCCAATACAAGCTAGAGAAATTGCCCACTGTCTCCTTTATTGTTATGTTAGATGATAAGAGAGAGGATTGATATTTACTGAGCACTTGACATCAGTCACTATACGAAGCATGTGACACAGATAATCTCATTTAATCCCATGAAGGCAGTGCTATTACCTGTATCTCCATTATACATTTTTAGTGATTGAGCCGGGATCCAAATATGGTCCTGTCTTACTCTAAAGCTCAAACTCAGTCCACTTCACATTACTTACAGGTATGTCAAGCCTTTTGGCATTATGTTTAATCCACTAATGTTTAATGTAATTATCTATACATCAAATTTGAAATTAGGCCTACTATTTTAATATTTGTTTTCTGTTTTTCTCATCTGTTTTTAATTTTTATGTTCTACCTTCCTGTGGTCTCTTGCTTTAAATTCAATGTTTCTTAATCTTTTTCATTATCACCTCCTAATGAGTCTTTTAGACATTTTTTCCTAATCACATTCCCCTGAATTTTAATACCACAAATATACTGTATATCTCTTTATATACTCTATGTATATCAGTGCTTTATATGTTAAAAATAGGTAAGATTATTTTATTTCCAAGAACCAGTTTTCAACTCCTTTGGTGGAATATTGCCCTGTTTGAGAATGCATGGCTTGAATAATTCATGGAACTTCATTTCAACTTATATATTGGCTTCTTAGCTATACTTTTTTGTATTTTTTTACTAGTTGCTCTAAAGATTAAAATAAACATCTTTAACTTTTCCCAGTGTGTTTAGAGTTAATGTTGTGCCATTTCATGTAAAATGTAAGAACTTTATAATACAGGTCCATTGTACACACCCACTTCCATTCTTTGTGCTAAGTTGTCACAGGTGTTACATCTATTTAAGCTATAAACCTCTAAGACAATGCTATAATTTTTGTTTAAACAGGTATATGGATTTTAAATAAATAAAAAATAATTTTCATATTTATCCACAAATTTACTTTTTCTGATACACTTTTTTCTTTCCTAAAGATATGTTTCCATTTTGTATAATTTCCCTTTGGCTCTAATAACCTTCTTTACTGTTTCTCTTTTTTTTTTTTTTTTCTTGGAGACAGAGTCTCAATCTGTCACCGAGGCTGGAGTGCAGTAGTGTGATCTCAGCTCACTGCAACCTCTGCCTCCCAGGTTCAAGCAATTCTTGTGCCTCAGCCTCCCAAGTAGCTGGGACTATAGGCGCAGGCCGCCATGCCCGGCTAATTTTTGTATTTTTAGTAGAGACGGGGTTTCACCAGGTTGGCAGGCTGGTCTTCAACTCCTGACCTCAGGTGATCCACCTGCCTCAGCCTCCCACAGTACTGGGATTCCAGGTGTGAGCCAGTGTGCCTGGCCGCTGCTTCTTTACAATGCTGATCTTCTGGCAACAAATTCACTCAGTTGCATTAAAGGATATTTTCATTCAATATAGGATTCTGGATTGACAGATTTTTTCCTTCAGCAGTTTCAAGATTATATTCTGCTATCTTCTCTATAATTTCTAATGAAAAGTTAGGAATTATTCAAATTATTGTTACTCAGTTATTAGTTTTCTCTGCATTCAAGATTTTTTTCTGTCTTTGATTTTTAGCAGTTTGACTATGATTTCACTAGATGAAGTTTTCTTCAGTGGTATTCACTGAGTTTCTTGAATCTGTAAGTTTACATCTTCCACCAAATTTGGGAACACTTGGTCATTATTTCATATTCAAATATTTTTTCTGCCCCACTTCCTCTCCCTCAGGGATGTCAATTACATGTATATTAGACTGTTTGGTATTTTCCCACAGGTCTTTAAAACTGTGTTCATTTTTTTCAAGCTTTTCTCTTTCTCTCCTTCAAATTGGATGATTTTAATGATCTATCTTCATATTTACTGGCTCTTTCTCCTGTGAATTCTCATTCTGCTATTAAGCCATTCAGTGACTTTAAAATTTCAGATATTGTATTTTTTTTCAGTTTTAGGATTTCCATTTGGGTTTTTTTTTGTTGTTGTTGTTGTTGTTGCTATTTTTATTTTTCTTCTGAGATTTCCTATCATTTCATTCATTACAAGTATATTTCCTTTATATCCTTGAACATAGTTATGATAGTTTCCTTAAAATTCTTGTCTGTTAAATTTGAACATATGGGCTATCTCTGCCATTTTTCTCTTTAAACAATTTTTAGACATAGTAAAGTTTTCCTGTTGATTTGTATATAAATTAATTTTGGATAGTATACTGAACATTGTGAGTGATCTGTTGTAGAAACTCTGTATTCTGTTGTGTTACTACAGGGAATATTAATTTCTTAAAGTAGGCAATTAACTTGGCTGAACTTGAAGTGCAAACTCTGTCTTCCCTGTGGTTTGCAGCAGCTTAAATATCTTTTAATGTTAGCTGTGCTGTTTGGCATCCTTGTTTTACATCAGCTATGATTACCCTGAACTCTATTCTCTGATTATTCAAGTCAAAAACACTGCAGGTTATCTCTTGGAGATTTAACTGCTGTGTATGGCACAGAGTAGGACCTATCCTCAGACAAAAAGCCATAAAATATGAAATTTATCCTGTACTGTTTCTTTCTTCCAAATGTTATATGTCTTCCAGGAATTACTTGTTTTTGTTCACTCTGCAGTGTCTCCAGGTAGTGTGTGTAGTTATATATGCTTTTACCATTCTTTCAGTGGTTACACTTGAGATTTTTATGTGCTTCCTTGACATATTATTGTTAATATAAAGTGCACTTTCATAGAGAGTACTTTTACTACTTCCCAGAAAATGCAAGGACCTACGAGAGTACTTGAACTCCATTCGCCTCTCCTGTTTTTTGTGTTCATGACACATTACATGAATATTATACATATATATCTCAGAGGGAGTATATACCACAATGTTAAGATTATTACTTCTGGATGGTGGGGGTTAGGATGATATATTTTTATCTGTACATTTTGCTTTTTCAACAATAATCATGTGCTTTGCCAAAAAAATTTTTAAAGAAGACAGAAGGGAGAAGAACACTTGCCATGCAGACCCTTTAAGCCAGAGCACTTCCTCCCTGCTCAGCTGCTCTGCACAGACAGACTCTTGTCTCCCCACTGGACAACAAGGGTGAATCAGAATGTGGGCCAGGCTGTGAGTGAGCAGGAAACCCTTCAGGCCAGTGAGGGATGCAGAGTCACAGTTCAAGCAGAATGAGGAGACATGCAGCCCAGTTGCTGCTTGCTTACCAGCTCATCTGTCCCAAGAGCCAAAGGCCACTCTATTCAGGATGATCAGCAATATCTGGTTGTGGACGTGTTTGAGCCCAGAGCAGCTGAGAACAGGATGTTGTGCAATGCCTGGGTAAATCCAGAGCCTTCCTTTCTCAGAGCCTGTGGATGCTGCCAGCAGGCCTAAGCCGATACGAAAGATAATTAGGCACAAATTCACAGTAACCTTTTATTCCTCACACTGCCTTCTCAGGCGTGGCTTTTGTCCAAATTATGGGGCAGGTCAAGCTCAATGCTTCATCCCTTCTCTGCCTGCCTCTGACTTCCTGAGTCTAGGCCTATCAAAACCCAACTGTCCTGGGGTCTCATTTCTGCAAAACTCTACTCTCTGCTAGGTGATAAGGGGGGTGATTAAGTGAAAATACTGCTCTGTATTTCTCTAATGCTTTTAAACTATTTCCATCTAGATTTTTTTTCTGAGTCCTACAACAAGAGAATACAGAAACCACCGAAGTGAAGTTTTCTACCAGTTTTCTTTTTTTTTTTTTTCATTTTTTAAAAATTATACTTTAAGTTCTAGGGTACATGTGCACAATGTGCAGGTTTGTTACATATGTATACATGTGCCATGTTGGTGTGCTGCACCCATTAACTTGTCATTTACATTAGGTATATCTCCTAATGCTATCCCTCCCCCATCTCCCCACCCCACGACAGGCCCTGGTGTGTGATATTCCCCTTTCTACCATCGAACTTATAAAAGGACCTACGTATGTGTCAATTCTCTTCTGTTTTTTTTCTTGTTTTACAGTTTTAGTACAAAAAGGAGTAATTTGGTAGGAATCTTTTTAATGTATTGCCCTTGTACTTTGAGAGCACCAAATCCTGACCACTAGACCACTAGGGATGCTCCTTGACTTTGAGTATGTTTTGTCAAGTGCTTGGCATATGGTAGGCGTTCAATAAATGAACGACGACAATAAAATTGCGGCACGGTCTCGCCATCCTAGTAGCTAGATACAGACTTTCCACAGAACTTAAGATGATGGTGTGATGGCATTCTTAGCAATTCTGGACAACTCATATTAATTAAAACATTTCACTCCATGTTTATAAAATATTTCTCTTTATAAAAACATTAAACAAGTAAATATTAAACAAATGTTATAATTAAAGAACACACTTAGGGACTTCAAAAAAATTAATTAGATTTATATTTCAGTCTCTTCTCAGTAACTTTAATTCTCATGATACTTCATCTTTGTCTTCTTTTAATCCCCATAGAAATGACCCTAGTTTTGATTTGATTGAGTGCTACCTAGGTACCTGGTGCTGTCCACTCAATGTATGATCTCATTTACTTTTCCCCGGGAACTCTATGAGGTAAGTTCTATTAATATCTCCCTTCAAAGACACAGGAACTAAGGCTTTTTTTTATAAAGTAAATGGCTTTTCCGGCATCTCACAGCCAGATAATGTAAAATCCAGTCTTGGAGCCCGAGGTCATGTTCTATCATTTGTCTCTGCTTCCTAGGTTAGTTTATTACAGAAACTCTGTACATTTCTTTCAGATATTAAATTTTAGTTAAAAGTAAATTCTTACTGATTTTCCCTACTCTTACCCAAATTCAACACATACTGATTGCATATTTACTGTGTGCAAGGCATTGTGCTAGCGATAGTGTGGAGGACATTTAAATGTGCAAAAACTGGGGAACTCCTGCCAGGATTTTCTGCTCTAGAAATGAGCTGGGGATGGTAGAAACATTATTTACCTCACTGTAATACAAGACAAGACCAACTAAGGTGAAAACAAACATTCGTTGATATTCTATTATGTGTCACGAACCTTGGATACTTTATGTGCATGATCTCAGTTGATTTTCTGGTTTTATGGAGAAGGCATCAGAGGCCCAGTTTTCTTAATCATTTGCTCAAGGTACACATGTAGGAAATGGGAGAATCCTACTGTATTACTCAGGGTTCTCTAGAGAAACAGAACCAATAGAAGAAGTAGAGATATATAGAAAGAGATTTATTATGAGGGATTGACTCACATGATTATGGAGTCTGAGAAGTCCCCTAATTAGCCACTGTAAAGATGAAGGCACAGGACAGTTGATGGTATAGTTCCAGTCCAGGCCTGAAGGCCTAAGTACTGCAGAAGCCAATAGTCTAAGTCTCAGTCTGAGTCCAAAGTTCTGAGAACCAGGAGAATTGATGTCTGAGTGCAGAAGATGGATATCCCAACTCAAGCAGAAAAGAATGTGTCCTTCCTCCACCTTTTGGCTCCATTCGGGTGCTCAATGAATTGGCTGATGCCTGCACACACTGGTGAAAGTGAATCTTCTTCACTCAGTCTCCTGATTCAAATGCTAATCTCTTCCAGAAATACCCTCACGGACACACCCCAAAATAATGTATTACCAGCTATCTGGGCATCCCTTAGCCCAGTCAAGTTGACACATAAAATTAACCACCATACCAACACACCAGGATTTGAACCTTGGCCTTTAATGCCTACCTCAGAGATAAATACAAGTTCAAAGGGATGAAACATCACTTGAGTTTTAGGGGATGAGCAAAAGCATGATTGAAGGAGGGATGGCATTTGGAATCACTGAAAGATGGAAAGACTGAATCAGGGATCAAGTAGAGAGGGCATTCCAGTGGAGGAATAGCAATGTGAACAAAGGGTAGAAGCTGCACTTGAGCTGTATGTTGGAAGAAGGGTAAAGAGTGTATCGAATGGAGGGTAGGATGTATGCAAAATATGCAGGAAATATGCTTGGGGGGTGGCAGTTTGGCTTCCACCAAGGAAGACTTTCTCTTGATAGGTGATGGGAAGATATTAAAGGTGTGGGGCAGACCAGTGATGTAACTAGGGCTGCTTCTTAGGAAAATTAACTTATGAGCTTCAGGCTGACTCATAACAGATGTCACTCCTGCTGTCCTGGACTCCAAGCTGTCTTTTTTTTTTTTTTTTTTTTTTTGAGATGGAGTCTTGCTGTCGCCCAGGCTGGAGTACAGTGGCCTGATCTCGGCTCACTACAAGCTCTGCCTCTCGGGTTCACGCCATTCTCCCTCCTCAGCCTCCCAAGTAGCTGGGACTACAGGCACCTGCCACCACACCCGGCTAATTTTTTTTTTTATTTTTAGTAGAGACGAGGTTTCGCCATGATGGCCAGGCTAATCTCGAACCCCTGACTTCAGATGATCCATCGGCCTCAGGCTCCCAAAGTGCTGGGATTACAGGAGTGAGCCACCGTGCCCAGCTAGCTGAGGGTGGTTTAGACTAGGAGGTCAGCCACTCAGCTTTGTCTCAGAACAAATCACTGAATCCCGATATCCTGTCCTGACTCTGTTGGCCTCCATCAGCCTGAATTGTATTGCCCCAGCTTATCTCATCTATTCATTCATTCCAGTGTTTATTGAACTCCACGTGCTGTCAGACATTGTGCTTGGTGCTGAAACTACAGGAATGATACGCCACAGCCTCTCCCCTCCTGAGCTCACAGAGAAGCAGGGTGACACTTGATGGCAAAGTGATGAGATCAGTGCTGGGAAAAGCCCAGCAAAGTGCTGTGGAGACTGCGGCCCCGGGAAGTCTACAGGGAAGGCTTTCATGGCAGGAAATGTAGGCCTTAGCATAAGAGTTCAGTTTTCCATAAGAAAAAAAAATGGAGTGTCCAAGATTTACACCCTTTCTTGAAGGAACTAGAAAGGGATGCAGTGGCCCAGAGAGGAGGCAGTCTTCCCTTCATGACTCTCTGCAGGCTGAGGATAGCTGCTGAGGCAGCCTTGATTCTAACAGGATGCCAGCTAAGGACGGTACCAAAGTGGAGCAGTCACTCAGGGCCACAGCTGGGCCACAGGCCGAGGGGTCCCTACTGGGAGGGGAAGGGAAGGGTCCCAGCCAGTTGCCCTTGGCAAAAGGCAGGGGTCAGTCATGTTGGCAGCACATCAGAAATTCATTAAAATAGTTGAATGGACATAAGCATTCACAGTCTCTTGGCAACAAGACCTTCCTTCTTCCAGTTCTAGTCTGTGCCCAGAGCTGGGATGGATGGATGTGTGTGGCGTGGGTCAGGAGGTGGGGTGTTAGATGTACCCGTCTTTTGGCCTGGTTTTGGTAGAAATTCAGTGGCTGGGGTGGGGAAAAGGCTTTTCTCCTGCTGGCAGCAAGTTGGGTGACCGCTCCTCTCTGTTGGATTCCTATTCTCCTTGCTGCCTGGGGTACCACTCCGGGTCTTCGGGCTGGTCCTGCAGCTTTCACTCGGCAGACAGACTCTGTGTGCCTTCTGCACTCTGAAGACAGAGGACAGCCCTCCACAGTGACTTCTGACAGACATTTCTGTTTTGGAGCTGCTTCCTTTGGCATTTGACAAAGTCAGCAGATGAACACTGTTTTCATGGGTCCAAGGAATTTTGGCTCCCAAGGGGATTTTATAAGAGTCCACTATCTTTTGGTTGTTTTCCTTATTTTTAAGAATAATATGGGCCGGGCACGGTGGCTCACACCTGTGATCCTAGCACTTTGGGAGGCCGAGGCGGGAGGATCACGGGGTCAAGAGCTCGAGATCAGCCTGGCCAACATGGTGAAACCCCATCTCTACTAAGAATACAAAAATTAGCCGGGCGTGGTGCTGTGGGCCTGTAATCCTAGTTACTCGGGAGGCTGAGGCAGGAGAATTGCTTGAACCCAGGAGGCAGATGTTGCAGTGAGCCGAGATCGCGCCACTGCACTCCAGCCTGGGTGACAGAGCAAGACTCTGTCTCGGAAAATAATAATAATAATAATAATATAAAAATAATTTTAATTTTTTCTGTAAGGGCATGCATACTTGATTTTTTTTTAATAGAAGATACAGATAACTGAAAAGAAGAAAAGTAAAACACGGATAGGTGCCCAGGTCTTTGCTTGGAAATGCCATTATCCACTAAAAGCAACCAGGCCTCTTGGAGAAATAGCTGATTTCAAGGCTTAGAAAGTACAAGATAAATCTGGAACATCATGTTGTGTCAGAAAGACAGGGAGTGCTCAAAATATATTATGGAGCCTGTCAAAAAGATACAGGAGCCAACTTGAAGGGCTCCTACTGGCCAAATTGAGGACAATTTGGAGCATCAAAATAAATATGGACAGTAATGGATTATAATCCATTGATGAAAATAAGACTATGAGCCCATTTTGATAATAAATAAATAAATGATAATTAATTCCTCATAATTAATAAACATAGAATGATTACATTAAAAATCATTTGGCAAGTTTCATCAATGAATTCTAAATTGAAGATGGGGAAGAAGTCAGATAAGGGATTGAAAATGTACAATAGTCTCAAAGTATCTTCCCTCAAATTATCTATTAGGTACATAAGGAGAAACAGAAGGCATACTATGGGAAAAGCACAAATGTTAGCTAGATGATAAAAGTTAATATCACTCCTAAGGGACAAAAAGACATCACATATCTCTAGATGTGATACCTTCAGAAGGATACAACAGCATTTATGTAATATTTCAGACAAAAATACATAATGTGATTCCAATTATGAGGAAGTGTCAGACAATCTAAATTGTCTATAAAATAATAGTCCTGTGTTTTTAAAAACTGTGGCTGTCATAAATGACTAAGAAAAACCAATGGACTCTTGCAGATTGAGAAGACAAAAAGATGTGACAACTAAATGGGATGCGCTGTGCTGAACTGGATTCTGGACAAGGAAAAAATAAATTCCTATAGAGGACAAATGGGGACAATTGATTAAGTTGGAATATAGACTGTAGCTTAGATAAAAGCATTGTATCAATATTATATTTCTGGAATTTGCTAATGGTTCTGTAGTTATGTAAGGGAGTATTTTTGTTCTTAAGAAACGCATATTGAAATATTAAGAGATAAAAGGCATGATATTTGTAACCTACTCTCAAATGTTTCATAAAAAAAGACTTATGCAAGCACAAATGTAGGTAGAACGTGGAGCCTGTGCTAGACAGAAATAATAACAAATAAAACAGTGTGTTAACAATTGGTGGGTCTGGGGGAAGGGGATACGGAGTTGTTTGCAGTATTGTACTATTCTTGAAACTTTTCAGTAGGTTAGAAATTATTCCAAAATAATACATTCTAAAAAGAACAAAAACAACATTGGAGTTACCAATTTTTTTTTTTTTTTTTTTTTTTGAGATGAAGTCTTGCTCTGTCGCCCAGGCTGGATTGTAGTGGTGTGATCTTGGCTCACAGCAACCTCCGCCTCCCGGGTTCAAGCAGTTCTCCTGCCTCAGCCTCCTGAGTAACTGGGGTTACAGGCGCAAGCCACCATGCCTAGCTAATTTTTTTTTTGTATTTTTAGTAGAGACAGGGTTTCACCATGTTGGCCAGGCTGCTCTCAAACTCCTGACCTCAGGTGATCTTCCCTCCTTGGCCTCCCAAAGTGTTGGGATTACAGGCATGAGCTACTGCACCCGGCCTGGAGTTACCTATTTTTTAAACACTCAGCTGTGACAAAAAGAACACCTGTAATTTTATTAACATCAGGTGATCCTTGTTTACACCATGGTGGCGCTCAATCCAGAATTGCTTTTCAAACAAAACTGGAATTAGAATGATGCCAAAGTTTTGCTAGTAAAGCAAAGTATTGCCCATGGCTTTTCTCTGTACACACACATACATACACGTGGTTTATAATTCATCATAATTATTAACACAAAGGCCAGGTGCAGTGGCTCACGCCTATAATCCTACCACCTTGGGAGGCCGAGGCGGGTGGATCACTTGGAGCTCAGGAGTGGGAGACCAGCCTGGGCAACATGGTGAAACCCAGTCTCTACTAAAAATACAAAAATGAGCCATGCCTGTGGCTCCAGCTGCTCGGGAGGCTGAGGCAAGAGAATCGCTTGAGCCGGGAAGTAGAGGTTGCTGTGAGCTGAGATTGCACCACTGTACTCCAGCCTGGGGAAAAGAGTGAGACCCTATCTCAAAAAAAACAAAAAACAGTGTCTATCATTATTTGTATTATTCAATTTCATTGAATTGCCTTTATTTATCTAATCAATAGTTGCCAAATGTAGGTTTTTTTTAATCCCAGTTTTCTCCCCTTCTTCTTTTTTTTTTTTTTTGAGACAGGGTCTTGCTCTGTCACCTAGGCTGGAGAGCAGTAGAGATCACGGCCCACAGCAGCCTCGACCTCCTGGGCTCAGGCGATTCTCTCACCTCAGCCTCTAAAGTAGCTGGGACCACAGACACATACCACCATGCCCAGCTAATTTTTTAAAATTTATTTTTGTAGAGATGGGGTCTCCCTATGTTGCCCAGGGCTGGTCTCAAACTCCTGGGTTAAAGTGGTCCTCCTGCCTCAGCCTCCCATAGTGTTGAGAATACCAGTGTGAGCCACTACGCCTGGCCTTTTCTCACTATTAACAAGGCTTCTGAGAATATGCTTGTAGATAAATCTCTGAGCACAGCTATGAACTTGTCCTTAGGATAAATTACTAGACATGAAATACCTAGATCAAAGGGCTAACATATTTTTAAAGCCTTTGCCATGAGTGAAAAATTTTCAAACTTCCTTCCCAAAAGTTTATGCCAATGCATTGCCTCACCGGTTTTTTATGAGATTATCTATTTTCAATTCCCTTACCTCCAATCGTATTGATTTTTCACCTTTCATCTTTGCCAAATGCAATGAAGGGAATGGTCTCCACTTTGCGGTTCTAACCTGTAGTTCTTTGATTATTCCTGAGAGTGAACCTGAGCACTTGTGTTTCTTCTTTTTCCAATGATAGCTACTAATGTATTTCATCAAATCGAAGGACACACTGGTTGTAAGACATATCACCATTATTTTATGTGCCATTAAAGAAAGAAGAGTGCACACCAATTTCTGAAATGTTGAAACATGTGCACTTAGAATTTGTAAAATAAGTACTTTAAAAAGTACCTCTGAGATCTGTGGTCTGACAGCTCAGATTCAGGTCAAGAAATGAGGCTGCCTGGGGCCCTGTGCGATTGGGCAAGTTGCTTAACCTTCAGGAGGATTCACAAAGTCCTTTGGGATTTTTCAGAACCTAAGAGGCATTATTAAAACAAAGATAATAATACCTTTCCCGACCAACTTGTTTTTCACTTTTCCTAATGTTTACTAAACACCGATGTTCTGTGTCATTCCC
Organism: Homo sapiens; assembly: GCF_000001405.40. Lineage (NCBI taxonomy): Eukaryota > Metazoa > Chordata > Mammalia > Primates > Hominidae > Homo > Homo sapiens. The sequence goes on from NC_000008.11 coordinate 124,780,445, forward strand.
AGTGTCTGCACATGAGGAGTTTGCGATTTAATGGGGAGACAAACAGATAATTGTTCTGCCTGGGAAGTCATGTAAGGCTAAGAGAAGGAGGTGAAGCGGCAGAGGGAGAGCTTGATCTTGTGAGATTTATTCATTCGGCAAATATTTATTCATCCTTTACCATATGCCCAGGACTATGCCAGGTGCTGAGGTTGAGTGGGTATTTTTTTTTTTTTTCCTGGAGAGCAAGTCTCATTCTGTCACCCAGGCTGGAGTGCAGTGGCGCGATCTCGGCTCACTGCAACTTCCACCTCCTAGGTTCAAGCGATTCTCCTGCCTCAGCCTCCTGAGTAGCTGGGATTACAGGCATGCGACCCCAAGACTGGCAAATGTTCATATTTTTAGTAGAGATGGTGTTTCACCATGTTGGCCAGGCTGGTCTCGAACTCCTGACCTCATGTGATCCACCAGCCTTGGCCTCCTAAAGTGCAGGGATTACAGACTTGAGCCACTGCGCCCGGTCCAGGTGGGTATTTTTAAGACGTGCATAGGGGATGGGCATTTGGGGCAGAGGGAAGAGTAGGGACAGTGAGGTAAAGGAAGCTTAAGTGTTTCCTGGGAAACAGGGAGTGGTTCCCAGGAGGTGGGAAGCTGCAGAAGATGGGGCAAAAGATGAGATGGGACATTATCAACCCCATTTGGTTGATGTAGAAACTGAGGCTCAGACAGACAAGGTATGCAATGTTCTAGGGCCCCATAGAAAAGGAGTACTACATGGTGTTGGATTTATCTGTTTGTGCATCTGGCTCTCCACTCCTGCCCAATGATGAGATCTTTAAGAGAAGAAGGCACCATCTTTTATTCTAAGTACCTAGCACAGTCAGGTCCCATTATGGATATTGCCATACCTACTTGTTGAATGAATGAGTCAACTATTACAGAAGTGACGAACGTCGAGTCCCCTTCCTGCAGCCCACAGGTCTGAATGAGTTCAGGGTCAAAGAACTGTTTATATCATTTCTGTCCAGGTATTTCCTAGAGGCCTACACTGCCCAGTCCCTGGTCCTATCTTGCCTGGATTGTGCAAGGAAGTGGCTTCACTGGTTTAACCACTCTAAATTGAAAGCCTGCTCAGCCTCCGAGAAGGCAACCTGAGTTGGAAGGACAGGCAGTAGTACCTTTTAGGGCCTCAGGGTGAGCACAGGTAGGCCTGTTCCTAGAACCACCTCTTCCTGCTGAGACTTCCCTAGAACAGTGACTCAAGGCATTTAGGCAAATCTTGTTTCCAAGGTAATTTGCCTGATGAAAAGGGTGAGTAAGGGATTTATGAACTGTAAAAGGCTGTGCAAACAGGAGAGATTACCATTTGGTATTGCTACTAATCTCATGGAAAGAGAGTTCTAACAGGGACCTTAGTAATCACTTTGTCCGTTCTCTATCTCCATTTTGGAGATGAGGACAGTGAAGCCAAAGAGGAGAAGGGGCTTGGCTAAAGTTATCCAACAGGCAAGGAGACCCAGGAAGTAGAGCACACTGGTAAAAAGCTGGCACACCTGGGTAGAGAAATGGGTCACATCTCAGCTTCACCCATTATGAGCTGCGGGGAGCCTGGGAAGGTGAATAAGTTCTCTAAGCATCAGCTTCTTCATTTATAAAATGGAATAATGATAATTAATTTAGGGGTTGTTGTAAGGATTGAATAAGGTAGCAAGTGAATGGAAAGACCTTTATATGTACCTGGAATGTAGAAGGTGATGAATAAATGTTAGGTGTTATGACTTTGCTACTATTATTATTTATTATTATATATATTGGCAGAGGTGGGCTAGGATACATGACCTCCTGACTCCCATTCTGGTTTCTGCAGTCACCAGACTCCTGGAGTTCAGCATATCAGACTAAGTTTACTACGGCTTCATTCATTCATCACATATTCAATGAGTGCCCTTTATGTATTAAGCAAAATGCTAGTTACTGTATGTGTTGGGGTGGTGACAGGGAGTGGGCAGGTGATAAGCAAGAGGTATAAACATGAAACCAACATGGTCCATGCTGTCAAGATGAGTATAGCCTGGAGGGATTAGAAGTGGAAGGGAAAGGAGGAGCTACCCCTATGTACAAGAGGCAAATCACCTTACAAGGTAAAATTGATTCTGGAAGTCATTTTGGGAGATCAAGGAGCCATTCAGAAACCTGAGTAGGTCCAAGCCAGTTCAACATCTTCTGGGATCAAAACAAAACCCCACACACAGGACAAAACCTCCACACACAACACTCCTGGTTCTGATGGCAGATTTTCATTCCCCAACCCAGAGGCTAGAGGACCTAAATGGCCCTGTCTGGGGAATTGAAGGAAACCAGGACTCTCCCTTTTGGGGAACCCAGCTCCACACTGTCACCAGTTCTCCTTTTTGAAACAGAAATGTGCTTCTCTGTGCAGAGCAGCAGGCATCCATGGAAGAATCAGATCGGGACAACATCTGTCTCTGCCCTTGGGAGAGGTGAGATCATGTTTGTGTGAGGATTGGAGATAAGGCTTTAAACAAGGGGCCTGGGGCGGCTGTCCATCAGCCACCACGTCAAGGTCAGACAGCATCAAAGTCAGGGAGGCATCTAGAAATGAACATGCAGCAGGTTCTCTAAAAGCAGCAATGAAAATGACTCAAAATCAAGAGAGGAAAGAGAGGGGGAAAAAAAACAGGCTATGAGCCAAACACTTTCATAGACACCATCTAATTTAGTCTTTACCACAATCACCTTTTACAGATGAAGACACCAAAACTTAGAAAGAGGAAGAAACCTGCCCCAGCTAATTGATGGTGGAACCCAAACTTAAACCAATACCTTGAAATTAACACCTGAGAAAAGAGCAAGGGATCTCTGGACTGATTCTTATGCCCCACCAAACCAGAATAATGAGAAGCAAAAAGCATACTGTCCAGTGGAACACGATTTCTTCTTCCAAATCCAGCTTAAATAGCACTTCTGCTGCCTGATCACTCTCATCAGAACAACCACTCCCTATTCCGAATTTCTTTAATCAAGTTTTTTTTTTTGTTAAATATTTTTACTATGTTTATGGCACCTACATCCAGACCTAACTGCTTGCCTTTTTAGCAAGGGTTCTCAGACAGGAGAAGGGCTATGCGGAAGTGGACGTGCTTCTAAAGTGGAAGGACAGTGCATCCTGCTAGAAAGAGCAAGAGATAGCAATTCAGAAAGACATGCATGCAAATCCCAGCTCCACCACCTGCCAGCTGTATGATGCTGTGCCCTTATTAACTCTTCTCAGGTTCCTCATCTTTGTTTTGCTTTAAATTTTTAATTTTTGTGGGTACATAGTAGGTATATATATTTATGACATAGATTGGATATTTTGATACAGGCATGCAATGTACAATAATCCCATCAGAGTTAATGGGGTATCCATCCCCTCAAGCATTTATCCTTTGTGTTACAAACAATCCAATTTTACTATTTTAGTTATTTTTAAATGTACAATTAAATTATTATTGACTATAGTCACCCTGTAGTGCTGTCAAATACTAGGTCTCTTGCTTCTTTCCTTCTTCCCTCCCTCCTATTCCCCATACCCCCTTTCTCTCTTTCTTTGTTGACAGGGTCTTGCTCTGTCACCCAGGCTGGAGTGCAGCAGCACAAACTCAGCTCACTGTAACTTCTGCCTTCCAGGCTCAAATGATCCTCCCACCTCAGCTTCCCAAGTAGCTGAGACTATAGGTGCACACCATTATATCTTCCTTTTTTTTGTAGAGATGAAGTCTCACTATGTTGCCCAGGGTGGTCTCAAACTCCTGGGCTCAAGCAATCCTCCTGCCTTGGCCTCCTAAAATGTTGGGATTACAGGCATGAGCCATTGTGTCTGGCCCTTATTCATGCTTTCTAGCTATTTTTCTGTACCTAGTAACCATCTCCACTTCCCGCTAGCATTTCCCCCTCTACCCTTCTCAGCCTCTGGTAGCCACCCTTCTAGTCTCTATCTCCATGAGTTCAAATGTTATAATTGTTAGCTCTCGCAAACAAGTGAGAATATGTGAAGTTTGTCTTTCTGTGCCTGACTTATCCCCTTAATAACTTCCAGTTCCATCCATGTTGTTGCAAATTACAGGATCTCGTTAGTTTCTACATCTTAAAATGGAGATCTGAATATCCTCTTTACAGGTTGTTCTGAAGTATTTTAGAGATAAAACACTTAACACTCCTAGGACAGTACCTCTTATGTGGAACCTCCTTTCCCCTTGCTGTGTGTTTCCATGTGGAGGGACATCGATGCATGTAACACTCCTGGCTCCTTTCTGGTCCTGTGCTCAGGATTCCGCAAGGAGGAATTACCTCCTTGGCAAATTTGGGAGTAGGAAATGGGCATAGGTACACCTGCCTCCTATCTACGTTTCCTTTGGAATTCAGCTGCCACCAGAAGCACACATTCTGCCCGGCTCCTCCATACGTTATGTGTTTCTGGGGAGGCACACTACATGGGAAGGTCAGCATTTTTCCACTACTGCCCAGTACCAGGTGCAAGTCAGGCTGATTCTGGTCAGCAGAAGCCTGTTGTTGCCTTAAACCTCACCTGAGCTCTCCAATGCTGTCTCTCCCATTTTGTTCTCCACCTGCCAGACTCCTCTCTTATTTTAAATGGTTTGGAACAGGGTGGGGACTACAAGAAGGTGGTGATGGGTATCCTTTAGAAACCTGCTCTAATCTCAACATGTTCCACATCAGGCTTTCAATAAATAGGAACTGTCATTTGCACCAAAAGTAAACTTCTTGTATTTGTAGTGCTGACTCTGCCCCTTCTATGTCCTCTCTTAGGCAACTCCCTCAGCGCTCCCCACCCCGAGCTGATGTTCTTTCCCACCACTCCCAAGACACTTCCTAGCAGTGTTGACCGGAGCTCAGTCATCAGCAAGTGTCTTGCTGGGACACTTCCTTAAGCCCTGCCCCAGAAAAGTAAACTTCCCTTTCCAAGAAGCAAGATACATATTCCTTTTGATGGAAGTTTTTTATGGTAGGTTCTCAGCTCCTTGTTCTTTGTAGACGTAGACTCTCTGGTGCATCTATAAGGCGCTCTGCTTGCTTTCCTGTTAATATGAGAACATGGAGGTGATAGAAGGGTTACTTTTCAGAACTCAAAGGGGCTTCCCTGCTAATCTCCACTGTTTGTAAAAATGTGAGATTTAGCCAAAGCAGTAGTGCTAATAGTTAATTAACTAGCAGGAGAACCATGGAGCAGTGGGATTTAAATACCCATGTGCACACCTGCACTCCCCTTTTAAATTCCCCAAGATCCTGCATTTGGAAAATGACATGGAGGAAACCCATAGCAACCTTTATGTGGATTGAGGTATTATAAGTGATTTTGAACTTCTTCAGATATCTCGATGTTTTAAAATAAATTTTCTACGATGAGTATGTTTTAATTTTAAAATCAAAAGAAAAAGGGATTAAACATAAAACTCACCTGAAAAAACATATGATTTGGAGAGATGCAAAATAATTCCAGAGCCTTTGATAATGCTTATGGGGTACCTAGTATGTACGAGGCACTGTGCCATTTGCTGTGGAGAGGGCAAGGTGTGTAAAACACGGTCCTTGCCCTGAAAGGGATGAGGCAACATGAACAACTACCTCCTGAATTTGTAAGTTGCAGTGGTTGAGCTAGGGTGATCTGCAAGGATGCGGGTGTGACTTATAGGTAGTGTCTGTTTAGCTCAACAAATTTTTACGGAGGATCTATGTGGCAGGTCCTGTCTTAGATGTTGAGATATGTTCATCCATAGAAACAGAAAGAAAATTGGTGGTTACCAGGAGCTGGGGGGAGGGGGAAATGGAGACCTGACTGCTTAACGGGTACGGAGGTTATTTGGGTCGGGGGTGATGGAAGAGGTGGTGGTTGCACAACACTGTGAATGTACTAAACGCCACTGAATTGAACACTTTGCAATGGTTAATTTGATGTGTTAGAAGGGCGGAAACTTGATCCTATGTGAACCCCCCTAGTTATCATCTGTCTCCTGAATGACCCACGTGTCCTGAATGTCAGTCCATATTCACTGTTTGTGCTCCTTTGCTCCTGTTCACTCTGAACTTACTGTAATCTGGCTTCTTTGTCCCCATCACTTCCCTGAAGCCACTACTAACTACATAATTATCAAATCCAATGACCATTTTTAAATTCTTTTAATAGTCCTTATCGGACTAATACACCCAAGTACGCTTTGGGCATCTCCACTTACATGTCCAATTCCAGAGGCCTCACTTTTTCATCTGTAAAATAAAAAAGGACCCATCTCATAGGGCTGTTGTGAGGATTGAGCACAGTGGTATGCTGGTCAGTGTTTAACAACCAGCTCTGAGGACAGAGGACTCCTGATTCATAGTATTTGCTGATTTCTGTGGTGCAAATTCTCCCACTAAGGCAGATTTCAAGGAACCAATGTAACACTATTGCATGTGGAATTAGATATGGGAACCATTATATCTTGCTTGCACCGTGCAGATACAGTGGACATTATCTGAGCCTGGATAACAGTGGAGGGTAGTAAAATAATTAGGAACTGCCGGGCGCAGTGGCTCATGCCTGTAATCCCAGCACTTTGGGAGGCTCAGGCAGGCGGATCACCTGAGGTCAGGAGTTCAAGACCAGCCTGACCAACATGGAGAAACCCCATCTCTACTAAAAATACAAAATTAGCTGGGTGTGGTGACGCACACCTGTAATCCCAGCTACTCAGGAGGCAGGAGAATCACTTGAACCCCGGAGGCGGAGAATGCGGTGAGCTGAGATCGTGCCATTGCACTCCAGCCTGGTCAACAAGAGCGAAATTCTGTCTCAAAAAAAAATAATAATAATAATTAGGAAGTGATGAGTTTCTATTATATTTGTTTATAATCCAACGTGTTTAATTGTGAGTATATATAATTTGATTTTTAATAATTGCTGTGTTTAGTGACTGGCTTGCAAAATTCTTGAAAATTTAATAATCGGCTCTTGCAAGCCAGTCCAAGCTGGCTCCAGGTACTGTTGAATGAACTACAGCTTGTACCCGGCTTAAGAGAGAACTCAGCATATGTAAAGTGCTCTCTAAATGGTAGCCAATGTGATTCTTGTCATTTGTTTTATTACACAATTTGTGACTGTTTTAGAAAAGTCAGGAAAGACACATTTTAAATGCACCTTTGTATGATTTTTAGGGTCGCATTATTTAACCGAGGAACATGGACTTGAGGGATGCCCGTGCAACATGGTTTACTCATAAAATTACTGTGTTTGGCATAAATTCAGAACTGAGAGCTGGAAAAGAACTAAAAAACTTTGAGTTAAAAAGTATAAAAATTTCAACTTACTGTAGTATTGCAGGTGAGCGCAGGAAGTTGGAGGCAGCTCTTCACCAGGGGCTGGAGAAGTAACAGGAAGGATCACAGTGGGTGGTGCTGTGCAGTGGTCAGAAACAGCAACCTGGAGTGCTGTCATGCACTGCAAAATGACGTGCTGGGTCAACAACGGACCCGTGTGCCACGGTGGTCCCATTAGATTACGATGGAGCTGAAAAAGTCCACCTAGTGACGTAGCCACAGTACATAGTGCAAGACATTACTTGTGCGTAGTGATGCTGCTGTAAACAAACCTACTGTGCTGCCAGTGGTATACAACAGAGCAATACAATCATGTGCAGTACAGAATACTTGATCATGATAGTAAACAACTATGTTACTGGTTCGTGTATTTACTATACTTATTATTGTTATTTTAGAGAGCACTCCTTCTTCTTATACAAAAAAGGTAATGGTAAAACATCTTCAGACAGGTTCTTCAGGAGGTGTCCTGAAGAAGGTGTTGTTATTATAAATGACAGCTCCATGCGTGTTATTGTCCCTGAAGCCCTTCCAGTGGGACAAGTCGTGGGGGCGGAAGACAGTGATATAGATGGTTCTGACCCCACGTAGGTCTAGGCTAACATGTGTGTTTGTCTCTTAGTCTTTAACAAAAAGTTTTAAAAAGTAAAACAATTCTTAGAAGTAGGGAAAATCTTATAAAATAAAAATATAAAGAAAGGAAATATTTTTGTACAGCTGTTCAATGTGTTTGTGTTTTAAGCTAAGTGTTAATACAAGAGTCAAAAAGTCTACAGTAGTGGACAGTAATGTCCTAGACCTTCACATTCATTCACCACTCACTTGCTGACTCACCCAGAGCAGCTTCCAGTCTTGCCTGCTCCATTCATGGTAAGTGCCCTACGTAGGTGTACCATTTTTTGTTATTTTTATACTGTATTTTTACTGTAGCTTTTCTGTGGTTAGATACACAATAGTTACCATTGTGTTACAATTGTCTATGTTATTCAGTACAGTAAACTGCTGTACAGATTTGTAACCTGGGACCAATAGGCTAGACTATATAGCCTAGGTGTATAGTAGGCTAGACAATCTAGGTTTGTGTAAGTACACACTATGGTGTTCACACAAGGATGAAATTGCCTAATAATGCATTTCTCAGAGCAGATCCCCGTTGTTAAGCAACACTTGACTATATGTATATTCCTGTATTTGTCTGTTCTCACACAGCTAATAAAGACATACCCGAGACTGGGTAATGTATAAAGAAAAGAGGTTTAATGGACTCACAGTTCCACATGGCTGGGGAGGGCTCACAATCACGGTGGAAGGAAAGGGAAAGCAAGACATGCCTTTCATGGTGGCAGGCAAGAGGGTGTGTGCATGGAAACTCCCCTTTATAAAACTACCAGATCTCCTGAGACTTATTCACTATCCCAAGAACAGCATGGGAAAAACCCGCCCCCATGATTCAATTACCTCCCACCAGGTACCTCCCACAACACGTAGGAATCATGGGAGCTGCAATTCAAGATGAGATTTGGGTGGGGACACGGCCAAACCGTGTCAGTACCCTTGTAAGATATAGAATATTCTGTCATGTGTATGTGTGTGTATGCATGTATTTAATGAATAGAATATTACTGTCCTCCAGATCCCATCCTGTTTCTTTTTCATTTCCCAAAGCGCCGTTTCCGTGATCTGCATTACTACACATATGTATTTGTATCTGTCATGGTCCAGGCAGGGAAAAGATGGACACACACATGTTGCATAGTTGGAGAATTAGTGAAAGGTCTATTTACAGAGGTGTGGTCAGGGTTAGGGAAAGCACCCAATGACGGTGAGGTGCCCTGGAGCTAGGAACAGCCATGGGACCTAACCATGTCCTGGTCTGTAAAGGCCAACTCCATTGAGAGAGCCACCTGGAAAGGGCCACCTCACAGGAGCTGTGGGGATACAGCCATCAGCTGCCCCCAGGGGAGGACCTTGCTCCCTGTCAGGGAGGGAGGGAGGGGTGTAAATACTCTGGTTTCCCTTTCCTGCCACCTTCTGGATCTCCTGACGGTGCTTCCCATTGCCCAAACCCAATCAGAAGGCAAGGAGCTAACAAGCGCATTGATGCACACCCTGCAGATGAGCCCCCAGGGACCAGACCTGGGCTGAGATAAACAGAGAGCCCATCTAGAGTTGCAAATGGAAGCCATCCAGCACAATATTGCAGGACATAAATCAACCATATTAGGATAAACGTTAATGGGGCGGGGGTGGGGGAGTGGAAAGGGAGTGGGAACTTGGAATGTAAAAGAGCATAGAAAACAAGAAGCTGTTTGCACGAATGTTGAGGATAATCGTGTCTTAAATGGAGGAGTCTAATTAACTCAGCTCTCAACTCTGAGGTCGAAAAGAGAAAGCAAATCTGATGTTTGCTAGAAAGGCAGCAACCATACTAAAGAAGTCTTTGCAAAACATCTTTTCCCCCCATACTGTTTGTGTTGCAATTCAGACCTTCCCATCTGAACCCCGGGCTGGAGAGAGAATTGAGTCCTTGTGTGAAAGAATGGGTTGGCCACAGGAAGGGGCCCAGGGTGAGGTCTGTTAGATGAAAAACAAAAGCAGAAATGTGTGTGTGGGCAGGAGAGTGGGTCTCAGGAGTGTATTTAAAAATTTGTATTTATCAAGAAAGAGGAAGAGAAGGCATGTAGGCAATTAGGAAGGGATGATGCTTTTCTTATAAAAAAGAAGGGGTGTGTGTGTGTGTGTGTGTGTGTGTGTATACATATGCAAAGAAAAATGTCTGGCAGGCAAAACGTCAAAATATGAATGGTTTTGGATTATGAAGAGTTGTGTTTATTTATTTTATCTGCTTTCCTGCATTTTCTACTTTTTATAAAGTAAACCTGTTATTATATATTTTATCTGCTTTCCTGTATTTCCTACTTTTTATAAAGTAAACCTGAGTTATTTATGCAATAAGAAAGGATTTAAGCAAAAAAGGTAGTAATATCTATGCAAAACACTCATAGCCAAGAAGACCGATGTTGTCTTACAGCTGTGCCACATTTCTTCCCTCTGCTCACCTTTTCCTCCTCATCTCTCCTCCCTCTTCTGCCTCCAGGTTCCGTACATGACTTATTAGCTCACAGTGAGTTGATTGACTGAGTCATTTGCAGTGGAAAGTCACAGACATGACTTGGGCTCAGCTGAAAACAAGAGGGTCATCAAAATGATTTCATTATAACTGCCACTTGGGAACATTCTCTACTTTCCACCAAGAGGCTGAATGGGGGTTAAAAAGTAATCCTTCCTGGAATTTGGTACTTATATCAGTTTCTCAGGGCTGCCATAACAAATTACCACAAACTGAGTGGCTTGAAACAACAAATATTTATTGTCTCAGAGTTCAGGAGTCAGAAATCAAGACGTTGTCAGAGTTCGCTTCTTCTGGAGGTGCTGAGGAAGGATCTGTTCCATGCCATTCTCCCAGCTTCTGGTGGCTGTGGCCAATTCTTGTCATCCTTGGCTTGTAGCTGCATCACTCTAACCCAGGAGTCCCCAACCTCTGGCCACAGAAGGCCTATGGCCTGTTAGGAATCAGGCCACACAGTAGGAGGTGAGGGCTGGTGAGTGAGCATTACCAGTTGAGCTCTGCCTCCTGTCAGATCAGTAGCAGCATAAGATCCTCATAGGAGCTCAAATCCTATTGTGAACTGCATATGTGAAGGACTAGTTGTGCGCTTCTTATGAGAATCTAATGCCTGATGATCTGTCACTCTCTCCCATCATCCCCAGATGGGACCATCTAGTTGCAGGAAAGAAAACAAGCTCAGGGCTCCCACTACTTCTGCATTATGGTGAGTTGTATAATTATTTTACTATATATTATTACATTATTATTTCTGGTCTGTGGAAAAATTGTCTGCCATGAAACTGGTCCCTGGTGATGAAAAGATAGGGCACTGCTGCCCTAACCTCTGTCCCTCTGTGTCATATGGCTTTCTTCCCTGTGTGTCTGTGTGCCTCCAAACCTCCCTCTCTGTATAAGGACACTAGTCATTGGATTTAGGGCCCATTCCAATCCAGTATGGCCTTATTTAATTTGAGTACATCTGCAAAGGCCATATTCTCAAATAAAGTCATATTTGTAGGTAATGAGGAGTAGGGCTTTGACATCTCTCACCGGGGGACACAACTCAACCCACAACAGTGCTATTTGCTAAAAACTTAGAATTTTTTAACATTAACATAGAGAAAATACATACTTAGGAATATTTATGAAATAATCATTAATATTTTAAAAATTCTTATTGAAGTATAACATAACACAAGGAAGTACAAACTCGTAAGCATTTATCTCCATGAATTGTCACAAAGTGACACAGCCATGTCGTCAGCACCTGAACCGAGAATCAGAACATTACCTTTCCTGCAGAGGCCTTCCTCTGTCCCTTCCCTGGTCCTTACCCTTAACATCATAGGTGTGGTTTGTCTACTACTGAGCTTTGTACGTATGGAATAATACAGAATCCACCTTTTGTGGCTGGTTTCTTTTGCTCAACATTATGTTTTTGAGATTCATTCATGTTGTGTGGAGCTATAGTTTGTTTACTTTTAATTACCATGTGGATTTCATTCTATGACTATTCCACCATTACTCTACTGTTGATGGATATTTGGGTTGTTTCTGTTTTGTTTTTTGCAACTACAAATAGTGCTGCTGTTAATATTTTTGTACACATCTTTTGATGGATATATTTACATACCTCTGTTGAGTATATATCCAGGAGTAGAACTGTTGAATCACAGGGTAAGTGTATGCTCAGCTGTAGTAGATATTGCCAAAGAGTTTTTCAGAGTAGTTGTATCAATTTATACTTTCACCACCAGTGCACAAGTGTTCCAGTTGCTCTATATCATCAGCAATCCTTTGTAATGTCTTCTTTAGTATAACCATTCTAGTGGATGGATATCTTTGCAAACAAGGTATTCAATTCACCATTGTTCATAACAGCAAACAAAATGAAACAATCCTGGAAGTGTTTAATGACATGAAAAGATGCTTATGACATACTAAGTTAAAATAAATGTATAAAACTCTATAAACCCATTTAAAAAAAAAGCAACAGAAAGAAATCTATACATCGCTCTCTTCTTTACCTTCTATCTGTATATATCCTTAGCATGCTCTGTTTCCTCTGCTTGAAATGCTTCTCCCCCAATTATTTTCATAGATGCTCATTCCTATATTTCAGGTCTGGTGTATCATATACCTGTTGACCATTTGTATGTCTTCTTTTGAGAAATGTCTATTCAGATGTTTTACCCATTTTTAGATCTGATTATTTGGGGTTTTTGCTATTGAGTTGTTTGAACTCCTTATATATTCTGATTGTTAATCCTTTGTCAGATGGGTGGTGTGCAAATATTTTCTCCCATTCTGTAGGTCATCTCTTAACTTTGTTTTGCTGTGCAGAAGGTTTTAGCTTGATGTAATTCCACTTGTCTGTTTTTGCTTTGGTTGCCTGTGCTTTTGAGGTCTTACACAAAAAAATCCCAGACCATGCCAGGCGCAGTGGCTCACGCCTGTAATCCCATCACTTAAGGAGGCCGAGGTGGGCCATTCACTTGAGATCAGGAGTTCAAGATCAGCCTGGCCAACATGGTGAAACTCTGTCTCTAATAAAAATACAAAAATTAGCCAGGCATGGTGGTGGGTGCCTGTAATCCTAGCTACTTGAGAGGCTGAGGCAGGAGAATCGCTTGAACTCGGGAGGCAGAGGTTGCAGTGAGCTGAGATCGTGCCACTGCACTCCAGCCTGGGGGAGAGAGTAAGACTTTGTCACAAAAAAAAGAAAAAAAAAATCTGAGACCAATGTCCTGGAGCATTTCTTCACTATTTTCTTCTAGTAGTTTTATAGTTTCAGGTATTAGACTGAAGTCTTTAATCCATTTTGATTTTATTTTTGTATATGATGAGAGACGGGGGTCTAGCATCATTCTTCTGCATATGGATATCCAGTCTTCTCAGCAACTTTTATTGAAGAGACTGTCCTTTCCCCATTATATGTCTTTGACACCTTTATTGAAGATGGATTGGCTGTAAATGCATGTATTTATATCTGGGTTCTCTATTCTGTTCCATTGGTCTATATGTCTGTTTTTATGCCAGTACCATGCTGATTTGGTTACTATAGCTTTGTAGTAAACTTTGAAGTCAGGTAGTGTGATGCCCCCACTTTGTTCATTTTGCTCAGGATTGCTTTGGCTATTCAGAGTCTTTTGTGGTTCCATATAAATTTTAGTATTTTTTTCTATTTCTGTGACAACTGTCATTGGTATTTTGATATGGATTGCATTGAATCTGTAAATTGCTTTGTGTAATATTGTCATTTTAACGATATTAATTCTTCCAATCCATGAGCATGGAATATCTTTCCATTTTTTTGTATTCTCTTCAATTTCTTTAATCAGCATTTTATAGTTTTCTTTGTATAGATCTTTCACTTTTTTGGTTACATTGATTCCTACATATTTTATATTCTTTGTAGCTATTGTAAATGGAATTGATTTCTTTTTCAGATTGTTCACTGTTTATGTATATAAGTGCTACTGATTTTTGTATGTTGATTTTGTATTCTACAACTTTACTGAATTTGCTTATCAGTTCTAACAATTTTTTGGTGGAGTCTTTAGATTTTTCTAAGTATGAGATCATGTCATCTATAAACAAGGCTAATTTGACTTATTTCTTTCCAATTTGGATGCCCTCTATTTCTTTCTTTTGCCTAATTGCTTTGGCCAGGACTTCTAGGACTATATTGAATAAAAGTGGTGAAAGTGTACATCCTTGTCTTGTTCTAGATCTTAGAGGACAAGTCTTTAATTTTTCCCTTTTCAGTGTGATGTTAGCTGTGGATTTGTTGTATATGGCCTTTATTATTTTGAGATATGTTCCTTCTATACTCAGTTGATGATCGTTTTTACCATAAAGGGATGTTGAGTTTTATCAAATGCTTTTTTGGCATCTATTGAAATAATCATATGGTTTTTGTTCTTGGTTCTGTTTTATGTGTTGCATCACATTTATTGATTTATGTATGTTGAATCATCCTTGAATCCCTGGGATAAATCTCACTTGCTCATGGTGAATGATCTTTTTAATATGTTGTTGAATTTGGTCTGCTAGTATTTCATCGAGAATTTTTGCATCTATGTTCATCAATAATAATGGCCTGTATTTTTCTTTTTTTGTTGTGCCTTTATTTGGTTTTGGTATCAGGGAGATGCTGGCCTTATAGGATGAGTTTAGAAGTATTCTTTCCTTTTCAATTTTTTTGAAGCATTTGAATAGAATTGGTATTAGTTCTTTAAATGTAAGGTTGAATTCAGTAGTGAAGCCATCAGATCCTGGGCTTTTCTTTGATGGGAAACTTTTTATTATGGCTTCAATCTCATTACTCATTATTGGTTTATTGAGGTTTTCTATTTCTTTTCTCTTTTTTTGAGACACAGTCTCACTCTGTCACCCAGGCTAGAGTGCAGTGGCGCAATCTCGGCTCACTGCAACTTCCACCTCCTAGGTTCAAGCAATTCTCCTGCCTCAGCCTCCCGATTAGCTAGGATTGCAGGTGCCCGCTGCCACAACTAGCCAATTTTTCTATTTTTTCAGTAGAGACAAGGTTTCACCATATTGGTTAGGCTGGTCTCAAACCCCTGACCTCAAGTGATCGGCCCACCTTGGCCTCCCAAAGTGCTGGGATTTTCTATTTCTTCATGGTTCAATCTTGGTATGTTGTATGCATGTCCAGGAATTTATCCATTTCTTCTAGGTTTTCCAATTTTTTGGTGTATAGTGGTTTATTTTTTAAATATTTATTTATTTATTTATTTTTGAGATGGAGTTTCACTCTTGTTGCCCAGGCTGGAGTGCAGTGGTGCAATCTCGGCTCACTGCAACCTCCGCCTCCCAGGTTCAAGTGATTCTCCTGCCTCAGCCTCCTGAGTACCTGTGATTACAGGCGCCTGCCACCACACCCAGCTAATTTTTTGTGTTTTCAGTAGAGATGGGGTTTCATCATGTTGGCCAGGCTGGTCTCGAACTCCTGACCTCAGGTGATCCACCCACCTCAGCCTCCTGGTGGTTTATAATAGTCTCTAATAATTCTTTGTATTTCTATGGTCTCAGTTGTAAAATAATATATATAGCTTTAGGCGTACCCCTTAAGCTCTTATTGTTTCTCTCATCTGTTAAATCGGAAAATTGCAAAATAAGGAGAACAATATTAGCCTAACAATGTTATTGTGAAGATAGAATGAAATACCGAATGTGAAAGTACAGTGCTTTGAAAACTGTGGCTCACCATACAAACGTGAGTTAGGGTTCTTGTGAGCAGATGACAGAGAATCCACCAGACTCCAGCTCTCTGAGACACCTGGCACATTGTCCCCTGAAATTTTACTTGCAAAATCAATTCAAATTGGCTTCAATACAGACTCTTCCTCATGAACTGAAAGTCAGCCAAAAGACACTGAACAAAGAGCCGCAGTGATTATTACCATCTCAAACAACAAGCCGTGTTTACCAGAGATGCTGGCTTTAGGATCAACCTTCTTGAAGGAGGTCTTTATGTATTGATTGCAAAGTTTTACCAGGCAGAATATTAATAACATTTCCCAGGGAAATGAAATTGAAGGGCTTTGCCAACATCCATTACAACCAGAAATTTACAAATGGACTTAAAGGGCTGAAGTCTGTTAATCTGATTTCCCCTTCCAGTCCTACCTGCGGGGAGGCTGCACAGTCAGAGGTGGGCGGTGGAGGTCTGCACAGACATTTGGTAGCTTTTACTCTCTGAGCGGGCATCACCTTCATGCTCATCATCACCATTATCAGAGCAGCATCAATTTATTCAAATCTAGGTACTTCCTTTGGGCTAGATGCTTTACAGATAGTATCTGGTTTACTTTTCATCACTATCCCAATGACACAGGGTCATTTTACAAAAAATAGAAATGAAGTCTCAGAGCAGTTATGTCTTGCCCATGTGCCTACAGCTGGGAAATGGCAGAGTAGGGATTTATGCTCAGGGCTTTGTGTTCCAAAGCCTGAACGCCTAACCACTCATCTATACCACCTCCCGGGGGAGGTTGGTTGAGCTCCTTAAGGCTGCAAGGGGCAGATATCTGCAGGCAATGTTCAGTTACAGCAGTTGTTGCAACACTGCCTCTTGGCTGACTCTTCTGAGGGGGATAGTGATTCCGAGTCCTCTGGCTTCACACACACACACACACACACACACACACACACACACAACACACACACACACGCACACACATGCACACACCTCATTGTTTAAGACCTGGCTTGGCCTTGTTGGGTCTACAGCTTGAGCTTGAGCATCCTTTTTCCTGCACAAGCACCCAAAACTCCTGCTTCCCAAAGTAATGTCCCAACTGAGGGCTTGGTGGCCATCCAGTGCGGAGCATTTGATTGGGCAGAGAGTATTCCCTAGCAAGTCATAGAATCACCTAGCACAACACTCTTGGGGCCATTTCTTGAGAGGAAGTCTCCGAATGAAGCTGGCACTTAGAACTTTATGGCCCTCTCTCCAGTACAGAATCCTGGAACCAAAACCTTCAGACAGACCTGTATTCAAATGGTGCCTCTGTCACTTACAACCATGTGATCTTGGGCAATGGTGACAAGACTATCACCATTTTTCAGGTACCCATGCAGTTTTTCAACTCTTGCCCCTCTTTTTCCCCAACCACACCCTGGCTCTTGTATTTCCAGTGTCTATTGTTCCAATCTTTGTGTCCATGTGTACTCGATGTTTAGCTCCCACTTATAAGTGAGAACATGCAGTATTTGTTCCTGTATTAGTTCACTTAGGATAATGGCCTCCATCTGCATCCATGTTGCTGCAAAGGACGTGATTTCATTCTTTTCACGGCTGCATAGTATTCCATGGTGTATATGTACCATATTTTCTTTATCCAATCCACTGCTGATGGGCACCTGGGTTGATTCCATGCCTTAGCTACTGGAAATGAGCTCCATACTTTTAATACATAGTCCTAATTATAATCCTAACCATATTTTTTTGTGATTATTTAGTATTTGTCTTCTCCCACCATCCCATAAGCCCACCGAGGGAAAAGTAAGTTTATTTGGTTCACTGCTGTGTTCTCTGCACATACAACCATATCTAGAACATGGGAAATGCTCAATAATTGCTCACTAGAGTGAATTACTGAAAAAAGGGAGTCTGAGGTCAGGTTTTCTAGAAGTAGAGCCTAATATGGGCACCTTTGCACAAGAAACTTATCAAAGAAGGGCTTTCAGAAGAAAGAGAGTGAGAGCAAGTCCTAAGGAAGGATGTGGTCTCAGTCAGAGGCCAGTCTCAGCCAGACCCCCAGGGGGCTCTGGGGTGGGGATTCTCCACAGGCTCGCTGCCTCCTTGAGGCCCCTCTGTTACTCATTGGCTCCAAGTGGTTGGGACGGACGGGAGTGTGTAACCTCCCAGGAGGATGTCTCCTGATGACTGAGGGCAATTCTCCAGAGAAAGGGGCAGCTGTGAGCATCATTCACAGCATTCAGGCATGGGTGCACCCATCTGCACAGGAGATCTGGATGGGGCACCAACAGCATGCATGACAAATAGAGACATACTTGGTGTGCATGAGTTATAACCAGACACTGCCAATGCCCCTTCCATTGGAAAGTTCTGTGATCTTAGGATGTCTATAGGAAACAAGTCCAAGAAGGAGCACAATTCTTTCATCTTGTGGGATTTTTATTAGACAACACAGAAGCTGGAAAGTTAATAGCCCGCATCTCTGAGTAGCCTGGGCCTTGGCATGTCTTCTCAAGCCTGAAGTGCCTGCTGGTGTGGCCTTAGCACCCTGGGGGCCCCCAAACAGCAGATTCCACCCTCCAGGTTCCCTCTTCTCTGGAAGAAAGATAGCCCTCTCACTCTCTTTCTCTCCCTGTCCCACAGGTGCCTCTCTCAGTGGTGGCCTGGCAGCCTCCACCAAAGAATGTCACTGGCCTGAGGCCCGGCCTCAGACAAAAGCCCTTTGGAGCTAAGCCTACATCCTCTGTCTGACAGGACCCTGCCCGCCTCCCTCACCACCAACTAGGGAGGGCAGCTAAATTCATCCTCCTCGAAAGGATGGATTCCACAGAGCAAGGCCGCCTCCCTACTCAGGAAGTAAAACCACTCCGAACCCTTGATCTCTGCCCTTGGCTCCTGGACAAATAACTGACTGTCCTCACACAGAGGGCCCCGTAGCCCCGAGAGCAGAGGCAGAGAGGCCTGCAGACACGTGTGCACTGGGGGCTGCAAGGAGGGAGCCCAATGCCAAAAACAAAACACAAAGCCCTGAGTCCCAAACAAATCTTCACACCCAACTCAACTCTGATCAGGGCTGGGAATGAAACTGACTCGAGTTTGAATTCCTGGCTCTGCTATTTACTAACAGTGCACCCCCACGCCAGTCATTCCCTGAAACTCAGTTTTCACAATTTTCAAATAGAGAGAATAGTATTTACTCTATAATTACATGTTTTGAGGGTTAAATGAGATAACATAAAATCTTGGTACAAAGGCTGGTACTTTTTCAGCAAACCAGTCTTCTAATACCATCCTATTCCTTTGAGCACCTAAAGCCCCTTGATGGGAGATCCAACATTTAACCTGCTTGGAATCTTGCAGATGTGTCCAAATGCCCTCCTTACTCAAGCTCACTGATGCTGTTCTTTCTTACCCTGCCTCCTCAGGCCAAGTCTCAACCTCTTTGTGATTCTACCTGTTCCTTCTGGAGCTCTGCATGGCTGGCTTCTGGAAGGCCATCAGCTGTGATCTCACCTGGACCCAAAACTACAGCTCCCACTCACTGCCCATCATATGAGCCACTGAAAGTCCTGGCGTGGTGTTGGAGGAGCTGTTTCCTGATTGCAGAGTATCTAGAATGGAAGGCCTGTCGTGATGGGATTTTGTTGGCAGGTTGTCTTCCAGATGGCTATGAAGACAATTTTGCTTTATGCTGCCCAATTCTGGTTGCTTCCTCTCCTAGGAAATGAGAGCCTTCATGGTGGACATGGCCTTAAAGACCAACACTGTTGTTTTATGGCTAAAAAGATGGACATACAGATCGGTGAAATGCCTACAAAACTAGAATGCTACCCAGGCCCAGAGGCAGCTGTCTGAACATAACCATGGAGAGGAGAGTTTCCCCTTCCTGGAGCACCCTCTTCCCTTCCCTTCCCAGCACCCTCCTTCCCTGCTTCTCCATCTGTTGTCACCTTTCCCCTCTGTACTGGATTGAACAGTGTGCCCCAAAAATTCATGTTCACCTGGAACCTCAGCATTTGACCTTATCTGGAAATAGGATCTCTGCAGATGTAACTCAGTTAACGTGAGGTCATACTGGATTAAGATGAACCATAATCCAGGCTGGGTGCAGTGGCTTATGCCTGTAATCCCAGCACTTTGGGAGGCTGAGGCGGGAGGATCACCTGAGGTTGGGAGTTTGAGACCAGCCTGACCAACATGGAGAAACCCCGTCTCTACTGAAAATACAAAATTAGCCGGGCATGGTGGTGCATGCTGGTAGTCCCAGCTACTTGGGAGGCTGAGGCAGGAGAATCACTTGAACTCGGGAGGCGGAGTTTGCGGTAAGCCAAAATCGCGCCATTGTGCTCCAGCCTGGGCAACAAGAGCAAAACTCCATCTCAAAAAAAAAAAAAAAGATGAACCATAATCCAATAACTGGCATCTTTACAAGAAGAGAGAAATTTAGACACAAACACACAGTGGAAAGTGGTCACATGAAGACAGAGGCAGAGATTAGAGTTCTACGCCACAAACCAAGGAATGCCATACATTGACATCAACCATTAAAGGCAAAGAAGAGACAAGGAAAAATTGTTCTCTAGAGCCTTTGGAGAGAGCATGGCCCTGCCGAAACCTTGATTCCAGACCCCAACCTCCAGAACAGTGAGAGAATACATTTCTGTCGTTTTAAGCCATTCAGTTAGTGGTGCTTTGTTACAACAGCCACAGGAAACCTGCACCCTCTTGTCTTGTGCTCTCCTCCATCCCTCCCTTGGTGGAAGAAGAATAGACTCCTAAGACACACGAATTTACACAAACACATTAGGATCAAGGGCCCACAGCTTCAGTATTTGCATTTTATAGGATGACTTCCACTAAAGGTAACGAAGTGGAAGCAGGACTGGAAATTCTCACAAATGGAGGCCTAGTTACAGCTCTGCAAATCACCCTTACAAAAAAATGTATCATCACCTCCATTTGATAGATGCAAAAGCCAGGGCTCAAAGAGGCATGAGCAAAGGGGGCAGGGTTGTGTGGTGGCTAAGAGTGTAGCCTGTGGCCCCATGGTCAGCCTGTGTCCAGATCCTGGGTACTCTACTTCATAACTGGCCATATGAACTTAGGCAAGTCAATTTAACTTCTCTGGGCCTTGGTTGCCTCATCTGTAGAATGAGGATAATAATAATAAAATCTATCTCTAAGATAGATGGGAGGTAAAACCTATCTCTAAGATAGATGGGTACCATGGGTACCATGCTCACTACCTGAATGAAAGGATTAATGGTACCCCCAAACCTCAGTATCACACAATATACCATTATAACAAACCTGCACCTATACCCCCAAATCTAAAATAAAAACTGAAAAGAAGTTTTAAAAAAGTAAAAACAGAAAAAAATGGAGCTATGTGTATTACTGGAAGGTTCTGGTAATTTACCTATTGTGGCTCAGCTACACATCTCTTTGCTCTTTCAACCCTGCAATACTTCTGTAACCACCCCCCTGTATTAAATTCCTTCTGGCTGAAATACCTAGTGTAGTTTCTATAGTCCTGCCTGGAGCCTGACCCATCCATGGGGTACTCAACCTGGACCAGCAAGTCAGCAAAGGCATCTCTGAAGAAATATATTTAAGAGCTCAGACCTGAAGGATCAGTAAGAGTTATTCAGGGGATATAACTCTGTCTGTTTGGAAGACAGGAAATAAAGGAACTTATAAATACAGTCTCTGAAGCAGAAACAGAGAAGTCCTATATGGCAAAAGTAAGTGCTCTAGAAGAATGGAGGGGGGTAAGTAAGGGTCAATCATGCAGGGCCTTGGAAAGACACAAAGCATTAAAGAATACTAGGTTGGAGAATGACACAAATAACTGTATTATAATAAGGATAAGAGGCAGTTATCTTCCCAAGTCTATAAAATCTTTCTGGGGTTGAACTGTTCTCATCGTATGTGGCAGTTCACTCCACAGCTGGAATTCTTTCTATCAGAAGGAGTGTAAACCCAGAGACAGTTATCGAACATGGGGTTTTTGTGTAAATAACAATAACAAAAAAAGGTGCTTTTTCAAGGTAGATGTAACCCCACTGCATGGTTTGGCTAAAGGAAAGCATCTTTCTAAAAAGAATAAATTATGCTTCCTTCTGGCAAAAGCAGCCCAAATGTCTCTGTGCAATGCATAAAATGCACAGCCACAGTGGCAGCCTTTGGAGTCAGGCAGACTCGAATTTAAATGTCATCTCTACTTGCCATCTTGAGCATTCACCCTAACGTCTTCAAGTTTCTATTGCCTCATCTGAAAATTGAGGCCTAACAATGTGTGTCTTATACAGCTCTGGCAAGAGTTAAATTAGGTGATACTTGCAAAACATCCAGTTCAGTTCCTGGTGCCTAATAGGTTTTTAAAAGTGATCACTTTAATTGCCAGCAAGTCTTGTTATTTTGAGTCAAAATCAACCTCCTTGTAACTTCCACTTCAGTAGAGTTGCCCTCAAATTACTTGATTTCCTCTTCCACATGAGAATATTTCTGCCATTTGAAAATAGCTCTCATACCCTTTCTTTGGGATGATTTTATGCTCTTGTTGGTGCCCGGATCAATTCTTAAGCTGTCCTCCCCATCCTGCCCACCAAAGCTCAAGCCTCAACTTTTCTCCTAGCCAGGTCCTCTTTTTGATTCACCAACAATCAAACTAATTGGCTCTCTGGGTTTGTTACATTGACTACACTGGTTTCAAATGTTAATATTTATTATCTTATCTCTTTGATGGTTTTCTTGACATGGCAGGTGCTTCAGATGGAAGTTCGATGTGGCTGTCAGGTTTGAAAGAGCATGTGTTTCCAAGAGTTGGCTTGAACAGGGACACAGAAAGCAAATTTCCATGTTGTGTCATATTCTGTCATCCTGTGATTACTCACCAGGGCCTCTTCCCTTCTCCACCTCCTCTGGAACCACATAACACATGAAGAGAGAAATGGACAGTGACTTAGATCATAAACAGCATTCTCTAGCTCCTGGCTGGGCTTAGCAATGGAAGTTAGTTGCCAACCATTTGTTGAATTTGCATATTTTGGGATGTACAGCCCATGACCCTCCTGGTCATTGCCGATTCAGGTCATCCTTTTGCTTACTCATTCATTTATTCATTCAACATTTACCTATTTTGTGCCAATCCTGTGCTGAGCACTATGCATGTATGATCTTGTGCTCTCTGAACATCCATGAGGCGGGTGCTATTACTGTCTCCATTGCCATAAATGAGTGATTAGGGGTATAGCTTACTTAAATATCTTGTCTGTTTTTGCACAAGCAGAGTCGAGATTCAAAACCAAAGGTCTGACTTCCAAACCAGTGTTTTTAACCACAATGCCACATGGCTCTTCTTTTTCTACAGAAGAGTGTGTATTGGAGAGTGGTTCCCACCTGTTTGTTTCTTCTTTCCCACCAGTAATTTTTATGTGTGCTTGGCGGTAGAGAAGATTAAGTGTGAAGTGGATGTAGGTAGATGGTAAGAAACTTGCCTGCAGTCACACAGCTATGAAGAGCCAAGGCTCAGCCCAGGGTGGAGCTCATTATAAAGAACCTAAAGCCTGGCTGGGCACTGTGGCTCATGCCTGTAATCCCAGCACTTTGGGAGGCTGAGGCAGGCAGATCACCTCAGGTCGGGAGTTTGAGACCAGTCTGACCAACATGGAGAAACCCTGTCTCTATTAAAAATACAAAATTAGCCGGGCATGGTGGTGCATGCCTGTAATCCCAGCTACTTGGGAGGTTGAGGCAGGAGAATTGCTTGAATCCGGGAGGTAGAGGATGCAGTGAGCCAAGATTGAACAATTGCACTCCAGCCTGGGCAACAAGAGTGAAACTCTGTCTTGGAAAAAAAAAAACAAAAAAAACTAAAGCCTGTGCCTTTTCTTCACTGCATCATGCTTTATCATTCAGCCTGCAGATGTACTCATCCAAGCAACTGACCTTTTAAGACAGCCGCTATATACCAGGCATTGTGTGGGAGAACAAAAGTCCATCTCCTTTGCCTCAAGGCTGTTAGATCTAGTGCTGCAAATTTATGTTCCAGAACTCCTTGCGGGATCAAGTGGAACTGTTTAGAGAGAGGACACTCCAGATTCAGGATTGAGCATGTTGAACACCACACAGCTCTGGACTATCCATTTTGCAGGGTGTGTGAACAGCATCCACGTAACTGAAAATGGCAGCCCTATATATCTTCTTTACAGAAACATTGAGGCAGGAAAAGCATTGCTTAGTCAGTCACTCATCCACCAAAATGTGTGTTTTGAGAGTCTGTACCTAGGCACTATGGGGTTAGGGTTGGGGTTAAGGTAAGGGTGAGGGTTAGGCTTGTCTTCACTCTCAAGGAGGCTTGCATCTCACTTATAAGGGGAATCAGGTGAAAAGAGAGTTAATGAAACAAGATGACAGAAGAGCGAGCAGATGGGCATGTGAGAAAGGGCACTGAGGCCGGGTGCAGTGGCTCATGCCTGTAATCCCAGCACTCTGGGAGGCCAAGGTGGATCAGTTGAGGTCTGGGGTTCAAGACAAACCTGGCCAACATGGTGAAAACCCATCTCTGCTAAAAATACAAAAATTATCCGGGCATGGGGGCAGGCGTCTTTAGTTCCAGCTACTCGGGAGGCTGAGATGGGAGGATTGCTTGAACCCAGGAAGTGAAGGTTGCAGTGAACTGAGGTTGCATCACTGCACTCCAGCCAGGGTGACAGAGCAAGACTGTCTCAAAAAAAAAAAAAAAAAAAAAGAAAGAAAACAGAAAAACATCATTGAACTTGGAGTAAGAAGACTAGGCTTCCAGGCCAGCTCTGCCACTAAGTAGACTTCTCAATTTGAGTTGAAGCCTAAGGCTTTTCTTGGCTCCTGCCCTTATGCCTCAGGTCCCTGGTCTCAGGATGGTTTTCCTCTCTCAGCATACATTGTAGACTGAACTCCAGGTGATGAGGTTCTCCAGATTGACCTCAGGCCCCTCCTCTGGGCAGCCATTTTGGATCTGACACAGGCACCTTCTATGGCTCTGGCTCTAATAGTGAGTATCTAAAAAATGGGTAGTGTAGGGGGGATATTTTAAAATCTTAAGGTCTCACTGATGCCCTTGAAATTAAGCCATGTCTTCTGGGTTTGGTGTGTGGACATGCACAGGCCACATTTCACTCATGGTCCTGTGGGGAAAAGGAAATGTTTTAGGCCAGTTTTTTCCCAGAAGCCGGCCCTCAGCGGAGGATTCAAATGTATCCTTCTGGAAGTGCTCCCAGGAGAAGCGAGTAAGGAAGCAGAGGAAGCAGGAGAGGGAAGGGGAAGTTGGGAGGCAAGGGTGTGATTCCAGGTGACGCCCACCCCTCATCCTGATCCCCATGGGGACACTGAGTATAAATTGCACCTCCAAGCTTGTCCCACCTGGAGTCAAAAGAACCGTGACCCCACACAGTTTGTACCCTACACCTGCCTATTCTGGAGGGCAACACTGTGAAGAAAGTAGCAGCACCGTCTTTAGAAGTAGGGGACAGGGACAGTCAGATAGCTGGTCAAAAGGTGGTCCTGAGTGGGGAGACCAACAGGGGCCCCCACAGAGTTTCTACTCTGTTAATCTTCTTTATTACAAGAAGTGATCACCAAGAAAGTTTCCAAAAGTAGAAGAGGGGAGACTTTAGTTCACTAATGTGTCTGTGGTCAAATCCAAATTGTTGACCTCCTGTCTTCCTTCTGAATTCCAGCTTCTCACCAGCCCAGATGGCGTCCTTTTCCACTTCAATATCAGCCCAAACAAGACCCATTTAGATTGATCTCCAGCAAAAACAAAGCAACACAAAAACACAGCCACATTCAAATGAATTTTGCAGAATCTGGTTTTTTTTTTTTCCCCTTAGATATGAGCACATCTGCTTCTCTCCAGACCTTGGCAATCAGTGTTGATTCTATGGCAGTGCCTTCAATGGGTCCTTGTGGCATATTCTGAAAGGGGCTCCTCATTTCCTCCTCACAGAGATAGCTTCCCTCCACTTACTGTCGATGGCTGATGTAAGATGCTTGTGTCTGGATAATAAACAAGCCACAGCAGTTGAGGAACAGACACCTTTTAAGTTAAAAAATTAAAAATGCCATATACATAGCCCATTGGAATTTAACTTTTAAATATGAAAGTATAATACGTAATTTGTTTATCAAATGTAAGTAAAACAACCAAACATTAATGTGCTAAATTATATACCAACAGTTGTCAACCAGGGACAATTTTCCGGCCCCTGCCCCAGGGGGCATTTGGCAATTTGGCAACATCTGGAGAACTTTTTGGTTGCCATAAGAGGGGAGAAGGATGTGCTACTGGCATACAATGGGTAGGGGCCAAGGGCACTGCTAAACATCCTACAATGCATAGGACAATTAGCACAACAGAGAATTACCTGGCCCAAAATGTCAACAGTGGTGAGGCTGAGAAACCCTCATCTAGACTGTATTATTTTGGTGTAAATTTTGCATTGGTTCTCTATATTAAGGCCTATTTTCAACAGTTTTGAACTTTCGAAATCCCAGTGTCGAAATATTTTTGAGCACCAATTTGGAGTAAGACGCTGTTGGAGGTGCTCTAGTATTAACCCTTTGGTATGACTCAATCAGTAACCTCATGGTTCACTCAGCAGTGAATTTCCTCCATCTGAGTTTTCGGAGTTCCAGCATCAGTGTGGGTTACCAAGGTGGGACACAGGGTCCTGCACTCAGAAGGAGGCCCCAGGCTTGGGGTTTAAGGCTGTGCGATGGCCATTCTGAAGTTCTTAGTCTTTGAATTTGTGTTTTGATAGTGAAGTTTGAGGGGACAGTGAAGTATGCAGCATGCTTGATGCCTCAACTCATGTGGGTCCCACTTCCTGCTGCCTCCCCGCCTGGCTGGAGTGGGTTCTCGGCTGCCCGTTCCTCTACCCACATCCAGTGACTGCTGCTTCCCTCTGCCCCTGGACAGGTCTGAGAGCAGGTTTGGGGAGGGTTGAGTAGGGTATGCGCACCCCATGGACCAAGTCACGGGACAGGCCCCAGGTGCCTGTGAGGGGCTGCCCTCACCCCAGAAGCATCCCTATGCCTGAGGGAGAATGATGTTAAATAGTGAACAAAAAACACTATGATGGGTTGAGAGAGAGAGAGATGATGGAAGAAAAGAAAAAGGGGTTTTTTTTCTCTGCTTTTTGAACAAGAAGCCTCATGTTTCATTTAGCACTAGGTCCCACACATCATGCGGCTGGCCCTGTCAAGAATCGATAGCTACTGCTCATCAACGCTCTTTTTTTCTAAGCAAAACCTTCCTGGTGGAGTTTTAGGGTTGCCTTTTATTTGGGAGTCATGAAGTCTTCCACAGCAGTGTACAACAAAACCTTTTTGGAGAAGGCTTTAGACCCAACCAGTGATACATCTAACATATTGCTAGAGACTGAATGTATGTGTCTCTCCACGCTGAAAGGTGATCAGGTTATGAAGGTGAAGCCCTCATGAGTGGAATGAATGCCCTTATAAAAGAAACTCCAGAGAGCCCCTTTATCCCTTCCACCATGTGAGGACACAGTGACAAGGTGGCCATCTGTGAGCCGGGAAACGGGCCCTCCCCAGACACCAAATCTGCTGACCACTTGATCTTGGACTTCCAGCCTACAGAAGGGTGAGAAATAAAATTCTGTGGTTTATAAGCCACAAGTCTATGGTATTCTGTGACTGCCGCCTGAATGGACTAAGACAACGATCATTGAATTACTAAATACCAACGTTACCAGAGAAAAATGAAAAGCTATAGCAAGAACAATAGATTCTCTTTTACCTAGTTGTGTATAACCAGGCCACTCATTTTAAGCCTACTAGGATTCTGGCTCTCTTTCTTTCATTGCCTTTTGCACGTCTGGACCAGGTTTTATGTGCTTTATGGACTTTCTTACAAGGCACTTGGTGGCATGCCTAAGGATCGACAGCAGAGACTTCGCCACGCGTAGAGAACAGCTGTGTTTTGTGCCTATCTACTAATTATGTTTGTAAATGGGAGAATGTCGTCTTGTATGTGGTTTCATTATGACATTCCTCCTGGTGGTGAGGTTGTGGGAGGAAAGACAACTCTTCTGTAGTCGTTGGAGGCTACTAATGTTTGCCAGCGTTCCTGACAAGTGCTGAATGGCTGCTTGGCTTTGATCATGCCTCACTGACAGGCCATAGTATTCTGTATTTTATAGATTCAGTTCCAGAGCCTTGGTAAAAGGTCAGGAAGTTTATTCCTGGTCACACGACCAGGAAATAGAAGAGCCAAAACTTGAACTCAGTCCAGACTGACTCCAGAACATGAATTCTTGCCTCTATGCTCCTGCACTCCTACCAGCATTCCCCATCGGCCTCCAGTGCTCCTGTGTGCACTGTCAGTGACCAGGAGGACCTCAAACGGTAATCCCAGCTCCTCTCTCTCAGTTTCTATGAGGCCGCCAAGCCAAGCAGACAGGGGAGACTGAAACCCATCCTGTCCTCTTCTCAAGCCTTGATCTGACTTCTCCACCCAGAGGAATAGGTGCCTTTATCAAATTCATCTGTTCACAAGGATCACTTTTTTTTGAATTCACACAAAGGCACTGGATAGATAAGCAGCTGTCAAGGGTACATAAGGGCTGTTTCTTCATTTCACCTTCTTTGTCTTCCTACTGGTTATTATCTACCCTTGGGTGCTCAGGACCATGAGCATCAGCAGGACCTTCCTACAAAGTGGCCACACCCTTGATCCTTAGGCCAATAGACTAAGGGTTTCTTAAAGTGTGTGGCCCAAGAACCATGTCAGAATAATCTGGGTGGTGGTTAAAAATGCAGAATTTTATACTCCATTCAGATTGCCATATGCAGGCTTTCTGGGGTTTGGGCCTGATAATCTGCATTTTATCAAGTTCAAGTTCTTATGCCCTCTAAAGTTTTAGCAAATCTCCTCTGTTTCTGCTGACAACTTTGTTTTGGCTTTGAATCCACCTCTGTCCAATCCTAAACAAACTCTTGACTCTGTGACTGACCCTCCTGTGTCCCTCTTCAATCCACCATGCTCTGTGGGTGTTCAGTCTGCCAGTATCTGCTTTTCCCTCTGGACTCTCCAGGCAGCTGGCACCTTTGCAACTCTGTGGTGCTTCAGGTAGGGACCCTCATTCTGTGGACATTCTGATTCCTCTGCACCTCAGGCCTTCTCTGCTCTGAACCCTTGCACTTGCTTGCCTAACCCTCGGATCTTGCTAACTCCTCTGCAACCTCACTTCCCAGTCCCCTCTGGCCTAGCAGATCAAAATCCTTGTCACAGAGACTCATTCTCATGGTACCTAATGGTACCACTGTGGTCCTGAGCAGAGGTCCCTGACACAAGGCAGAAGGGCCGAGCCCTGTCTAGAGGCCTCTGCTCTCTGCCTAGTAGATTCCTTTCCTGTGTCTGGCTCAGGTCTGCCCACAGCCTGTGGTTGGGGAAACATGGAAGGCTCTGAGTTTCTGGTTTATAGATTTTAGGAACTACAGGGAAAACCTCAGTTCTCATATATGAGTCATTCAGAGTAAATGTTAGAGCTGGAAGCACCTTTTTAAAAGAGTAAGTTAAAGAAGCCAGCAGTAAAAGGATGGATGTTCATATTTTAGTGTTAGATACGTCATTTGGTAGCACCCACAGAAGCCTCATGGTTGAGCTACTCTTCTCTAGGGGAAATGATTTAATTATAATGATACTAAATCATCATGGTACTAACTCACGTGGTATTTTATAGATTTCTTATATTGTATTTTATTTGATTCTCATAAAATACTAATGGCTAATAGTTACTCTGCTATTAGGCACTGCTCTAAGAGTTTTATATATGTTAATTTCTTACTCTCACAGAGAGGCTAAGTAACTTGCTCACAGTCACACAGCTGTGAGAAGCTTAGCTAGGATCTGTACTTAGACAGTTTAGCTTCAAAGTATGTGTGTTTAAGATAAAGTTATGGCCGGGCACGGTGGCTCACACCTGTAATCCCAGCACTTTCAGAGGCTGAGGCAGATGGATCACGAGGTCAGGAGTTAAAGACCAGCCTGGCCAAGATGGTGAAACCCCGTTTCTACTAAAAATACAAAAATTAGCCAGGTGTAGTGGCAGACACCTGTAATCCCAGCTATTTGGGAGGCTGAGGCAGGAGAATCGCTTGAACCTGGGAGGCAGAGGTTGCAGTGAGCCGAGATTGTGCCATTGCACCCTAGCTTGGGCAACAAGAGCAAAACTCCAGCTCAAAAAAATATATATATATATATAACTGACTCACGTACTCCCATTTCACAAATGAGAGACATGAAGATGAAATAGGTGAAATGGGAGAATCACTGCTGACTTTTAAAGGTGGTGGGATACATAGGGCACATTACTTGATTTTAGCAGTCATGTTTTTAAGGCCAGCAGGAGAACACCTAAGAGGTGGAAGAGGATCACAAAAGTAGGTCTGGCAATCCTGGTAGTAACTTCTATGGTTAGAAAAAAAAAAAAACCATTTATTGATTTGGTTGACATTTTGATACTTTTTTGAGCATCTTTTAAGAACTAATTGGGTTCGCATTAATGCATATGTTTATTTAGCTGGGCACAGAAGTAATGGCTTTAATAAAGCAAAAAGGAACTTCTAAAGCAAAAAAAAAAAAAACGCATCTGAAATACAAAACACATTGAATGGTATTAACAGCAGATTAGACACTGAAAAAGAAAAGATTAGTAAACTTGAAGACATACCAATAGAAATTAATCAAATGAAAGCAAAAACAAAAACAAAGAAAACAAGAAAACAAAAAGAATAACAGACTCAATGACCTGTGTAACTATATTAAATGGCCTAACACAAACTTAATTGGAATTTTAAAAGGAGAGGAAAAAGAGGAAGGAGAAGAAAAAAAAAGACTTAACATTTTAAAAGTTCTAAATTTAATGAAAACTTAAACCCCAAAATTTAAGAACTTAAACAAAATCAAAGCAGGATTAACTTAAAGAAAACTACTCAAAAGCTATCATAATTAAATTACTAAAAATTAATGATAAAGAGAAAAATTAAAAAGCAGCACAATAAAAAATATATTACACACAGAGGAATAAGTATAAGAATTTTCCAAACTTCTTTTAAAAACAATGCAAGCCAGAGGACAATAGAACTGTATATTTAAAGTGATACATAGTTTAAAATGAACTTTTAAAAATATTTTTTAATTTTTCAACTTTATTATTATTACTATCATTGCGATTAAAAGTAACAGAATAAAGACATGCTGCTGATTTTTAATTTACAATTTCATATATTACCTAGTGATTTTTAAACTTTTCCTTCCTATGAGATTTAATTCTTACACCATCATCTGCACCTCTCCACATCATCCTCTTAATATTGTTAAAGCACTATTGTTGGCTACATAAATAGTGTTCTTTGAAGTGTTTAAATGCTCCAGCAGTAAGCCATCTTCTTATTTTCTTCTTCTTCCCTGGGCAGTTATCATATCAGAAATACTTTGCCATGCTCTCCCCTTTATTTGTTCCCTGGATACCTCCCTCAGGGACACTTTCATACTTGTTCTCAAGTACGTATACGGCAGTTGATCTCCAGACCTGAACCAGGGCTGTCATCCTGGAAATTCTCTTTGTCACACTCTTGGGTTGAAAACACTTTTTCATGGATCCCGGGTTACCTCTTATTTTGCTGGAGCACATCTTCAAATAACTTCCTAAGGAAGCATGACAGATGTAAATTTTCTGAAAAAATATTTTTTTAAACTTTCAGTTTCAGGAGTATATGTGCAGGTTGTTAAATAGGTAAATTGCATGTCATGGGGGTTTCATGTACAGAGTATTTCATCATGCGGGCAATAAGCATAGTACCTGATAGGTAGTTTTTCAATCCTCACCCTCCTCCCACTCTCCAGCCTCAAGTTGGCCCCAGTGTCCATTTTTACCTTCTTTGTGTCCATGCATACTCAATGTTTAGCCCTCACTTATCCAGTATTTGGTTTTCTGTTGTTGTGTTAGTTTCCTTAGGATAATGGCCTCCAGCTCCATCCACGTTGCTGCAAAGGACATGATTTTATTGTTTTTATAGCTGCATAGTATTCCATGGCATATATGTACATTTTCTTTATCCAGTCTACTGTTGATGGGCATTTAGATGGATTCCATGTCTTTGCTATTGTGAATAGTGCTGCAATAAACATGTGTGTGCATGTGTCTTTATGGTAGAATGATTTATATTCCTTTGGGTATATACCCAATAATGGGATTGCTGGGTCAAATGGTAGTTCTGTTTTAAGTTCTTTGAGAAATCAACAAACTGCTTTCCACAGTGGCTGAACTAATTTACATTCCCACCAGCAGTGTATAAGCATTCCCTTTTCTCCAACAAGATCACCAGCATGTTACTTTTTGGCTTTTTAATAGTAGCCATTTGACTTACACACTGATGGTATCTCACTGTGGTTTTGATTTACATTTCTGTAATGACTAGTAATGTGTGCATTTTTTCATATGCTTCTTGGCTGTGCATATGTTTTCTTTTGAAAAATGTCTGTTCATGTCCTTTGCCCACTTTTTAATAAGTTGTTTTGTTTGTTGATTTGCTTAAGAAAATGAATTTTTTTTGAGATGGGGTCTCGCTATGTTGCACAGGATGGAGTGCAGTGGCTATTCACAAATGTGATTAAAACACACTGTAGCTTTGAACTCCTGGGCTTAATCCTCTTGCCTCCGAGGCGGCCTCCTGAGTAGCTGGGACTACAAGTGTGTCCCACTGCACTCAGCTGAACAGTGAACTATATTTTTGAAGAAAATAAAGTCAACCAAAAATCCATATCTACCTAAAATATTTTTCAAAAATAAAGGTGAAATAAACAATTTTTAGATAAACAGAAGGTAAGAGAATTCATCACCAGGCTACCCACAGAAAAATGAATATTAAGTCTTTGGGCTGAAAGAAAATGATAACTTGAAACTGGTTATACAAAGCAATAAAGAGCTTTACAGATGGTATATATGTGAGTAAACATAGACAAATTTTCTTATTTTTAATTTTTAAAAAAGAGAATTGACTGTTTAAGGCAAAAAAAGTAGTGTAGATTTTATAATGTATGTTCAAGTATGACAACAATAAAATCACCAAAAACAGAAGGAAAATAAATTAAATATACTCATAAGCTCTTTACACTATACACTAAGTTTTATAAGATGATGAAAGATGGAATGTATTGATTCAAAGATGCATAATATAAACCTAGGGCAGTCACTAAAATATACTCAATAATCCAAAAGAAGGCAAGAAAAGGAAAAAAAGGAACAATGTTAAGTGGAATAAATTAAATTCAAATAGCAAGATGGTTGACTTAAACCCAGCTATATCAATAATTACATAAATGTAAATGGTCTATACCCTCCAATTAAAAGTCAGATGTTATCAGACATAGTTTTTAAAATCCAGCAAAATGGCTTACAGTTTTAAAAACTGACAATCTCAAGTTTTGGCAAAAATGTGGTGCAACTAGAACTCTCATATATTATTAGTGGGAATGTAAAGTGGCATAATCACTTTGGAAAACTATTTGGCAATCCATATTAAAGTTTTGTGTATGTGTATATATATGTATATATATATATGCTCTAGCAATTCTACTCAATAGAAATGCATACATATATTCACAAAAAGAACACATAAGAATGTTCATAGCAGCACTTTTGTAATAGCTAAAACCTGGACACCACTCATATTTTCATCAACACTAGACTAGATAAATAAATTGTGGTATATTTATACAATGGAATATTATAAGACAACAAAACAAGCAAACCACTGCCATATGCCATAGCATGGGTGAATTCTACAAAATAATATTTAGTGAAAGAAGCCAGATAAGAAAGCATATACTGTATGATGTTATTTAAGTAACATTTAAATAAAGTCCAAAATCAGGCAAATCTAATCAATTTGGAATGAAGTCAGAACATTGGCTACTTTTTAGGGGGTGGTGTCTAGGAGAAGGCAGAAGGAAACGTTCTGGAGTGCTGGCAATTTTCTAATCTTTGATTTGTATGGTGGTTACTTGAATGTGTCATTTTTTGTAAAATTACATCAAGCTATACAAGTAGGACTTACACACTTTGCTCTGTCCATGTTATACGTCACTAAAATGTTTGTTTGTTTGTTTGTTTTTTAAATACAGATGAATGGCGTTCCAGGCAGGGAGCTAGCATAAGACATGGAGAGGGAAATAATATGATATGTGGAAAATGACAAGTAGCTCAATGTTGCTGGAATATAAAACCAGAAGTGGGTTATAGAAGGGCTAAGGCTGAGGCCGGGCGCCGTGGCTCACGCCTGTAATCCCAGCACTTTGGGAGGCCGAGGCGGGCGGATCACGAGGTCAGGAGATCGAGGCCATCTTGGCTAACACGGTGAAACCCCGTCTCTACTAAAAATACAAAAAATTAGCTGGGCGTGGTGGCGGGCTCCTGTAGTCCCAGCTACTCGGGAGGCTGAGGCAGGAGAATGGCGTGAACCCGGGAGGCGGAGCTTGCAGTGAGCCGAGATAGCGCCACTGCAGTCCGGCCTGGGCAAAAAAGCGAGACTCCGTCTCAAAAAAAAAAAAAAAAAAAAAAAAGAAGGGCTAAGGCTGAAGAGGTGTCAGTTACAGGTGATGGAGGTGTCACACTAAAGAGCCTGGACTGTCTGCTGAGGGCAATTAGGAAACACCAGAGGAGCCCAAGCAAGAGCTACATAATAAGATTTAAAATTAAAAAAAAAAAATTGTGTCAATCCTTGTGACGGGGATCCAAAATAGAC
Organism: Homo sapiens; assembly: GCF_000001405.40. Taxonomy (NCBI): domain Eukaryota; kingdom Metazoa; phylum Chordata; class Mammalia; order Primates; family Hominidae; genus Homo; species Homo sapiens. Next base: position 124,814,947 of record NC_000008.11, read on the forward strand.
ACAGGGAGATTGGTTTAGATGCTCTTGCAAAAATCCAGATGAGGGATGATGAAACACTGAGTCAGGGCAGTGGTTGTGGGGCTATTAAAAGAGCATGATCTGAGAAATAGGAGACAATATTAGTAAGACTTTATAGGATGTGGGAGGTGAAGAAAGCAGAGTTGGGATGATTCTTAAATTTGTAACACAAATGACTGCATGACTGGTCGTTCTGTCAAATGAGGCAGTGAAATCTAGATGGAGTTCAGGAAAGGGGCAAAAGACAAGTTCACTTTAGACAGTTTGGACAGGTTTACCAGATAAGGCAGCACTCTTCAAGTCAAGGGGGATTCTTTGGGAGCTATTTTGGGGTCTCCTGTTTCCTGGAATCAATGACCAATTTAAATGCCAGGTCTCTGATGTTCTTTACAATTACTGTTTGGTTTTCTTGCCTTTTCTGGTCACAGTGCACATTCAAGACACAAAGCCACGGTTGTCAGCAGCAGATCCAGCAGCACCATGGTCCTGGGGTCTGAAAGACTTCATCTTGCTTTCCTCTGCTGCTCCAGACAAAGGCCGTCTTGTACACTATCTATTTCAGTCATTTGTATGAGCGCCGTGGAATATTTTCAAGCTATCCCTTTTAAGCATTATCTCTTGGCAGTTAAGAAAATAGATCCATCGCAAGCACTGGAAGTTCTGAAAAGGAGTTTAAAAATAGCTCCGGGTGCTAGACAGCTGCAGCTATTGGGAAACTGAACCCTTGGCTTGCACTTTTGCTGGTTTTATTTCAACCTTGCAGCTGGAAATCAGTAGCTCCTCCTCTGTTGGGAACAGATGCAAAAGGAAGAAGGCACGAATCAGTACCCTCTTTTGACTTGGGGTCACACTTGGCAATCTGAATGCTGAGAGGCACCAGGGCAATGCAGAGTGAGCATGTAAAACTCTTGAGTTTCAAACAGCCTATCCAATATTATCTTTATATTTATTTGGAAGTGAAAATAAAGCTTGTTGGTTTTGTCATGCAAATTATAGGAAGCAAATCAGATAAAATCCTCTTGGCTGGTAAGAATAGGCAGAAAACACATCAACTGGTAACAACACAATGCTTTACATGCATTCTTTGACAACGCTATGAAGTGACTGCTATTGCCATTTCCATCTTTCGAGTGAATGAGAAAGGAAATTGTGGAAGAAAGTGCCTGGCCACAGAGCCAGGGAGCTGGGGAGGTGGGGTTGCCACACAGTCAGGCTCCAAAGCCCCTGCTCCCAGCCATTGCACTCTACCACCTTTCAACTGGGGATGCATGCAATGTTCATGTTTCTCAAAAGGGAGCATGGGTGTTTAAAAGTAGAAAACTCCAGTAATAGACATGAACAAATCTCTGTTTTAAGCCTAGCTATACCATGATGCCACTCAATACATTTTTGCTGAGTAAATGAAGGACTGCATTTTAAATAAATAAAGGAGGACCCTTAGCCTTTTTCTGTTTGTTTTTGTGATTTTTTTTTTGAGATGGGGTCTTGCTCTGTTGCCCAAGCTGGAGTGCAGTGGTGTAAACACGGCTTACTACAGCCTTGACCTCCCAGGCTCAAGTGATCCTCCCACTTCAGCCCCCCAAGTAGCTGGGACTACAGACATGCACTACCACACCTGGCTAATTTTTGTATTTTTTGTGAAGATGAGGTTTCATCATGTTGCCAAGGCTGGTCTCGAACTCCTGAGCTCAAGTGATCCACCTGCCTTGGCCTCCCAAAGTGCTGGGATTACAGGCATGAGCCACTGGATCTGGCCCCCTTAGTCTGTTTGAGATTCCGTTTCTTTATCTGTAAAATGAATATAATGATATATTTTGGTAGGCTTCACAAAACTTCCAAGGATCAAATGAAATAATGAGCTTTTTACGGTAGTGAAATAGCCTGGAAATTCATTCCTAGTTAATTCAACCAGTGGTTATTGAACACCTACCATGTGCTTGGAGCTGCATCTATATCAGTGAATTAAGAAAATAGAGTCCCCGCTTATGTTCTATCAGGAGGAGATAAAAAATAAACAGACCTACTAAGTAGGTAAAAATTCTAAATTGTGTTATGATGTATCCCTTAAATGATGAGGGAATATGGAAAAACAAAAAAATAAAGTGGCGTAAGCATGATTGACATGGGGATGGGCTGGAATATAAAACCAGGTGCTCACAATAGGCCTCACAGAAAAGGTGACATTGCATTGACATTTTAAGGTGAAGGAGTTAGCTCTGCGGATATCTGTGAAGAGTGTGACAGATAATGAGGTGGAAAGATGCCTGCTGTGTAAGGGGAAGTCATTGAGGAGTTCAGGGCTTTGTATGGACTTGAACTCTGTTCAGAAAGAGACAAGGCCCACCAGAGGGCTTGGCATGACCTGGCACGTTTTAAGGGGATCATGCCAGCTGCTGTGTTGAGAATGAATGTAGGTGGTAACGGCAGGAACAGGGGATGAGACCAGTTCTAGAAGAGAGGTAAGAAGTGTCACCTTCTGTATACACTTCAAAGAAAGAGCCAGTGGATTATGATGAAACTGGAGGAAAAGCTAGAGAATGAGCTCCAGAATCCAAGGAAGGAAGTGGACCAGGGCAGAGGGCACATTAGATCATATTGACAGGTCTGGCCAATGAGGGCTGGGGCTACCTGGGAGATTTGATGTGGTCACTGTTGACCTTGACAAGAGCCATCTTGCTGGGGGGCGGGAGTGGACACTGACTGGAGTGGGTTGAAGGAAGAATGGAAGGAGAGAAACTGGAGTCAGAGAAAAATAGGAGTGTGTTTTTTTAAATTTTTATTTTTAATTGTGGTAAAATACACATGAAAGCGACCATTTTAACCATTTTTTAAGCATACAATTCAGTGGTGTTAAGTACATTCACATTGTCGTGCGACCACCCTCCAGAAATTTTTCATCTCTTGAAAAATGGAAATTCTGCACTCATCAAACAAGAACCCTCATTTCCCACCAGCCCTGGGCAAAACATCATCCTACTTTCTTTTGCTATGAATTTGACTACTCTAGGTACCTCTTGTAAGTGGAATAGTATATATTTGTCGTTTTGTTTTTGGCTTATTTCACTTAGCATAATATGTTCAAGGTTCAACCATGTGTTAGAATTTCCTTCCTTTTCAAGGCTGAATGATATTCCATTGTATGGATTATACTGCATCTTATTTATCCATTCATCTATTGATGGGTGACACTTGGGTTGCTTCTGCCTTTTGGCTATTGTGAATAATGCTGCTATGAACATGGGTGCACAAATATCTCTTTGAGACCCTGCTTTCAATTCTCTTGGGTATATACCCAGGAGTGGAATTGCTGGATGAGGCAGAGAAAAGTTTTACTGCAAAGGGAAGAAATTAAATGGGGTGTAGTCTGCAGAGGAAGGGAGAGACACAAGAGGACTTCTGTTTTTTTCTTTTAAAAGATGTGAAAATTGGAGAAATAGCCTGTTTTCATTTGATAAGACTGATCTGGGCCGGACGTGGTGGCTCACACCTATAATCCCAATACTTTAGGAGGCCAAGGCGGGTGTATCACCTGAGGTCAGGAGTTCGAGGCCAGCCTGGCCAACATGGTGAAACCCCATCTCTACTGAAAATACAAAAATTAGCCTGGCATGTCCTCCCAGCAAAGCTAGAAGAAAGTGAGTTTCTCCTTTTCAAAGGTCTGTTCCAGTGATCAGTTATCTGTGACTTCAACTACCAGTATCTGTGATACTTGGTCCAAGTCTTCCTCCATGAAGCCAGGGGTGGGGGCAGCCCTACCCAAACCTTACAACTACGAACAGAGGAGGGATAGTTCCCCAAGGAAAGTTAGAATTGGTTACAGAATGGAAAATGAATGTGGACAGACAAAAAAAAATAGAAGATATTTATTAGTTTTTTATCTTTGTTACAATAATGAAGATAGAGACTCAGAGAAGTCACTCAACTTATAACTAGAGTGGTAGAGCTGGGTTTTGAATTCAATGGCTATAATTTTTTAAACTTTTTATTTTGAAATAACTATAGATTGACAGGAAGTTGCAAATATATATATGTGTGTGTGTGTGTATGTGTGTGTGAGAGTGTGTGTGTATGTGTGGGTATGTATATGTATATACGAGGAGGGTCTATGTACCCTTCACCCAGTTTCCCACTGAGTATCCCAATGTGTGATTATAGTACAACATCAAAACCAGAAAATTAACATTGGTGCAATCCACAGAGTTTATTCAGATTTCACAGGTTTTACATGCACTTATTCTATGTGTGTGTGTGCCCATCTGTGTGTATAGTTATATGAAGTTTTATCACGTGTATGTGATTCATGTAACCATTACCGTAATCAAGATAGAGAACTGTTTCATCACAACAAGCCTCCCTCATTCTACCTCTTATAGACTTATCTCCTCTCCTTCCTTATCCCTAGCCCTGGAAACCACTGATCAATTATTCTCTATCTCTATAATATTGTCATTTCAAGAATACTATAAAAATTCAAAAGGTTACAATATGTAACTTTTGAGATTGGCTTTTTTCACCCAGTGTAATTCTCTTGAGATTCATCCATGTTGGCTGTATTAAGAGTTTATTCCTGTTTATTGCTGCATAGTATTCCATGGTATGGATGTTTAACCATTCAACCATTGAAGGACATTTGGGTTGTTTCTAGGTTTTAGATATTTCCAATAAAGCTTCTATGAACACTCATGTACAGGTTTTCGTGTGAACTTAAGTTTTCATTTCTCTGAGATAAATGTACAAATGTGCAAATGGTAAGTGCATGCTTAGTTTTATAAGAAACTGGCAAGCTATTTTCCAGGGTGATGCTACCATTTGACATTTCCATCAGCAGTGTGTAAGTGATCCAGTTTCTTTACATCCTCACTAGCATTTGGTGTTATTGCTTTTTTTAATTTTAGCCATTCTAATAGTTACACCATAACAACTCATTGTAGTTTTAATTTGAATTTTTCTAATGGCTAATGGTGTTGAACATATTTTCATATGCTTATTTGCCATCTGTACATTTTCTTCTATGAGCCATTTATTTGTGGTTTTTGGCCCATTTTGTAATTAGATTGTTTTGTCTTCTACTGTTATGTTTTGAGAGTTCTTTATATAGTCTAGATACAAGTCTGTTAGATGAATATGTGGTTTGCCAATATTTTCTCCCAGTCTCTGGTTTATTTTTTCATTCTGTTTTTTTTTTTTTTTTTTTTTTGAGATGGAGTTTCGCTCTTGTTGCCCAGGCTAGAGTGCAATGGCGCATCTTGGCTCACCGCAACCTCCACCTCCTGGGTTCAGGCAATTCTCCTGCCTCAGCCTCCCGAGTAGCTGGGATTACAGGCATCTGCCACCAAGCCTGTCTAATTTTTTGTATTTTCGTAGAGACGGGGTTTCTCCATGTTGGTCAGGCTGGTCTCGAACTCCCGACCTCTCGTGATCCTCCCAAAATGCTGGGATTACAGGTGTGAGCCACTGTGCCCAGCCTTTTCATTCTCTTAATAGGGTGTTTTTCAGAGCAAACATTTTTAATTTTGATGAAGTATCAAGATGCCTCAATTTTTTCTTTTATAAATTGTGCTTTTGATTTTAAGTCTAAGACCTCCTTAACTTAGCTCTAAGTGCTAAAGATTTTCTCCCATATTTTTCTCTAAAAGTGTTGAAGTTTTATGTTTACATCTAAGTCTGTGATCTATGTTAATTTTTGTATAAAGTTTTAAAGTATGAGACTTAAGTTAAAACAAGAGATTTTGTTTTGTTTTGTTTTTTGCTCCAACACCACTTGTTGAAAAGAGTTTCCTTCCTTCATTCACTCGCTTTTGCACTTTTGGTATTTTTGGTAAAAAATCAGTTGAGTATATTTTTGTGGGTCTATTTCTGAGTCCTCTATTCTGTTTCATTGATTTGTGGGTTTATCTCTCCACCAATATCATACTACCTTGGCAACTGTAGCTATATAGTGAGACTTAACACAAGGTAGAGTGCTTCCTCCTACTTTTTAAAATAGTTATCACAGCTATTTTATTTTCAAAATTTTTGCCTCCCATACAAATTTTAGAATAAGCTTGGCTTTGTCTACAAAATCTTTTTGGGATTTTGATAAGAATTGTGTTAAACTATTGATAATTTGGGAAGAATTGACATCTCCACTATGATGAGTCTTCCAGTCTATGAACATGGTATTTCTCCTCATTTATGTAGGTCTTTATTTTTTCATCAGCATTTTGTAATTTTCATCAGAGACATAGTATATGTATTTATACCTAAGTATTTTATTTTCTTTGAAGTGATTGTAAATGGTATTGTTTTTAATTTCAGTTTCCCCATGTTCATTGACAGGATAAACAAATGCATTTGATTTTTGAGTGTTGATCATGTATTCTGTGACCTTACTTAATTCACTTATTAATTCTAGGAGGTTTATTTTAGTTTATGTTTTTTAGATTCTTTAGGATTGTATAAATAGACAATCATGTTATCTGCAAATAGAGATGATTTTATTTCTTTCTTTTCAATCTGTATGTCTTGTATTTCTTTTTCTTGCTATATTGCACTGGCTAGAACTTCTACTACCCTGTTGAAGAAGATGTTGAAAGCAGACATCTTTGTCTTATTCCCAATCTCAGTGGGAAGACGTTCAGTTGGCACCATTAAGTATGATGTTAGATGTTTTTTTTTTTTTGTAAATGCTTTTTCACAAATTGAGATATTTTTCGTCTGTTCCTACTTCAGTGAGTTTTTTTGAAAAATAGGGATCATACTTTGCTTTCACAGGATTGCTGTGATGATTCTAGGTGAAACATAAGTAAAAGTTTATGGCTGTTGTGGGCCCTCAAATAAGGTTTAGAAAAACAACCTTTGGACAACATTAAGGCGAGTCATTACAACTTAAAGTGAAACCTTCTGTAGACAAATGATCTCACATCTTCACTTCTAGGTATCTCTTCTGAAGAAACATTGGCTCATGTCCCAGAGATTTATATACAAGGAAGTTTACTGCAACCATGGCTGCAACAGAAAAAGCCATTGTGTACCACAGTGTCTATTTAGCCAATTGTCCATCTTTAGCTATTCTGAATGCCTAAAGATAGACAATTGGCTAAATAGAAATTGTGGTACATCCATACAATGGAATACCATGAAGCCATCGACAAAACATCAAGATTCTATTGACCAACATGGAAAGAGTGCCATGGATGGGCACGGTGGCTCACACCTGTAATCCCAGCACTTTGGGAGGCCAAGATGGTTATATCACCTGAGGTCAGGAGTTTGAGACTAGCCTGGCCAACATGGCGAAACCCTGTCTCTACTAAAAATACAAAAATTAGGTGGGCATGGAGGCAGGCACCTGTAATCCCAGCTACTCAGGAGTCTGAGGCAGGAGAATCGCTTGAATCTGGGAGGTGGAGGTTGCAGTGAGCTGAGATTGTGCCATTGCACTCCAGCCTGGGCAACAAGAGCAAAATCTCAAAAAGAAAAAAAAAAGAGAGAGAAAAAGTGCCAAGACACAAGGTTAGGTGAACAAAGGAAGTCTCAAAACAGAACAATTTGATTTTATATTTATAAATGGCATAATATATAAATATGGCTTATAAATTTATACTTATATCTACATACATATAGTATATAAGTATGTATTTTTAAAACCCAGTCATATATTGTAAACACATTCCTAAGTGCATAGAAAAAGGCCTAGAAGGACTTGACACTCATTTGTTAACATCGGACATCCTTCGGGAAATGAATGGGATTGGGTAGAGTACAAAGGGGTACAAAAGATCACTTTAAAAAACTTTATAAATATATTTGGTCTTTAAAACATTTTTTTACAATGATAATGTTTATATTTACTATCTGTTTACCTAAATAAGACTCAGGTAGTATGGGGCAGGGAGTAGCAATTTCTAGTGGTAAAATTTCAGACAATTGTTTTCCATAGTCACTGGGACCCAGAATTCCTGAGCTCTCTTTGTTCTATTGCTGGCTGCAATATTAGTTGTATGATTTTGGACAAGTCACTTTCTCTCTCTGGGCCTCAGATTCCTCTTGTAATGAGGAGATTAAACTAGAGTACCCATGGATAAGCATTTTTATTATTCACATTTAAGCATCTGACCTCTCTTTGCAAATAGGTTTTTGTATGTGGAACCTTTATGTATACAACAGAAGAAAGCATGTCAACAACCCAACTATTTGTACCCCGGATCCATTTCAGCACTAACGTTTTCTGACTGGAGTTGAAGGCAGTGAACCCAAAGCCACCCGTCAGAACTATACTGCCCCTCAGCTGAGTGAAAAATAACTGGGTGATTTCAAGTGACCCACAGAAGCTCAGGAGTGACAGTTGCTCTCATAAAATGTGTTCCCTGAGCATTAAGCCCTGGTGTTGGCAGGGTCTGATAGCTCAGGGACTGTTTGAGCTCCAAGGAGATCATTACTGTTTCTAGAGAGTTCTATGAGGACCCTGGGTCTTTGGAAGAACTATCCATTTGTGGTTTTTAGGAGAATCAGGTCCTAGATCACTGAAGCCACAGCCCATGGCCCAGAGCTGTAGCTTTACTGCTTTGGGGCTGCAGCAGGGAGGCGAGGCCACCTGGGGAAGCTGAGGGCAAGAGTAGAGGTCAAGTGCAACACACAGCATGCTGTGAAATATGAGAAAGGCTCATAGTGTCTTTTCTTTGAAATGAAAAGCGCCATCTCGAGTTCTGTGGAATTGGGTCCAGCCTTCCTTGGCTATAACAGGCATGATAAGGATCATTTTGCCTCCTTTAGGAGCAGGGCTAGATGTCCTACAATTCTCTGCATTAGTTGAGCCCATGGACAGTAACAGCCATAGTCTGAGATATAAAAAAAAAAACAGCACATCGCCCAGAAAAAAGCCTGGGCCCTGTGCTTTTGGGATTCTATTCGCACGTGTTTCGGACTGGCAAGACTCAAACCCAGAAAGAGGGACTCCCTGAGAGGGGAAAGGCGGACGTGCAGGGCCACTCTGGCCTAAGTCTTCTCTGTGGATCGAAGCAGAAGGTAGGAAGCCGGTGTTTTATACCTCCCTGCCTTTCCCTGCCCATTTGTGGGATGGAGAGCTGGGGGCCTGGGTGAATGACCTGTTGTAGTTCAGGTCCACACTCCTACCAAGGCACACCAGCATGGAGGGCGGGAGACCTGGGCTCAAGCCCCAGTTGGGCCACTTTCTCATCGAGGCTAGTCACATGCCTTTGCAGGTTCTCAGTTTCATTGTTTTTAAAAAGACCATTAGATTAGATACTTTTAAAGGTCCCTGCCAGTAACACTCAGTGATTCTAGAACTAGATTGTAAGAGCCTGGCAGGGTTCCACTTATTTGGTAAGAGGAAAGGAATAAGCTATAATGGTTAAGTGTGTGGAAACTGGAATTAGATTTCCTGAGTTCAACTCCTGATTCTCCTTTACTTACTGTGACTTTTGGAGAAGGTTTTTAATCTCTCTGAGCCTCAGTTTCTACATTGGCAAAATGAAAATAAGAGCTGTAGTTGATGTTGTTGTTTTAAGGGATGCAAATGATAATCTGAATGAAGCTTCAGGATCCAACAGAGTAAATGTTCAATAAGCCTTATCTTATTGTTTTGTATTTCCCCAGTTTAAGATCATAACAGGAACTGGCTAAAATTACTTCTTGATAAAACAATGCCCCTTACCATAGATTCAATTATCCTACAGGCCAAATCATGTGCCCCATGAGGTTAATTTGTTTATTCAATACTAATTAATCAATATTTATTGAACATCTTAAGTGTGGCAGACACTGTGACAGGACTGAGGATGCAAAAGCATCAAGATCTTATTATAGGGCTGGGCGCGGTGGCTCACGCCTGTAATCCCAGCACTTTGGGAGGCCGAGGCGGGAGGATCACTTGAGGTCAGGAGTTCAAGACCAGCCTGGCCAATATGGCCAACATAGAAACCTCGTCTCTACTAAAAATACAAAAAAAAAAAAAAAAATTGGCTAGGCATGGTGGTATATACCTGTAGTCCCAGCTACTTGGAAGGCTGAGGCAGGAGAATCTCTTGAACCCAGGAGGCGGAGGTTGCAGTGAGCTGAGATTGAGCCACTGCACTCCAGCCTGGGCAACAGAGCGAGACTCTATCTCAGAAAAAAAAAAAAAAAAAGCTCTTATTATAGAACTTACTCTAATAAATACTCTAATAAAATCCTAATTTGGAACACACCTCACTAAGAAACATTTATTAAGCATTTATGGAGTTCAGAGAACTGTTCTGGTGTTGTTGGAGATTCAGTATTTTGAATCATTTCCTCCACAAAGATTTTAGAATTTTGAAGGGGAAACAAAGACATAACATGAATTTCATGGCCTTCTCTTTTGATCTCCAGTGGTGACTGATTTGGACATTTGTGACATGCTGAGCATTTGTGTCATAAGCATCTCACTGAACTTCCTGTGGTAGTCACTAGCATTAACTCCATTGCAGCCTGGGTAACATGACGAAACCCTGTCTCTACAAACAAAACAAAACAAAACAAACAAACAAACAAAAAAAACACCACAAAATTAGCCAGGCATGGTGGTGCGTGATGTAGTCCCAGCTACTCGGGAGGCTGAGGGGGGACAATCGCTTGAGCCCAGGAGCTTGAGGTTGCAGTGAGCCATGATCATGCCACTGCACTCCAGCTTGGGTGACAGAGTGAGACCCTGTCTTGAAAACAAAAGCAAAAACTCCATTACACAGAAAAAAGGAATTCACCCCTGAGAGGGTAGGTAACTTGTCAAGGGTCACACAGTTGGCAAGAAGGAGAGGGTTGTCCTGTCTTTAGTATACCCCGCTGTATTAGTTAACTTGAGCTGCCATAAGAAAGCACCACCAACTGGGTAACTTAAACAACAGAAATGTGTTGTCCCTTCTAGTCCTGGAGGCTAGAAGTCCAGATCAAGGTGTCGGTAGGTCTGTTTCCTTCTGAGGGCTGCAAAAGAGAATCCGCCCCATGCCTCTCTCCTAGCCCCTGGTGGTCTGCTGGCAATCTTTGGTGGTGTTGGGCTTGTAGATGCATCACACTGATCTCTGTTTTCACCTTCATGTGGCATTCTCCCCATGTGCATGTCTGTCTCTGTGTCCAAATTTCCCCTTTTTATATGGACACAGTCATACTGGTGTAGAGATCACCCTTATGGCCTCAACTTGATCGTCTGCAAAGGCACTATTTTCAAATAGGGTCACATGCGCAGGTATCGAGGATTAGGACTTGAACATTTTTTGGTGGGGACACACAATTTAACCCATTCGAGGCTTTGGTGTCTCTCACTTGCAGTTCTTTCACTTCCTCCCTAAGACAGCTTCAGGCAGCTTAGAGTTGGATCTCCTCCTTGACATTCTAATCCGCTGACGGCCAGCTGCTTGTCAGGGGTCCTATGCTTGCTGATGAAGTTCCCGGTGGTGCCAGGCACTCTCCCCATTGAAACAGTCCAGCTGGCATGATGAGAGGGCAGGTAAAGAAGGCACGTCACCTTCTACAAACCAAAGTGTAACAGCAACAAGATTAATATAGCAATGTCTATTTATTGATCAGTTATTATCTGCTAGGCACTGAGTTAAGTATTTTTCATGCACAATCTATTTATTCCACACAGCAATCCTAAAAGATAGGAATCACTATCTCATTTCACATATGAAAAAAACCTGAAGCTCAGAGAGATTAGGTCCAAAGCCATTGACTGTTTGTGGCCAGGAGTTCAAGACCAGCCTGGGCAAAATAGCAAGATCCCGTCTTTACAAAAACATTTTAAAAATATTAACTGAGTATGATGGTGCATGCCTGTAGTCCCAGCTACTTAGGAGGCTGAGGCAAGAGGATCGCTTGAGCCCAGGAGGTCAAGGCTGCAGTGAGCTATGATCACACCACTGTATTCCAACCTGGGCGACAGAGTGAGATCCTGTCTCTAAATAATTGATAATAATAATAATAATAACAGATGTTAGCAAATACTGCTTTACTATGTTGTCTCCTTTCCATGGAGCTTCTGGGTTAAATAACACCCTTTCCCCCTCCCCTTAGTATGGTTGATTTGAGACTCTGCCCAAGCCTTGTTAGTTCATATCCTAGGGCTGTGAATGAAGTCAGTGAGTTCTAAGAGTGGTTAGTGCAGTAGCCACAGGCAATGTGACCTTGAAACAAAGATGGGCAAGGCCCGGAAGAGGACACCTGTCACTAAGGGTCTGCCCAGTGCCGTTTTCCCTGAGCTGTGGCAGCTTCACGCCGTCACTCCCTTGTGCAGGGACTGAAGTAAGCCCATGGTTTATTCTGGAGGTTGCTCTTGACGCTGCTGTAGAAAATACCATTGTTTCCATTGTTCTAGAAAGTGGGCTGGGCCGGGCACAGTGGCTCACGCCTGTAATCCCAGCACTTTGGGAGGCCGAGGTGGGTGGATCTCCTGAGGTCAGGAGTTCAAGACCAGCCTGACCAAAATGGAGGAAACCTGTCTCTACTAAAAATACAAAATTAGCCGGGTGTGGTGGCCCATGCCTGTAGTCCCAGCTACTCGGGAGGCTGAGGCAGAAGAATCACTTGAACCCAGGAGGCGGAGGTTGCGGTGAGCTGAGATCGCGCCTTTGCACTCCAGCCTGGGCAACAAGAGTGAAACTCTGTCTCAAAAAAATAAAAGAAAAGAAAGGAAAAGAAAAGAAAAAAAAGTGGGCTGGGGCAGCCTTTCCCAGGGAGTGAGGACTTGGGCGGTGACTGAGCAGAGGCCAGGAGCAGGGAAAACAGAAACAAGGCTGCTGAGACCCAAACCAAGACCCTCTGCTGTCTCTATCATGTATTTCCCTGATTATAAAAGTAATCACTGATTATTTATTTAAAAACACAAAAGTGTTTCTTCCTTTCACAATCTTAACCATGTTGGTGCATAGAATTCCATACTGCTTCCATTCACATATAAAAATTATTAATCATATATCAAAAAGATCATATGATTTGTCATCTGCTTTTGTCACTTAATGATATGGAGTATCATGTCCTGTCTGTGCAGAAAGCCCTCCCTCATTCTTTTGAATGGTCGTACAGGATTTGATTGTTTCATTGTGCGGATAAAGCATAAATTGTTTAGAGTGTTAATGATAGACATACTATTTCCTACTTTTTGTTCTTAGAAACAAGGTTTTTTTTTTTTTTTTAGAGACACGGTCTCACTCTGTCACCCAGGCTGGAGTGCAATGGTGCAATCATAGCTCACTGCAACCTCAACCTCCCAGGCTCAAGGGATCCTCTCACCCCAGCCTCCCAAGCATCTGGAATTACAGGCATGTGCCATCGTCATGCCTGGTTGATTTTTTAGTTTTTGTAGAGATGGGTGGGGGGGGGTCTCACTATGTTGCCCAGGCTGGTCTCAAACTCCTGACTTCAAGACTCTACCCTCCTCAGCTTCCCAAAATGTGGGGATTACAGATATGAGCCACCACACTCAGCCAAAATTCTTGTACATACATCTTTGTCTTCTTGCCCAATTATATCTTTAAGATTCATTGTTAAAATGAAATTGCTAGGTCAAAGGGCACACCTATTTGCAAGTTAAAAATTTGAAAGTTCATTTCCAGGTTGACTTCCACAAATGTTAGATATGGTAATGTTCCCACCAATAGTACTGGGGACTACCTGTTTCCCCTCCTCTGCCAATTAAGCATTACACATGTAACAGAAGAACAAAACCATGTCTCATTGTAAATTATGTTTTTAAAAATTATAAGTGAAAGTGACTGTATGTTTATGTTTGTTTGGCCATCTATATGTCTCTTCTGTGGCTACTGTTTATGTTGTTTCTCGACTGGGATGTCCTCATGGAATCTCCAGAAAGTTGCAAACTTAGTGTGTATCTGGACTTTCTTTACCACAACAGGGACCCGTGCATGGTTGGCTTTCAATTATCTGGGGAAAAAGGAACCAGTGACCCTGAGACTCCAAGGTCAGCTTTAATCATTCCTTCACGAATTCAGGCCAATTCATTCATTTACTCTTGCGGTCACTTGGAAATTATTCCTGTAGTAATCCATTGCTCTGGTTTACTCATTAATCATTTTTCAAGTCATTATTGAGCATCTGCTGCCTGGGAAATGCCAGGTCCCAGGGTCGGGGGAGACTGGAAGGGAAACCCTCTGTGGTGATTACTCTCCCTGCCTAAAGGCAGAGATCAGTCCCATAAATGGCGGAATTCCGAGCCACTGGGTAGGAGGAATGGAGGGAAAGACTGTGACTAAGGAAGGCTTCCTGGAGGTCACCTGTGAGAGGATCAGTAGGATTTGGGTATAAAAAGATGGAAAAGGGTCCCAGCAGAAAAGCAGATCCAGGGAAGAATCCCCTTCGCAGGTGGAGGAGAAAAAAGTATAAACAAAGGCAAAGGTGAGAGCTGTTATGTAGCAGGGAGCCCAGCTCTGTGACATGGGTTTGCCAGGCATGGGGGTGGCTGGAGCAAAGGCTCTTCTCTTTTTTTTTTTTTGGAGAAGGAGTCTCGCTCTGTCACCCAGGCTGGAGTGCAGTGGGGTGAGCTCGGCTTACTGCAACCTCCGCCTCCCAGGTTCAAGCGATTCTCATGCCTTAGCCTCCCAAGAAGCTGGAATTAACAGGCTCGTGCCACCACGCCCAGCTAATTTTTGTATTTTTAGTAGAGATGAGGTTTCACCATGTTGGCCAGGCTATTCTTGAACTCCTGACCTCAGATGATCGGAACACCTCGGCCTCCCAAAGTGCTGGGATTACAGGCATGAGCCACCGTGCCCAGTCAAAGGCTCTTCTTAAAAGGGGTTAATGGAAGATAATGTGAGATTGGCCAGTGGGGTGGGACTTCCTTTGTCACCACCCAGAAACTAGACTAAGGCAGAGCTGTGCTTTAAGAGATATTCTGGCAACAATGTAGAGGACAGACTGGCAGAAAGACACCTTAGCTAAGGCTGTGGCAACAGCCAAGGACAGTGATGAGGAGACCCTGAGTTTGGATGCTAATGGGAAACGCTTGAGGGCTTGGGGAAGCGCAAGAGCCCTGGGCTAAGAAGTGGGAGGCCTGGGTTCCACTGCCATGCTGCCACTGCCTGTCTGTAAAGGGAGGTGGTTTCAGGAGGGTCAGAAGATCAGCTGTTACGTAGCAGGGAACCCAGCTCTGTGGCATTCCACTACTCACCAGCTCCTGTGGACCCTCCACTGGTTTCAAGGTGCTCCTCTAGGTGTGGGGCCAAATACAGTGAGAAGACATGGTCACAGGCAACAAGGAAGACAACCGGGGTAAGGCAGGACTGTACATGAAACCACTGGAGGAGAAGAAAGGGCTGTTGACATATTCCCTTTTCCTACTTCATTTTTTTGACAACTGCAAAACAATTTCATCTTACGGATGCTCCATAATTCATTTCCCAATTTCCCGATGGTGAAAATTGACAAATTTTTGTTGTCATGGAACTCTTTGTGCACTGAATTTTGATCATAGGCAAGAGTTGTTTCTGTAGGGCAGTTTCTTGGTGGTGGAAGAGTGCGTGCATTTTATTTATTTATTTATTTTTGAGACAGAGTCTCGCTCTGTTGCCCAGGCTGGAGTGCAGTGGCGTGACTCACTGCAACCTCCGCTTCCCAGGTTCAAGTGATTCTCCTGCCTCGGCCTCCCAAGTAGCTGGGACTACAGATTAGCACCACCACGCCCAGCTGATTTTTTTGTATTTTTAGTAGAGATGGGGTTTCACCATGTTGGCCAGGCTGGTCTCAAACTCCCGATGCCAGGTGATCTGCCTGCTTTGGCCTCCCAAAGTGCTAGGATTAGAGGAGTGAGCCACCGTGCCTGGCCAAGTGTGTGCATTTTAGATTTTGAGAGCTTTTGCTGAATCACCCTCTGTAAAGGATTATCTTTATTATTCGGATGACTAAACTGAGGCTCCGGGAAGTTGTGTCATTTGACCTCAGCCATATCAGTGATATAATTTTATCACAGTTTGAGTCTAGGTGGGTCTATCTTCAAACCCCTATTCTCCCCATTACTCCACTCTATCAGGCTATCAGTTCTTAAAGCTCTTTCCATTGTCTATTATATTTTCCTTCCCCACCCTGTAACAATCACCAGGAAAAACCCTACAATGAAAGAGGCTTAGGTACAGGCCTCTTTCTTTTCTGGGAGACAGAAAAGAAGTGGGGAGGGGAGGCTAGATTCCACTCCACAGGTAGCTCTGGGATGGGGACAGGGCAGCTCCCCAAGATGAGAGCCAGTGGTGGCAGCTTTAAAGTGGTAAAGAAACAAGCTGAGTTTCTGCATGGAGGAAACAGCTCAGCCTGGGAGGGAGCCCTGGGGCCTTCCTTGGAGAAAAACTGGTAGTTTCCCAGACAGCCTGCAACCTTAATCCAGAAAAATCTTTGATAAGGAGTTGTCAGCTTCCAATGCTTCCCATTAGCCAAATTGCCTTGGATTCTCAGGACACCTCTGCCCAAAGGGCTGAGTGCTGATGTCAAAAGCCCTGTTCCTGGGATTCATTACAATTCTGGGCTTCTCTCCCTTTCTGCTTCTTCTCATCCTCCAGCTTCTCCATACCATCCTCATGGAGACTTGAAGTGACAATTGACAAAGCTTGGAGCTTCCCACAGAAAATTCCAGCCTGTTCTTGGTGCCTGTTGTACATGGGACAGAATTGGATGGTGGGTTGGAGTCAGGCTGGGGCTCAAATCCTGGACCTTTCTCTCTGGAACCCAAGGCAAGTGACTCAACCTCTCAGGATTTGTAAAAAGATACTAGTGTGCCCAGTCATAGAGTTGCTGGGAGGATTAAGGGCAATCATCACTATTTTTCATTTTCCAGACTCCCCAGGTTGCAGAGGTGACAGCTTCTGATGTTTGACACAGAGGCCAGTGAAGATAAAAATAATGACAGCATTTATGGGAGGCCAAGGCGGGCAGATCACGAGGTCAGGAGATCAAGACCATCCTGGTCAACATGGTGAAACCCTGTCTCTACTAAAAATACAGAAACTTAGCTGGGCGTGGCAGCACACGCCTGTAGTCCCAGCTACTCGGGAGGCTGAGGCAGGAGAATTGCTTGAACCTGGGAGGCAGAAGCTGCAGCGAGCCAAGATCATGCCACTGCACTCCAGCCTGGGTGACAGAGCGAGACTCTGTCTCAAAAATAAAATAAAATATATAAAATAAAATAAAATAAAATAAAATAAATAATGACAGCATTTAAGGACTGCTGACCCTGAGCTAGGCAGTGTTCTAAGTCTTTACATGTGTTATATATTTGTTATCTATTGCTCCATAACAAATTCTCCCAAAATGTAAGCAAAAAATGTTAAAATGTATTTTATTTTATTATCTCACAAAGTTTTTGTGGATCAGGTGTCTGGAGCAGCTTGGCTGGGTGGTGCTGGCCCAGGGTCCCTCATGAGGTTGCAGCCAAGATGTCAGCTGGAGCTGCATCATCTGAAGGCTCAAGTGAGGCTGCAGGATCCCTTTCCAAGATGATGTCTTGCATGCCTGGCTCATTTGTGCTGGGGGTTGGCAGGAGGCCTCAGTTCTTTGCCATGTAGATCTCTCCAGAGCATTGCTTAAGTGTCCTTATGACATGGCAGCTGGTTTTCCCTACAACAAGTGCTCCAAAAGAGCAAGGCAGAAGTTGCGATGTCTTATGTGACTTAGTGTTGAAGTCACACTATGTCATTTCTGCAACATCCTGTTGGTTACACAGGTCAGCCCTATCCATTGTGGGAGGGGCCTATACAAAGACACAATACCAGGAGGTGAGAATTACTGGAACCATGTTGGAGGCTGACTATACATCTATTAACTCATTTAATCCCTGAAATGCACCCACGGAGGCTTAGAAGAGACCAAGGTGAAGAAGGAGGTACTGAATGTGGGAGACCAAGAGGAGCAGAGGCAGAGGTTCTAGCGACAGTGCTACACCAGCATCAGCAAGGTGTGCAGGTTCATTCTTGTCTAATGGCAATGGTGTCTCCAGTGGAGAAGCCGGGTCAGGAGTGGTTGGTGAGTTGTTCCTGGGTGTGTCTCTTCCACGCCTGACTCTTCAGCCCTGCTGGAGATTCTGTGAGCCACCAAATATATAAAAGGCTTGACTGCTTAAACTAGTTGAAGAAGGTTCTATTACCTGAAATGAAGATCTGCAATGACTGCTACGAGCTGTTCAGAGCACAAAGGCTCTTGTTATTCTTGCAGATTGAAGATCATTAAGTATGAGAGAGCCATCAGCATAATGTGAATGGTCCAAGGGCCACATCATCTTAGGTGTTATTAGCAAAAACAGAGCCCCTAGAATAAAGGAGGTGAGAGTGCATTCCTATTCTGCACTGGTCAGAAGACAGCTGGAATAAGTCTGCAAGCTATTTATTTAAGAGAGACAGTAACAAATTAGAGCCTGTCAAGAGGATAGGGGCCAGGATGGTGGCAGAACACAAAACGAAACCCTGAGGCCTAGGAGATGTTTTCTGTGGGGAAGAGAAGACACTGAGGGGGCCGTGGAGCTGTTTTCACATATATAAAGTTTTCCCTTACGGCATCATGGTGCAGAAGGCTGGAAAGACTCAGGCTCAAATCCTGGTCACTTCCTCTGTGTGGCCCTGGACAGGCCCTGCTATGGTTTGGATATTTGACCCCTCCAACCCTCATGTTGAAATGTGATCCCCAATACTGGAGGTGGGGCCTCATGGGAGGTGTTTGTGTCATGGTGGCTGATCCCTCATGAATTGCTTGGTGCCATTCTTGCATTGTAATAAATGAGCTCTCACTCTATTAGTTTTCATGAGAGCTGGCTGCTAAAAATCCTGGCACCTCTGCACCACCCCCTCCCCATTCCTCTCTTAGCATGTGATCTCTGCACACTAGCTCTCCTTCCCCTTTCCATGAATGGAAGCTTCCTGAGGCCCTCACCAGACCAGACGCTGGCTCCATGCTTCTTGTACAGCCTGCAGAACCATGAGCCAAATAAACCTCTTGTCTTTATAAATTACCCAGCCTCGGGTATTCCTTTATAGCAACACAAATAGACTAAGACAGGCCCTTAAGTTCTGTGAGTAATTTATGGCAACAGTAACATGTAGGAAATGTTTAATGTATGTAGGCCCTCTCCCCTTTACCCTCAGCACCCATGAGGGTATAAGAGACAGATTTGAACTTGGTCTGAAAATGGAATGCAAGCAGTGATTGCCTGCCCTTGGAGGAAATCAAGTACAGGCTGGGTGACCTACTGGACCGTCTACCCTTATTGAGCGCTTCTGGAGGCTGTGTCCACATTAAGCATGGTACATGCATTTTCTCACTTATTCCTATTGACAATCTTATGAGTAGGTGCTATTATGTCCATTTTGCAGGTGGAGAAACTGAAGCCCATAGAGATGAAATAGCTTGTGAGTGGCATTGTCAGCATTTGAACTCAGCCCTCTCTGACTCCAAAGCCTGTGTTTGTAACCATTCTTGGCTGCTGAAGGCAGGGGAGTGGGGAGTGGTAGGCAGAGAAGGTAGGGGGTGGGACAAGTATTAGGAAGAGCTGGCATGGATGCTCTCTAAGACTCTTTCTAATTCAGAGCTTCAAGATGCTTTGGTTTCCTCGAGGCTGTGAAACAAAGCTCCTGGCACAGGCTGTGCCTCAGCCCAGCCTCCCAACCCCCTGCAGAATGTCTGGCACGGCAGCCTGACTTTCCGCTTCTGCACGCCTGGAAGGAACGAGACAGAGAAGGGGCCTCACTGCTCCCCGAATGCCATGGCAGGCCCTCGCAGTGGGGCCCCAGGCGGCCAGCATTGTGCAAGCCGGAGAAGCAGGCCCTGGAATCCTTTCTTTTCCGGAGAATTTACACGCAGGACAAAGAGAGCCATTATCCCCTTGGCTGCCACGGCTGCTGCCCAGGCCTGTGGCCCAGGTGTCACATGCTGCCGCCATCTCTCAGCCTGCTTTCTCTCTTTGTCTGAGGAAACACAGAGCTTGGCCTCTGATCCCTTCCCTGACACCTCCCCAGCCCCCTCCAGGCCTTGGTTTCTGGCCACTGCTTTTCTGAAATGAACTTGAATCCTGGTAGACTTGGACAAACCAGAGGCAGTTTTGAGGGTGATGGACCAGGCTAGGGCTTTGGGATGCTGCCGCTGTATCCCTGTGACCACATGTGGACACCAGCGCTGTCAGTGGGGGCTCTGGCACCCTGCATAGTTTACACCGGGCTCCATCAGGGCTTTCCATTGCCTACAAAATAAAGCAGATTTCCTTTGCTGGTCTTTGCACCCTGCATCCCCTCTCGTTTCCACATTCCGATTACACAGCAACATGGAAGCAGCTTCGGGAGCTTCCTGTCACTCTGCATGAACCTCCCACCTTGGTACATTTGCTTATGCTTTCCTCTTCACTTAGGGGGTCTCTTCCCACCTTTTTCACTGGCTAAGTCTTCCTAATCCTTCAAACCCAAGCTCGGGTGTCATCTCCAAGGCCTCAGCTCCCCTCCACTGGGCTCCCTTAGAACCTTCAGTTGTTACCTGCCATGGGCCAAGTGGTGTGCTGGTTATGGGAGGGGCCTCTTGAGCGAGACTGCCTGGGTTCAAGTCCTGACCCTGCCATCTACCCACCATGTAACCCTGGGCTTCAACTTGTTTGCCTATAAAATGGAGATGATTGGCTGCTTGTCAGGATTATGTGAAATCACACCTGTGGTTAGTAAAGCCCCTGGCACAGAGTGAGTGCTCAACAGAGGTGGCGTTATCATTATTTAACAAAGCATTTATCAAATGCCCTTGGTGTGTTGTATCTCAACAAGGCTGGGAAACACAAAGAACAAGATCGATGCAGCCTTGCTGCTCAGGGAAGCACGCAAATGGAAGCCCAAGAGACCTCACAGCCCCTGGAATACAGGTTATGGAAAGGATGGGTCAAGGGGCTACGGAATCAAACCTGGAGAAGGGAGTGGCTCCACTTGGGATTCCTGTGTCCCCACTGTTTGGGACAGATCCTCATCTTCCAGGGAGGCTGGGCTGAGGCATTGGTCTTCTGCCTATCTTCTACCTGTGTTCCTGGCTGCAGAGCACTCACGGGTGGGGTAGAGGACTTCCAGAGAGATCTCAGACTGTCTTGCTCATCACATTTGTGCCTCTCTCCTGGGTCATCCCTACCAGCATACAAGCATGCAGCACTGTCTCTTCTCTTAAGAAATAAGAGCAGACTCCCCTGAGCCCACACCCACCTCTGCTCCTCCCCTCCACATACACACTTCTTGGCTTTCTTTCCTAACAAATTTCCTCTAAGGATGGACCTATTCCCAGACTTTACTCCCCACCCTCTCAGGTTCTCCTCAGTCTACTCCAATCTGCTTTCATCCTCATTGAACTACTATTTAATACCATGAAGGTCTCCAAGGATCTCCATCCTGCCCAAACCACTGGAGAATTTTCATTCTCCTTTTGCTGGGATTGGATGGTGATTTGACCAGCTCATCATTGCCTCGTTGTATTGGTTTTCCATTCCTGCAGCAGCAGATTGCCACAAAGTTAATGGCTTAAAACAACACACATTTGGCCAGGTACAGTGGCTCACACCTAGCACCTTGGGAGGCCGAGGTAATCCCAGCAATTTGGGAGGCCGAGGCAGGTGGATCACCTGAGGTCAGGAGTTTGAGACCAGCCTGATCAACATGGAGAAACCCTGTCTCTACTAAAAATACAAAATTAGCCGGGCTTGGTGGCACACGCCTGTAATCCCAGCTACTCAGGAGGCTGAGGCAGGAGAATCGCTTGAACCCGGGAGGTGGGTGTTGCAGTGAGCCGAGATCATGCCATTGCACTCCAGCCTGGGCAACAAGAGCGAAGCTCCATCTCAAAAACAACAACAACAACAACAAAACCCACACACATTTATCATTTTACAGTTCTGTGGGTGAAGTCAGAGATGGGTCACACTAGGCTAAAATGCAGGCAGGGCTGCATTCCTCTCTGGAGGCTCTAGAGAAGAATCTGTTTCCTTGCCTTTTCCAGATTCTAGAGACTTCTAGAGGCTGCTCATATTTCTTGGTTTGTAGCTCTCTTCTTCCATCTTCAAAGCCAGAAACACCAAATATCTCTGTCCATTCTTCAGTAGTCATCTCTCTCGCTGACCTTAACCAGGCAATATTCTCTGCTTTTAAGTCCTATCCAAATAATGCAGGACAGTCTCCCCATTCCAAGGTCCCTAACCTTAATCACATCTGCAATGCCTCTTTGCCATCTAAGGTCACATATTCACAGGGTCAGGGAATTAGGACCTGACATCTTTCAGGGGTCATTACTCTGCCTACTCCACTGATTCTATAAAAACTTTCTTTCCTTTGTTTCTGGAATGCCATTCTTTCATTGCTTTCCTCCTGCTGAACTGGTTTTAGACTTCTTTACTGGTCTTCCTTCTCATTGTAATTTATAAATGCCAGAGGGCCTTAGAGCTCAGTCCTCAAGCCTTCTATATTCACCGTGTAGGAATCGCACTCAGGCCATTGGACCTATACATATTCTTAGCTCCTTATCTTCAGTTTCAATCTCTCCCCTAGCTCCAGATTCAAAGACTATCAAAACATCTACTTGACATTTTCTTTAGGAGACACCTCAAAATGTGCATTTTCTCATTTAACACCTCAAATTTAACATGTCCAAAGATGAACTCTGTATCGTTTCCAAATATTTTCTTCTTCCTTCTCTTCCTCATCTCAGGAAAAAGCACCACCATCTGGCTGGGACCAAAAGTCTAGGAGTCATTCTTTTTTCTTTCTTTCTTTCTTTCTTTCTTTCTTTCTTTCTTTCTTTCTTTCTTTCTTTCTTTCTTTCTTTCTTTCTTTCCTTTCTTTTCTTTCTTCCTTTCCTTCCTTCCTTCCTTCCTTCCTTCCTTCCTTCCTTCCTTCCTTCCTTCCTTCCTTCCTTTCCTTCCTTCCTTCCTTCCTTCCTTCCTTCCTTCCTTCCTTCCTTCCTTCTTTCTTTCTTTCTTTTTCTTTCTTTCCTTTCCTTTCTTTTCTTTTTTTTTTTTTTTAAAAGGAGTCTCATAATCCCAGCACTTTGGGAGGCCAAGGCGGGTGGATCACGAGGTCAAGAGGTCGAGACCATCCTGGCCAACATGGTGAAACCCGTCTCTACTAAAAATACAAAAATTAGCCGGGTATGGTAACAGGTGCCTGTAATCCCAGCTACTCAGGAGGCTGAGGCAGGAGAACAACTTGAACCCAGGGGGTGGAGGTTGCAGTGAACCGAGATTGTGCCACTGCACTCCAGCCTGGCGACAGAGCAAGACTCTGTCAAAACAAAACAAAACAAACAAAACAAAACAAAACAAAAAAAGGAGTCTCACTCTGTCACCCAGGCTGCAGTGGCACAATCTCAGCTCACTGCAACCTCTGCCCCCTGGGTTCAAGCAGTTCTCCTGCCTCACCCTCCCAAGTAGCTGGGATTACAGTTGCCTGCAACCATGCCCAGCAAACTTTCGTATTTTTAGTAGAGACAGGGTTTCACCATTTTGGCCAGGCTGGTCTTGAACTCCTGACCTCAGGTGATCCGCCTGCCTCGGCCTCCCAAAGTGCTGATTATAGTCACGAGCCACCGTGGCTGGCCTAGGAGTCATTCTTGACAACATTTTCTTGCACTCCACTTCCTGGTGAGCAGCATGTTGACTGTACATTCAAAGTAGGTCTTGAGTCCACCCATTTGTCATCACTGGCCATGAGCATCTTGGTCCAAGCCACCACCTCATCTCACCAGGATTACTACAACAATCTTCTAAGATCCCGGCTTCCACCTGTGCTGGGCATGGTGGTGCATGCCTGTAGTCCCAGCTACTTGAGAGGCTGAGGTGGGAGGACTGCTTGAGCCTGGGTGGTCAAGGCTGCAGTGAGTCGTGATTGCACTACTGCACTCCAGGCCGGGTGACAAAGCGAGATCTTGTCTCAAATTAAAAAAAAAGAAAAAAGAAAAGAAAAGAAAAGAAGATGGGAGGCAAAGCCTCTGAGGGAAACTGTCTCCATGGCAACCAAGGCCCAGTGGCTGCTCTTGAGGGAAGGCCAGAGGGGGCGGTGGGCTGATGGAGCCTGTGGGGACATCATGGGAAACAGCAAGTCAGTGCCCAGCCTGGCACACACAGCTCAGACCCCGAGACCCCCTCGCTGACTTCCATCTCATCGCTCTGGCCTTGGCAGACCCAGCAGATGGGCTCTCAGCAGAGCCCTGGAACTCAGCCGAGCTGGGCTCTGCTGGCACAGGACAGCTCTCCACTCTTGAGCCCGACAGAGCTCCCCAGACCAGGAAATTCTGGATCATGAAGCTCAAAGGAACCTTACCAGGTAAAGAGCTATCCTGCAGCAGGACTGCAGACGAGAGCCCCAGGATGGTGCTGCCTAGTGCAGTAAGAATACTGCAACCCTAGCAGCCAGCCTGCCTCTCCCTGGGCACCTGGGGCATGCCTCACCTTCCCCCTCTGCACCCTCACAGTAACTATGGGAACTGGGCTATTTATCCCCATTTCAAAAATGTGACCTGAAGGCCAGACAGGGTAAGGGTCTTGTTCAAAGTCACACAGCGAAGAAGCACTGGATCTGGGGCTGGGAATGGTGGCTCATGACTGTAATCCCAACACTTTGGGAGGTCGAGGCGGGCAGATCACCTGAGATCACGAGTTCGAGACCGGCCTGGCCAACATGGTGAAACCCTGTCTCTACTAAAAATACAAAAATTAGCCAGGTGTGGTGGCTCACGCCCGTAATCCCAGCTATTCGAGAGACTGAGGCAGGAGAATTGCTTGAACCTGGGAGGTGGAGGTTACAGTGAGCCAAGATCATGCCATTGCACTCCAGCCAGGGCGAAAGAGTGAGACTTTGTCTCAAAAAAAAAAAAAAAAAAAAAAAGAAGAAGAAGAAGTGCTGGATTTGGGACTGCATAGCCCCCTTCTCTGTTTCTGCTTTATGTCCTGTGCATTAACCCCTCCTGGGTATTGGGCTCAGGCCCACCTGCACCTCCTCGTTAGGCTGCTTGTCACAGAAACCTTTCTTTTGCAGCATGCTACATGGCATGTCTTGTCCTTTGTGTGCTGTTGATTTTGGGCCATTTTGGAATCACATTTTATCCTATTTTGGTAATGAATACACATCATTAACTCTTCTGCCAAACGTCCACTGCGCCCATGCTCCGTGCCAGGTGGGCCATGATGAATAATAACAACGCAAATACTTACTGGGAAGCATTTTCTTTGTGCCAGGCTCTGTCCCATGTGCTTCACGTGGATAGACGCTTTCGGCTCTCACAGCAACCCTCTAGGGTAGGATATTTTGCTCTTCCCATTTTTCAGGTGAGGAGACTGGCTTGGCTTCTAGCTTTTGGGCAAAAAAGGAAGAAACATGCATTTGTTGAGCACCTGTGAAGTGCCAGGCCTGCACAGGAGGGAGCATCCCCTCCATTTTTCAGGCGAGCAAGCTCAGGTGCAAACAGGAAGTGCATGGGAGAGGCAGAGGCTGCCACTCTCTGCCCCTCACACTCACTTCCCTCCCCCTGACCTTCAAGGCCATTTCCTCCCCACTTTTTTCACCGTAAGTCCTCGGGAGCTGTGTCCACCTCTTAGGCGACAGCAGCAAAGACAGCAAAAGTGTGTCCTGTGACATCGTTTCCTCTTTGCCCAGCGCACTTCCTCTCTTCCCCTCCTGAAGTTCACTGTGGCGTCTTCCCTGTCTGGGACAGTGCTGTAAGCCCCAGCCTGACTCTCCTCAGTCCCTGCCCCCTGACTCAGCACACCCCATATCCCCCATGACCCACCGAGGCCCTGCTCTGAATGAATGAATGAAAGAGGAGGCTGCCCTTGGGGAGGAGTGACTACCCAGTCCCCTCCCTTTCAGAGCCATGTGGGTGATAGGACTTTCAAGGGAAGAAGCATCCTTTTTTGTTAATTTTTAATTTTTGTGGGTACACAGTAGGGTATATATATTCATGGGGTGCATTTTAAAGCTAAAAATTTATTATTCCTTTTTCTACTACAGAAGTACTCCATGTTCATTGTT
Organism: Homo sapiens; assembly: GCF_000001405.40. Taxonomy (NCBI): domain Eukaryota; kingdom Metazoa; phylum Chordata; class Mammalia; order Primates; family Hominidae; genus Homo; species Homo sapiens. The sequence goes on from NC_000008.11 coordinate 124,840,941, forward strand.
GAAAAAATGAGAAGTTTTTTTCAACAATGTGACTAGGGTGAATCTCTTCAGTTCTGAGCCTTGGTTTCTAAAAAAATAATCTAGGAGGAAACAAAAGTAAGTATCCTAAGCATACAAAGGCTTTGTACTTACAGATCTGCTCATTGCAATATCGTCTGTGCCCTTGAGAAATTAGAAACTTGCTGGAGATCCATCAATAACGGATCAGTTAAAAAACTATGGCACATTCAACTGGGCACTGGGGCTCAAGCCTGTGATCCCAGCACTTTGGGAGGCAGAGGTGGGCAGATCACTTGAGGTCAGGAGTTCGAAACCAGCCTGGACAACATGGTGAAACCTCATCTCTACTAAATACACACACACACACACACACACACACACACACACACATTAGCTGGGCGTGGTGGTGGGCACCTGTAATCCCAGGTACTTGGGAGGCTGAGGCAGGAGACTGTCTTGAGCCTAGGAGGTGGAGGTTGCAGTGAGCCGAGATCAAGCCATTGCACTCCAGCCTGGGTGACAAAGCGAGACTCCGTCTCAAAAAGAAAAACAAAAGCAAAAACAAAAAACGATGGCACACTCATGTAAGGTCCACAAAAAAGTATGATATGAATCCATATTCACTGAGTTAGAAACTTCTCCTGGACTTTCCAGTGAATGATAAAAGCAGCATTACAGTGGATGTCATGGGTATTTTCTACTTGCCTCTCCTATCCACTCTGTGTACTGTTGCCAATGGGCTTCCATACCCTCTAACTCTGGTTGGGTTGGCCAATGGGAGACATGAGCTTGTTAGAGGTTGGGAGAAGAGTGAGGCGAGAGTGTTTATTCCTCTGACTCCATCTCTGCTGGTTTTCTAGGGCTGGTTGTGACTGCACTGAAGGCTACACTTTCTGACAGGCTCTGATTTGCAGTAACCACTCCTTCTAATTGCCTTTCAGCCCTAAGGGTGTTAATGGTTCTCCCCCATTGCTAGCCCTGATGTACTACACTATTCCTTGCTGGTTTTCCTAACCTCTGCCCACATCTATGTAAATAGTTCCTTTATTAAACTCTCCTCAGTTACCCAGTTGAGTATTCCATCTCTTTCTGCCAAGAGCCTAACCAATACAATAACACAGTCCCATGTAGGTAAATTCATAATTCATATCCATTCATATATCCAATAAGAGAGGTCTGGAAGGATATTCATGAAAATATTACTGTTTCAGTGTGTTGGGATTTGGGTGGGCTTCTTTTTCTTCTTTTTGTTTTTTCTGAAATGCCTAACCTTTTCCACAATAAGCAAGGATTATCTTTGAGTTCAGAAAACTAAACAAAACAAGCAAAACAGTTGTTGTAGAGGTCAGAGGAAAGCAGGACATGACAAGTGCTTTGTACATTAGGACTTGCCATTCAAACTTAAGGTCCCAGTGAGTGAGCCAGCTGGTCCAAAAATCTCTAGGACATTTGCATTGAGATCCAATTCCTGATTTCCTCAAGATAAAGGCTGATTTCCCTCCAGAGAGAGTAAGTCAAATGTGAATGAACCAGTCCCGCGTCCCTGGTTTTTTCATTCCAGAGCATCTCAGCAAATAGTCAAGTTCAGACCAGTTCTTCTCCAGTAGTCTGCCCCCACCTGCCCTCCAGGTCAGTGAGCCACCTGCCATTCCCAAGCCCCTTAATGAGCAAGGGCAGAGAGGGCCTGATGAAACACAGGGTGATGAACTTGCAGTGCAACTGCCCCTCTGGTCTCATGGGTCAGCATGTCTGTGCCAAAGTGAAAGAGATGACTTCCAAAGGAATGCCTTCTTTTTCATGGAACTTGGCAATGAATTAATCATTGTTTATCGGGGCTATGTGATCCTTGGTCCCAGTAATGGTGCTAAGACATAAATCACAGCTCTTTGGGGGTGGGGTTGAGAAGGGGGCCCAGGATAGCTCTAAAGCCCCGTTCTTCTAACATGAAAAAAATATCCTTCTTTTCAGGCGGCTGGGAGTGGACTCTGGGCTATTTATAATCTGCTGCTGCCGAGCTAAGGCATTTCTGCAGCTGGGGCTGGGAGATAATCAGCACAGTTTTTTCTTTTTTTCTCGAGCCAGGTCTGCAAAACAGACCCATCTCCCCTGGCAGTCCACCCCAGCTCACTCCAGCCCAGCCCAAGCGCTTTGCCCCAGGTCCTCTGAGCCTGGCCTCCCTCACTTTGCTTTAGCTTCCAAGAAAGCAAAGGGTTCATTTAACAGCAGAAAGGACAAAATATCTCAGCTCAGAGTTGAAGGCTAGGATTGTGACCTGCTGGCAGATGGATTTGCCTAGAACTAGCCTGTGGAATGTCCAAGGAACTTGGCACAAAGCGTCTTTCAGAGCTATGGGGAAGGGGCACATGCCAAGGACTCCATTCTCTTCTCTCAGAAGTTGCTCCAGATAGAAAAACAGGGTCCCAGGGGAGGGCAAACACCAAATTACTCCCATTGTATATCTCGGCAGGAGAGCAAGCATAAAGGCAAAACTTCTGGAATAAGGCTCAGAAGACCTGAGTCTTAGCCCTGCTTCCACCATGACAGACTGGTGACACACTGGTGACGAGGGGCAGGCATCTTCAGGTCTTTGGATCTTAGTTTCCTCATCTATAAAATAGGCAGCTAGGCTCAGGGGTTTCCTCACTTTTTTCTTTTTCTTTCTTTTTTTTTTTTTTTTTTTTTTTTTTTTTTTGTAGATAGAGTGTCTTTCTGTCGCTCAGGCTGGAGTGCAGTGGCCTAATCTCAGCTCACTACAAATTTTGCCTCCCAGGCTCAAGGGATTCTCCTGCCTCAGTAGCTAGGAATACAGGCACCTGCCACCACACTGGCTAATTTTTTGTATTTTTGGTAGAGACGGGGTTTCACCGCGTTGGCCAGGCTGGTCTTGAACTCCTGACTTCAGGTGATCTGCCTGCCTTGGCCTCCCAAAGTGCTGAGATTACAGGCGTGAGCTACCCTGCCCGGCCAACACTTTTAAAACCCTTTAAGGCACTTTTATAAAAACAATATTGCCTAGAAGCAGGATATATAAAACAGATACAGCAGGGTAACCGGTTGAAATGGAGTAGGGAGGGAGCTGAGGGCAGCAAGCCCACCCACTTGGCCTCTTCCTCAGTCTGACCTGATAGATCAGAAGCCTAGGGTTCTGGGAGAGTTGGATCACTGCTGGTTCAAGAATCTCTAACATTCTAATGAATTTTGAAATTCACTCTTTGGTTCATCCATTTTTCCTCACCAAGTATTTACTGAGCTCCTACCATGTATCAGGTTGGCCTTGGTATTGTGGATAAAAGGATGCTAAGAAAGCCACTGTTTTCATCTCATGGAGCTTGCTCTCTGGTTGGGGAAAAATATATGAATTAAATAAACACTATGTGTTCATGTATGTGTATTACTGGATTGAATACGGTCCTCTTCCCAAATGTATGTCCTTCTAGGAACTTCAGAATGTGATCATATTTGGAAATAGGGTCTTCACAGATGTAATTGGTTACGATGAGGCCGTACCAGAGTAGGGTGGGCCCTAAATCCAGTATGGCTGGTATCCTTACAAGAAAGGGAGAAGGGACATGAAGACAGACACACACAGGGAGAATGACAGGTGATGGCCAAGGCAGAGATGTAGCTACAGGCCAAGGAAAGCCAAGGATTGTCAGCAAACCACTAAAAACTAGGATGAAGCAAGAAAGGATTTTTCTCTATGGAGGCAGCCTGGCCCAGCTGCTAACACCTCGATATCAGACTTCTGGCTTCCAGAACTAGAAAAGAAGACATTTCTGTTGCTGTAAGCCAAGTGTGTGGCATTTACTACAGCATCCCTAAGAAACTTACAAAAATATAGATGGGCTGGGCACGGTGGCTCACACCAGTAATCCCAGCACTTTGGAATGCCGAGGTGGGCAGATCACGAGGTCAGGAGATCGAGACCATACTGGCCAACAAGGTAAAACCCTGTCTCTACTAAAAATACAAAAATTAGCTGTGTGGTGCATGCCTATAATCCCAGCTACCCAGGAGGCTGAGGCAGGAGAATCGCTTGAACGCAGGAGAATCGCTTGAACCCAGGAGGCGGAGGTTGCAGTGAGCCGAGATCGCACCACTGAACTCCAGCCTGGCAACAGAGCTAGACTCTGTCTCAAAAAAATAAAGAAATAAATAAAAATAAAAATACAGATGGTTCTCATTTTTCACAGTAGCTATGTTTTTTTTTTAATTATACTTTAAGTTCTATGGTACATGTGCACAACATGCAGGTTTGTTACATATGTATACATGTGCCATGTTGGTGTGCTGCACCCATTAACTCGTCATTTACATTAGGTATATCTCCTAATGCTATCCCTCCCCCTTCCCCCCACCCCATGACAGGCCCCAGTGTGTGATGTTCCCCTTCCTGTGTCCAAGTGTTCTCATTGTTCAATTCCCACCTATAAGTGAGAACATGCGGTGTTTGGTTTTTTGTCCTTGTGATAGTTTGCTGAGAATGATGGTTTCCAGCTTCATCCATGTCCCTACAAAGGACATGAACTCATCATTTTTTATGGCTGCATAGTATTCCATGGTGTATATGTGCCCCATTTCCTTAATCCAGTCTATCATTGATGGACATTTGGGTTGGTTCCAAGTCTTTGCTATTGTGAATAGTGCCACAGTGCATATACGTGTGCATGCGTCTTTATAGCAGCATGATTTATAATCCTTTGGGTATACACCCAGTAATGGGATGGCTGGGTCAAGTGGTATTTCTACTTCTCACAGTAGCTATGTTTTATAAAGTCACTACAAGCACTGAATTAGTGAATACTGAACCATTGATCCTACAGTAAATATAGGTTGAGGTTCCTGTGAGCCTCTAGTTCCATCAATCAATACGTAGCCTTGTTTTATGTGTGTTCTTGTTTAAAGACACCTTACTTAATACACATTGTTGATCCATTGACATTGAATTCAATACCAATAGCAATACAAGATGCTTGAGTGAATATGACCTAATACTCACATTTCCTCTGTGAGGCACAACACAGCCTTCTCATGCTCATGAATGCTAGGCAGCACTTAAGCACTATGCTTGGGGCCATTTGAAACAAGCAGTGACACCATCAACAAAAATCTTGAAAATGTGGGCCAGGCACAGTGGCTCATGCCTGTAATCCCCCAGCACTTTGGGAGGCTGAGGTGGGTGGATCCCTTGAGGTCAGGAGTTTGAGACCAGCCTGGCCAACATGGTGAAACCCCATCTCTACTAAAAACACAAAAATCAGCCAGATGTGGTGGCACATCCCTGTGGTCCCAACTATTCGGGAGGCTGAGATGAGAGAATCTCTTGAACCCGGCAGGCGGAGGCTGCAGTGAGCTGAAAAAAAAAATTTTCTATATGTTTTTCTCTTCTTTGTTTCTTTCTTTCTTTTTTTTTTAACTCTCTCTCTCTGTTGCCCAGGCTGGAGTGCAATGTGTGATCTCGGCACACTGTGACCTCCATCTCCCAGGTTCAAATGATTCTCCTGCCTCAGCCTCCCCAGTAGCTGGGACTACAGGTGCATGCCACCACACCAGGCTAATTTTTATATTTTTAGTAGAGATGGGTTTTCATCATGTTGGTCAGGCTGGTCTCAAACTTCTGATCTTGTGATCCACCTGCCTTGGCCTCCCAAAGTGCTGGGATTACAGGCATGAGCCACCATGCCCAGCCTAAATGTTTTTCACCAAATTGTTTTATAAATGTTTGGCACTAAACTGACCATGAAAAGGACACTTGTTTGAGAGCATGAGAGCAGAAACAGGAAGGCAAAGTGTCTCCTTGTTGGATCTCAGCTGGGGATGGGTGCATTGGGTGACTCAAATCTTTTGCAGCTCTGCATGTGTCTGCAAATGACCTTGAGGTTTAAGTGATGATTTTGGAGTTATAAATACATTTTAGGGATTAGACAAATTCACACATACAGAACCTGCAAATAATGAGGATAGACTGTGCCCACATACACGCACGTTCAAATTATATGAAATGCTGTGGAGGAAAATAGCAGCATATTTTCAAAGACAAGAGAGAACCCCTTCCTTAGGTGGCACGGTCAGGGAGGCCACAAAAACGGTGGCATTTCAAGTCAAGGCTTAAGGGATAGAGAGGAACCAGGAGCACAGGGGAGAGGTTTACCAGCAGAAGGGGCAGCTCGTACAGTCCCAGTGGGAGGAAGGACAGCTGCACTTGCGAGGTGAAGTGGGAGTGTGAAGAACAAGACGGGAGAACAAGTATGGAATGCAAGAGGCAAGTCAGGCAAGGGCCTGAGTGGGTCAGGGAGAGCCTGGGAAGATCCTGGGTTTGGATTCCTTTCAAGGTGCAACGGGAAGCTTTGGCGTGTGTTGGGCAGGAGAGTGAAATGTCCTAGGTAGAGTTAAGGTTTTCTCTAGCTGCCCCATGGATTTGCCAGGGCAGGGTCTGTTTCCCTCAGCTGGCTCATCTGAGAAATAAATGTGTGATACTCTCAAATCCTTCTTTGGATTTAGAGAGAGGTATAAGTAAATGCCAAGTCCCATGTTACGGTGTGGTAATACTTGTTTGGTCCACTCATAATGGCATTTATTTTTTAAATCAGATCTACTGGGACTATAATGCTTCAAACCACGGGAGTAAGCCTTGCATGTGACCACTTCAGCTTCCACAGCAGGAAAAGGGAGGGAGATATTTTTAGAAGGGAGACCTCTCAGTGCCCCCTAAACCAGGCCGGAGGCACTGCCTGGCCCCAGAGGACCGTTGGCCTTGCCTATCAGCTTTCATCGTGGAGGAGGCGTGGGTGGACCGAGGTACCACAAGTTGCCAGGAATGCCTGACCAGAAACTGCTCTTGGGTGGGTCCCAGAGCTGCCTCCCCTTCACTTGACCCTAGGGCTGCTGGCTTCCTGGCCTTGTGAAATCTTCTAGAGGCAGGAAGAAGCCTGAGCGCTCCCTGACGCCACTTGAGTTTGACTTCATGGGTTTGCCGTGTGCCCCTGAACAAACCAGTTATCCTCTCTATGCCTTATTTCGGTATGCCCATCTAACACTAATTACCACCCCTCCCTGACTGCCCCCAAACCTTACCAGAAGAAATGGCATGAAGTTACGGAGACACTTTGAACTCATTGGCAAATTGTGCACTGTGAGGGGAAAGCACTGTGGCGGCCATTTTCTTTTCTTCCTTGAGAAAGTCCCTTGCTAATCATTAAGACTGGCTGAGTAAGCTTGTTCCTTTACATTTGGTGAGTAAGAAAGCCCCTCATGCTACCTCATCATATGTTCTTCCTCTTTTTCATGGCTTATCAACACTCCCTTCTGTAGGACATGCTGAGGAATTAGTATGAGTCAAAAGGAAGAATGACAAATAGGTGGTATTTCTGGTCTGGAGTTTGGAGGGCAAGTTCAGTCCAAAAGTTAGCTGCTTCAACCATCATGAAAGGTACAGAAACTCTAGGATGAATACACTTAGTATTTTTTATTATTTATTTATTTATTTTTTAGACGGAGTCTCACTCTGTCTGTCCCCCAGGCTGGAGTGCAGTAGTGCAATCTCGGCTCACTGCAACCCCCACCTCCCGGGTTGAAGCAATTCTCCTGCTTCAGCCTCTCAAGTAGCTGAGATTACAGTACACTTTGTACTTTAATATGCAAACTGCCTGCCTGCTCCAGAGAAGCAGCCTTTGTTCCTCAGTTCATCGCAACACTCAGCCTGTCAGTCAGGTTGTGGGATCCCTCCTATCCAGGAACTGTATGCTGTTGTCCCGGTTCTGACACTTTCCCTCTGAGTCCTTGGACACCTTACCTAACCTCTTGGAAGCTCCTGTCTGTGAAGGGTGTGCACAGAGAGCTTCGGTAGCCTGCGAAGCAGCCATTTTCACTTCCACGGAGCAGGTATTTTATTGCATTATTTCGAGCTCAAGGACTCCAGAATTAGATCCCCAAAATATGCCTGAGAAACATTTACTCCCCAGGAGCTCAAACTAAATAATGAAAACCATTGAAAACAACCAGGCAGCCCATGTCCTGAAGTCACCTTTTCCTGGGAGGTCCAGGAGAGTTTTTCCTACTTTCCCTGAGTTATCCTTCCCTTTCCTTCCCTTCCCTTTCTTCCCCAGAGGGCGATGCATGTTAATCAAGGAGCCTGCATTTGCGCAGGTATAGACAATTACACATTTACTGGGTCAGTTGCACCTGGGGGGGACGCCAATCTGTAAAGCAGAACCAAACCTCTTGCCTTCAGTCCTCAGAAGTTCTTCTGGTTAAAATCATCTAAAAAGTTGTTTCAAGTCTCCAGAACAGCTGAGATCAGCAAAAATAAATGAAGCTTCTTCTGTGTGGGTGCAGATGCTGGCCTGGGTGCTGGAATATGGAAATGAGGAAGATCCTGCCTGAGGATTTCATGACAGGTGAGGGGGAGAGAGGCCTGAGGAAGTTACCACCGGGGAAGGTGACAAGTGCAGTGATAGGATAAATACGAAGTGCAAAGAGAAGACAGACAAGAAGTTCAGCTAGCTAAGAAATGTGTTAATAACACCTTGATCAATCATTCCTCCACTTTTTTTTTCTTTTGAGAGTCTCATTCTGTCACCCCACCCAGAGTGCAGTGGCAGGAACACAACTCATTGCTACTTCAACTTTCTGGGCTCAAGCGATCCTCCTGCCTCAGCCTCCTGTGTAGCTGGGGCCACGTGTATTGCACCACCAAGCCTGGCTTATTTTTTAATTTCTTTTGTAAAGACAGGGTCTCACTATGTTGCCCAGACTGGTTTCAAACTCTTGGACTTAAGCAATCCTCTCATCTTTGCCTCCCAAAGTGCTGCGATTACCGACGTGAGCCACTGTGCCCAGCCTCACTTTAAAAAAAAAAAAAGGTTATGAAGCATCTCAACACAAGACCTCCTTTGCTCATCACAACCACCCAGTGAAGCAGGCAAGACAACAGAAACTCCCCACCTGTGATAGATGTGAGGCCTGAAGTCTCCCACATACCCACGGCAGATGCAACGCACAGCGGTGACCAATGGTAGGGATAACAAGTATTGCTTCCGCCCATTCAGTACTTCTTGCATGCCAGATCTGTGCTAAGTGCTAGATGAACACAGTCTCTTTTCATTCTCATAGCTCTTTAAAACAGGTATTGTTTTCTTTTAAAACAAATTGTTTTGTTAAATATAAATATCATGTACCTTATATATATATTATATATAAAAATACATGTAATTTACCATTTTAACCATTTCAAAATGTCCAGTTCAGGAGCATTAAGTACAGTCACATTGTTGTGCTACTGTCACTACACCATCCACAGAATTCTTCCTCTTTCCAAACTGAAATTCTACGCACTTTAAACAATAACGCCCTATTCCCCCCTCCCTCCAGTCTCTGGCACCCACCATTTTGCTTTCTGTCTTTGTGAAGTTGACCACTCCAGCTATATCATATAGTATTTGTCTTTTTGTGACTGCTTTATTTCAATTAGCATAATATCCTCAAGGTTCTTCTATGTTGTAGCATATACTGGAATTTCCTTGTGTGTGTGTGTATGAACCTCTATAAAGGATCCTTCCTTTTTAAGGTTGAACAATATTCCATGTATGTATATATCCAGTTTTGCTTATCTGTTCATCTGTCAATGAACACTTGGATTGTTGCCACATTTTAGTTATTGGGAATAATTTTGGCTATTGTGAATAATCTGTACACATGAGTGTACAGATATTTCTTTGATAAAATAGGTAAATAAAATTGCTTTATAAAGAAAAGCAATTTATTTCTCACAGTTCTGGAAGCTGGGAAGTCCAAGATCAAGGTGCTGGCATCTGGTGAGGGCCTTCTTGCTGCATTATTCCACAGTGGAAGGCAGAGGATTACAAGAGCGAGCAAGAGAGGACTGGCCTCACCTTTATAACAACTCACTCTTGCAATAACCCATTCCTTCTACAACAACAATATTAATCTCCTTTTTACAGTGAGGGAAACTGAAGTGCAGACATATTAATTTCTCCCAGTTTGTCAAATAATTCGTGGGAGAACCAGTCTCTGTGACTCCAAAGATAGGGTTCCCAACCATTGCACTATCCTACCGCTAAAAACCATGGGTTTTAACATCAAAAATATCTGAGTTCAGGTTTCCAGCTCTGCCACTAACTGACTGTGACACTGAGCAAGTCACTTAATCTCTCTGAGCTGAAGGCTATTGTGACAATTAGGTGAAGCAATGTGCTTAATTATAGTGCCTGGCACATAGTAAATGTTGAATACATATTGGCCTTTGTTATAATTGTATTAAGTGGTAGCAAGTGTGTAGAACTGACATGAGAAGCCAGGGTCTTTGATTCCTTGGCTGGAACCTGCCAGGTGGGCTACAGGGCTCCTGGCCAGATACTGGTTCTTACCAGCTGTGTTGTGAGCTGTGCCTATGCTACCTTTGTTTGTATCTCACTGGACAGGCAGGTCTGAAGCCTGGACCTGCCATCTACACTTCCACCAACCCAGGGCTAAGAATGTCACAGGCATTGTGTGACTGCAAGGTGTAAAGAAAAAAGCACTGTCAGGGAGTCAAGAGTAGGGCGTCCTAACCCAGCATAGCCACTAAACAGGCCCCTTCTCCTCTCCTCTGGGCCTCAGTTTCCCCACCTGTAGATGAAGGGTTTTACAGGTGCTGATTGCCAAGATCTGCATGTTCTGGAAACTCCTAAGCTATGATCTCCATTTAGTGTTGCCCAAGGCTTGGGTTGTGCAGTCAGACTGCCTGGGCTCAAACTCTGAGACTGAGGCCTGCTTGCTGTGTAACCTTGAGCCAAGGGCTTCTTATCTTTGCAGCCTTTGGTTTTTTCCATGATCAAAAATGGAGGATAATAACAGAGCTTGTGTTATGGGGCTTGTCTTTGTTGTGTGTTGCTGTAACAGAACACCACAGGCTGGGTAATTTATAAAGAAAAGCAATTTATTTCTCACAGTTCTGGAAGGTGCTGGCATCTGGTGAGGGCCTTCATGCTGCATTATTCCACGATGGAAGGCAGAGGATTACAAGAGTGAGCAAGAGAGGACTGGCCTCACTTTTATAACAACTCACTCTTGCAATAACCCACTCCTTCTGCAACAACATTAACCCATTCACGAGGGCACACCCCTCATGGCCTAATCACTTCTTAAAGGTTCCACATCCAAGTACAATAATAATGGCAATTAAATTTCAACATGAGTTTTGGAGGAGACATTCAAACCATAGCAAGGCTACTGTAGGGATTAAGCAAGATAATGTACCTGACATAATTCAGTGCTCAGTAAATGCTGGCTGTTAGTATTCTTCTTGTGATGATCATAGTGGATACTTGTTGACTTATTGACTTCTAGACAAGAGACCAAGAGTAGTACAAAAGGGTATAGTAGAGTCAAATATTATTTACTATCAATGATTCTTGGATTGCCCCTCTGATAATAACAAAAATAACCTACCTTGAAAGTTGTGGTGGAGATTAAGATAAAAATGTAACACCACCACTGTGCTAGCTTAATACATGAAAATTGGTAGTAGAATAATTTCTTTTTCTTTTTTGTGTTTTGAGATGGGGTCTTGCTCTGTCACCCAAGCTGGAATGTAGTAGAGCAATCATAGCTCACTGCAGCCTTGACCACCCAGGCTCAAGCAATCCTCCCACCTCAGCCTCTCGAGTAGCTGGCACTACAGGTGTGTGCTACATGCTCGCTAACTTTTTAATTTTTTAGTATAGACATGGATCTCGCTAGGTTGCCCAGGCTGGTCTGGAACTCCTAGTCTCAAGTGATTCTCCTGCCTTGGGCTCCCTAAGTGCTGGGGTTATAGGCATGAGCCACTGCACCTAGCTAAATTATTTCTATTTTAACGTTTTAGAAATTTGTTTTTCTTATACATTATTGGTGAAAGTGTATGTTGGTGCAATTCTATAACAGGCAGTTTGGCGATAGTTATCAAAACTGTAAACATATCTGCACTTAGACCCAACAATTCCACTTCTAATTACAGATATACAGTTGAAAAGTTATTTGTTGCAACATTCATTGTAGATGTCCAGCAGTTCAGGACTGATTAAATGAATTATGAATTAGAAAACTACACAGTTATAGGCCAGGCGCAGTGGTTCACGCCTGTAATTCTAGCACTTTGGGAAGCTGAGGCGGGAGGATCACTTGAGGTCAGGAGTTCGAGACCAGCCTGGCCAACATGGTGAAACCCCATCTCTACTAAAAATACAAAAATTAACCAGGCGTGGTGGCATGTGCCTGTAAACCCAGCTCCTCAGGAAGCTGAGGCAGGAAAATTGCTTGAACCCAGGTGGTGGAGTTGCAGTGAGCCGAAATCGTGCCACTGTACTCCAGCCTGGGTGACAGAGTGAGGCTCTGTCTCAAAAAGAAAACTATACAGTTCTAAAAAAAGATAAAGCTCTTCATAGTCTCATGTAGAAACATCTCTAAGATATATCATTTACTGAGAAAACTAAGAAGCAGAACACTATGTATCACTCTACAAATATTTACCTTTGTTTAAAAAGGACTCCAGGAGTCAGGGATATATAATCCTATCAGCATGTAAATATGTTTGTAGGCACAGTTTTTAAAAATCTCTGCAAGGATACACAGTGGGCACCGAGGTTTCTAGGTGACAATCAAAAGAGGGAGACTTTCTACTTTGTCTTTTCGTAATTATTTCTTGCAACCTTGAGAACGTATTACCTATTCAAAAAATTAAATAAAGTTTTATTAAGAAATAAAAAAGAAGGCAGGAAAGCAGGAAGGAAGGAAGGAAAAATGGAAGGAAGGAAAGGAAGGAGGGAGGGAGAGAGGGAAGAAAATGACAGAAGGAGGGATCTGTTTCTAGCTGTCCTTCTGGACAGAGTAAGGGTGATCTGATGTGTCTGAAGGACAGCAGGCCTGTCCTGGCTGAGGAGGTGAGAGACGTGTCAAGCATCACTGTGCACTGGATTTGGCTGGCCTTGAGTGTTTGTTATGATAAGGAAGGAGACACATATTTACCAGACAGAATTTCACACCAGGAGAAGTGGCAGCTCTACCTGGCAGGCTGACTTTTGACGGGGGTGTGACAGTGAGCTTGGGCTGCCCTCATGATCAGCAACCACCCTACTCTCATGACCCCCTCCTCAGGCACCCCACCCTCCCAGTAGGGAGGACACAGGTTTAGCCGTTGACACTGCCTGTCCTGAGAAAAGAGAATAAACATAAAGGGAAGGGCCTATGGCATTTGTTTCCTTCCATTGGCTGATTTCTTAGATGAATTTATTATGGCAAATATAAGAACCAATGGTCCAAAATTCTCAACACATGCAAGGCAGAGATGGTGATATTCATTCCCTAGGCCAGCACCCCTCCACCTCACTGGACAAATAATTTACAGAACTGTCATCTTTGACCTAGGAGTTTTAATAAGTTCCTGTCATTCATGATATGAATTTAGAGATGAATAAACAGTTATATAGAGAGATGTGTATTTCTGATCATTATCTCAACATTTAACTTTGAACAAATCTCTCTTCCCAGACTTTGGCACATATTACTATTATGATATTATTAATACTTATGATAATGTTCGTTTGTATAACATAAAAATATACATGGAAAACCGTATAAATGTAATAGCAATTTACAGTTTGTTTTCACATCTATTATCTTGTTTAATCTTCAAACACCCCTCCAAGGTGGGTGTTTATTCAACAAATATTTAGTGAGTGCTCATCATGTCCAAGATACTGTGGTAGGTCCTGGAGTTTCGGAGATGCAATAACATGACCATGGTGTGCAAGGTCTAATCTAGTCACAGTGATCCACACTCAAAGGGGTACAGGCTGAGTACCCCTTATCTGAAATACTTGGGACCAGAGATGTTTCAGATTTTGGATGATTTAAAATTTTTGAATATTTGCATATACATAATGAGATATCTTGGGGAGGGGACCTAAGTTTAAACACGAAATTTACTTGTGTTTGATATATATCTTGTACACATGGTCTGCAGGTAATTTTACACAACATTTTTATAATTTTGTGCATGAAACAAAGTTTTGACTGCCTTTTGCCTACAGCTTGTCCCATGAGGTCAGTTGTGGAATTTTTCCCTTATGGCATCATGTTGGCACTCAGAAAGTCTTGGATTTTGGGGCATTTCAGATTTCCGATTTTCGGATCAGAGATGCTCAACCTCTAATGCAACTACAGAGAAATTTGAGGTGATGAAGGAGGGCAGAGAGAAGGGCACCAACGTAACTAAGCAGTGGGGAAAAGATCAAAAAGGCTTCCCAGGGAAGATGTGGCCTGAGTTGAGCCTTCGAAGATGAATAGGAAGTGACCAGGCAAAATGAATGAGTGAGTTGAGATTGGACAGTCAAAAGGACTCCTCACGCTCTGAGATGGGGGAGGGAGGGCTTGGGAAAGATGAAGAAGGTGCTAAAGGAAAAGATGAATGGAAATAGAGAGAAGCTTTGGAGGGTGGCAAAAAGCTGAGGGACGGAGGGAGAGGCCCACTTCATAGAGGAGGAGACTGAGGCTCACAGAGATGGATCCTGACCACTCTTTAGATCTCAGGTCAAGTTGCCCTTCCCCTCCCCTTCCTTTTTGTGTTGTAAGAAGGTCAGGTCGATGTAAACAGACAACCTACAGAATGAGAGAAAATTTTTGCAAACTGTGCATCTGACAAAGGTCTAATATCCAGCATCTATAAGGAACTTAAACAAATTTTCAAGAGAAAAACAAACAATCCCCTTAAAAAGTGAGCAAAGGACATGAACAAACACTTTTCAAAAGAAGACATACACACAACCAAGAAGCATATGAAAAAAATCTCAATATCACTGGTCATTAGAGAAACGCAAATCAAACCACAAGGAGATACCATCTCACCCCAGTCAGAATGGCTATGATTAAAAAGAAAAAAGATGCTGGCAATCTATTATTTTTCTGTTGCGGAGAAAAGGGAACACTTATGCACTGTTGATAGGAGTGTTAATTAGTTCATCCATTGTGGAAAGCAGTATGGCAATTTATCAAAGAGCTAAAAGCAGAACTACAATTTGACTTAGCAATCACATTACTGGGTCTATACCCAGAGGAATAGAAATCATTCTGCCATAAAGACATGCACACGAATGTTCATTGCAGCATTATCCACAATAGCAAAGACATAGAATCAACCTAAATGCCCATCAATTACAGATTGGATAAAGAAAATGTGGTACACATACACCGTGGAATACTATGCAGCCATAAAAAAGAATGAGATCATGTCTTTTGTGGGAACATGGATGGAGCTGGAGGCTGTTATCCTTAGCAAACTAATGCAGGAACAGAAAACCAAATACCACATATTCTTACTTAGAAGCGGGAGATAAATGATGAGAATTTATGAACGCAAAGAAGGAAACAATAGACAACGGGGTCTACTTGAGGGTGGAGGGTGGGAGAAGGGAGAGGAGCAGAAAAGATAACTATGGGCTACTGGGTTTAATATCTGGGTGATGAAAATAATCCGTACAATCAACCCTCATGAAACGAATTTACCTATGTAACAAACCTTCACATGTACCCCTGAACCTAAAATAGAAGTTAAAAAAAAAAAAAGAGTGGAGGTGGCAAACAATGAGTCCTGAGTCTTGAGTCCACGTAGACCCAGATAGGGGAATCATTGAGTCAGCATCTAAAAGAGATCACTGGGTTTAGCATCTTTCTCCAGTGAGCTGCAGCCAAATGATGGGAGAAATTGGACTCAATGCACCTTAGGTGGCTGTTTCTTACTCCATATTACTCATTCCTCAGGAAACTTGTTAGTCCAAGACCTATTCTTTTGTGCAGAGCCTTTATTTATTGGTTTGGCCTGCTTCCCTGAAGAGTGGTCTGTCTGGTTCTCTCACCCCAGACACACCAGGGCTGATCCAACATATCTGGCTCAACATCACCCACAAGTCTCAACAGGGCCCTGAAAACCACCTCTGACTCCACAACCCACTGTCCCACGCCCTGGGAGGTAGGCTGTGTCTGGGCTTGCTCACGTCTGGGAACAGCAAAGTCTGGCCCAAGCCTGTTCAGCCTGTACCCTGCTTGGAGGTTGGCACGAGCCTCAGATGTTGGGCTCTGGCTGGGAGCATGGCCCCAGGAATTTGCCGAAGGGAAGTCCAGTGGAGCATCCAGGCAGTGGGAGAGGGTTGGGGGTGGAAACTCACCTCTGCTCCCTGTGGGAGTGTGGAGCAGCTCACAGAACATGAGGCTATGAGCACAGGATGGTGGTTAAGAGGCCAAGGGGTGTCCTGTGTTGGGATCCCCAAAGCAAACACAGTGAAAAGGACAAATGACTCGCTCATTAAGGAGGCGCTCCCAGGAAAGCCCAAGATAGGAGTGGGAGACATGGGACAGGGAAGAGGAAGAAACTAAACAAAGGAGCAGCCTGACCTTGAACCATAAAAAGGACTCTTCATCCTTTGGCTGATGAGTGATTCTTGCAATGTCCCAGCAGTAGCCTGACCCTGCAGGGGAGTTCTGCAGCAGAAGTTGTGCCTTCACCAGGAGCAGGGCTCCCACTGGCTCAGGGCTGCCTCGGGCTCTAAGCTCTCAAACCCTTCCTGCTCTGAGTGGGCACAGCAGCTCCAGTTGCTCAAGGGCAGGTCTTGGAATAAAGCCTTGGGTACAGGCCATTAGCACAAAAAGGTAGAAGCTAGAGATTGGTGCTCAGAATCATAAAAGGGAGCCAAGGGGATCTGGGACAGGTGGCATCGGACAAAGCTACGTTCCTGTCCCAGCTGTTTCTACCTCTGCAACCAAGGGTAAATTATTTAATCTTACTGCCAAATTGTCTCAGCTATAAAGTGGGGACACTTTTCACAGAATTGTTGTGCAAGGTAAAACAAGAGAATACAAGCAACATGCTTAGCATAGGGCCTGGCACATATTGGGAATTATTTAATGATGTCGAGTCTGGCAAATGCTCTTCCAAGTGGACTTAACCTTGGGAATACTGTTGACAGTGAAGCTGAGCTCCAATGCCTTGTTCTGTTCCTTATGTTTCTTTCTCTCTGCTGGTAGTTTTCTTCTTTCCCTTATCAGACACCCAGCCTCACTTGCTCCTTGGCATCAGGTGAAATCTCAGGACCTCATGCTCCATGCCACCCACCTGCCCCGTGGCACCTTCACCCTGGACTTACTCTCCTGATGCATCACAGAGCAGAGTGTCCAAGGGCCCAGGCTTTGGAGCCAGACAATCTGGGTTTGAATCCTTGCTTTTACTCTTACAGTTGTGTGACCTCCTTGGCAAAGGGCTTGGTCTTTCTGTACCTCAGTTTCCTTATCTGCCTAATGGGGATAATAAGTGCTCTATCTCTTAGAGCTGTCGTGAGGTTAGTGAATTAATTTATGCAAAGTGCTTAGGATAGGACATAGTGCTCAGTGATTGTTGTCTGGTATGATTGTCAGTATAAAATGATCCTGGGTCAGATCCCCACTTTGTTTACTGCCCCAATTCTTGGGTTTATAATTTTCTGATCAGTCCTTGCTGCTTTCACCCTCCAGCCCTGGCTGGGCTCCTACCTTTGTCCTCCTTTCAGTCCCTGGAGCTGCAATATCACTACCTGTTGGAGCCCCAGATGCTCAGCATGGGAACAATCATGAGCATGCGCACAGCTCTTTCTGGTTTTCTATGCAGCACATGTCTACCTTGATCTGTGCCTCCTTTATCACATGAGGAAATTGAGGCCCAAAGCAACTGAGCAACTTGCTCAAGTTCACCCTGCTCCCAAGCAATGGAGCCCTTATTACCACCTCCCCATCGACTCCAAATTCAGTGCTCCCACACACTCCCCACTAGAGACCCAGGCCTGTGACCACAGCACAATTCACCACTTCCTCTCCATCACCTCTGCACAGATCGGCCCTTGTGACAGTGTCTCCCCCACCGCAGAGTTTATTTGTTTGTCTTTCCTACTGGACTAGGAGCCTCTGGATGCAGGGTCTGTGTCTTACTCATCTCTCTGTCCCCAGCCCCTGTCACAGGGCCTGGCATGCGGTAGATGCCAAATATATGTTTGTTAAATGGATGAGTGAATGAGTGATTTGTCCTTGGCATATACCCAGGAGTCATAGTGGTAGAATATGTGGACATTCAATTTTACAAGATAATAACAGGTGATTTTTCTTAGTGGTTGTACCAGTTCACACTTCCCACCAGCAATGTGTAAGGGATGGAGTTGATCCCCATCCTCTCCAGCACTTGGGCACCATCAGACAATACATTACAGGTGTCAAAAGACAAAATTACACACATGATCTAATTGGCTTTTATTTGCAACTTATGAATCAGGACAGTGTCTCTTCTACAAATTTGGAAAAGGCACTCTGATGAGCTAAGCAGAGGAGGTAGGCTATATAGGCAAAAAAGGGCTAAAGAAGGCAGAAACCAGGAACAAAAAGCAAATTGGTCATTTCGAAGTTAATTTTCTTATAGGGTTAAAGCAGAGAGGAATTCCTTAGAATGGTAGCTAAAACTGGCCTGTTTGGGGATTTGGCTATTCTCTTTCTCCCCTGATTTTTCATAAGGTCAGATAAACAGCTTAGTTTCAGTTTGGTGACATGGAATTTTAGTGTTTGTGACTTCATTTTGGTTTGGTCTGTTGGGCCTAGTGTAGGAGCTCAGTCCAAATCAATGGCTTCCTATAAACTTTCTTTAACACAAGAGACTGGGCATTTATATATTAGGAGTCACCTCTTCTGAGAAGCCATCTCTGACCCTCTACATCTGGATTAGCTGTTCTTCTCCCAGAATTCTACATTTCCCCATCATAACACTTATCTTACTCTAGTGCAATTGTCCAATTCTCCTTTCTCTCCTCCTTGAGACTGTGAGCTCCATGAGGCCAGGATGTCCATTCTCTTAACAAATCTTCACCAATATCTACTATTGTCAGGCTCTGTGCTAGATCCTACCATGATTTAAAAAGAACAAAAAACCCCATAAAATCCATAAACTAGAGCCAAGTGTGGTGGCTCACGCCTGTAATCCCAGCACTTTGGGAGGCTGAGGCAGGCGGAGTGCCTGAGGTCAGGAGTTCAAGACTAGCCTGGCCAACATAGTGAAACCCTGTCTCTACTAAAAATACAAAAATTAGCTGGGTGTGGTGGTGGGTGCCTGTAATCCCAGCTACTTGGGAGGCTGACGCAGGAGAATCACTTGAACCCAGGAGGTGGAGGTAGCAGTGAGGCGAGATTGCTCCACTGCGTGCCAGCCTAGGGAATGGTGAAATTGTCTCAAAAAAAAAAAAAAAAAAAAAAAAATCCGTAAACTAGAAGAAACTCCCAGTCAAGAAGGGATGGGGAAGAGTCATTCTTTCAAGTAAATGGTTGCATTAGGATGTGGTAAGTCCTAAAACTGAACTGTATCATTAGTACAAAGCCCCATGGGAAAATGAAGAGATAATTTCAACCAGCTGAAAGGCCCGGGAAAACTTAGCAAAAACATCTTGGCCTTGACAGATGAAGCAAGAGTGCATTACAGGTGGCAGGGTTAGGATATGGAAAGGCATGGAGGTGTGGAAGGCATTGAAGGTGTGTAAATAAGTGACACTGCTATCATGTAGCATAGAGAACTGAATAGAACAAGTACTTGGAAATGTGTGTTAAATGAATCTATGAATGAATGACCTCTATGGCAGGAAAACATTTGTCAGATCTTACCCCAAAAGATCAAGACTAACTACATGCAGGTCTCATGAGCAGGATGTTAGTGACGTTAATGCTTGAGTCTCCCCCTTTGCTGACTGCCTCAGTGATTCCAATATGGTGCTTCACTGATGCAATCATAATGTAAGTTTCTGCCGTTATGTCAAGCTGTTGCTGAAAACATTACAGGGCTCTCTCAATGCTATTATGTGGCATTGGCATAATCTTGTCTGGAGATGGGTCGCTAACTAGATGACAAGTCAAGGACATTGATTCCTCCATAGTCAGAGACTAAGTCCACTCTATACTTCTCTATACAAGTTAAGCCACACATGCAGATTGTTCTCAGTTCTAGGTCCCCAGTTTTAAGATGGACTATTTAACCAACATCATGGTTTGTTATGGGTTGAATTGTGTCCTCCATGAAAAAGATGTGTTGGTGTCCTAACCCCCAGTAGCTCGGAATGTGCCTTTATTTGGAAACAGGGTTGTTGCAACTGTGATAAGTTAAGATGGGATCATGGTGGAAAAGGGTTGGCCCTTGATCCACTGTGGCTGATATCCTTATAAAATAAAGCCATATGAGAGAAAGAGACACACGTAGAGGGAAGATGATGTGAAGAGACACAGGCAGAAGATGGAGATGGCCACTGGTAAGCCAAGCAGGAAGGACTGGAACAGATCCTTTCCTCCCAGCCCTCAGGAGAAACCAATCCTGCTGACACCTTGACCTTGGGTTTTTGGCCTCCAAAACTGGGAGATAACACATGTCTGTTCTGTAAACCACCCATTCTGTGGTACCTTATTTCAGCAGCCTGAGCAAATGAACCCACCTCCCAAGGTCCCTTCTACCCCTTTGACAGCAAAGGCTTGTCATGACCACAGGGTCATGCAGTAGGAGAGAGTGGACAATTTGGGCATGTGACCTAAGAGATACCAAACAGGGAGAAGCCCAGGATTGTTTTGTTCCTTGGTTAAAGAAGAAATATCCTCTCCTCCTGAGAGGAGAATGAGAAACAAGAAGACCAAAAAGCTCTGGCTGCCATCTTGCTACCCAAAGGAAAGTCATTCTGAAGATGAAGCCAAGAAAAAGGCTGAGAAAATTACAGAGAAATGGAAACACATCCCTAATACCATCGTGAACCTCTGGATCAAAGGCCTTGCCTGAAGCCAACCAACACCAATAAACCTTATTTACTGGTTAAGCCATTTTGAGTAAATTTCCTGTGATAGGCAACTTGAAAGCATTATAAGTGATGCAGATATTGTCAGCTGAAACACGTTTCTCAGGGAAGGATAATCAGGATGATAAAGGCATATTAGGAAAAACTAGATAAAAGAAAAATTTAGAGGTGGGCCACATGGGCCGCTTTCAACATAGAAAGAGCTATCATGAGGAAGGACTTATACTGTGTGGCCCCAGAAGAAGGATTAGGACCATCGAGTCCTGCTGGGAGAATTCCTCCCCAGCACAGGCAATGAGGCAGTGTATTGTCAGTGGAGAATTTGAAAACAGTGATAAAACTCACAAAAAGTCTATGTTCTTTTATTAGCATTGCATACTGGAAATTCTAAAAAACTTTAGTGATAAAATGTTCCCTCCTGCTGGAACAGACAGCTCCCACTGCCCCTCCACCGCTTGTTACACCACTGCCAATGAGGAAAAATTATAGGGAGTTAAGTTTCAGCTTTGGTAAAGAAAGATCTTTCCAACAGGAAATAATGGAATGTACTATCTTGAGGTTGATGAATTATCCATCATTGGCAGTGTTCAGATAGAGGCTGGAAAGCCACTCTATTTGAACGTTATTCAGTAGATTACTGAATTCAGTGGGGGAATTACCTTAAATGACCTTGAGACACCAGATGATTTCATGAGCCTCTACAAAGAATGGCAAGTAAACAATTGAGACAAATCTGTTCAAGTTAGAAAAGAATCTTTGAGTGAAAGGAGGGTATTTGGGTCTTCCCCATTAGGATGTGAGTAGCAATAAAATAAATAGAAATATTCGAAGGTTACCTGCTTGAGTGCAAATGCTTTCGTGGGCATTGGTAATCAAACTACATGGAGAAAAGTAAGAGGTAAAGTCTGTATTTACTAATGGTTAGAGACATGGTCGTTTGGGATCCAGGGGATGAGCTAAGGTATTCAACTATCCAGAATCTAGAAGGTCATGAAGAAGAAGACCCAAATACTAGTAATGAGATGCCAAAGTGAACATGACCCCATCACACTAACCTAGGGCAGATCATTTAACCCCTCTGCATAGCTCCAACCTCGTTGTGTTGTAGAAACATTAAATGTGTTAATATGCACAAAGTCTTTATCTGTAAAGTCAGCCTGGCATAATGTAAGTGCTACATGAATGTTAGTCATTATTATCTTAAAGCTGCTACCTTAGTGAGCTGTAAGTCTCTTCTGCTCTTCCACATTTCTTCAAACTTTATTGCTCAGAACGTCAGGACAAAGTTATTTCCCATTCAGATCCCATGCCAGTCGCTTAGTAACTATTATACTAATTGGTTTCTTGGAGGCTGAAATTTTAATTGGTGTCATTAGAATATGTTTAATATGACAAGTTATGTATTTGTTCATTTACTTATTTATTAATTTAAATACTTACTGGGTGCCTACTTTGTTTTAGAAACTGTTTGAGATCCAAGGGTTAGAACCATCAGTAACAATAGACCCAATCTTTGTCCTGAGAAGGCTGATTGGAATGGGGCAGGGGGAAGTGGGTATAAGACAGACATAAATTAAAAATCACGTGAATGATGGTGACATCACAGCTCTGGTGGTGCTATCATGAAGGTAAGCAGCACTATTAAGACTATGAAATTAGGCAATACTCTAATTTCAGGGCGTTGCCCTAAAGTCTGGGATGGGGGCTTCTCTGAGCAAGTGATGCTTAAACCAGGATCTAAAATGCATGTGAGTTAACTAGGCAGTTAGGAAAATTCCAAGCAAAAGCAACAGTGCATTCAAATGTCTTAATACCTATCAACCACCATTTACAAAGTGCCTACTTTGCATCAGATGCTCCTATGAGAACTTTATATTTATTACTTGATCTAAACGTCACATCAACCCTTTGAGGTAGAAATAAATGGCCCATTTTACGAATAAGGAATTGGGACTCAGAGTGGCCAATAATTGATACAACATCACACATCTTGTAAACAGGTTCTATCTTGGCTCTGTCTAACTCCAACACTGTGCTCTTAACTCTGAGATCAGAACTGTCATATTTGTCTTTCTAACTAAAGACTAGAACAGTGTCTAGCATGTAGTAGATGTTCAATTAACCCTGTCGTATAGACAGTAAGCATAATAAAATTGTACTGAGGGGGGAAGAAAACCACTATGTGTAGGGATGAAGGATGACTAGACTGTGTATGGAAGGATAGAAAAGGTAACGTTTTGAGAAGAAGGAACTTCCGTGGCAAAGCCTGCATATGGAAATATACGTGGCCTGAGTGAGGACACTGCTTGAAAGAATACTCTCCTTTGATAGATGGTGAAATATCTTTGTCATTTGAAATATTTAATACAGTCAGGAAGACCACTTTGGCCAGCCCTGAAAATGTCATAGATCTAAATTATCTTTCAGACATCTTCCAACCTGGGACTAAACTAATACAAAGTGTCCTTGCAAACAAGTTCCAGAAATTTACCAGTTTCCAAAGCCATTACCTAAGTGGGGACCTAAGTAGAGCGAGGACAGATGAAGTGAGCTGGCAGTCACTGAAGGAAGCCAGGCAGCATGACAGACACTAGGAAAGATGGAACCACACCTGGGTATCAGATGACTTTCAAAGCACAGCCTTAGACAAAAGAGATGCATGTGAGCCCCCAACAGAGTGCTTGGTGTATAGGTGGTAGTGTTTCTTGTAATTAAGCACCCAATTTAAAAAATCATTTTTGCCAAATCACTGCCTTTGTCTTATAAAACAGGGCTTTTGCTCAAACTGCTATCCAAGGGGTTGAGGAATAAGATTATTTTCCTTTCCTACCAAGAGACTGTCCTTGGGCTCTTGCAGGATTGGATCTGGGCAAGCACCGTGATTTCATTCCATCTCTCTCATGAAGGCAAGGGAAAGTATTGCCCGAGGTCTGGATTTCAGAACTTCTGTGGACTGCAGAGTCTGGAGATGTGCGGTTTCTGGGAATGGATGCCTAAGACTTCATTTCCCTTCTCTGCAATGTGCCTATTGCTGACACCTTAGGGTTCAAAAGGTTAAAAAAAAATGTAAAAGTCACATTTGTAAATTTCAGTCTTCAAAGCATAGAACTGTACACCCTTGTACATTGTAGGCAATATATTATTATATGCACAATATTGCATAAGGGGCTACTATTATATCCCCATCTTACAGATGAGTGAACTGTAGGTTAATTTTGCCCTAGGTTATACAGCTAGAAAGTGGTAGAGTCTATAGTTTCCTTTTTCTCATAAGGAAGCATAATCTTTCAATTAAGAGCATAGCTCTCCATGCCATTAGGAACTGGACTCAAATTCTAGTTCTGCCACATTTTAATTGTGTGACTGTGGGCAAATATTTAATCTTACTAAGGTTCTCCCTCTGGAAAAAGTGTCTGTCTTAGTTCTTGGGGTACTGTGTACCGTGTTCTCCCTTCTGAGTATATAACTGTTTGTTTTCTTCCTCTTCCTCTTCCTCTTTTTCTTCTTCTTCTTTTTCTTTTTCTTCTTCTTCTTCTTCTTCTTCTTCTTCTTCTTCTTCTTCTTCTTCTTCTTCTTCTTCTTCTTCTTCTTCTTCTCCTTCTTCTTCTTCTTCTTCTCCTTCTTCTTCTTCTTCCTCTTCTTCTTCTTCCTCTTCCTCTTCTTCCTCCTCTTCCTCCTCTTCTTCTTCTTCTTCCTCCTCTTCTTCTTCTTTTTTTTTTTTTTTTTGAGATGGAGTCTAACTTTGTCACCCAGGCTGGAGTGCAATGGCACGATCTCGGCTCACAGCAACCTCTGCCTCCTGGGTTCAAGCAATTCTCCTGCCT
This sequence comes from Homo sapiens, assembly GCF_000001405.40. Lineage (NCBI taxonomy): Eukaryota > Metazoa > Chordata > Mammalia > Primates > Hominidae > Homo > Homo sapiens. The sequence continues at coordinate 124,865,626 of NC_000008.11, forward strand.
CAGCCTCCTGAGTAGCTGGGATTACAGGTGCCCACCACTTTGCCTGGCTAATTTTTGTGTTTTTAGTAGAGACGGGGTTTCACCATGTTGGTCAGACTGATCTCTAACTCCTGACCTCATGATCTACCCACCTTAGCCTCCCAAAGTGCTGGGATTACAGGCGTGAGCTACCGCGCCCAGCCCCGTTCTTTTTTTTTTTTTTGTCAGCTTCTCTTTCTGCCATAAATCAGATGTTGCCAAACCATCTGTTCTCCTTCGTCTTTTCTTCCCTCATTTCTCTATATTCTCTTCTTTTTGGCAGTCTCAGGCAAATGGCAGAAGGAAGGGTAAATGGAGAATTGCACACTGGCTCTTTAATCCTTCATTTGGAAATAAGACCTTTCGCTGGGCAGAAAAAAAATCACAGTCCTGCCTCTAAGTTCAAGATGGCATGTGCTCTTGAATGTGGAGAGCATCAGGCATCTCTTTCGGAGCCATCTCATACACATCAGCGTCCTCATCTCTTGCCTTGTCTGGAAGACTTCCAAAAATGTATTTCTCATCCATTAGAAATCTCACAACTGATCATGATTCCCTGTTTAATTTGGCTGCTAGGAAACCCAAAGCCAAATTTACTATCCACCTCTAGCATTTTACAGGACCTATGGAATGAAGATTATGTGTTAACCTTATGGATTAAATTTAATTCAATTCTCCTTCATTTTTCCTTTATCTAATTCCTCTGTGTTTAAAATTCTGTTATGCATATTTGTATATGCCACTCAAATTATTTTTTAATGCATCATGTAAATAAGTGCATGCATATATATATATGTACCAAACATCCATATGATATATTTGGCCCTTAAATTTCATAATAAATACACATGAGAATTTGTCACTGCCCACTGGGAATCTCCACTGGGTTGTCCTACAGTTGCCTCAAATGCAATATGTTCCAAACAAAACATATCTTTCCCTTGAGTGGTCTTCTTTACTTAAACTCCTCTTTCCACTAATAGCTTAGACATGTGAGGAAGATTGCAAAAAAAGATCCTCCACCCCTCCCTGTGTCCACATGTCATTGGTTTATCTTTTGCAATTTCCTAACATCCAGTCAAATGAGTCACTGCATGCTTTTCAAATATGTCATGTGCTTCCCCATTACCATAACTTTGCTCATGCTATTTTCTCTGTCTGGAATATCCCCTACCAACTCTCTACCTGTAAGAATCCTTCTCATTCTTGAAAACCTATCTCAACTGTTTTCTTGTATAATACCCAGCCTCATTAGCCAACAAATAGGAGCATTGTTTCCTTCCAATTTTACTTATTTCATTTGACTTAGTTGACTTTACACTAACATTTCTCATATACTTTTCTTAGCTTCCTAACATTTAGGGAGCTCCTTGAGGGCAAGGATCGTGCCTTACTGTGCTTTGTATTTGCAGCACCCTGCTTTTTCTGGCATAATTTTGAATTGCCTTGAGCCTAAAGTTCATTATAGGTGAATTTTAATACCTATCAAATGGGAACATGTGTATGCCTGACTCTCCCTCTCCTTCTCGCTCATCCATTGCATCTTTGAGCTCTTTAAGCATGTCCCCCTAACATATTTTAAATCTATCTTCTCTTCACGATTTCTACTTTCTTGGTTCAGACCCCCATCATCTCTCACATAGATAATTTCAAAATTTCCCTAACCCCTCTTCCTGCCTTCAAAGCTGGTGACTGTAAAATGCATATCTCTCCTCTGCTTAAAAACTTTTCAATGGCTTATCAAGGGCAATGAAATGAAGTCCCAGTTTATTTTATGGCATAAGAGGCTCTACATAATCTAGCTTGGCTCATTTTTCCTGTCTTAATCTCTCTCAGAATCGACACTTTTTGTGGTCATGCATTCCTTCCCAACCCTAACCAAGAAAATTAGGATTGGCCATGTGTTGGGCATTTATTGTTTTTGTCTGCTTATTTCTCATCTTCTTCTAGAATTCTGCACTTCTAACAACATAGTTGACCAGTTAGCATACTTCATTTCTGGCCGGGCACAGTGGCTCACACCTGTAATCCCAGCACTTTGGGAGGCCGAGGCAGGCGGATCACCTGAGGTCAGGAGTTCAAGACCAGCCTGACCAACATGGTCAAACCCTGTCTCTAATAAAAATACAAAAATTAGCTGGGTGTGGTGGTGGGTGCCTCAGGAGGCTAAGGCAGGAGAATCGCTTCAGGCTGGGAGGCGGAGGTTGCAGTGAGCCAAGACCGTGCCTCCACACTCCAGCCTGGCGACAGAGCGAGACTCCGTCTCAAAAACAAACAAACAAAAAGAATACTTCATTTCCTTCCCCAGGACATGGTCCAAGCAGACCCTTTCCTGAGACTTTCTAAATGGAGCTGTGTGAGAAGAGTTCCTTTCTGTTTTGCCTCTGGAGCTGAAGGTTGAGAACTCAGAGCTGCCCGTGTTCTACCCTGTGAAAATAAAGGCAATCAATTCACAGAGACAAGCAGAAACAAGGCGTCCAGAGCAAGTCCTTCACATCACCCTGGACACCCTGGCCCTGATTTCCACTCCCTGCCAGGCTTGTTTGTCCAATTCTTCTTTTTGTTCCAAGCACCATCCCAGCAGGCTTAGTTACCTGTAAGCATTTGGTTAATCTCTCTTCTCAGCTAGACCGTAGGCTCCCCGAGTGCAGAAACTATGTTTATTTTGGTCTCTGCTGGATCTCCAGCACCTAAATAAATGTTTATGGTTGACTGCAAGGCAGATCTGTGTGGGGAATGAAGAAGAGTATTAAGACCTCCCAGATGGGCTGCTGGAGGCCTGTCCAAGGTGGAACTTTGCATGGTGAGAAATGCAATTCAGTAGGAAAACAAAGAACTCCTTCATCCTCCTCTAGATTCTGCAGGCAAGTGATCAGCTCAAGGTAAGATTTTCTTTCTATTAAGGGTCTGGAACTTCATACTTCCATAATAATGGGCAGACATTATTTTGGATATACTTTCTGAAGGGACAATATCATATTATTTATGAGACCTCAGTTTAGTTCCTCAGAATCCTTCTTCCCCAATTAGACACAAACTTCTTATGAGTGGGTATACGCCCAAGAGAATTGAAAACATGGCCACACAGAAACTTGCACACAAATATTCATGGCACCTCCATTCATAATACTTAAAAAGTAAAGCAACTAAAATGTCCATCAACTGATGAATAGATAAATAAAATGGTGTATCCATATCATGAAATATTTGGCCATAAAAAGGAATGAAGTTTTGATGAATGCTACAACATGGATGAACCTTGAAAACATTATGCTAAGTGAAAGAAACTGGTCACGAGGGACTACATATTGTATGATTCCATTTTTATAAAATGTCCATCTCTGGTTTCCCTTCAGAATGAATAAATCTTTTGCCTTTTACTAAAATGTCCAGAATAGGCAAATCCACAGAGGCAGAATATAGATTACTAGTTACTAAGGGCTAAGAGGAAGAGGATGGGGAGAGACTGATAATGGGTATGTAGTTTCTTTTTGGGCATGAAAATGTTCTGCAATTGGATAGTGGTGACAATTGTACAACCTTGTAAATATACTAACACTTACTGAATTATACACTTTCAAAGGGTGAAGTTTATGGCATGTGAATTCTACCTCTGTTAAAAAAACAACTTCTTAAGGGTAAAAAACCAAACTTTCTATATTTTATATCTAAATAAATTCTCATATTTCCTATTTTTATTTTGTTATCTTGATTTTCTTTTTTTTTTTTTTTTACTCTGCTCCTGTGACAGATTACATTTCCTTTGTTGACCAGAGCTTGATTCTAAGGTTTTATTTTTGGTCAAGATATTCTGCTGCAGCCTTGCCAAAGTGAAGATGTGTTAGGCCTAGAGAAATTATTTTGGAGGAGAAAACTGGAACGGGGGCTGACCGAGTAACCCATAAGCAAGAATAATCAGACACCTTCATTGGAAGGCGTGAAAAGGAGACCCAGAACACCCATTCTCCTTCCCTGGCAAAACTCACAGCCTCAACTCTATGCTCTGTCTTGGGATCATCAGGCCATGCTCTTTATCCCTGTCTTTCTGACAGCTCCTACAAGAAGGTCCCAACTCCCAAGCTCCATAATTCCTTGATTTTGCCTCATCTCCCATCTTCTCATTTGCCAGTGTGTCTTCCAAAATCCATTGATCATTATCAGCAAAATCCTATATAAGGTCAAAACCTTTTCTCTAGTTTCTCTAGTTTCCTTCACCCTCTTGCTCTAACCAAGACATGGCATTATTGAGGGCCACCAGCATTGAAGGTCATGTGACAGATGATACCACCCATTACCTCTTCTGGTTCCAGTCTTTACCAGACCCCTGAGTGACTTCCTATTATGTCCTACAGATTCTAGTTCCTGGCCCACTTCCAATCTCTCCATCACTACTCCTGAACTAGTTCCTGATGATTTCAATGTCCACATAGGTAAACTTTGCAGTGTCCTTGCTTCTCAGTTCCTTGATCTCCTCGCCTCCAAGGATCTTATATCTTGGCTACCCACCACCATGGTTATACCCTAGGTCTTATTATTCTCAATATCTGCACCACCTTCTATAATCTTAATTTTATCCATCTCTCTCTCCCTGATCACTGTCTTCTTTTTCACTCCTTCTGGTGTTCAATGTCAAAGATTCTCTAGCTCCATCAGGATCCTCAACCCATTGATCTTACCAGCTTCCAACAATAGGGACTGGTCAAGTAAACCATGGTCTATCCAGGAACATATAACACTTGCAAGCATTGACTCTGGAGTCAAACAGCTTGGGCTCTCCCACGACTCCCTCTGTGACCTTGGGCAAACTATTTAACCTTGCTAGGGGTATTTGACCATTATTATATGAGATACTGCAAGGTAACGAGCATGGTGCCACATCTATTTGGGATTCTTTTTTTTTTTTTTTTTTTTTAAGACAGAGTCGTGCTCAGCTGCCTAGGCTGGAGTGCAGTGGTGCGATGTTAGCTCACTGCAACTACCGTCTCCCAGGTTCAAGCGATTCTCCCGTCTCAGCCTCCCAAGTAGCTGGAATTACAGGCACCCGCCATCATGCCCGGCTAATTTTTATATTTTAGTAGAGATGGGGTTTCATCATGTTGGCCAGGCTGGTCTTGAACTCCTGACCTCAGCTGATCCACCCACCTCAGCATCCCAAAGTGCTGGGATTACAGGTGTGAGCCGCCATGCCTGGCCTATTTGGGATTCTTAATAAAGGAGAATTATTAGTATGTTCAATAAACACTGTATGTTTTGCTCAGTCTCACAACTGTCTGTTTCCTTCCAGTAATAGCACCCCAACTTTACTTGAGAAACACCTATTTTCCTGGTGCAGGAAAGGGCTAATCTCCAATCCAGCCCCATGAAATGGCAGGTGAACCCCGGCCTGGTCGGTGGGAGCATTCTAAGCCTTGGAAATAGTGACTGATTCAATGTAAGCCAAGCCAATGGAAATCTACACAGGCACTTTGTGTTAGAACAACTGAGACAGAGGGGTTCTCTACTGGATGTGGGGCTGGTAGGACATAAGCACGCAGGAAAGTAAGCCCACTTGAGAGCAGCCAACACCAAGAAAAAGGAAGGAAAGAGTTAAAGGGAGGCTGGTTCTCAGGGGGTTGTCTGAGTCCTTGGGTCCAGCCATGCTTAAAGTCTACCTCTAGACTTTTTAGCTTCATGGGCCAATATATTTCCTCAATGGTGCTTGAACCAGTTTGAGTTGGGCTCCTATCTCCCTCAGAGTTCCCACTATTCCATTATTATACAGTTGAATATCCTTTATTTGAGCTTATTTGAGAAGTCCGAGATCAGAAGTGTAGATTTCAGATTTTTTAAAAGATTTCTAGAATATTTGCATTTATATAATGAGATATCTTGGGTATGAGACCCAAGTCTAAATACGAAATTTATCTATGTTTCATATACACCTTATACGCATAGCCTGGAGGTAATTTTGCACAATGTTGTATTTAGTTATTTATTTATTTTGAGACAGGGTCTCGCCCTATCACTCAGGCTGGAGTGCAGTGACACGATCATGGCTTACTGCAGCCTTGACTTCCCAGGCTCAAGCAATCCTCATGCCTCAGCCTCCTGAGTAGCTAGGTCCATAGGTACATGCCACCTCACCTGGCTAATATTTTTAAAAAATTTTTTATAGTGATGGGTTCTCACTATGTTGCCCAGCCTTGAACTTCTGGGCTCAAGCAATCCTCCCATCTCAGCCTCCCAAAGTGCTGGGATTACAGGTGTGAGTCACTGCACCTGGCCATAGAATATTTTACATAATTTTGTGCACAAAACAAGGTTTGTGTATATTGAACCCAGGCACCTCCCGGGTTCAAGTGATTCTCCTGCCTCAGCCTCCCAAGTAGCTGGGATTACAGGTGCCCACCACCACGCCTGGCTAATTTTTGTATTTTTAGTAGAGAGGGGGTTTCACCATGTTGGCCAGGCTGGTCTTGAACTCCTGACCTCAAGTGATCCGCCCACCTTGGCCTCCCAAAATGTGGGGATTACAGGTGTGAGCCACTGTGCCTGGGCATTTGCACAATTTTTTAAAAAGAAGTTTCCCACATGAGAAAACGCAGCCATTCCTTGCCACACCTGTGATCACAGCATGACATTCCACCTGTCTCAGCTGCCCCTCTCATGATCCTGCAGAGTGTCTGGGACTGGGTGGACCTGTTCTCCATCTGTTCTGTGGGTTTGTGGCTCCTTGGTGTGCCAGACCTTACAACCCTGCACCAGTTCAAATCACAGAACCACCATTTGCAAGTTTAAACAGTCCTAGGGCAATTGAGAAGTTCAGAATGGATTAACCATGCCCTCTTGGGAAGAGGGCAGGGAGAGTGATATGTGTACAGAGCTTTCAGAAGGGATTAATCACAGCTGTGGGAATTGTGTGGTGGTGGGAAGGGCTATGGGAATATTTACATGCGGTATTATTTTCCAACTTGTACACAGCACCCTCTTTATTGCTAAGGGTTTTATGTCATCAATTTCCTAGCAGAGAAAGGTGCTTTTGCCCACATTGTGAGGGTGGAAAAGCTGGGGATCCGGAAATCTTAAGTGACTCATTGAGGGGTGCACAGCAAGCACTGAGTGGCGATTTAGGGTTCTTGATTCTGTGCCCTGTCTTCATGCCAACTTTTTCTACAAGGGCTGCTGCAGACATGGGCAGGCTGCCTGGAAGAGAGCAAAGCCTCCCTCTCCTTCTATGAGTGCGTTGTGAAAATTTATGTCAAAATTATTTTCTCCAGGTTTTTACTTTTAGAAACACTCAGCTCTCTCCTACCGTCTATTACCGCCTATTTGGTGGTAGGAGCCAGAACCATGGTGTGCCTGGCTACCGTCTCTGGCTCCAGATAGGAGTTACTGCTTGGGAAACTTGCTATTTTGCATACATGGGATCATTTGCATTTTGGGGTGGCTTAGCTCATCTCCATTCTAGACATCCTCCTCAATCTGCATCTTGTGTACGTGCAATGCTGCAGCCTCCTGGACAGTGATCTGGTCTCCATTTGCCATGCAAACCTCCTAGCTTCGAGCTGTGGTCTCATGGCTGGAACACCTTTCTGCACCTTTCTCTGCCTGTTCATCCTACACTTGTGATGGATAGTTTATCAGTCACTTATAGGGTGCTCACTTGGTGTCAGGTTGCTATTCTAAGACTTTACAAATAATAACTCATCTCATCTCACAAGACCCTAATTAGGAAGCTACCATGATTATTATCCCATTTTACAGGTAGAGAAACAGAGGAACAGACACTTGCTCAAGATCCCAGAGCTAGCAACCACGGAAGGCAGGATTCAGATCCAGACAGCTGGCTCCAAAATCCATACTCTCTTTTTTTTTTTTTTGAGACGGAGTCTTGCTCTGTCGCTCAGGCTGGAGTGCAGTGGCGCGATATCACTGCAACCTCCACCTCCCGTGTTCAAGCAATTCTCTGCCCCAACCTCCTGAGTAGCTGGGATTACAGGTGCCTGCCACCACGCCTGGCTAATTTTTGTATTTTTAGTAGAGATGGGGTTTCACCATCTTGGCCAGGCTTGTCTTGAACTGCTGACCTCATGATCCACCTGCCTTGGCCTCCCAAAGTGCTGGGATTACAGGTGTGAGCCACCACACCTGGCCACTCACTTTTTAATAGGGTTTTTTTTTTTCTTGTTAAGTTCTTTCTAGGTTCTGGATTAGTCCTTTGTCAGATGCATACTTTGCAAATATTTTCTCCCATTCTGTAGGTTGTCTGTTTACTCTATTCATGGTTTCTTTTTCCATGCAGAAGTGCTTTAGTTTAATTAGGTCCAAATCGTCAATTTCTGTTTTTGTGCCATTTGCTTTTGAGGACTTAGTCACACGTGTTTCACCTACACCAATGTCCAGGAGAGTATTTCCTAGGTTTTCTTCTAGGATTTTTGTAGTTTGAGGTCTTACATTTAAATCTTTAGTCCATCTTGAGTCAATATTTGTATATGGTGAGAGGTAGGGATCCAGTTTCATTCTTCTGCATATGGTTAGCCAGCTTTCCCAGCACCATTTATTGAATAGGGTATCCTTTCCTCATTGTCTATTTTTGTTGACTTTGTTGAAGACCAGTTAGTTGCATGTGTGCAGCTTTATTTCTGGGCTCTCTATTCTTTTCCATTGGTCTATGTGTCTATTTTTGTACTAATACCATGTTGTTTTGGTTACTGTAGCCTTATAGTATAGTTTGAAGTCAGGCAGTGTGATGCCTCCAGCTTTATTCTTTTTGCTTAGGATTGCCTTGACTATTTAAGCTCTTTTGTGTTTCCATATGAATTTTTGAATAGTTTTTCTAGTTCTGTGAAAAATGACATTGGTAATTTGTTAGGAATAGTGTTGACTGTAGATTGCTTTGGGCGATGTGGACATATTGATTCTTTTAACTCATGAGCGTGGAGTGCTTTTCCATTTGTTTGTGTCATCTATGATTTCTTTCAGCAGTGTTTCGTAGTTGTCCTTGTTAAGATCTTTCATCTCCTTGGTTAGGTGTATTCCTAGGTTTGTTTTATTTTTTTTTGCAGCTATTATAAATGGGATTGCATTCTTGATTTGGTTCTTGGATTGAACCTTATTGGTGTATGGAAATGCAACTGATAATTAACTGTACATTGATTTTGTATTCTGAAACTTTGCTAAATTACTTTATCAGGTCTAGGAGTCTTTTGGCAGAACCTTTAGGGTTTTCTAGGTATAGAATCATATTGTCAGTAAACAGAGATAATTTGACTTTCTCTTTTTATTTGGATACCTTTTATTTCTTTCTCTTGCCTGATTGCTCTGGCTAGGACTTCCAGTACTATGTTGAATAGAAGTGGTGAGATTGAATATCTTTGTTTTGTTCCAGTTCTTAGGGGGAATGCTTTCTTTTATTATTATTATTATTATTATTATTATTATTATTATTATTATTTTATTATACTTTAAGTTTTAGGGTACGTGTGCACAATGTGCCAGTTAGTTACATATGTATACATGTGCCATGCTGGTGTGCTGCACCCATTAACTTGTCATTTAGCATTAGGTATATCTCCTAATGCTATCCCTCCCCCCTCCCCCCACCCCACAACAGTCCCCAGAGTGTGATGTTCCCCTTCCTGTGTCCATGTGTTCTCATTGTTCAATTCCCATCTATGAGTGAGAACATGTGGTGTTTGGTTTTTTGTCCTTGCGATAGTTTACTGAGAATGATGATTTCCAATTTCATCCATGTCCCTACAAAGGACATGAACTCATCATTTTTTATGGCTGCATAGTATTCCATAGTGTATATGTGCCACATTTTCTTAATCCAGTCTATCATTGTTGGACATTTGGGTTGCTTCCAAGTCTTTGCTATTGTGAATAGTGCCGCAATAAACATACGTGTGCATTTGTCTTTATAGCAGCATGATTTATAGTCCTTTGGGTATATACCCAGTAATGGGATGGCTGGGTCAAATGGTATTTCTAGTTCTAGATCCCTGAGGAATCGCCACACTGACTTCCACAAATGGTTGAACTAGTTTACAGTCCCACCAACAGTGTAAAAGTGTTCCTATTTCTCCACATCCTCTCCAGCATCTGTTGTTTCCTGACTTTTTAATGGTTGCCATTCTAACTGGTGTGAGATGGTATCTCATTGTGGTTTTGATTTGCATTTCTCTGATGGCCAGTGATGATGAGCATTTTTTCATGTGTCTTTTGGCTGCATAAATGTCTTCTTTTGAGAAGTGTCTGTTCATATCCTTTGCCCACTTTTTGATGGGGTTGTTTGTTTTTTCCTTGTAAATTTGTTTGAGTTCATTGTAGATTCTGGATACTAGCCCTTTGTCAGATGAGTAGGTTGCGACTGAATCCAGCAGCACATCAAAAACCTTGTCCACCATGATCAGGTGGGCTTCATCCCTGGGATGCAAGGCTGGTTCAATATACAAAAATCAATAAATGTAATCCAGCATATAAACAGAACCAAAGACAAAAACCACATGATTATCTCAATAGATGCAGAAAAGGCCTTTGACAAAATTCAACAACCCTTCATGCTAAAAACTCTCAATAAATTAGGTATTGATGGGACGTATATCACAATAATAAGAGCTATCTATGACAAACCCACAGCCAATATCATACTGAATGGGCAAAAACTGGAAGCATTCCCTTTGAAAACTGGCAAAAGACAGGGATGCCCTCTCTCACCACTCCTATTCAACATGGTGTTGGAAGTTCTGGCCAGGGCAATTAGGCAGGAGAAGGAAATAAAGGGTATTCAATTAGGAAAAGAGGAAGTCAAATTGTCCCTGTTTGCAGATGACATGATTGTATATCTAGAAAACCCCATTGTCTCAGCCCAAAATCTCCTTAAACTGATAAGCAACTTCAGTAAAGTCTCAGGATACAAAATCAATGTACAAAAATCACAAGCATTCTTATACACCAATAACAGACAAACAGAGAGCCCAATCATGAGTGAACTCCCATTCACAATTGCTTCAAAGAGAATAAAATACTTAGGAATCCAACTTACAAGGGATGTGAAGGACCTCTTCAAGGAGAACTACAAACCACTGCTCAATGAAATAAAAGAGGATACAAACAAATGGAAGAACATTCCATGCTCATGGGTAGGAAGAATCAATATCGTGAAAATGGCCATACTGCCCAAAGTAATTTATAGATTCAATGCCATCCCCATCAAGCTACCAATGACTTTCTTCACAGAACTGGAAAAAACTACTTAGGGGGAATGCTTTCAACTTTTGCCCATTCAGTATGATGTTGGCTGTGAGTTTGTCCTACATGGTTCTTATTATTTTCAGATATGTTCTTTTGATGTTCTTTTGATAGTTTGTTGAGGGTTTTCATCATGAAAGGATGTTGGATTTTATCAAATGCTTCTATGTCTATTGAGATAATCACATGGTTTTGTTTTTAATTCTGTTCATGTAGTGAGTCATATTTATTGATTTGTGTATGTTGAACCATCCTTGTATCCCAGGAATAAAGCCCACTTGATTGTAGTGAATTAACTTTTTGATGTGTTGCTGGATTTGGTTTGCTAGTATTTTGCTAAGGACAAAATCCACATTCTTCAACACCACCCTGCTTTGTTCCTCCCCTACTCATCCTTTTTGTCTCTTGCCCTGTGAGGATGCTCCCCTGATACGTATTTTGGAAATCATCCTGTTTCTGCGGTGTGCTCTCAGAGCACTATCCTGGCCCCACTAGGATTTCTTTGTCTAGTGGTGGGATATGAATAGTCTTGGCCCCCCACCATGTGGGAGTTCTGTACAGACTGATATTTAAAGTGTTCATCTTTATGTCCACAGCATTCTCACTTCTGGATCCTCGCCTGGTGTTTTAAACACTGGGGATGTGAAATCTATGTCAGCAAAAATGAACTGAAATCTAATGAATTAGAAGACTCCATAATGAATAAACTCTAATGACACTCTTGGTGAGATGCTTCCAGAGAGAGTTTAAAAAGTATAAAAACATGCAGATAGTTCTCATCCATCTAAGAGTTAATTATCTTCTTTTGAGGATTATTCAGCCTCTTGCTTCTCCTTCCATTTCTTCTGATCTTATAGACATTTCATAGCTTGAGAGAATCATTTAAGAGGAAAGGAAGCAATGAAATGTACACGGATCACAGCAGCTCCATGTCTCACCAGTTCTGTGACTTTGGGAAAACCACTTGAGCTTCCTGAATCTTGGTTTCCTCAGCCATAAAATGGGATCATAATCATACTTAGCTACCTTATTGGGGAGAATTAAATGAGATACTACACGTAGAGCAGCTGGTCCAGGGCATGGTTGATGGTGAAAGCTGCATAAGTGTGATTGCTGTTATTGTCTCTAAGGCCCTGCTGGCAGGATGAGAAGAAAGAAAATGAGACTGACAAATCTCTAATGTATGCTTCTTAATGCCTAGAAAAAGGTAGAAGAGTAAAAGGTTAGCCAGACTGATCAAAATGAGACATAAAGTAATAATGAATTTTTTTCCCATGTAATCTTCAGTTCCTACTTAAACAAATACATTTATTTTATATAAATATCTGCAGCAGTGCAATTTCCTGAAAGAATCAATTGCCGTAATTCAACTGAACCCATATTTACTCATTCAACACACAATTATTAAGTACCTACTGTATGCCGGTCCCTGTCCTCAAGGAACTCACAGTCTAATGTGAGGGATAGACTTGTAAGTGGATAACTCAAAATAAGAGTTGATTCCAATGATTTGCTTTTTCAATGATTACAGAATTTACAGGAATGTAGAAAAGGGGATAGATCAAAGGAAAGTTTTATATGGGCAGTAAGATATGAGCTGGGCCTTAAAGCAGGGGTATGTCACTCAGAGCTCTTGGTGGCAAGCAACAGAAAGCTTCTCTCTGGCTAGTTTAAACAAAAAAGGTGAATGTGTGGGAAGGGGATCAGAAATGCCAGAAGGCAGAAATGACCAGATTTGGAAAATGGGCAGAACCAAGAGCCATGGAAAATGAATACAAATCCAAGCAGAGAGAGGCAGAAAGAAGAGGCCTATTCATCCTCACTGCTGCCTAAATGTCCTTGTATCACTCTCTAAAAACCAAAGTCCTACAACAGAGTGAATGACAGGCTGAGCAAAGTCAGACAACCAGATGCTGGGTGAGCAAGGGTGGGGATAGAAGGATCTTGCCTTTGACTTCTTTAGTGAACTCAGGATGGGCCACTTTTCTTAGTCCATTGGGACTGCTATAACTAAATACTGTAAACTGGAAAGCTTATAAAAAAACCAGAAATCTAATTTTCATTGTTCTGAAGGCTGGGCAGTCCTAGATCAAGGCAGCAGTATAGTAGATTTGATGTCTGGTGAGGGCATCCTTTCTGGTTCATAGATGATGACTTCTCACTGTGTCCTTACATGGCGGAAGAAGCAAGGACCCTCTCTAGGGCCTCTCTGATGAGGGCACTAGTCCTGTTCATGAGGGTTCCGCCCTTGTAACCTAATCATTTACCAGAGGCTCCACCTCCTCATACCATCACATTGGGGGTTAGGATTTCAACGCGTGAATTTGGGGGGAGATGCAAGCATTTGGACTGCATCACTCCTTTCTATCAGAATCAAAGACATGGGGAAGTCCCTGAGGGGAGATCAGCATTCTAATAGGAGGGAAATGATGTTGGGCACCAGACAGCAAAAAAAAGACAAAGATCCTTCATAGGTAGGTAGGATTTCAATAGTAGGCAGCTGGAAGGAAAAGCATGCCAGGGATGGAACAGAATCTGTAAAGGGGGAGGAGAAGAAAAGTTTGGGGTTGTAGCCAGAATGGTGGTGTAATGCAGAGAGAAGTGCTATTGAAAAACAGACGTAGGCAGGCTGGGCCCAGATCACAGAGGGTCTTATAGAGGCCACAGTAAGAAGTCTGAGCCCTAGTCTATAGCCAAGACCAGCCAGGAAGTTCTTTAAGAAAGTAAATAGTCAGGTCTGCAAGGGAAAACTAGACTCTGGAGCTGTGTTTTGAACCTGTTTTCTCCGCATGCTCACAAGGGTGCTGGCTGAACAGTAACAATAGCAGTGAAAACTTCAGGGGTATCACTTTAAAGAAAATGAAGCAGCTCTGTCTGTGGAAGACATTTCATTGCCCCTGAAAGATTGGCTTCAGCACCACAGCCTGAGTCTGAGGGCCCTGCAGGAGCTCAGGGACAGAGGCCGGGACCCCGAGCAGGACTGGAACTCATTGAGATCAGCTTCACAGGGAAGAAAATCTCTTAAATTGCTTCATTTGCCACTGGATTCACATATCCTTGTTAGTCAAGATGCAATGAGACTGAGTAACTGTCCAGGTCTCCCTTGGATAAAATCTGGGGTAGTGTTTCACCTGCCCAATATCCATTTGTGGTAACAGCCCCTCAATATTTTTATTTTGAAGCTTGTCTACCCATTGGATCATGAATCCATGAATTTTTAGAAAGTGTTGACCCTATATTCTGGCTTCTGGAAAAGTGGGGAGATGACCTGTACCTAGGTTTGGCCAATATGAGTACTCCATCCTCTACCTACCATAGTGATGGGTTCAGAAATGGACAGGTGGCCCCAGGCAGTCCAGAATGTCAGCTCTGGGATTCTGCTGGGGCCATTGGGAAGTGCTGGGGGGAGTGCTTCTGCATGGTTGCCAAGTGGGTACAAGGTAAAACAGGAGCTGTGCTGGCCACTCTGGTCACCTAATTGGGAGACCCGGCCTCACAATGAAGCCAGCGCGGAGAAACGGGGTGCTGAGAGGGAGAGACACACGGAGTCCCGGGTCCAGCCCCATCTGGCCTAGATTTCCTAGGGATCCGTTTTTAGTTTCTAGAGCCAATACATTCTCTCTCTCTCCCCTTCTCACTCTCACTCTTGCTCTGTTTTGCTTAGGCCACTTTGAGTTGTTTTTGTTACTCACAACTAAAGGTATCCTAATTCATAAAATCCAGTGGGGTCCAGTGCAGTGAAAGAGACGGGCTTGAGGCCTGGGCAGGCTCAGTGTGGTGTCTGCTAAGGGAAGTCCGAGGCACCGGGGCCAAAGACAGAATCTGGTTCTACTGGGCTCCCGATTCCAACTGATTTAGATGGTTTTGACCGTGTCTCCATTTGGCTGGAGGGTTTGGAGTGTCTGATCACTTTTTTTCTTAATATGTTGATGGATTTTGGTGGGTTATCTCTCCCTGCCATATTTTCTTTATGAACATGGAGAACTCAATTTTTTAACTCAGAGGACAAATTAAAAAGAGTGGAGAGTCAGGCCACACAGGGGAAGATATTTTGGGGAATGAGGCCACTTTCCCAATGCTTCTCAATTCATAGCATTTGGGAGACCACCCTCTTAATCTTCATTCTGGTCAGAAGTTCAGAATGGTGGCTCAAGGACCAGAACTGGACTCCAGGTGTATTCTGTTTAGCTTGCAGAGTATTGCCATTTTTTAAAGTCACTAATGTTTAAAAATCAAGAGATTTCATCTATATTTCTGAGTTCTTCTGAAAAAAAAAAAAAAAAAAGGAAGTTCTGTCTACATGAGAGCCATTTTCCTACTGGTAGCTCCAGCTTGAGTTGGGCAGCCGCTGCTAGACAGGTATAAGCGCCCCCACCCGCCACAGGTGTGAGCACTCTCGCCTGCTTCATTCATGTAGGTCATCTTCACGACACGTAAGCACATGATTCACTGGAAATGTTTCAAATCCCTCTGGACATGTAGACGTGGCTGAACAGTTGTTTGTGGGTTTATGCCACTACTATGGATAAAATAATTCCCTTGTGCTATGAATAGAAAATTCAAAATCCCTTGGGGTTCATCTTATAACACGCACACTAATAAACCCCTTTGGGTTGGAAGAAAAGTGGTTAGGTCCATGAGGAGAAGAACTAGGAGCAAACTTGGTGCTCTTTCCTGTTTTGGTTGATTTAATCCTACACCAAGAGTATAGACCCCTGGATCCACAGTGCCTGAGTTAGCAACCCACCTCTGCCAGTTATTGTCTATGTGCTCTTGGTCAAGTTCATTAAATTTACTGTGACTCAGTGTTCTTATCTGTATGAAGCACTATATTCTCTTCATCTATAAAATGTAGTAAATTCTCGTCTTGTAGGATTATTGTGAGGATTAAGTTAGTTAATACAAATTAGCAAAGTGTGGTAGCACATGCCTGGGAAGCTGAGGCAGGAGGATTCCTTGAGCCCAGTAGGTCGAGGCTGCAGTGAGCCGTGATTGCGCCACTGCTCTCCAGCCTGTGTGACGGAGCGAGACATCGTCTCTAAGAAAAGGAAAAAAAAATCAGTTAATACACTTATAACAATGCCTTGCACACAGTTAATACTCAATAAGTGTTAAACTCTATGTATATACTATGTAATGTTTACATAATTATTTGTAAGTTACATATACATTTATAATGCCATATTTATAGAAATATTGTGGACTGGGCACTGTGGCTTACGCTTGTAATCCCAGCACTTTGGGAGGCTGAGGCGGGCAGATCACGAGGTCAGGAGATTGAG
The DNA here is from genome assembly GCF_000001405.40 of Homo sapiens. Taxonomy (NCBI): domain Eukaryota; kingdom Metazoa; phylum Chordata; class Mammalia; order Primates; family Hominidae; genus Homo; species Homo sapiens. Next base: position 124,882,158 of record NC_000008.11, read on the forward strand.
ACCATCCTGGCTAACACAGTGAAACCCCATCTCTATTAAAAATACAAAAAATTAGCCGGGCATGGTGGCGGGTGTCTGTAGTCCCAGCTACTCGGGAGGCTGAGGCAGGAGAATGGCGTGAACCTGGGAGGCAGAGCTTGCGGTGAGCCAAGATCGCGCCACTGCACTCCAGCCTGGGCGACAGTGGGAGACTCCATCTCAAAAAAAAAAAAAAAAAGAAAAAGAAATATTATGTATCAGGCAAAACTTATATGTTCCACATTTGTACAAAGCACATTTCTAGAAAGCAAATCCATTAAGTTTTTATCAGCTTCCATTATAAACAACATGGTGCATGTTTTTAAGATGTAAATAATCTGGCAGAAAACTTTTGCTTAGAAAGCAAATAAACAATGACGAATCTCATGTGGCTCTGATCGTCGCTATTCTATTTATATATTTTTTCCTTTAATAATTATAATTATCATAAACACATACTTTTGATGACAGTGTAAACTGCTACAAACTTTTAGAAACCTGAAACATTTTTCTTTAAACTGTCAGTTGCTTGCTAATAGCTTCTGAGCACCGTATTTTCACCATACTGGGAGTTATTGAGAGGAGACATGTCAAAGCCCAACACAGTTGTCACCTCTTTACGAAGCTAGAGTTCAAGCAGTTGAAACAGATTTATAGAAATATCCTTTATTCTACTGATTTATTATGTCCCAGCAAATACAAGTGCAAAGTAAATGTCCCAAGCGACTCATCTTTTGCTGTTAATGGCTTTCAATAAAAATAAGGTATGTGTTCTCAGGGTATGAATAATTCAGTCAGAGGATTTTTGCTTGGAACGGAATGAGACAAGGTAATGCTTAGTTTCCAGATATCCCAGTATTTTTCTGTAAGAAGGAAGGAGAACATGATCTTGAAGCCCTGAGGCTTCAGAAATCAGACATCTTCGGTTTAAACCCAGCTTCACCATTTATTGGTTGTATGAGCTTGAACAAATGGCTTAACCTTGCTAGGCCTCAATTTCCTCATCTACAAAGTGACAGTGATCACCTTACCCATCTCCAAAGATTAAGTGAGATGATATGGGAAAGAACCTTGGCCAGGGCCTAGCACTTAGTAACCAGCTTTTATCCACATAGAGCCTGCATTGCTGTAATTTTCCTCTGAAGCACTTTTACGACTCCAGGATCATATCAATCATGCATTCCTTTCCCTGTTTTTTTTGGATGACAGAAAATCCCATGCCTGGAGACACTCTGGTATAACAAAACTCCCTATACTCCCCCTGCCCCTACCCCTCCGACTTTTTTTTTTTTTTTTTTTTTTTTTTGAGACGGAGTCTCGCTCTGTCGCCAGGCTGGAGTGCAGTGGTGCAATCTCGGCTCACTGAAACCTCCGTCTCCTGGGTTCAAGTGAATCTTCTGCCTCAGCCTCCTGAGTAGCTGGGACTACAGGTACCCGCCACCACGCCCGGCTAATTTTTGTATTTTTAGTAGAGATGGGGTTTCACCATGTTGGCCAGGATGGCCTCCATCTCTTGACCTCGTGATCCATTCGCCTCAGCCTCCCAAAGTGCTGGGATTACAGGTGTGAGCCATCGCACCCAGACTTCCCCGCTTTTTCCTTTGTTTTTTTATGCACTAGTAATGGTGGGCCATGTTACCACATGATGGCTTCTCTTTCATATATAATACATTAAATATATATATAATACATACATATAATACATATATATATAATATATCTATAATATATATAATACATCAATACATTAAAGGCTTCTCTTTCATATATAATACATTCATATATAATGTTTGGAGTTCTGAAAATGCTGAAGTTTCAGACATTTCAAAAATAGCTCTTTTCTTAAAAAAAATTAGATATACAAGGTTGTGTGTTGGAGTTGGTTTCCATGGGAAGGTGACTCTGAGATGGAGATTTGCACAAGGAGTACTTTGGGGATCAATGCCTGTGAGACAGCAGGAAGCAGAATTGGGCCAAAGGAGAAGCTAAGCTATGATACAGTTGCAACAAAGGCCTCAGCCCATCCAGGCCAACTTTGGAGCAGGGATGGCACTAAAGAGTTGTTCTCAATTGTCAAAAAGGGTCCAGGCATTTATAGCCTGACCTTAAGCAGTCATTGGATGCAGGTTGCCAAGGGGAGGGGCTATCACCAGGTTGGTGGGTGGGGGGCAGGCGGGGGGCACAGTGAGGAACCCTTTCAACTGAGGACAATTGTGGCAGTGGAGGGTGGGGAGTGGTATTGAAGAAAAACACAGAGCTGTTAAAGCAGTAAAAACAGATTTTATTCAAGACTATCACCAGTTCTATGGGGTCCAGAAGTAGCAGAGAGTGATTAAAAGAGGAGGGAGAACAGGAAGAAACAACAACCCTCCTGCTTTCCCTGCTGGGGTTAGGTCTGAGCTCACTCAATTCAAACTTGGAATTGAATGAGAAGCTGAAGTTTTGATATTATGTTACACTGGACACTTGGATACCTGGAAATCACATTGTTAATACCTGTAATACCCGAATGTTCCTGGGGAAGCCATGGGATCTTCCCTGGATATTAACCTGGGGTAGGGAAGAAAAATATAACAGAATTTAAAGAAAACAATGGGGAAAAGGAATTTGCTTCCTTTCCTACTTTATCGAATCCAACTCATTTCATTAGCCGGTTTCTCCCAATAAACCTTCATTATTGTGCAAACTGCATCTCAGTTATATACAACCTGAGATAACTTGATTGACAGTGATTCTTTGTGACTTAATTAGAAAGCCAATGAAGATTATTTTTAAAAAAAAAAAAAAAGTCTACTGCAATAAGGGAAAAGAGACTAGGATAGAACTGGGCTCAATTCCAAATGCAGCCTGGGCAAGTGGGAATGTATAGCCAGGACGCAGGGTGAAGGTCGGTGGATGGGAATTACTAAGAGGAAACATCAGGGGTAAGGGGAATTCTGCCTGAACCAACTGAGCAGACACCACCTGGGAGGTGGGGAGGCTAAGGAACCTGATCAGATATCAAGGATGGGGGACTCTTATTAATGGACTTAGCAGTGTTCTTGCGAAAACTGGATTTTATAAGGAAGTGCACAGATGGGCCTAGGAAGGTTCAGGAGCCTGACTAAAGTTTGGTCTAGCAAGGAATCTTCAGTAGGGAATCCAGCTGAGCTGTCAGTTTTCAACACTTGCAGTGGCTGGTGGAATGATGCTTGGGCCCTGAAGGAGAGGATCTGGATGGTGTACCTCAGGCCCCACTGCAGTCCACCCCTGTACCACTTGGACTCTTCTGCTTTGTATGTAGAAGTGAATGAGATGAACTACAGCCATGCCACTGTAGCTGGTCCCAAGTAACTGATCCTGATGGCCTCCTTTCCCTGCTATTCCTTCTAGATTTCCCTTGCCTTCAGCTAACATCTCGGCTGATCTGGGTGGCTTACCTGCGGGTGTGACCAGACCCTCATCTGAGTGGTCTGAGCTCCTAGAGACGCTGCCCTTTGTCTAGTCTGTTGCCTTTGTCTATTTACCTTAAAAACTGGGCAAATGTCACTGCTGTGGTGGGTCTTAGACTCTCAGCATTTATTTCCTGCCCTCTTGAGCATGTGTGTCTTACCAAGACCTCCCCCATCCTTGCCACTTCTTGTTCATCTGGTCTGATTAACATGATGCCATCAATACAATGAACCAACGTGATGTCCTTTGGAATGTCTGGACAGTCCAGATCACTTTGACAAATATGTGCTAGCTCCTGATACTCGTTTGGCATATCATTTCATTCCTCTTTATGGGACAAGACCATAAATGTATATACTGGTATCTATTTCCAATGAATGCAAATTGCTTCTCATTCTTCTTTCTTATAGAGACCAAAAAGATGTATTTGGGCCAGGCGTGGTGGCTCACACCTGTAATCCAAGCACTTTGAGAGGCCAGGGTTGGCGGATCACTTGAGGCCAAGAGTTCGAGACCAGCCTGGCCAACATAGCAAAACCCCGTCTCTACTAAAAATACAAAAAATTAGCTGGGTGTGGTGGTACATGCCTGTAACCCCAGCTACTTGGGAAGCTGAGGCAGAAGAATCACTTGAATCCAGGAGGCAGCTGAGGTTGCAGTGAGCTGAGATCGCTCCACCGCACTCCAGCCTAGGTGACAGAGCAATACTTTGCCTCCAAAAAAAAAAGACCCATTTGCCAAATCAGTGGCAGCCTCCAGTGTGCCTGAGACCAAGCTAGCTGGCTCTAATTCAGATCCAACTTCTGACCCAGCAGCTACAATTGAAATAACACCTTTGCAGGAGTCCACTATCATCCCGCAGGATGCATCTAGACTTTGGAGGAGGCAGATGAGAGAATTAAGTGGAGTCATGGTCAAGAATCGCGCTTTTAGGCCTTTAAGGGTAGCACTAGTCTCTACTGTCCCCCCAGGGACACAGTATTAATTTAGTTAACCATGTTGGCTGTCGGGAGGTGGCAATTTCAAGAGCTTTCTCTTGGTCTTACCCACTACACTCGCTCTTACTTCACAAACCAAAGAACCAACGTGGGTGCTCAGTGACTTGCCAAGTATACCCACTCAAATTGTACATTTGGACTGGAGAAGTGGCCACTAGGTTCTTCTGTGGACCCCATGGAAACATAGTGAGCCAGACTCGATTTATTACCTGGTAACTCAGGTCCCAAATCTACCGGCAGGAACATGTCAACCCTTCAGGTCTTAAATATCAATGATATGTTGGACCCTATGTCCAGTAATCCTTGAAATATTCAGCTGTCTCCCTTTCCCCTGGGTGTAATTACCTGAGTAAATGGCCATAGATCGCTTTGGGAAAGGACTGGGGAAATCACTGCCAGATATGTTTGCCATGGTGTCGCAGGACCTTCCTCCTGGGTACTCGGCCTCTCTCTCAGTCAATGTGTTCTGAGTTTGAATATAGGCTTAGTTCTGAAAACTGAGCAAGGGATCTTTACTTTGTATTGGGTTAGCTGCCCTTAACGTCCTGATTGTATATTGAGCAGTATCCTCCAAGTCTGTCCGTCTCTCTTGCTCCTAAGTATGCCTTATTTTTTTTGTTTTGACACAGAGTCTCGCTCTGTCATCCAGGCTGGAGTGCAGTGGTGCCATCTTGGCTCACTGCAACCTCCACCTCCTGGGTTCAAGCGATTCTCCTGCCTCAGCCTCCCTAGTAGCTGGGATTACAAGCGCCCGCCACCACACCCAGCTACTTTTTGCATTTTTAATAGAGACAGGGTTTCACCACGTTGGCAAGGCTGGTCTTGAACTCCTGACCTCAGGTGATACACCCCCGTCGGCCTCCCAAAGTGCTGGGAACATAGGTGTGAGCCACCATGCCTGACCAGTATGCCTTATTTTTTTAGCCATCCCTGCTCTAGATGGGCCACCGCTAAGATGATCACCATCCTGGTTTGCAGAGACTGTCCCTGTTTTAACATTGAACATTCTACCTCCCTGGAAATCCCTCAGCCCTGGGAAAACCAGAATGGTTGGTCACCGTGGGCTCCCCCAAGCCCTCCTAGGACACAATATTACTTTGCCACTAATTATAATAATTGCATGGATCTTACTTCTGTTGGTTAAGCACTATCTGTCCTTTATTCTTTTAGGATTCTCTCATTACCAGGAACCCAGTTTGGTTACTACATCTCCTACCACTAGCTGTGGTCTTCAGAGGAGGGCTACCACTGAGCTTCTCAGAAATACCAGCACCCTAACACCAGAGCATTTCTTAGTACTTTGCTAGATAGAGTTTCCTCTCTGCAGGAGGTTTTCAGGCCTTAAAAGTATATCCATTCTAGCATGTCCTCTTCTCGGATATTTTGACTCCTTCCAAATCTGCCACCATGACCTGGCATTCTGTCACCTGGTGTTGGCTAGGCTTTCTCAGAGCTTCCCAGGACCATTCTAGCAGTATGGCAGCACCATCTTTCACAGTCCTTGCCACGATGTTAAATCCCACATTATGATAGAGTGCCCCAGTGCTGATAAGCACTACCTCAGCCAGCTTGACATTCTGATCCTCTGGACCCAGCACTCTCAAGATCCAGTCCTATTCCTTCTTGCTTCTGACTGTACGTGCAGACTGTGCAGACCATGTCCCACACCCAGCTCACTTGGTGGATAATGCTATTCCTTCCTTGCTGGACCCAGGACTTCCCTGTCTGAGTTACATTGTGACAAACCTCGTAGCTCCTGATCTAGTGCCAGGAGGGAGGTGGAGGAAAGTCCTGGGGAGAGAGAGTTACAAGGTAGAGGCCTCTGAGTCATCTTGTGAGCGTGGGGAGGAGAACCTGGAACAGGGAGCTGTGGGCTGCGTCTGCAGGCCCTGAGGGCTCCGAGTTATCTAGAGACATTGGCATAGATATCCCCACTGCATCTCAGGGCCCCATTTTTTCTCATTAGATCCTGACTTTGCCGCAGCAGTTCTGCTCTATTCGGGAATGTAAACTTCTTGAGAATCTGGCTACTTTTATGATTAATCCTGGTCCTTATCCTCAGCTCTATCTTCTCTCCTGGCTTCAAGAGTTTCTTGTATGCTGACAAGAGGCCCTCTGGCTTTCACATTTAGCCTTTAATTGCTGATAAAACACCTTCAGCCTCTTATCATTGAGGGTCTTTTTTTTTTTTTTTTCCTGTTCAAAAGGATCTGTTTTCTCCAACAACAGCCATCCAATTCTATTGTGTCTATACTACTCTGTCCACAAGCTTAGCCTGATCTATTGCTCCCACCTGGTGTACTATCCCAGTTCACCACTGGGGACAGTGTCAATTGCATTGGTGCACATGACAGGGACTGCTGTTGCTCTACCTGCCACCAGTGATGGAGTTCTCAGAGTCTCTTTCCTAAGGTCATTCCTGGCACCAACTGTCACAGGTTAGGTTTCTGGGGAAACGGACGTCGAGATGGAAACTCACTGGGGGAAGGGGGGAATCTCAAGATGAACAACCTCAGAAGGGAAAGAAGCAGGACTGGGCAGAGGGAGAAGGTGGCCTGTGTTACAGTTGCAACAAAGGCTGTCAGTGGATCCCACAGGGATCTCTGGAGCTGGGATGGCCCTGCCTTGCAGCAAAGGGAAACAAGCATTTATACCCCTTCATTGACCAGTCACTGAATGCAAGGTGCCCCAGGAAAGGAGCATAACCTTTAGCCAGGTAGCTCTCTTTGTGGGGTAGGGGTGGGGACACACGACACTCCCAGCATCTCTGGGCATGAGGGCCTCCGTCCCAAAGAGGAAATTTGGATAATGCATCCCAGCCTTGTGCCTATTGAATGTGCGGAACATGAGGGAAGGCAATATTGAGGACACTTCTGAATTTAGAACTGGCGAGATCTTCCATTTCATTCACTTGAACTAATGCATATTTGGTCACTGTGGATGTAATAGTGAAAAAGCCAAATCTCAACTCTAGAGGTGCTTCTGGTTTGGTGGGAGAGAATGGCCATAAAAAGATCAAAAGGCCAATAATGTGGGGATTGTTGGCTCTACCCTCTCATTTTATAGAAGAGGAAACTGAGTCTCAAGGAGGCAAGATGACTTGACACAGTGTCTAAAATGAGTTGACAGCAGGTATGAACTGGGACCCCAGCCTCGCAATTCTCAGGCTAGGGTCTTCACCCCAGCCCCACAGTGTCCCTGTTACGCTTTGAAATTGTTCAAGGTCACTCACATTTTTAAATGCAAACAAAAGAAAATAATTAAAGCTAGAAGATGAAAGATTCCTCACTGCAATTCAGGAAAACTCACTTTATAAGTCTAGATTTTCTATTTGAGTTCTCATCATTGATTCAACTTGGATTCCCCTAATGGGAAATCTAATCTAATGATCCATTCAAAGATATTTTCTACCATGTTACTGAAAGCTGAAGAACTCTACTGGACAGGTAGATTAAAGGGGTTTAATCTGTTGACTTTCAAAATTTGTTTCATTCTGAATACTTGGATGGGGGACTATCATTTTTGAGCATAGCCTATCTCTTGTTAGGAGAACAGGTCAGAACAATCTCTGCTTCCTGCTTTGTTGTGTGAACATTACCTGGAGCAGTTTTCCTGGTAATCTTGGCTGCCCTCTTGGAGAAGTGAGATCATGGAACAGTGGGGGTGTGAGAGAGTTTTGTGCTGTGGGCAATGACAGCTTTTCTGGATCAAGGTAGCAGAATCAGAAAAACATCCCCATGCAAATGCTGGCAGCATCTCAGAACAGTCTGGGTGGTCAGATGGGGCCTTGGCAAGCCCCAACCCGCGAAGCAGAGGGCTGTTGTGATAACTCTGCTGACATTGGCCACACCAACCTGCTGCTGAGATTTGGTTTGGGGTGAATCATCCCTATGGCTAGAATCAGCTCAAGCAAGCAAATTCACCCACTCATTGTTTTGTTCTTGTCTGCACGTTGCCAGCTTGGACAGAATCTAGGCTCCCTCTTTGCCAAGCTTGAGCTTTCCAGAGTCAACACTGCCACTTCTGAAGGGATTCGAAGCAGCTAGAACGTAAAAACCTTTTCTTCTCGCCCAAGATACTTGAAATCCCACCATAATCAATCAATAGGCCTGGAATGTCACAAGTGATTGTCCCTTCCTTCAAGCTGTTAACTTCTTCTGTGGTATCTTTCCTTCACCGCCCCCCAAAATTTTCTACCCTTCTCCATCATAGATCTCATCAACGTTTTAATTGAGTGCTAAGAATCTAAGAGTAAAAGCATCTCAATTTTAGGCTTTATTTTTTACTTATGGTCCAAAATGTGTATGTGTTTTTCCTGTGGTCCAAAATTTATATAATATATTACATATTAAATTACAGTTTATATATTTATAATGATGATAAATACATAAATAACATATTTAAATTATTATAAATATATAAACTATATTTTATATTATATAGTATATAATAAATAAATAACATATTTACTATATCATTATAAATATATAAACTATATTATATAAATAGTATACTATAAATAAATATAAATATGTAGTATGTATTTATTTGGGACCTGGTGTTAGCACTCAGCTGAGCTCCCACATTAAGTCCCATCAACATGTTAACTCCTTCTGTGTAAAGATGCCCCAACTTTCCCAGCTTGAGGTGTTCTCGCCTGAGTGTAGTCATTGCATCGTGTATGCACTTTGAGTGAACACTTAACCACATTGTTTGAATTATTTCCCTTTTTTTTTTTTCTTTTGAGACGGAGTCTCACTGTGTTGCCCAGGCTGGAGTGCAGTGGCGCAATCTCGGCTCACTGCAAGCTCCGCCTCCCAGGTTCAAGCGATTCTCCTGCCTCAGCCTCCCAAGTAGCTGGGACTACAGGTGCCCGCCACCATGCCCGGCTAACTTTTTGTATTTTTAGTAGAGGTGGGGTTTCACTGTGTTAGCCAGGATGGTCTCCATCTCCTGACCTCGTGATCTGCCCACCTTGGCCGCCCAAAGTGCTGGGATTACAGGCGTGAGCCACCGCGCCCTGTCTATTTCACTCTTTTTATATCTTTCCCACTGAACTGAATTCCTTCCACTTACAATCGATCACATTACTCAGAATATTCTTATGACCTAATCTAGTCCTCAGCACTCTAATGACACTCAATAAATGTTTGTTGAATGCATGAACTTACAACAATGCCTGGCTCATAGAAAATGTTAAGCAAATGTGTGTTGAATAAATAAGGAGGGAAAAAATTAGTGAGCATACACTGGACACAAAGTGGATCAGTCCCTTCCAAAGATTTGCAGAACTTGGATGAGAGAACAAATTAAGGCCTACTTATCATATGTCTAAATAATTAAAGCTACACAATAAGTTAACAAACAAACTGTTATATAAAATGTTCTCTCCTTCTGCCTTGACAAATACATCTTCGGAACCAAAAGTCAACAGATACATGAAAAGTTACATATTTTGTGTTACTAAAAGTAAGCAAAATGTCAAAGATGTCCAAGTCTAATTAATATTGCAAATGTTTATTCTGTAGATAAGCTGATGATATTGGGATAAATAATAGAGGAATATGCATAATTCATAAATTATTACATATCTAGTCCATACCATTTTTTTTGCCTTCATTTCAGCAAAAGCACTGGAAGGTTTTGAGGGGGGGGTTATAATTTTTTAAATAATTTATTTTCTATTGATAGTAACACCAAATTGCATAACCCTTCTTGGATCACTGAAGTTTTTAGATATTTTTATAAAGAAATTAATTTCAAACTGGAGTGTAGCCATTTGTTGCAGGTAGTGGTTTACAGTGGCAAAAGTAGAAACAAATGGACCCATCATTATGGGGATGGCTGAATACATTTTCGCATAGTGGTACTGTATTAGTCCATTCTCACATTGCTAGAAAGAAATAGCTGAGACTGGGAAATTTATAAAGAAAAGAGGTTTAATTGGCTTACAGTTCTGCAGGCTGTACAGGAAGCATAGCAGCTTCTGCTTCTGGGGAGGCCTCAGGACGCTTCCAAATGTGGTGGAAGGCATAAAAGGGAGACAGTGTCTCACATGGCAGGAGCAGGAGGAAGACAGAGAGTAGGGAGGTGCTACATGCTTTTAAACAACCACATCTCAGGCTGGCATGGTGGCTCACGACTGTAATCCTGGCACTGTAGGAGGCCAAGGTGGGAGCATCGCTTGAGCTCAGGAGTTCAAGACCAGTCAGGGCAACACAGTGAAATCTCATCTCTACTAAAAATATAAAAATTAGCCAGGCATGGAGGCACTTGTCTGTGGTCCCAGCTACTCCAGAGGCTGAGGCAGGAGAATCACTTGAACTCGGGAGGCAGAGGTTGCAGTGAGCCGAGATCGTACCACTGTACTCCAGCCTGGATGACAGAGTGAGACCCGATCTCAAAAAATAAAATAAATAAACAAATATACAACCAGATCCATGAGAACTCACTCACTATGCAGTACCAAAGGGGGATGGTGTAAACCAGTTCATAAGAACTCTGCCCCCATGATCGAATCACCTCCCACCAGACCCCACCTCTAGCATTGTGGATTACATTTCAACATTGGATTTGGTGGGGACACTGATCCAAACCATATCAGGTACCATATTGCAAAGCCACTTAAAAGAATCAGTAGGAGCCAGATCAGTTGACTTGGAAGAATTTCCATGAGGTATTCCTGAGAAAAGCCGTATATGAAGAAGCATGTATAATCCATCACATTTCTGTAAAATAGACAATACCAAGAACTTATTCATGTGTGTGTGTATTTTTTACATATTTCTGTATGATTTATTTTAAAACGGAAGAAATCACATGATTGTTCACCTGGATTTTCTGTGAGTGTGGGGAAGGCTGGTGGTGGTAGTGACGCAGGTGTAAAGGAGATGCATTTATGAAAAGAAAAAGCAAAAACTGGTGAAAAAGAGTACTCCATGTTTGATTTGATCTCAACTTTTCAATATTTATATGAAAGACAGGAAATGAGAGGGATATTTACATCTATATTTACTGATATATAGGTATGACAATAGATATCTAATTGTCCAAACAAGTACTGTGACATTGTTTTATTTCATTCACAGTGAATCAACAAACTAAAAACCTTGCCTCTATATGTGTGTACTTTTAGATAGATGATCAAGGAGAGAGATATGGAAAGGCATGTTCCAGGCCAATTAACACTAGTTCCCCCAAGGGACTGAAATAAAAGACAGAGCAAGAGAAAGACAGTTTTTGCTTTATACACCTCTGTTTTGTTTCACTTGTTCCAAAATCATGGAACAAGTAATATATTGCCTTTACAATTTGAGAATAACAAATCCAGATATTTTTAAAATTGCAAGTCCATTAGAGACCTGGGCTTCTGACCTGATACTGCCACCTACTATCTCTATTTCCTTGAGCTAGTTCTGTAACCTTTTCAATTCTCAGTGTTCTCCTCTTCAAAATGGGGATCATAGTCTCTGACTCATAAATAGGAAGATAAATAAATTCATCCAAGGAAAAAAGCATGGTACCCAGCAAATAGGAAGCACTTCATTAAGTGTTTGCTATTATTATTACTTTTTTTTTTTTTTTTTTGAGATAGAGTCTCTCTCTGTTGCCCAGGTTGGAGTGCAATTGTGCAATCTTGCCTCACTGCACCCTCCACCTCCCGGTTTCAAGTGATTCTCCTGCTTCAGCCTCCCAAATAGCTGGGATCACAGGCACGCACCACCGTGCCCAGCTAGCTAATTTTTGTATTTTTAGTAGAGACATGGTTTTGCCATGTTGGTCAGGCCGGTCTCAAACTCCTGACCTCAGGTGATCCAAAGTGGATCCTCAGCCTCCCAAAGTGCTGGAATTACAGCCGTGAGCCACCGCACCCAGCCTGTTATTACTATTACTATCATTATTGCTCCTCCTCCTCCTATACTACAGCAAGAGCGCTTGAACCAGATGTAGGGGAGATAGCAGCTGGAGAGCATAACAGAGGCACTGACATGTGAGCAGCTAACGAGGCCTTTTACAAGACATCTGTGACCACACGGCCAAGTAGAAGAAAGCCGTTAAAAGCATCAAGGTAGTTAGGTAAAGCTGAGTCTGAAGTAAGTAAAACATTGTTACAGGATCCTTGGGGTGTCGCTTTTCTGGCCAGAAACCTCTGTAGCCAGTGGCGCCTTTGCCTGAGTTTTGCTCAGGCCCACTGGGCTCTTTCTGCCCACACGGCCTGGCAACTTATATGTATTTTTGTATTTCATGTGTACATTCGTATCTATCTGTCTATCTATCTATCTATCTATCTATCTATCTATCTATCTATCTATTCCCCACAGTGAAAATAATCTACAGGATAGGTAAATAAATTAAGGCATATTCACGCAATGGGATACGATACAGTGATGAAAATGAACTAATTATAGCTACGTGAAACTATACTCATGAACACAATTTGGTAAAAGAAACTGGAAACAAGAATACATACGGTTTTTGACAGCTGTACTATTTTACATTCCCAACAACAATGCACAGGGTTTCAGTTTCTCCACATCCTTGTCAACATTTGTTATTTTCTGGGTTTTTGATAATAGCTGTGAAAGGAAAATAAAAACTTGGGCCGGGCGCGGTGGCTCACGCCTGTAATCCCAGCACTTTGGGAGGCCAAGGCGGGCAGATCTCAAGGTCGGGAGATTGAGACCATCCTGGCTAACATGGTGAAAACCCATCTCTACTAAAAATACAAAAACAAAAAATTAGCCGGGCGTGGTGACGGGCGCGGTGGCGGGCGCATGTAGTTCCGGCTACTCGGGAGGCTGAGGCAGGAAAACAGCATCAACCCGGGAGGCGGCGCTTGCAGTGAGCCAAGATCGCACCACTGCACTCCAGCCTGGGCGACAGAGCAAGACACGGTCTCAAAAGAAAAAAAGAAAAAAAAAACTTGGTACCCCAGTTCCTTCTGCCAAAAGGAAACAATTAAGCTGAAAGCTGAGTCATGCAAGAAGTTGCCTTTTCTTTTGTCCCTAAGCAGAGAGCTATTAAAAGTTATGGCAAAAACCGCGATTACTTTTGCACCAACTAAAATAATAGCTGATGACCTAAGACATCTCTCTGCACTCACTTTCTGTCTCGGCTGTGCTTTTCACTCTTCCTCCTTCCTCCAAATGTTAGGAAAATGAGTCCAACAAGAAATACATCCATAAAGCAAAGGCATTCTGGTGACTCCTGTACACATCATGACTGTCCACCCAAAGCCTGGCATTGCCTCTAGGAAGTCCTTAAGACACAACTGTCAGTAATGAGAAAATCTAGACAACTTCAGTCAAATCAGCAGACATCATCCTTACCTCTTCTTTAGCCTAACCCTGGATACATACTTTTCCACGATAACAGTCAAGTTTATTTACACTGACTCTCTTGTAAATACCTAAGGTGTTTGTCTCTGTCTTCTACTAGACTGAGTTTCTTAAGGGAAAGGGACTTGTTCTCCTTTTAATCCCTACTGCCTGGCATAGGGCTCAATTCATAGTCACCTCCTGGTAAATTCTTAATGGAATGAACACATTAATGAATGAATTTACAAAAACTTCTTCCAGGTACCCAGGACTAAATAGCCTGTTTGGTTTGTCTGTTTTTTTCTTAATAACATCCAAAGATGCTACCTCTCTCCTTCCTTTATCTTTATGAGGCAGTCTGGTTAGATGGCAAGGAAAAGAAAACGTGGGAAGAAGGTAAGTGAATTACACCAGGATCTGAAAGGAAACAGATAATGCTAGTGATTGTTCTTGTCAGCTTGTAATAGGCAGGATATAAATACACGTTAGAGAGGAGGAAATTCAAAACAGGTACAGGGAAGCAGGTTCAAAGCTTTGAAGACTAGTGTGTTCAGAACCTGCTTACTCAGGCAATTAGACCGTGTCATTGTCTTGAGATAAAATTCTGTGAGCCCGGGAGCCCCACCCCTTCCTGCTCATTTCTTTAGAGAAGAAATTATCTTTCAAGGGGTGAGGTCTGGTTTAAGGATAAGTGCTTTCCCCTTTATCACGAGCCCAAGTTATTGGAGAGGAGTGCTGCCTTTCTTCTTGGTGGCCCCCAATCCCACCTTTTTTGCTAAACCTTAATTTTTGAAACATTAATGAAACATAAAACCCCGGATTATAGCTTTCACTGGACCTACCATGAACTACTTAAATTTATCTTGTTTTTGTTAATGTAGTTGTTTTCATCTAGAAAAAAAAAAACAGTCGATAACACACAGATGGGTATTTTGAGTTCAGGAAAATGACTTCCCTTGTCCGTGGCAACTTGTAACCAAAGGACTCAAAGTCCTTTATCCTGCTATCCTGTGAACTAGAGGGTAGCTACCGTAGACGACAAGATGGAGTGTGCAAATTGTGCTTCCTGGAACTCCAGGGGTTCGGAAGCCATCACTTTGCAAGGGAAACCAACAGCCTGATGCTGATGTCTGGTTAAACTCCACACCAGAAAGACAGGGTGTGCAACGGGAAATGGAGGGGCAAAAATCAAGTGCTTGGCTATCATGCAGCTAGCCAGCTTGACAAAATGCAGAAGGACGCAGAGAGAAATTCTTAAGAGCCCAGCCAGCTCCTGCAGACCTTATGGAGCTGCTCTGCACCTCCGTGCATCCTAGTTGCCTGAGTTCTGTGTTCCAAATGTGGAAAATGCCACTGCCTCCTGTTCCTAAGAACTCCCAGGAAGAACTCTGCAGGCTCAGTCTTTTTTAACTGGCATGCAGAGTGCACATAATGGCTAGTGCATGATGTCATGCACATCCGTGTGAAGAGACCACCAACAGGCTTTGTGTGAGCAATAAAGCTTTTTAATCACCTGGGTGCAGGTGGGCTGAGTCCGAAAAGAGAGTCAGCAAAGGGAGATAGGGATGGGGCAGTTTTATAGGACTGGGGTAAGCAGTGGAAAGTTACAGTTAAAGGTGGTTATCTATTGTCAGCCTATGAGGGGGTCACAAGGTGCATGGTGGGGAGATCATAAGACTCATTGTCCAGAAGAAGAATGTCACAAGGTCGATCGATCGATCAGTTGGGGCAGGGAAGGAACAAGTCATAATGGAATGTCATAAGGTTGTTCAATCTGTTAAGACAAGAGCTGGCTGTTTCACTTCTTTTGCACTTCTGATTGCCTCAGGCCATCTGGATGTATATGTGCAGGCTTGGGCTCAGAGGCCTGACACATGAAGCAAAGCACTTGCTTACATCTGTTTGCGTATTTTATTTGTTTGTTTGTTTGTTTGTTTTTAGAGCTAGGGTCTTGCTCTGTTGCCCAGGCTGCAGTGCAGTGGCATGACTGTAGCTCACTGCAGCCTTGAATTCCAGGGTTCAAGCAATCTCCCCAAGTAGCTACGACTACAGACATATGCCACCACTCCTAATTTTAAAAAATATATTTATATTTTTTAGAGACAGGGTCCTGCTATTTCCCAGGCTGGTCTCGAACTCCAGAACTCGGAGGCCCTAGCCATCCTCTCAAGTTGTTGAGATTACAGGTGTAAGCCACTGCACCTGGCGGTTGTGTATTAGATATTTAGATGTGTGGATACAGTTGTGTATTAGATATTTAGATATCTAAATACGTGGGCTCCAAGTCCCTGATTTATTTCTAGAGCAACTGGATAAAGGGCTCAGGAAAACTTCCTCAGCTGGCTTGTGGTGCTAAAGAAAGATTTTTCTAGAATGGAGTCCAAATTAATGCTCAAATGCCTTCTATGGCCAGGCCGGGAATAAGTGAAAGAAAAAATACGGGAGATTACAAATTCAGCTGATTGTGTTTTTGTAGAAAGCAAAATGTTTCCTCTTCAAAATTTCACTTCCTGTTAAAGAATAAATCATAAGTGTTAGAAATAATCATTTCTTTTAAAGACTAATTTTCTTCAAGCCTCCTTGCTTTGTGCTAACAACTCTTTGTTAAGCCCTATCCTGTGTAACTGTTGGACATGCTCACAGGCACATTCCAGTTCATAGCTTATGCCCCTTCCTTATTTGGAAATGTTATTTCTTCCTTAAACCTTTTGTAAGCAACTTCTTCTCCTTCTTTGTTCTTCCCTGCACTTACTTATTTCGGAAAGTTTTAGGCTATTAGCTAATCGGGTGTCAGTTTAATATTGAGAGGTCCTGCTCCAGTCAATGGATGCAGGATACAACAGTAAGGACGACCCAAATGTGTAAGGATAAATATATCTGCTTTTCCTTTGTTCAGGTGTGCTCTCTTTGTTCAGGTGTGCTCTCTTTGTTCAGGTGTGCTCTGTGACTGAGCACCCTTTCTGCAGAAAGTAAAGATTGCCTTGCTGACAGATCTTTTGTCTCTGTGCTGACTTTTCTTCAAGGCACCAATGATCTATTTCTAACAATTTTGGTGGCAATCATACAGGGATACATTCTCCTTCAGGGGTGTCTCTAGTCCTCTTTCATGAGGTGGCGCCCCAGTGCCTCTTGCAGTGGCCTCAGGGGTAGAGGTCCGAGACCCACCTGGTGTGATGAATAAGCAATACAGAAAGAAACTGGCCAGCAACCTGGGGTAAATGATCCTCACATACCATGGTGAGTACTCTCTGCACAGACCAAGGAAGGAAAAGCCGCAGGAGCTGGTGAAGTACTTCCTTGGTGGTCAAATTCTGGAGGGCTGAATGTGTGTGCACGTGAATGATCACAGACAACTCTGCTTGCAATGTTGTGTGGATGGTGACAAGTCCTACTGCTGGATGGAGTGAGTGGGTCCTCTCTGCAGTTCCATAACTACCTCATATGGCTTAGGGCGGATCCTGCCATGGGATTTCTACCAGCACGCCAATGCTAAGAGGGGCCTAATTCTCCCTTGGGGGAGTGGCCAGAGAGGAGAACACGAATAGGAAGTGTGCAAGGGACCTTCAGAGGGGGAAAGGGAGGAAACAGGTCGACCTCCGAGGGCAGGCAAGGCAAGACACCCACTGGTTTGAAGGGTTGAGATTTCCAGGGCAAGCAAGGCAAGACACCCCTCATTTGAGGGGTTGAGACTTCCAGGACAGGCACAGCAAGACACCCCTGGTTTCAGGGGTTGAGCCTTCTGCTAATTTCAGGGATTGAACCTCAAAAAGAGGTGAGAAATCCTCATTGGGGGGATTTGAACCTCAAAGAGGTGAGAAATCCCCATTGGTGGGGGATTGAACTGTTACGGGTGGGTCATTGTTCTTAGAGCTCCCAAGATGGTGGCAGGCTGCCCCAAAATGGGGGCAGCCACTCCCAAGATGGCAGCAAGCTTTTTGTTCTCTGACCTGGGGTTCTTGACCTCACGAATTACAAGGAGTGGAACCTTGGGCCGTGCGGTGAGTGTTATAGTCTATTAGAAGCCATGGGTCATGGAAGAGAACCGTGGAACCCAGCAACTTGTGTTCAGCTCGATTAGGACAAACCAGGGCACTTAGCCATGCAGGAACAATGGTTAGCCTCTAGCCCCAACAGGAGCGGCAATGGGCACCTCGCTGGATCAGAAACACAGCGGACACCCTGCCAGATCCAGAGGGGTGAAAGTCAACAGTGGGTCTGTGACGGCAGCGTTTAGCAGTGGGTGGACAGCAAGCAAAAGCTCAACTCGAGCCGGAACAAACACAGACCAGAAGAGTGTGCAGTTGCAAGATTTAATAGAGTGAAAACAGAGTTCCCATTCAATGGGAGGGGACCCAAAGGGGGTTGCCACTGCCTCTCAAATACCTGTGTTTATATCCCAATCACTGTCCCTCCCCCTGTGCTCTCAGGTGATAGATGATTGACTATTTCTTTACCTCCTGCTTTTAGCCTAATTGGTAGTTTAGTGAGCTCTCTTTACTACCTGATCGGTCAGATGTAAGCTGAGTTACAAGCCCTATATTTTAAAGGTGGGTGTGGTCACCTTCCCCAGCTAGGCTTAGGAATTCTTAGTCAGCCTAGGAAATCCAGCTAGTCCTGTCTCTCAATCCCCCCTCTCAACAGGAAAACCCAAGTGCTGTTGGGGAAGTTGGCCGATGACCGTTCTAACTGCTTCCTGCTGAATTGGGGCATAGGAGGGGTCTCGCAGTTCAGATTTCCTCAGGAGGGGTGCCTTCGATGTCATCAACATCGGAGCATGGGCTAGCAGGCCAGTCCAAGGGTCTGTGGTTGATCTTAGTCATAGACTGCATCTGGGGCTCCATTTGAAGAACAATTTGTAGTTTTACAGTTTTGATTCTGGAAGAGACAAACTTAACAAGGAGGTTAAAGATACAGGGATTGAAATGTATGGCCTGAAGTGCAGGGGCAAATGGGTGTGGGTGGTGAAAATGGGGTTTCCTTTAGAAAAACTCCTATACAGTGGGGCATCAATATTTCTGGGAAGCCATGCTCTCCATAGAAGCTCTTGGTAAGGGGAGCTACTGGTAGTACAGCAGCATGCAAGAGGTGCAGTGAGAGTGCAAGAGAGTAAGAGAACAGTAAAGAGAAATATATGACAAGGGAGGGCCATGGGCATCTGCGATTCTAGTTACTTTCCTCATGGTTGTCACTTGAAGAGCAGGTGCAGATCCTCTAGAGGTTCACAGGAATAACTAGCATTGTCTCCTGGAGTGAGGGGATTACTTTCAAGTATTCCATTATCACTGACCAGTGCATACCCCACCTTTTGAAGTCCTTTTTCTACAAAGGAACTTCCATCAGTATACAAGTTGAGGTCAGGATCAGTCAAGGGAACTTCTAGAAGGTCCCCTCAAGTGGCGTAGGTTTGAGCAATTGTTGACAGTTATGCATCTTTTCTTCATTGTCTGTAAGAAATGTGGCTGGGTTAAGAGTTGCACAAGTGCGCAGTCACAGCACTGGCCCTTCAAATAATAGAACCTGATATTTAAGCAGAAGGTTGTCTGACAGCCACAAGTCTCCTTTAGCAGTGAGTATGCCGTTCACATCATGAGATGTCCACATGTAAGATCTCTTCCCTTTATCATTTTAACTGCTTCAGATACTAATACTGCTACTGCTGCCACTACGCATAAACAGTGAGGCCAACCCTTTGCCACTACATCAATTTCCTTACTCAGGTATGCCACAGGTTGCAAGCTGGTCCCTCGGACCTCTGTAAGGACTCCTAGAGCTACTCCTGTCTTTTCTGTGACATATAAAGAAAAGTCTTGCCCATCGGCAAGCTTAACACTGGGGCTTGCGTTAGGGCCTTCTTTAGGGCCTGGAAAGCAGCTTGTGCTTCAGGTGTCCATTCTACTAAATGGGTATTGGCTTTCTGAGTTTCCTTAATTAGTGTGTGTAATGGCCCCTGCTTTTGCTAGAATGTCTCTCCCTAACACAGGAGTGGGTCTTTCAGGCAAAATTAGAAAACCATGTGAAAAGAGTAAAGTACCCTAGTCACAACTTAGTGACCGCGAGAAGTATCTAGTGACTGGCTGTCCTAGGACCCCTTGGATTTTGACAGATCTGGAGGACAGTTGTCTGGGACAGGAGAGTAAGACTCAGAAGGCCATGCCAGCGTCCAGGAGATAGTTAACCTCCTGGCCCTCAATGGTCAAGCATACCCGGAGCTCTGTGAGGGTGATGGCATGGGCTGACACTTGTGCTGGGCACCCTCAGTCCTGCTGCTGGATCATCTGGTTAGTGGCTTCTGACTCAAGAGGACCTTTGTTCCCTGGGGCAGTGGGCCTTCCAGTGATTCCCTTGACATAAGGGGCATGGACGAGGGGGCAGCTTATTTCTATTCAGACAATCTTTTTTAAAGTGTCCTTGGAGACCGCACTGGAAGCAAGTCCTATTAGGCATTTGATTTGCCCAGCCTTTCCCTTTTCCAGAGCCTCCAAAGTCCGCTTGCCTGAGGGCCATGACTAAAGCGGTGGCCTTTTTTTTTTTAAATCCCATTTGTCCCATTCCACCTGCTCCTCCTGATCTCTATTATAAAAAGCTGAGGTTGCCAAGTTCAATAGGGTTTCTAAGTTTTGCTGCGGGGCTAAGGTGGACTTTTGAAGTTTTTTCTAATGTCTGCAACTGACTGAGTGATAAGCTTATCCTTTAAGATTAGTTGGCCTTCAATAGAGTTAGGTGACAGAGAGGTATGCTTCCTCAATGCCTCCCTTAGTCTCTCCAGAATGGCAGTAAGATTTTCTTCTTTCCCTGTGTTATAGTGGACATCATTGAATAATTTATAGGCTTCTTCCTAGTTTTCCTTAGACCTTTTAGCACTCAAGTTAGCAAATGTCTGCGGCACCAATCTCCAGGTTCTGATTCTGTGTCCCAGTGAGGGTCTACACTGGCAACTGCCTGCTGGCCAGTGGGGAATTGTTCTCTTTCCTCTGTTGTCATCCTATCATTGACCTGACTGAGATACCAGAGATCGCCAAACTCTCGGGCTGCAGTTACGGCGGTACTTCTGTCATTTGGGGTGTCTGATCTAGCAGTAACATATCTCTCTATGTCAGATCAAAGGATTGTCCTAACCCTTGTAAAACATCAATATAGCCATCAGGATTATCTGAGAATTTACCTAGGTCTATTTTAATTTCCTTCAAATCTGAGAGGGAAAAAGGTACATGCACTCTGACTGGGCCAAATTCTCCTCCTCCCACCACTTGGAAGGGGCATAACCAGGGAATACTGGCACTCTTTGGTTCATTGTTTACCCCTTTTTCTATCTCTTTCTGTACCATTTGGGTTGAAGGGGGGTCCTTATTAGTTGAGGAAGGAGCTGGGGGACACCGGGGTAGGGAGGTAGACTCTGAGGGCTTCCTGTAGGGCATAAATAACACTTTTTACATAATTGTGAGTTGTTTATTAATGAAAAGAAAGTTTGCACATATGGCACTTCACTCCATTTGCCCTCTTTTCTACAAAAGAGTTCTAGCTGTAAGATGGTGTTATAATTTATACTTCCCTCAGGAGGCCAGGTTTCTCCCCCTTAAAGAGGATATTGTGGCCAGGCGGTACTGCAGAAGAATATAAGTCATTCTTTCTCAGCATCTGAGGGCCAAATTGGTCCTAATTCTCCAGAATACATCTTAGGGGCGTTTTTCCCTTGAGGGGAATGTTTCCCATCTGGAAAAAGAAAATAGGGATGCCAGCACCCTTAGTCATTTTCCGATGAGCATTAGTTCTAGAGCATCTCTATGGTCCTAATGCTTATTCTTTTCCAGGGTGCATAAGCACCCATGGACCTCTGCTTATCAGATTATTTATGCTCACTGATGTAGCAGTCCTGCACCTGTTTTGCCGCCTTTCTTGACCACAAAGAAGGGGGTACAGACTGCTGGATTCCAGTGGTCCTTTACCAGCATGCCCAACATTGCCTTTGCGCTCAGAGGTGAGTTCTAGAGCTGGGCTGGGTTCCTGAGTATTTGATAACAACCCAGTTGCCCCATCAAGATGCATTCCAATAAACAACAGTTCTTATGAAAATTCATTTCAGAGAGGGTGTAGGTAACCTTCTAAGTCAGGATTGAGATAGAGTTTTTTTTTTAAGATAAACATTTTTTCCAAAGCGAACTTCCTTTATGTCTGTGGACTAGACTGGCTAAGGCCACAAGATTAGAAGTTAGGATAATACAGGTTACACTGTTAACTTTTAGCAAACTTTACTTTTGTTGAAAACCTTCTAAGTTTGGGATTTCAATTATCCTTTGCTATTAATAAGACCTTGTTTAGTCCAAATTAACTTAGAATTTGTATAGATGGTTTTTTTTATTATGCAAGTACTTTAAGGCTTGGCTGAGTACAAACAGCTTGCACGTTTGGACAGACCATTTATTAGGCAATTTTCCTAACTCTGCTTTTACAAGAGTTTCCCTATCGATTACTGAATACCCACTGTGTCTTTTTATTCCTCAATCACCCGGGAGGAACCATCTATCGTCCTGTTCTGAAGGGAGTTTCTCCTAGGTTTGGTTGGACCTTTGTATGGTAATTAAGATTTAAACACCCTGTTAGGAAATGTGCTGGGTTAAGGGAATTTTCAGTGGTTAATGTTAAACCATCTTTTTCTAACAGAATAGCCCTATACTTTAAGATTTTTGAGTTAGTAAGCTACCTTTTTGCCTTTTATTTACTTAGGATACTTCTAAACTGGTGAGATGCGCTCACAGTGAGGTTTTCTCTAAAAGTTATTTTTCTACTTTCTTCTGCTAGCAAAGCAGTTGCTGCTACAGATTGAATGCATTTGGGCCACAGATTGAATGCATTTGGGCCATCCGTGGGCTATGGGGTTGAGGATTTTTGATATGAAGGCTACGGTTGTCACTGGTCTCAGTGCTTTCGGGCTACGCCCTTGTTTACACTGACAACAAGTTGGTATTGGAGTGTTATAGAGTCCTGGAGAAGACCTTCAATTATTAATTATAGTTCCTAAATTTACCTTGCTTTTAAAGTAATAGGGTACACTATTTTTTCTTTACTGTTTCTCTCTCTGTCTTTGACTTTCTCTCTTCTCTCTCTTTAGACTACCTGTCTCTCTCTTCTCTCTTTCCCTTCTCTCTCTCTCTCTCCTCTCTCTCTTTCCCCTTTTTCCTTCTTTTCTGTCTCTCTTTCCTCTCTTTTTGTAGATGGATTTTGGGAACACAGTGGAAGGATGTTTGCTCGTTGCCCCCATTTGCCACTGTAGGAATATGCGCCTCCCTTTAATTTACTCAGTTCGCTTTCATCCTGATCTATTATATTGTTGTAGACCTAGTTCCAGTTGTTAAAGCACTGGGTTATCAGTTCTAAGGTCCTGGCCAAGGAGCCAAGGCTTGGACATTGTATTGCAGTGGGGTAAGCTCTGGGTAGAAATTGGGGGAGGAGAGCATCTTACACAATGGGAGAGCAATCCTCCTAGCCATTTACAAACCTGGGGCTATGGCTCATAATAGAACTTGGGGCTCTGGCAAGGATGGTGGGGAACGAGTCCCATATAACTGCCCATGTGGAGAGCTATATACCTAAATTAGGAGGGGCACCAGGGGCAAGACTCCCTGGGTTCATAGCATAGATGCCTAAGGACACAGCATAGAGCTTCCCTAGATCCCTTTGGAGGTACAACTTGCTCTAATACTTGGGAGAGGAAGTGAAAGTCTGAATCATTAGTATCTAGGAGGCAGGGATCAGAGGAAGTAGATTCAGAGGTAAGGAGAATTTTGGGGCTACACTTCCAAGAAAGTCGTGTTTCGGACCCAGGAGGTATGGGTCACAAGGAGAGATAGGGGCGCACACATGGGCGGCTGTTGAGTAGAGACTTCTGGCTGCACCATGATCTTGACCAGCCAATGCCAGGAGTTCAGGATGATAGCTTTCTGCCTCTAGTCGGCCCTCGGCTTCCCCCAGGAAATTGTGAAAGCAGAAGCTGGTTCCAGGCAGACCAATCCTCCCAACCCAGAAGGGCTGGAGGTTATTAGAAAACCTTTACCCAGGAAGCCTCACACCTGAGTCTTAAGTCCGCTGGCCACGGTAATAATTTTTAACTGGCTGAGAGTTGCCTGGTATTTTCATCCAATTCTTTTTTTTTTTTTTTTTTTTTGAGATGGAGTCTCCCTCTGTCACCCAGGCTGGGGTGCAGTGGCACGATCTCGGCTCACTGCAAGCTCTGCCTCCCGGGTTCAAGTGATTCTCCTGCCTCAGCCTCCTGAGTAGCTGGAATTACAGGCACGTGCCACCACGCCAGGCTAATTTTTTGTATGTTTCAGTAGAGACAGGGTTTCACTGTGTTAGCCAGGATGGTCTCGATCTCCTGACCTTGTGATCTGCCTGCCTCGGCCTCCCAAAGTGCTGGGATTACAGGCATGAGCCACCACGCCTGGCCTATTTTCCTCCAATTCTAAGGAAGGATAGGACAGAATAGCAAGCAAAAGTGGTCCAATATTACTCACCACTTTGGAGAATCCCCGTACAGTTGCCACCAAATGTTACGGGTGGGTCTTTGTTCTTAGAGCTCCCAAGATGGTGGCGGCCACTCCCAAGATGGCAGCAAGCCTTTTGTTCTCTGACCTGGGGTTCTTGGCCTCATGAATTCTGAGGAATGGAACCTTGGGCCATGCGGTGAGTGTTATAGCTCTATTAGAAGCCATGGGTCACGGAAAAGAACTGTGGAACCCAGCGACTAGTGTTCAGCTCGATTAGGATGAACCCAGGCACTTAGCCATGCAGGAACAATGGCTAGTCTCTAGCCTGAACGGGAGCGGCAAGGGGCACCTCGCTGGATCAGAAACACAGCAAGACTCTGCCAGATCTGGAGGGGTGAAAGTCAACAGTGGGTCTGCGATGGCGGTATTTAGCAGTGCGTGGATGGCAAGCAAAAGCTCAGCTCAAGCCGGAACAAACACAGACCAGAAGAGTGTGCAGTTGCAAGATTTAATAGAGTGAAAACAGAGCTCCCATTCAACAGGAGGGGACCCAAAGTGGGTTGCCACTGCCGGCTCAAATGCCTGTATTTATATCCCAATCACTGTCCCTCCCCCTGTGCTCTCAGGCAATACGTGATTGATTATTTCTTTACCTCCTGCTTTTAGCCTAATTGGTGGTTTAGTGAGCTCTCTTTACTACCTGATTGGTCAGATGTGAGCTGAGTTACAAGCCCTGTGTTTTACAGGTGGGTGCGGTCACTTTCCCCAGCCAGGCTTAGGAATTCTTAGTCGGTCTAGGAAATCCAGTTAGTCCTGTCTCTCAGAACCTCTCACAAACCTCCGGTAGTAAGAAAAATACTCAGAAGTCCCCTTTTGCCTTCTTCTCAGGGGAAGCTCCACTCCTGCTGGTCGCTCCCTTAGGGGAAGGGGAACGGGAAGGAGAAGGGAGAACAGCAGCATAAGTGGCTAGCAGAGGCAAGGGAAAGACCAGCAGAGAGGAAAGAGAAACTGGGAGAGGAAGTCAGAGAGAAAGAGAGAGACAGAAGTACTAAAGAGAAAACAGTGTACCCTATTCCTTTAAAAGCCAGGGTAAATTTCAAACCTATAATTGATAATTGAAGGTTTCCTCCGTGACCCTGTAACACTCCAATACTGCCCATAAAGAAGCGGGAAGCCAGTTAGTGCAAGATCTTAGAGCTATTAATCAGATAGTCCAAACTACCCACCCTGTTGTTATGGTAATAGATTTAAAAGATGCCTTCTGAGCTTGTCTGTTAGCAGAGGACAGCCAGGACCTATTTGCAAGTGAGAAGACTGTCACTCCAATCAAAAGTAGTAATACCAATAGTCTTACCCCAAGGGTTTATGGAGTCTTCAAACTTATTTAGTCAAATATTCGAACAAGTCATTTAATTAGCAAAGGTAAATGGAAAATTGAGCCTGAACAGATTGAAAGCTTAATTCTTGCCCCTGCCAGAGACTAAGCAAGAGCTTAGAAAATTTTAGAATTAGTCGGATGGATACTATAGTCTATGGGTAGACACTTATGCCCTAAAAAAGAACGCTTATACAAAAAGCTCACATAAGACTGGCCAAACCCCTTCATTTGGCAATTACCAGAAATCCAACACTGGCCATCAGAGAAATGCAAATCAAAACCACTATGAGATATCATCTCACACCAGTTAGAATGGCAATCATTAAAAAGTCAGGAAACAACAGGTGCTGGAGAGGATGTGGAGAAATAGGAACACTTTTACACTGTTGGTGGGACTGTAAACTAGTTCAACCATTGTGGAAGTCAGTGTGGCGATTCCTCAGGGATCTACAACTAGAAATACCATTTGACCCAGCCATCCCATTACTGGGTATATACCCAAATGACTGTAAATCATGCTGCTATAAAGACACATGCACACGTATGTTTATTGCGGCATTATTCACAATAGCAAAGACTTGGAAGCAACCCAAATGTCCAACAATGATAGACTGGATTAAGAAAATGTGGCACATATACACCATGGAATACTATGCAGCCATAAAAAATGATGAGTTCATGTCCTCTGTAGGGACATGGATGAAATTGGAAATCATCATTCTCAGTAAACTATCGCAAGAACAAAAAACCAAACACCGCATATTCTCACTCATAGGTGGGAATTGAACAATGAGATCACATGGACACATGAAGGGGAATATCACACTCTGGGGACTGTGGTGGGGTGGGGGGAGCGGCGAGGGATAGCATTGGGAGATATATCTAAGGCTAGATGACGAGTTAGTGGGTGCAGCGCACCAGCATGGCACATGTATACATATGTAACTAACCTGCACAATGTGCACATGTACCCTAAAACTTAAAGTATAATAAAAAAAAAAAAGGAAAAAAAAAAAAAGGAAAGGTTAAAACATCTATTAGTAACTGCCCCGTCCTAGTTTTACCCTCTTTAAGCAACCATTCCACCTTGTTGTCAGTGTAAACAAGGGCATAGCCAGAAAGCACTGAGGCCACTGACAACACGTAGCCTTCCTAATAAAAAACCCTTAACCCAGTAACCTGCGGATGGCCCAAATGTATTCAATCTGTAGTGGCAACAGCTTTGCTAACAGAATAAAGTAGAAAAATAACTTTTAGAGGAAACCTCATTGTGAGCACACCTCACCAGATCAAAACTATCTTAAGTCAAAAAAAAAAAAAAAAAAAAAGCAAAAAGGTAGCTTACTGACTCAAGAACCTTAAAGTATGAGGCTATTCTGTTAGAAAAAGATGACTTAACATTAACCACTGATAATTCCCTTAACCCAGCAGGTTTTCTAACAGGGGATCTAAATCTTAATTACCATACAAAGGTCCAGACCTAGGAGGAACTCCCTTCAGTACAGGACAATAGATGGTTCCTCGGGGGTGATTGAGGGAAAAAGCTACAATGGGTATTCAGTAAGTGATAGGGCCTTTTGTAGAAGTAGAGTTAGGAAAATTGCCCAATAATTGGTCTGCTCAAACGTGTAAGCTGTTTGCTTTCAGCCAAGCCTTAAAGTACTTACAGAATCAGGAAGGAGTCATCTATACCAATTCTAAGTTAATTTGGACTGAATGAGGTCTTATTAATAGCAAAGAACAATCAAAATCCCAAACTTACAAGGTTTTCAACAAAAGTAAAGTTTGCTAAAAGTTAACAGTGTAACTGGTATTATCCTAACTTCTAATCTTGTGCCCTTAGGCAGTCTAGTCCACAGACATGAAGGAAGTTCACTTTGGAAAAGAATGATTATCATCTTTGGAAAAAAAAAAAAAGGGAGAATTTATGTAAAAAGAATGTAATATGGTAAATTCTTGTCCTAAAATAAATTAACTGGTTGTTTAAAGAAAGGGATGTTTACAAGTCAGAAAATTGAGGCATGTCAAAGAATTGTCTGTGATAGTCATGAAAAGTTATACAAGGGAATTTATGCAAGAAATTTTGTATAATTTAAAAGTAATTAGGCCTCCCAAATGTAAAATTATTGAAGAAACAGTTTATGTGCCAGATGTGTAAGGAACGAAGGCACGAAGGACTATAAAGTCCACTGCCGATGTCCCCACATTTAAAACAAAAGGTCAGTTCCTCAGAAATTATATATTTGATTTATCTTCCACTTTCCTTTCCCTCACAACTAAAAGTCTTTTAGCACAGGTGCTACCCCTAGAATTTCCGGTAAACCAGCACCAGCCTGAGGATCACGTTCTCTTCAAAGGGTGGAAAGAAGGGAAACTCGAGCCAGCCTGAGAAGGACCCTACCTTGTGCTGCTAACCACTGAGACTGCTGTTTGTACAGCAGAAAGGGGATGGACACATCACACCTGAGTCAAGCAAACGCCATTATCATCAGAATCATGGGCCATTGTTCCTGGATCAAGCCCTACCAAATTAAAGCTAAGAAAAGCTTAGTCTGTCTTTTCCTTTCCTTTCCTTACCCAGTGCTTATATCCATTACTATTCCTACCACTAGCAACTCTAACCCCACTTTAGAGTGTTTTTATGGTTTAGGAGCAGAGGTCACTGGAAAGGATCCTACAGACTTCTTTGAGATGCACTTCGTTCTCCCTCCTCCACCTCCTACAACTGTCCCTTTCCCAAACCTATGAAATCAAAGTATGCCTCGCCTCATGCCAAATTACAAAAGCAAGGTCTCAGTAGTAGAAATAGGAGACCTAAGGCAAACCATAGCCATTGAAACAGGGTATAAAGATGTAAATGCCTGGTTAGAATGGATTAAATATTCCGTTCGCACTTTAAACAAATGCGACTGTTATGCTTGTGCGCATGGTAGGCCAGAGGCCCAGGTTGTCCTCTTTCCACTAGGATGGTCCTCAGGTCAAGTGGACATGGAGTACGTGGTAGCTCTTTTTCAAGATTTCACCGCCTGGAATAACGAATTGTGCCAAGCTCTTTCTCTGCTATTTCCCCTGAAATTCAACACCCTGTGGGTCAGCCCCCAAGGACCATCCAGCCTCCATCTTCCAAGACCAATTTTACCTCGTGTCTCCAATGACAAGGGGAAAAATTTGGCATTCCTTGGAGACTTAACAGGATGCAGTGAAGTCAGGCACTTTCAAGAGCTGACCCATCAGTCCGCCCTTATTCATCCCTGAGTGGATGTAAGGTGGTATTATGGAGGACCTTTACTGGACACTCTGCCAAATAATTAGAGCAGTACTTATGCTGTAGTTCAATTGGCTATCCCTTTTACTCTGGCATTTCATCAACCAGAAAAAGAAGAAAAAGAAAAAAGAAAAAAAAATGTAGCCTCAATTCTTACCTCTTTAACAACTATAATAAGTATACTCCTTCTTCTTCAGTGTTGTGTTGTACCCATACATCCAGGAGTTAATCAAAACAACTAAGCCAAGACATGTTAAGCAAGTTTGAAGAGGAAAACTATAAAGTAATAGAGGAGGGAATTGTAGAAAGTAAAAAGTTTCCTCGTCAAAGTTTCCCTTCTTGTTAAAGAATAAATCATAAGTGTTAAAAATAATAGTTTCTTTTGAAGACTAACTTTCTCCAAGCCTTCTTGCTTTGTGCTAATAACTCTTTGTTAAGCCCTATCCTATGTAACTGTTGGACATGCTCACCGGCACGTTCCAGCTCATAGCTTATGCCCCTTCCTTATTTGGAAATATTATTGCTTCCTTAAACCTTTTGTAAGCAAGTTCCTCTCCTTTGTTCTTCCCTGCACTTACCTATTTAGGAAAGTTTTAGGCTATTAGCAAATTGGATATCAGTTTAAGACCGTGAGGTCCCACTCCAGCCAATGGATGCAGGACAGAGCAGTAAGGACGACCCAAATGTATAAGGGATAAATATGTCTGCTTTTCCTTTGTTCAGGTGTGCTCTCACCATTGTTCCATCTGTGATTGAGCACCCTTTCTGCAGAAAGTAAAGATTGCCTTGCTGAGAAATCTTTTGTCTCCATGCTGACTTTTCTTCATGGCACTGATTTTCTATTTCTAACCATTTTGATATTTCTAACAGTTTTTTAAATCATTGGCCAACAATACTAAACAGTGCTGTGGATGGGCCATCTTTTGTTGCCAGGTGTGATTCTGTGAAATATTATTTGGTCCCCTTTCCTGGCATACAACTCCTAAAATCCTTGGAATCTCCAAAGTACTGTCTTTTTGTATGCTAGTGTTGACTGATAGCTTAAGGGTGGAGCTGGTCACAGGAAAGACCAAGGCATGATTAGAGGGTTGGGCTCTCAGCCACACCCCACAACCTCCTGGGAGCAGGCAGGGGCTGAATGAAGGTCAAGCTGACCACCAATGGATAATGGTTTAAGCAATCATGCCTATGTAATGAAGCCTCCCTAGAAACCCAAGAGGAACGTGGAGGCTCCTGGAGGTTGACTCCTGGGAGGCCATGGCAGCTCCAAGCTCCTTCCCTCACACCTCGCTTTGACACAAGAGCTAAAAATAAATTATTTAGGCAGTTAGTGAGGGTAAGAGAGCCCTTGGTAAGGCTTCCTTTTTAATGAAAACAGCCCCCCAAATCATTTCTTTTCCAACAAAAAGCAGCCTGAAAAATCAAGCTGCAGACATAGAAAAGCAAGCTAGAAGCTTGCATGGGTAAATGCCAGCAGCTGTGCCAATAAGAAAAGGCTACCTGGTGGCCAGGCATGTTCAACATGGAGGCTTCATCTTCCCTTTTCTTTGTCAACCACATGTACAGTAAGGAACAGACAACACGGTGTTGACCAGGTAGAGAGCCCATTGGCATAATAAAGATTAGGGTGGGGTGGCCAGCTTCTTCATGTAAATGGCACATCTGGTCCGACCAATCTTTTGGGCCCTACATAAATCAGACACCGCCTCCTTAAGCTTATCTATAAAACCCTGTGCATTTCACCACAAAGCCAGAAGATCCGCTTGGGAGCCCATCTCTCTCTGCAGGGGAGAGAGTTTTCTCTTTCTCTCTATTAAACCTCCACTCTTAAACTCACTCCTGTGTGTTCACATCCTTGATTCCCTTGGCGTGAGGCAATGAAGCTCAGGTATCACCCCAGACAACGCCACTTCAGCCCTACACATCTCTTCATCTGCATCTGTTGTGATGTCCTTTATAGTAAACTGGTAAACCTAAGTGTTTTACTGAGTTCTGTGAACCACTCTAGCAAATAATCAAACCCAAAGAGGGGTTGCAGGAACCCTAGCTTGAAGCTAGTCAGTCAGAAGCTGCGGAAGCTGG
This sequence comes from Homo sapiens, assembly GCF_000001405.40. Classification (NCBI taxonomy): domain Eukaryota; kingdom Metazoa; phylum Chordata; class Mammalia; order Primates; family Hominidae; genus Homo; species Homo sapiens. The sequence goes on from NC_000008.11 coordinate 124,913,129, forward strand.
GACTTGTGACTGGTGTCTGAACTGGTGGCCGGGGCATTCTTGGAGACTGAGCCCTCAACTTGTGGGATCTGATGCCATCTCTAGGTAAATAGTGTCAGAATTGAATCAGAGGACACCTGGCTGGTGTCTGCTGCCAAATCGATTGCTCAGTTGGTGATGGGGATGACATTTGGTCACAGAAGTCCATCTGTGTTGATAATTGTGGTGTGAGGGCAAGAGACACCACCAGGCCAAAAGCATGCAATCCCCGCCTGTGTGCTCCCCTGGAGAGGTTGAATGTGTTGTGTTTCCCCATGTGGCCTTGGGTCAGGGATTAGAGGGTCACACAAACCTTCCCCACCCACAAGCTCCACCCCTTCAGCCCAGTTCCACCCACTTGGTGACTCTGGACAACGCTCTGGCCCTCTCTGAGTCTCAGTATCTTCATTTGTAAAATGGAGATTACACCCACTGCATAAACACAGTGTGTGAGGATGAGGCATGGAGAGCATTTGCCACTGTGCCTGACACACATTAGAGATGGCAAGGAAACTGCAAGCCACTTGCACACACCAAGCCCCCAGTAAAAATAGCCCCAGGCAACCAGCCCGGTTGTGTCTGAAACCTCCTAGCTGCAGCTTCCACACCTGCCTGGCTCTGCACCTCCTGATCCACTCCTGGGTCTCTTTGGTTCCAGTCCCAGCTTCCCCACCTCCTTCCCAGACCCACACTTGATCCTGGGACCCCACTGCAGATTCAGCTTCTCTGGCTTTGCCTCTGTCCTCCAGATCTATCTAGAGGTAACTGACTCATCCCTCCAACGTACTTGGAATGAGTTTTGCAGTCCCCAGTCTAGGTTCTAGGGGGCCCAGGCTGAAGCACCCATCAGTGGGGGACACAATTGTGAAACTGAAAACTGATTAAAAATTTGCTGTGGAGCTCTGCTCATAGGGCCCTTCTTGGGGTCCCACTAGTGACCAAATTCTATGGCCTCAGAATCTTCACAGACACTGTTTCCTGGCCTATTTCCTCTGATTAAATTCTACTCATCCAGTAAACCCCCACTTAAATGTCCATTCCTCAGAGAAGCCTTCCTTGACTGATAATTAGAAACTAGTCCTCCCCTGCTATATTCTCAGGAAAACTTCTATGCATGTTTCTTTCATTGCATTTATTATAATTTGTACTTAGTATACTTGAGTGATGATTTGTTCAATATTTTTCTTCCCTTATATTTATTAGGATATACATATAAGAAAAACTCCAAAAGACAAAACAAGTTTATTTCTCTCTCACATGAAACTTAGAGTTGACTCTGCTCCACAGAGTCACTTGTTTTGCCATTCCTCATGTGTCACCTTATTTATAAGGTCTGAAAGAGCTCACCTCATTGTCCTCATTTCTGCCAGTGGAAGGGATAGGGGTGAGGGGGTAGAGGGAGGGTAGTCAGACCCTTTCCCTTTAAGGGCTGGAGCCAGAAGTTGCTCTTGTCACTTTCACTCAAATCCCATTTGTCCAAACCCAGCCACAAGACCACATGCAGCTGCAAAGTTGGCTAGGAAATGTAGTCTTTATTCTGGATATCTATTTACCCTGCTACCAACCAGAGAATCTATTGCTAGAGCAGAAGTGTGAGCAGATGCCAGGAGACAGCTCATGGACCTCTGCCTACTACACCCTGACTGTAAAAAACATGACTGCAGGGACCTCATTTCTTTCTGTCAAGACTTTACTTGTACTCAGTCTCAACCCTAGTGCTTCATCCATATGGGAGATGGGGTGCCTTGGGGTAGATGATAGTGGAAATTTAGAGGAGTGGACAGGCTTAGGATCCAAGTTGGAGGTGAGGCCCATGGGACTTGCAGATAGATATAAGTGATACAGGAGATAGAAAGAAATTATTTAGGCAGATAGTGAGTGTCAAAGAGTCCTTGGCAAGGTTTCCCTTTGAACAAAAGCAGCCCAAAAAATTATTTTTTTCTAACAAAGAGCAGCCTGAAAAATTGAACTGCAAACATAGATAAGCAAGCTGGAAGCTTATATGGGTGAATGCTGGCAGCTGTGCCAACAGAAAAGGGCTACCTGGGTGCCAGGCATGTCCAATATGGAGACTCCATCTTCCCTTTACTTTGTTACCACATGTACAGTAAAGAAACAAGCAACACAGCACCCGTCAGGTAGATAACCCATCTGCATAATAAAAAATTAGGGTGAGGACAGCCAAAAATCCATGATCTCTGCAAATGGCACACCTACCCCTAACCAGCTCATCTATAAAACCCCCTGCATTTCACCGTGGAAGCAGAAACCTGTTTGGGACCCCTCACTCTGCAGGAGAAAGCTCTTCTGTTTCTTTTGCCTATTAAACCTCTGTTCTTAACCTCACTCCCTGTGTATCCTCATCCTTGATTTCCTTGGCCATGAGACAATGAACCTTGGGTACCACCCCAGACAGTGAGGTTGCTTCATGAGCACAAGTATCTGTGGAGGACAATAGAAAGGCATCCTCTTGTATTATTATTTGCCTTTTCAAGCGTGTATTCCTTAATTACCCAAAAAAATTCTAGGCTACTCAAGCAGGAAATCAAGGTAGAATATAAACATGGGTCCCAATCTGATTTCTACCATTTAACCAGTTGTAGGAACTTGAGCCTCAGTCTTTTTATCTGTAAATTGGGGATTAATATACCACATTGTGGGATGAAATGGGCTAATTCTGACGTAAATATAAATGCCGAGCACAGTGCCTGACATATATTAGATACTCAGTACATAAATTGGAGCTCTTCTACTGCTGCATAGCTCCTCACCCATCCCAGAACCTGGTGCAGGGAGTATCAATCACTATTCGTTCATGGAGGGATATGCAGATGGGGTAATCGTTATGCTCTGAACAAAGCCATCCAGCATTTTCTCCAGAAGGATTGATGTCTGCTGGATCCCCACTGGACTTCAGGTTCTTAGTGATGCCTTCTTCACATGCTCCTCTTTCCCAGGAAACAGCTTTTTCCTGGATTGGACCCTCTGAGTTCTGTGGAGATACCCATGACTCATTGTCATCGACCCAGCACCCATGCTCAGTTCAAATGTTACCTCTTCTCTTAAGCCTTCCCTGGTCTTCTTCTTCCCACTAGCTCCTGCCCAGGAAGACCTAGAAGAACCAGTCACTTCCTATATGGTCTTCCTGCTCCCTGTTCTTGTATCTGCTTGAGCGTTTATCTCACTGGTGACTGGGGAAGATTTGGGGCTGATTCCATTTGGTATCAACCAAGCACAGACTGTGAGGCTTTTCCTTCTACCCTTTAATTACTCAGGGACTTGGGCCATTAAAAGAAGGTTGTCTGTACAAGATTAGTCAGAATGTGATTGAACAGAACCTTGCAGGCACACATGGGCACCACTTTTGCTAATTATCAGAGGGCAACATGCTGGTTGCAAATGAGGTCAGATGCCAAGGAGAAGAGGTGCACTGTAGCTCCCCAGCATAGGCAAAGTGCATTGCTCAGAGGTATAGAAATGCCACAGGCTGCAGGTGCTAATCTAGTTTTCAGAGAACCCTCTGGTTCTGACTTAGGACTCTGCTGGAATGGAAGCCAGGCAGATCTGTGAAGACTGATTTGGCACAGCTCTGCTGTACATGGTTTCTCTAGGCTTGGACCCTTCATCTTGGTCCCCACCCATCCCACTGACATTGACCCTTCAGAGTTCCCATAAAGACTCTTTTCTAGTCTCAGAGGAAGAAAGTGAAACTTTACCCTGTCTCGCCTTATAATATCTCAACTGCAGATCTCATCTGGGACATGCTATTTTTTCTTTCTTTTCTTTCCTTTCTTTCTTTCTTTTTTTCTTTCTTTCTTTCTTTCTTTCTTTCTTTCTTTCTTTCTTTCTTTCTTTTTTTTTTCTTTCTTTCTTTCTTTCTCTCTTTCTTCTTTCTCTCTTTCTTTCTTCTCTCTCTTTCTTTCTTCTTTCTCTTTCTTCTTTCTCTCTCTCTTTCTGTCTTTCTCTTTCTTTCTTTCTCTCTTCCTTCTTTTTCTTTCTTTCTTTTTTTTTTTTTGACAGAATCTCACTCTGTCACCCAGGCTGGAGTGCAATGGCATGGTCTCGGCTCACTGCAACCTCTGCCTCCTGGGTTCAAGCGATTCTCCTGCCTCAGCCTCCCAAGTACCTGGGGTTACAGGCGCCTGCCACCACACCCAGCTAATTTTTGTATTTTTAGTAGAGACAGGGTTTCACCATGTTGGCCAGGCTGCTCTCGAACTCCTGACTTCGTGATCCGCCCGCCTCAACCTCCCAAAGTGCTGAGATTACAGGTGTGAGCCACCACACCAGGCCAGGCACAAGCTTTTAACAAGACACTTGAAAACTTTTTCTCTAATTCTTCTATATCATCCCTTCACTGAGGCACAGGGGCAACTTGTTCAGTTATCTGAACAAGGAAGGAGTCACAGGTAGCCAGAAGCATGAGTGGGTGCTTGGGGGAAATTTTGGTTAAGAGTTCAAAGATTAACTGCATTACACTGTCATGTCAATGTTTACTCTCATCTTACCCTGAGACTGACAGCTCTTTGCAAGCTGAAACTGTGCACTAGTGCTATTGTCTTTACATGCAAGACCTCTTTGGGACACGTTTTTTGAAACACCACATCAATAGACCATAAATGTGAATGAACTCCCTTTGTTAGAAAATCATCATAACTTCATTAGCCTCTCAGGGTTCAAAGTTAAAAAAAAAAAAAAGAAAGAAAATGATCGTAACTTCCATTTGTAAGCACTTTACAGATTTGTCTTCATGACTTTATTTAATCCTCCAAACAATCCTGCTAAGGAAGGCTAGGCATTACTATTTCTTACTTTATGCAGGGCCGAGGCTGAGATCAAGGTCTGCTTGCTTCATAGCCCATGTCCTTTCCATTAGGAGGAAGAACAGGAAAAGGAGGTGGGAAGGGTATGTTACCATAATCAGAATCCTGGATTCCCTGATAGCATCTTCGGCCAAACTTGGAAGTGAAGTCCCTTATTTCAGGGTCACATGGAAGCCTAGGGTGGGTGAATAATCTGAGAAAGAATGCTAATGCTGGATAATGCCTCACTTGGTCACAGTGGCTAATAGGAGACTTCACTGCTTTAGCAAAGAGTTCTCCAACATTTTTGTCCCCTCCCATTCTTGAAAATTACTGAGGCTCTAAAAGAGCTTTTGTTTATACGGGTTGTACCTATCAATCTTTGCAGTAGTAGAAATTAGAATGGAGGAAATTTTTTCAACTTTTATTTTACGGAGTACATATGCATGTTTCTTACATAGGTATATTGCATGATGTACCTATGCATGATGCTGAGGTTTGGAGTACAAATGAATTCGTCACCCAGGTAGTGAGCATTGTACCCAATAAGTAGCTTTTTTCAACCCTTACTGCCTCCCTCTCTGTCTCGCCTTGAATTCCTCAGTGTCTGTTGTTCCCATTTTTTTTTTTTTTTTTTTTTTTTGTGAGAAGGAGTCTCGCTCTGTCATCCAGGCTAAAGTGCAGTGGCGCGATCTCAACTCACTGCAACATCTGCCTCCCAGGTTCAAGCAATTCTCTGCCTCAGCCTCCCGAGTAGCTGGGATTACAGATGCCCACCAACACACCTGGTTAATTTTTGTATTTTTCATAGAGATGGGGTTTCACCATCTTGGCCAGGCTGGTCTTGAACTCCTGACCTCGTGATCCACCCACTTTGGCCTCCCAATGTGCTGGGATTACAGGCGTGAGCCACCATGCCCAGCCTGGAAGCATACTTCTTTATGCAATAGCAAAGAATCACATTTATTAATATGACCACTGATATCCTCAGAAACATCTTTAAGTATTGGAAAGCTATCAAATGCATAGTGGCAAATAACACTTTTTTCTGAAAAATTCTAATTTTCACTTGAAAGCTCAAATGTTGTCATTGGCAACAGTCAGTGGCGTTCCTTGATGTGACAGGCTCACTTTGTTCATTTGTTAAGAAAATGCCTGCCAAATACCCAAGTCTAAATCAGTATAGTTTGTCAGCCATTATCTCAAGTAAAACTTGCATTGCATGCAAAAAAAATAGTTCAGCTTGCAACTTAAATAATTGCAGAAGTACTTTTCCTCAAGACAACCATTTTATTTTGGTATGCAGCAGAAATACTTCGTGTGGACTTCCCATTTATTAAGAAATCAGTGTGAAACTGGCTATTACCTCTCCTGTGAGTGATTGAGGGGATGAAGAATCAGTGCCACTGCCTCAATTCATGCTAAGGCAGTTTTTTTTACCTGTCTTTGCTTTGGCATCATACGTGAAAATGGAGAATTTTTGCTTATGGAGAAAAGGCAAATAATGTTTTTGCATTATTGGGGAAATAGCTTTGACCTTGAGGACCCTCTGAAAAGGTCTTAGGCATCCCTAGGGGCCCATGGATCATCCTTTGAGAACCACTGACCTCATGAAATAACTGGTGGCGGAATTCAAGATTCAGCTGGTAGAGAAGAACAGTCATTCCTCTCCATATCAGGAGATTTGTGTTCAGTCCCATCCCTTCTCTGGCCTTAGTTGTATCTTCTGTAAAAGGGGATAATAATATGTCCTCCCTACAGAGCTGTTATGAGAAGTCAGTCATGACAATGTAGTGAAAACATGTGATTGCGGATAAAGCTCTGAGGGAATCAAAGAACTAGACAATTTATTCAGGGTCTGTGAGTATTGTGGGGGAGGAAGAAACCTAAGCCTCCCATCATATTGCCAAGATGACCATCTGCTCTGCCCATGTAACTCAAGCTAGAAGAGGAAGGAGCTGCTACCCATGGTGCCCCCTCCAGGGACCAGCAGTAACCTTGAAGCCTCCTCCGTCTCCCATTCCTTTGCCCTTAGTGACTCCTCAGTTCTGCCCAGATACCCTACATTGCTTTAGTCAATTTACTCTTCTCCTTTCCAAGACAAACACAGGAGAAAATCTAGCTCCAGGGCTAGGCAAAGCATTCCTACACTTGACATGAAAAGCACAATCCATAAAAGGTGAAATTAATCAATTAGACCTCATCAAAATTAAAAGCTTTTGCTCAGCAGAGGCCCTGTTAAGATGAAAAGGCAAGCTAGTCACAGACTGGGAGAAAATATTCGCAAGTCACACATCTTACTAAGAACTTGTGTCTAGAATATATAAAAAATTCTCAAAAGTGAACAGTGAAAAACTGTTTAGAAAATAAAACATAGAAAATGAGCAAAAGAGCGCCAGGTGAGTGCTGCGGACTGAGCCGCCACAGTCCGGCATGAGGGCTTGGGGTCTGGCTACTGCCTGCTTCTAGCTGTAGTGCCATGAATGCCTGCAGAGCTTGCCCTGCCTCCTGACCCATGCAATGGGACTTCCCTGGCCTTGGATCTGACCTGTGTGGGCCCGCCGGCTCTGCGTAGCAGGTGCAATGCATGGGTTTAGAACTTCTGATGTCTCTCAAGCCACTGTAGGCAGTGTAGCCCCAGTATTTACCGCAACAAAATTTGACAAACAGGGAAATGTTACTCCTTTTGAAAGGAAGAAAACTGACTTATACCAAGAGTTAGGTCTTCAAGCCAGAGACTTGAGATTTCAGCATGTAGTGAGCATCACAACCAGAAACGGCAGGTTTATCATGACAATGGAGTATTTGAAAGCTGTGATAACTCCAGAGTGTCTCCTGATATTAGATGATGGTAATTTAAATTTAGAGCAATGGCTGTTCTGGGAACTCCCTTCACAGTTGTCTGGAGAGGGTCAACCTGTTACATACTCTTTACCTTTTGAGTTTAGTGCTATGGAAGCACCCCTGAAATACTGGATCAACCCCCTTTAGAGGAAACGTAGCGTTTTGCAGACACTGACCTTTGAGACCTTAGAAGCTTTCAAACATTCTTCTGTGGACAAAAGCTAACCGCATATTTTACTACGGAATGACAAAAGTCTATCAGAGTTAGAAACAGATATTAAAATTTTCCAAGAGTCAATTTTGGAGATCTTGGGTGAGGAAAAGTTACTAGAAGAGCTCTGTCTATCAAAATGGAGTGACCCACCAGTCTTTGAAAAGAGCAGTACTGGGATTCGCCATGCAGAATGTAAGGTTAGCTGAGAGAAAAGACGAGAGAGAGACCCAAGGTCAGGCAAGGATGTTTATTAACCTGCCAGGCTGCTCCACTACAGTCAGAGGAGGCAGCCCTGAGCTTACAAAATGAGGGGTTTATATTGGGGAAAGAGACCCTGGGGTTGTTTTTCGGTTAACTTTACCACATAGCATCTCGTGACCGGCTTACAATATATTATCTTGTGAAAATAGGAATTTACAAGAGGGTGTTACTTAGGTTTATCCACGTTTCTCGTGACCTCCCCCGTGCCAGCCGGAGGGCTGTAAGCAAGTCTGGTGACCTTGCTGGAGCACCTAGATAAGGGTTCAGGAATGCAGCTGCAGAGTATTCAGCGTAGGGGTCAGCTGCACTGAGAGGCAGGGGCAGGTCCTGGGGTAGCTTGTCCCTAACACAGAAGAGATGGACCTGCTGTTGGAAAACTACTACCTATTGGCTGACGATCTCTTCAATACAGTTTGGGAGCTTAGGGTACTGACTGATGATTCACGAAGTATCATTTTCATCAATCTGGACAGCCACCGTAATGTGATGATGAGGTTGAATCTACTGCTGACCATGGGAATCTTCTCTCTTTCACTCTTTGGACTAATGGGAATTGCTTTTGGAATGATTTTGGAATCCTCCTTGAAGAGGACCCTAGAGTGTTTTGGCTGATTACAGGAATTATGTTCATGGGAAGTAGCCTCATCTGGAGGCGCCTGCTTTCATTCCTTGGACGACAGCCGGAAGCTCCGTTGCCTCCTATGATGGCCTCTTTACTGAAAAAGATCCTTCTGGCAGATAGAAGCATGGAATTGAAAAACAGCCTCAGACTAGATGGACCTGGATCAGGCTGAAGCATCCTCACAAACCATTAGGAACAACCCCATGGATACTGACGTTTTGTCATGGTAGTCACAGGAAACTTCTGATACTCTTTTATTATTTTCTTGGTTAGAGTCAGACACTTGAAAAAAATTAATGTCCGATGACAAAAATATTTTGGCAATCACAATACTAGAATGTGATTGCATTTCCAGAATTCTGAGTTAAAGAAACAGAGTGTTTGTTTTGTAAAAGGCCAAAATTCTATTTCCTACAAACTTTAAATGCTGTTTCTATAGGCATAAGGGGTGGCAAGACAAGAACGACAGTTGTATACATTTTATTTAATTTATATATATCAAGAAAAGTGCAATTTTGTGCTGGATGAAGCCTAGGAACTTGACAAAGCCATAGACAGCCATAGTTCTTTGTCAGTATAGGAAATTAAGTTCATGTGAATTTCCTGATTCTCAGGTAACTAAAAAGCTAGCATTCCATGTATTAACCTTAAAACAAACTCTAGAAGTTTGTGGTTTAAAAACTAAACTTTGACATAACCTTATTTTCTTGTATTTGCACCCCTTTTTAATATAAGGTGAATAAAAAGCAAAGATAATTTAAAAAAAGAAAATGAGCAGAAGACATGAGCAAAGCTTTCACTGCAGAAGATGTACAGATGGTAAATATGCACATAAAAGATGTTTAACATCATTACATTAGGAGAATACAATTTAAAACCAAAAAAAGAGATATCCTGGGTATACTGTACTACATACAGTTTGGCAACATGTTACCACTGGGAGAAAATGAGTAAAAGGTACACAGGTTTTATCTGCACCATTACTTACAATTATACATGGATCTATAATTGTCTGGAAATAAATAGTATCTTTTTAATAAATTAAGTAAATAAATAATGCCACAGTCCTGCTCCAAATTTCCAAGTTTTTCCCATCACACTTGGAATAAATCCCAAGTACTGATCATGTCTTACAAGTCCAACAGGCTGTGGCCTCTGCCTCTAATTTCATCTCAGATGACTCTCCTCCACACTTACTCCTTTCTCAGCACACTGGCTTTCTTGTGATTTCTTGAATTTCCAAGCTTATTCCTACCTGATCAGGGCCTTTGAATTTTAAGTTTCTTCTACTGGGAACCCTCTTTTCCCAGGTCTTTGCATGGTTCTCCTTCATCACTCTGGTCTTTGTATATTTGTATATTGCCTGCCTCTCTAAGTGGACCGTAGGCTCAATGTGGGCGGGGTCTTTGCCTACACGGTTCACCATTGCACCCGTCATGCGTGGAGTGTGGTATGTGCTCAATAAATCTTGTTGAATGAATGAATGAATGAATATTAAAATGGCAGGTTGACTTGGGTCAGTGTTTGCTTTACCACATTACTCTGTGCTGAGCCTTCCTTATGCTCCTTACAAAACAGATGTGCTTAGGCATGGGGAAATAGTTTCAGAAATAGTAAGATCTAGGTTTGAGTCGCACTCTTAACACTCTTCTGCTCATTGTCCATTTGACCAAATCACATCAACTTTTTGAGCTCTATTTTCTCATCTGAAATATGAGTTGCCCTAAGGAGCCTGGGGATATTAAGATATCAATATCTCTCCCCTAGACCTGCTCCTCCTCCTGGTTATTCCCATTTCAACTCATGGTGCCTCCATCCACCCCCACACCCAAGCCAAGAACCTGGATGAATCAGCCTCAGTGCTTTCCTTCTTCATTCACCCCACACCCAAGCAATTGCCAAGTCTTGACAAGTCTACTCCTAAATCTTTTTCATATATCTCTTCCATATCTCTCTGTCTTCCCTGCTCATCATCTCTTGCCTAACCATTGCAATATCCTCCTTAATTGGTCTTTCCCATTCATCATCCATAATGCTGATGAAATAATCTATTATGCAAATTTGATTATGTCAGTGCCTTGCCTAAAACCCTTAAATCGTTCTGCAATGGATTCCAGATATAGAGCAAATTCCTTCCCTTGGCACTGATCTGGCTCCTACCCATCTCTTAATCCCTTTATTCACTCCTCCCTAACACTTCTCATAAGCTGAACAAGCCATATGCTGGAGCAAGCTGTCCTCAGCCACACCCCCTGACTTTGCACATGTTGTTCCATCTGTCTGGATGGCCTCCCTCACTGCCTGGCACCTCTAAGACTTCCAGAGTCCAGCTTAGCATCACCTGGTGGGCATCCCTGACTTGCCAGTCTGTTCGGTGCTTCTCTCTGTACTTCCATGATAACTCAGGTCCAAGTCTATCACAGCACACAGTAGAGCTTAGCACATAGTAGGCACTTAGACAGTTAGCAAATCAATGATTTGGGCCAGACATTAGTAAGAGTATTAAACCTACAAATCCTTGTACATGCTGCAATGAGCTATGAAGGGATGGGCTTTTTTTTCTTCTTTTCTCTTGCGCTAAATGAAGATGTCTAGTTGTAATATTCTGCTGATAACCTGGCTTCAGCCCTGCCCAGGGGCAAAAAAATAAAATGGACAAGATGATCTTGGAAATCACCCATCTTCAAAGTTCTTCCAGCTCAGTGTGTGATCTTGGCTAACAAATGAAGTCTGAACTCAAAGAGATGTGGGTTTGAATCCCAGCTCTGCCACCTAGTAGCTGAATGACCTTGAGCCTTAAGCTCTGTCAGGAATATAATGGACCTCCACAAAGGGTTGTCATGAGGATTCAATGAAATCATGCAGGAAAGGCACTTAGAATGGTGCCTGGCATTCATAGTAAGCGTTCAGTAAGTATTTATATATCTCCATCTAGTGGTCTTGGCACAAGAAAGGAAGGCAAAAGAAGAAAAGAATAAATAAATAACAGGAACCAAGAGGCACTCCAGATTCGAGGATAGACAGGGAGGGGTGGTGAGCTGAGCCTGACTGGAAAAGCTGTAGCTCCTTCAATGTAGGGCAAATAAAGTGGACATAGAAAGGCAGAAAGGGAGCTTGTGGGGAGTGGGCATTGCTGTTTATAGACAACTAGGGCAGCTAAGGTTTAGGGACCTGTGTGTATATTCTCAGCCTGCGAGGCCTGTGTATAGGCCTAATGTAGCCTGGCATTTTCCAGAGTTAGAGAAAGTAGAGGCCTAGGTGTCCCTGCCAGCCCTTGGTGTTCCAGCCTGAAGGCGATTTTGGGGCCTTCATTCTGCCAATGTATTACAAGCACCTAGTCAATGCCAAGTATGGGCTGTGCCAAAGGGTGAGCCCCAGGGTGAGGGCTGCAACTGAAATCTCTAATGACCAATCTGGTTGGTGTTCAGCAAAGAGCACTAACTTTGGAGTCCAAGTGGCCTGGGTTACACTCTGGCTGAGCTCAGTACCAACTGTGTGGCACTGGCTGCTTCATTTAGCTTTTCTAATCTTCAATTTTCTCACCTGTAAAATGGAAATAAACTACTAACCTCAAAAAAATTGTAGAGTACTAATTGAGATAAGGGAGAAAATTGCTTAGTACAAAGTAGGCAGTCTGACTCGCAGTAAGGGCCCTTTTATCCAACTTGCTCAGTTTTCCTTTATTGTTATCACTTCTGGGCTAGCATTTTATATAATTTACTTGTTTGCTTTATCTCCTGTTTCCGTCACTAAAACTTACACATCATGGGTGCAGGGACTCTGTCTAATGTCTTGTTTGCTGCTGAATTCTCAGCACACAGCACTAACTGGTGGTGTTGAATAAACAACAACAACAACAACAACAATTCTATTTCATCTCTTTCACTAGAATGTAAACTCCATGACAACAGGATTGCATCATTTATCTCTTGCTGCATTACAACTCACCCCAAAACTTAGTGGTTCTAAACAATGGTCAAGGCATCTGTAGATCAGGAGTTTAGGAGCGGGTCAGTTGGGCAGTTCTGGCTCAGGGTCTCTTTGAGGTTGCACCTCAGATGCTAGCTTGGGCTATAGTCCCCTGAAGGCTTGGCAGATCCTGGAGGATCCAATTTCAAGGTGGCTCACTCACATGGCTGACTGGTGCTGCCCAAGGGGGCCTTTCTACTGACCCTTTGATGGAGCTCTACGGACTGCTGTCCTGATATGGCAGCTGGCACTCCTTAGAGCAAGCAATCCAAAACACCGTGAAGAAAGCTGAAACTGCCTTGATGATCTAGTCTTACGCCACATGGCAAAAGTCATATATCGTCACTCCCTCCACATTTGATTGGTTACTCAGGCTGATCCTGATTCAGTAGGAGGAAACCATATAAGGGCATGAATACCAGGAGGCAAATATTGCTGGGAGCCATTTGGAGGTTGGGCCACCCAAGGACAGTTTACCAGTGTAACACAATGACAGTGCCTGGCATGTGGTTGGCATTCAAAAAGTATTTGTTGAAGGCATGAATTCAAGTGCTGGGGACTGGGTTTCACATAGTAAGAGACTTGGGCTCTGCCTCCAAGGAACCAGCATTCGAGTGGAAGAGACAAATGCACAAAGAGGCATTTATCATTCTGTGTCCTGTAGCAGAACATGGCCTAAAAATCCAGATCAGGGAAGAGTGACATGTGGGTTGAGTTTTGAAGGGTGAGTTAAGTAAGCCAGGTGAGGAATGACAGGAAGGGGGTTCTGAAAAAGAGGGAATGGCACATGCAAAGTTTCAAGGAAAGAGAAGGGGCCATGAGCTTGTGAGCGGGGGCGGTGGTGAGAAGGAGATGACAACAGGTAGCATCCGACGCCTGTTTAGTTTCCCTTTTATATAAGTCAGACTTTCATGAGTGCCTTTAGTATAGTAATTGTTAAAATGATGAAACAAGAATTGAAAGCAAATGCTGAGATGATGCGCCACTGAGATTTATTTTCTCACAATTGTTTCTGTTCAACAAGCATGGAGCACCTACCAGGGCCAGGCTCTTGCTAAGTGCTTGGGGATGCAAAGATCAATAACATATACAACCTTTCCTCCTGAGCAGCTAGGGATATGAGGGGGCAGGGAATGGGCTGACCACAAGTTATGATGATACAAATCACAGTCATAATGTAAGTACCTGGAGAAAGGCACGTGGCCAGAACCCAGAGGGCCAAAAGAGGGCACTGTCGCAACCATTCGGACGAAGAACCAGCTATGTATTTGGGCATAAGAAAATCAAAGAGACCAACTTGATCTGTTGTCAATAAAGATACAATTCTTTGCACAATTCCCTTCCCGCATGCCCTTATGACCTACTGTGAGGGGGGTCCTGCCCTATGAACCTGGAAGCCCAGGTGGAGATGACCTGGGTGGGAGTGGGAGTGGGGATGTGGCAGGGGTGCTTCAAGGTGGTCTGAACACCACTCCAGCCTGCCGTCCTCCTTCAGCGGTGTCAGGCATGAGGCCTCTCTGAGTCCATGGGTTGGAAGGATGTGGGAGAGAAAACAGGGAGAGAAGGGGAGCAGACAGTAAGCATCCTGAGCCTCACCCCGAGATGGCTGGGCCTTCAATTATGATTTAATATTAGTGCTCCTTGGTGTAGCTTCTCCTGCATCCTTATTCCTAAGGAAATGAAAGTACTTCCCAGGCATTCTCCCCTGGCACCCATCACCAAGTGAGCCGAGTGGAGGAGCAAGTCATGCTCCATTTTCAAAGGAAGGAGGAGGAAGCCGGGGGACATGGCCAACTTGCTTACACAGTGAATTAAGGAGGGAGGCAGGGCAGCAGACCACCAAGGATGGTGGGGAGAGGCCTCTGGTGATGGACTGGAAGCTGAGCCCCAGAGGAGCAGCCTGAGAAGGGTGCATGAGGGCTGCACTCCTGCTCTGCAAGGCTGCAAGGCATTCGTGAAGAGCCACTGGAATCTGATACTTTCCACTGCATGGTGGACCAGCCCTAGTCTCACCAGACCCCTCTGGGAATATGAGGAACTGAGAACCCAAAGGACAGCAGATGGCTCTTCCATTTTTCCTGCGCTCTCTGTTGTCCCAGAGAGGCTGCTCCCCAGGCTCTGAGGGCCTCTGTTCTCCAAGCCATGCTACAATCCAACAACATCAGTCAGCCACCAACACACTCTTTTCTTCACTAAGGGACATTAACGTCACACCCAATTATTATCATCCACACCACTGAGAAGGAGAAACCCTTTCCAGGTGGCATGAAGAAATAAGGCCACAGCCACCCACAGAGCACTAGCACACCAAGAAGAATCAGATCTGGTCCCCACCCTCACCCACAGTGACAAACTAGGTCATAACGTGGAGTCCCGGCCACAGAAAAGCCTAAGGAAGGAAGAGGTCAGTACTCCAAGGGGTGGAGGTGGGAGGCAGTCAGAAAAGGCTTCATGGAAGATGCACCTTTTCAGCTGAACCTCGGGAGACTGTCTGCCAGACGGACTGCATGGGGAAGGCTTCTTGGGCAAAGAAACAACTTGAACAAAGATACCCACAGGACATGGGCATCCTGAGGCTCCACAAGGCTCAAGCCTAGGGGGTCAGGGTGGAGCGCAGAGAGGCAGAGCCTGAGTCACAAAGGACCCTGTAACCAAACTAAAGGTGTGCATTTTTCCCCAAAAGTCAAGATTTGGGGGTCATTGAAGAGTAACATTTGAGCGGGCATTCCCTTTTAACAGCTATGGGATCCCAGTCAAGATATTTAACCTCTCTGGGCCTCAGTTTCCATATCTGTGAAATGGGAATAGTGAGAATATCTTTTTATAGGGTGCTTAGGGAGCTTTTAAAAGATATTATGTACATGTAAAGAATTCAGCATAGTGACTAACATATAGTAAATGCTCCACAAGTCACAGCCGTAATAACAAAAATAAATCATTAACATTGGTACATTTTAGAAAGCTCACTCTAGTTTCTAGGTGGAGAGTAAAGAAGAGAACAAGAATAAGCCCAGAGGGACTGCGTAGGAGGCTATTGCTCCAGTCCAGGTGTCAAGTGATCATGGTCTCACAGAGGCCCTCCCTGGAGAGGACTGCATCAGGAGACACTGAGAGCAGAGAACCACCTGGAATGTGTGGCTCTTGGGAAGTGGGAGTGGTGAGGGAGAGGGAGAAATGTGAATTTGCCTGCTAGTCACTGAAATCAGAGTGACAGCTTGGGAGACCAGAAAGGGGAATGATACAGTGGTTATTGACATGACAAGTTGGAGAATGTCAACTGTCCAGGAGGAAGCAGTGAGATGTACATGGCTGGAGAAGTTGGTCGGGAGTAGAACTGAGAGGCAGCAGCACAGAGCTGGCAGCAAAAGCCATCAGAGAGGACGAGATGGCTCAGGGACGGTGTGTAGCCTTGAAGACAGGAAGAATAGAACTGATATAGTTTGGCTGTGTCTCCACCCAAATCTCATCTTGAATTGTAGCTCCCACAATTCTCATGTGTTGAGAGAGGGACCCAGTGGGAGGTAATTGAATCATGGGGCTGGGTCTTTCCTGTGCTATTCTTGTGATAGTGAATAAGTCTCACAAGATCTGATGGTTTTATAAAGAGTTCCCATGTACAAGCTCTCTCTTGCCTGCTGCCATGTAAGAGGTGCCTTTTGCTTTCCACCATGATTGTGAGGCCTCCCCAGCCATGTGGAACTGAGTCCACTGAACCTCTTTTTCTTTATAAATTACCCAGGCTCGGGTGTGTCTTTGTCAGCTGTGTGAGAACAGACTAATACAAGAACCTTGTCAAAATATTTGAGAGGGTAGGCTGAGGCCTTCTCTCACTCCACAACCAGAGTAGGAAATAAAGAGAACCCTGAAGTTGTTGACTGTATCCGCCATTAAGAATGCTAGGTTTTCTGTAAATTAAACTTTATTTTCCATACTCTAAAAGTGGTTGAAGATAAAAGTGAATAATAGACTCTTAATGTGGACAGTTTTCTAAATAGAGATCTTCATATCTTGATTAACAGGACTCATTTGAAATATTTGAAATTTGAAACAGAGCATTGTGCCATCCCATGATTTTAATCCCATGCCCTCTATGAACAGGTCAAGGTCATCAGAAAAGTGTGTCCCCACTCTCTAAGCCAGAGCCCAACTGTCTTTCCAGACCTGACACAGATACCACCTCTTCCACGGGCTCTTCTTCACCTGCCTAAGGCAGCTTTGGTGTATGGAAGTCCTTCTAAATGATGTTCCATGGCAAAAGCAATGAGACAGGATTTTTGGTAAAATAAATGTCACAATTCTGCCTGCACGTTAGAATTAACTATGGAGTTTTTATTGTTGTTTTCTTTAAAGTCCCTGTCTGGGATCCTCTCTAGAGCTATCAGAATCCCTGGGGGGACTGGCTGTGAGGCTGATTAAGGAACCAGCTTTCCTCACCTGACTAACCTGGTCATGGGTCACTGGTCACTTGGGGGAAGACAGCACCAGAGACGTGTGTGGAGAAGTGCAGCCCCCAGCTGCACACCAGAGCCCCCAGGCCCATGGAGAAGACACTTCTCTGGCAGGACCTCAAGCACAGCAGCCCGCTCCAGCTCAGGAGTGAGCTGAGCCAGGCTGGAGGGAGCCAGCCACTGTGAACGTTAGTGCTGTCTTATCTAGACAACCGCTGTCTGCAATTGCGTGGAAAGGCCGTGAGCTGAAGTCTTGGCTCCATGTTATCCCAGGTCATCCCTCCACTGTGAAAACTTCCCAGGAATCATCCTCCCAGTTAATTTTCTGTTCAGGGATCTTGGTTGGATGAGACTCTGGCACAGTCACCTTGTCACTTTTCTTCTGCCTTGCATGACAGTTTTCATGTCCATCACCATTGATATTTTGGATTAGATCATTTGGGGGTGGGGGGCAATGGGTGGGGGTGCTGTCCTGTGTGTTGTAGGAGACTTAGTAGCATCTCTGACCTCTACCTAATAGATGCCAGTAATACTCCCCTCTTCCCATCTAGTTGTGACAACCCAAAATGTCTCCACACATTGCCAAATGTCCCCTGGTTGAGGACCTCTGCTCTATAGGAAGAACTAATTGAGGGCAGAGTTCAAGTTTAGTTCAGCTCTTTGTTCTCTTCTAGTGCTACGCAGAGTGCCTGGTGCATTGTGGGTGTCCACCCACTGACTGTGAGAGATGAACTTTCTGTGTGATGGCTCGTGCACTTCTAAACGTTGGGGAAAGAGAGCTTTGTGAGATGGTAACCTATGATTGTCCCCTCCCACTCAAGGACATAGGTAGCAGGCTCTGTGCTGCTTCTCTGCCTCTGGGGAGGTTTGTGACCTGACTTTTATTTCCAAAAATCCACTGAGATCAACAGGATTTAAGAACAAAATGATTTTTCTCTGGGTTAAGAAGAGATTTCCAGAGACTGGAGTAAGAATTAAGAGAGAGGTTGGTGAGTCCCAGGAGTGTTCTGAGGCTGTGGCTGGAAATGATGCATCAGGAGGTTTGGTTCTGGGCTGAGGTCTCCAGGTTTAGCCAAGACCTGGAGTCCCAAGTGTAGCAAGAAGCTGCAGGGACCTCCTGGGATGAGCTAATGGACATCTGAGTGGATGGGGGGACTGCTAACAGGTCGGACTCTCTGGAAACCTGGGTATTATGTAAGATCTCAGATCCCTGACACAAACTCTGGAGGACCCAGGGAAGAGAAATTCCAAGAATGACGGAGGCAGTATGAAGGCTTGGAGTTGAAATCAAGTTGATTTATAGAAAATAGAGATGCCAGTATTTCTGGCACACCTGACTTTTGGCTTGGGATTTGTACAAAGTACAAAGTGCCAAATTAATAATAGCTAATAATTATTCAGTGTGTATTGTGTAGTAGACACCTTTTTCAGCTTTTAGTGAATTATCTCTTTTAATCTTTGCAAGATTCCTTAGTAGTTTCCTTGTAATCCCCAAACTAGAAATAAAGAACTGGAAACATATTCTAGTTAGATGACTTGCTCAAGGTCTCACAGCATCTCAGTGGTGGAGGTGGAATGATAAAAATAGCAAACACGTATTCTGCATCAAGCACATTTTACAGACTTTGCCTCTATTTATTTAGTCTTCACAACAACCGAATGAGGTAGGTATTATTGCCACTCCCATTATATGGATAAACAAATGGAGAAACGGAGATCAATAATTTGCCCAAGTCTCCCAGCTCGTAGTTGGCAGACCTGGAATTTGAACTTGGGAAGATTGACTGCAAAGTCTGTGCAATCTAACCATGAAGCCATGCTTTGGAGACTCCAGGACCCACACTCTTAACCATGCTCTGCCAGATGGACCCCTGGATACTTGCAAATGACTAAGTGGTAAAACAAGATTTTAGTAGGAACAAAAGGACGGTTAGAACCAGAAGGGCTTGCTTATATCTGGAAAATGAGAATTAGGCAAAGCTCTGAGTTGATGTCCCAGATCTGCATTTAAAACTAACACTGAGCTCAAGACCAACCCACCTGCCTATAAAGGTATTAGCTCACTTTATCCTAAAATAGAAACACCAGTGCTGATCCAAGCTCTGATAACTGAAGATAGCAACTCCTTGTAGTATGTCTGAGGCATTCACCAACTGGAGCATGTTAAGAAGAGGAGAATGGGAAGGAAGAGAAAAATTGTGTCATAAGAGAAACAATGGAAATAATTGAGAATGTGAACTTAGAGAAGAAAAGTCTGAGGTGCCTTCAACAACCCTCCAGCTCTGAAGATCAAACCATCCTTGGGTTAGCTGGTGCTTCTTGTCCTTGACAGTCTGTTTTCAGCTTTTGGTGAAAAAGCTACTTTGGGTTCACTTTTTGTCAGTTCATGCCCTGTGGTAGGTTCCCCATATACAATGAGTGGCTTTGTTTAGACCTTGATTTAAACTATTGGCAAAAACAGGTTTTGGGGGCTTTTGGATTTTTTTTTTTTTAGATAGAAAATTCTAAAATTAGACTGGATATTGGATGATAATAAAAACTTAATGCTATTTTTATCGTTGAGATACTGACCTTGCAGTTATATAAGAAAATACCCCTTCTTACCCCTCACCACTTACTTTTTTTAGAAGATGTATTTTGTTGCAGGAAGTCAGGGACCCCAAACGGAGGGACCGGCTGAAGCCATGGCAGAAGAACGTGGATTGTGAAGATTTCATGGACATTTATTAGTTCCCCAAATTAATACTTTTATAATTTCTTATGCCTGTCTTTACTGCAATCTCTAAACACAAACTGTGAAGATTTCATGGACACTTAACACTTCCCCAATCAATACCCTTGTGATTTCCTATGCCTCTCTTTAATCTCTTAATCCTGTCATCTTGTAAGCCGAGGAGGATGTATATCGCCTCAGGACCCTGTGATAATTGTGTTAACTGCACAAATTGTAGAGCATGTGTGTTTGAACAATATGAAATCTGGGCACCTTGAAAAAAGAACAGGATAAAAGCAGTGTTCAGGGAATAAGAGAGATAACCTTAAACTCTGACCACCGGTGCGCTGGGCGGAACAGAGCCATATTTCTCTTCTTTCAAAAGCAAATGGGAGAAATATCACTGAATTCTTCTTCTCAGCAAGGAACATCCCTGGGAAAGAGAATACACCCCTGAGGGTGGGTCTCTGAGCTGGCCCCCTTGGGTGTGGCCATCTTCTATGGTCGAAACTGTAGGGATGAAATAAACCCCAGTCTCCCATAGCACTCCCAGGCTTATTAGGAAGAGGAAATTCCTGCCTAATAAATTTTGGTCACACTGGTTGCTCTCAAAACCCTGTCTCCTGATAAGATGTTATCAATGACAATGGTGCCCGAAACTTCATTAGCAATTTTAATTTTGCCCCGGTCCTGTGGTCCTGTGATCTCGCCCTGCCTCCATTTGCCTTGTGATATTCTATTACCTTGTGAAGTACGTGATCTTTGTGACCCACACCCTATTCATACACTCCCTCCCCTTTTGAAAGTCCCTAATAAAAACTTGCTGGTTATCGGATTGTGGGAGGCAGGAGGATCACTTGAGCCTAGAAGTTCCAGGTTATAGTGAGCTATGAGTGCACCACTGCACTCTAGCTTGGGCAGCAGAGTGAGGCCCTGACTCTTAAACAAAAATTGGCTGGGCAGGGTGGGATCATGCCTCTAATCCCAGGACTTTGGGAGGCCAAGGTAGGCGGATCATTCGAGGTCAGGAGTTCGAGACCAGCCTGGCCAACATGGTGAATCTCCATCACTACCAAAAAAAATACAAAAACTAATCAAATGTGTATGTGTGCACCTGTAGTCTTCAGGTACTTGGGAGGCTGAGGCATGAGAATGTCTTGAACCCAGGAGGCGGAGGTTGCAGTAAGCCAATATTGCACCACTGCACTCCAGCCTGGACAACAGAGTGAGACCATGTCTCAAAACAACAACAACAACAACAACAACAAAAACAACAACATAAAAAAAAACTAGCTATATACTTTCAAAAAGAGACGCATCTAATACATAAGGACATAAAAAAGTTTAACATAAAAGGATGGGAAAAGATACAGAGATATGGCCGGGATGCTGGGGAAACCAAAAGGAAGTAGGAGTCTTCAGCACAGAGAAAGCGTGACCAGCGTTTAAGAGGATCAGTTACCAATCAGCTGCATTTTCCAGACAGCCATAACAATTCTAAACTTGCATGCACCTAATAAAACAGAAAACATAAACTGTAAGGAGAAATTGTGAAACCCACCATGTATTTGAGAAATTTCAACACACGTGTCGAGTAGACACAGTGTTACTAAAAACTTAGAAGATTTGAACAACACAATTAATAAACTTGGTTTTAATGGTCTTCTAAAGAATCCTCCCCCAAATCATGTATTGAAACAAATCTCAATAAAATTCAAGAAATAGTGGGAAAAAAAAAAAAAACTTGCTGGTTTTGCAGCTTGTGGGGCATCACGGAACTTACTGACATGTGATGTCTCCCCCGGACGCCCAGCTTTAAAATTTCTCTTTTATACTTTGTCCCTTTATTTCTCAAACCGGCCAACGCTTAGGGAAAATAGAAAAGCACCTACGTGGCTATCGGGGCAGGTTCCCCGATAGTATTTAAGATAGAAATGATCTAATACATAGAATTTGCCTTAAAATACTTCAGAGAAACAAAAGTTGGGATAGATGAAACAAGTATGGCAACATGTTGATGGTTGTTGAAACGGCAATGATTACATAGTTCTTTGCATTCTTTACTTTTATGTTTGAAAATCTTTATAATAAAAAGTAACACATTTATATGTAAAAATAAATTTATATTTATATGTAAAAATTTATATGTAAAATTGACCCATAGATATTTTCATAGGAAATACAGAGGTCACATGCCTAAAAATGACTAAAAAATTTAACAACTCATTTAATGGAATTCAGTAGCTAATACAAAGTGCAAGGGCAGGGTCTAGGTCTAGGTCACTCCACTCCATTTCTACACTTGCTTAATCTTTACCTGAAGCATCTTTAGGAACACATCCCAGGCAAGTCAAGGAACATTCTCTAAAGGAACTTTCTGTGGTCTCAAGCAAATTGCCTCACCTCAGCCATTTCTTTAATCAAGAACATCCTCATTTGTGGATACATGAAAGACTTCTCGGCACATTTATCCCCAGAAACAAGAGCTTCATCACAGGTCAGATTTAGGGTAGACCCCAATCACATGGGAGAAATCAGCCATAGGATTTGAAACCTTGAAAATCTGACATTGAGTCATAGAAATGACCTGGTGTATAAGTGTTTCTTCTCCATTGAAGACTTGACTCTTAGTGCCTACCACCCAGCTTTGCATATAGTAGCCGTTCGGATACTTCAATTAATACAGATAGATAGAAACCCTAGCTCTTAGGCATACACACTAGTGTTTATAGTGTGCAAGCCTTTTCATAAGAAAGGGGGTAATATAATAGACATATAAACATGTAAATGCATATTGGCTTATATTTTTGAAAAGAAACAATGGAAGGATAAATCCCAAAACTAAAGGAAATGATTATTATAGAGGATTGGAGGGAACAGGATGGAGAGATGGAATGTCAACTTTTTTGGACAATGTCAGCTATTCAATATGTTTTACATGGCTGAAAAACAAAATTAAACTCAAATCAAATTACCTGGGGACATATTTTGACTTTGGAACAACGTACATGTTTTACATTTTTAAAAAGAAACAGTCTCTAAAACCTGAAAACCATGGAAACAAATGAACCTAACTAGACATTAAGTTGATGATATAATCATGCAGGGAAAAGAATCATTTCAAAACACGTTAAGACTCAGTATTTTGACTGTATAGTCATAAAGCAGTGGTCTTTTATAATAATAATATTTCAGATAGTAATATTTGATATTTCAAATAATAATATTTGAATAATGTAAAATATATTTATCTGTTGTAAGAATTACAGTATTTATATATCGTAAGATATATAGTAAGATCAGTGATCTTATTTATCGTATATAAATTTATTGTATATATATTGTAAGATCAGTGATTATGTTAATGAATGCCATTGGGATTCTAGACTTTAAGCATAGGAGAGATACAGTATAGAATCAGAGAAATTGTTAAAATTCTGTAATATTAAAAGTTCTGGGTCTGGTGCCTTGTGATCCTTGGCTTCTCTCTCTCTCCATGGGCCATTTCCTCCTGCAAGACCTCTCCGGTGGGTTCACGGGCTGCTCACAGCATAGTGGTCTCAGGATATAGACAAACTTCCTTCATTGTAGCCGGCTTCCAAGAGGCAGAAAGCAAAGCCACCGGGCCCATGAAAGGCTCTGCCTGGGAGTAGCACAGCATCACTTCCAGGGCCTGCCCAGCTTCAGGAGGTGGTGAAACAGACACCACCTCGTGATGGAAGAGTGGCAAGGTCACAGTTCAGGAAGCTATGCAGGAGGGGACATACTGTTGTGGCCGACACTGGAAAATAAAATCAACCACAGTGAAGTGGTGGATAACGGAGCAGGTCCCAGCCTCCCCACCAATGGCTCAAACAGGGCTTCTGACTCCAGAAACAACAAGGAATGGCAAATTCCCAACCCACTGGCCACCTGACATTAGCTTATCAACCCTTCTAGATCATCAAGAGGCTTTCAGAACTCTCTTGAGTTTCTCCTGATTTACAGACACACTTTCATTTCCCCCGAGGGTGGTATGAGTGAGTGGGCAGCATCAGGTAGCTGAGAGGGAAATTTCCAGCAATGTCTGCACTAGGAAAGACTGAGCTTGAGGCCCTTGTGCTCCAGGAAGTGCTGCCTGCAGCTGCTGCTAAGGGAGAAGCATCAGGGGCAGGAAACCATCCCTCAGGGCCACTCCACTTGCTACTCCATCACCCTGCAGCCAGAGTGGGACAATGAGACGGAAGCATCAGGAAGCCGTTGCTCCAGGAACTCAGGGAAGGTGGGGGCACAGGAAGGACGCTGGGATGGAGGGGCACAATTTCAAAGGAACAAATGTTGCCTGAATGCTTCGTCATCCTGGCAGCTTCTCAAACATGTGGGGACAAGCAGCCTTGTGGGCACAGCGCCCATGCTCAGAAAGTTCTAGGGATGGATTCGTGGGTGAAGGAGAGCGAGTTGGGACTTTGAGGCAGGATCGTGGTGGGGGAATGGAAGGCCTGTGGACAAGGAGGAGGGGGCTGCAGGCCAGGACACACCTACGAGTAGAAGAGTCCTGCTGTTAGGTTAGATTTCCCTAGTTGCTCTGTGGGCCCACACACTCACAAAGGTGGTGAAGGTAAAGAAGACAGGCTGAGACTCCATTCCGCGCTGACCAACTTGGCCAGTGAGGCTGGTGTAGGAGGTGACTGGCCTCTGCCCTCACCTACCTCCCACCAGCGGTGACGGACTTCACTTCCACCCTCCTCGCTTCCAGCCAAGCCCGGCTTCTCCATTTCAGCTCTGTCTCACTCCACACTCAGAGGCCAGTGGAGGGGCCAGATCAGGCTAAGGATGCCGGTGGGAGGTTCTTTTGGAGAGAAGGCAAAGAGAAAGAGGAGTGGGAGGAGAAAGACGTTTCGTTCTGAGCTTTATCTAGCAGGGGCAGGACCAGAGGCAGGGGTGCACCAGGCTCAGACTACACTTAGCCGAGTTCTGCAGAAGAAATGCTGCTTTGTCTCCATGTGGCCTCTACCCTGGCCTGCTCTGGGCCTCTGAACTAACATAAGGACACTTGCAGAGAGATGGCCCAGGTTTTAGCAAACCTTATTAACTACTACTGCGTAGTTCCACCCATCTTTACTAAGCCTTCCAGACCCCGCGAGCACTGTGGCCCCTGCTGGTGGCCAGATGTCTCGGATGCCTTTCATTTTTGCTTGCCAAGCCTACCTTCCCCTTTTGTCTGACAGCACCTCCCTCCATTTCTTGTGGGAGGAAAAAGAGGGCCACCTCTCATGTACTTTATGTGGTCCCAGTCAGATCCCCTATCGTGACGCTCCATGCTGTGATGGGCAGATGTCCCAGGCTAGCCAAAGAACTCCATCCCCTGGGCCTAATGACTGATTCAGGTGGGTATCGGATGTCAACTGGGCCAATTGGGAACTTTTCTAATCCTTTATATATGGATGCTAGAGGAGATTATGCGTGTCTTCCTGGAAAATCAGATGTGGTAATGACTTCTATAGGCCTAGGTATACTGATGAAGCCTGCCTGAGACCCAGAGGGCAGCACAGCCAAGAGATGCAGAGACAGAGAGAGAGAACTCATGACACCATTTGAGTCCTCAAGGAAGCTCCAAAGAATTAGCAAAAGCTCAGACTTTGTCCTCAAGCCTTCCTCAAGCACCGCTATCCAGAGCTCTCTGTCAAGTAACAGACAGCAGCAAAGATCAAATCAAGGATGTTGCCTCTCACTCAAGCCTGTTTCTTCGGATAGACTCAGGACAATTGCATTTAAATTGAGACACTGGGGCTAAGCAGAGCGTGGACATCAGTAAATAAAGTTTTTAGGCTAAAAGCATGCCAAACCAGATTTTGTCTTTAGTTATTTGTGCATGAACTGGACCGGAAGCAAATATTCTTAAAGCCTACGTGGGTTTCTTAGGGAATTTTACTGCCCAGGAAACTCTAAGTCTGACTTGTCAAAGCCCTGGAGCCAGGAGGCTGCCGGGGGCCCCAACCATGCCCCTGAGGGAAGGAACTGTAAAAGCTCTGCAGCCCCTCCCCACCCCTCCCAGGGCCATCGCCTAAATGTCTGCTTCAGATGGACAGGGGAGAATCTTCTGGACCATGTCAGCCAAGGGAGGCTCTCCTGGAAAGTACAACCAGGGTTGCCAGATGGACTGACCCAGAGATTCGCCTGCTAACATAGAAAAAAGACTTTTTAGCTCCTGCTCAGCAAGATTTGAGCATTGATATGGACCTGAGTAACTTATACGTGTTTTCTTATCTTTTTTCAGAATGGGAAATGTTATTGCAATTTTCCTATACAGAACCACTGTTAAGTATGGGGTAAGGGAGAGCTTGGGGGTAACAGAGTGATCCAGCTTCTCCAGGAGCTCCTCCTGGTCCCAAGTGCTTTTCCTGCAGGTGCTCCTGATCTTTGCATGGAATCGAGGCATTTGGGCCTCGTCTCCCTCAGAGAGAGGGTAGATGTGTCTGTGAGGAGGACCCACAAATATCTGGTGGCCAAAAGCATGGACAGTGGCAGACACTGTTAGATGTCACACAGTGCTAGTTCCTCCCTCCTTTTAGACTAAAAAGACACCCCATTTTTGGTCTGGGCATGGGCAGCGTTATTTCCAGCCTCCCTTGCTGCTGGGTGTGGCCAAGTTCCCAGATAAAAATGAGCAGAAGAGAGAGAGGAAACTTCTGGGTCACGCTTGTCAAAGAAAAAGGCATTTCTTCCGTTCCACTTCCTCTTCCCACCCTGCTGCTGGAATTCTGATGTGCTCGTGTCCATCTTCAACCACACAGGCAAGGACAGTCTCAGGAATGGCCAGTTCTGTGTCAAAACTCCTGAACCTATAAACTCAGCTGTTCTGAAGTCCTATTTTTTTTTTTTCCTTTGGGGGCTTTTGTAAATTCAGTGACTCTGTCTGGGAAAGTATAGCAATTATATCCTATAAAAATTACTGTGATACTGGAAAGGTATAACACTAATAACCTTGGGAAGCTATAACATTAAACAGTAACAATTAGAATGAAGAGAATAAAGACACAAATTTAAATTCATAGTGTACTGTATTAGCACTTTTATGACTGGTTTTAGTAGTGCAAGTGGCTACAGCTTTTCAGGTGGATTATAGCACTGGTGAGAAGAGACCTTTCTTGATCTTATTCTTGTGTTCTCACTCTTGTTCTCCTTTTCACTGTAAAATTCCTGAGAGAATTAGCCAAGGATGCAGAATATGATCAGAAATCTGGGGCCATAAGAAGCTGGAGCAGCAAAACACATTCACAGTGCAGCCAGCCCTTGGCTCCCAGAATTCCCAAAACAAGTGTGCTCCCTTCAGAAATACAGTCCTTGGAGTAGGAGGCTAACAGAGCTAAGGTACTCATTTCCACTATACTATAACCTGGTTTTGCTATGGAATTGTATCATCATTTCAGAAAGAATTTATGCCGACAACTCATGCGCTTAATTGAAAATATGCTCATAGACCTCCTCGTACTTTTTGAGTCACAAAACATCAGCAGGCTCTCTCATACAGAAGGAGGAGAAAACAGAGTGTGTATCCTTCACATGTGTGAGCAGTATCTTCTCTCTGGCTCTTCAGGGTCTCAGCAAGCCATTTCCCCATAGTATAATAATTTCGGTAATCAAAGTGACATTCTGTGCATGTATTGTCACTTCTTAAGGTGTTTAGAGCATGCCAACAAATCTGATTTATTAGATTCATAGTTTTAATTATTTGTTTATCTAAGAGCTTGATTACAAATTTGTAATGAATGCTTAAATGTCTGGGGAGATTTAATGCGAAGTTTTGTGCTTTTGCTGATTATGTGTAAATAGTGAATAAATATTTGGAATTGTTAAATGCTAAATATTAGAAGAAGTGTTGTTTATAGATTAATGAGTTAGCACATTCATAAAAGACAGGTAACAGTGACTTTTTCTCTCTGCATTAATAACCACTCAGACATTAATGGGTGTCAGTGTCCTTATCCATGCGGAGAAGGGGTTGAATTCAATCATTGCTAAGTTTTCATACATCTCTAAAATGCTGGATCATAATGAAAATTCAGAAACTCTTTCGCTCATGTTCACACCAGATTTTTACCATCCTACAACAACTTAGACCTTCAGCATGCCTTTCATTCTTTTATAATATCACAGCTGCCTCTGTGTAAATAGACTGTCAGCATTACATCAAGGCATATGTCTGATTGATAGGTCTACCAGGCACCCTTACGTACAATCAAAACTCAGCCTGTCTTGAAGATAATTACCAGCTTCAGCACATCTCAGCTGCTGTCAATAAACTTTCTTGTGTGTGCCAGCTTCCTATAGCAATGGAAGCAAACCAGAACTGCCCACTTCTTATGACATTTTCCATCAATTTTTTACAAAGCCTGAGCATTTGAATAGTGCTTCACTGTTTACAGAGCAATTTCCCTTTCTCACAACCATCCTCATTTTACAGGTGAAGGATCTAAAACCTGAAAAGAGGCCAAATGATTCCTCAAAACCACGCAAGTACGAAGTAGCAGAGCGGATCTCAAATCCAGGTGTGTCTGACTTCCAGCCTAATGGCTTTTCTTAAAAACACCCCCAAACTCTTGGTAACATCTATGCAATGAAAAGGGTTGTCATGAAAACTGCTTCCCAGTTTGTTAAATTCTTATGCAGGTCTCCAGTGTCAGAAACGCTGAGTATCACTAATCTCAAGACCTTCTCTCTGCTATACGAGCTCTGGCAGAGCTTGTCTCCAAGGGCTAGACAGGAAAAAAAAAATCTGGGTTCAATTAAAATATATCAATAAAGAGAACTAAAAGGAGCTCCAAAACGTTGCTGCCCTTCTGCGGGCTGTCTGTGTGTAATGCCGGCTCCTTCACTCTTTTATGGCACCATGATTGTGTTTTACCCTCCCGACTGTTAACTGCCAACTGTTAACTGTTAACTGCCCAAGGTTGCCCTGCTGATGTCATGCCTGACCATATGACTTGCTCCAGCCAATGAAATGTAAGCAGAAGTGACATATGCAGCATGACCAGTGGAAGCTTCGAAGAGCTATTGCCAATTTCCACCCTCTCTCTGGAAACTGTCATTAGGGTTAGGGAAACTGTCATGAGATCTGCATATTTTAGATAGAGGCTGCTTGCCTTATTTGGGCACCTAATGAAAAAGACATGGAGGCCAGGTGCGGTGGCTCATGTCTGTAATCCCAGCACTTTGGGAGGCCAAGGCGAGTGGATCACCTGAGGTCAGGAGTTCGAGACCAGCCTGACCAACATGGCAAAACCCCGTCTGTACTAAAAGTGCAAACACAAAGGGAACTGCGTGGCTTGTTTCTACCTGAACATTGTCAAGTGATTTCATCCTTTGAAACACAGTTGTGAAGTGTGTCCAGCAGTCTGAGAACAAGAAGAAGAAGAAAATCTAATCCTTCAGGGTGTCTGTGTGCCAGCCCTGCTCTCAGCACTTCCCATGTGGAACTCCTTTACTTCTCCTAACAACTCCATGACATGGGTTAGACTGTGATTGTTCCCATATTGTTGGTAGGGAAACTGAGGCATGCAGGTGTTACAGAGCTCTCTCAAGTGGCAAGCTTTCTGGGTGGTTACAGAGTGGCAGAGCTGGGGTATCCCATGATGTCACCACACTGCTATATGGAAAAGAACATTAATCGAGCACCTACGTGCTTGATTCTCTTAATTCTGTGACTGAACTCTCAAAACACCCTGGGTAAGCACTATCATCTCCTATTTTCACAAGTGAAAAAACTGGGATTCAAAAAAATTAAGTGACTTACCAAATATTACAGAGCTAGTAAGCCAAGACTTGAACACTGAGATGGAATTCTACCTTTTAAGGTGGCTAAGCAACAGAAGGATGTTCCTTTCCCAAGGGGGTAAGAAGCAGTGGCCATGTTCAGCACAATTGTCCTATCACAGGTTCATGGCAGGGACCGAGCAGTGAGGATGGGCACTGCCCTGTGTCCTAGCAGAGGGCTGCCTTCTGGCTCCCCAGCCTTGGCCAGCAGCCCTTCTATCTTCATGCCATGACCTATTTTTGTTCACCCAGTTAGTGTATGGCCTATTTCTTTCCTTAAGAATTACTTCATAACTTTCACAGAGTAATAGCACATGCTGAGCACAGCATTCATGAACTTGGACACACGCACACAAAATGTCCCTTTAAATTCACAGAGCAGTATCTGAGATCCAGGTAGAAAGACCAAAAGGAAAATTAAGAACAGACTCTCAGACCTGCCTTCCCTTTGCATTCAGGTTGGTTTCCTTTTTACAACTGCCCAAGTCATGAGTTCATAGGGCCTGGATGGCTGTACCGGATTGCTCTCCAGCTGGTCTCTCTGCATCCAGAAATTTCTACAACCTACTGGGGTAAAATCTTTCTCAACCCTGCTTTTCATCATCACATCTTAAATATCTCGAGTTGGTTCCCTATTGCCAAAAAAAATCCATTGTCCATGTAGGGTTCTTCTGCCGAAACGAGGAAAGAGTGAGTTAAATGTTGGTAGGTGATATAGAGATAGTAATTAGGCAATATAATTCGATGTTGTTGAAAGAGCTGAGCTATGAAATGCATTGTGATAAAGGGGCTGCCTGTGTAAGTAAATGGGTATAATGAGGTGTAAAACTCCCTTTCTCTCTCTCTTTCTGCTTCATAAGCCTTTCTGCTTCTCAAGTCCAGACCTGCTGTTTTTGGGGTTTCCTTCCAATTTTTTTGCTGCTTCCCTGGGGCCTTGGCTCTTGGGCCTGCTGCCTCTTCCCACTCTACACCTTTGGATTCCTTATCTTTGGCTCCACCTTATTGCTCCATTCTCCAAAGACAAATCCACAAGGCATAGGATTTTACAGAATATGGGGTTACAGAAACAGCATAGGGAAGTGTAAAAGCCTAGAAGCTTCTTACAGACGCAGCCCCTTGTCTGTAGCTCCTGACTCCCACTTAAATGTCTGTTGGAAGCACCCTGGGGTAGCAGAACCCAGCTCAGAAGATGGGGCTTATCCACCATGCCTTTTCCTAACCTGACACCCACCCAGATAATCTTTTCAATATGCAAACTAGAGCGTATCACCCCCTGCTCAGAGCCTTTCTGTGACCTCCCATTTTGCTTCCCAGGACTCCTTGCTCCTTAGCCAGGTCTCCAGGTCCTCCGTGATCAGGTCTCTGCTCTTCTGCAGCCTCATCTCTGCCATTCTTCACCTTTTGTGCTCCAACCCAATCTGGTTTTCTTCTCATGCTTTGAACACCCCAAGTCTGTCTGCTTCAGGAGCTTCGTACTGGCTAATCATTCACCACAGCATACTCCCATCTATACGGCTGGCTCTTATATTATGGGTCTCAGCTAAAATGTCATCCCTTCAAAGAGACCTTCTTGGACCACCCCCGCCATTCTCTATCCTATTTCTCTCTTTTATTTTCTTTGAAGCACTTACCCACTTTCAGAAACTATCTGGCTTGCTCATGTGTTTGTCTCTAGATTGTCTACTTCCCCTCCTAGACTGTACTCTCCACAAGAGAGCAAAGCTGTGTCTGTTGCATTCACTGTTGTCTTCCCAGAAGCAAGCAGCATGCTGGAGACCCTCAAATACATGTGAAATGAAGGGACACCTTGTGTTATTTCACCTGTTTCCACCTGGTTCCCAAGTGGCAAGCTTGCATTGAGGTTACAAAGTGGCAAAGCTGGGATATCACATGATGTCACCATGATGCTATATGAAATGTAACATTAATTGAGTACCTATGTGACCAGTTCTTTAATTCTGTAAGTGAACTCTCAAAAAACCCTAGGTAAGTATTATCAACTCGAACTTTAACGGATGAGGAAACTGGAATTTTTTAAAAAATGACTTAACCAAACATCACAGAGCTGTAAACCAGGATTTGAATGGGTGAGCTGCACTCAGCCTTCATCTCAAGTCAGTTTGCCTCTTTCTCCAAGAAGCCACAGTTGATCCTGACCACATCACATATGAGTTGCCTGGATTGCAGTCATTCATTCACTAAGCATCTTTTAGGAGGTCACATGCCAGGCACCGTGTTAGGTAATGATTTCTCCAAGTCACAGGAGCCGTGGTTCTGACTTTAGAAAGTTTCTCATCTGATGGGAGGGCAGGCAAGTAAATCAGTAAGGGTGGTCCCTGTCGGGACACTGGTTGAGAAATACCCAGGAACACTCTGATTGAGAAATACCCAAAGTGCAAAGTGACAGGGACTAGAGGCATCTCCACTGGACCAGAGAGCTCTGGATTCGTCTTGAGCTAAGTCTCTGGAGGTAGGTGTCAGCTACAAGGAGAAAAGCTGTATATTTTGAGATATGGGATGCAGGGCCTTTTAGTTCCATAAATAAGAGAACTATGGTGTGAATACCACATGCCCTGGGCTGAACTAAGTGGGCTCTAGGGGAAGGTATACTGGGCAGGGAGTTTGGAGAACTGGTTTCTGTCTAATCCTTCTCTAACTCTGTGACCTTGAATGCATCATTTCCCCTCTGAGTCTCAGATTCTCTTTCTGGCTGGCATTTAATGAAACCTAAATATTCTAGACCTTCTACTTGTTCCATAAGTGCTCAGTCCTACACTCACTCTCCTCTGGCACCAATATACTGATTACTCATTTTATGCCCAGCAGAGCACTGCGTGTTTTGAAATATACAAATAGTGGGAAACGAAATCTTTGTTCTGGATGCAGTTATAATTTGGAAAGCGAGGAAATAAATTATAACAAGGGGAAAAAACAGGTAAGCACAACATCTTACAACATTTGCTAATTATTTCACGTGTTGGTCTTATCATTCCAATTAGATATCAAGTTTTAGGTCAGAAACTCTGTGTTCTTTTTCTTTCTAATATAGTCTTTACCATTTTCTAGCTGTAAGAAAATGTTCTAATTACTTTACCTTCCTAAGCTTTCATTCTATAATCTGTCAAAGTACCTAATTTGTAGGGTTGCCGTGAGGAGTAAATGAGCTGTTGCATGGGAAGCACTTAGCATGGGGCCTGATAAATAGTAAGCCCTTGGTAATAATTACATCTTCCGTGATGCTAGACACAGAGGGATTGAAATGCATAACAATAGAGATGAAACACGAAGAGTGATAAATGAAGATTGAGTGTGCACACCTTCTGGAGGAGCCCTGATTGAGTATTTTAAGTAAGTGGACTAACTGTATTATTGTTAAGGAATTAGAAGCATGTAGGTAGAAGGCTGTGGTAATGGCTCAAATAGAAGGTGGGGTCAGGACTGGGATGGAGGCTAAGAAGGAGACACTGTAGAGAAAGAGTCAGTAGGATCTTGAGGATGCTCTCAGCCAAGGGTTTTGGTATCTTCTCTGAATGGGCAAGCCATTAGCATTTTTTCATTGCCCATGGCTACCTGTTGCAGGGACTTAATTACAAGTGAGTGCATCTGAGAGGTCTGGTGCTCCCTGGTTTCTCCTAGCCCCCTTTCTCATAGACAGGTTACAGCGTGCTGAAAATACTAGGATCACAATTACTCTCACCCTATAAGTAAGTTCAAAGAACTAAAGGAAACTATAATTAAATAGGTAAAATAACAATGTCACATCAAATAGAGACTATCAATAAAGAGATATAAATTAGTAAAACCAATTGAAAATTTTGGAGTTGAAAAATAAATTAAAACTTTTTATTTAAAAATAAAAATTTTAGAGAGGCTCAACAATAGATTTGAATTGGCAGAAGAAAAAAACTAGCAAACTTGAAGATAGATTGGTAGAGAGTATACCATCTGAAAAACAGAGAAAAAGCAGTGAAAAATGAACTGAGCCTCAATATGGAACACCATAAAGCATGCTAACATATGAGTAATGGAAGTATCAGAAGGAAAAGAGAGAGAAAAAGGAGTAGAAAAAATGTTCAAAAATAAGAATAGCTGAAAACTTTCCAAATTTGATTTTTAAAAACAAAAAAAATTAAACATTCAAGAAAATCAACAGACTTCAAGTAGAATAAATGCAAAGGGATCCACACACAGATATAGCATGGAAAAATTCTGAAAGCCAATGATAGGGAGAAAATCTTAAAAGCAGTAAGAGAAAGATGACTCATCACATAGAAAAGAAGCTCAATATGATTAACAGCTGATTTTTCATCAGAAACAATAGAGCCAAAAGGAAGTGGGATGACAGATGTAAAGTGCTGAAAGAAAAAGAAAACTGTCAACTAAGAATCTTCAGCAAAGAAACTTCAGCAAAGCTTTCAAAATGAAGGAAAAATCGACTTTTCCCTATTAGAAAAGAAAGAGAATTTATTGCTAGTAAATGTATCTTACAAGGAGTACTAAAGGCAGTTCTTTAGGCTGAAAACAAATGACCCCAGAAAGTTATTTGAATCCACACACATGTACATTAAGAGCACCAGTAAAAGTAATTATGCAATTATAAAAGATACTACACACGAATATTCTTTCTCCATTCTTTCAATTGATTTAAAAAACAATTGTATAAAACGATATATAGATAATTGTATTGTTTCACTCTAACATATGGAAATATGACTTATTTGCCAATAACAGCACAGAAGTGGGTGAGAGCAAAGTTGTGTCAGAGTAAGACAATGACACCAAGCCAGATGGTTATCAAAATCCACAGGAACAAATGAAGAGAACCAGAAATTGCAAATAAGAAGGACAGAGTACCAGAGAGGAGAGAGAGGTACAGAGAATTATGGAGGTGGCTTCCGTTGAGTATGCAGCTAAGTAATGATTAATGCATACATATAAGAAACTACTGGATGACAGAGAAAGAACCACAAGCAATTTAAAGGTAACAGCACCCAACACTCACACATGACTGGAAAATGTGCCTTTTCCCACATGCCAGACTGGAAAATTGTGTGTTCCACAGGGCATTCAATAGAGTACACAGAAGGATTTTTGCTTCGTTAGTAGGAAACAATTAGCCCTAGCCTAAATACTGCTCTGGTTCAACCTATCAAATTTTTTTTTTTTTTGAAACAGAGTTTTGCTCTTGTTTCCCAGCTGGAGTGCAATGACATGATCTCGGCCCACTGCAAACTCTGCCTCCTGGGTTCAAGCAATTCTCCTGCCTCAGCTTCCTGAATAGCTTGGATTACAGGTGCCTGCCACCATGCCAGGCTAATTTTTGTATTTTTAGTAGAGATGGGGTTTTCCCATGCTGGCCAGGCTGGTCTCCAACTCCCAACCTCAGGAGATCTGCCCGCCTCGGCCTCCCAAAGTGCTGGGATTATAGGTGTGAGCCACTGCGCCTGGCAACCTATCAAATCTTAAAAGCAAGACCTGAAAGGATCAACTTATTTCCAAGTATTAATAATTTAACTGAGTTCTAGAACAAAACTCAAAAATATTTATCAGAATACAAAAATATCCAGGCCCCAACAAGATAACGTTTAAAGTATATCAGCCAATAAAAAATTACAATGCATGCAAAGAATCAAAAAGATCTGCTCCAGAGTATGGAGATAAATGGGTCAATCACAACCAATCCAGAAACTGACACAGATGTTAAAATTAGCTGACAAAGACATTACAGATGCTGTTTGACTTGTGATGGGATTATATCCTGATAAACCCTTGTAAATTGAAATTATCATAAGTTGAAAATGCATTTACTACATCTAACCTACCAAACATCACAGCTTAGCCTAGCCTATCTTAAACATGCTCAGAAAACTTACATTAGCCTACAGTTGAGCAAAATCATCTAACACAAAGCCAATTTTATAATAAAGTGTTGACTTTGGCTTCTAAATACCATTCTCCACTAAAAGGAATCAAGGTTCTTTGGAGAAATGACTGATTCTAGTGTTTGGACTAAAAAGTACAAGATGAATCTAAAAGATATTTTTGTGCCAGAAAGCAAGGAAGCTCTCAAAGACTATGGAGTCATATCAAAAGGACCCAGAAGCTAACTTGTAGATAACTCAAATAGCCAGTTGGAGACAATTTGACCATCAAAATAATTAATATAAGGGATTATAATCCTTGTGGTAGGCAGAATAATGGCCTACAAAGTTGTCTATGCCTGCATCAGTGGAATCTATGAACATGGAATCTTGCATGGGAAAAGGGAATTTGCAGATTTGATTAGAGACCCCAAAATAGAAAGATTATCTTGGATTATGTAATAGCTAAAATTGAGTGTCAACTTGATTGGATTGAAGGATGCAAAGTATTGTTCCTGGGTGTATCTGTAAAGGTGTTGCCAAAGGAGGTTAACATTTAAGTCAGTGGACTGGGAGAGGCAGACCTACCCTCAATATGGATGGGCACGATCTAAGCAGATGCCCCCATGGCTAGGATAAAGCAGGCAGAAGAGCCTGGAAGGACTAGACTGGCTGGGTCTTCCAGCCTTCCTGTTTCTCCCTTGCTGGATGCTTCCTGCCCTCGAACATTAGACTCCAAGTTCTTCAGCTTTTGGACTCTTGGGCTTACACCAGTGGTTTGCCAGGGCCTCTCAGGCCTTCTGCCACAGACTGAAGGCTGCACTGTTGGCTTCCCTACTTTTGAGGTTTTGAGACTCAAACTGACTTCCTTGCTTGCTACTCAGCTTGCAGACAGCCTATTGTGGGACTTCAACTTGGCATTGTGTGAGTCAATACTCCTAATAAACTCCCTTTTATATATACATCTATCCTTTTAGTCCTGTTCCTCCAGAGAACACTGACTAATACAGATTATCTAGACAGGCCCAGTGTAATCACATGAGTCCTTAAAAATAGAAATCCTTCCTGACTACAGAGAACCAGAGAGATGGAAGCATGAGAAGGACTCAACCTGTGTTGTTGGCTTCCAAATGGAGGAAGGGATCCAGGAGACAAGGAATGTGAGTGGCCTCTAGAAGACAGAAAAGGCAATAAAATGGATTCACCCTTAGAGCCTCCAGGAAGCAATGCCACCCTGTCAACACCTTGATTTTTAGCCCAGTGAGTCCTGTGTCAGACTCCTGACATAAAGAACTGTTAGATAATGCATTTATGTTGTTTTAAGCCACTAAAATGTGATTTGTCTCAGCAGCAATAGAAAACTACCGTAATCCCTTTGAATAAAATAGGAAGGTGTACGTCCATAAAGATAGAAATAAATGAATAAATTGAAAGTTTGATGAGGAACAGGATATCTATTTCAAAATAACTCTGCACAAAACACTTATTAATTACAAAGGGTTAAAGAGCAATTTGGAAGTTATTCCTAGTTCTCTGCTAGGAGGAGCCTAGTGGATACCACCCTAATCAAGTGATCTAACTGAATATCAACAGCAGTGAGACAGATGTAAATTATGCCTCAGCCAATAGTATCAGTGAGAAGAATACAACACTTCTGTGGTATTTCTACCCAAGATACATAACTTAAGGAAACATCAGAGACATTGTAAGAAACTCAGATTGAGGGACATTCTATGTAATAACTGGTCAGCTATCATCAAAGTTGCCAAGGTCATTTAAGTTAAGGGAAGACAAAGGAACTTTTCCAAGCTAAAGAACACCAAAAAGACTTGACAATTAAATGCAATGTGTGGTTTTGAACTGGATTACTTTGTTGGAATCACTGGCAAAACTTGAATGGGTTCTGAGGATTAGACTGCAGTTAGTATCAATGTTAATTTCCTGATTTTAATGGTTATATTTTGGTTATGTAGAAAAATTTTTGAAAAGTCATACTAACAAAAGATAAATAATTATGGTAGCTTGTCTCCAAGATGGCTGACCAGCATAAATTTCTTCTCCCTATATCCACACAAGCCAGGGTTGCAGTTTATTCCTTTGTTCCCTTGAATGTGGCCTGATTTGTGACTGCTTTGGTCAACAGAATACTACTAAAGTCATGCCGTGTGACTTCTGAAGCTAGCTCCTAAGAAGTCCTTGCAGCTTCTGCCTGCGACTCTTAGAACACTTGCTTTGAAGGATGCCAGATGCTGTCTTAAAAGTCTGAGCACTCTGAAACCATCATGCTGTGAGGAAGCCCAAGCTAACCACATGGGCAAAAAAGATGCCCTCTGACTGCCACCATTTGAGACACTCTAATTAAGAACTGCCTCATTGAGCCCATGAGGCCCTGTGAATGATAATAATAAATTGTTTTTAACCACTATGTTTTTGGATTTGTTATAAGTTTATAGATAACAAGAAAAAGTTATATTAGCATGGTAATAAAATTATGGATATGTGTAAGTTTGGTGTTTTGTTTCTTTTTTTTTTTTACACTAAGCCTATATTACTGTTGTAATTTAGGAAATCACTTGTTTTCCTCCAGCACTTCAATGTAAGAGTGGCACTACTTAGAATGTACTTCTTAAGATATGGCTGTACATAGAACAAATTATTCACCATGATTTCCTTAGCATCCAACAGAATACCTGAGTGTAGTAGATGCTTAGTAAATAGTTGTTGAATAATTGACATATGGGAGAGTGCTGGATAAACTCTTTGAGAATGACATTATCTACTTCGATTTATGTGAGTCTGGCATCATATTTTTTTTGCTGTCTTTAAAGAAACCAAGAAGAAAGGCTGTGTGTTGAAGTTATGATTTATTGCTTTTCTCCCCTATACATTTATTTCTTCACATGATCATCTCCTCTGCTTTCTTCTGTGACTAACTTGCTCTATCTGTGTGAACATTTTGCCACTATTCTGCTCCCTTTATACCTGCCTAGGCAAAGATTGCACAAAAAATAAAATGATAAACAAAGCTCTGTTGCAAATAAAACTTAGATGACACGCCAACATCTCACATCAGTCAATATGTGAAAAGAATAATATCCATGGACAAGTAGGGCTAATTTCAAGAATACAAGAATAACCCTGGGGAATTAGTTAATATAAGTAAATCATGTTTCATATATCAAAAAAATATGATCATCTTGGCTTTTAAAACGTTCTTAGGAAACAAGATCTTGAGGAATACTTTATTAACATGATAAAGAAGATTTACATTAAATGAGCATTTATTGAGACATGGCATATACAAGATAATGTTGAATTTTAGGAATTAAAATATTAAGTAAGGCAAGTCACTGTTCTCAAGAACTTAAAATATAAAATATTAATCACAGAACCTTACCAGCCTCTTTTTCTGCAGTGGATCTAGAATGTCACAATTGGAAATTAATGCAAAGGAAATGTTTCAAATTAAGACATTTGCATAATGATCATTGCAGTGCTATGTTCAATAGCAAAGTATCTTGACCTTAATACCTGACAACAAGGGGCTAGTTATGTAAATTATTTCATATTAACTCAATGGAATATTATACGCTCATTAAGTTTCATTCGGTATGCATGATATACAACCTAAGACACAGATTAAATTAGTTCAAAGGCAACGTAGGAATATTGAACACTGTATATTAAGTAAAATTAGTTCTTAAAAGTGTTAATACAATACAGAGTTTCTGAATGTCAGCACTACTGGCATTTTGGACCAGATACTTCTTTGTTGTAGGGGGCTATGTTGTGCATTGCAGGATGTTTAGCCGCATCCCTGGTCTCCATCCATTAGATGCCATATCACATGCCACCTCCTTCCCTTCACTCCCTTAGCTGTGATGACCAAAAATGTCTCCACACATTGCCAAATGTTCCCTGGGAGGAAATTTCCCTTTGGTTGACAGCCACTGGTATAACACAATATTCTGTATAGTTTCACTACAACTATATTAAAAACTGGTATGCAGGCCGGGCACAGTGGCTCGTGCCTGTAAACCCAACACTTTGGGAGTCTGAGGCAGGCAGATCACTTGAGGTCAGGAGTTCGAGACCAGCCTGGCCAACATGGCGAAACCTTGTCTCTAATAAAAATACAAAAAGTAGCCAGGTGTGGTGGTGCATGTCTGTAATCCCAGCTACTCAGGAGGCTGAGGCAGGAGAATTGCTTGAACCCAGTGACTGAGAGTGCATTCCAGCCTGGGTGACAGAGTGACACTCCACCTCAAAAATAAATAAATAAATAAAATAAAATTGCTTTTTAAAAAAAAAAAAAACTTATATGCGGCTGGGCATGGTGACTCACGCCTTTAATCCCAGCACTTTGGGAGGCCGAGGCAGGTGGATCACTTGAGGTCAGCAGTTTGAGACCAACCTGACCAACATGGTGAAACCCCGTCTCTACTAAAAAAAAAATATGAAAATTAGCCAGGCATGATGGTGGGTACCTGTAATCCCAGCTACAAGGAAGGCTGAGGCAGGAGAATTGCTTGAACCTGGGAGGCGGAGGTTGCAGTGAGCTGAGATCGTGCCATTGCACTCCAGCCTGGGCAACAAGAGCAAAACTCCTCTCAAAAATAAATAAATAAAACAAAATAATTTAAAACAAAACAAAACAAAAAAAGCTTGTGTGCGGCCGGGCATGGTCACTCATGCCTTTAATCCCAGCACATTGGGAGGCCAAGGCGGGTGGATCACTTGAGGTCAGGAGTTCGAGACCAGCCTGACCAACATGGTGAAACCCTGTCTCCACCAAAAAAAATACAAAAATTAGTGAGGCATGATGGTGGGTACCTGTAATCCCAGCTACTGGGGAGGCTGAGGCAGAAGAATTGCTTGAACCCGGGAGGCAGAGCTTGTAGTGAGCCAAGATCCTGCCATTGCACTCCAACCTGGGCAACAAGAGCGAAACTCCATCTCAAAACAAAAATAAAAACAAAACAAAACAAAACAGAAAAACTTGTATGCAAATAAATAAAAATTAGAGGAAACAAAAAGAAAATAATACTTGCTGCAATAACTGATGAAATTTTGGATACAATCTTTTTCTTGGATTTTCTGATTGTTTTAGCAGTAAAAAGAGCACAATTTTAAAATTTGCTTTCTAAATAGTCCTGAATAAGAACAGCTCTCAGCCCAGGGATATCAGCAATGCTCTCTGGCAATGTCAGCTCCCTCTGGTGGGCTGATGCATAGTCTTGATTTCCTTTATGTCTCTCAATTTTTAGCACTCCACGAAGAGGCCTTGGCTAGCTGCACATCTCCCTACATGGGTATGTCAAGATCACCAACTCTGCTTACAGCAGTTCCCAGATGAAACTCTTCATAATTTCAGATGCACCTTTAATACCAGTGAAGGTTTACCTCCAGGCCCACAGTCTGGGTCTTTCCAGAGACACCCACAGCAAGATGTCACCTGCTTTTTGATGTCATCAGAGTCAAACACAAACACCCACCACTGTGGTTTCCATGTCTAATTCGCAAATGGCTTTAACTTTGAGCTGGCCCACAATGTTGTATTAACCCCACTCAGGTATCATCTTTCTCCGTGGGTGAACCCATAGTGACCTTTCCTTCTGATTCTTCTTTTACTCTAAGGGCATGATTTTGGCAAACTGTCTATATGTACACTGGAAACAACTTCAACTTGCTTTTATGTTGATTTCACTTCTCCACTTTCAATGCAGAAAGCTAATCAGCAATGCCCTAGGTTACTAAGAGAGGACAATTCTTTCTTAGCCCATTGAATTATGAGCATTTTCTTGGAAATGCAGCAAAATGTGTTCTGACAGATGCCTTTGGGTCCCTTGGGTTCTTTGCTAAGACAGCTATAGAGAGAGGGCTCAATAAGGTGGGGCCTGTGATGGGACATTGTTTTTACTGCACTGGTGATAGAACAAAAGTCAGACAGGGCACAACACACACTGATACAACCAATCACCCAGTCACACTGCAGCCTTAGGAAACCCATGAGCTTGTGGCAGCAGGCAAACTTGCTTCAGAGTTCCAAGAATCCAAATGTTCCTGGTGTGTCTGTTGTCTTGCGATATAGACTGAGATCACAGGATTGAAGATACGACCAGAGTCATGCTGTTGAAAGAGACTGGCTGAGTAGTGATGAAAAATAAACTTGGTCAATCTATGCTTAGTTTCTTTCTCTATCATATCTGTTCAACCTATTTTGTAGGCTATTTGTGAGAGTCAAATGAAATAATAACAGCAATAATAATAATAGAAAATACATAGCACTTCTTAACATCAGGCAGACACTGCTTTAAGTACTTTATATGGAACTTAAAGCAGTGGTAAAAACATTAAAAATAATAAAGCATTCTGCAATTGTAAATGCTATTATTAGAAATATCATTAGAGTTCAAGACCAGCCTTGGGCAACATAGGAAGACCTCATTTCTACTAATTTTTTAATTAGCCAGGTGTGGTGGTGTGCACCTGTAGTCTCAGCTACTCTGGATGCTGTGGTGGGAGAATCACTTGAGCCCAGGAGATCCAGGCTGCAGTGAGTCATGATTGTGCCACTGCACTCCAGTCTGGGCAACAGGGCAAGACCCTGTTTCAAAACATGAAAAAGAAATATAGGCCAGGTGCAGAGGCTCATGCTTGTAATCCCAGCACTTTGGAAGGCCAAGGCAGGCAGATCACTTGAGGTCAGGAGTTCAAGACCAGCCTGGCCAATATGGTGAAACCCCATCTCTATTAAAAATACAAAAAAATTAGCTGGGTGTGGTGGCACGCACATATAATCTCAGCTACTTGGGAGGCTGAGGCAGGGGAATCATTTGAACCAGGGAGGCAGAGGTTGTGGTGAGCTGAGATGGCACCACTGCACTCCAGCCTGGGAAACAGAGCAAGACTCAGTCTCAGAAAAAAAAAAAAGAAAAGAAAAGATTTGGGTGGGTGCAGTGGCTTAGCCCTGTAATCCTAGCACTTTGGGAGGCCAAGACAGGAGGATTGCTTGAGGCCAGGAGTTCAAGACAAGCCTGGTCAATGTAGTGAGACCCCATCCATAATAAAAAATAATAATAAAGAAAGAAAGAAAAAATATAATTACTAATCATTTCATCCTGCCCTTCTATGGCAGCAACTGTATCCAGGAGCAGGTGTTTGCCATAATAGATATTGCAGTCACCACCGGCATATTAGTGTTGACCAGAAGACAAATGGTCTAGCTAGCCAGGTGGGGTAGACTGTGCCCCTCTCTAGGAAGCCTCATGACCTCATCCACATGATAAAATTTGCCTTTCCCAGCGGAGGCCCCCAGACTAATGGTGACACCCAATCTGCTTGCTGCTCAGCTGTCGGAGCGAAGTTGCCCAGGTTGTCGTCTCTGACAGTTCTCATCAGCCTCGTTCTCCATTCTTCAGATGAGTCATTTTTCTTCCTTTACTCTTGGTTATATCTTCCAAGTACTGGCTACAGTTTTGGAGCTTTGGCGTCCAAACTGGTCAGACACAGTGGCACAGAGAAAAGGGAGAACTGGCTCTTCGTGACTGCACTACTCCCAACCACATCCGTTCATTGACCTTTGTCACTCAAGACTGAAAGGCCACTTGCTTTCAAAAAAAGAGATAAAGATTTATGTCTCCTGCCAAAGGAAAGAGAAGTCTGGCTCTGAGCCATGACAGGGCTCTCCCTGCTGCAGCAGATGAGCAGGGAGGCGTGCAGGTCCCCTCTGCTTCTGCCCTGTGATGAAGGCAACAATTCATCTAAGTAGTCACAGGACAGTCCTGGTTTCCAGTTATTGTCTCAGCATAATTATTCATGGAGCCTCTTTTAGTCTCCAAAGGGTCCCATTTTCAATGATAAATCACATGGTCACTCTACTTAAGACCCATCACGGAGTGCTGCATTCAGGTGCAGTGGAAGACACTCTGCCGTGGGGCTGGAAGACCAGAACCCGAGACCTGCCTCCATCACTGGTTCCACCGGCTTGGGCAACCCACTTCCGCCTCTCAGGAGCCTCGGTTTTCCTGCCTGTAGAAGGGACATATTTTCCTTCACAAACTTGTGATGAGAATAAGTAGCATATTGGCATGCAAGCACTTGGTCAGCTTTTCACCGCTAAACAGATGAAAGTCCTTTTTATCGTGACAATATATGTCAGAAGCCCATTATTTTGTCCTGTTATCCAATCCTATTATCCTCAATAATATCATTAATGTCTTGCAGCAAAATCTTATTTTTCAATAGGTTTCTCCTTTATGCAGGTGAAGAGAATCCATTTTAGATTAGTCCCTGTCCCAGGTAACAAATCACTTGTTCTGCATGTGAATTTGACATTATGGAACTGTCCATTGTAAACTGCCATGCCCTTTGTGAATTTCCCCTTTCTCCTTCCTTTTCCCACCCTAATAGTCACCATGTAATTCATCCCAAAGGAATGTGGTTGAACTTTCTGGACACTAACGAACAAAGAACTTGATGGTCACAACCCTTTGTGAAGATGCGCATTCTTGATCACTTGGCCTGATGTTTCCTAGGATGTGTGTGTGTGTGTGTGTGTGTGTGTGTGTGTGTGTGTGTAAGAAAAGTCCCAACACTGATGACCAAAACTCAGTGATCTGAATGCACAGGATTTCCTGCTAGAATTGTTTTTCTAATGCAGAATCTTGTCTTCACCTTTTCACCCCTATGCACTTCCTACAGAGATGATG
Source organism: Homo sapiens (assembly GCF_000001405.40). NCBI lineage: Eukaryota > Metazoa > Chordata > Mammalia > Primates > Hominidae > Homo > Homo sapiens. The sequence goes on from NC_000008.11 coordinate 124,957,384, forward strand.
GATGAGAAGGACGTACAGCTTCCTTCAGTGACATGACATGCTGCTCTCGGCAGCCCCACGAAGACCCAGGAACCTGTGAGGTTCTACTAAGGGGTCACCAGTCACGGAAAACATGCCCAGGTTTGCCTGCCAGGAAGAGGCAAGCACCCAGGGCATCAACTCTATTTTATCAGGGCACTTTCTGAGCAATTAGTGGCCCGGTGTCATTATAGATGCTATTTGTCACACCATAAACTTTGTAAAGGAATTCAAAGGGAACAAACGTGGCATGCAGAGCAATAAGCAATAAGTCAGAGATGCTCCTGTTCTTAGATCTTTCAGGATGAGATTTTATTAGGCCAGTTTCTAGGATTTCCTCTGAAGTACAGAAAATCCAGTGAATGGCTTCGAAAGCAAAAGCTTTTAAGATATGCTCTCAAATGAAATGATTTCTTCTCTTTTTTTAGATGTTGCAGGGAAAGGAAGAGAAAAGAAAACTCATTTGTTCATTCAATAGATTTATTGAACTGCCAGGTACTGTTTTAGATGCTGAGAATACAGCAGAAATTAAATAGACAAAGAACTGGCTTGTGGAGTTAAGATCCTAGTCAAAGAGAACGATAATAAACAGAGAAACAAACACATATAAAACAAAATGTCAGATAACCATAGGTCACTGGGGTGTCATTTTCAGACAGGGTGACGAGAAAAGGCAGGAGAGGGACAATAGTTCCCCCTCCCAGTGTTAACCTTTTTTAAATCTAAAGTTCTTCACCTTCAGTCAAAGGACTTCCCCGACCCTGACCCACTCACTTTGTCTTTCTGGAACTCCCTTCAGAAGAACTCTTTGACGGAGCCCCAGACAGGCCCTTGATGTGTTAAAGAACTTTAGACAGTCCTTTCTCAAGACAGTAGCTTGGCAAAGAATGTCATCAATGTCTTGCAGCAAAATCTTATTTTTCTATGTTAAAAGCTAAATAGTATCCCACTCTGTCTCTGCAGCCCTTCAGTAGTAAGAACTGCATGACATACCCCCAAGCAGATGTATGGCTCAGGTGAACTGAGATGAAAGGTAAAATGCACAGACACACACATGATTTTTAAAATATCATGCCCTTGCAATTACTAAGTTCCCACTGAGTGGCAGACACAATGCTAGCCACTGGCAGGACAGAGATAAATAAAATATAGTGCCTTTCCTCAAAGAGAAGTCTAATGGGGTTATCTATAATGCGAAGAGTTGGGAACAGATTAATGTTTCTCAAGGGGATGCTATTTGCATTTGGGCAGGATATTTTTATTTTTTTAAGATGAGTTCTCACCTTGTCACCCAGGCTGGAGTGCGGTGGCATAATCATGGCTCCCTATAGCCTTAACCTCCTAGGCTCAAGCCATCTCCTACCTCAGTCTCCCGAGTAGTTGGAACTACAGGAGTGAGCCACTATGCCTCACTAATTTTTGTATTTTTTTGTAGAGACAAGGTCTCACTTTGTTGCCCATGCTGGTCTCGAACTCCTGGCCTCAAGCAATCCTCCTACCTCTCAGCCTCCCAAAGGGTGGGTATGATAGGCATCAGCCACCATGTTTAGCCTGGGCAGGACAACTTTTTAGTGTGCAGGATCTGCCATCCTGTCCTTTGTAGGGTCTTTGGCATTCCTGTTTGTTACTGTCTTATTTTGCTAGGGCTGCCACAACAAAATACTACAGACTGGGTGATTTAAATAACAGAAATTTATTTCTAACAATTCCAAAAGCTGGAAATCTAAGGTCAAGGTGTGGGCAGATCTTTTTTCTCCTTTGGCCTCTCTCCTTGGCTTGCAGATGGCCATCTTCTCTCCTCATGTGGTCTTTCCTCTGCGCATGCATCTCTTCCTCTTCTTTTAAGGACATCAGTCATGTTGGATTAGGATCCACTCATATGACCTCATTCAACCTTAATTACCTCTTTAAAGGCCCTATGTCCAAATATAGGCACACTGGGGGTTAGGGCGTCAACATATGAACTTTAGGATACTTGCCCGTCAACTCCTGATAGCTCCAACCAAGGATAACAAAAACAGTCCCACACATTCACAAGTGTCTCCTAGCACTTTAAGAGGAATTCCTATTCTGAGGTTCAATGTGCAGAATTTCCACATCTTCTTTAAATAGTTACGAATACCTGTGCACTTGCCAATTTGGCTATCATTTTCTGATGACAGGCGAAACATTTATCTGAGAAAAGCGACTTTTTAATGGACTCTGGGAAATCCAACGCATTACTTACATCATTAGATAAAGCTGACAATATTTCTCTGTTCAGAGGTTGCTAGCCCTGAAACAATATACTATTAACAAAGGCAGAAAGATTTAAAGTGGGTATTTATGTATTGCCTCCCTGGATCGAATACATTTTTTGACAAGTGAGTATTATAAAAATCAATAACATTCTGTTCTGAAATCTAGTATAAAAAGAATTTAGTAAGGAATTTAAAGGGAGGAAGAGTCTCAGGAGAATTAAAAGATGGCTTCCAGATAGAAGAAGAAGACAAAGGATTACCCTCCAGCAGAGTTGCAGTTACGATATTAAACACATTAACCTGGACAGGTGCCGTGGCTTGCACCTGGGAGGATCACTTGAGCTCAAGTTTGAGGCTGCAATAAGCTCAAACTGGGTGACAGAACAAGACCCTCTCTCTAATAAATATACAAATGCATGAATGAATAAACACATTAACCAGGAAGTCATTTGCATGTGATTTCCCTATTAATACTCACCCCATGTACTGAGTAGGTACAGTGTTAAGCACAATGCTCTAAACATTCCATATATACTATTGTTTGATTTAATATTGTGAAAGGGCAATTCAAATATAAAGATACTTCTGCAGCTCTTCACTCTTCTTCAGCACGCTCCCCCACCCATCCCACCATACACACCTCTTAATTCAACATGGAGCAGACAGAGGCATGTGCAAGAAACAATGGTAGGTGACCTAGGAAAGTGACAGTGGGGATGCTGAGTAGGGGACTTTTTTGAAAGTTATTTAGGAGGTGATATCTACAGAATTTGGTGCGTGGTTGATTATGGGATAAGGGAAAAAGCATAGTCAAAGGCGGTGCCCAGGTTGTAGTCTCATGCAGCTCATTGCCTGGGGATGCCATTCACTGCAGTAGAAAATACAGAAGAGGGGACATGTTCGTGAATTCAAAAGAGATCTGTTGGGCTCTTCCCTGGGCAGGAGAAGGTTTTGTTGAGGGCCTTCACTCCCACTACCTCCTAGTGGTATTGTGATTATCCTCAAGCTCTTTCTGTCCCTCTCCTCAAAAGTGAGAAAAATTGGAATACTACTCCCTTCCTCATACAGGATGATTGTGAGGTGAGAACAGATGTGACAGTGTTTGGGTCGTGGAAGGCACTCACGACCTTCTTTTACTCCTCTCCCTTCTTTTCTACTTCCAACTCTAGATTTATGTAATTCCATGAATTCCATTCAACCTGACCCTTGAAAATATAAGATCCTACAAGGAAGAGTTAAGAGACAAAGAATAAAATACAGGAGACTAAAGGAAGTGACACCTGGTGGGTGCTCACTGATGGTAGATCAACCTTAAATTGGAGGGCAGCTGCAGAGTTGAAGGTAGGGGGTAGGGTGTTGGCATCAGAGAGAGTCCAGAAAGATATCCTGGAAAAATGTTGCTGTTTTCACAGTTTGACTGGCAAGCACCCTGCTTTCCAGCCTTTGGTATATTTAGAAGTGAATCAGGCGCTCTTCTCAGGCCATGTTTCATAATGTGTACTCGAACCTCACATTTCCAATGGGTATCCTCCTCTCTCAGGTTCCTGCTTAACTTGAGACCAGTTTTGCAGGTTTCTACAGCTTTGGGGCTCCAAGAACTAGAACTGGCCCCCAAGCACCAGAATTCTCCTATAAAGCCAGGAATGAGACCTACCTAATCTTGATCTTTTGTTTTCTGGAGGAAGACTGGCTTGCAGAGGTAGGGGTGGGGGAAGATGGGGGGGTGCCAAGATGAGAAGATTTGACAACTAACTTTAGAGAAAATCTGTGGCCAAGGAGGAAAAGTGACCCATAACATTCTGGAGCGAGGTATTTGGCACCTAGGCACTCTCTCTCTAGGAATTCATTCCAAATGATTCACATCACAGAGTATCTATGCTCAGAATCCACTGTTACATCCACATTTATTCATGTTAAATCTAATTGGTACAAATATCGCTTTATGTTTGCATAAAGATTCCTGGAGATTATGCAGTGTTGGTTTGCTCTGCAGCCTTTCATTTTGCTGCCGTCTTACCAAACAGCTGCCTCTGAAGCCACCTGCTGACACAGCATGGAATTTTGAGCATTTGACCTAACCAAGGAAAGTGCTATCCCAAGCTAACAAGAGAGAAGACATAATCATGCCACTGTGCTCCAGCCCACTCGATTGATGCCCTGGGTTTGCTGTAGCACCAGAGTCAAATCATCTTGAACAATTCTTTCCCCTCCCAAAGCCCACACCCACTCTCCCAGCCACCTTCAAAAGAGATGTTGCCATCTCCCTAGCTAGCCATTTCAATATAGGCAAGCCTCTGCATCGGGACTCTATGCTTCTTGGGCTTCCAATAGCTTTGGTGCTCTGTGCCAGCCCATACTCACTCCCTAAGCCATGCCTCTACTCTGTTTCGCTCCACCCCAGAGGTGCTGAGTCAGGTGCAAAGGTACTTAGAGCAGTGATCGTTTCAGTAACAATTCTCTGTATACATTTCCAGGCCCAATGACGCAGGAAGCAGAGGGAGGGGAGAGGCTGGAGAGAAGAAAAAGATCCAGAGATCTCCTGCAAGCACCAGAAAGCTCACCACCAAAAATAATCACAGCAAACCCCATAACTCTGGAAGATGAGGATTACTGTATGCAAGTTACTGAGGCTTAGATTCAATTTCTTGGTCAAGAGTCACAGATCTTGTTTCTGAGGCAAAGGATTTGCCCTGATTATTGTTACGGTAGGTAGGTAGTCAGACATGAGCAGAGCAGGAGAGCGCCCCCACCAACCCCCAGCCAGGAATGCCAGGTGACCATCATGTGATAGTCAGGCAGTTGTTAAACTGCCTCTCTAAAATAATAATTGGTTGCAGCTTGTATCTAGGAAAGGGCAGTCTCCTAATAAATTGAAACACCTGAAACTGGTGATCAGCAGCTTCCAGTAAGATCTCAGGAGTTGGGCGAGTGGGCTCAAGCATACACACTAAGAGGTAAAATAGCAGAGTTTAACTGATATATGACTTTCCTCTAGGAACACTTGACTGGTAAGGGAAAAACACGTCAAGTCACTAAGACGCAAAATGGCGGAGTTTAAATGGTATATGACATTCCTCCAGGAACACTCACCTCCTGAGGGAAAAACTCCAGTCAGTAAGAGGCAAAATAGCAGAGTTTAAATGCCTGGGTAGGGGAAAAATGCCTCAATTGAGCATGCATACAACGCCAGTAAACACACTGCGCATGCTCCTCTCCCAAGTGCTGGCAGGCCACTGTGTATGTGGACAGCCCACCCCAGGGAAGAATCAGGGGAGAAGGGACACAAGACCCCAGAGGCATGCCAACGTATAGAACCGCAAGTCAAAGATCAGACCACACACTTGATCTCTCAAGTCACCTGCTTGGCCCTCTTCCAAGGGTTCTTCCTTTCGTTCCTGCTCTAAACTTTTTTTTCCCGAGATGGAGTCTCACTCTGTCACCCAGGCTGGAGCGCAGTGGCAGAATCTTAGCTCACTGCAACCTCTGGCTCCCAGGTTCAAGCAATTCTCCTGCCTCAGCCTCCCTAGTAGTTGGGATTACAGGAGCACACCACCACGCCTGGCTAATTTTTGTATTTTTAGTAGAGACGGGGTTTCACTATGTTGGCCGAGCTGGTCTCGAACTCCTGACCTCAGACGATCTGCCCACCTCGGCCTCCCAAAGTGTTGGGATTACAGGCGTAAGCCACCGCGCCCGATCATTCCTGCTCTAAACTTTTTTTTTTTTTTTTGAGGCGGAGTCTCGCTCTCGCCCAGGCTGGAGTGCAGTGGCGCGATCTCGGCTCACTGCAAGCTCCGCCTCCCGGGTTCACGCCATTCTCCTGCCTCAGCCTCCAGAGTAGCTGGGACTACAGGCGCCCGCCATGACGCCCGGCTAGTTTTTTGTATTTTTAGTAGAGACGGGGTTTCACCGTGTTAGCCAGGATGGTCTCGATCTCCTGACCTCATTATCCACCCATGTCGGCCTCCCAAAGTGCTGGGATTACAGGCGTGAGCCACCGCGGCCGGACTTGCTCTAAACTTTTTAATGAACTTTCACTCCTGCTCTAAAACTTGCCTCAGCCTCTCCCTCTGCCTTATGCCCCTTGGTGGAATTCTTTCTTCTAAGAAGGCAAGAATTGAGGTTGTTGCAGACCTGTACAGATTCGCTACTGCTAGCAGTATGACATCACGCTGCCCCTCATTACACAGCTTTGCACTACCTGCCAATTAATAGCCTCAACTCATCATTTTAACCACCTCCTCCCTTAAAATGCAAACCTACCGATAGTAGGATAAAACCTACTGACAACTGACAACTTAGTGCCAGCTGTTCTGATTGTATAATCAGCTCAGTACCAAACCCATATCTTCGCCACAGGGGAATTCCTGGGCTTGCAGGAAGGAGGAGAGATTGTCATTGTTTTCCTCGGGCGGTGGTGGGAAATCAGCAGAGTTAGGAAACTTTTGCCATCTGAGGCAAGCAGGAGGTGCAAGGAAGAGGATCAGATTGGTAGACAGGAGGGCTGCTTTTATACAATAAAGAATTTGGCTGGTCTTTGTCACTGGTTCCTAGAAAGGGGCTTCTCAACCCTTGGAATATCGCGAGTGGTAGGAGCACCTTTGTTATTCATGGTGGGCCCCTCAGACCTCACTTGCATTTATGCTAATGAGGCTACTCTTGGTGAGCCCCTGGAGAGTTTACACAAATGAGATGACTCAGGGTAGGGTCTGGCCACACCAGAAAGGCCACTTGTTTGATTAGACTTTGAGTCCTAGCTACTTAGGAGGCTGAGGCAGGAGAATCATTTGAGCCTAGGAGTTTGAGGCTACAGTGAACCATGATTGTACCACGGCACTCCAGTCTGGGTGACAGAGTGATATCCTGTCTCTGAAAAAAAAGATAGAAGGAGGGAAAGATACAGGCAAATCTCTAACCCCTTTCACCACCTGGTGCATCCACTACTTTTACCCTCAAATGCTAGGTTGTGATGTGTAAGGGAATGCAGTGTTGGTGGCTTACCAAATCCGAGAAGAGAGATTTTTAACTGGTGTTCCTTGAGTCCTCTGCCTTCTCCACATCCTTGGCTGGGCTTCAGAGTGAGTCTGAGGAGCCCTTAGTATTACATGCGAAGCTTTCGTAAGTCCACCTATTTTGTTTTCTGGAGAGAGTATCCTGTCAGTTAGGGTTTTAAGAGGAAACAGATGGCATGCTGAAAGATGGACAAGAAGGAGTTACCTGTATTACCCCTTCCCATGCAACGGGGTAACTGAAGCCAGTTTAGTGAACTGTTTACAGAGTTGTGAACAGGGTTGTGCACCAGAGTGCACCAAGGACTTAGCAATGTTGTGAAGGCATTCTACCTGTGGGCCTGGAGGGGAATGGAAAGGGAGCCATTAGCAGAACCCAGGGAACTGCAAGCCTTGGGATAGGGGTCACCGAACTACATGCGTGGACTTGGGTAGAGGCACAGAGTCTCTGCCAATCACAACTGGCTGAGAGAGGGACAGTGAATAGGTACCCCCCGTCCCCATCTCCTGTCAGTGCCTCTCATTGGCCTAACCAAAACACAGAGAAGGGAGTCAGGGTAACATATTTCGTAAAGATCAGTCTCAGCCTACAAAGATCAACTTCCTTGGGCATAGAAAAGGTCAGAGAATATATTCGGAGGGAACAAATTAAAAATAACCAGCATGAGGTCCCAGGTTGTTATCAAATTCCTGCAGAGGTACCTGCCAATAAAATGTTCAGAAGTACTGTCTTTATATCCCACCCAGAAAACCTTCTGCCATTTACAGCCCAAGTCCTCATTAAATCCATATTCTCTTTCTCTTTTGATGGAACTTTAAACAAATTTGTTCCTTATCATCTGAGGTTCTGGGTGTCAATGCCAACTGGGAGCCTATTTCTCATTATTTTATGTAGGGAAAATTACAATGCATTGCAGTTCAACCCCAAACCTCCAAATAACTTTAGGGAGACCCCCCGAAACTATTGCTATGGAATAAAAAATGAAACACTCCTGATTATTGTAAATACAAAGTTGCATGCAGGATTGTGTAAAGACAATGCCAGGTTGGACTGCCAGAACGAGTCAACAGCGCGTGATGTGCTTCCCCCTGCAGAGAGCCTATGAACAGACGTGCAGTCAGGGAGGTTTCACATCACCAAGATTCCTATCCCAGAAAAGCAAATGTTCATAGCTCTGGGAATGGAATGCGACCCTTGTGGAGAACCTATAAACGGACGCATGGGGGGCGCCTGTCCATATGGATAAGATAGGGCTATAAACACCCTCATCTTGCCACGGCTCTTCTAGGCCTCTTTAGGGTTAAGGCATACTTCCTTCCGAGAATTTCTGGTCTAACCAGTTGTCTAGCTTCACGTCCTGTTTCTATGGATTGTTTGTAACCAGCTTTTGCTGCAACTGTTACTCTGATTAATATCTTGCTAATCATAGGTTATGGAAAGACTGTGTTTCTGTTTTAAGGCTCTGTTAGAAATTACTGATGCACACACTATATTGTAAATTCTTATCCCTGTATACTGTACTTCTGCATACAGATGTTATGTTAAAGAATTACTTCATCTCCATGTGACCATCACACCTCATAATCAAATGACCCTAAATCCCTCACTAACCTACCCCCGCCCTCACTAAACTTAGTAATAAATGCTGGTATATCCAGTGCATTGTTGGCATAGCGGGACCAGAAGGCAGTGACCCCCCTGGACCCAGCTTTCACTATCGTGTGTGTCTATTATTTCTCTACCTGCCGATCTGCCTGGGAACAAAGAGAGAGCCCCGTTGCATTGTGGGCTGCTGGCCAGATCCCGCAATAAATAACCTCCTAAAGTGTAACTCAAATATATAAGGAACATGAATACTTATAATGTTAGAATATAAAATGCTTAAATTTTGCTTTGTGATCACCAAACAATATGGTTGTTAAGAAAAAGCTGCTTAGTTGGCAGTAACATGGCCTTTCTCATGCTCATCCTAAAACATCCTAAAACATGGGGCAATTTTTTTTTTTTTTTTAGGCAGGATCTTGCTCTGTCACCTGGGCTGGAGTGTAGTGTGGTGTGATCATAGCTCACTGCAGCCTTGAACTCCTGGGCTCTGGTGATCCTCCCACCTCAGCCTCCTGAGTAGCTGGGACTACAGGTGTGTGCCACCATGCCTGGCTAATTTTTTTATTTTAAATTTTTTGTTTTGTAAGTTGCCAGGCTGGTCCCGGACGCCTGGGCTCAAGTGATCCTCTCACCTCGGCCTCCCAAAGTGCTGGGATTACAGGCGTGAGCCACCTCACCCAGCTTCAACATGGGCATCTTGTTTGCTGGCATACGACATGCTCTTCATAATATCTACAGCAGTGCTTCTCAACCCTCTTTTCCTTATCATCCCCCACCCCATCTTTTCAGACATTTTTTATTAACCACTCCCCCTCCATTAAAATGTAACACCACAAATACACTGTATAACTGTTTAAGTCTTCTATGATGTATGTCTGTGCTTTATGCATGAAAAGGGTATTTTTTTTTCATGCTCCCCCTGAAGAACTCTTTTGTCCCCTTGGGGGCGATATCACCACTGTTGAGAATCGGACCCCCTTCCTCCATCTTCCAATAACAGTTTGCTCATGGCTAGAACAGATAATTAGAAGGCAAGCGTCACTCTTCTTTCATTTCCGAGCTGGACCTGTGGTGCCAGGCTCAGCCTGCTTACACACACCATATAGCCATCCTCCAGCTGGAAGTTCTGTTTGAAAGCTTGCTACTCCAGGGAACGCACAAACTTTGTCCGTGTGCCCTCAACCCCAAACTAGAGCCTCCCCAGCAGTTTAGCTGTGTACTAACTAGAGTCAGTTACAGAGAATAGAATTCACTTGAGCTGACATAAGGAATAATAGATATATTACAAGGATTAAAGGACTTTTGGAATCTCTGGGAGGACTGAGGAAATGGACTGTGGGCTGAGCTTCCAGGAGTGTCAATCAAAGGTGCTGCTACAACTATGGCAATTACAGCTTCAAAGAAGTCTTGGAAATGTAATGTTTAGCTTTTTCAACTGTATTAGTCTGTTTAGGCTATCATAGCAAAATACTAGACTGAGTGGCTTAAACAGCAGAAATTCATTTTCTCACAGTTCTGGGGTTTTTTGGTTTTTGCTTCTTTTGTTTTGTTTTGTTTTTTGACAGGGTCTCACTGTGTCATCCAGGCTGAAGTGCAGTAGTGCAATCATGGTTCACTGGAGCCTTGAACTCCTGGGCTCAAGCAATCCTCCCGCCTCAGCCTCCTGAGTAGCTGGGACTATAGGCATGTGCCACCAATGCAAAGCTTTTTTTTTCTTTTTTTTTAAAAATTGTTTGTACAGATGGAGTCTCACTGTTGTCCAGACTGGTCTCAAACTCCTTGGCTCAAGTGGTCCTCGTGTCTCAGAGGTACTGGGATTACAGGTGTAAGTCACCATGCATGGCCTCATTTTCGCACACTTCTGGAAGGTAGAAGTCCATGATCAAGGTACTGTCAGTGTTAGTTTCCATGAGGCCTGTCTTCCTGGTTTGCAGATGGCCACCTTCTTGCTATGTTCTCCCCTGGCCTTTCCTTTGTGTGTACACAGACAGAGATGTCTCCGGTGTCTCTTCCTCTTCTTACAAGGACCCCAGTCCTATCAGATTAGAGCCCCACCATTATGACCTCACTTAACCTCAAACACCTCCCTTGAGGCCCTATCTCCAAATACAGCCACACTGGGGATTACAGGTTCAACATAAGAATTTTGGGTGAAGGCCGGGTGTGGTGGCTCACGCCTGTAATCCCTGCACTTTGGGAGACTGAGGTGGGCAGACTATTTGAGGCCAGGAGTTCGAGACCAGCCTGACCAACATGGTGAAACCCCATCTCTACTAAAAATACAAAAATTAGCCAGTTGTGGTGGTATGCACCTGTAATCCTAGCTACTTGGGAGGCTGAGGCAGGAGAATTGCTTGAACCCAGGAGGCAGAGGCTTCAGTGAGCCAAGATGGTGCCATTCTACTCCAGCCTGAGGGGACAGAGAGCGAGACTCCATCTCAAAAACAAAAAACAAACAAAAAAAAGAATTTCTGGTGGACACAGTTCAGTTCATAACACCAACTCTTCTCTGCAGGAACGCATAATGAAAGAAAGTGGTAATGGTTATTGAGCAAACCAATATACAATATCCACCACAGCTTTAAAAAAATAAAGGTTAAATTATTCATTTCAACATAAGTAATAGTATAAGTTCAGAAGCAATATAAAAAACAGGTTAAATAAATACTGTTATATTTACCCAATGGAATATCATGCAACTGTTAAAAAAAAGAATACTGGGAGCTCTATGATAAATGTCTGTACTATTATAAAAAACTCTCGGTTGGGTGCAGTGGCTCATGACTGTAATCCCAGCACTTTGGGAGGCTGAAGCAGGTGGATTGCTTGAGCCCAGGAGTTGGAGATCAGCCTGGGCAACATAGTAAGACCCTGTCTCTACAAAAAACGAAGCAAAACAAAACAAAAACAACAAAAAAACCAAAACCCAAAATTAGCTTGGAGCTGAGAGTGGTAGCACACACCTGTGGTCCCACATACTTGGGAGGCTGAGGTGGGAGGATTGCTTGAGCCCTGGAGGTTGAGGTTGCAGTGAGCTGAGATCATGCCACTGGACTCTAGCTTGGGGGACAGAGTGAGATCCTGCCTCAGAAATTAAAAAAAAAAAAGAGAGAAGAAAAGAAAACTCTCCATGTTGTTAAGTGAAAAAACTAAAATTTAGAACAAAGTGAATAGTTTACTATATGTGTAGCAAAAGAAATGTATGAATATATGTCATCTATCTTTATTCATTACCTATATATGTGTATATATACATATGTATATAAGCAGGTAGGTAGGTATTTGCTCACATATGGCATTATCTGTGAATAATACACAAGAAACATACAACGTTGGTTGCCCCAGTGGTGAGAAGAACTGGATAGCTGGGGGCAGGGATGAGAGAGGACATTTCATTTTATGTATGTATTTTGGAGGTTTTTGTTCATTTGCTTGTTTGTTGAGAAAGCAGATTCTGAGACTGAGTTTAGTGTCCAGGGTGTTGATTAGGAAATGGCCTTGGTATCCAAACCTGTGGAAGGGTGAGAAAGGAATCAGGATTGAGCAGAGGGGGAAGACCTACAATTTGGGCCTGACAACACATTCCTCCATCAAGGCCATCAAGAACTCAGGAGTTGGCTGGGCACTGTGGCTCACACCTGTAATCCCAACACTTTGGGAGGCAAAGGCAGGAGGATTGCTTGAGCCCAGGGGTTCACATCAGCCTGGGAAACAAAGTGAGACCCCCCTCTCTACAAAAAAAATTAAAAAATTAGCAAGGCATTGTGGCACGTGACTTTAGTCCCAGTTACTTAAGAGGCTGAGATGGGAGGATTGCTAGAACCTGGGCAGTCGAGGCTGCAGTAAGCCGTGATTGTGCCACTGCATTCCAGCCTGGGTGACAGAGTAAGACTGTCTTAAAAAACAAACAAACAAACAACACTCAGGAGCTGAAATAGTGCATTTAAGAGTTATCCTGCTTTGGACAACATGGACAGCCTTTTATATTTCTGCCTTGATCAGTCCCCAGACGTGGGCTGCCTTGGAAAGGGCATGAGCTCCAGAAAGGCTATTCTCTGAAACTGAAGCACTCCCTGAGGGAGCTAACAGCTGAAAGCTTTCTGTTCACAGCACTCTCAAAGGTGGGCAACATGTACTTCCTTGGATTCTGAGTGATTCATCTCTGTGTCTGTCACTTACGGCCTATATGATTATGATCTAACCTCTTGAAACTTCTCTGACCTTACCTCCAAGTACTGTTCACTTCACTTGCTCTGCTCCTTATTGTTTCTTGAGTTTCCATCTCAGAGTCCTTTTTCTTACTGTTCCTGTCTTAATTGTTCCTCCCTTAAATAACAATGAGGCCCACGACTTTCTTCCTTCATACTTCTGCTGAAATATCTGCCTACTGAGAGGACTTCCCTGATCACCTTACCTGAAATAGTACACTTCCTTTAACTTCCTTTACTTCTTTTTCTAATACTCATCACTGCTTAACATACATTTCTTTGTTTACTTTTTGTTGATGTTCATTTATGATCTCCCTCACATTGTTTGGTTCCCTGGTGTATCCTCAGTGTCTAGGATAACACAGTAACAGGCACATAGTAGGCTTTCAACAAATATTTGTTGAATGAATGAATGAAGGAGTCAGGCACTGTGCTAAGTTGTAAGATAGAATTACAAGCAAAAGTGGAGGCAGGCCTTGTTCTCATGGAGCTTGCTATCTGGATGGAGAGGCAAAATAATGCATCAATCACACAAAGCTGCAGTCATGACATGGGCTAAAATGGAAAAAAAGATATGGTAGGAGAAGAGCATGTAGAAGAGCCTTGAAAGCTTCTGTGAGAAAGTGATGTGTAAGCTGAAATCTGAAGGATGAGTAAGCTTCAATTAGGCAAAGGAACATGGAAGAATCAGGTTCATTTTTGGAAAAGATCCCTCTGGATTCAACAGGGAAGAGTGAATGAGAGGGAGCAAGGATGGGTATCTATGGGACTGTTAGGAGGGTATGGAAATCCTTCAAATGGGGGGTGATGGTTGCTTGAATTAGAGGTGACCCTGGTGGTTAGAAGAAACAACTACAGGTGAGAATTATTTATTACACAACAGATGAGGCTTATTTATGAATTGTATATGGAAGGTAAGGAAAGGGAAGTGAAAAGAAGGGCTTCTGGGTTTCCATATAACTGGATGGATGGTTGAAAGAATATTGGAAGAGAAACAGGTTTATTTTGTTTTATTTTGTGTTTATATGTGTATATGGAGAAGAACAGTGAGAGAGAAGACAGATTATGATTTTGATTTTTGACATTTTGGTTTTGAGGTGTTATTGAGACTTCCTGTATGAGATGCCAAATAGACCATTGGTTATGAGTGAAGAGCTCAGACATGTAGCTTGGGCTGGAGAAGTAAATTTTTGAGTTGTCTGCCTAGGTGGTATTTGAAAATGTGGGAGTGGATGAGATTGCCTAGGCAGAGAACATTCAGTGATAAGAGGAGAGGATGATCTTGAGGGACTGACTTGGAAAAGAGACTAACAGGACTGACTAGAGATGTTGGAAGAAAAGGAGGAGAATGTGATGTCACCTCAAAAGAGTGTTTCTAGAAGACGAGTCCGTAGCCATATCAAACCTCCTGAAAAAGGACCCGAGAACTAAAAATACCAGTTGCACTAACTAACATCATGGAGGTCATTGGTGATGCTAGTGATTTTTTTGTTGTTGTTGTTGCAGGAGAAATGTTAAGGTTAGTGGAAAATTGATGAAATGGAAACATTGTGAGTAAAAAGAGAAAAGAAAAGCTGAGGGACTATTTGGGGATGGGGGTGGAGGGATGGAGAGTTTAGTTGGTAGTGCGAAGTTTCCAAGAAGATAGGTAGGAAAGTGAGTACCAGTAAAGGGCTTATTAAAATACCAAAGAGCCCAGCACTTTGGGAGGCTGAGGCGGGCAGATCATGAGGTCAAGAGATCAAGACCATCCTGGCCAACATGGTGAAACCCAGTCTCTACTAAAAATGCAAAAATTAGCTGGGCATGGTGGCGCACACCTGTAGTCCTAGCTACTTGGGAGGCTGAGGCAGGAGAATTGCTTGAACCCGGGAGGCAGAGGTTGCAGTGAGCCGAAATCCTGCCATTGCACTCCAGACTGGTGACACAGTGAAACTCCATCACAAAAAAAAAAAAAAAAAAAAAAAAGGTCACAGAGGGACTCTGTATTGTAACAGGAGGGAAGAAAGAAAACGGCAGGGTGCAGACTTGAGTAGATTTCTGTTTGGTAGAGGTGAGATGAAGGGATTGGCTTCTATTTTCTCTGTAATGAAAGAGGAGGGATTAACTACTTTTCTAGGTGTTAATAAGGGTGCCTTGTAAACGAATTGTTTTATATGTGAATGGATGCCTTAGCTTTCTAACTTTCACAGGTAAGTAAATATATATCCATGTTCATAGCGGTGGGAACAGAAACAATAGGTGTTTAAAAATACTAGATTGAGGCCGGGCGCGGTGGCTCACGCCTGTAATCCCAGCACTTTGGGAGGCCGAGGTGGGCGGATCACGAGGTCAGGAGATCGAGACCATCCTGGCTAACCCGGTGAAACCCCGTCTCTACGAAAAATATAAAAATTAGCCGGGCATGGTGGCAGGCACCTGTAGTCCCAGCTACTCGAGAGGCTGAGACAGGAGGATGGCGTGAACCCAGGAGGCGGAGCTTGCAGTGAGCCGAGATCGCGCCACTGCACTCCAGCCTAGGCAACAGCGAGACTCCGTCTCAAAAAAGAAAAATACTAGATTGATTTTGATTCTAATAGTGATGATAATTAATCTGATGATATTCTGATGGCAAGGAAAAGTATAAGCTCCAATCAGGCCCCTGTCGTAAGCCGCCTGACAAGTGAGAGAAATGAGGTTCACAGTTGGCTGGTCACAGCACAGGGAAAGGAAATCCACCCCCACGCTCCTTCTGGTCCAGGACCCTAAGGGTTAAGATCAACGAGAGTGGGCCATCACTGTTTCCTAGAACGGCCCCAGCAAAGCCGCCGGGGGAGATGAGGGTAACTTCCTGTTTCTGCCTTCCGGGTTTGAGAGTTTAGGACCCTGGGTTGGTGGGGTCAGAGGGAGAGGGGGTACCTTCCTCCCGGACCGCTGGGGGTGCAGGGCGCCTTGGGTGTAGCACCCAGAACAGTGAGTTCCTTCTTGGGGGGAAGGGAGCCGAGGGTTGCGGGCTAGAGGAGTGGAAACAGCCCCGTCCAGGCTGCAGTGGACGTCCGGGAGAGAGTTCCCGCTGCTGCCAGGGGCGAAGGCCCAGCATCTCCCGCCGACGGGCCACCGTCATCCTTGTCCGCGGGGTCCCTTACGGGATCTTGTCGGCCGGAGACCGTCTGGTATCCTGGAACTTCACCCCCCAGCGTCTCCAACTTGTACCAGCCAGCGGTTCTTAAAACTAGGCTTCAGGCAGTGCATTTTCTTTGAAGGCTTTCTGATCAAAGCACGGCCCCACTCTGATCACATTGTTGCTCTAGAACAGTGAAAACACTCCTTCCCCGTGGAGAGACATCTTAATGGCAGCCTTGTATGGTCTTGCATTTGCCACCATTTTGCTGAGCCACTGTTCCGGGGGCTCCTTTGCTGCCAAATTTAATAGTATTTTAGTAGGGAAAATGGGGGAGATGGTAATGTGTTGCCCAGACTCTTGCTGCTTTTGTAAATACTTTGATAACAATATGTAACTTAGGACAGCAAAATATATAACTCCATTCGAACAACTCCACCCCCTTCCTTTTTTTGCATTCAGGTGTATGGTTTTTTCTCCCCCCCAACTCAAACACTGGGGATATTAGTAATGTAGACTAGTTTCACGTTTCTCTAGAACAAATCCCCACTTGCTGAGTGTGCTTAGGGAATGTCGACTCACTTTGTTAACAAGGTTTAGGAATGTAGACCTCTGTTTTAAAATGCCAGTATTCTAAATATTCTAAAATAAAGGGACTCTGAGGATTCTTTGCAGTTTGGGATTATGCCCAGCTCTGCTTCCTGTTCTAGTTTACGATAATAGATCAGAGGGTGAAAAAGGTCAGCATCCAAACAGACTTGGAGCTCAGTCCTGCTCTACCACTTTCTAGGTGACCTTAGGAAAGTTTCTTAATACCTTTCAAACTCATCCTATAAAATGCTGGTAGTTGTTCATACACTTCAGAGGGCTACTGTAAGAATTAAATGACAAATGTGTGCAAATTATTTCATTCACTACCTGGCACATAATAGGCAGTAATGGTGAAGATACAATATAAGTACATATACTATTTTTTGTTTTTAAAATGTGTGCATTTGTATATCCTTTTACGTCCTTATTTTTCTCCCAAATAATGATACTCTTTATATTCTGAAATGGATGCCAAAAGTCCATATGTCACTGCCTTCCTGTGATAGATCACATTTTCTTCTTTTTCTTTTTCTTTTTTCTTTTTTTTTGTTGAGACAGAGTCTTGCTCTGTCACCCAGGCTGGAGTGGTGCAATGGCACGATCTCGGCTCACTGCAACCTCTGCCTCCTGGGTTCAAGCGATTCTCCTGCCTCAGCCCCCTGAGTAGCTGGGACCACAGGCGCCCGCCACCACACCCGGCTAATTTTTTGTATTTTTAGTAGAGATGGGGTTTCACCGCATTAGCCAGGATGGAACATTTTCTAGTCCCTTAAAATAGGTTAGTGATTGTTGGCTCCAGAAGACGAAGTTTAGGCTGAAATGGATATTGTGAATATGATAGACTTAGGAACTAAGTGCAAGGAGGAAGAGGTCCCTCTTTAGCCTCCTTTTTATATTGCAGGGTTATTGGCTATAATTATTCCACCTCGGCTTTGTCCTAATTTCTCTTTACTGGTTATATAAATCCTAACTTTCCTTTGAAATTGACTTCAAAGGTTTCCTTCTGTCAAGACCAAGTTATTCTTTTGAAACTAAACAGGGTGCTTTTTTTCTTTAGCTGCTGCTTATGCCTTCATATTGATTCCTTGAAGTCTTTATAAGTTTTATTATTGGTGTCTTAAAAAAAATACTTTGCTTTTTAAAGTAAAAGTGTTTCTAAGCTACGTGTGGACAATGAGGATTAGTATTCTGTCTTTGAAGCTTGATCCTCAGACCTTTAATGTGAAGATTTACTTTTTTGCATTGTTATTTCAGGGTTAACCCTTAATTCTAAACACTTAGATCTGAGATAAGATTTTCTAAAAGGGCTGCTAAAAGTTGTGTTTCTTATTTTCGGTATGGTTCATGGAACATTCTATGCCTCCTATTGTTGTGTTGGAATGGTTGGGAAGGAAGGAGGAAGAATAAGCTTTAACAAATACCTCCAAACATAATTTATTTCCTTCCACAGGGTTTCTGATCTCTAACTTGGCTGTGATCATTGTGATGGAGCAAGAAAAAAAACTGTTGGTCTCAGATTCTAACAGCTTTATGGAGAGGGAGAGTTTGAAAAGCCCTTTCACAGGTGAGGGATCAAGACGATGATCTGAATCCTTAGGAAATTTGATGTAGAAAGAACAGGACACTAGAATGAGACAAACCTTAATTTAATTCCTTGTTCTGTCACTTATAAGCTGTGTTAATTATTTCAGCCTCATTGTTCTCATCTTTAAGAAAATGAATAATATCTATTTCACATATATTTTAGAATTAGTGAGATACCGTATCCAAAGCTACTGTTCTTAATAAATAGTGGCTATTGTTATTTCTATAGCATTTGCTCAGATTTTAGCAAAGCTATTGTCTAGTTTTTACCTGAGATGGTATCCTGTTCAATTTAACTTCTATTCACATCAATCCTGTTTTTTCTCTTAAGTCTTCTAGAACAAAACCTAATGCATTTATTTTTAGATTGATGTTCCCTTTGCCAATAATGATTCAAATAATTCATTATTGTTGTTGCTAGGTACAAAAAAAAATCCACCTGCTTCTGGTAAACAGAGGAAAAGAAGTAAAACTGTCTTTAAAAACTTTTTTATATGAAATTATTTATGAGGTTTTACAGTGTTATTTCCTCTCTTCCACTGCAATTTAGAATTTACTTCTCTGGCAGAGATTTGGAATATGGTTAGAATATTTGTTTATTCTTGCAGGAGATACAAGTATGAATAATTTGGAAACTGTTCACCACAATAATTCTAAGGCAGATAAACTTAAAGAGAAACCTTCAGAATGGTCTAAAAGACATAGACCACAACATTATAAGCATGAGGATGCAAAAGAAATGCCACTGACATGGGTTCAAGATGAGATTTGGTGTCATGATTCCTATGAGAGTGATGGCAAGTCAGAGAATTGGGGAAATTTTATAGCTAAAGAGGAGGAAAAACCCAATCACCAGGAATGGGACTCAGGAGAACATACCAATGCCTGTGTCCAGCAGAATTCATCCTTTGTAGACAGACCCTATAAATGTTCCGAATGTTGGAAAAGCTTCAGTAATAGTTCTCATTTGCGTACTCACCAGAGGACCCACTCAGGAGAAAAGCCTTATAAATGCTCTGAGTGTGCAAAATGTTTTTGTAACAGTTCTCACCTGATTCAGCATCTAAGAATGCACACAGGAGAGAAGCCCTACCAGTGTGGTGAATGTGGGAAAAGCTTCAGCAATACCTCCCATCTTATTATCCATGAGAGAACTCACACGGGAGAGAAACCCTACAAATGTCCCGAGTGTGGGAAGAGATTCAGCAGCAGCTCTCACCTTATTCAGCATCACAGATCACATACAGGTGAAAAACCATATGAATGTTCTGTCTGCGGAAAAGGCTTCAGTCACAGCTATGTCCTAATAGAACATCAGAGGACTCACACTGGAGAAAAACCTTATAAGTGCCCTGATTGTGGGAAGAGTTTTAGTCAGAGTTCCAGCCTCATTCGCCACCAGCGGACACACACAGGTGAGAAGCCCTACAAATGTCTTGAGTGTGAAAAAAGCTTTGGTTGTAATTCTACTCTAATAAAACATCAGAGAATACATACAGGAGAAAAGCCTTATCAATGTCCAGAATGTGGGAAGAATTTTAGTCGTAGTTCAAACCTTATTACACACCAGAAAATGCACACAGGAGAGAAATCCTATGAAAGTTCTGAATATGAGGAAAGTTTGGGTCAGAACTGCAATGTGATAGAAGAATGCAGAATCCAGTTAGGAGAGAAACCATATAGATGTTGTGAATGTGGGAAGAGTTTTGGCCTTAGCTCCCATCTCATTAGACATCAGAGAACACATACAGGAGAAAAACCTTACAGATGTTCTGAGTGCTGGAAAACTTTCAGTCAGAGTTCCACCCTGGTGATTCACCAAAGGACACATACAGGAGAGAAACCTTATAAATGTCCTGATTGTGGTGAAAGCTTCAGTCAGAGCTTTAACCTTATCAGGCACCGGAGGACCCACATAGGGGAAAAACCTTACAAATGTACCAGCTGTGAGAAATGCTTCAGCAGAAGTGCCTACCTCAGTCAGCATCGGAAAATTCACGTAGAAAAGCCTTTTGAGTCTCCCGACGTTGGGGATTTTCCTCATGAATGGACTTGGAAAAACTGTTCAGGGGAAATGCCCTTCATCTCTTCATTTTCCGTCTCAAATTCATCTTCCTGAGTCCCAAAGCCTGGTTGGTGATGGTTTTTTCTTCCTTGTTGGACCATGACAATTTAGGTATTCTGTGATTGTTGTGCTATAAAGTTTCTTTGATGTGTTTGTCAAAACATTTGGAAAAAGTCAACCTCCCAGTTTAAAGGATGGGAAGACCCCAATCACCAGGTTATTGGATCTGTCCAGTGAGAGATTCATCCACCAAGGATGAAGAAAGGAGGACTTTTAAAAATTTAAGGTAAGATAGTAATAGCTTCAAAAGAACACATACAGAGTAATCCTGAGAGTAAGCAAAGGAACCATGAGAACCGAAGCTAGAATTGCTATTGAATTACTTTATTTTCTCTTCCCTTATTGGGTAGAGATACATCATTACTGGCCTCAGGGGTTTACCCAAAGAAAGGGTATTTTTGAGCAAATAATGTGATTTCCTGGCTATTTTGTTGGGGGCTTAAGATTTTTTTTTTTCAAATGCATTTTTAGTCACTAAAAATTAACTGTCGTACCATCTAGAACTATACTGTCCAGTACCATAGCCTCTAGCCGTATGTAGCTATTTGTATTAAGATTAATTGAAATTTTAAATCCAGTTCCTCAGTCACACTAGCCACTTTCTAAGTGCTCAGTAGCTCTGTGTGACCAGCGGCTACTGTATTGGATATTATAGAAGGTTCTTTCATTCAAGATCATCATTCTTGACAGACCCATAAATATTTCCTATAAAGACTGTAGAAGTGTGTTCTGGAGGGTTTGCTCTCCAAAAAGAATTGTAATATAGAGTAGAATTGGGATAGAGTATTGAAGACACTGGGTTTAGACATTGGATATTTTAATGATTGTGTGTTCTAATTCATGTGCTGCCAACTGAGTTATCTAGTGATATGACCTCACTGTCTTGACCAAAGCCAGAATAGAAGGCAGGATTCCTGAATTCTATCTTAAAATTTGCAATGAAGAGCCTTTTCCCTAAATTATCCCATTATGTAATTCTTGGTCAGCTCAAGAACTGGGTTCTTTTTCTAATAATTAACTCACTAAATCTGAGCCAGTGTCCAAGGACAGTTTGTCATTAAGGAGTACTGAGACTTCTTAGCTTTGGTACTGACAGTTTTCTTTTGCCTCTTGACATAATTGGTATATGGATCTGATAACTGAGGTCCCATCTTCCCTACTCATTCCTATGGGAATGATGCTTTGGAAATTATTAGATATATCCTATTCCCTTCCTCCCATTTTTTTCCTGCTAGTGCAAAAGGTAGATGAGTAGGAAGATTAGGACTCCTGAGTTGCCCATGATTTCATCTAATTTTTGGATTCAGAATGTATTTTATGAATAATATGCAGAGATGCATATTAGGAATGTGAAGCCAGAATGGGTCAGTTGTAGCTGCTGCAAAGTTCTGTAGCTGATGGTCATTTAATTGCATGGGGGTTATTTTATCTTTCATGATTGTGGTGCACCTGATGCTGGCGGGGTATTTGTGTGTTTTTGTATTGTTATTTGATTACAAAAATAAAGCAAAAACTAACAAATAAAGGTATTGGAGAATTTGGGGGAAATTTTCTGCTTTCAAAAAAGGGGGAAAACATTAGGCATTATTGGCTTTTTATTTTTATTTTTTTCTTATTCATTATTATTATTTTTTTTTTTGAGACGGAGTCTCACTCTGTCGCCCAGGCTGGAGTGCAGTAGTGCGATCTTGGCTCACTGCAAGCTCTGCCTCCCGGGTTCATGCCATTCTCCTGCCTCAGCCTCCCGAGTAGCTGGGACTACAGGTGCCTGCCACCACGCCTAGCTAATTTTTTGTGTTTTTAGTAGAGATGGGGTTTCACCGTGTTAGCCAGGATGGTCTCGATCTCCTGACCTCATGATCCAGCTGCCTTGGCCTCCCAAAGTGTTGGGATTACAGGCGTGAGCCACTGCGCCCGGCCCTTATTAATTGTTTAAGAGATAAGGTCTCACACTGTCACCCAGACTGTAGTGCACTAGCACCATCATAGCTGACTGCACCCTCAGACCCCTGGGCTCAAGGGATCTTCCCATCTCCGCCTCCTGAGTAGCTAGGACTACAAGCACATGCCACTGCAGCCAGCTAATTTTAAAATTTTTATAGAGACAGGGTCTTGCTATGTTGCCCAGGCTGGTCTTGAACTCCTGGCTTCAAGCAGTTCTCCTCCCTCAGCCTCCCAAGCTGCTGAGATTACAGGTGTGAGCCACCACACCTGGCCCATTATTGGCTTTTGTGTGACCTCACCTGAGTATTTTTCTGTCTTTGTATGTTATCTAGTATTGCCCAAATTTTCTTAAATTGTAATATTTCAGGACAAGTTTTTATGGTAACAGTTTGATTAATGCTTGATAACTAAGGAGTTATCAGCTTAGGAGTTGGCTGATAAACTTAGGAGTTTGCTGTTGAGGCTGAAATTCAGTTACAAGGCAGCAGTGGTTGGGGTGATACAAAATCAATGCTCTGTGGTAGGTAACCACTCTGAGCCTCAGTTCCCTCATCTGTAAAGCAGAAATAATGCCTACCTTACAGGGTTACCATAAACATTAAATGAATGTTTGCAAAGCATATAGCACAGTGCTTAAACATAGCAGGGTATCAATAAATGATACTTAGTTGCTGCTATTATTATTAATTGAAACAAACTGAAAAAAAATGTTATCCACATGTTTTAGAAATAGGAAGTAGTAGTACAGCCCCAAACTTATCTTACTTGTAGATTCTTTATGATCAACTTCAGGAATTTTAAGGGATAAAATATTGGAAAAGCACAGGACTATATTGTTTGCAGACTGTCTAAAACACTTTTATTCACTTTGTAAGCAGCTATAACAAAGAAACAGGAAATTTTACTAAATTTTCTTTTTATTCATGAAACAAAGGATTTGGTTTAACTTGGGAAAGAACAAAGTCGCAAGTTCAATTGAAGTTAATTTGCATCTGAAGAGATTAATAACAGGTACAATTTATGTCCTGTCACCATCACCTATACAATGTACTATGATGGCTGGCAATATATAAAACCTATTTCACAAACCTTGATGTCTACCAGAATAAAGATGTTCATATCTTAGATGGGTTAAGATGGGCTCCATTAGTAGAAAAATTTGGCAAAAATCCTTGTCTCTTTGGATTGAAAATGAGGAAAACAAGAGATTTGTACCTTATGATGGAGAAGATAACATAGTCAAACGTAATATGTGATACTTTTATCTCAGTTTCATTAATCAGCAAGTAGGCTCTTTGTTTAGCTCCATGAGAAAGAAATTCTATATTCTCTATTTTTCTTGCTAGCATAAAGGACTCAGCATGTGAATAAAGAAAGCATTCTTTATTTATGAGTGATTTATTTCATAGTTTCTTTTTAATTAAATAGAAGAGACCTATAATGTATATTTTTCCTACTCAAAGAAGGAGCTCATATATATTTTCCATACCATAGCATAGGGAGAGCCATGTCAATGCATATACTCACAACTATAGGAGGGAACTCACTCCCTAACTGCTGTACAGCCTACCAGAGGGCATGTAAGCATAAGTCTCTATTGTAATCAAGGTAAAGTCTTAATCCCATCATCCCAAGTCATCCAAGTGGGGTCTACCAAATGGGCCTTCTCCTTAGTGCTGTAGAAGTTTCTTCACTGATGGTGAGAGGTAGTGGAGTACAGCGGTACTGTGACTATTGCCCTTTATACGTTAATCTGACACATTGATCTCAGCCAGTCTCATTTTCTGAAATCATGGTGTTTTAGTATCTTTAGTGTTGCCATAACAGAATACCTTAGCTGGGTAATTTATAAAGAAAAGAGGTTTATTTGGCTCATGATTCTGATGGCTGGAAAGTCCAAGAGCATGGGGCCAGCATCTGCTTGCTTCTGGTGAGGGCTTCTGTGCTGTGTCATAACATGGCAGAAGGTCAAGGGTGAAGGGAGCACGTGCAAAGGGGCAGAACATGAGAGTTGTAATCACTTCATAACAGCTCGCTCTCAGAAACTAATCCTGTCTCATGGGAGAGAGAGGTCTCACGTGAGAGAGAGAGGTCACTCACTGACAAGAACTGTAGAAGAATTGGCAGCATGCTGCCCATATGAGCAGAGGGAGCCCCCGTGACTCAGATGCCTCCCATTAGGCCCCACTTCTTAAAGGTACCACCTCCCAACATTGCTGCACTGGGAATTAAGGTCCCAACATGAGTTTTGGTGGGAACACTCAACTCATAGCATTTGGTAACAACAAGACTGTCGTTACAGTAGTCCCCCCTTATCCAAGGTTTTGCTTTCTGGGGTTTTAGTTACCCTTGGTCAACCATGGTCTGAAAATATTACATCACTACTCTTGCCCTTTGGGGCCTTTATTCAGTAAGGTAAGGATTATTTGAAGATAAGCATTGTGATACCACAACAGTAGATGTGATAACTGAGATGGCTACTAAGTGATTTATAGCAATCCAGGCCAGAAATGGTGGGACAGTGAGACATTTTGTCATGCTACTCAGAACAGCAGGCAGTTTAAAACTTAGAAATTATTTCTGGAGTTTTCTATTTACATCACAATGCCTACATCATTTATTTCATTTCATATCATCATGAAGCCATTGTACTATTTCATCATTACCTCAAGAAGAAAGGTAAGTACAGTACAATAAGATATTTTGAGAGGCCACATTCACATAACTATTACAGTATATTGTTATAATTGTTCTATTTATTTAGTTATTGTTAATCTCTTACTGTACCTCATTTATAAATTAAAATGTATCATATTTAATTTATGTGATAAAATTAAACTTTATCATACATAAACTTTATGTATGGAAAAAACTTAGTACATATAGGATTCAGTACTGTCCTTGGTTTCAGGCATCTACCAGAAATCTTGGAATGTGTCCCCAGCAGATAAGGGGGACTACTATGCTTTTTAAAAAGCATAGTAGTATAACCATTCATTCAACAAAAATTTATTTGATGCCTAACATGTATTTAGCAGAGGTCATGTGACAATGGGAGGGGCAAATGTGAGGACAATGCAGTTGTAGGAAAACATGCAGCTTTTTGCTTGGCTACTTTCTCCTTGGCAGCTCTGGAACTACACTTACTCTACTGAATCCTTCATCTTCAAACTTAATAGATGATCTGAAAAGCTAGAGATAACAATAGATTAAAGTGGGTTAAGTTTGCTCTGTGAAAATGCAGGCTCTCCGAAGTTTGACAGTGCTTTGCACATAGTTGTTCTTAATAGTTATTGAGTGGGTGTCATATGCTTATGTGTTTTATGCTAATGTCTAAGCGTATGCCCTTCCAGGATATGGATCCATTTTTGTGACTGAATGGATCAAGTTTTGTAACCCTTAAGCCTAACACAGAGTCTGGCATATGAAGTGTCTATGGGTTTTGGTTGAGGGGTTTTCACCAGTGAATAAAGTCTACTGGATTAGATTGTATAATCTCAATATCTCCTTGGGCTGGTTTGTAAATGAAAGTTGCTGTGATAGGAGGCTGGGTGTATCCTCACACTAACCTTAGAGGACATTTAAAAAGTGTCCTGGCCGGGCGCAATGGCTCATGTCTGTAATCCCAACACTTTGGGAGGCCGAGGCAGGCGGATCACTTGAGGTCAGGAGTTCAAGACCAACCTGGCCAACATGGTGAAACTCCATCTCTTCTAAAAATAATAAAAAAAATTAGCTGGGCGTGGTGGTGTTGCCTGTAGTACCAGCTACTCGGGAGGCTGAGGCAGGAGAATTGCTTGAACCCAGGAGGCGGAGGTTGCAGTGAGCCAAGATCGCACCACTGCATTCCAGCCTGGGTGACAGAGCAAGACCTTTCTCTAAATAAATAAATAAATAAATAAATAAATAAAAAGTGTCCTGATAATTCACTACCCTGAGCTTCAGATTGGACTCTACAGGACGAGTTTAAAACTTGTTTCAAATTTAAATTTCAGTCACTTTCTAGCTTTGTATTTTGTACTTACCTTGTAGATTTGGTAAGCAGTGAATGAGGTGAACTTGGCATATCATAGGTGTTAAGGAAATACTTTTTTCCTTTTCTCTCCACCTCATTTGCTCATAATTTTGCCAGAGATAGACTTTAGGGACAGAAATGTTTAATCATTTGTTGTATGGATTATTTCTAGGTTTCTAAAATAGAGACATTAATAACGCTTAGCTCATGGGTTTATTGTGAGTATCAGTGAGATGATGTATGTAAAGTGCTCAGTATTCCTGATACTTAGTCATCACTCAGTATTAACTGTTACTACCATTGTTATCATCAAAGGTGGCTCCAGACCAGCATGGGTCTTTGGATCGTCTTTGAAGTTAGCCTCAGAGATATGACTGTCCCCTGAGGCCACTAAAATAGTGCAATCTTTTTATTATTATTTATGACATGAGTAGGAAGGGCCATGAATAAGAGTGTGGGGACATGAATAATAGCAAGCTGTTCAGGAGGCTGATAATGTAGCACATCATTTTTATAATATGGCAGCCAGTTGAGCAACTGCTGCATTTTCTGTTTAAAAATTATTCCCAGCTGGGTGTGGTGGCTTATGCTTATAATCCCAGCACTTTGTGGGATGCAGAGGTGGGAAGATCACTTGAGCCCAGGAGTTGGAGACCATCCTGGGCAACATAGTGGGACCCTGTCTCTACAGAAATTAAAGTTTAAAAAAAAAATACCCTACCTGTCACTCCTCTATCTCTTTTATTTCTATTTTGTTCTTGTTTACCTCTTTCTGGCCCTAACCTCTGCCTCATCTGTCCATATGCCAACCCAAATTTAAGATTTTTTCTTTTTAAGAGACAGGGTCTTGCTCTGTCATCCAGGCTGGAGTGCAGTGGTGCGATCATGGCCCACTGTAACCTTGAACTCCTGGGCTCAAATGAGCTTTTTCCTACCATTTAATTTGTTCCCCATCCTTTCCTCTCATCACCCTCCCCTCTACCCCTGCTATGAGGTTGGAATCAAGTCAAAGCTGAGGATGGTGCAAGTGTTGGGGTTAGTTAGAAGGATACAGATGGAAACAGAATGCCAGGCAATCATGACATAGTGCGCCTGTAGCCGCTTCCAAGCAGAGGTGGCTTGTGGGCGCTAAGACAGCCAGGTTTCTGATGTAACATTGCTTGACTCTGTATATATTCTAGAATATGGTAAACTCAGTACATATTCTAGAATTTGACAGGTTGAGGGATGGAATGAAAGCTTGATTGAGAAATGAACATTATTAATTTTGAGCCTTACTAAGTCATGGATAAATGTTCACATTAAGAACATATTAGTTCATTAGACTGATAGACAAAGGTGAAAGATTTTCCCCCTTAACATTGCTTTTTTCTGATTAAAGTAATACTTACTAATTGTAAAATATACAAAGAAGTATAAATTAGGAAATACATTTAAGTATGAAGGCCAGAATTAAAATGACCCATAATAATTTTTTCCAGAGATTACTTACCTTGAAAATGCTGAGGTCTTTCCCAGTAACCTCTTTTCTAAGCATATATATGAATAAATATTTAAAATTGGATTATATGGAGTGTATGTGTGAGTGTGTGTGTGTGAGTGTAGCATTGTGTCTTATTTTTTTCTTAATATTACATCATTTGTCATTTTACTTGTTTTAAAATTGTTAGGAAGCTTTTAGTGGCTTCATAATATACTGAACTGTTGTGTCATAACAATGTAATTGTTTTAATGTAGGATATTTATATTGTTTCTACTTGTTTGCTACTAAAAATAACACTGGCCAGGCACGGTGGCTCACGCTTGCAATTCCAGCACTTTGGGAGGCTGAGGTGAGTGGATC
This sequence comes from Homo sapiens, assembly GCF_000001405.40. Taxonomy (NCBI): domain Eukaryota; kingdom Metazoa; phylum Chordata; class Mammalia; order Primates; family Hominidae; genus Homo; species Homo sapiens. The sequence goes on from NC_000008.11 coordinate 124,985,667, forward strand.
ACCTGAGGTCAGGAGTTCGAGACTGGCCTGGCCAACATGGTGAAACCCCATCTCTACTAAAAATACAAAAATTAGCTGGGTGTGGTGGCATGTGCACCTGTAATCCAAGCTACTCGGGAGGCTGAGGCAGGAGAATTGCTTGACCCTGGGAGGTGGAGGTTGCAGTGAGCCAAGATCATGCCACTGCAATCCAGCCTAGGGAGTCCGTCTAAAAAACAAAACAAAACAACAACAACAAAAAACCACTGCTGTGCTGGGCACCATGGCTCACACTTGTAATCCCAGCACTTTTGGAATCTGAGACAGGAGGATTACTTGAGGCCAGGAGTTCAAGATCATCCTGGGCCACATAGTGAGACCCTATATCTACAAAAAATTTTTAAAAATTAGCTGGGCATGGTGATGTGGCTATGGTTCCAGCTACTCAGGAGGCTGAGGTGGGTGGATTGCTTGAGCCTAGGAGGTCCAGACTGCAGTGAGCCATGATTATGCCATGGTACTCCAGCCTGAGCAACAGTGAGACCCTGTCTCAAAAAAGTAAAAATAAAAATACTACTTTGAACAGGCTGTTTTTAGCTGCTGTTTTGTTTTACTGTTGTGGTTGTGATTGTTTGGTCTTGCTTTTATGCTTTTTTTTAAAAAAATATAAATCTTAAAGTACATGTCTAATTATTTCCTTAGCATAAATTTCTAAAAGTGAGATTATTGAATCAGTGGGCATAAATGATTTTAAAGGCATTTTGTTTAATTGCTCTCCAGAAATTATATCAGTTTAAAGTATCCCAGTGGAAGAATTTTCTTAAACACCTTTTTTTGGGGGACAAAGAAGAACAAATCATATGTAAATAGATCATATATTATTATAATTCAAGGCCAACACATTAATATGATGAAAACCTTCTCTTGAGATTTTGTTTTGTTTTGTTTTTGAGACAGGGTCTTGCTTTGTTGCCTAGGCTGTACAGTACACTGGTGTAGTCACGGCTCTCTGCAGCCTTGACCTCCCAGGCTCAAGCAATCCTTCCACCTCAGCCTCCCAAGTAGCTAGGACTATAGGCACACCACCTTGCCCTGCTATTTTTTTTACTTTTATTTTGTAGAGATGGGGTCTTGTATGTTGCCCAAGCTGGTTTTGAACTCCTGGCTCAAGTGATCCTCCTGCCTTGGCCTCCCAAAGTTCTGGGATTACAGGCATGAGCCACTGCACCTTGCCTGAGATGGTTTTTATAAGATAATCTTGTTCCTTCTCTCCTGGTCTTAGGATCAACTGAGATTCACCTTGGGTTGAATCATTTTAAGAATTACTTTGACTTTTCCTTTTGCTGCCCTAGACATAATTTCAAGGGACATCTTCAGGAGCTGCTTTAAGAACTAGGGAAATAAGATGAGGTTTTGGTACCAGGAGTACTTCCAGAGGAACAGAATTTTAAGGGTGGATTTTCGTAACTGGTTTTGGGGTTTCTGGAATTGGCTCTTTAATCTGATTAGAGCTAAAAATGCTAAAGACTCTCTACTTCTAATAGTACAGACAGCACTGATAGTCCATGGCTGAGTTGTTTATAGAGATACGCAAAATAAATGCATGTGACACTCCTAATTCACCACTTATAAGAAGCAATGCACTTGGTGATTCTGTACATGATACTTTAGGATATTTGTGGAAAATCAAGAAACATAATGACATTAGTTGGTTGCTACTAATATTGCTGGGCAAAGTAATGAAAGAAAAGGATGAGCTCAGGGATTTGAATTCTCAGCTCCAGGTATACATAAATAGTCTCGAAACTTCTAAGTGTTCCCTGAAGGAGAATCTTCTCCCCAGTAGCCTTTGGGTTGAAATTACTGAAAACCAAACACAAGCCCTGATCATGCAACTAGCTTACCTACGAAGAAAGGTGCACTCAGCCTCACAGGATGTTTACTGTTAAAGTGAGGGCATTGATTGGGAAAGAATGGGAATAATTGGATTCCAAGGTGGCAGGGTCCAAGTGGCAAAACTCAACTGCCAAAGGCAAGGTGGGCATAGTTATCATAATGAGCGAACAGCAGAGGCAATCCAACAATCAGAATAATCTGACTCATGTAGACATTTGGCTTTGGCTAATTAATCTTGTTGTTCCTAGAAGTGAAATAGATGGGAAGCTTACTACATTCTTAAGCAGAAAACTTCCAGGTCAAGTGAACAAAAGTCTAACTCAAATATTAAAAACAGATCATCATGGCCACTCAATTTCCACACTTGAGCCAGTTTACAGACCCAGAACCCCTTGAATAAAGGGTACCCTACCCTTCATTTGGGTATACTACCAAACCTTTATACTGTTTATACCTCCGGCCTTTTACTAGGGTAACTGCGCATTGGGGAAAGAGAAATAATCAGAACTTTCAGGGAACTACTGACAACTGGCTCTGAACTGACATTGATTCCAGGAGACCCAAAATATGGTGGCCGTCCAGTCAGAGTAGCAGCTTATAGAGGTCAGGTGATCAGTGGAGTGTTAGCTCAGGTTTGACTTAACAGTGGGTCCAGTGAGTCCCCAAACCATCCTGTGGTCACTTCCCCAGTTCCAGAATTCCTAGTTGGAATACACATACTTAGCATACTGAGCAGAATTTCCACATTGGTTGCCTCACCTGTGGAGTGAGGGATATTATGATTGGAAAGGCCAAATGGAAGCCATTAGAGCTGCGTCTGCCTGGGAAAATAGTAAATCAGAAATCGTATCACATCTTTGGAGGGATTTCAGAGATTAGTGCCACCATGAAGGACTTGAAAGATGCAGAGGTGGTGGTTCCCTGCCCATTCTTATTCAACTCTCTGCCCTGTGTAGAAGACAGGATCTTGGGGAATACAGTGGATGACTGTAAGCTTAACCAAGTGGTGACTCCAATTGCAGCTGCTGTACCAGATGTGGTTTCATTGCTTGAGCAAATTAACACATCCCTTGGTACCTGGTATGCAGCTACTGATGTAGCAAATGCATTTTTCTCCATACCTGTCCATAAGGGCCAGCAAAATACTTTCACTGTCCTGCCTCAGGTGTATATCAAGTCTCCAGCTCTGTGTCATAATTTAGTTTACAGAGATCTTGATTGCCTTTCCCTTCCACAAGATACCACACTGGTCCATTACATTGATGACATTAAGCTGATTGTACCCAGTGAGTAAGAAGTAGCAACCACTCTGGACTTACTGGTAAGACATTTGTGTGTCAGAGGGTGGGATATGAATCCAACCCTCAGTGAAATTTCTAGGGGTCCAGTAGTGTGGGGCCTGTCGAGATATCCCTTCTAAGGTAAAGTTCTTGCATCTGGCCCCTGCTATAAACAGGAAACAATGCCTAGTGGGCCTATTTGGATTTTGGAAGGAACATGTTCCTCACTTGGGTGTGTTGCTTTGATCCATTTACTGAGTGACTAGAAAAGCTTCTAGATTCAAGAGGGGCTGCAACAGATCCCTGGCTATTATGCAAGCTGCACTGCCACTTGGGCCATATGATCCAGCTGATTCAATGGTACTTAAGATGTCAGTGGCTGATAGGGATGCTGTTTGGAGCCTTTGGCAGGACCCCATTGGTGAATCACAGTGGAGGCCTTTAGGATTTTGGAGCAAGGCCCTGCTATCATCCACAGATAACTACCCTCCTTTTGAAAGATAGCTCTTGGCCTGCTACTGGACCTTAGCAGAAACTAAATGGTTGATCATGGGCCACCAAGTTACCATGTGACCTGAACTGCCTATCATGAATGGGGTGTTATCTAACCCACCAAGCCATAAAGTTGGGTGTGTACAGCAGCACTCCATCATCAAATGGAAGTAGGGTATTGATCAGCCTGAGCAGGTCCTGAAGGCAAGAGATTCCATGAGGAAGGGACTCAAATGCCTATGTTTCCTGCTGCTACACTCTCTCTCTCCTCTCTCCCAGCCTGCAACTTTGGCCTCATGGGGATGACTCTATGATCAGTTGACAGAGGAAGAGAATACTAGGGCCTAGTTTTCAGATGGTTCTTCGTATATGCAAGTACCACCAGAAAGTGGACAGCTACAGCACTGCAGCCCCTTTCTAGAACATCCCTGAAGGAAGGTAGTGAAGGGAAATCCTCCTGTGAACAGAATTTCAGTCAGTGCACCTTGTTGTGCACTTTGCTTGGAAGGAGAAATGGCCAGATGTGTGATGACATGCTGATTCATGGGCGATAGCCAATAGTTTGACTGAATGGTCAAGAACTTGGAAGGAACATGATTGGAAAACTGGTGACAAAGGAATTTGGGGAAGAGGTTTTGTGGATAGACCTCTCTGAGTAAGCAAAAGATGTGATGATATTTGTGTGCCATATGAATGCTCACCAAAGGATGACCACCTCAGCAGAGGAGAATTTTAATAATCAAGTGAATAGAATGACCTGTTCTGTGGATACCAGTAGACCTCTTTCCTTAGCCACCCCTATCATTGCCCAAAGGGCTCATAAGCAAAGTGGCCATGGTGGCAGGGATAGTGTTTATGCATGGACTCAGCAACACGGACCCCCACTTACCAAGGCCAACCTGGCTACAGCCACTTCTGAGTGTCCATTCTGCCAGCAAGAGACCAACATTGAGCTCCTGATATGGCACCATTCCCCAGGGTGATCAGTTATCTGGTGGCAGGTTGATTACAGTGGATTGCTTCCATCACGGAAGGGACAGCCGTATGCCTTTACTGGAATAGACAGTTACTCTAGATATGGATTTGTCTTCCATTCATGCAAGGCTTCTGCCAAAACTCCATCCATGGACTTACCAAATGCCTTATTCACCATCATGTTATTCCACACAGCATTGCTTCTGACCAAGGAACTCACTTCACAGCCAAAGAAGTGTGGCAATGGGCGCATGCTCATATAATTAATTGGTTTTACCTTGTTTCCCATCATCCTGAAGCAGCTGGCTTAATAGAATGGCAGAATGACCTTCTGAAGTCACAGTTACAGTGCTAGCTAGGTGACGATACTTTGCAGGACTGGAACAAGGTTCTTTAGAAGGCCGTATATGCTCTGAATCAGCATCCAATATATTATACTGTTTCTCCCATAGCCAGGACTCATGCATCCAGCAATCAAGGGGTGAAAATGGGAGTGGCACCACTCACCATTGCCCCTAGTGACCCACTAGCAAAATGTTTGTTTTCTGTTCCAATGACATGTTCTGCTGGCCTAGAGGCATTAGTTCCAGAGGGAGGAATACTTTTACCAGCAGACACAACAATGATTTCATTGAATTGGAAGTTTAAAACTGCCACCGGGCCAACCTGGACTCCACACAGGCTAAGAAAGTAGTTAAGGTGTTGGCTGAGGTGATTGATCTGTACTACCAAGGGTGAAATTGGACTATTACTCCACAATAGAGATAAGGAAGAGTTTGTCTGAAATATAGGAAGTCCCTTAGTTTTACCATGCCTTATGATTAAGGTCAATGGGAAACTATTATACAATAACTGAATCTAGGCAGGACTACGAATGGCCCAGACCCTTTAGGAATGAAGGCTTATGTCACCCCACCAGCTAGAGAACCACAACCAGCTGAGGTGCTTGCTGAACTTGAAGGCAAATGGAATACAGCATATACGATAGAAGAAAGTAGTTATAAATACCAGCTATACCCACATGACCAGTTAACAGAATTGAGGACTGTAATTGTCATGACTATTTCCTCCCTATTTTGTTAAGAATACCTTCATGCATAGATACATACATCTTACACAGATATTTGTTGTCTTTCCTCTCTTATTCATTTAGCATTAACATAAAATTTATTGACTTTTAGTGTTTAAGTATTGTTAATTTTACATCACAGTATTTAAGTTATGGGATATCAGGAGAAGAGTAAACATCACTAAAGAAGTTCACCTTCTCTTCTGGGGATGGGATTTGTGCGTTTTTGGTTGTACACAGGATAGTTTTATCATGTTAGGTGGAATTATGACCTTTTTATTGTTTTTATTTGGAGATGAAGTATGGTTTAAGGAGATGTGTATGGGTGATAGTTTAACAAGGGGTGGACTTGCGACGGTTAATTTTAGGTGTCAACTTGACTGGATTAAGGGATGCCTAGATGGCTAGGGAAACATTATGTCTGGATGGGTCTGTGAGGGTGTTTCCAGAGGAGACTGATACAAGAGTCAGTGGACTGAGAGAGGAAGACCTGTCCTCAATATGGGCAGGCACCATCCAGGTAGCTAGGGGCCAGCTGGGACAAAGGGGGAAGATGGGAGACCCTTGTTCTCTGCTCTCTGTCTGCTTTCCAGATCTGGATGCCTGTTCTTCTCCTGCGCTTGGACATCAGACTCCAGGTTCTTTGGCTTTTGGACCCTGGGACTTGCACCAGGGTCCTCCCAGGATTGTCAGGCTTTTGTTCTCAAACTGTTCTCAAGCTGCATCATCTGAAGCTTCCAGACTAAGCCATGCTACTGGCTTTGCTGATGCTCCAGCCTGCACGTGGCCTATGGTGGGACTTTATCTCTGTGGCAGTGTGAGCCAATTTTCCCTAATAAATTCCCTTCCATATATCCTGTTGCTTCTGTCTCTCTGGAGAACCCTTACTGATTCAGGTGAATTCCTAGAAGTGGGATTATTGAATCAAAGGGTATACATTGTTTTCAAGGCATATTGCTTAATTACTTTCAGAAATTTTATCAATTTAAATTACCCCAGTGAAGTAATTTTGTTAAATCCTTTTGGGGAGAGGGGGAGAACAACAACTAATAGGTAAATAAATTACATATTATTGGAATTCATGGCCAATATATCAATATGATGAAAACCTTCTAAGGCAGATTTTTTAGTTAATCTTTTTCCTCCTCCTCACTCCCCTTCTCCTTGGCTTAGGATCAGCTGAGATTCACCTTGCGTTGAATCATTTTAATAATTACTCTGGCTTTTTCTTTTTCTCAGCACAATTCCAGTGGATATCACTAGGATGTGCTCCAAGAACTAGGGAAATGAGCCAAGGCTCAAAGCCTGAAGTGCCAAGAGGAAGAATGCTTGAGGAAGAGGCTGCCTAGTTCAATATGTATTGCCACCCAGTTCAGAAAATGAAGTGCACTCCAAATCTAGGAGATTAGGTTCAACTCTGATTTAGCAAATGAATATTTTCTAGTTTTTAAAATTGACATTGTGAAAGTTGAGTGTATCAAATGGAGTCAGTCTTGTCATTACCAACTAAAATGGAGTCCAGAGGTCATACGAAAGGGCACCCAGTTCCCATACACCTGTTCCATAAACTATTTTTGCAATTCAACAAAAAACCCACAGAGACCTACCTGTGGCTTTAAGATTATGTCTTACCTGGTAACTGCTGCTACTTCATCAAGCAGAACTTGCCAGTTCCTGCTGGCACCAATGAACTTTCTTTCAAAACAGTGTACCTTCCTCACTTTCCCAATAAAACCTCAGCCTTTCCCTTCGTTCTTTGGACACACCCAGGTGCTGCCCAGGTCTGGGTGTCCTGAATTGCAATTCCTGCATTTTCCCAAATAAACTCTTTCTTAGAGATTGACCTTTATATATTATTTCAAATTAACAATATTGAGGAAAAAAACAGAATGGACACTTATAGAAAGATATCAAATAAGACTGCTCAGAAGAATAGAACCTTCATCTTTCCAATCATACTGCCATCAAGAGTGAAAAGCTTATTTTGTTGGCTGTATAATGTTTTAGTAAGGAGAAAGGGAAGAAGAAAGGTAAGGTGTGATCACTGACATTGACAGAGGTTATACCTGCCTACCCCTACTAATTCTTCAAACCTAGCTTAAAAGTAACATCTTCTGGTAGGCCTTTCTTGACCCTTAGTTTTGTTTATAACTTCTTACCCTCCAGAGCAACATCTGCTTGCTGGTGGTGCTCTTCTCCTTCTTTCTTCCTCTTCCTCTCTCTCTTCCTCCTCCTCCTCCTTCTTCATACACATGACATCTGTAATTACTTGTTCACTGCTGTTTTCTCAATACATTCTAAACTCCAAAATGACAGGTACCATGTCTGCCTTATTCACTGCCTGCGTCCCAGCACCAAACACAGTGCCTGACACAAAGTAGACACTTCTTACATAATTACATTAAATTGGATTGATGGTCACTCTAACTATGGTTTTATGAGCCATAAAGGAGAAAAAGAAAATGAAAACAATGTTCCGAATTAATACCGTTGGCTCCATCACTTGCAACTAGAATTTGCAAAAGATTATGTAAGTGCTGAGGGGATGTCCAACAATTACATGATTGGGGTTAAAAGTCTTTGGATGAGGTAAATGGTGAGTGATAAAGTTTTGAAGGGCTGGGCATGGTGGCTCACCCGTGTAATCCCAGCACTTTGGGAGGCCAAGGTGGGAGGATTGATTGAGGCCAGGAGTTGGAGACCAGCCCGGGCAACATAGCAAGACCCCATCTCTATGAAAAATAAATAAATAAGCCAGGTGTGGTGGCACATACCTATGGTCCCAGCTACTTCCAAGGCTGATGTTGGAGGATGGCTTGAGCCTGGGAGGTCAGGGCTTCAGTGAGCTATGTTTGTGCCACTGCACTCCAACTGGGATGACAGAGCAAGACCTTGTCTCAAATAAAAAAATAAAAAATAAAAAATAAAGAAAATTTTGAGAAGACAATTATTTCGTTTGCTACCAAAACAATGGGATAACATTTTTAAAAAGAAAGATTGTATTCAATACATTGAGGAAATGCTTACCATATGCCAAATACTGAGTATACAACTGTGAATAAGACATGGTCCTTGTCTTGAGGAGTTGAATCCCTTGTGTTAGGGAAGCAGGAGCCTAGGAGAGCCAGAGTGGCACCACTTTAAAAATCAACTCCATCTTGAGACTAACAAGGCACATTCCTTTTCGGTCACAACCCATAATCATAACACGTTTATAGTTGAGGAAACAGCCTAAAGATACCTACTACAAGGACACACTCCTACAAAAGCAGAAAGCCCACATGTCCCAATACCCATAACAATCTATGTTTTCAAGATAATTACAGTTAAGCTTTGATGTATTCACACACTAGAATGTCAAGGATAGTTATCTTTAAATCAATAGAATAATTTGTAATGCTGTCTGCTCACCGACATGTAGACACAGCTTAGCTTTTTACATAGATAAGACCTCTGTATAAGGAAAACTTACAGACAAGACGTGCCTCCTCTTACTCTCTGGGGATGCCCTACTTTGTAATGGAGTAGCTTTTAATAAACTCTCTTCTCACTGCGCTCTGCTACTAGCCTTGAATTCCTTTTTGCATGAGATCTCAGAACCCTCTCTTGAGCTCTTTTTCGACAACTTGGAAAAGGCATTGTGAGTAGATAATTATAGTACAAATTGGTGAGTGACTGCTACAACAGAGGTGGAATTATGAAAACTTGAGGAAAAAAAAGATGATTAATCTGAGGTCTCAAAGCATGGGTAGTTGAGGAAAGCTGGGCGGGACTTTTTCTTGCATTGAGAATGGCACTTAAAACACAAATCTAGCCTGGTGTGCCAAACTAGGCTAACAGTGAAAACTCAAAAGCTTAAGCAAAAAAGAGATCAGATGTGCTTGTTTGTTTCAAGATAACTAGGTCTTTGTGTGGGGAGAAAAATCAAGTCACACATTCCTAAATTCCTCACATACATTTTCTGGGCTTGGATTCAGACTCTGCTAGTCACTAGCTGTGATCACTTCCCTGTGCATGAGTTTTCTTGTCTGTAAAATGGGGCTAAAAAAATAGTATCTTAGCTGGGTGTGGTGGCTCACGCCTGTAATCCTGGCACTTGGGGAGGCCGAGGCGGGCGGATTGCCTCAGCTCAGGAGTTGGAGACCAGCCTGGCCAACACAGTGAAACCCCATCTCTACTAAAATACAAAAATTAGCCGGGCGTAGCAGCCTGCGCCTGTAGTCCCAGCTACTCGGGAGGCTGAGGCAGGAGAATCGCTTGATCCCCGGGAGGCGGAGGTTGCAGTGAGCCGAGATCAGGCCACGGCATTCCAGCCTGGGTGAAAGAGCGAGACTCCATCTCCAAAAAAAAAAAAAAAAAAAAAAAGTAGTATCTCCCTAAAAGTGTTGTCAGGAAGCCAAAACGAGCTAATATATGAAAAGTATTTAGAATGCTACCCGTACTATATGTGTGAGCTCTTGTACGAAAGTATTTCTCATGTACCTACTTGATAGCATTATGGCTTTCTGCCAGTAAGCAGCTGATTTTGTCTCACATTTCATTGCTTTCCCTTCAGGTCTCAATGACAGATTTGTTTTTGAATAAATGAACCATGGCAAGATTCAAAAATACTTAAGCAATGCTTATATAACATTTAATTCAGTTCAGAAGATATAGGCATTCAGAGTGTGCTCTGCGGTAGGTATTACAAGTGCTCTTTTTGCCCCAAATTCAGAAGTGGATCTTGAACTGCCTAAAGGATTCAGACCTGACATTGTAAGAATGACTTTGTGAAGATAAAAACATATGAAGAAAGTCGCTTTCCAGAGATTAAAAAATTATCTACTTAATAAGAAAAATTCCTTTTATGATAATCTTGAGTACAGAGTTAGCAGGTAACAGCCATCCTGGTGATAACTGTATTCCCATCTGTAAGAGTCAGTTGGCCGGGCTTGGTGGTTCATGCCTGTAATCCTAGCACTTTGGAAGGCTCAGGCGGGAGGATCACTTGAGGTCAGGAGTTTGAGACCAGCCTCGCCAACATGGTGAAACACTGTCTCTACTAAAAATACAAAAATTAGCCGGCATGGTGGCACGTGCCTCTAGTCCCAGCTACCCGGGAGGCTGAGGCTTGAGAATCGCTTGAAGCTAGGAGGCAGAGGTTGCAGTGAGCTGAGATTGCGCCACTGCACTCCAGCCTGGGCCACAGAGCGAGACTCTGTCACAAAAATTTAAAAATAATAAAAGAGTCAGCTGCTCCTCTATTATTTTAACAAAACAGAACTCACAGATACCAATAAGCAGTTTATTGAAGAATTCTCTTCAGGAAATGATTTCCCATACATTGAACTGATTCTCTTTTCTGCAGTCCTTTTAAATTTGATGTCAGTTCAGACAGCCAAACTTACTGGTAACAGTGAGGAATATTGTAGAAGAAAGAATAAAAGTATTGGAAAGCAAGGCAGTTATTGATAATTATGCATACTGGGGAACCACAAGATTTGGAGACCAGGACTTTGACTTTTGGTTTCATCATTACGATTTAATCACAGCTGTGATTTAGTCAAGCCATTTAACCTCTTTAATTTTCATTTTCCTCATTTTAAAAATCAAAGTTGTTTTGAGGGTCAAGTGAACGCCTGTGCGGGTGTTTTACCAAATAATTATTTTATTAGCAGATAAAACATAATATTGGGGGTGAAAAGTTATAAGAGGTGCCATGTTTTTTTAAACCCTGCCAAGTATCTGATACAGAATTGCAAAGGATGTTCGAGTTCATGAAGAAGTTGCCTTCTCCCCACAGAGGCAGAGTGACTTGTAACATCTGTAAAAGGTCACAGTCTGGTTAGCGGTAGCCAGAATCTGGGTCTCCTAACTCTAGTTGCCTAGTCTTGCTTTTATGCGCCAGTGTCGTTCATCATTCATTAAATACATGTTATGGAGGATAAATTAAGGGCAGAGCATTGTGCTAGGTGCTGTGGGTGATCTTATCAGACACAGATCTTTAGGGAATCTAGAGATTAAAAAGTATGAATAAAGTTATGTGACTTGGTGAAGGTCAATGGCGATTTGGTGGAAGAGGTGACAATGCAGCCACGCTCCAAAAGGCAGAAGGGATTTGCACCTATTATCATAGGGGTTAAAGAAGGAAGTCCAGAGTTAAGAAACAGGATGAGCAAAGACACTGAGGTCTTAAGCCTCAATAAATTTTAGGTAAGTTTCATCGTAGTAGAATAAGGGCTGTCTCACTCCGAGACTTTTGCACACTTTTGCTCCCTCGGACTGCTTGTCCTGGACACCGTGTAACCTCCCCCTGGGCGCCTCACCAGACTTCTCCAGGCCAAGGGAAGGACCACCTCTTGGGTTTCCATGGCTCCCTCTCTAACCACCCCCTTCTCAGGACACCTATGACACGACTATTTGACTTCTTTGCCTCCGAGCCCCCACCCCCAACGTTTCTGGTCTTGAGAGAACGGGCTGGGCGCATCCGTGTATCTCTAGCCTGAGCACCTGGAGCGTCCTCTCCTTTTCTTCTTAAGGCAAAAGCCTACTCATTCTTCCAGCTTCAGCTGGAATGTCAGGCTCTCCACGCACTCATGGCCCTCCCTTCCGCCCTCTCCACATACACAGGGCAGGGAAGCTGTGTCTGATTCCTCTTTCGGACTCCGGGGACTGACATATCATAAGCGCTCAATAAATGCTAGCGGAATGAATGGAAACGTTCCGACCCGAGGCAGCGGATCACTCCAGGCTTCTCCTCAAAGCGAGCACACCTCAGTCCAGGGAGGGCGCAGGAGCTGGGGCTGCTGCGGTGAACCAACCCCAACCCCGACCCCGACGCCGATCCCGGCCCCAGAGCGCCTCCTAGGCGACCCCTGGCCCCACCCACGCCGGAGCCGGCCCGCGCCCATCCCCACGCCCCAACCCGCACCACGCAACATCGCCCTAGCGCCTTTCGGGGCGTCGCCGCGCAGGTTGCGCCGCCTCCGATTGGCCAAACGCGGCATAGCGCCATCTCGGCCTACCGCGCGGTGCGCGCCCTCATTGGCCGGCGGCGGCAGGAGCAGGGGTAGGGGGCGGGGCAGCACGCGGGGCGCGCGGTATGGGCGGACTCGCGCCTGAGCCCCGCCCCCGGTCCCTCGTCTGGGCCGAGCCCGCCCAGCTGGCTGAGACGCGTGGAGCCTGGCGGCGAGTGGGGGCGTGCGACGGTTACTCTGGTTACTGGGGCCGCGCCGCGCTGGCGAGAGCCGCCGCCCGCGAGGGATGCTGGTGAGGAAGCCGTCGGGAGCCGCCGCCGCCATCTGAGGGAGGTACCCTGGAAACCACCTTTTATCGGTGGGGAAGTGCAGTCGCGGTGGGCGGCTCTGGGGGCCAGCGAAACGGGAGGCCTCTAAATCTTTAGGTTGGGGCTGCATTGCCCTGGAGCCGCACTCTTGAGTCCGAGGCCATCTTTTGTTGGAGAAGGCGTCGGCGTTGGCGTTTTCCCGAGGTTGGGCTGTACAGTGTCTCCGTCCGCGGAAAAAGAAGCCTCTGAACCCGCGCCGGCCCGCAGCCCCCGTGCCTTCCGGCCGCTGCTCGCCGTCGCCAGAGGCTAGGCCACGTTTCCCCCAGTGCCGAGGTGTTTCTGTGACCCTCCCTCCACTCCCATTCCCTTCTGAAAGGGCACCTGCTCTTGGTGAGAAAAGAAATTATAGCACGAAGAGCCAGTATCAGAAGAGTATCCATCACCCGCAGCAACCGCTCAGGGAACACCATCAAAAAAGAAAAAAAGGGAATATCTGGATTTCCTGGGCGAGGAGGAGCGAGTCTGCTCGGGAGCTGTTCCAGCAGGCGATTTTTAAATACTGCTTTCTACGCCCTATACAACTTGGCTTCACATACTTTTACACTAACTTTATATGATTTTTAAAAACTGGTCTGATCGGACTTCTCGTCCTGGGACACTGTTTACTGGAGTCTGGCCGGCTCTCCGTGCTCCTCTTGGTACCTCATTTTGGGGAGAACCTTAAACCCACTCGAGCAGATAATCTCCGCCTTGACCGGTGCCACCAAAGAAGCCTTGGAACCATGTGGACTTTTCTGGGCATTGCCACTTTCACCTATTTTTATAAGAAGTTCGGGGACTTCATCACTTTGGCCAACAGGGAGGTCCTGTTGTGCGTGCTGGTGTTCCTCTCGCTGGGCCTGGTGCTCTCCTACCGCTGTCGCCACCGAAACGGGGGTCTCCTCGGGCGCCAGCAGAGCGGCTCCCAGTTCGCCCTCTTCTCGGATATTCTCTCAGGCCTGCCTTTCATTGGCTTCTTCTGGGCCAAATCCCCCCCTGAATCAGAAAATAAGGAGCAGCTCGAGGCCAGGAGGGTAGGTTGATTTCAAAGCGGGCAGATGAATGTCTTATTTAGGAGTAGGATTGGGTTCACTCAAATATAAGTTTTATTTGAATTGCAAAAGGCGGCAGGTTAGATGCTTGTATACATTCTCATGTATTTTTTATTTTAAACTCTGCTGTGCCTTGGTTACATCTTTGACCTTCTTAAGAATGAGTGAAGACATTTGTTTCATTTAGCATTGGTTGAGCCTCAGATGGAGGTTGGATATTTGATTATGAAAGATGGAACGAAATGTTAGAATTTCATTTTGAAGGAGAAGAACAACCACTTTCCATGATGAAAAAGTTTTTAAAAAGTTCTTGGGTAAGGATTGGATTTGTGCCTGAGGAAGAAAGAAACGTGCTGCGGGTAAGTCCACTGCTTGTAAGAAGTGACAGCTGACTGGGGAAAGTGACAGAACAGTTTGAAAAGCAGGCAGAAGGAGAATGCTCAACATTTTGAGGCATTGGGCTCAAAGTTCTCCTCCCCCGAATATTGGAGCATTGAGTAAATGCTTGTAGTAATGTCCTAACATAAAGGCCAGGTCTTCAAATAAGGGTGTAGTTGGGATTCCTGCAAAGGGAGCAGAGGCGGCCACTGGGAGAAGATGAGGGGGAAGAGTTTAGGCCAGATCATTTAGGGCATGTTGGCAATGAGTGTTCGGGCTTTTTCCCAAGAGTTCTCCCAAGAACACTGGAGGATTTTAAGTATGGGAGTAACTTTATTCGGTGTTTACTTTTTAAAAAATTTTTGTTTTTTGAGACAAAGTCTCGCTCTGTCGCCCGGGCTGGAATGCAGTGGCGTGATCTCGGCTCACTGCAACCTCCGCCTCCCTGGTTCAAGCGATTCTCGTGCCTCACTCAGCTTCCCAAGGAGCTGGGATTACAGGTGCACGCCACCACTCCTGGCTAATTTTTTTTTTTTGTATTTTTGTGGAGACAGGGTTTCACCATGTTGGCCAGGCTGGTCTCGAACTCCTGACCTTAAGTGATCCGCCTGCCTCAGCCTCCCAAAGTGCTGAGATTACAGACGTGAGCCACGGCGCCTGGCCTGACTTTTACCTTTTAAAAAGAACATTGCAGTTGCTGTATGGAGAATGGGTTGTAGGCGTACAAGAATGGAAGCAGGGCTATCAGGCAAGAGACTATAGCAGTAAACGCCCACTTGCTTTTTAAATTTTTGCGCCACCATTTCTGGATGTGAGATCTTTGGCAAATTGCTTAATTTCTGTGAGAATCTGTTACCTCTTCCATTAGACGGGAATGGCACCACCCTTGCTGGTAGTTAATACCTAGTCTATAACCGCCTGATAATAGTAGCTGTTAATATTAGCCTAGGGGTAATATACATCTCTTAGGGTGAGCTTTATGAGTAGCGCTGAGTTCAGTGACATGGTGCATGGGTTTGAGGAATGGGAAAGGAGGGAGAGAGAATCCTTAATGTTTAATTTGAACTTTTTTGTATTGTGGTCTGAAATAATTTCCCTTAAGGTCACTGAGCTCTAGTTCAGGTGGCTGGAATGCTGTTCCTGTTTTCATGCTGTGTAGAGAAATTTTGGAGTAGGAAAATTGGGTTACCAGCAATCAATATTGGTTCCATTTTGTGAACGCCCCAGGCTTTCTCTTTATTTTTTTGTGAACCAGGGAGTTGTTAGATTGTGATCTATTGACTACTAAGTTCCCATTAGTGCTTACTCTACTGATCAGGCTCTGCAAGGCCTGTTTTCCTCCAGAGCTCTCCTTTCAGGGTGTGTGTGTGTGTGTGTGTGTGTGTGTGTGTGTGTGTGTATATAAAACAGGAAAAACTTATGAAGAAGCACATTTTTGGTTAAGATGACAAAAGGGGCTTGTCTTGCCCCCTACAGTAATTTAAATATAGTCAGTTCTGGCCATTAAGACATACTAATGGGAAGAGTAGAATATTGAGATCTTCCCATAGTAAAAGGACAGAAAAGTATTTTTCTGAGAGAAATTAAAAAAAAAAAAAGAATAGACAAATTCCCAGTCCACTATAGAGGTAAAAGAATGCTGGGTGGATATTAGAATCACAGAGTAAAGTTCTAAAGGATTTTAGGCTTCGTCTTCCTTTTTGCTTGATTATTTTTTAAAAACCCCTTCAAATGGCATTTAGTCTTATCTTAATCATTAAGGTCAAAGAACTCAAGGAAGGTGGTTCCTTGCAATTCTGTATCTGAAATGTATTCAAATGTGTGAATCCATCTACCAAGAAGAAATACTACAAAATTGAATTGTTCATTTTAAAAAGCCACTGTGCACTGTTGTTCTTAGTGGTCATAAATCTCTCAAAACAAGACTTTGCATCTTTTTATGATCAAAGTTAAAGTTTTGCTGTCAGTTCAGCCAGTGACAGGTTTAATGTTTTTCCTTGTTCCTTTTTTGGGGACCACCTCTTTGACTAGGATCTCTTAGAGTATCAGGATGGGGAAAAAGGAGGGATAAATTAAATATGTGCTTATATGTTAAGGACCAAAATTGTAAACAAGTCAAATCTAAGAGTCGGTATGAGTTATTTCTTCTCTTGTAATTTTGTTTATTTAGATAATCTTCAATTAATAGATTGGTAGGCAGGATTTGACAATCCTTTTGTCATATAAAAGTGATATTAAATTAACATAGATTTTTCAAATGAAAATCCAGAAAGAGAAAATAAAGATGAATAATGAAAATATCTAAGGCCGCACGCAGTGGCTCACGCCTGTAATCCCAGCACTTTGGGAGGCTGAGGCAGGAGGATCACCTGAGGTCGGGAGTTCAAGACCAGCCTGACCAACATGGAGAAGCCCAGTCTCTACTAAAAATACAAAATTAGCCGGGCATGGTTGCACATGCCTATAATCCCAGCCACTCGGGAGGCTGAGGCCAGAGAATTGCTTGAATCCAGGAGGCGGACGTTGCAGTGATCCGAGATTGCGCCATTGCACTCCAGCCTGGGCAACAAGAGTGAAACTCAGTCTCAAACAAACAAACAAAAAAACAAACAAAAAAAAGAAAATGTCTAAAAGGTGCCGAATAGTTTGTAACATGAACTCAAATCAGAAGTTGTAAGTGATTTGCATCTTGTCGATTCCCAGGATATATTTGAAGAATTTAGTTATTAATGATACAGTTTGCCCTATAATAAGTCTTTGAAGCCCCTTATAAACATTTATTATATTCGGCCCAGTGTGGATTTCTAAATATGTCTGTATAACATTTTCCAAATATCATGTTTAGAAAACAATAAATATTTAATTTTATTGGGATAATATGACACACTTTTATTTAACGAATATTTTGATATCATTGATTTTTATATATTATCTAGATTTTAAAATGTAACAATTTGTTTGGTTTGATAATATTTAGTATCTAGCTTTAGCCTAGGATGCAAAAGTCCAGTGTGTCCACATAGCGGTAGCATGATTTGAATCTAACAAATTTGGATACCTAGTTTACCTTTTTTTTTTTAAACAGCGCAGAAAAGGAACCAATATTTCAGAAACAAGCTTAATAGGAACAGCTGCCTGTACATCAACATCTTCTCAGAATGACCCAGAAGTTATCATCGTGGGAGCTGGCGTGCTTGGCTCTGCTTTGGCAGCTGTGCTTTCCAGAGATGGAAGAAAGGTGACAGTCATTGAGAGAGACTTAAAAGAGCCTGACAGAATAGTTGGAGAATTCCTGCAGCCGGGTGGTTATCATGTTCTCAAAGACCTTGGTCTTGGAGGTAGGTTCATATTGATTTTCAGGAGAGTTACGTGGTATGAACAAGCACTCTTCACTTAGACCATCCTATGACCAGTAAGAAGGTATTCCATTTTATTTTCATTTATAAAATTTTCTATACTCATTTACCAACAAATTTGCATGAAAGTGAGAGCAAAGGATAAAATAAGCATTTAATAGTATGATTAGATGTGAATTAGACTTAATGAGATATAATAAAATGGCCAAAAGATTGTAATGGTCAAAATTAAGGACTGGAAAATCCTAGAATGAGGGCATTAAATTTTGTGAAAGGCGAAGGGAACTGTCATTTGTAGAGGGTATGTTGTATACTTGTTACAGTGTTATTACTTAGAATCTTTTATTTAAGCACCATTCATCCATTCAACCAGTGCTTTTTAAGCACTGGCTATTCATTTAGGAAATATTTATGCACTGTCTACTTTGTGTGGGGATGGGGTGGTGGGGTGGGGTGGGGTGGGGAAGGTGGGAGAGACACAAAGAAGCAAGCCCTCCCCTGTCTTTTTTTCCAAGGGCACTAATCCTATCGTGAGAGTCTACCCTCATGACCTAATCACCTTCTAAAGGCTCCATCTCCAAATATCATCACATTGGGGATTAGAGTTTTAGCTTAGGAATTTTGGGAGGACACAGACATCCAGTCAATACCATATTTGAACATTTTATGTCACTAATATATATACTAGAGTCCACTTTTTCACTTGACAGAAACATATTTCCAATACTGTTAACCATTCTTTATCAGTATCTTTTTAAGCCCAAGCATAGTTGTTTTTCAGTTGACTTCATAATGTACTTCACTTTTCAAACTTAGATGAATGTTTAGGTTATTTTCAGTTATCCTTTTTTAGGTAACACTATAGTGAACCTATTCTTGCATGTAACTTTAAAGATTATTAAATATTATGTCTTTAGGATGAATTTCTTACATGGATTTCCAAGAGTAAGATTATTACATCGAAGGATGCTAATTTCTTCATGGTTCTTGATAATTATTGTTATATTTTCTAAAATATAATATTAGTTCATAGTATCACCAGTAGTATATGAATTTATCAGTTTTATCATAATCTCATCAGTGATTTTGATGGTGTCCTGTTGTTTCAATTTTTACTTAATTTTTTTTATCGTTTGAACATTTTTTCTGATTTGTTCACTGTTTCTATATTGCTTTATATGAATCATCCATACATGTTTTTGTCCATTACTATTGGCGTCTTAATATTTTTCCAGTGGTTTTTAATGAGTAAATTTTATTATATATACATGTATTAATCTTTTGTTCTATTTCATATGTCTTTCCCAAAGTATTGTTTTAGTTTTTATTTTTAAAATTAATTTTTTAACTTTCTAATTTTCGGTTGGCACTTTAAAAATGTGATATTTTCTATTGAAAGTTTTTTATTTTTCAACTGCTTTTGCTGCTTTAGATTTAAGAAAGAAGTTTTTACATGATTCTGATGAATTCAGTGTTTTGTTTGCTGCCATTTAAATTATTTGATGTACTAAAAAGTTCTTTGCAGTTTGTCCTGAGTCACTTTTAATGGATAGTATGTAATCATCAACAGTTGGGGGATAACTCTACCCTTTCCATTTGGTTTGGAAAATCTACTTTTTCATATATTCAGTCATTATATATAAATTGGGGTTTTTTTTTGAGTTTCCATACTGGTTTTATTTTATTTTTATTTCTTTTTGGTGACAAATCTACATATTCATACATTGAAAGAAGTGTTAAGAAGGACTAAATGTGTTCCTATGTCTTTATGGCAGAACAGGTTTACTCAGGAGAGGATTATGGTTTATTTCATGTTGCATTTTCTTTCTGAAGTTGAAGTGGAATTACAGACCTGAAATAGTTATGTTGTTATCTTTAAATGATATTACAGATTTGCTAAGACTCTCATTGACTTCCAGAAGCATTCACAGTTTCTGAAATAGTTACATTAGTTTTGTTCAGTTCTCCAGATTTGAAGGCAGAGACTCATTTTTGATGTGTGTGTGTCTTCTTTGGTTCTTAGTTTAACGCTGGGTGTGTTAACAGAATTGATTGTTTTGAACTCGATTGCTTTGCAGATACAGTGGAAGGTCTTGATGCCCAGGTTGTAAATGGTTACATGATTCATGATCAGGAAAGCAAATCAGAGGTTCAGATTCCTTACCCTCTGTCAGAAAACAATCAAGTGCAGAGTGGAAGAGCTTTCCATCACGGAAGATTCATCATGAGTCTCCGGAAAGCAGCTATGGCAGAGCCCAAGTAAGACCACAGTTTCAAATATATAATTACTAAAGAATCAATGCATTTAAATTTGACCTTTGTACAAATAAGATTTTATAAATTTTAATGAATTTTTGGGGCATAGTCTAGAACATATGTATATTAAAATAAACTGTCAGTCAAAAGAGTGTTAGATATTCAGTGCTTTTGTTAAGAATATCATATAGAGAATTTTCCTTTGACATGGAACTATGAAGAGTTCTCCTTTGACTAAATGAAAATTACATAATTTTTATGTGACGGGAATTTAGAGGATATATTTGTAACTAAGGCATAAGTCCATTTGTGCACATTTTGGAGTTTGAGTTTGTGGTTACGATACTTTCTATTAGAAGTCAGGATACAAAACTGCAAGGAGAAATCCCTGTTTCATTCTCACTAAAGACCCAGTCTGTTAGGACTGGCTTCTTCTCTTGTTTATTAACTTATATTTACCAGTAACCTTTAAAACACTAATTGAAGAAGTTTTAAGCGTGAGAACCCTCATGTGACTGACACAGACTAAAGTATTGACAAAGCAAGTGAAGAAGCAAGTGGACTTAATCCTTTGGACTAAAAAGACTTGATATCCATGGAAGAAGAGTATGTTCACTGTATGAAAATGGAAAAATCGGCCAGGTGCGGTGGCTCATGCCTGTAATCCCAGCACTTTGGGAGGCTGAGGTGGGCAGATCACGAGGTCAGGAGTTCAAAACCAGCCTGGCCAATATGGTGAAACCCCGTCTCTACTAAAAATAAGAAAAAATTAGCCAGGCGTGGTAGCACGCACCTGCAGTCCCAGCTACTTGGGAGGCTAAGGCAGGAGAATTGCTTGAACCCAGGAGGTGGAGGTTGCAGTGAGCCGAGATAGCGCCACTGCACTCCAGCCTGGGCGACAGAGCGAGACTTGGTCTCAAAAAAAAAAAAAAAGAAAATGGAAAAATAGTCCCAAATATAAAGATTATAAAAATTACCTGTGATCTTTCTGACTAGAAATAATTACTCTTTCTTTTTTTTGAGACTGAGTCTCGCTCTGTCACCCGGGCTGGAGGGCAGTGTTGCAATCTCGGCTCACTGCAACCTCTGCCTCCCGAGTTCAAGCAATTCTCCTGCCTCAGCCTCCCGAGTAGCTGGGATTACAGGCACATGCCACCACGCCTGGCAAATTTTTGTATTTTTAGTAGAGACGGGGTTTCACCATGTTGGCCAGGATGGCCTTGATCTCCTGACCTTGTGATCCGCCCACCTTGGCCTCCCAAAGTTCTGGGATTACAGGTGTGAGCCACCGTGCCCTGCCAGAAATAATTACTCTTAACAGTTTGCAGGATGCATTCCAATACTTGTTTTCCCCTCTGTGTATGAATGTATGAGGGTATGTAAAGTTTCTCTGCCTATATTTTATTTTTTAACAAATTAATTTATTTTTAACAAATTAAGATGAAAATCCAATGTTACTTTTTAAAATATTTTTAAAATATTTAATGATTACTAATGATTACTAA
The DNA here is from genome assembly GCF_000001405.40 of Homo sapiens. Lineage (NCBI taxonomy): Eukaryota > Metazoa > Chordata > Mammalia > Primates > Hominidae > Homo > Homo sapiens. The sequence continues at coordinate 125,007,208 of NC_000008.11, forward strand.
TGTAATCATTAGTAATATGTATTAAATGTTGATAAATTAGAAAATAAAAAACACACATTGGACACGTGTTTGCACACACATGCATGTCCAGTTTATATGGATAAACTGGAGATAAGGAATTTATATTTAATTTAAATTGCTGAAATGTGCTGCTTTAGAAATGTATTTTTTTTTATTCTTTAGTGCAAAGTTTATTGAAGGTGTTGTGTTACAGTTATTAGAGGAAGATGATGTTGTGATGGGAGTTCAGTACAAGGATAAAGAGACTGGAGATATCAAGGTGAGAAATACCAAATGTCACCTCTTCCTAAGAGATGTTGTTTTTCCTGCTTTTTCACTTACCCCTTTAAAAAAGTAGGCTTACCGGTTTACATGTTGAGTATCTCTTATCTGAAATGCTAGGGATCAGAAGTGTTTCAGATTTTTTATTTTTTTCAGATGTTTGCATTATACTTACCAGTTGAGCATCTCTAATCTGAAAATCTGAAATTTGAAATGATCTAATGAGTATTTTGTTTGTCACATTACTGCTCAAAAAGTTTTGGATTTCAGATTTTTGGATTAGAGATACTCAGCCTGTGTTATTTATCAAATGAACTGAGTTCTTTCTAAGCCATATGCAACAGGATGGGTTTCAGATTGCAACACATTGTTCTTTAGAGGACTTCAGAATGCTATGCAAAAAACATTTTAAACAGAACTAATGTGAATAGTTTTTGAAACAGTAATATACATCAGCAGAGAAGCAGAGGGGAACTAGCAGGGGAAAGAAGGCAAGATTCAACATAAAAGAAATGATTCAGATAAAATGAGCAATTTAACTCAGGTAATAGTAAGAGAATCTTTTTAAAAACAATTTATCCTTTTATTTTATTTTATTTTATTTTGTTTTATTTTTTGAGACGGAGTTTCACTCTTGTTGCCCAGGCTGGAGTGCAATGGTGCGATCTCGGCTCACTGCAACCTCCACCTCCCAGGTTCAAGCGATTCTCCTGCCTCAGCCTCCTGAGTAGCTGGGATTACAGGCATGCTTCACCGCATCCGGCTAATTTTGTATTTTTAATAGAGACGGGGTTTCTCCATGTTGGTCAGGCTGCTCTTGAACTTCCAGCCTCAGGTGATCTGCCCACCTCAGCCTCCCAAAGTGCTGGGATTACAGGCGTGAGCCACCGCACCCGGCCAATTTTTCCTTTTTTTAAAAAAAAATTATCGTAGTAAAAAACATGTAATTCTGGACTGCTCCCCATAGGGTTACCACCTCTTAGAAATTGTCCTCTAATGAAGGTGACTGGAATGTTTTCTCTGCTCATACTGTAGTATTATAAATACATGTAGTCATTTGTACAAAAATTCTTCTAAGCCCTAGCTGCTGACTAAAAGCACTATATGAAGTTAGGAAATTTTAGAATGAAAGAATCTGGCTAGTCCCTTGAATTTGTAATGAGATTGACTGCTCTGTGTTACATGCCTGCCTTGTAGTTGTTTCCCCCATTGTCTGTCAAAGTGGAGAGTAATCCCAGATGGTTTGCATGGGAGGGCTACAAAGGGAGATGATCCTCAGGGACTCAGAGGAAGTATCTAAACACTGGTCATGCGTTATCTGAAGCCCACGTAACAGTTTCTTCAATAGTATTATCTTCAACTACTCTCTATAATGCTATCTGATAATATATCTAAATCTCTTCACGCACATTTTTTAAGAATGGCTTTTTTTACTGTGTGTTTCTGACTACTAAACTGAGTAGTCTTCATTTCTGTTATAGGAACTCCATGCTCCACTGACTGTTGTTGCAGATGGGCTTTTCTCCAAGTTCAGGAAAAGCCTGGTCTCCAATAAAGTTTCTGTATCATCTCATTTTGTTGGCTTTCTTATGAAGGTACTGTAGGAGTGTGTTATTGTAATTTCAATAAAAGAAACTTGAAATTTGAAAATTATTAAAACATTTTCTTTTTATTTGTTTTAGAATGCACCACAGTTTAAAGCAAATCATGCTGAACTTATTTTAGCTAACCCGAGTCCAGTTCTCATCTACCAGATTTCATCCAGTGAAACTCGAGTACTTGTTGACATTAGAGGAGAAATGCCAAGGAATTTAAGAGAATACATGGTTGAAAAAATTTACCCACAAATACCTGGTAAGAAATAGCATCTTCAGTTCTTACAAAGGCTGTGTCTAAAATAGGCCAGAGATAAGGATGGCAGGTGAAACATTCATCCAGTCAACCAGATATTCTGGAACTGAACTATTTAAACTAGCACTTAAAAACAGCAAAACAAACTCCCAAATTAATAAAAAAAAGTTTCGGGCCGGGCACAGTAGGTCATGCCTGTAATCCCACCACTTTGGGAGGCTGAGGTGGGCAGATCACCTGAGGTTGGGAGTTCAAGACCAGCCTGACCAACATGGAGAAACCCCGTCTCTACTAAAAATACAAAATTAGCCGAGTGTGGTGGTGCATGCCTGTAATCCCAGCTACTCAGGAGGCTGAGGCAGAAGAATCGCTTGAACGGGAGGCAGAGGTTGTAGTGAGCCGAGATCGTGCCATTGCACTCCAGCCTGGGCAACAAGAGCGAAACTCCGTCTCAAAAAAAAAAAAAAGTTTTGATATGTTTTTGTCACATAATAGCATAGTTTTTAGAATAATTGTTTTTATTGGCATATATGGTATTTTTAAAGGTAGTCTCTGGACACGAATCTGACTCTGAATTCTTTATCTCTTATACCTAAATATTTTTGTGCTTGGTTTTTGTAGTAATGACAGCTACCATTTCTTGAATGCTTACTATAAAGTGTTTAGCAAACATAATTTCATTTAATCTATGTAACCACTCTGTGAGGTAGGCATTATCATTATTCTCATTTTACAGATGGGAGAACTAAGGTTCAGAGAGATTAGTTAGCTCCTCCAAGTATAAACTATTAGTAATGGCAGAACCAGGGTTGATATCAGGTCTGTCTGGCTCATATGTGCCTGTTTGAACAGACATGTCCTGTCCGCAGAATGTGAGAATTGTAAGGGATCTTCAGGATCATGTTAGTTTTGAGTTGAATATAAAGGCTTCATGAGATTTAGATAGCTTTGTAAAAACATTAATAAAAATTACTTTTTCACAAATCTAAAGTTTTCATGGTACAGTTTTTAGGATCTTTTTTTGAGAATGGGATGATATAGGAAAGAAAAGTAAAAAAAATTTAAGAATTTTGATAAAATTGAAGGGAAACCCTCATTGTCAATTATGATATGATTAGAGTAATAGGAAACTATTTTTGGTATGAGTACATTTTGTTTAAATATTCCGTTTTTTTCAAGTTATTTTTTAAACTAAGTGAAACCACTTTAGTAACAAATTATTAACAGAAATGAAGTGAAATGAAGTGGGCAAACTTAGATTTTAAATAATGACATTTTCAACATGTACATGGAAACATTTCAATAAATTTTCATTTAGTTAAGCCACTTTTGAAGCTTTCAGATGGGGAAATTATGAATATTTATGAAAAGGGTCATCCATTACCTGATATTTTTAGCATTTATTTTTCTTTTATTGTAAATGTGGTGGTTTTTCTTTTTTTTTTCTTTTTTCCAATCCAGAGGTTAATTGGAGTAGAGTGCCCTGAAATTATGGAGAGAAACCATTGGTAGGTTTATATTAATATTAGTTAGATTACCAAAATTCTACTCCTTAATATGAATGGAATAATTTTTAACAGAGGCTTCTGCTCCTCTATTCCCAGATCACACTGGGAATTGTATGACAGTTCATTTTCTATATAAGTAGCACAGAAATTTAAAGCTTGTTTGGAAGTATCTCAGAGATGAGCTGATCAAACCATTTCATTTTTATAGATGAAGAAATTGAAGCTCAGAGAGGTAGGGCTGGCCTCGAATTCCTTTTCTAGTGTACATACCCTCCTGCTGTTTGTGAATTGGTAGTGTATTTCATCTGATTATTACAAGAATATATTGATTATAATACATTAAATATTAAATATGACAGTAGTCTGTTAACATTTGGAAGAAAGGTAGGTGGTTTTCTCCCTGTTTCATTTCATCTGAATTTGCCTCATTGTTTTTTCATTCAGTTGTATGTATGTTTATATTAATGTTCTCTTAGATTCCTTAGTCATTCCTTGGCATTAACAGCTAAGTGCTTAATGAATAATTTTATTAATGAAATAATTAGTTCTTGATTTATCACAAGGGATATATGTAACAACCATAACAGATGTATAGTAGGCATTTGTTTATACTTGATAAGAAAATATGTGATACTTTGAAATTGAAGTGTTATGACCCATTTCTTTGGGTTGGTGGGATTTATTGCAGATCACCTGAAAGAACCATTCTTAGAAGCCACTGACAATTCTCATCTGAGGTCCATGCCAGCAAGCTTCCTTCCTCCTTCATCAGTGAAGAAACGAGGTATTATTTTTTGGGCTTATTTTATAAAGGAATCAGTATTCCAAATGACAAATATATGATTAAATTTATACTGTTACGAATAACTTCTGGGACAGATAGTTTGTCACTGTGGATTAGTGCATTATTAATACCAAAATTAGTTTTATGATCTATTTAGTTGTTAACATTGAGTGTATACAAGTATTGTGCTAGTCAGGGAAACAACAGGTAAAAAACTGACCTTGACCTAGAGAAGGCAATTTTCTACTTAGGAATGTAGACAGATAATTTTACAACACTGTTGATAAATAAAACCCACAGATTCAGTGTCAAGAAGTGTGCAGAGCAGGGAGGGAAGCTTGTGAAATGGGAGGGGTAGTTAGGGAGGACGTTGTTCAGGAAACAGTGGAAACAAAGGACCTTGGACCTGGAGGATGAGTGGGAGTTCATGAGGTGGACACTAAGATGAGGAACTTCTAGGTAGATGGAATAACATTGCCAAAGGATGAGAAATGGTGGCACTTTCAAGGAACTCAAGCAGTTTCCTATGGCAGGAGCATAGGGTGGGTGTCAGAGTGGGAGACAGACCATTAACATTTAATCTTACAGACAATGGAAAGTCATTTGAAGTGTTTTCTTGTTACTAACTTTATTGATATATAATTCACAAATCAGTTTGCCCATTTAAAGTGTACAGTACAGTGACTTTTTTAGTATATTCACAGTGTGTGCATCACCACCACAATCAAATTTAGAACATTTTTATCTTGCCCAAAGAAACCCCGTACCCATTGGTATTCACTCCCCATTTCCTCCCAACACTCAGCCCTAGGCTACCCCTAATTTACTTTCTGTGTCTAGATTTGTCTATTTGGGATGTTTCCTAAAGGCATTGTATAGTAAAGCCCTTTGGAACTGGCTTTTCATTTAGCACAATGTTTTTGAGGTTCATTCATGTTGTAGCATGTTTCAGTTCTTCATTTGTTTTTATGGCCAAATAATCTTCCATTGTGTGGCTATATTACATTTTGTTTAGCCATTCATCAATTGATAGATATTTGGGTTGTTTCTACTTTTTGGTTATTACAAGCAATGCTGCTATGAACATCTGTGTGCGAGTTTTTGTGTGGACATATATTTTCATTTTTCTTGGTTATATACCCAAGAGTGATATTGCTGGATTACATAGTAGTTCACGTTTAACTTTTTGAGGAGCTGCTAGACTTGTTTTCCAAAATAGCTGTCCCAGTTACATTCCTTTCAGCAGTGTGTGAGTTCTAATTTCTCCACATCCTTGTCAGTGAACACTTGTATTATCTTTGTGTGCATAGCCATCCTAGTAGTGTGAACTAGGCCTTTTATCATTGTGCTGATTTGCATTTCTCTCATAGATAATGATGTTGAACATCTTTTCATATGCATATAGGCCATTTGTTGTTTGGAGAAATGTATATTTAGACTTTGCATATTTTTTTAATTGGGCAGATTTAAAATTTATGTATTGTTGAGTTTCAAGAGTCCTTTATATATTTTAGGTACAAGTCCCTTATTAGATATGTGATTTGCAAAATTTTTCTCATTCTGTGGGTTTTCTTTCCATTCTTCTTAATGGTTTCCATTGAAGTACACATGGTTTAAATTTTCATGTTTATTTTTTCTTTCGTTGCTTGTGCTTTTGATGTCATATTTAGGAAGGCTTTGTCCAATCTAAGTTCAAAAAGATTTACTCCTATGTTTTCTTTTTCTTTTTTTTTTTTTGAGATGGAGTTTCGCTCTTGTCGCCTAGGCTGGAGTGCGATGGTGCGATCTCGGCTCATTGCAACCTCGGCCTCCCAGGTTCAAGCAATTCTCCTGCCTCAGCCTCCCGAGTAGCTGGGATTATAGGTGCTCGCCACCGTGCCCAGCTAATTTTTGTATTTTTAGTAGAGACGGGGTTTCGCCATGTTGGCCAGGCTGGTCTCAAACTCCTGACCTCAGGTGATCCACCCACCTCAGCCTCCCAAAGTCCTGGGATTACAGGCATGAGCCACCATGCCTGGCCTGTTACTCCTATATTTTCTTCTAAGAGTTTTATAGTTTTACCTCTTAAATTTAGCTCTTTGATCCATTTTGAGTTAAATTTTGTGTCTGTTGAGAGGAAGGGGTCCAGCTTGATTTGTTTGTGTGTGGATATTCAGTTGTCCCAGTATCATTTGTTGAAAAGACTGTTTGTTCCCCAGTGAATTTTCTTGCCCTTGTGGTCAAAATTCCCTTGACTGAAAGGTAAGGGTTTCTTTCAACAATATTTTGTAGTTTTCAGAGTATAAGTTTTGCATTTCTTTTGTTAAATTTATTCCTAAGTATTTTACCTTTTTTGATACTTTTGTAAATGGAATTTTCTTAAAGAGGCAGTGGCATGATTAGACTTTTATTTCAGGAATATACTCTGACATTTTTGTGGAGGATGGTTTGGAGGAAAGTCTAGTAAAACATACACTAAGATTAATTATTCTGTCAATGATGATAAAAGGCCAGAACTAGGGTTGTAAAATGAAAGGTAATGAATAAATTTGGGTAATATCTAGGATGTAGAATGTAAAAAACGTGATGATTTGGATATTATAATGAGAGTGAAATCTCTTGATGTAAATTCCAGGTTTCTGGCTTAGATAGTTTTGCCAGCCATTTGCTGACATAGGAACAGGAAAAGGAGTTAATTGGGTTTTCTTTCTTTTTTCTTAGTTTGTCTTAAAGGTTTGCTGATTTTATCTTTTCAAAGAACCAACTTTTCATTTTGTTATCTTTTGTATTTTTTTCATTTCATTTATTTTGGCTCTGATCTTTATTATTTTCTACTAATTTGGGGTTTGGTTTGCTCTTGCTTTTCTGGTTGAGATGCACTGTTAGGTTGTTTATTTGATGTTTTCCTGCTTTTTTGATGTAGGCACTTACTGCTAAAAACTTTCCCTTTAAGTATTGCTTTTGCTGTGTCTCACAGGTTTTATATATTGTCTTTGCATTTTTATTTCTATCAAGAAATTTTTATATTTACTTCTTAATTTCTTCATTGACCCACTGGTCATTCAAGAGCATGTGGTTTAATTTCCATGTGTTTGTATACACAGTCTCCAAAGTTCCTCATAGTACTGATTTCTAGTTTTATTCCACTGTGGTCAGAGAAGATACTTGATATGATTTCAATTGTTTTTTGAATTTTTTAAGCCTTGTTTTGTGGCCTACCCATGATCTATCCTTGTGAATGATCGATTTGCTGAGGAGAAGAATGTGTATTCTGCAGTTGTTGGATGAAATGTTCTGTGAATATTTGTTAGGTCTGTTTGGCCTGTAGTCCAGATTAAGTCTGATGTTTGTTGTTTATCTGTCTGGATGATCTATTCAGTGCTGAAGGTGGGGTGTTGAAGTCTCCAGCCATGATTGTATTGGGGTCTGTCTCCTTAGCTCTAATAATATTTCCTTTATATATCTGAGTGCTCCGGTATTGGGTGCATATGTAATTGTTACATCCTCTTGCTGAATTGACCCCTTTATCATTATCTAATGACCTTCTTTGCCTCTTTTTATAGTTTTTGTCTTGAAATCTATTTTACTGATGTAAATATCACTATGCTCTTTTTTGGTTTCCATTTGCATGGAATATCTTTTTCCATCCCTTCATTTTCAGTCTCTTTGTGGCTTTATAGGTGAAGTGTGTTTATTTTAGGCAGCAGATCGTTGGTTCTTTTTTTAAATCCATTCAGCCACTTACGCCTTTCGAGTGGAGTTTAGTCCATCTACATTGAATGTTATTATTGGTAAGTGCGTACTATTGCCATTTTGTTTTTGTTTTCTGATTGTTTTGCTGTCTTTTCTTCCGTCCTGTTTCCTTTCTGTGAAGGTAATTTTCTCTGGTAGTATGTTTTAATTTCTTGCTTTTAATTTTTTTGCCTACCTCTTGTAGGCTTTTGATTTGAAATTACCAGGAAGCTTGCAGGTCATATCTTATAACCGATTATTTTAAACTGATGACAACTGATTCCACAAACGAGCAGAGAAAACTAATAAAAACTCTACACTTTATCCTCCTTGCTTTTTAACTTTTGTGAGTTTTGTACCTTCATGTAATTGCTTACTGCTCGTTAAGGTCCTTTTCTTTTAGATTGAAGAACTCACTTCGGCATTTCTTGTGGGAAAGTTTGGTGTTGATGAAGTCCCTCGGCTTTTGTTTGTCTGGGAAAGTCTTTATTTCTCCTTCATGTTTGAAGGATATTTTCACTGGATATACTATTGTAGCATAAAAGTTCTTTTCCTTCAGCACTTTCAGTGTGTCTTGCCCCTCTCTCCTGGCCTGTAAGATTTCCACTAAGTCTACTGCCAGACATACTAGAGCTCCATTGTTTGTTGTTTCCTTTCTCTTGTTGCTCTTAGGATCTTTTCTATATCCTTGACCTTTGGGAGTTTGATTATTAAATGGCTTGAACTAGTCTTGTTTGGATTAAATCAATCACCAATCCTTGCTTGGTGTTCTGTAGCTTTCTTGTGCTTGAATATTGATATCTTTCTCTAGATTTGGGAAGTTCTCTGTTATTTTTTCTTCAAATAAACTTTCTACCCTCATCTTTCTATCTCCTTTTAAAGGCCAAGAACTTAGATTTGCTCTTTTGAAATTATTTTCTAGATCTTGTAGGTGTGCCTCATTCTTGATTATTCTTTTTTCTTTTGTCTCCTCTGTGTATTTTCAAATAGCCTGTTTTCAAGCTTACTAATTCTTTCTTCTGCTTGATCAGTTCTACTGTTGAGATTCTGCCATGTTCTTCAGTAAGTTAATTGAATTTTTTATCTCCAGAATTTCTGCTTGATTCTTTTAAATTATTTCAGTTGTTTTGTTAAACTTACCTGATAGCATTCTGAGTTCCTTCTCTGTGTTGTCTTGAATTTTGTTGAGCTTCTCCAAAACAGCTATTTTGAATTCTCTGAAAGCTCACATCTCTGTTACTCTGGGATTGGTCACTGGTGCCTTATTTATTATTGTTAATTTAGTGAGTTCATGTTTTCCTGGATGGTTTTGATGACTGTGGATGTTCACCAATGTCTGGGCATTGATGAGTTAGGTATTTATTGTGGTCTTCGGAGTCTGGGCTTGTTTGTACCCATCTTTCTTGGGAACGCTTTTGAAGTATTCAAAGGGAAGTGAGTGTTGTGATCTAAGTCTTTGGTCATAGCAGCCGTATCTGTATTAAGGGGCACCCCAAGTCCAGTAACATTGTGACCCTTGCAGACTTGTAGAGGTACCGCCTTGGTGGTCTTGGGTAATATCTGGGAGAATTCCCTGGATTATCAGGAAAAGAACTCTTGGTTCTCTTCCCTTACTTTCCCCCAAACAGAGTCTGTCCTTCTTTGTTGAGCTGCCTGGAGCTGTGGGGGACGGGTGACACAGGTATGCCTGTGGCCACCATGACTGGCGTGTGCTGAGTCAGACCTGAAGCCAGTACAGCACTGGGTATTGGTGAAAGGCTTGTGGTGATGACTGCCTGGTCACCGCTGATGTTCCCTCAAGACTCAAGAGCTCTACAGTCAGCACAAATCCAGCCAGGCTTGTGCCCTTCCCTTGAGGGCAGTGAGCTCCTGGGGGCCCAGGACTGGTCCAGAAATGCTGTCTGGGAGCCAGGGCCTGGAGTTGGGAAACTTAGGAATCTACTTGGTGCTCTATTCTACTGCAGCTGAGCTGGCACCCAAACCTTAAGACATATTCCTTCCCACTCTTCCCTCTCCTTTCCTCAAGCAGAAGGAGCCTCTCCCCATGGCCACCAGTGCTCCAGGCCTGCAGTGAGTACTGCCTGGCTGCTGCTGGTGTTCACTCAAGGCTCCAGGGCTCTTCAGTCAGCTGGTGGTGAATGCTGCCAGACCTGGGTCTCTCCCTTCAGTACAATGGGCTCCCCTCTCACCCAGGACGGATCCAAAAATGCTGTCCAGGTGCCAAGACCTAGAATCAGGGACCCCAGGAACCCACTTGGTGCTCTGTCTCACTGGCCAAGCTGGTACCCAGGCTGACTTTTGGTTCTTATGAAGGTGCTTTCCTGTGTGGGAGGGGGATGATCGCCAGAGGACTTGCTTTGTATACCTGGATACCTGTAGATTCTTTTTATTTTCTTCATATTTTAAGGAGGCCTTACAAATGTATTGACATTATTGGACTTGTCATTAGGTTTGTATATGAGCTTCATGAGGGCAGAGGCCACACTCTTGTTATTACCATATCCCCAGTGCCTGGCCACCTATTAGGTACCCAACATTGATTCAAACAACTCTTGAATTTTTGCCTCAGCAAATTTTAATCATGATTTGTTTTCATGTATTTTCACATTTTTCTTATTATTAGCTTACATCAGTAATCTTTATACATTGAGTTATCCTTTTTGTTTTGTCTCAAGGGATGCTCTAAAATAAAATCTTCATTACCTCTCTTCATAGGTGTTCTTCTTTTGGGAGACGCATATAATATGAGGCATCCACTTACTGGTGGAGGAATGACTGTTGCTTTTAAAGATATAAAACTATGGAGAAAACTGCTAAAGGGTATCCCTGACCTTTATGATGATGCAGCTATTTTCGAGGTAAGATCAATTATTTTGACAAAAATGTCTCAAAATGGATTTATTTCTGGGGGTTAAGAGCAGTGGGGCTCTGATGGGGAGATCTGTACTAAGGAACCTGATGCTTTATAATAGCTCTTAGGCATCTTGCTTAGGCTTAAAGAACCTGACTTGCAACCTGTGAATCTTAGAGAATTTCTAAATTTGAATATTATGTAACACTTGATTGCTATGGGCCACTTAGCTCATAGTGGTTGTAAATTTAGCTTCAGTGTCATATAACCCATTGCTCTGAAGGTGATTTTTTATTTTTTTTGTAAATGATAAACATAAGGCAATATTACTTGCAGATAGTCCTTAGAAGGATAAGTATCAGTTTGAGGGGATTATAAACATCAGTTTGTGCTTTTTTATCCTTACCATATAATAAATGAGCTATTTCTTTTTTAGGCCAAAAAATCATTTTACTGGGCAAGAAAAACATCTCATTCCTTTGTCGTGAATATCCTTGCTCAGGCTCTTTATGAATTATTTTCTGCCACAGATGGTAAGTGTAGACACTTTTTAGTGAATATTACTCAATTGCAGATTTTTAGCGTAGGAAAGGAATAAACAAGTTAGTGATTTGTCCAGAAATAAAAATGTTACCTGAGTTTGCTAACTCCCAAGTTGGTAGTTTTTTAAAATTCCATTTTGAGCAATAGTTGTAGTTTTAGTTTTAGTTTGGAAGGTAGTGGAATTTCCTTAGACAACATTAATAGCAATGCCTCAGTAACATATTCATTATTTTGAATTCCTCTGGTGCAGACTAGATCATGCTTGTCCTCACACACACAAGACTGTGATGGAAGGTGTTTTTGGCCATGTATTAAAAGGCAATGTAGTCTTTTTCTTCCTAACACTAGTTTCAATTTCTTTTTAAAGTAGTATTTTATAAAATGAATACAAGCTGTTAATCTTGTCCCTGTTGAAAAGCACAAGTAACAATGCATTCACCCTTTACTTATTTGGATTATTTTGGTGCTTTTGTTACTGTTTCCATATTATACAGAGGTCACGGTCAATGTATATATTAGAGAAAACACAACTTAGCAGAAGCAGTGTTAGAAATGGAGGAAAAGAGGCCAGGCGAAATGATTCATGCCTGTAATCCCAGCACTTCAGGAGGCCAAGGCAGGAGGATCGCTTAAAGCCAGGAGTTTCACACCAACCTGGACAATAAAGCAAGACCCCATCTCTACAAAAAATTAAAAGATCAGCAAGGCATGGTGGCGTGTGCCTGTAGTCCCAGCTATTTGGGACTATATAGCTCACTACAGTGAGCTATATATAGTGAGCTATATGAAGTGCCACTGCACTCAGCCTGGGCAACAGAGTGAGACTTCATCTTCTAAAACAAACAAACAAAAAATTAAAAGAAATGGAGGAGAAAAGGCAACTGTGCCACCTCCTCACCACAGCAGTGTACACATCAGTTTAATAGTAGGTTAATGAAACTAGGCTTTTCAGTTTTCAAGAATAAATACTGACTCATATGCCACTACTCTAGTATATTTGCAACATAGCTATTTGTATGATCTGGCTGAGGCCCTAGTGATAAGTGCTGTGGTTATAATTACAAAAGATGATACAATAAAAATGCTTTCTGTAGCCTCTATAACCATTAACTCTTCCTAAGGAAAAAAAACAAAACAAAAACCCCACCAATCTCACTGGTTATGATTTTTCCAAACAAATTTCTCTTGCTAAATTGGCATAGAAGTTAAAATGGCTGGTTGGGCAAATGAAAGTAACTAAGTTTAGAGTTTTGGGCAAATAAAAAGAACTAAGTTTAGAGTTTTGGGCAAATAAAAAGAACTAAATTTAAGAGTTTTTCTGAGCTCTTCTTTCTAAGCTTTTCTAACTTCTTGAGTTCTTAACATTATGAATTTAAATCTACCAACAAAACAACATTTTTTAAAAGTTACAAGATTGGAGGAGGAAAGACCTTTATTGGAGCAAAAGTTTACCTGTTGCATCCTTTACTTTTTAAAATCTGTTGTAAAGAAAAATCTGGGCATACCTGAACAGAACATTGATTCTAAATGGTTAAAAAGGTTATCAATTGATTACACTACATTGTGAGGGTTTTATGAGTTACTTTGAAAGGTATTAAAAACTTTATAGATATAAGGAATTATTATTTATCGCTACTCACAGCTCTCTTCACTTGATAATTTACTGCTTAGTTAGAGATACTGGTTGGACATCTTAGAGACTGGGAATTTGGTTTCTAGAATTGTGTTAAAAAGAGCTTCCAAAGTATTTTGCATCACTTAATGAATTAACAGCAAAATCAAGGAAGTACCTTTTAAACAACTCTTCCAAGACCTAAATATTAGTAGTTATTTACTAACAGAAAAAAGTTTATTCATATTTATATTACTCTCCATAATGCTGATTATGGAATTCAGAAGAAATCCTGGTTGTTGAAATTCTAGGACTAGATATTTAAAAATTATCTGCAAGATGTAGCGTTTGTTATTTCTCATTTTTTCTGATATATCATTAGCATCCTACATAAGTGTGTACACATATTTGATTATTTTACAATTTTATTTTAGATTCCCTGCATCAACTAAGAAAAGCCTGTTTTCTTTATTTCAAACTTGGTGGCGAATGTGTTGCGGGTCCTGTTGGGCTGCTTTCTGTGTAAGTTGTGATGGCACAGAGGATACAAACCTGCCAGATTTTCTTAGGACTGTTCAGTTGATGAATTACTGCAAATCTTTCTTCCTTACACATTTTGATATTTTATTATCTGTTAGTATCCCAATGAGAAGGTGGCCCAAAGAAATGAAGAAACGCAATATTTAGTACTGTTTTCTTTCTAGGGAACAGCAGTTAAAGGTGGTGGTAGAGGAAGCTATAACCCTTGATTAAAATAGAAGCTTGTTTTTTGCCTATGGATTTATCCATATGTTCTGGTCTGTGGGAGCCAGGAATAATTGAGAAATTTTAATTTAAGAATTAGTTTCATTGAAGTACGGGGACTTATACAACCCAGTATTAGTTTTGAGCGTACAGACATATGTGGAACTATTCTTGGAAAGTCTACAAAGTGAAATCTATCGAGTTATTTCTCATTTGCAAAGTGATCCTTTGAGTCATTTCTCATAATCTATAATCTGAATGTTAATACTGATATTTTTAAAAGCCCTACATCCCAACAGACCAGGCCATCTAGATATTTCAGCGTGGTGTCTCAGGATGAGTAAACAAACAGCTAAAAATATATGACTTATGTAAACTAGAGTTACAGGAGTTACTAGCTTTTCTGAAAGGGATATATTCTAAGTATTTTTTCTTAAAAAAAAAAAAAGGGGGGTGGGGGGTTTGCTCCTGCCATCAAACTTAACATGCAGACATATTTGTGACGTCCTCTAAAATGTAGAATGTTTCATACAGAATTATGATGCTTGGGTAAAAAAAAGTAGGATGTTTGTTGAGCTTCGTAGATTATATGTAATTGGAACCTTTGGAGTAAATTTTAGTTTCTGAGTCTTACCAATATGTATTTTTTTCTATTACAGATTGTCTCCTAACCCTCTAGTTTTAATTGGACACTTCTTTGCTGTTGCAATCTATGCCGTGTATTTTTGCTTTAAGTCAGAACCTTGGATTACAAAACCTCGAGCCCTTCTCAGTAGTGGTGCTGTATTGTACAAAGCGTGTTCTGTAATATTTCCTCTAATTTACTCAGAAATGAAGTATATGGTTCATTAAGCTTAAAGGGGAACCATTTGTGAATGAATATTTGGAACTTACCAAGTCCTAAGAGACTTTTGGAAGAGGATATATATAGCATAGTACCATACCACTTATAAAGTGGAAACTCTTGGACCAAGATTTGGATTAATTTGTTTTTGAAGTTTTTTGTATATAAATATGTAAATACATGCTTTAATTTGCAATTTAAAATGAAGGGGTTAAATAAGTTAGACATTTAAAAGAAATGATTGTTACCATAAATTAGTGCTAATGCTGAGGAGAACTACAGTTTTTCTTTTGAATTTAGTATTTGAGATGAGTTGTTGGGACATGCAAATAAAATGAAGAATGAACTTTCGTGTCTTTTTGTTTCTTGTTGTGGGCTCGTTTACATAGCTTCATGATAATGAAAAAGAAAACCAAAGTGGGATGAAAAGTGCAGAGGGAAACCTGTTCTATTAAATAACTGGGGAAGTTGCCTTAATGTCTTGACCTTGATTTCCTCATCTATCCAGTGAAGCAATTTGATAAGGTTATTTTCTTTAAAAAAAATTACTTATTTATTTATTTATTTTATTTTGGGGCTGTGACTCAGATTTGAACCGAAAGGTTCTTTGCTGAGTTCTCTGAAAATATCAGATTCTGACAGGAAAGGCAATCAAGGGCTTTATAAGTTCCACTGTATAGCAACATTTATAAGGCAGCCCAGGATGACATCAAGAAACAGTGAGTGAACAAGTAAGCACTTGTAATACCCGGCATAATACCTTAAAATCCGTTAGGATTTACTGAGTTTATCTATAGTAAATTTGAAGAGACTATGGATGTTCAAAGGGTATCATCATAAAAGTTCAGTAAATCTCCAAATACCATGAAAGTAAATTGTTACTTCTGAAAGAGCAGTAAAATATAACCTGGCAAATGAAGTTACTACTTGAGATTCTAACAGGGCTAAAATATAACTTACAAAGCTTTTACAATAAAAATTTCAATTTTTAAGTTTTTTCAGTTGAAAAAAATTCTTCACTGGCCAAATCACTAGCAAAATCAGTTTCAAACATCACTGCCTTGTTTTAGTAGAGCATATGGTGGACCCATTTGCTTGGTTTCGTAAGATTCCCATCTAACTGACCCTAAACTTCTATTTTCTGGTTAAAAACTCACTTTCCCAGATCTGGCCTTCTTAGCAGTTAGTTAGCTTTCTTTTTCGAGAACAAAGATCTCACTTCATGTGGTTATTGTTAACAAGATTACAAATGAAAAATAACACGCTATCGTTGAGATATAGATGTTCCCACACACCGTCTTTGCAGGGGGTGAGACTTCCAAGCTCCCTACGTACCAAGCAACAGTTCTCTTAAAATTCTGCCCTGGCCTCGGTGCCCTCATGGCCAGGATTCGAGGTTACCCTTGTTCGCCACTGAGACTCCTTTAAAGTCCTTTCTACTATGATAGTGAAATAATCAAAGCCTGTAAAGTCTTTTCTTCCCTTCAATATCAGAATTTGAGGCCTTCTGACAAAAGAAATAAAATGAGAAAACCGAAGGAACCTGAGAAATCCTTTAGTCCTAATTTTACAGATGATGCCAGTAGGCTGGCTTGGGACAAGGTGTAGCTTGTGGCAGAACCAGGACTCAAACTTACCCTCCTGATTGCAAATCAGTACATCTTCCCCCACCACTAGCAAAATGACTGTCAAACAGATTTTGGCTTCTGGGTTTGGTTTGGTTTGTTCCTTCCTCTCCAGAGAAGGACATAACCATAGAGATTTAGGGTGGAAACATCTTTCTTGCTCTCATCCAAGTTGTTGATACCCAAGTTGCCACAGTAGGATGGCAGTGATATGGTGTGGCTCTGTGTCCCCACCCATATTTCTTCATAGCAGTGTGAGAACAGACTAATAGTGGCAGCTTCCTTTTCAGGGTAATTTTCATGCAGAAATGATTTAGGATTTCGAGGGAGTTAAGCTTATGGGAAGGCTATTACCAAAAAGGACTCTGGATAATGATACGGTTGTGGGGACTTGGGGCAGGACTCAGGTTGCTGAGGAAGATACCGGAAGGAGCAGCTTTGTTAAGGAGTCCTACAGAAGGAATGCTGTGGACCCCCTAGGGCATGTGGGATTGGAAGAGGATGATGAGACACCAAGAAACTTCAATGGCACATGACACAGATTGTGTGGCCACTACATTTGCTACTAGTCTGGCTATCACCACGTGCCTGCCAGCTTGTTGGGGGTGAGCTATTATACCTAGCAGAGTCATCTCTTATTCCAAACAGGGTTTTTTACAGGGTGAATACACAGTTTTTGAATCATAAGCGAGACGACTTTGGGTACTAGTAATACTATTTTACTGAAAATCTGGAGTTGCACAAATAGTTCTTTAGAACATAAAACTAAATGGATTTATACATAACAGTTACATTCAGCATTTAAGAGAGGCAGTACAAAAATGTGTTCTGCTTTTATCTGATATAAATTGCATGTAATACCATGATTTAAACAATATCAGTTATATTAACTAATGCCATGAGATATATCTTACTCAGAACGTCTGATGTTTCCCATAATAGACAGAAAAAATGCAGTTGTATGAGCAACTGAGTTTCTTTTCATCTTCAAATTCATTTGTGATGGTGGGAAGATCTAAGGACAATCCTTCCATTGAAGAAGTAGGAAAAACAGTTACAGCACTGTTCTGAACTCATCAAAAATGAAATTAGGCACATGTGCTTCAGCAACCTGAAAAATTAAAGAATTAAATTATTCATGGTGTTATAGTTGAACAATTACAAAATTTTCATACGTAAAAGAAAAGATATCCTTGGAGCAAGGTGAATAATAGAAGAGGAGACTCCCATGGGCGGACGACTCCTTGAAACAGCCCCTTTCTGCTTGTGGTGCCCCCTAGACTAGCGTCTCATTTCTTGGCACTGCTAACATTTGAGGGGATGCAGTACAGCTCTCCCGCCTCCAAATCTGAGCTTCTTGGCTCTTAAAGGTACCTTGATCTGCGAGGAATGTTCTTGCCTCTGGGAAGTACTGACAAGTACTCAGGTCACCTAATACACTTCATTAACTGATGACCAACAAGGAAGAACAGGATGGCTGGCAAGTGATGGGGTTGGAGAGGTAGGGGAGGGCAGGAATGAGAATGAGATACCAAGGCCAGAAGGGGAAGAGCAGGAAGGCCTTCAGAGGCATGCATTCCTGAACTGTTCTTGGGCAAAGCCCTGAGAAGACTAAATTGGGCTCAGTTGGGTAGAATGTAGAGGTAGGTGATCTCCAAGTGCTGGAGATGAGTATTTTTTAGAAGCAGTGTTTAATTTTTTTTCTGATCATAAAGGTATAACCTGCTAATGAGAGGAAATTTAGCAAATGCAGAAGAGTATAAAAATTATTTTTACAGTGGGTGGAGGGCAAGGGGAGGGAGAGCATTAGTATAAATACCTAATACATGTGAGGCTTAAAACCTAGGCTGGGCGTGGTGGCTCACGCCTGTAATCCTGGCACTTTGGGAGGCTGAGGTGGGTGGATCATGAGGTCAGGAGTTCAAGACCAGCCTGACTAACATGGAGAAATCCCATCTCTACTGAAAATAAAAAAATCAGCAGGGCGTGGTGGTACGCATCTGTAATCACAGCTACTCAGGAGGCTGAGGCAGGAGAATCACTTGAACCAGGGAGGCGGAGGCTGTAGTGAGCCCAGATCTCACTACTGCACTCCAGCCTGGCGACAGATGGCACATGTATAATACCTATGTAACAAACCTGCACATTCTGCACGTGTAGCCCAGAGCTTAAAATTTAAAAAAATATTTTTTTAATCTTAATCCCTTAAAGAAAATAAAAACTGGCAACTTTTGTAATGAATTTTTCCAGTTTACTTACATATGCAGACAGACACACACACACACACACACACACAATCAAAATTAGGATCACATAATATTGTGTCCTTCTCTACCTCTGCTAAATCTTATATTATGAACATCCTTGGGCACATATCTTGGTAAACCTTTGCACATATATCCAGCAGGTAAAATTCCTAGCAGTGGAATTGCTGGGATCAGGGTAAGTATATTACAAATGTTTTTTTAAAATAGATAAAGCTAAATTGCCCTCCTCAAAGGCTGTCAATTTACATTCCAATTAATAGCACTTACAAGTCCCATTTCTCCAAATGCTTCCGAATAATGGGGGCCCAACATTTTACCTTTCACCAACCTGATAAGTGGAAACAGTAATTTTCGTATTTGGATTTTTGTCCCTTGAATCCGAAGGTTTGTCATTTCTATTTTCTTGAAAACTGCCTCTTAATTTCCTTTGCCCTTCCCCTGCTTTTTTTCTATTGGCTTGGACATCTTTTTCATACTGAACTTGAAGATTTGAAGAGCACACTATAAATCAAGAAACTAGTCCTTTGTTGGTATTTCCTCTTTTGTCTTTTGTTTTTTAACTGAGACACTGACACAGAATTAATTACATTCAGCATTTATAAAAAATCAAGTCTCTAAATCTTTTTCTTTATAGTTTCTTCTTTTGGTTTTATACTTAGGAATTTCTGAGAGCTGATACATATTTGCCTAAAATTTCGGCTAATTTATTTGTTTCATATTTCACACTAACCCTTTATCTGTAATTAATTTTGATAACATAGGAGATGTAAAGGGGACTAAGTTGCTATTTTTTTAACTGTGTGAACTTACATCTATTGACTAATATTCCCTTTCTCTCTTAATTTGAGATGCTACTTTTCCTTATGTACCATTGTATGCACAGGGTGTGTTTCTAGGCTACATATTCTTGCTCATTGTTCCTTCTATTTAGTTGCATACCAGTAGCACCCTATTTTGGTTTCTACAGTTTTACAGTGTTTTAATACTTGATATAATATTTTAATATCTTTTTTTTAAAAAAGGACTTGCCTAAGTCCTATGACATTTTAAAAAATATATTCTTTGAAGTTAAAAAAGTACCTGAAATCTTGATTGTAACTGCAGTAAACCTATAAACTAGATAGAACTATTATCTCTGTAATATTCGAGGACCCTCATTCAGAAACATGGACTTTCAAATTTTATATTTAAAATTTTTATAGTTTTTTAATAAAGTGTTCTTTCATATTTCTTATAGAGGTTATTCTTAGCTATATCATTGCCTTGTTATTTCTGTGAATAGGTCCTTTTTCACACTGTATTTTTTAATCGATTGATGTATTTCATACATTTATTCTGTAGCCAGCTTGTTTTCTGATCTCTGTATTATTTTGATAGTTTTTCACATGATTCTATTGGGTATTCAAGGAAGACAGTTATGCAGCAATCCCACTACTGGGTAACTACCCAGAGGAAAAGAAGTCATTATTCAAAAAAGATACCTGCACATGCATGTTTACAGCAGTACAATTTACAATTGCAAAATCGTGGAACCAACCTAAGTGTCCATCAATCAATGAGTGGATAAAGAAATTGTGATATATACATACGATGGAATGCTACGCAGCCATAAAAAAGAATGAATTAACAGCATTTGCAGTGACCCGGATGAGACTGGAGATTATTCTTACAAGTGAAGTAACTCAGGAATGGAAAACCAAACATCGTATATTCCTACTGATATGTGGGAGCTAAGCTATGAGGACGCAAAGGCATAAGAATTATACAATGGACTTTGGGGACTTGGAGGGAAGAATGGGAGGGGAGTGAGGATAAAATACTACAAATATGGTGCAGTGTATACTGCTCAGGTGATGGGTGCATCAAAATCTCACAAATCACCACTAAAGAACTTACTCATGTAACCAAATACCACCTGTATCCCAATAACTTATGGAAAAATAGAATAAAAAAGGAAGACAATTAATCTCAAATAATACAGAGTTTGTCTTCTTTCCAATATGCATTTTATTTTCATTTCATTTCTTATTGTCTTGCACCTGTATAACAAAAGTAGTTGCAAGAGTCTGTATAGTTGTCATGACACTGTGACAGTCCTGGCTTTAATGGGAATGCCACTAACATTTCACTATTATGTACTGACATTGCTAGTTAATTTTAAAAGTTCATCTTTGGCTCATGTTGTAAGAAAGTATCTTTGATTCCTAACCTACTAATTTCTAAAAATCAAATGATTTTCAGTATCTGCTGAAAGTTGTATTTTTCAGTATCAAGCTCTCCACTTTGAGCTAAAATTTAACAAAGTGGAATTACTAATGAGAAAGGGATAGGAAAGAATGTCTTGGCAGGTAAAAAGTAGTCTGCCATTTTTGGAAACAGTGCTCATATATACATTTAGTTGTGGCATGAACTTAACTGTGCTTGCTGTGGGAACCAGGTCAGTGGAGAGAGAAAGAACAAACCACCATGATTATTTCTTTCCTCTGGCCACTTAAGGAATCCCTCCTGGCTTGCCTATTTCACTTAACTCCTGAACCAGATGAGTTGCTGACAGGAGTACATGGTGGAGAGGAAGAAGAGGCGGGAGGGGCATTGTGTTAAACTCTGCAAGGCAATTCCCATGGTGGAAAAGGCAAGGACATTTCAGAGCTGGGGGTAGAGCAGTGGCGAGAGGCGCAGAGGCATCTACTGTGAACGACCTATTGGGCTTCACTCCTGATGAATCCAGGGCCACTATTATTAGCATCTTTTTACAACTATTAATATTGTTCTTTACTATCTATCACTTACCCTCCTGGGTAGCTTTGTGTACCGAACATAATCCTCCAGGAACAGAAGGGCACCCACAACATCTGCAGGAATTTCAGGTATCTTCTGGCTGTGATAGAGAACAGTTTAGATCAATTAACTGCTTTGCACATCATAAGCCCTTTTGGTCAGAATCCTGAAAGACTAAATTACCAACAGATTACCTAATGAAGTCAAAGATGAACAAAAACATTGAGCATGCTCTTAATTCCTGTCAAGTTGTTACCTTGCTCATGTATTTTCAGGAGCCCACCCCATAGGGTAAATGTGAGCTTCTCTATACGGTTTCCATGGGCGTTTACAACACGATCCCTGCTATCTATCCAGACTCATCTCCCTCTGTTTACATGATTCAATACCTAGCAGGTCCCATACTTTCCCATCCCTGCACACTTTTTTTTTTTTTTTTTTGCGACAGACTTTTCACTCTTGTAGCCAGGCTGGAGTGCAGTGGTATGATCTCGGCTCACTGCAACCTCCGCCTCCCGGGTTCAAGTGATTCTCCAGCCTCAGCCTCCCGACTGGCTGGGATTACAGATGCACGCCAGCATGCCTGGCTAATTTTTTGTATTTTTAGTAGAGACGGGGTTTCACCATGTTGGCCAGGCTGGTCTTGAACTCCTGACCTCAGGTGATCCACCCGCCCTGGCCTCCCAAAGTGTTGGGATTACAGGCGTGAGCCACCGCACCTGGCCTGCACACTGATTTGAAAGTAAACTTCTAGACATTGTTCGAGTCTCAGCTTGGGTACTTCTCCTGTGGAATCCTCCCTGATTCTCCTGGGCTGTCATAATAGTTAGCAGCATTCTCCAAGCCTCTTAATTTTTCAATGGTGTGCTGGGTTCCCATCAGGAGTATAAACTCCTCGAGGGCCTAGGTCATATGTTCATCTTTGTTTCTCCAGCATCTGGAAATGTGCTTGGCATGTACTGCATATTTGACGGTATCAAATAAATACAGCATCTAGCAATTTTTCATATGGGATTTTACTCATGTATTCATTCATTCAGCAACTACAGTGCCAAGCACTGTTCCAGAGCTGGGAATACAGCAAAGTACATGCCAGGCTCCTTATAGAGCTAACGTTCCTTCTTGTTTACATCAAAAGGAGTTTTTAGGTGTTAAAACGATTTCCAATTCCTGTACCAATTGGCATTTTCTGATTAACAAATAACTTTTAGTACTATTAATACATTACTGGTTAATTTCGCTGATGAACTTTGCTTTTTGAATGGGTTAAGAATGACTGTACCTGGAAAAATTCTCCCTGCTCTCAATCTTTCAATCTGTGACCAGGGCTATATTTGCTCTGCTTGGAGCAAGAGAAAGGAAGGAATTCCCATGCGTCACAGGTTCCTTAGATTCCTTTGCTCTGCTGAATCAGAAAGCCTGACTTACAGCTGGTCTCCTGTAGCCTGATCACCACCCTCAGGGTTGCCAATAACATGCTGGACTAGAGCCACACTTAAGCCTTTACTGCCATTAGTGAAAAAGAAAGAGAGGAAGAAGAACCTGTCCAAGTTGACAGCTAGGGAGCTACAATTGGGACAGCCAGTTGTGTGGAGGTTACTTGCTAATCACCTCCGCACCACCTGAACTGGAGTCCTTCCCCTCCTCTCTGGGAGCCTGGGCCAGAGGCGCTGGGTTTTTATGAGCCTACTGCTTTCCTTGCCAACTGACCTCACTTCGTGATTGTTACAATTTCATTTTTGAGACTTTGAGTTCTCCTCTATTTTTCAATTGTTAAAAAATCTTGTTTCTGAAGCAAGTCTTAACATCTATCCCAGGAAAACACCAGTGTTTGTTGTTCGATTCATTAACTAAGAGGAGGAGGAGCTGGCCTGACTGCAGCTCACGGGAAATAACGACATTGGGGTTTAGAAAGAATGCAAAATCAGTAGGAGCCACTGGTATGCACTGGATGTCAAGAAACCCATCACTGCAAAGCCGAGATCACGCCACTGCACTCCAACCTGGGCGACAGAGCGACTCTTTCTCATAAAAAAAAAAAAAAAAAAAAAAAAAAGGACTCATCACTGCAATTGTAGCTGCTGTACTGTCCACAGAGGGCCCAGAATGAAGACGTGTAATACTCCTCTGTGCCAAGGGGAGGGCTGTGCTTGGAATCTCAATACAAGTTTGGGAAGCCACATTTTAAGATGGTCAAAAACAGACTGGAACACCCAGAAAAAGTCACTCACTATGGTGAGCAGCCTCTAAACTGCAAGACATCGGGAACAGGTGGAAGGGGCTTATCTAAACATTGAGAAGACCTAAGACAACAGATGGCATACAAAATCGGAAGTGATGTTGCAAAGGAGGGAGACTGCATTATTCTGTATGATTTCAAAAGGTAGGAAAAAGCTCAGCGAGTGAAACATCCAGAGACACAGGTTCTAATAATCACAATCAGGAACTTTCTAATGAGAACAAGACTTAGCCAGTGGACTGTGCTGCCTGGAGAGGTAGCACAAGCCCCCTCGGTGAGAGTGTTCCAGCAGTGGCTGCATGACTACCTGTCAAGGATGTCCTAGAGCTCATTCATGCACTTAGTGGGAGGTCAATTAAATGACCTCGAAAATCATTTCCAGTTTTAGGACTTAGTAGTATTTTGTGTGGACTTAGAAGATCACTTTGGTTCGTTTTATTTTTTTTGAGATGGAGTCTCGCTCTGTCACCCAGGCTGGAGTGCAGTGGCATGATCTCAGCTCACTGCACCTCTGAGGCCTCCTGGGTTCAAGCAATCCTCCTGCCTCAGCCTCCTGAGTAGCTGGGATTACAGGTGGCCACCACTACATGTGGTTAATTTTTGTGTTTTTTTAGTAGAGATGGGGTTTCACCATGTTGGCCAGGCTGGTCCTGAACTCCTGACCTCAAGTAATCTACCCAAAGTGTTGGGATTACAGGCTTGAGCCACTGTGCCCAGCCGCTTTGATTCGTTTTTTACATTATAGTGGCAAAAATGACCAAGCAAACATGACAGCAAAGGTTATGTAGCCAGGCTGACCCTTTAGGATAGCAGAGAAGGAGGCACAGGACCCAGCATCTCATGGAAATAACTTTTTTTTCTTTATCCCAGAAAAGCCACATTTAGGGGCAGGGGAAAAGAACTGGCAGGAATTAAAGTTTTATAAGCATTGTATCAAATAGCAACTCTTGTGAAATTTGCTTCTCTACATGCAGACACTGCCCAGGCTTTGACACACTGATATGTTCTCTGACTCCCACTGAAGTGAGTGGAATCATCTCTTGGCAGTGGCCCAGCAGGAGTGCAGGGGCTCGCTGAGATTGAAGAGCTGCATCCAAGAGTGCAGAGGAACAGGGCTGCACTTTCTTCCCCATGGTAGTTACTATTCATGGTCCTGAGTCACTCCTGGAAAATCAATGTGAGTAGACCGGATGGAGTTCCCCTGGCAGGGTGACTAAGGATGGACACACCTGTAATTGCTCTAAACAAGGAGGTATGCCCTGACTTGCTTTACAGAGAAGGGTGAGCAACCATTTCCCATCTCTATTAGGGCGATAAGAGGAATTTGGTAATGTGAGGTTTAAGTTAGGTTTTGTGACAAGAAGTCCCACGTAGTCCTGGTTGGTCTTCTGTACCTTGTACACTGCTCCACCGTGGAGCAGATAAACTGGCCAATCAGCGCCAGGAACTGCTCGGTGTACCGGGAATGGAACTGCTTCAGCAGAGTGAGCAGTCCCAGGACAAGTGGTGGCCAATCAACCGGGTCGGTCGGTTTTCGGCAGACCATTCCTGCAAGGGAACAAGTTGCAACACCATATGAAGTACTTGCCTTCAGCAACATTCATTAAATACCAACGCTGTGAAGGTCAAAATGTTTGGGGCCCATATTCTCGCTGGCAGATGATATTTTGGAGGGAATGACAATTCTGGGCCATATTTTGAATTAGCCACAGGATTGGTAGGGCATTCCAGGGGTCTGAAGGATTCAAAACCAATAAAACGGTTACTAAATTTTGTAATTATCATTACTGGTTCTTTTGAATTACTCAATTAACATATATTATTGTAGCAATTTTTAAAGATACAGATAAATGTAAATGAGAAAAAAAATCACTACAACTGACTTCTGTTAACGGCAGCATGACATACTAGATACCCTGAACTACTATCTTAAGTGAAAAGCTGGATAAAATACTTTTAGGGTATCTTTAAACAAATGTTGAGTAATATATATACATAAAGAATCTGCAGAAATCAAGAGAGTGGAAGAAGGATATTTATGAAGTGAATGAGTATCAAAGCTGGCCTTTACACTAACGATTTTTTAAAAATTGGAGATGGGGTCTTGCTATGTTGCCCAGGCTGGAGTGCAGTGGCTATTCGCAGGTGCAATCACAGCACATTATAGCCTTGAATTCCAGGGCTCAAGCTGGGACTATAGGTGTGTACCACTGCACCTGGCTCTACACTAAAGATTTCTGCCAAAATGTGGAGACCCTGACCTCTGCCTGGGTGGCTGCATGGGAAACCAGAGACAGAGATTAGGGTCTTCCAGAAGAAACACAATGTTGAAAAAGAACAGTGTTGGGAAGGTTTAGGTTGCCTGATTTCAAGCTCTCTATACAGTTTCAATAATTAAGACACTATGGCATAAGAACAGACAAATAGATCAATGGAACAGAATAGAGTCTAGAGATAGTCCCACCCTTCTATGAGTAATTGAATAGTCACAAATATACCAAATAATAAAAAAAGATAAATCTTTTAACAAATGGTACTGAAACTGGATAGTCTTATGGGGGAACGACAAACCTTGACCCCTATCTCATACTGTACACAAAAAACAATTAGAGATGAACCACTGGCCTCAATGTAAAAGCAAAGACTACAGAACTGTAAGAAAAAATATCGAAGATATCTTTGTGACCTTGAAGAAGGCAGAGATTTCTTTTTTTTTTTTTTGAGACGGAGCTCACTATGTCACCTAGGCTGGAGGGCAGTGGCACAATCTCGGCTCACTGCAACCTCTGCCTCCCAGGTTCTAGCGATTCTCCTGCCTCAGCCTCCCAAGTAGCTGGGATTACAGGCGTGTGCCACCACGTCTGGCTAATTTTTGTGTTTTTAGTAGAGACGGGTTTCACTATGTTGACCAGGCTGGTCTCAAACTCCTGACCTCAGGTGATCCTCTCGTCTCAGCCTCCCAAAATGCTGGGATTACAGGCATGGGCCACTGTGCCTGGCCTGGCAGAGATTTCTTAGACAAGACAAAAAAGAATAATTATAAAGGAAAAAAATGGATAAACTGGACACCATCAACAGTAAAAACTTCTGCTCATTAAAGTTACCAGTAAAAAAATACATAGATAAGTCACAATATTCTCAAAACATATCTAATAAGGAACTTGTATCCATAATATATACATAACTACTACAACTCTGTAATAAAAAAAAAATTTAAAAACGAGCATAAGACTAGAACAGGCACTTCGCAGAGAAGGATATAAGGAATGGCCAATAAGCACATGAAAAAGTGCTCAAAATCATTAATCATCAGGGAGGCAAATTAAAGCTGCAACAAGATACCATAGATACCCATCAGGATGGCTAAAATGGGCTGGGTTCAGTGGCTTATGCCTGTAATCTTGGCACTTTGGGAGGCCAAGGTGGGTGGAACACTTGAGGTCAGGAGTTCGAGACCAGCCTGGCCAACATGGTGAAACCTGTCTCTACTAACAATACAAAAATTACCCGAGCATGGTGATGCATGCTTGTAGCCTGTAATTCCAGCTACTCAGGTGGCCGAGGCAGAACTGCTTGAACCCAGGAGGTGGAGGTTGCAGTGGGCCGAGATTACGCTACTGCACTTCAGCCTGGGTGACAGAGTGAGACTCTGTTTCAGAAAAAAAAAAAGAATGGCTAAAATGAAAATGACTGACGCCACCAAATAATGGCGAGGATGTGGACTACACATATACTCACTCTTGGTGAGAGTGTAACTGGCACAACCACTTTGGACAAAGGGTTGGCAGTTTCTTATCAAGTTAACTGGTTAGACAGACCCTCAGGTCCCATATTTGACTTCTTGTGAAGACCGGAAAATCTTCCCCAAACCAGAGAAGCCTAAACAAGTGATCCTGAATAACCTAACCTAGGCCTTGGCAATTCAGAACATGGAGGAAGAATCCTAACAGGACTCAGTATGGAGAAATAATCCTTTCCAGGTGGAAAGCAAGAGTGATGTTAACAACAAACACTTCTACAACTAGCACTACACCACGAAGCTTCTTTCTTCAAACACAGACCAAGCCAGGTATGCATTTCATAGGCCAATGCTGAGAACGGTGTTTACAAGGTTAAATAAATGTTTTTCGGATATACAGTTTCAAGGCTCTCTTTACAGTTTCAATAATCAAGACATTATTGGCATAAGAAAAGACAAACACATCAATGGAACAGAATAGTCTAGAGATAGTCTCACCCTTATATGAGCAACTGAATACCCACAAAGATACCAAACAATTGTTCCTTCCTCAGTCCTACTGTAATTTAGTTCCTGCATTAACACATCAGTCTTATTGATGAGAAGAATTATAGTCAGTTATAAACACCACATTTCTAGGATACATAAAGATTTTGTTGTGTTATGTTTTAAGATCTGGGAATTCCAGGGAGAGTGATACTTTCCATAAGCAGCTTTACAATCAAGGTGCCAGGCCCTAATCATATACACAATGAAAAAAAAATTAGAATGAGAAGTCAACAAAAAGTTATTCTTTAATGAAAAGAAGGTTCTTTCTGCACTGACAGTTCATTATCAAGAATCATATATTCCTATTGAATAATAACATAGAACAGAGAGAGAACATGAATCTCTGAATCTTCAGATGAACCTTTACATTACACTTGGGATGGCCCTTTAAATTGATTTTGACCAATATATAGAAAGGGACTCAGCACCTGTTGGGCACTCAGTTTGCGGTGACTTGGCCAAAGTCACATAGGTGATAAGTGGTGAAGCCAGATTCCAAACACACATTGGTTCCCTCCCTCCTACAGCAAGTATTGTTTGAGGAGATCATGCTCTGCCTTCTGTGACAATCACAGGCATTGTCATGGAAGCAGTGTCTAGAATCAATGATTACTTTTGAATGAGAGAATAAAAACATTAAAGAGATTCCACATTTTCACCCTAAAAAAGCTTATGAAATAGGAAAGTACTGTAAGGAAGAAATATATTTAGGAATCTCTAGTTAAGAAACAATGATTACATTTGTAGAAATGCTCTTATAATGCTTTTAAAGTAAACTAAAGTCTATAGTGGATTTTTAAAAATGTCATTTAGCTGGATACAAAGTTTGAAGGCAGAGGAAACACTTTGTTATCTATTATGTAACTACAAAAATATTCTGACGAATGACAAAAATAAATTAGGGTTATATTCCTGGAGAGAACAGACATATTGAAAGGCTTTGGTGTCTCTTGTTTGTACAGAATATTCTGACATACAATCATACATAAAGTATTAAATGTTCATGTATAAATATTAGTCTTATCTCCTTAACTATATTGTTACTTTTCCCATCATGGTTCCAGATACACAGCTGGCACATGCATCCTGTTGAAAGAACAGAACATCAACCAAAAAAAGTTTCTTTCACACCACAATTAGCTGCCTAAACATTAAAGAAGAGAATCAAAACAAAGGTCCCTCACATTCTACAAGCTGGACAATGAACCCTTACTGAGGTAGACCATACTTTGTTGATTTTAAATCCACTGTCTAGGGCTGGGCACAATGGCTCACGCCTGTAATCTCAGCCCTTTAGTTGCCGAGGCAGGTGGATCGCTTGAGCCTAGGAGTTTGAAACCAGTCTCGGCAACATGGCAAAACCCTGTTGCTACAAAAAATACAAAAAAATTAGCTGGGCATGGCGGTGTGCACCTATAGTCCCAGCTACTCAGGAGGCTGAGGTGGAAGGATTCTTGAGCACGAGAGGTCAAGGCCATAGTGAGCTGAGATTGTGCCACTGTACTCCCATCTGAGTGACTGAGTGAGACCTTGTCTCAAAAAATAAATAAAATAAAATAAATAAATAAGTGTACTTAAAAAAAAAATAAATCCGGCCAGGTGTGGTGGCTCATACCTGTAATCCCAGCACTTAGGGAGGCCAAGGTGGGCGGATCACCTGAGGTCAGGAGTTCGAGACCAGCCTGGTTAACATGGTGAAAACTCTGTCTCTACTAAAAATACAAAAATATTAGATGGGCGTGGTAGTACGTGCCTGTAATCCCAGCTACCTGGGAGGCTGAGGCAGGAGAATCGCTTGAACCTGCGAGGCAGAGACTGCAGTGAGCTGAGACCACGCCATCGCGCTCCAGCCTGGGCAATAAGAACAAAACTCCATCTCAAAAATAAATAAATAAATAAATAAAAATAAGAATAAACCCACTGTCTACAGTTCATAAAAAGGCATTGTATTTCAAAGGCATAAAGACTCGAATTTCATAAACATAAATTTAACTAAGAAAAGATCTCATATCCGACATAGGCATTCTATACAAAAAGCTATTTAGTTAAATGTTAATCTGTTGGTATTGTTACTCATTGCAAATAATAAATGTTATACGTACCCAGATTTTTGTTGTATTGAAGTTTTGGCAACTGAGCGATCAAAAATAGAAAGTTTACAATTGGAAAATAGGGTAAGCGCTTTGTTGTTATGTATATCTGGAAAGAGAAAGGTAAGAAAAATAGATGGTTAAATCACATTGCACAATACCACAGAACAGGTTTCCAAATGAAAATCTTCCATTTTACTTCAATTTGCTCTTTGGCTTTCCTGAAATGTGGATGGTTCCATTAATTTGCTGCCTTCAGAGTTTTATTTAACACACCTGGCCCTGGCCACATAAATACCTGTATCATAATTTGCCCTTCTGGGAAGAAAACAATTTTGCTTAGAAAGACTTTTCCCCTGAATCCTGTTAATGTCATTAATAAAGGGAGGGAGGAATGAGTGATGAGCAAGAATGGGAGGGGAAGGCAAAATGAAGAGCAGTTGAGGAAGAGCTGGAGGTGAATATAGGGGGAGTGTGGGAGAGAGAAGAGAGAGAGAGGGAAAGAGGGAAGAAGGAGAGGAGGAGGGAGAGTGAAGGGAAAAGATCCATGTAGCAGCGAGTGGTGGTATCTAAGTAGAAAGAGAGCAAAGTTCTTCTTGTCATTTGCTGTCCCCTAGGCAATGTCACAGAGCAGTCTCCCAGATGTCACGGCAGAAACTACAGTCAGGGCGTACATGGCCAGGTCCAGACTGCCAGCTGGCCGATTCCATAGGAGACAGGGTAGCACACGGGTCAGAAGCAGGGGCTCTGGTCAGACTGCCTGGCTCCTCCACTTGCTAGCTGGCCTCTCTGAGCCTCGGGTTCCTCAACTCATAATGGCGTATTTCATAGGGCTTGTTGTGAGATGAAGTGAGATAATCCACAATCAGGGTTAAGACAGTGCACTTGTTATGCAGTAAATATTCAAGACATTAGCTACTATTCAGGTTTATAATCTTTTATCCAAAACACAAGGGATAATACAGCTTTCAGAATTTCAAATTTTACAGATTTAGAAAGATAATATAGGGGCTGGCGTAATGCACTATAATCAAAGTTACTATAATCAAAGTCTGCATCAAAATATATGAATGTTTACAGTAAGGAGGATAAATAACTAGTATAAACAGCCTTATGTCAGCTCAGGACAGATTTTGCCATGCAAAGAGATCTGGCACCGAGTTATGAAAAAACTTTCAGTTCTTAGAGGTTTTCTGAGCTCACAACTGCAGGGAAGAGTTTGTAGCTTCTATGATGAGTGGGATTACTGTCAGCCACAAGGGGAAGCACCTTTGGCAAGACAGATCAATGCTACCATTTTGGGTTTGTTGGGCCTTGATGACTGAACGGCAAACCCCAGTGAAACCCAAAACTAATCTCTTACACGGAGGCAGCACCTTCCCCTTTGTCATGAGCTTTCACCAGCGCTATAGCACTTGATTCTCACAGACCTGAGCCAGGCGGGGAAAGTGTGATGATTGCTTAGAAAGGGCAGGGAACTGAATGGAATGAAGGCTCTGGGGTCTGAACCCAGGTTCCTCTGGTATTTCTGCACAGTAATCTGTTACCTGGGCCAAATACCATTCTGTACCCCCATCCCCGCCATTATATATTTTAATTACTCACCTTATTCAGTGGGTTGTGAATGCCAGCTGCCTCCAGATAGGCTGTGATTTCATATAAAAGTGTGTTATCTTCTTTGGGGTAAGGAAGTGAAGGGTCCTGATAGTGGGCTTCAATGTCTGCTAGGAGAGCCCTAAAGGAAGAAAAACCCTGGAGATAAACATTAGTGAGTAAATGAATTTATACAAGAGTTAATATAGGGCAGTGATGTAATCTTTTCAAGCCTCAGTTTCCTCATCTGTAAAATGAGAGCTTGATCTCGCTAATTCTCAACCATGCCTGTGATTGGTTTTAAGTGGAAAATTTGACCTAGAATTACTTCATCTTTTGGAATCAACCTCAATCAAATGCATTCACCATTCAAATTTTCATGTATTGACTGAACTGTTCTTAATACCTGCTTTGTCAAAAGCACTGACTTGGTGAGTGAGAAGCACAGATTATTTATCTGTAAGTAGGCAGCCTCAAATGACAGCAGGTTGCTGGTGAGGCGGAGGATATGAGTTCCCTCTAGGACAGGCCTCCATAACCACTCTTGGTAATCAACACACTTCCAACTGCCCTCTGGATGATGAGTGATCAGCCCTGTAAAAAGCCAGTTGCGGATTTTGGTAATAATTGCTTTCTAAAATCTGTGCAAGTATCTAGCAGTGTCTGGTGTGTCTCTCACTCGCTCTCTCTAATGAATTCATTTGTTCAGCAGACATGTATTGAATCATGTGATCAGTACCTGTCTGCTGAATACACGAATCCATTAGAGAGAGTGAGTGAGAGACAGAGATAAACGGAGGGACAATACTGAGGAAAGAGGCTCCGAAGACAGATTTGATTATCCGTGGCAAGGAAGCCTGTAAATTCAGACCTTCCACCCAAAAATAACTTAAAAGAGTAAGAACTGAAGAAACTGGGGTGCGTAGATAATAAACAATCCAAGCCCACGGATGGCTGTTTCAAACCCTGGCACTTACTTATTGAGATTCTCCAGAGCAGCTGCCAGATGTTTAGAATCAAACCGACAAGAATAATTTAATTCATTGGCAATCTGTTGTCTCAGAATCTGCATCTGCCCAACCTGTGCACAAGCAAGAGAAAGAACAGGTAGTGCATTCAAGCATTTCAGAGTGACAGTGAGGAGGTAAACACAAAGATGACAATTCTTCACTGGGCCTTCACATCACTCTACAGGAAAAAAAATAAGGATTTCCTGAACT
This sequence comes from Homo sapiens, assembly GCF_000001405.40. Classification (NCBI taxonomy): domain Eukaryota; kingdom Metazoa; phylum Chordata; class Mammalia; order Primates; family Hominidae; genus Homo; species Homo sapiens. Next base: position 125,040,038 of record NC_000008.11, read on the forward strand.
GATCTCTTGGCTAAGACCAGCACTGGATCTAATGAAGCACCAGAGGCCCTTCAAGGAATGTCTGGATGGATTCCCATACCCCAACCTAAAAATACCCCAAAGTCTATGATTCACAAAGTGATCTATTAATGTTCAGTTGTTCATGTATCAAAGATGTCTTTTTTGAAGCTATATTTTTAACCTTTTGGAATAAGTGCTCCAAATTTAGTAGCTGCTGTGAGAAGTCTTACTTACTTCCTTTTATTTATCCTAAATGGAACTTTCTCAAGCTCTAGGAATGCCATTTCACACTAGTATTCTCAAATTGGGTGAATATTAAGTCTGTCCATGCCACTCAGGATTATAGGTTCTATAATTATCTGGATTACAAAATAATCTACATAAAATCTTTCACGAAAATTTTAACAATGATAGCCCCTTAATCCAGGGTTCTTAATTTTTTTTGTGTGTCTGATATGGTTTGGCTGTGCCCCCACCCAAATTTCATCTTGAATTGTAGTTCCCATAATCCCCATGTGTCATGGGAGGGACCCAGTGGGAGGTAATTGAATTATGGGGGTGGTTACCTCCATACTGTTCTCGTAATAGTGGATGAGTTCTCACGAGATCTGATGGTTTTATAAGAGGCTTTTCTCCTTTTGATTATATTTCTCTTTCCTGTTGCCATGTGAAGAAGGACATGTTTGCTTCCACTTCCACCATGGTTGTAAGTTTCCTGAGGCCTCCACAGCCATGCTGAACTGTGAGTCAATCGAACCTCTTTCCTTTATAAATTACCCAGTCTTGAGTATGTCTTTATTATGTGAGAATTGACTAATATAGCCTTGGACCCCTTTGGGAATCTGGTGAAGCCTATGGACACCATTTCAGAATAACGTTTTTGAATGTACAAAATAAAACATAGAGGGTAACAGTGGAAGCCAGTTGTAATGAAATATAATTAACCATTCAAAGAACAAATCTGTGATATAGAGTTATGCTAGGATGGTGTATTAACTACAGTACTTTAAAAGTAGCTATGAGCATAAATGATACTTGGAGATTATCTGCAATGGTTGGATGATAGGAAGCGATCTTTGGGTCAGGCTTGAGAGTTCAGTTTGCCCTCATAATGTTGTCTGCATCATAAGGTCAACAGCACACTCTAACTTTTTCTGCCTATAAATGTCTTCTTTTCTACTCGGACAAAGTATTCCTAAAAGACTGGCAAAGGGGAGTGAGGGAGGTGGGGAGAGGAGGGAAGACAGTATTATAATGCAAGCAGCAATAAGGTGGAAATAAATGCATTTCCTCTGAGTTGCTGGGGGCAGAGAAGAGTTAAGGAAAAGACAGGGGCTCACGCCTGCAATCCCAGCACTTTGGGAGGCCGAGGCAGGCTGATCGCTTGAGGCTAGGAGTTCGAGACCAAGCCTGGCCAAAATGGTAAAACTCTGTTTCTACTAAAAATAAAAAAATTAGCTGGGTATGGTGGTGGACACCTGTAATCCCAGATACTTGGAAGGCTGAGGTATGAGAAACACTTGAACCCAGGAGGTAGAGGTTGCAGTGAGCCAAGATTGTGCCACTGCACTCCAGCCCAGGCGACAGAGTGAGACTGTCTCAAAAAAAAAAGAAAAGGAGGGTGGCCTTCTCTAAGAATGAGCAAAAGTTACTTAGCTAAATGGAGCTTGTAATGGTCAAAAGTATTAAATGACCTCAGATGTATTATTTTTGACCACTATTCATACAAGACTATTACTCTATTTATGTGAAAAACGTCAATCCAAAAATGCTATTTATAAATAGGAAGTGTTTGAATTTATAGAGTAGCATTATTTAAAAATTAGAATGCAGCAAATCCAAGAAAATAGTAGGTTCTTTCAGGCCACATAAAAATGTCCCTGAAACCCTGTATCTGGCCCATATAATTCTTTGCTTAATTTTCTATGTGTAGTATACTCTGTGTCAAGGATCCTCTTGAAAATATCAATCTAGAACTGGAAATAGAAATAAAGTCAGTTTAATATAACTTGCTCTCGTTTACTGCACAATGAATCTTTGTTAGTGACATTTTCTATTTTTGGTACTCACGCACTTCAAGCTTTAATAAGCTGCTGAAGAGGCTAAGGAGCCTGGGATGGATGAGAAACTTATTCTACCTACTCATTTGCCTCTTTGGAGATATCTGGCTTATCACTCTTTCTCCAAGATTTTTCTAGAGTTGCACTATTGAGTACAGCAGCTCCTAGCGATGTGTGGCTATTTATATTTAAATTAATATGAAATAAAATTAAAAATTGCATTTCACTGTCCCACAACCCACATTTCATGAGCTCAATAGCTACACAGGGCTAGGAGCTGCTGTCATCATCGAATAGCACAGAACATTTCCATTGTTGTTCCAGATTATTAACACTGGCTCCGTGACTGTACGCACCCTAATTCAAGACAAAAAGACAAATTTGTCCTTTGGGGCTTTATTTAAAGATCACTGACTCGGTCACAGTCACGTGGCTGTTACTGAATTACTGGCAACTATAACCAATAGTTGGAATAGCTACTGGACTGAGAACCCTCCAGTAAGCAAGGGGAAAACCTTCCAGTTTCTTGGAAGAATCCCTGTAATCCCCCTAACGCCTCCTACAGAGTTGGGACTCACACCTGTCCAAACTCGGGTGATTCTTTATTCCTCCTAAAGGGTTTTCCAGCAATTAGAAACTTGGCCTGGGAAGCGCTTAATATCTGACAATCATGAGGCTAGGGGAAGGCAGACCCACATCACGAGAGGATATCTAGCAGAGCCATGGGCTCCTTGCCTTACCTGTTCTGTTTAATGATCCAAACAACAACAACAACAACAACCACTCACCAAAATTATGGGAAATATATTGTGAATTTGGCTAAGATACCAATGAGTGCTGTCTCAATGAGAAACTTATATAATTGGGAATCAGAGAATGGAACTTTTCAAAATTCCCTTAGCATTCTAGAATTCTAGACTTTTCTACAGTATGTGATATTTTTGACCACAAACCAGTTTTCTACCAGGAAGTCTACTCTTCCCTGCTAGATTGTGAGTTAGCTAAGGAGACCGGTCATGTTTCATTTAACTCTGTCTTTCACAGCAACTGACAATGCCCTGGGTATAATGGGTGTGCAAGAATGGGCTGTGATGATCTCAGATTATCAGATGATGAAAGAAGACTCGCAGAAGATGCAGGGGTCCCTGGGAGCTCCTACTGCCGAGTAAAGGCAGGAAACTAGGCAGCTGGATTCTAAAATAAGTTAGACTTCCATCCAGCAAATTAATCTCTTCGTCTTTCTTATTCATTTCCAAAGTAAGACTGCTTTCTGCAGAGTATAAGGATAATTTATGCCCCAAAGAACCTGGCTTCCTAACATCTATGCAGACACAAGAGGGCAGAGAGACAATGTTCTGTTCTAACAGCAGCTTGGAGCAGATGAGGTGTGTATAAATGAACTTTGTTATGTAAAAAGGGAGTATTACTGTGCAAGGAAAAGTTCAATTTTCATATATAAAAGCACCTCTAGCCAAAAGGCATTTTACAAAGAGCCAGTTTTCTTGAACAAAAGGAAAACGCTAGGCTCCTAAAAAGCCTAATCAAGAACAGATCCAGAAACGGAGATAAACAAAATGAATTTTAAAATGATAAACTGAAGTATTAAAATATTTTTGATTTAATGACAAAAGAAAGAAGAGTAGCTTTTTTTGGGCAACAAAGTTACAAGAAAATAAAAAATTTAAAAATGTAAGTATTGACTGTACACCCTCTCTTCTACAACATACCTTCATTATAGCCTCGAGATACGCAGTCCAAATCTTCTGTGTTTTGGCAATGGCGGAAAAATAAATTTTATTTGAATTTGCTGAAAAGTTAAAACATAATTTTCTCTTTAGTACATTCGTAAAGGCTACAGTGTCATCCCCGCCTCAGGTAGTTTCAGGACACTCACCGACAATACTTTTTAGGGGACTGACAGCATTCATGAGGGTTTTTAAAGTGTCCTGAACAGTTCTGTCTCTCAGGATAATTTTCTGAAACATACTGAGGAAATTCTAAAAACAAGAAGGCACGGTCAAAGAACCAAACATAATGAATTAAACAAGCAAATTCTCCAGTTACCTAAAATGCTATGCAGAACAGAGGCTGGGCCTAAGTCACACAAAACCTCTAAACAGGATGACAGCAAAAAGAAGCAACTTCAGGTTCCTGTTAGAAACATCCCTTGCTAGGAAAAGTCACTGGCTTCAAGGATTAAAAAGTCTTATCTTCCCAAGTTGAAACTTACAAAAACAGTCTAATCCTAAAAGTACTATGCTGGCCAAACAAATTCTAGTTTATTCCCAGCTCTGATCTACCCAGTAGGTATCATATGCCTAAAGTCAGTGTAAGAAATCATGGAAGAAAGGTTAAGTGAGTTCAAACTGCCCACTAAAATATGTTCTTGCCTCTCCCCCAGGGTGGCAGAAAACAGGCATGAAAGTCAAAAGGCTCACCTGTAACTCTTTTACAATCATAAAGCACAGAAGCCTGTCTAAGCCATTTAGACCAAAGGTTCCCAAGGTGGTCTGGATTTCTGAGAAGAGGCGGCTGCTGGTCACTTCCTGATGAGTTTTCATATCATACCAAGTGTTCAGCTGGTCTATGTGACATGTCATTCTAAAATGAAAACAATGCAAAAACCCCAGAATGGCTCAGAATTCATCCTTAAAGAGATGTTAGGACTCAACAGGACATGCGGCACCAAATATGAAGAACAGGAGTTACATGATCTGTGTTTTCTAACCTCTGTATTCAGGCACCCAATGCGTCTTCCCAGTGACACCCAATGGAACAGGAAGGTAAAATTCAGTCTGACCCCCTTTTCCTGCCCTATGCCATATCATTGGTTTCAGTCATTTATTTCCATTGAGTTAGGGTGTTGACTTGGAATCATGCTGAGAAGACAAGGTTAGGTTCAGCTGTCAGGCTGGAAGACTTTAGAGCCCATTTGTCTCTCTATGCAGCCTTCCTTTAAATTTCCAGTTTGGAGACAAAACAAGGCCTTGTGTCATTTCCATTTGATAAAAAAGGAACCTAGAATCTCCATATGCTACCTAACATTTGAGACTATGACGACAAAGCAATTTGCTTTTTCCTCCCAGTTCCTTAAACTTGTAGATGCCATCTTCTGGTCCTCTCCAAATGATTCTTTTTAGACTCAGAAGTGTGATGATGACAGTGACAACAACCAACCATATTTACTGGGCACTTATTGTGCACCAGGTGCTGTGTGTGCTAAGACCTTTCCATGTGCTATTTCATCCTCATAATAGCTCTGTGGAATACAAACCATTTCATCCTCATTTTATAGATAATTGAGGCTCTCATAGGTCTGACCACCACCCTTAACCACCATTTCAATGGTTTTCAAACACTGAGAGAGGGACCCTGAGTCCCTGGTAGAGCTTGTCTGAAATACAGATGCCCAGCTTCCATTCCTGACGAATCTGATTTAATAGTTCTGGGGGAGAGCTCTGGCCTTTGCATTTTCAGCAAGCTCCACAGATGACATATCCTATTGTCCAAAGCCACCACATACCTTTACCAGAAGGAGGCGTGAGAAGGGGTTGAAAGAGCCTAGAAGCAAGGGAGGTTTTAAATCAGGAAGTAAATAGGGAGAACAAAACAAGAGGATTCCCAAACTGCTTACAACTTCCATCTGCTTGCTTCAAAGACTCCTTCTGCCACCAAGTACACTCTGATGTGTCACTGGGGAGGCCCCCAATTCTGATGATAAAATTCATATATGATGTGGAAATTCTGGTCACACTTAATCCTCTCTGCCTGCACTAATAGGGCACTGGGTGGATAGTTTTCTAAAAAGGCTTCGGTGATTGAAGGCTACCAAGAAAGAAGGAGCTATACAACTTTTTGAATCACTTACTTTTTTTGTCCCATGAGTCAAAATTCCTTATTTCTGCTAGAAATTTTGGAATAAGGTTATGCATAGTTTCTCAACTTTCACAAGTTTCGAAGGACAAAATACTGGATTAGAAAGAAGACAGCACAAAGGATCCAGGTCCTAAGAAGATTTAACTCACACAAGATCAACTACACGTGCCTGGGTGGTCAGAGAACAAAGATCATCGCTTTTTTCCTGGGTAATTCCACCAACCCTTCTGCTCAGTGAGCCTGTGCCCAGGGGTGGACATGAGAACCTGCTCTTCCCCAAGCTGATCTTAGTACCAACAGCTTCTCCTGAGGCTCAAATGAAGAAAAAGGAGGAAAACTGGCTCAGCTGGACTTACTAGAGGCAGCATGCTAGTCTCTGCCGTGGTGCTCACCTAAAATATTCTCAGGAGCAGTTTTAATTAAATGAGATTTTCACCCAGTTACTGCTGAACGTAGAGCCCACATAACCCGTATGTAGACTGTGATTGGCTGTATACAAAGCTATGCAGTCTGCCTTTCACAGTACAATGCCTAGGAGCTGGGCTCTGGAGTCAGAGGGCCTGGAGTGTATTCTGGGTCCGTCATTTATTAACTGTGTGATGCTGGGCAAATGACTAAGCTTTTCTGTGCTTCAGTTACTTCATCTTTAAAATGGGAATAAGAATAATGCCTATAAGATTGCTGTAAATGGGTTAATGACTGGATGTGTATAATGTGCTGAGAAGAGTGCATAGATAAGTGTTCAATAAATATTAGTTGTTGCTATCAAAAGTGCTTGTGTGTTGAGCTAAGAATCGTTTTGTGGAGACAGGGGGGCGGGGGAGAGATTAGATTCTTCTAAGGAGCGCACAACCTAGATCCCTCACATGCAAAGTTCACGCTCCTATGAGAATCTAATGCTCCTATGAGAATCTAGTACTTTGGGAGAATCTAGCACGCTCCTATGAGAATCTAGCACTTTGGGAGGCCACTGATCTGACAGGAAGTGGAGCTCAGGTGGTAATGCTTGCTTGCCCATCGCTCACCTCTTGCTGTGCGGTCAGGTTCCTCACGAGTGACAGACCGGTATCAGTCTGCAGCGCAGGGGTTAGGGACCCTTGCCCTAAAGGGTCAGAATATGAGTTGACAAGTGCAGGACCCCCGTGACTGGAATAGGGGCTGTGCCACAGGGCCACAGATGCAGATGAGACTGCCTGCAGTATTCAGGGCTCTGTAGAATTCAGGTACACCTACTTTGGGTCTGTGATCCGCAGGATTTCTCTGCAGAGTCGACCAATAAACGTTACAGACTCATCCACAGGGGTAAACTTGGGTATTGGAATATGAGTGGACTGGTACATGCTTTGCCAATCTTGAATCTAGAAAACAAAACCATCAATATTTAGTAAACCTTTGATAAGATAACCTAGTTATCCCTTTTCCATATAATTTTACAAAGATAATATTGCATAAAGAGTGACAATAAAGGTTGTTTTTTTTTTTTAGATGGAGTCTCGCTCTGTCCCCCAGGCTGGAGTGCAGTGGCATGATCTTGGCTCACTGCAACCTCCACCACCCGGGTGCAAGCGATTCTTTTGCCTCAGCCTCCTGAGTAGCTGGGATTACAGGCACCCGCCACCATGCCCGGCTAATTTTTGTATTTTTAGTAGAGATGGGGTTTCACCATGTTGGCTAGGCTGATCTCGAACTCCTGATCTCAAGTGATCCTCCCACCTTGGCCTCCCAAAGTGCTGGGATTATAGGCGTGTGCCAGGTCTGGCTAATTTTTGTGTTTTTAGTAGAGACAGGCTGGTCTCAAACACTTGACCTCAGGTGATCCACCTGCCTCGGCCTTTCAAAGCACTGGGATTACAGGTGTGAGTCACTGTGCCTGGCTTGGTTTTTTATTTTAGAGACAGGATCTTGCTCTGTTGCCCAGGCTGGAGTGCCGTGGTGTGATCACAGCTTGTTGCAGCCTCAACCTCCTGGGCTCAAGCAATCCTCCCACCTGAGCCTCCAAGTAGCTGGGACTACAGGCATGAGCTACTGTACCTGGCCTGTTTCTTGGTTTTGAAGAGGAAACTTCTAAAACTGCATTAATAATAGTCTCCCAGAAATACCACATATAACATTTATAAAAAACAAAGAAACATTGTGAAAAGGTGAGGTGACAAACGAGAAGCGAGAACTAAGATGAGACATGGGAACTTCGGCTTTCTGTCTTATGAGTTGACATGCATCCATGTAATATAAAAATCCAAAATATCATAAGGCTGGAATAGACTTAAACTTTTGAAAATGTCACCCAAATCATGTCAGTTCCCACATGAAAACTTGCAGAGTGGCTCCTTGTTAACTACTTACTAAAATCAAACTTCTCAATTTTGGCACTTATGCATTTGGTATTCTTTTTTTACCCAATTAAAGAAATAGGCAAAGGACTTTTATGCACATTTTTCCAAAGAAGACATACAAATGGCCAATAAGCTGTTCAACATCATTGGCATTAGAGAAATGCAAATCAAAACCATGATGAGATACCTTCATGTGCACTAGGGTGACTATAATTTTAAAAAATTGAAAATAACAAGCATTGGTTAGGACGTGGAGAAACTGGAACCCTCGTACACTGCTGTTGGGCACATAAAATGGTGCCGTTACCGTGGAACACAGTTTGGCAGTTCCTCAAGAAGTTAAGCATAGAACTACCCATTATAGGTCCTAGTAATTCCACTCCTCAGTATGTACCCTGCTGAACACAAACAAAGGAGTCCTAAAAGTCTTTTGAACTGTTAATCACTTGGGTTATAACAATTACAACAAACAGCTTCATTCTGTAGCCATTTAATGATGTCTGCCTTCTTAGGACAGTGAGCTCCCGGAAGTTACATGCCATGTCCACTTTTCTGCAACCCTCCTGGCTCCTGAAAGTACTCTGAAGGTACTGAGACTATCTAGTAAACTTTCTTGTTGACATTTCTGAGGTTTGGGATGTGTACTCTAAACATGAGAAATAACAAATATAGTCAAGAATTTTAAAATTTATTAGATACCTTCGTTCTTAGAAAGTTATTACACTCTTGCTCCACGTTGTAATTTATGATACGAGATACTTCTTCCTGCCAAATCTTCAGACCATAAATGTTGACATAGTCCTGTATGTATTCAAAAGAACGATGGAATCCATCCATGGTCGCTCCCAACTCTTTCAGCTTGGGCATCAATTCACTTGGCTGTGGAAAAGGGGAAACATAAAGCTCTTACACTGGAGTAGATTGTCAACTATTCGTTCTAATATCTAACTAGACTTTAAATAGTATAGCAGGCCAGATGCGGTGGCTCCCACCTGTAACCCCAGCACTTTGGGAGGCTTAGGCAGGAAGATCACTTGAGGTCAGGAGTTCAAGACCAGCCTGGCCAACGTTGCGAAACCCTGACTCTACTAAAAAAATATAAAAAGTAGCCAGGTGTGGTGTGTACCTGTAATCCCAGCTACTTGGGAGGCTGAGGCAGGGAACTGCTTGAACCTGGGAGGCGGAGGCTGCAGTGAGCTGAGATTGTGCCACTGCACTCCAGCCTGGGAGACAGAGCAAGACTTAATCTTAAAAAAATAAAAAATAAGCCAGGCTCATGCCTGTAATCTCGGCACTCTGGGAGGCTGAGATGGGTGGATCACTTGAGGTCAGGAGTTCAAGACCAGCCTGGCCAACGTGATGAAACCCCATCAAAAATACAAAAATTAGCCGGATATGATGGCAGGCACCTATAATCCCAGCTACTTAGGAGGCTGAGGCACAAGAATCGCTTGAACCCAGGAGGCAGAGGTTGCAGTGAATCGAGATTGTGCCACTGCACTCCAGCCTGGGAGACAGAGCAAGACTTTGTCTCAATCAATCAATCAGTCAATAGTACAGCAGCTAAGAGACCACAGTCATAGTTTAAGATATACTTTAAGTTTTGGAATACTCATTTCCTACTTCATCTAGGATGACTGACAACTGATGTCAGACATTCAGCAAATAAATGATTTCACTCATTTGGGAAGGAAGCCTCATATAAAGAAATAAAAAAAAAGAATGACTGTGATTTCTCTGTCATTTAATAAATCTATCTAGTCTCAGAATACTTAAAACATTTTAAATTGAATTTACTATGATAATAAAGATCCTAAATAGAGATTTCAGGCCTATTATTTTTCTCCTGAGAAAAATGACCATATTCCCTAGCAGATAAAGCAAAATAAAAAATTATAACCTTTATAGTTCCTATCTACTTTAGGGTTACCAAATTCTTTTAACTATAAGAAGTACTTCTGAATCATAAAATCAGTTTAATTCTGAAATGGGATCAATAGGTGGAGGAAAGAAGCACTGGTTTTAAAAATATGAAGTTTTAAATATAAAATCTAAATTTCATATTTATACTATAAATTTATAATATGAATGGATTATAAGATCAAAAAGCACATCAGTTGTTTGTGTTGAAAATCACATATTTGATATACGTTAGCTAGGAGGTAAGGTCTTGTTCGCGATAGGTTAAAAATGGCATTCTAGTCCATGCTGCAAGCTGGGCGGAGAAGAGGACAGGCCCACTCTGGTCACTGGGTACCTTGGCTCGAGGGTTGAATATCAGTCCCCTATGCAGGGCAAAGGCAACGCGCTTCACAAGCTCTTTCCTTATTCCATCTTCCAGCAACTGCTTTGGATCCACCTAAGTGCCAATCAAAAGTATTAAATGATAGTTACGAAAAATTCAGTCCTAACGAAATCCAGAGGAAAGATGGCTTTCAGAATCTGCAGTGGGGCATTTTCCTACCTCCTCACTAAATGATTTGAATTTTTTCCTTTCCTGTCCCTGTGATCTTGCACAGCTTGGATGGAATTATTAAACCTGTCACCTTTTTAGGACTCTGTTTATTTCAGCAAAGTTCATGATGGTAATTTTACAACAAGACATTTCAAAGACGGTGAATAAGGAAAGTTTTAAATGGCCTCACATTCTAATTAATGGCCCCTCTTTTTGGAGTTTTAAATGGCCTCACATTCTCATTAATGGCCCCTCTTTTTGGAGGGGCAGGATGAAGGACCTATGACTGAATTTACAGATGCATGTTCTTCCTTTAGATTTTATTTCTAGGCACCTTATATCCACATGAGCAAACTCAGATTTGAGGTCGGGCCACTCTGTAAATTGAATAATTATCTTTTCTTTCAGCATTCTTGGAATTAGGGAGATAAAATAAGAAAGCAAATCTGCTATCTAACTCTACAAGCTTACTTTGCTAATTATTTCTCCTATAATGAAAAGGTTTTGTTATTCCTTTAAAAAGTCTCTTATCAGATCCATAAAACATCAAATGATTTTTACATACTCCCTTGAATTCTCTGAGACTTGTTTCTTTTACTTTTAATTTGTAAAGAACCATTATTTTAAAAGGTCATAAAGGCAATTAATGGGTTCCATCCAGTTTTGATTGTATTTAAATTTCAAATAAGACAACTGCAAGGGGGTTACAAAAACACAAAAGCCAGAGAAACACATTAAACTACGTCAAGATCGTTCAATCAGGGAAATCCAGACTGTGGAGCAACTGAAGGTGAAAGGCCCTATGTTCTTCAACAGATGAATTAAAGGGAAAGAAAGGAAGGAGGGCCGGGCGTGGTGACTCACGCCTGTAATCCCAGCTCTTTGGAAAGCTGAGGCAGGCGGATCACCCAAGGTCAGGAGTTCCAGACCAACCTGACCAACATGGAGAAACCCCGTCTCTACTAAAAATACAAAATTAGTCGGGCGTGGTGGCACATGCCTGTTGTCCCAGTTACTCAGGAGGCTGAGGCAGGAGAACTGCTTGAACTCGGGAGGAGGAGGTTGCGGTGAGCCTGCACCATTGTACTCCAGCCTGGGCAACAAGAGTGAAACTCTGTCTCAAAAAAAAAGACTTAAAAGACATAACATAGTTTTTCAAATGGGCAAATCTAAGCTATAGTCTGGAAATTAATGACATATAGTTTCACTGGATAATAAAACTATACACAGGAGGCCTGAGATGAGGTCAGGGTGCATGAGGGGGCTTTCAGGAGTGGGGCTCACTAAATCCTATTTCTTAAGTGGTAGTCAGAATGACTTGTGTTTACCTTGTAATAACCTAATAGGCTACATCATTCTTTCTTTAGTTTTCAGCATCTGTGCTTTATTATACAATAAAAAGGTAAATTATAAAGATATAGTCAATGAGTACAGAATCAAAGAAGTATCATGAAGCTTTCAAAGAAATATTCCTTACAAGAACAGATTTACTAAAAGAGTTCAATGCTTTCGTGAATCTAAAGATCGCATGCGGCTCTTCTAATCCTTCCCGCATTCTCACTAATCTGTGGAAGTGTTCACAGCTAAGAGAAAGCCATCTTCACACACCCCTTCCTCACATTTCTATTCCCTTCCCCTGAAGTTAACAACAGTAACTGTTTTCATATGGATCATCCAGACCTTTCTCCATTCGTTTATATACATAAATATCCATCCTTACACATATATTTAATTTCAAAAATCTAAATGGGATCATATACATGTATATGTACAGAGACACGCAAGTATATCACACACATATATTATACATATATACACATAGTTGCATGCATGTATATCACACACACTACACACACACACACACACACACACACACACATACATACATGTTTTTCTGCAATTTGCTTTTTTCATTTTCCACCTTGGAGATTTTCCAGTACTAAATTCTTTTTGAATCGCTCTAGACCAATCCACAGTACGAATGCACCATGGAATATTTAACCATTCCCCTACTGATGATGGATGTTTAGATTACAGATGCTCCTTGACTTAAGATGGGGTTACATTCCAATAAAATCGTCGTAAGTTGAAAATATCAGAAGTCAAAAATACACTGAATATACCTAATCTACCAAACATCATAGTTTAGCTTACCCTACTTCAAATGTGCTCAGAACACTTACATTAGCCTACAGTTGGGCAATATCATCCAACACAAAGCCTATTTTATAATAAAGTATTGAATATCTCATGTAATTTATTGAATACTATACTGAAAGTGAAAAACAGTATGGGTATCATATGAAGTTGAATCATTTTAAGTTTGAGACGACCTGTATTTCTTTTTTTTTTTTTTTGCTGCCTCTAACAATGAATGCTTATATCTCTGTGTATATCTCACTTGTTTTAAGTCAATATCAACCAAACTGAACCTACACTTTTTATAAGTGTTTGAAACACAACCTCAACACTCTGAGGTTAAAGATCAGCGAGGGCCACAGGATTACTTTTAAAAGCCCTTAGTTGTTATTGGTAGACTAGCAGAGAGAGTCTACTGGGTTGAATGTAGTTGGTCAGCAGAGTATTCCTTCTGCTGTTATAATCTGAAACACTGTGGGAAAAGATCAGTATTTTACCAAGCAGTCTTGGTAAAATTCTTTTGATAATTATTGTTAATTACCTGTAAGAGGTTTTATTACATCCTTCTTACAGTGGTCACTTTGCAGTCCTAGGATTTATCATCCTGTGTGTAAGAAGTGACTAAAATGCATGTACATTCTCTACACATCAATTGAATTCACCTGGGATCAGGCCTAAAGCATGTTTAGCAAATTCTATTAATATTCTAGGAAATACCATGGTATTTCCTTTAGCATACTTCCAGAAAACACATACCAAAGTTCCATTTAGGTACATTTCCTCTATTTTCTTTGATTTTAATAATGCAAATATTAATATGGCAATTAGGAATGTTGAGATTCTACTGATGTCAGATATATAGAAAAATAAAGAAAAGCACCATAAACTATATGAATGGGCCCATCGCTACTCACCATAACATTCCAAATTAAAAAAGCAATGAGATACTTTATACCTCTTGGGAGAACAAAATTAGAAAGTGGATAATATCAAGTATTGGTGAAGATATAAGCCGTTAAGTCCCAATGGCCTTCTGATATTTCCAACTTGTGATGAGTTTATTGGGATGTAACACCACTGTAAGTCAAGGAACATTTGTATCTCAACATCCATCAGTGGTGGAATAGTAAATACACCACGGTGCATTCGTACTATGGATTGGTCTGCGGCCACTTGAAAAGAATGTAGATTTCAGAGGAACTCTTGCACAGGTCTGGAGTGGGGATATGCTCAGAGACGTTCATCATGACATTGGTTGTGATAATGGGGGGCACAGGTGTCTGTCCCAAGCTGGATGGTTAAGAAAAATGTGGAATTCTATGCAGCAGTAAAAAGTAACCTACTATCTGACCTATAGCAATATAAATAAATTGCAAAAGCAATAACCAGTAAGAGAAGCTGGAAAAAGAATGAGACTTAGAGCACAATATGGTTGAGATAAATCAAAAGCACATGCACACATCAAATAATGCCATATGCTAAAAATAAGAATACTTGCATATGTAGGAACAATTACCAAATCCACAAAGTTGGTGCTATGGGTAATGGAAATGGAAGCAGGGATCCAGGAGAAGAAAAAAATAAACAAACAAAAGATGACAGGAGCTTGCATGCCCCAGTGATGATAGTGGTCTGTTAAAAGACGGATATGGGCCGGGCGTGGTGGCTCATGCCTGTAATCCCAGCACTTTGGGAGGCCGAGGCGGGCGGGTCACGAGGTCAGGAGATCAAGACCACGGTGAAACCCTGTCTCTAAAAAATACAAGAAATTAGCCGGGCATGGTGGTGGGCGCCTGTAGTCCCAGCTACTCGGGAGGCTGAGGCAGGAGAATGGTGTGAACCCGGGAGGTGGAGCCTGCAGGGAGCCGAGATTGCACCACTGCACTCTAGCCTGGATGACAGAACAAGACCCTTGTCTCAAAAAAAAAAAAGGGATATGATTATCTTAGCTCTCTGTACCTGGGGTGTGAAATAAAAGTACTAAAAATGAAGGAAGGAAAACAGAGAGAGAGAAGAATAAAGCAATTTTGACTAAGGAAATTGAATTTTTTTTTTTTTGCTTTTCCCAAAATTCAATCAAATATATTTTTCTTGGATTTAAACAACTCTTTGATAAAACAGTACTAGCACCACACATTTTCTGCAGAACTACAAGATAAAGAAATTCCCACTACCTTCAAGTACTAAGAGAAATAAAGATTACAATGCTTTCTCTTCCTCCATCAATAAGTGAGTAAAACGGGCTGGGCACCGTGGCTCATGCCTATAATCCCAGCACTTTGAAAGGCCACGACAGATGGATCACTTGAGGTCAGGAGTTTGAGACCAGCCTGGCCAACATGGTGAAACTCGTCTCTATTAAAAATACAAAAATTAGCTGGGTGTGGTGTTGTATGCCTGTAGTACCAACTACTTGGGGGGCTGAGGCATGAGAATCACTTGAACCCGGGAGGTGGAGGTTGCAGTGAGCCAAGATTGCACCACTGCACTCCAGCCTGGGCAACAGAGAGAGAGAGACTCTGTCTCAAAAAACTCAACTAAAATAAAATAAATGAGTAAAATGAAGACCGAAATTGGAATGTCAAACAGCCAGATGATGTCACTCCCTTTTGCACACATGATAATTACCACAAAAACCCAAACAGCTAAGAGTCATGGTGCGAGGCCACGCAGACTAACAAAACTGTTACCTTGATGATGCCAACCAAAGTCGTTTTCATCATTAAGATGCCTTCAGTAAAAATGGAAATAGCATGAGTAAGCTTGGCAACCTATAACAAAGAAAAAGAGGTATGAAAAATCACTGTCTAATAGTCCTGGAATGAACAAAGATAACAGGAAAAGAACTTGTAGCTTTAGGACACCTGTGTCCACATATTCTGGACAGAAATGAGGCTCTGTGGTACAACTGAAAGCCCACTGTTAGACATATTGGGTAACAGAGTCAGAAGACAACAGTTTATTCTTTCATGTTTGACAAAGCATTTCTCCTTTAGGCTTCATTTTCTCATGTCTAAAATTTGGGGCAGAATTCAATGATCTAGATGGGCCCTTTTGGCTAGAAAAGACTATGAGACTGAGAAGGTAACCTCCCCTTCCCTGGCCTCCCCATTATTTGCAAGCAATAGCAGCAGACATTGATAAGGTAGGCAGGTGCTAGCTATACTGTTGAATCAGAATAAACATGGAAATATCAAGCTTGATAATCTAAGTCCCTGACATATTTCTTGGACTTGTATCAGAATGGGAAATTGACACTGTACATCATATTTTCAATCTTCACTTGATTTTACTTTTGATGTCTTTAAATTCTAAGCTCAGGGAGAAAAAAACCAGAGGTGCTTGGGGAGAAGAACCTCTGAGGCTGCTGAACTATTATTGAGTGAGCTTAAAATCTGCCCAAAAGAAATGGTTAATGGAATATAGATTATTTTGAGCTGCTCAAAAAGGAACATGAATATGAAAAGTCAGGTCATCTAGCTCAAAGAGAACAAGGGCTGCTTTAGCAAGACTGTTATAGGAAAAAGTGACCAGCTAAGCCTCATTTCCCCTGAGAATACTGAGGCGAACAAGGCCTTAAGTGACACCAGGAAAATGTCAAGAATAAAAGGTGTGATTGTACTAAAATCATAAAACGCGTTTACCATTGCAAATGTGAGACAACAAGTCAGAATTGGTCTGGTGGTCCCCAGAATATGGCAGGTGACACAGGCCTGTGATATTTCATGACTGTTAGTTTTTAATATGAAAAGGCAGAAGTCAGAGGGACACAGCACCTCGTATCGTGGGCCTAGCTGAGCATAGTCCCTCAGCTTGTCTTTGTCCAGGCGGGTAGGCACTTCAATAATGTCGTGGGTCTGAAGCTTTATGATCTTTAGAAGAGATGTAAACATGCTTTCTGGGATGATCTGCAAAACCTTCAGTGAAAAGGAAAGCAGGAAACGCAATGAACATCTGTTTTACTTTTCTTGGCTGACAAATATTAGGATGCCTAATTTGTCTATATAGGGGGATGCTGAAAAATGTAAAAGAGCTGTTTTAATAACTGCTGGCAGGCACAGGGCTCCATTCCTTTAAACATTAATTGCTTACAGAATATAAAGCTAATCCTTCTAAAAATGCTGCAAAAGACTGTATCATTCCCATTTTACAGATTTTAAAAAGATCAAGGTTCAAAAATGTTAAGTAACATCACTATAGAGGACTGGCTAGAATGCGACACCAGTAAATTTTGAATTCAGGCTGGTCTGGCTCCATGCTCCATCAGAATTTATTAAAACGAGAATCAAAATTCCCATGAAAACCTGAACTGGGCTCTGACCGGGAGATGCTGGATCTAGATCAGGCTCTTTTACCAGATATGGCTCTGTGATTTTGAAGAAACTATTATAATCTCTGTTTCTACATCTATAAAATAGATGTGAATACCACCAACACTTAAAACACAGAAATAAAAGTTCCTGGCAAGTAAAAACATCTGTACATCCACAGTAGCAATAAGGGTAAGTTTATTTTTAGGTGTTGCAAATTTCTGGAATCAAATTTTTAAAAGGGAAAGAGACACGGATATACTTTTGGGGGGCCTAAGCATACTTTTTGTATTTAAAACAGCAGTTATCTGGCAAGAGTAAATATCACCCTGATGCATTTCTTACTTTTCTCACATAGGATACCAACTCTCCAGAATAGTACTGTGACACGCTGAGCAGGTCGGGGCTATTTGCCTGATTAATACGAAGAAGGGGCAGATCGAGGGCAGAGGCAAGCTGGAAGAAAAATAAGGTATATCTGTTTCTTGTTTCAAAAAGAGTCCTAGAAATCTTTCTTTCCAGAAAATGTAACATACAACAAAACATTTGGGTTTTACCCAACAGAGGGCATTAATAGTTTCTGACAATACAGTTTTTGAAAAACCCAAGTTAACTGTGATGGCAGTGGTTCTTAAACTGTGCTCCCTGGACCAGTAGCTTCCGCATGACCTGGGAACTTATTAGACATGCAAATTACTGGGCTCCACTCCACACTGACTTAGTCAGACACCCTGGGGGTGCGGCCCAGCAATCTGTGTTACAACCAGCCCCGCAGGTGATTCTGATGCATGCTCAAGTTTGAGAGCCACTGTGCCACAGAAAAGAGCTACTCCTGTGTGGAAATCAAGACGTTCTGATTGACGTTCTGATAGAATCTGATTGACAGATTCTACCGAATCTGTCCAATCTAATATGCCGTCAAGTGTAAGAAGTGCCATTATTTTATGTGCCATTCAGAAAAAAATTAAATGCTGACAACTAAACTATGATATGCCATCAATGATAAAACCCATCCCCAGTTACAGAAATGTTAAAATATGAAAAGAATTGTAGTAGCTAGGCGCAGTGGTGCATGCCTATAATTAAAGCTACTTGGGAGGCTAAGGCAGGAGGATCGCTTGAGCCTGGGAGTTTGAGACACAGCCTGGGCAACACAGTAAAACCCCATCCCCCTCACTCCCACGTCCCAAAAAAAGGTGCATCTCAGAATTGATGTACATGGTACATGGTAGCTCTGTCAGGAGACATTGAGTAGGCTGGGCGTGGGGGCTCACACCTGTAATCCCAGCACTTTGGGAGGCCAAGGCAGGAGGAACATTTGAGGTTAGGAATTCAAGACCAGCCTGGTCAACATGGTGAAACCCCATCTCTACTAAAAATAGTAAAAATTAGCTGGGCATGGTGGTGAACACCTGTAATTTCAACTACTTGGGAGGCTGAGGCAAGAGAATCGCTTGAACCCGGGAGGAGGAGCTGCACTCCAGCCTGGGAAACAAAGCGAGATTCCATCTCAAAAAAAAAAAGAAGAAGAAGAAGACACTGAGTAGACTCTTTGTTCATTTACCACGAACTGAAATTACCATGAGAGCAAGGACTGTGCCTGTTGTTCACCAATATTCCCTGTTACTGTAGATATTAGTACTAGTTTGTAGCAGAGGCTCAGTAATTTTTTGAATGAATAAGTAAAAGGACTTAATTCATGCCTAGGGAATAAAGGACACAAAGGACTCACATTTTTAGTACACAGATAAAACTTAAAAAAAAATCTATTCTTCACCTAAAAATAGTATTCCTGAAGACATTCCAACTTACATTAATTAAAACTTTAAATATTTCTGGAATCTTTGAAATTATGCTCTCGTGGAAAAACTGCTAACAATTTCAGTCTATAAAAATATTGAAATTATTTACCTTCCTAAAAGGATAAAATCCTGGGCTGAATTAATGAATGAGGTATGAATGAAGGCCAACTCTTTCCTAGCAACAGAGAATCTCACTGTTTTTTGCTTACCTTTAGGAAGGTAGCTCTGAGTTTAGTAACCATGGATGGATTTACCCTTATGCTTTCTTGCATGATGGATGTGAAACTGTAAAAAGAAAAGAAACGGTAAGAAGATGTTCCTAGGGCCTTTCATCTACAGCAAATGTCAGGCTGCCTACATTACCTGTCAATCAACTGCCAAGCGAAAGAAAGGTCCCCAACGATCTGCATTGTGATCAGAACCTCCTCTTTAATGTTAATGGTTCTGATCATTTGATGAAGAAACTTTCGAGTATCGGCAAGAAACTGACATACTTGCAGATTGGATTCCAACTGGTGGAATTCTTGAACCTGTGTTACAGAAATATACTTAATTTAAAAATCCTGAATGGACTCTATGGTGCTCATTTGTTCTTGAAAACACTTCAAATAAAGCACACTACTTCTGACAATTTCTTGATAAAGTTTTTATTTCAAATTATAAATTTCAGAAACGTGAGCCAAGCTATTAAAAAATGCACAAGTTTCTAGGATTAGAAAATGTTCCGCTGCTTATTGTGTATATCACAACCATGTGTTGGAATTTGTGTATTATTAAGTTCTTTTGATGCACTTTTAAAAACAAAACAATGATTCTACAATGTCTTGAAATTTTAATGTATATAACTGAAGATGCCTGGGTTATATGACAAAATAAATAAGGCAAATGATAAAAAGCATTTGAGATTTACAAAGTTGTTTACGATCATATTATAGACTAAAAAAATCCAAACAAGCAAAGTAGAAATAATACAAGTGTGCAATTGTTCTGGAATAAGAAACTTTGGTAGAATTATTTTACTGTGTTGCTGTTTATAGCGACCATCCTAAAAACCTTGCAGAAATAAGAAAAAGCCTGTAAGAAAATATTCCAAGTGAAAACAGTATTAATTATATCTCTAAAAATATATAATCATACCAATTGGATAGGGTTATAGATTATGAGTAAAAATGATGTTTTAAATAATAGAGTTGGCCGGGCACGGTGGCTCATGCCTGTAATCCCAGCACTCTGAGAGCCCGAGGCAGGTGGATCACCTGAGGTCAGGAGTTTGAGACCAACCTGGCTAACATGGTGAAACCCCGTCTCTACTAAAAATACAAAATTAGCTGGGCATGGTGGCAGGCGCCTGTAGTCCCAGCTACCCAGGAGGCTGAGGCAGGACAATCGCTGGAACCCAGGAGGCGGAGGTTGCAGTGAGCCAAGATTGTGCCCCTGCACTCCAGCCTGGGTGACAGAACTGGATTCCGTCTCAAAAAAAAAAAAAAGAGTTTATGATTATTTTTCTGCTGCTTTTAGTTATCATTTTAAATCTAGTTAAATACACAATTAAAATTTAAGAGTGGTGAGGTATAATTTTTTTGGTACAATCATTTTTGAGTTGAAAGAAAAACAATAAACTATTTTTTTCAGAAAAGAAAATATATCACTTATAAGCATATGACCATTATATAATTATTTTCATTTTTGTGTATTCCTTTCTGGTTTTTTCCCCCAAGGCACACACTTTTTTACAACCCTAAAAATGGTATACACATGCAATTTTGTTTTTGCTTTTACCTCCTTATCACAATTTGCCCAATGTTTCTATATTATTTTTATAATTATGTTTCTAAGATTACATGTTTCCTCAAGTTACAATATCGTAATTTTTGCTACCATTCTCTTCATACTAGTTATTTATTTCCCCAAATTTAGGACAGTATACGTTACAGGAAACATATTAATTCACATCGCTTTTACTTCTGATGAAATAGTCTCTCAGCTATATTTACAGGAACAGACTGCTGGGTGGGTCATAAGGTGTGATTCATGATCCAAGAACCTGCATTTAAAAAGCGTTTCCTTACCTCTTCCAAAGCTTGTATCAGTTGTACAGTTTTTCTGCCCGCAGCAGTAGAATCATCATAATTTAAAGACAATATTTGTTTTGAGATCTCTCTGAACCAAGCTTGAAGGTTTTCTAGTAATACAGAAATAAGAAAATACTGAAATCCTCGAATTCCTGTAGCTGTGGCTTTGAATTTAACTAAATAATCTTTTATAAATTCAGTTCTTCAGAGCTTTAACCGTGGGCCTAACACTAGGAATTTTCCAAACGACAAAAATGCCTGGAGCATGCGACATAGTAGAATAAACTTTCTACATAAATAGCTTAGTCTACAGCACTTGGCAGACAAATACTAAAGGCTCAAGTGCATGCTATAAAGTGTAGAGGTGGTGGTGGCAGTGGAGAAGAGTTGGAAAGGAACTGAAGGATGACCCTAGTTACCAGGGAGAATTTTCTGGAGAAGCGAGGAAAAGTAAAGATCAGATCATCGGAGAGATGAAGAAGGGAATTGTATCCAGATGAAAGGCAGACACAGGCAGAGGCTTCAGGGCAAGAATGACAAGAGCATATCTTGGAGGGCAAAGAAGAGACCAATATGACAGAAGTGTAAGGTGTGACTGGTGAGTCACAGGGATGTCTGAACAATGCAGGGGGTGCCATTTGCACTTAGGAACCGGCAGACATTTCATACAGTAGAGAAAGAGAAGGGTGTCCACATGCTCTGATTACCCTCAGTGTGTCAGGCAAAGTTCTAAGTATTTGATCTTCATAGCAATACAGGGAGGTGGAAATTGTTAGCCATTTCCCAGATAAAGAGGCTGATGCTCAGAGAGACTGAGAATGCTATACAGGGTGACACGGTGACTAAATGGCAGAGCCAGGATTTACAATTATCTGTCCAGGTTCAAAAACTCTGTGCTCTTTACCTCACCAAGTTGATCCCCTAAAGTTTTTTTTTTGTTTGTTTATCAATGGGGTGGTCCCACGTTATTAAAAGGCCTTAAAGACTTACGATCTAAGTTATTTCAAGAATTGGCATGACAAACACTCATTTTTGAAGATTTTTGTAGGGCTGAGGGGCAGCGATGGAGTAGTAGAAAGAGCATGAAATTTGGGGTCTGAGATGAGTGAGACCCAGGCTCTCCACCTTTGTACCTTCAGCAAATGATTACATTTTTAAGCCTCAGTTTCCTTATATATAAAATAAGGATTAAGATGTGTATCTTACAGGGTTGTAAGGATGAGAAAAAACTGTGAAAGTATGTCCTAAGCTGTAATTAAACTATACAGCTGGAAAAAAATGTAAAATTGTTATTTCATCTCTGAAACAAAGTTGGTATTTGTAAGGGCCTAAAAGACACTATCACAGAGATTAATGCACTAATTCTAGGCAGCTAACCGGGTCAGATTGTTACACGTGATTGTTTTGCAGGTCACAATATGATAACCATAATATTCATTCTAGACTTCAGGTTTCATATCACAATATGGTGACCTGCAAAACATGTTTCTAGTTTATATCACATCGTTATACGTTGGCTGGCTTTTCCCTATAGGAACAATAATACAATTTGGAAATATATTTTTGACCAACCACTCAGCATCAAAGAAATAAACAAAAGCTAAAATACAGTAATCACAAGCTCATACTGATTAAAAATAATAGTTTTTAAACAAGAAGCTACACTACTAAGCAATTCTACAGTATAATTAACTTCATCAGAAATAGATCTGATAGTTAAAACAAAATTAAGCGTTAAAAAAATAGTTTGTCACCATAAAATTCAGAATGGTTTTTTGGGAGCAGTTAGAAATTTCTTATTTATAAAAAATTTGAAATGATGCCAGAACTTTCCTATAAATAAAATTTCCTAGAAGAAGTAGGATCAAAATCATTAAAGTAAAATTTTAGTTTGTGTTTTTTCAAAACTAGTCTGCAGTACCCTCTTCTGCTACTAGATAGCAGGTGCATTCGTGAACAAGAATCAAGCAAAATCAGAAGAATTTTAGATATCATCTATGCTGGTAGATTATGACATTCTTGGGTGACGTATTCTTCTTGAGAAGATCATGAGAATTATAGATCCTTTCCCCCCTTTCCCCAAATCACTAAACTGACACATTAGTTTTGCATACCATGGAGATGGAGGCCAACTGTGACTCTCTAAACTCTTGTCTATGAACTGGAGTTACCAAAACCCCTGGTTTAGCATAACCTCACATTTCAAAGATAAGATATAAAACCTGAACTCTAAAATGAATATGAACATTGCCCAAGAGAGCAGAGAGCTAGACGCAGCCAAAACTAACCTTCAGATCTTTATTAGCAACACTAAAGATGGAATATCATAGGATACAATAATGAGAACATAAAGTCTTTTTAACCTGCCAGTTTCCAAGGTTTCAAATAACCTGTGCACACATTCCAAACACACCAGTATTTCCTCTTCAGTAATTACCATTTTTCTCCACTCTGGTTAGGGGTTTCACTCCTGAAAAGACATCAGCAAGCTCAGTCATCCGCTCCGAACCCTCTTTCTTGTAATGCTCCCATTTGGTTTGCTTTTCTGAAAGCATTTGCTTGAACATCTGTTGAAGCAACAGAAAATATTTATTTACTTAAGAGAAAAATCCAGACTAGGCAGCTTATGAAGAGAGCTTGAGGAAACCCAATTTAAATTTTAAATAAGAAGCTACACTATAAATTAACATTGACCCTGATGTCATCTCCTCAGGCACTGATACTTTGCAGAAATTCAGGGACAAAGCCAGACCACCTCCAAAACAGTAGTTCTCACACCAACACCAACAGCACATAAGCACCACCAGGAGGCTTTAAAGTTTTCAGATTCTCAAGGCCCACCCCCAAAGATTCTCGTTCAGGCGGTCTTGAATAGGGCCAGAAATCCGCATTTTTAATGTGAGATTAAATTTGTGACCACTGCTCTATGGTTCCTTCTAGGCAACAATGTCTGCAATTCTAACGTAAACAGTCAGGGACAGTTTGTGTATTACCTTCTCCAATGACTGGGGAATGAACTAGATTACCTGCAAAAGTTCTTTGTTTTATTATACAAGTTTAATTGTTTATTTTTATTTATTTATTTATTATTATACAAGTAATTGTGTTTATTGTTATTTATTTATTTAGTTTTTGAGAGACAGGGTCTCACTCTGTTGCCCAGGCTAGAGTGCAGTGGGGTGATCATGGCTCACTACAACCTTGAACTCCTGGGTTCAAGTGATCCTCCTGCCTCAGCCTCTCAAGTAGCTAGGGCTATGGGCATGCGCCACTACACCTGGTTAATTTTCTTATTTATTTATTTTTTTTTTTTTTGCAGAGATGGGGGCCTTGCTATGTTGCCCAGGCTGGTGTCTCAAACTCTTGGTGTCAAGTGATCCTCCCTCCTTGGTCTCCCACACTGTTGGGATTATAGGCATGAGCCACTGTACCGCCTTAATTCTGTTTATTAATTCACTCCTTCATAACATTTAAATTCTACAAAGTCTTGGGCAGAGAAGAAACGGGTGTAACTCAGGGTTGGGTTTTTTTTTTTTCTGAAACAAACTTAAAAAACATACTTATTTCTCACTAAAGGACACGCCATCTCAGACAAGGGTAGATGGTCTTTTACACCGGGCTCTTAGGAGGTAAACAGGCATGAACTCTGATTTCTCGCTTAAGAAATTCCTCACTTGCCAGCATCATAATAAATCTTGAAAAGCTGAGCAATGGGATAGGGAGACTCCATCTGCAGGTGGAGAATCAGGGCTCTGTGGAATTTTGCGGGGCCTGTAGAGGAAGAATCTTAGTGATCTGGCAGAATGACTAACCAATAAAATGATGACGGAGAGGATGAGGAATAATGAAATTATTTATAGAGTCTACCCTAACTTTCTGAGTCCCTCGGATCAATCAATGCCATTTGATAATGGCAAAGCAACAACATAAGAGCACCCTGAAGCCTTCGTAAGAGACTACATGGCGTCAAGCCCTTCAAACACTCATTCACATGAACTCACAGGTTTCACATCTCACAGGATGGAATTTGGGATAGGGGATGGTCCCTGAATTAGGAAATGTGCTGTCATATAAAGATTAGAAAAAACACAGGTCCAATTACTGTGTCTATAGGATAGTCAGAAAGTGACTCTATGAACTGTGCAGGATGGGAAGTAGGACAGAGGAAGCACAGGTTAAAGAACCCAGCTGAAATGTCAGAAATTCAAATGTATCATTTCTTTGAGCAATTTGTATTGGGTATTTTTTTTTTCTTTTTACCAGAGCTTTCCTGAAGACCTCTAATGAGGTGGTACTCCTTTATGCTGTCTTGTTTCCTGTCTACCTGGATAGACAGAAGGAAGCTGTCCATTCTGTTTCAATAGATTCCAGAGAACAGACTTATCATTAGAAATACAGGCTTGGTCAGTCAGATAGCCTAGGTCTGTCCTGATTTCCACTCAACAATGCTGAACTACATATTATCTATAGAACTCTTGGGTCCCTGGGGCTCTAGTTCATAATTCTAACTGGTCTGAGGGCATTTCTTTCATTCCTTTTTTTTTTTTTTTTTAGGCAGAGTCTTGCTCTGTTGCCCAGGCTGGAGTGCAGTGGCATGATCTCGGCTCATTGCAACCTCTGCCTGTGTTTTCAAGTGATTCTCCTGCCTCAGCCTCCTGAAGAGCTTGGAATACAGGCACGCGCCACTGCACCCAGCTAATTTTTGTATTTTTAGTACAGATGGGGTTTTGCTATGTTGGCCAGACTGGTCTCGAACTCCTGACCTCAGGTGATCCACCCGCCTTAGCCTCCCAAAGTGCTGGGATTACAGGTGTGAGCCACTGCACTCGACTGGGCATTTCTTCCTTGCGGGCATTTTTTCATTTGCCTTTGAAAGGCCACTTTTGCTTTGACCTGGTTCCTGTTCTTGGATCTTTCCTGTTTTCTCATCTTGGCTTAATCTGTCTTTCTTCCCTCACTATACTGACAGGGCAGCTCCTAGACGGTAGGGACACATTTTGTTCATATTTAAATTTCCAGCACCTGGCAAAGAACAGAGTAGGTATTCAATAACTATTTGCTATTCAGAGGGAAACCATTAAAATTATTAATAGATCAAAAAGGAGCAGCATTTATCTGATTTGATAAAATTATGCCCAGACAAATCACTGAAAACACTAAGCACAGGCATTATCATTATGTTAGCAGTCAGTATCTATTTTTTCTGAGCTACTTAGTAGGGGAATATAGTATCCTCAGAAACCTAGAAGATAAAGAAACATCTAATATACTAGTAACCATACTGAAGCAAGATGAGGATCTGTTCCGAATGGGTATAAATGTCTGGGCTAGTTCCTGGGCCCACCTGATCCAAGCCCCCAGGGATACTGGTTATAAAACCTGAGCATTCCCAGGTACCCATCATTTTTATTATGCCCATACAGGCTTCTTCAGAGGTAAGACTAACCTCAGCATTTCCTTCAGTGAACTCAGATGCCTGAAGTCCTCAAGATGACCTTGTACAAATGCAAATCACCCACCCCAGTTAATACCCTTTCCAGTGGTTCTCATGGCTCTTAGGATAAAGACCAAAGTCCTGCAAGGCCTAGTATGGGCTGACTCCTGCCTACCTTTCAGCCTCATTTCACACTACCTTTCTCTCACTCTCTCTCCTCCAGCCAACTGGTCTTTCAGGTCTTTGAATTGTTTATGTTCCTCCTCACCAAAGACGACTTGATATTCTTCCTGTCCCTGGAATGTTCTCCATCACGCTCCCTACCTTTGTCTACCTAACACTAACAGATCCCTTCCCCAGGCCCCTTCAGAAGCTCTTGCGTCTCTTCTCATGGAAGTCTACCAGGATGCAACAGGATACTTTATTCTAGGTACCTGGAGAACTACATTCCTTTCCTTCAGAGCAAATATCTGAGTTCATATTTACATTTTTATTAGTGTGATTCTGTTTTTTTGAGACAGGGTGTCACTCTGTTGCCTAGGCTGGAGTGCAGTGGTGCGATCTTGGCCCACTGCAACCTCCGCCTCCCAGGTTCAAGTGATTCTCATGCCTCAGCCTCCCCAGTTGCTGAGACTACAGCCGTGTGCCACCATGCCCAGCTAATTTTTGTATTTTTAGTAGAGATGAGGTTTCACCAGCCTGCTGGCCAGGCTGATCTCGAACTCCTGACCTCAGGTGATCTGCCCACGTGGGCCTTCCAAGGTGCTGGGATTACAGGCATGAGCCACTGCACTTGGCCTAGTGTGATTCTTTGATTAATGTCTATATTCCCCATTAGGCTATAACCTCTACCATCTTGAGTACCTTTCCCCATCACTGTATCCCCAGTGAAAGGAGGCACTACAGGCTTGTTAAATGTTTATTCCTGTCCTTTAACTATAAGAACTATCTCAACAGCTCAAATCTGTACCTTGAATCAGAGACAGAGCAAGCAATCCTAGTCTTTTTTTTAAAAAATATTTTTAAGCATAAAAAAGCTAAGACTGTGGTGATATTCATTCAAATATTTTTACCTCTTTGAGTATAAACTCAAATTGTGCAGTATCTAACAGCAGCTGGAAGAGGATCCTGGGATTGTACCGAGAGTCTGTTAGAATCTGGTCCTTGATTTGACGAAGGCGTTTG
Source organism: Homo sapiens (assembly GCF_000001405.40). Classification (NCBI taxonomy): domain Eukaryota; kingdom Metazoa; phylum Chordata; class Mammalia; order Primates; family Hominidae; genus Homo; species Homo sapiens. The sequence goes on from NC_000008.11 coordinate 125,067,704, forward strand.
TTGTTTGGGTCACAGGCTAGAAACAGGAAAAGTGTTACCTGCTTACTAAATGTGTAGAAAATATCTATGAAATAAGATAAATTATTAAATATTTTCCTTCATTTTAACCATTTAAAAAGTAATAAGCAAAATGTATATCAATAAAAGATGGTGAAATATAGTACATCTATGCCATGGAGTACAATTAAACTGTTAAATGACAGTTGAATCTGACATGGAGTGCCATCCTTGAAAGATTGTTGAATGACAAAAAGCAAGCTGCAGAACAGTGTTTCCAAATTTTGTGAGCATTCTGCGGTTTGTTTATAGCAACTGTCTAAAACGAATGGGCAGAGCCTCCTTGTACTACTTCATAGCTGGGTGGCTTCCTCACGTCCTGTCTGTTCGGAGTTGCTTTTGCTTTAGACATTGATCCCTGCCATTCAGTAACGGACTGCTATCCCTAGAGAGGCCTGTTTGCAAGGTTGGCTCTTGGCTGGCATCTGGGAACTTGAATTTCACGAAGAGCTGCCATCATTTTGAGAACTCACAAGATCAGCTCACTAAGCCTTAAATGATTGTACAAACAACGTTTTCCTTCTGGAAGTCTGGAATTTTGGTACATGCTGGGCAGAGGCTACCTATGTAAGCAGCCCCCAATAGAAACCGAAGGAAGCTGAGTCTAATGAGCCTTCCTGGTTGACAACACTTCATATGCATTGTCATGACTCACTGCTGGGGGAATTAAGTGTGCCCTGTGGGACTCCACTGGGAGAGGATGCTCGGAAGCTTGTGCCTCATTCCTCCAAATTCACTCCGTGTGCCCTTTTCCTTTGCAGATTTTGCTTTCTATCCTTCCGCTATAATAAATCATAGCTGTGAGTACTACTAGATGCTGAGTCCTCTGTGTCCCTGTAGTGAATCACTGAAGCCAGAGTGGTCGTGGGGAATGCCCGACACAACAAGGAAGGGTTCCTCACACAAAGATGAGGGACCCCCAAACAAGAAGCAGCAGACCTCTGGCCATCCTGCTTCTTGTAGAGGCCAGAGGGCATGGCAGGCAGTCAGAGTTTTCTGAACTATCCACTACCCAGGCACTAGGCCAAGGTCACAAAATTAGGCAGTGATTGACCCAAGGTAAAAATACTGGATGTCCTAATTCTTAGATGATCCTATCTGCCAAGCTAAACCATTTCAAATGAAATAAACGCCAAGTTAAAAGAATAGAATAAAAAATATTGATATTTGCTTAGATTGGTTTATAAGGCCAATTACTTATCTAAGAAAGAGTAAGTAGAATAAGGCAAAATACTTACAAGGCAAAGCTACTGCTGCGGTTTCAATGCGTCTTCCAAAAGTTCACATGTTAGACACTTGGTTGCCATTGTGTCAGCGTTAAGAGGTAGAGCCCTTGGCAGGCAATTGTGTTATGAGGGGTCCACCCTCATGAATGGATTAATGCCATTATCTTGGGAGTGGGTTAGTTATTCCAACAGTGGCTTTGCTATAAAAGTGAGCTCTCTCTTGCACCCACTATCTTGCCCTTCTGCCTATCTGGCATATATTGACCCTTGCTAGATGCTGGCACCATGCTCTTGGACTTCCCAGCCTCCAGAACCATGAGCCAAATAAACTTCTTTATACATTTCCTACTCTGTGGTATTCTGTTATAGCAGCAGAAAATGAACTAAGACAAATAAAGTCAAAATAAAAACTCTAAGACTTAAACAGACTTTGTCAAAAAGTTCACAGCTGATAGGTATAAGGTATATGGTAGTTACACTAGTATTACATGTGCCCCCTCCTGCCTTCCTAGTCCTGCCCCCATCAATATCTCAGGATGTCTGGCAGGTACAGAACAACAATGTTGTATAGATATATGTATATGTCATGGGTGGTTTTGTTGCTTTAGTTATGATGAAGCCTGTGGAAGGTCATCTTATATGCTGATTTCTAAGTTACTCCATCAGGAGGAGACTCGTGACAACCTGGAAAAGAGGCTCAGTTTTCATGGGAAACTGCAAAGTTCTGATTTTTCATGAATTTGCCAGAACTATGTGGGAAGAAATATATTGGAACTGGTGACACTGATTACACAAAGTGAAAATTTTCAGCTCCATATTTACCTAACTAAACAAAAATCAAACAAACTCAGAAGGAGCTCCAGTTGTCTTTATACTAATTTTAATTAAACTAGAAATCTCCTGATTTTAATCTGCTTTCATGTTTGCATAGGGAATGTTTAAGTACCCAGTTGTTGGACAAACACTCTGTATTCCTCAATGTGCTTTAACATTTAGCTTCTTGGTATAAACCAGGTTTGCTTCTGGGGTTCCCAGGGCCTGACCATCTCTCTCAGATCTGACCCTTAAGGATTCATACCCAGAGAACTGCAGAGCCATCAGAACTTTGGGGTCAAACTTCAGTAGCCAGCCAGCCTTTCTCATCCCTTATTTCCTCAGAGAATATTTCTTTACAAGGTTCTGTACAAGCATCCTAAGACTGGGAAATGCCTCCAGCAACTCAACAGGAGGCAATGAGACTAGGCCTGCTTTTCTGAACACCATGACTGAAATTCCACAAAAGTTAACTAAGCAGTTGCTTTTCCCATGTGTGACTCACAATCAGATAGGTCAATCATTTGTTTCTGATAAATTACGACCCTGTGCAATCAGGTCAGACAATTGCCAGGCACAAACGCAAAAGACAAATGTGGCTGAAGATAAAACCACAGACCTCTGGCAAGCCAAGGTTGTCCCTGGCATGGGTGCGAATTCAGGAGACTGCCGGCTTTCCGAACATAGACAGGGCCGTCAGGCAGAGTCACACAGAAGATGAAGATGAGGCTGAGTCACTAGAAAACCCCAGTTGGTTTTATGACAGGATAAAGTGAGGGCTTGAGTTGTTTATACGCTTGTGAATGCAAGACTTTTGGTAAAGAAGATTAAAAGCTGAGTCAATGTAGTAAAATCCTCAAATTAGAACTGGAGTTTATGTAAAAAATAAACTCAACTAATTAAAAACAGATTCAGGGATTAAAAACTTCAGCCATCGTGTTCATACTGTGGGTAAATTGTAAATGGATATAGGCCAACAAACAAGATGATGAAACAAACTGGAAAGCAGCTCTCAGGATAAAGGTTTAAGAAGCTGGAGAGAAGGCTGAGGGGAAACTCCACACATTTTCAAAGATACGAAGGATGAGGAAGTCCAACTGCTGTTTTCACTGTGGACCACCCATAGGAAGTGGAAGCAGACGGTAGCTAGAAGGACTGTGAAGTCATCTTGGCTGGAAGAGCTGTGAGACAGGGGCTACCATGTTACAAAGGAAGGCTACAGAGAAGTCTTGTGTGCACAGTTTTTTAAAGAGACACAGTCTTATCTGGAAGAACAAAGAAGTGCTGCACACAGTGCCTGTCTCAGAGTTGGTCCTCAAGGAAAGTTTGTTGAGTGAAAAACAAAAAGCAGAGGGCTTCACAGGCCTGCTGAATGACACACCTCTTAGGGGTAGGGGTATACAGTCCTGGATGAGGGAATGCATTGGTTAATTAGTGTTGATCCAGCATTTACGAAGAATAAGAAACTGTGCCAGCCCTGAACAAGCTCAGAGATGTTAATTCAACTTACTTATTTTTCTACCATTAAACCAGAGGTTGAAGCATTTCTCACAATCTGAACTTGATGGTCAAACTGTGTGAACAGAAGGTCTCGGAGGAGACCATGACTCATAAAAAGCTAAGATCCAATCTACCTTAAATAAGCACTCTGGTCCAGCCAGGTCATCAACTCAGTGGGCCCATATGTTTTTCTGTACTTTCAAAATCGTATCACTTATTCCATCATTTCTGTAGTCTAGAATTTCTTCTGCTTTTTGCTTCAAAACCTCATCACACGCCTGGTTGGCTCCTGATTCCTGTATGGGGTTTCCTGACCTCCTCTGCTCCCCTATCCCAAGCAATGTTTCCCTCTCTACTCTGAACTCAAATCACACCAACTGTCTGTTTGACACACCTGGTGTCTGTTTACTGCCTTGGACCTTGAATTAGTTTCCCGCTGCTGCTTTAACAATTACCACAAACTCAGTGGCTTAAAACAACACAAATTTATTCTCTCACCATCCCAGAAGTGACAAATCTGAGATGGGGCTCACTGGGCTAAAATCAAGGTGATGGCTGCGCTGGGCTCCTTCTGGACATTCTAGGGGAAAAGTCTGTTTTCTTGTTTTCAGCAGCTAAAGGCTGCCTGTATTCCTTGGCTTGTGGCCCCCTCCATCTTTAAAGCCAGCAATGGCCAGTCAGGTTTTTGTCACAATGCTATCTCTCTGGTTCTGACACTTCTACCTCCCTCTTCCTGATTTAAGGACCCCTATATTTACAGGCTGGGCATGGTGGCTCAGACCTATAATCCTAGCACTTTGGGAGGCCGAGGTGGGCAGACTGCTTGGGCTCAGGAGTTTGAGACCACCCTGGCCAACACAGTGAAACACTGTCTCTACAAAAAAATACAAAAAACTTAGCCAGGCATGATGGCACACACCTGTAGTCCCAGCTGCTTGCGGGGATTGCGGAAGTTGTATCGCTTGAGCCCAGGAGGTCTGAGTGAGCTGAGATTGTGCCACTGCACTCAAACCTGGGGAACTTGAGATCCTGTCTTAAAAAAAAAAAAAAAGTGGGGGGGGGGGGCGGGCTCTTATTTTATTATTCTTTTTTGAGACGTGGTCTTGCTCTGTCACTTAGGCTGCAGTGCAGTAGCATGATCTTGGCTCACTGCAGCTGCAACCTCCCAGGCTCAAGTGATCTTCCCACCTCAGCCTCCCCAGTAGCTGGGACTACAGGTGTGTGCCACCATGCCCAGCTAATTTTTTTACTTTTTGTAGAGATGGGATCTCACTGTGTTACCCAGGCTGGTTCTGAACTCCTGGGCTCAAGCTCTCCTCCTGCCTTGGCCTCCCAAAGTGATGGGATTACAAGTATGAGCCACCACACACAGCAAGGACCCTTATGATTACACTGAGTCCACTGGGATAATCCAGAAACATCTCCTTAAAGGTCAGCTAATAGGCAACCTCAATCCCCCTTTTTCATGTAATATATCTACCGGTTCAGGGACTAGGGCATGAACATCTCTGGGTGTGGGCTGGAAGGCACTATTCTGCCTACCACAGATCTGCAGTTCTATTTTTTCATATGTCTACATTTGATCTCCCCATTCTGATCAGTGACAAGCTCCTTGAACATGAGAGATAAACATCCTCTTATTCCCTAGCACCTAACAGTACCTGACAGGGGAGAGCTTTTCAGGTATGCTAGTGGCCTATCCAAGTTGACAAAAAATGACTAACTTTAAAAAGCAACTTGATTCTCATCCAAGGCCTCTCTCCCTGCTAAACCACTCTGCATCGTGAAGTAGGTCCTGATTCTGAGAGTCTTTATGTGGAGTAATATAAACGGCCACCCCTTTTGTGCATTACCTGAGTCTGCTGTATGAAGCATCAGCCATCGGATGGCAACATTGCAGTCTCTCAGGCAGTTCAGAAGCTTTGGGATATTGTCCAGAACCATCTCCTCCCTTAAATAACCTTCTTTTAGAAATTGCTGCACTTGAGCATGCACTCTTTCACTGACAGTAGCATATCTGCTTGCCTTGACAAATAAGAAACTTGAATTACATTTAAAAAGTCATTTATCTTGAAAATAAATCACATTCAAATGAATTCACTGACAAATAGTAACATTTCTATATAGGATGAATGACATATGGATTACAGTTATAGGGCTCGAAGATAACATTTCTATAAGATGAATGACATATGGACTACAGTTATAGGGCTCAAACTTTAACATTTTTATATAATTTCTGTACAAGATGAATGACATATGGACTACAGTTATAGGGCTCAAACATTAACATTTTTATGTAATTTCTATATAAGATGAATGACATATGGACTATAGTTCTAGGGCTCAAAGATAACATTTCTATATAAGATGAATAACATATGGACTATACTTATTGGGCTCAAAGACAACTGGCTTATTGAACATATTTGAAAAAAGCACTGGACTTAGAATTCTGAGACTACATCCTAGTTCTGGCTGTGATTAAACTTTGGTGTGACTTGGGGCTTAACCCCTGTGTATTGGTTTCTTCAAATTTCAAACGGAGACTTGGACCAGGTGGTTCCTCAGAACTCTTCTATTATTAACTTAGATGAAAAAGAAAATAAAGACAGAAGTTCAATTGCTTGTTCTTGCTAATACTGTTGACAAAGAAGGCAGAACAGAGCAGAAACACTTAAAATATAAGACTTCTTCTACAGGCTTATGAAAGCTTAGCAAAAAATACACCTTAGTATATCAAAAATGAATTTCCAAACCAGCTTTTTGGAAAATTTGGTCATTCTGCTTTACTTAAAGGAAGTCAAATGTTAAACATCATTAACCTCATCAAGTTAGTTGAAATCTGTGGTATCAAGAAACCTCTTAAAAATGTCACAAATGAGAAAATGCAATTTTAGAAAGGGATTTTAGCAATGAAAAATTAATGATCTGATGTTGCTAAGTATAAAAGTGCCACTTTCTCTAATATATTTCTAGGAGATGTGCCAACATTGAAATTATTTTGTGCATTATTTATGGAATTCAATTTACTTGAATAAAACATGATGAAGTTTTTTGAGTCAATATTGTTTTATCCACACAGGAAACTCAGTAACTGAGCCAGGATGAGGAACATAACCATTTAGAAATATCAAGTATGCTCCCCAAGATTTTATCTTTATTCCTCTACTTACTTGGATGTTCCCTTCTGCCTTGTGTAAGAACAAAAGAGATAGAATATAACCGTTTAACCTTTAAGATGAATGTCTTGAGTCTTGTTGCTTATTTAGCACAACACAAATGATAAATTTAAATTACAGTGACAGGACATATTATCCATATTCAGTTATCATCTTCATCATTCATCCTACTTATAAAAACATATTAATTCCAGCTATTGGTACAACCAACTCTGGCCATGAGAATATAGTCTTTAAGCAAAAGTAAACTAAGTCATTTGGGGCATATGCCATGCTTCTTTGTCTTAGGGTACTGACTCTTCCTTGGGATCCTAATCTTCAATTTACATATACTATATAACAAAACCTACAATTACCTATCTTATTCTAACCTATAAAATTCACCTTTTATTAATCATTGCATTAAATTATCTAAGTGATTATCTTCCAAATTCCTTGGGAAATCTACTTAGCTTATTTGCTACTTCATAAACTAGGCCTGCAGTTATCAGAGAATGTCCCCAGATTAGAACCTACCTGTTCTCTGACATTTGAAAGGTCCAGGGTATTATTTAAAGCAGTTTTTGCAGCTTTGTAAGGTTCCCAAGCATCTACTAGATTAACTGTGATCCCCATGTAAATACTAATTACCTGAAAGAGGAGACATTCAGAATTTGTTAAATTCCTACTCACTTCAAGGCAAAGGGTTGAATACTAAAGTTATAGAAGGCAATACCCACTCCATGTTTAAATTCCATTCCAATGAAAAACCAAGATTTTCCAAATATATAGGTAAGTGTTCCTGATTGTTAAGTAAGTGTTCCTGATTGTTAATTCACGTTAATAGGTATAAAGATCTCTTTACACCTATTAACGTTGCTTTTTGAAATTCTCTATTGTGTAATATTAATGTTTTCTCACCAGTTGTTTTATTGGTTGGCAATTGCCTGGGATATCTTTTTTTAAAATCCCTTCATTTTCACTGTGCTAGGGTATTTTTTCAGGTGTGTATCTTACAGGTTTCATGTAATTGGATTTTGGTCTTTCTTAATAATAAATATGTCTTTAATTATAGTATCATGGTCAAAACTTCTTTATTAAACTTAGGAACCTGAAGCCACACTATCAGTGTTTTCCTCTTGGCTGCTCAACTCTGAGCTCACTAATATGATTCACAGTTGGCCAGGAACCACCACTTCCTAATGTAGGCTGTTCTCATACTACCAATAAATTGAAGGCCCCTCATAACGATAGTTTATGTGATTCAACAGCCGATATAGAAGCAGAACAAAATCTGCTACATGCGAATATAATCCAACTCCCTGCATTTTGTTAAAGCCTCTTTGTTTTCATATATTTCATTTCATATATATTATGAAGCAAGCTTTATTCCTATAAGAATATTTTTAAATGAAACAATGCTTACAAAGGTACAAGCATATCCTTGCAATAATATAAACTTTAGTAACCCCATTACAGTTAGCTTATAGGTAAAACTTTATTATTAAAGTGAAATTCCTATTCACAAAGTGACAAATTAGATGAATTTGGCTATCTTAGATTCAGAAAATGGAAAAGAATAAATAAATTCTTACACAACTTAGTTGTAATCTCAGTAGCTAAAGCAAGAGACATTTTAATAAATGATTTAATCTTGAGAGTATCCATTTTAGAAAAAGACTAGTGGGTTCTTCAGGAAGTTTTACTGACTCATTTATTCCTTCATGTTATAATTATAAAATTCTCAATACAGTTAGAGCAAGTTTACCTAAGTGATGTTATGTCCCATTATTTACAACATTACAACCTGTGGGTTAAAGGCCAAAAGAATGGGAAGTTAGTTCTCTAACACATTTACTGTAGAGGAAAAAAATTAGCAATACTTGCCCAATTATCTGGAAAGTATTTATCCACTATCTCTCTCATTTTTGCTTGATGGGTGTGAAGGATGGAAGGCTCAAAGTAGAGAATCACGTACAGCATGGCAGCTTGGTTTGCCAGGGCTGTGCTGCGATGCTCCGGCAAAGGATACGCTGAGACCTGCAATGTCAAGACGACACCCCGAGAAAGCTGTTGGCAACATTTGCACGTAGACATGCTCAAATTAAACTCTCTGGTTGTAAGACACATCAGTTTTTCCAAAGCCCATCACCTTTCAGGATCCTGGACACTGGAAGCCCTTCTCAGACTGTACCATTGCTTGCCAAGGTCTTCCTTCTTATTCCTAACACCATAATATTCTCTTCTTCCAGCCCTTGACCGCTGCAATTCTAAGTCTTTTCTTAAAAAAAAAAAAAAAAAGTCCCATTCCTGTGTCTCCCACCACTTCTCCATTTTTGTATCTTTCCTGTTGGAGACAACCCTTAGAACTGACAGGCTCCACTCACTGTTGCTATTTTCTCACTTTCTGTTTATTATTCAACTCACTGAAATTCGACCTCCATCATCATCCCAGTGGAATTCCCTACGGTCGCTCATGACCTCACAACCATCCAATTCAACGGCTTCTTTTTAAGACTCTCACTTAAATTCTCTGAGGAATGAAATCTCTCCTTCTCTGGTTTCCTAGATACCACTCTCTCTTCTCAATCTCCTTTGCTGAGTCCTCATCTTCTGCCTTTTAAATGTTGGTGTTCCCCAGGGGTTCATCCCCTCACGTACTAGAAATCTTTGGATGCACAAAGCACATATCACCTTGAGCTACCACAAGCAAAAAGGAGAGAAATTGTTATAAGGGCAGACATAGCCATGTCACATGAAACCTGCAGGCAGGTATGTGGCCAGGCCACAGGAAGCGGCTGGGGCTGGGAACCGGAATGCCTTCGCTCTTTCTCCCCTTGATGTGTTGGCCCACCTTTTCTCTCCCTCCAGGCTACTCGCCATATACATGGCAGAATGAGGCTGCCCACAAACTCCCAATTTTGCATGTTGTGGATAAACTCCAATCCAGAAACTGTTTCTCAGGCCCAATTCCAAATTACCTGGAGACAGAATCTGTTCCATCACCCATGACCAGGGATGGGGGAGGTGCAGGACAGAGAGTGGGGTGGACACACAGCACAATCACAGCTTAACCCTTGTGCTAATAAAGATCATGGGGCAAGGAGGAAATGGAAGCACATTGCCTTCAGAAGGACGTGGAATGAGAGGCAATCAGGAATGAGATGCTCTGAATTGACACAGACCAAATTCAAGTTATGGTTCTGCTACTTAGTAACAGGAATTTAAGGAAATTATTTAAGCTCTCCAAGTCTTATTCTTCTCAACAGCAACATGGGGGATAATGCCATCTACTTTACAGGGCTATTGTGAGGAACAGAGAAAATGGTATGGGAACAAAACCTCCTTTGTGGCTGGTTTGGACTGAATTCTCAATGAATGGCAACAATTATTATGGAGACCTGGCATCTGTGGGTAGCTTCTGATTTTGAATTGTCTTAAAACAACAACAACAACACCACCAACAAAAACCCTCTTATTTATACTTAACATATTCACACAAAAAACTAACAAGCTACCTAAAGAACTGCACAGATCAGGTTCATTCTGTGATAAATGATATCCACAGTTATCACAGGCCTCTTTACTCCCTAATTATAATTTTTACAAATATTTAAATATATAACATCTAAAATTATGTTTTCTTCAGAAGAATGAAGTCAAATGGTAATTTTATTTGGCGTTTTTTAAAAGGAAGTGACTACTACACATACTGGCAAGGGGAGTGGGGCGATTTTCAAATGCTGCATGATCTTCACAGCCTTGCTCAGGCTGCCTCCTTTCCTGGCACTCCTCTTACCTTCCTTTTGTCACCTGTTGTGACCTTGCTGCCACTGCTGCATGCTCCAGTGGCACCCTGTGCTTACCCTAAGATAACACCCATCTTGCTTTACTATAATCCTGTCATCTGCCTTTCCTAAGCTACAAGCTCAGTAGGGGCAGGGACATGGCCTGTCTTCTTCGGTGATGGGTCCCCAGCATTGCGCATGTGAATGGGCACGTATCACATACTCAACAACCATTTCTTGAATGAATGACTAAAAGAATGCATCTTCTTCCCAATAGCTCAAATTCCATCTTCTCCCTGAAATATATGATTCTGGCAAAATTAATAACCCTCTTTCCTTTATCATCCTGGGGTGTAGCTCAAAAGGTTTTAAAAGGTTCTACCTGCTTTTACTCTTTTGGGAAAGAAGGAAGGAAAGGAGTAATTAAAGAGGGAAGTGAAATCAGTCTGTTAAACTGTCTTAATAGGTCTTAATAGATTTAATTCCCACCTGGTTGTAAATATCATCAGATCTCAGTCGACCAATGACCATACTGATGAAGGATTCGTTGATAGGCACTCTCTGGAAATAGCTCTCGGGATAGTTGGATGGTCTTTTGGCACCTGGTTGGCTAGAATAACCTGTACTTCGAAGCAGCTTACAAATATCGTCCATATTTGAATCAGCAGAAGATCGAGCAGCACTGAGTCATATTCACAATGGGAAACAAAGACCCAAAACACACATATTAGAAACTGAAAAGTCCAATAAAGTAGAATTCCATTCTACTTTGACTCAATATAGTTTCAGATATGATCACAGGTCCATCTATATCCTCAATATATCCTCAAGATTCAAAATTATGTGTATATATATGTGTGTGTGTGTGTATATATATATATATATATATATACATTTTTTTTTGAGATGGAGTCTCGCTATGTATGTATATATAACCTTTTTTTTTTTTTTTTTTTTTTTTGAGATGGTGTCTTGCTCTGTCACCCAGGCTGGAGTGCAGTGGCGTGATCTCAGCTCACTGCAACCTCTGCCTCCAGGTTCAAGCAATTCTCCTGCCTCAGCCTCCTGAGTAACTGGGACTACAGGCATTTGCCACCGTGCCTGGCTAATTTTTGTATTTTAGTAGAGATGGGGTTTCACCATGCTGGCCCAGGCTGGTCTTAAATGTCTGACCTCAACTGATCCACCCACCTTGTCCTCCCAAAGTGCTGGGATTACAGGTGTGAGCCACTGTGCCCGGCCTCAAAATTATATTTTTGAAAGCCTGTTTAGAAGATGGGTATTCATACTATGTAAAGGTCCATAATCCCTTTTCCAAAATCCTTAGGAGTGGATTTGTTTCGGAATATAGCATTTTTCAAATAGTAAGAGTCATATGGCATATAGATCATACACAATACAACACTCCAGCAGGGTCTGAATTGGCATCTCATGATCAACATAAGTGAATAATTCTGGAGGAAAATTTATAAATATTTACAAAAGTGAGATAAGTGAAGACTATATATAGCCTCACACCTATTCCAGGCAAGTTTTGACTCCAAATGATTTCAGCTTACATCAGGTTTTGCTGCCAAATGAATTACTATGTATATGTACATGTGTGTTGTGTGTATACTCGTGTATATATATTTTTTCAGAGCTCTTTGGATTTGAAAATTGTGGGTAAAGAATGTGAACCTGACATTTTACAAATTAAAAAATAATTTAAAAATATTATGTCAATTTAAAGTAAAATATATCTAACTTTTTTCTTGGCAAGCTGTTCCTTCTACAGAGATCTAATAAACAGGTCTGTGATTTTTCCGGGTGGAATAGTAAGCTCTGAAAGAAATGAACTAGATTCAAAGAATCTTAGACTTGGATATGACCTGCTATTTGCTGTAAGGATCTCTTTTGCCACGACTGTGACTTGGAAGTGTTCAGTGTCACTTCAATAATAAATGCTCACATTCTAATGAATTAGCTGTTGTACCAAAGGGGACAAAGCCATATTTTCAAAACTGGGCTTCATAAGCCAATATTTTTTTCTTCTTCTTTACACTGTGTATAGTTTTTGTTTTTCCAGGTACTCTCAGAAATATAGGAAAGGCCATTCAAATCTCATTTTTAAAAACATGGATGTTAAAACAGCTTGGTCAAACTGACATGAATGAACACTGCTAGAACACTCCCTTCAGCTGAAAGGAAAAGGCTAGTTGAGGAGCCTAAGACTAATTTGCTGCTGAGGACACAGTAGTACCTGGTATTGCCGAAAAGTATAATGTCCCCAAAGAACCCCCTTCTCCTTGTCTACTTTGTCCTAATTTTTAAGTTTGAAAATGTTAATTCTACTCTTTACATCTTTAGCTCAAGCTCCTGACTCCTCCTTCTTGACAGTTTCTTCTCTGAATCTTGACTATCTCCGACATTGACCTGGTATTCCATTTTTAGCTCATTCAACCAATTGAAAATCTGTGCGTTAGACACTAAAATTAAAAAGTTGGTTAAGGTGGCTCCTGTTTTCAAGACCTTACTTCCTGAAGAATCACAGTTCTGTATAGATAAACACAACAAATGATTTGTGGATATGTGCTGTTGCTTGATTTGTTTTTGTTTCTATGTAAACATGGGAGAGAATTCACTTTCAACCTGACTCTGAATGACAACTTTTCAAAGTCATCAAACTGAAATGACAACAGAAAGCACACTTATTTCCTTATATCTGCCAAGGAGTAATATTTGAAAACTTAAACAACAAAAGCAAAAATAATCTTCATTAGATTTCTAAGATTCTTTGAAATTTAGCCTCAAGGTAAAGAAAGTTCACAATTCAGACTCCTTTTTAAAATTGGAGTTATCATTAGGGACAGCATAATCCATACTTCTAATAATCTATAATATATAGAATACTTGATATGTAATACATAGATTATATAATTTATAATCATTATGAAATATGTAATTGTTATATACCTACAATATGCTCACAAGACATAAGAATCTTACTTTTTTTTTTTTTTTTTTTGAGACATAGTCTCGCTCTGTCACCCAGGATGGAGTGTAGTGGCATGATCTTCGCTCACTGCAACCTTCGCCTCCCGAGTTCAGGCGATTCTCCTGCCTCAGCCTCCTGAGTACCTGGAATTACAGGCGCCCACCACCGTGCCTGGCTAATTTTTGTAGTTTTAGTAGAGACAGGGTTTCACCATGTTGGCCAGGCTGGTATCAAACTCCTGACCTCAGATGATCTGCCTGCCTTGGCCTCCCAAAAGTGTTGGGATTACAGGCGTTAGCCACTGTGCCCGGCTGAATCGTATACTTTCTTATCTATTCTTGGATTACTGCTGTTCACAGTATAAGGAATATGGGGACATACACTGCATTTTACCGACAGCAGCGTTTCGGAAGTGTAGTCCTAGCCCAGGAATACCTGTATCGGTAGTAAGAAACCAGCATCCTCTCTCTGACTTCTCCTTCAATCTTTTGGTCAATGACCAGTAGCATAACTCCATATAAGTACAGTGCTTCACACTAAGAAGAGAAGAGGACAAAAGCCAAAATCACTAGATTATACATTCTTAGGGAGTAAAGTCGGTAATCATGAAAAATATTGCTTTGCTCACACTTCTTCAAAAAGTTTTAGATTTCAAGGAAAAGGTAGGTTTCCTCCAAGGAGCTCTTACCTTCTTGCCGAATGGGCCTTGAAAAGTTTATGTAAAACAGATTTTAATTCATAGTGATAATTTTTCAGTTGACCTATTTTGGCTATGTTGCTTGGGACACCAAAATAGCAACCCAATATTGTGTATACCTCTTCATCATAAAATCATTCACTTATTCAATCAGCATTTCTTAAATGGTTAGTATGTACTAGGTATCAGGACAGATGGCTGGGATGCAAAAAGTAAAGAAGACAGAATTCTTACACCGAGGAGGCTCATAACTTCCACATAACTTTTAACTGTTTTAAATTCTGTTCAAAGTCTATGTTCTAAACTCAGATATGGACCTGCCAGTTAGAAGATAATTAAAAGCTCATTTCGCTTCTCTTTAAAGAATGGTATTTCGTATATATTTGTGACTTAAAAGAAAAAAAAGTGATACTATGTTTGATATTCTTGAATTTCATTTTAAATAATCATTATTACTTACTAGAAGTTGTTTTCCATCTTCATTGAGAAGCACAGTTTCTAAGGTTTGCTGAATATAAACCCCTTCATTGAGATCATCTAGATATCTAGAAATAAAACCACAGTGCAAGTTATTAATTTATAATAGAAACTTTAACATCTTTAAAGAAGGAAAGATTTTTAAAAGATAAGGCAGGATGCCAGGCATTCTGGCCTTCCACTAGTTCATGGTCCTTCATGCTCTTAAGAATACAGTCTTATAAACTGATTTAGGGCCACAGTTTGATATTTATCGCTGTTCCAAGTAAAAGAAATATTCCCTAGTCCTGATTTGTGAATTACAAGTATCTAGGAGTAAAGGCAGAAGAACATGGAATATCTAGTCTAAAAGTTAATGAGTAATGAATTCTTAAGAAGTGTATTAAGAGACAGAAAGTTAATGATAAAGATAAGTTCTTTTTCCCACTTTTCACATATAATACACTAGGATATGATAATAAATAACAGGATTGGAAACTATATGACTTAGTTAAACTAAGTTTATTACAACACCTCATAAGAGCAGGACATTATAGTAAAACTTCAAAATTCTTAAGATGACCAGTGCCACAGGTAGGAAAAGACAACTATATACAGTATAAACTAAATTAGGAAATTTTGTAGTAACTCAGAGAGATTTACACGTTGCTATGTGTCCTTTTCCCTCTCCACTATTTACTACCAGAATAAGCTATTCCTAAATAGATCAATACCTGTTTAAGTCTACAATATATTTATGTACACTTTGAAATGCTAAATAAAATCTGGTCACAATTTCTATGTTGTTTTCACGAAATTCTTCATCTAAATCCTGTAGCTCTGGCTTAGCATCCAGTTTGCTTTCCCATAATTCTGGACCCTGAGAAAAAAAAACACATGTGAAATGTCAATAAAAGCATACTTGTTGGTGACAATTTCTAAATAGTCTTTTAAAAATTTGTTCTTATGTTATTAGACATCCCAAACTTAAAGCAGAGCAACAGAAAGTAGTGAAGATAATAGAAGCCTAGATATAAAATCCCTTTGAGAGAAATGAATTTGAATTGGACCCAAGATTAGCATGCTTTTAAGTATGGGGCCCTTCAATGTGAAATATCAAAGTTATCTTTTAAAAATACAATTATATTGTGTTAGGGCTTTGACATAATACTTTCAACTTATTTTCAAGTTAGTAGCTAATATTAAGTTTAGTCGAAAAGCTCTTCTCTTTAGCTTTTTCCATAATTCCTTAACCTTACAGAGTTTCATGGTTCCCAGAGAAAACACGCTTTTGTAGAAAAGACAACAATAAAAATGCTATAGAGGAAGATTACCTTAAAATAGCTGAAATCAAATATGATATCTCCATATTTCTGTTGATCAGCTCTGTCTTTTAACCTGAACACAGCAGGAATAAACTCAGAGAGTCTCAAAAGTTCAGCAATGATGGCATTACCACAGGAAACAATCCTTAGGATTGCTTGGCCACAGAGGTTGTTCTCGGCTAGAAAGTCCAACATTGTGAGGCGGACCGACTACTCTGTGCCTGGACACTGGGGATGATTAACTGGCCTCAGAGCTGGTGTCTGTATATTATTAGATGAAACCAGGTGTGCAGAGAGATTGGCTCCTCCATTAAAGAACCTGTATCCCCAAAAAAAGTGTGAAAATCTCAATTTGTTTAAGGAAGCACATGTGTACACATAAGAAACACATTTTTCTCCCAAACTCACTAAAAAAATTTTAAGAAATAATGAGTTCCTTTATAGGGGAAAGGGTGTTTATCTGTCACTCTTCATATTTTCCATGTGGAGGGACTTTGCTAGATTAACACTCTTGGCCTCTTCTTCAACATGTTAGTCACTTCTCTTGAGAAAAAGATATGATACAGCTCATCTCTGTGCTAGGGAGAAGGAACCACTGGGCATGTGTGGTTCCAATGTACCCTGATTATACAAGCTATCTCCTACTATTTGATATATTAGCAAATAATTTCAAACGCTATAAAGAGAGCTCAGAGACAAATCCCTGTACATCATTTTGAGGCATTTGTCCAATTATTTCCCAGAAATGGAACTGCAAGCTTAAGGTAAGAACATGTCCAAGATTCCTTTTAAAATTACAGATGCTAGGTTCTGCAAAATTCTGTGAAGATGATTTATAAATACTAAATCAAACTGGTCCAAAAGTCTCATAAAATTCAGCACTTAGGTATCTAGCACTGTTAGCAGAATCCATTACTTGCTTCTCTTGTATTCCAATGCACTCTCTGAGGATGGTTAGATCACTTAGCATACTGAATATTATCGTTGCTTACAGCTCATTCTGAAAGTTCTTGAAGGCAAGGATTGATCTTTACCCAACCACTCCTTGCTGAATACCTCTTTGCCAGGCTGGATATGAAGATGTTTAAACATCTCACCTTCTAGTCCAGTGGTTCTCAAGCCTGGCTGCTTAAGGGAATCACCTAGCATCTTAGAGTTTCTGGTAAGTAGGTTAGAGGTAGTCCTAAGCATCTCTGTTTTTAAGAATCTCCCCGGATGATTCTGATGTGAAGCCAGGATCATTAAAAGAGTAGAGAATGACTGGTCTTATAGAAAACTGCAGCAGGCAAACAGGAAATTAACAATATTTATCTTTGTGCCCTTTGTGCTGAACTCATTCCTTGGCACTGACAAGTATAAGGAGTGCATAAATAATACTAGGGTTACAAGAGGTGATGTCTGTCCTCTCTAGCTGCCTGCTATACTGCTGGAGATGAGCCCTGAAGAAAAAAAATCAGAGAGATGAAGTGCTTCAGTGTGTCTTTACAATAAAGAAATAAGAAGTGTAACATACATTTAATTGTCAGTATGGAGCATTTATTAGGTGTTCTGTTGGGAAAGGTATTCTTATACTGGGTGATCTTTAGTAAAGTGACATCTAGGAATTCGGGGCTAGAGAAAGAAACCTAGCATCTAAAAAGAATGACCTATTTTAGTATGTAACACTTAAAAACTTTTCCATGGTAAATGACTTAGAAGATGGATTTGAAATCCAAAGGGCAGACACAGGGTTGATTTCTAAAACATGCAAAGGGATCTCACAAGCTGTCAAAGAGAGAACAGAGAGAGAAGCGGAGGCAGAAGCCAAGTAACAAGGAAAAGGGAAAAAAAGATGTCACTAGGAATGAAAACCAACCAACCAACAAAACATACATGTGATGTTTTCCTGTACACATAAGTCTTTGAGCATGTCACTACCCAGGTTGTGCCTTCTAAGCATCTTCTGTAACACAGAGACTCTCGATAAAACTGCTTCCTGACCCATCCCTTTCCTTCCCACTAGCTTCCTCCTACAGCCAGTGCAGATAGCAGGGGTGAGCAGATGGTAGAAGGCGAAGGGCAACTGGAGAAGGAAGCGAGAAAGACTTACACAAATGAAATAACTCCTCGGACTTGATGAGGTTTCAGAAAGTTCTTGAAGTAGGTAATTTGTCTCATTACGCTACTCCTTCTTACATTCCCCTCTGCCCACAGACTTGAGTACCCCTTCTTGTTCAGGCCTGTGTGCCTTCCCCTGCAACAATCATTTTTCTTAGTTCTAGGGGCTTGGAAAGCAATCTGATTATAATAATGTGGTAACTGGTTGCCAAAGATGGCTCCCAACAATTCCTTGCCATGAAGTCAGCCCATACAGCACCTTAAGTGAAGGGCTGAACCTTATTTTCCCTCTCAATGAGTCTGGATTGCATTTTATTAGTTTGCTGGGCTGCCGTAACAAAGCACCACAGAGAGGGTGACTTAAACAACCACATTTATTTTGTCACAATTCTGGAGGCGAGAACTTCAAGATCAAGGTGTTGGTAGGACTGTTTTCTTCTCAGGCTTCTCTCACTGGCTTGTAGCCAGCTATTTTCCTCCTGTGTCTTCGCATGGCCACCCCATTGCTCATTTCTTTGTATAGAGATGGGAGTCTCACTATGTAGCCCAGGGGAGTCTCAAACTCCTGGGCTCAAGCAATCCTCCCATCTCAGCCTCCCAAAGTGCTGAGATTACAGGCATGAGCTACCAAGCCTGGCCCTCCTTTGTAAATTTCTGTGTCCAAATTTCCTCTTCATACAAAGATACCAGTCATATTGGATTAGGGCCTATCCTAGTGGCTTCATTTTAACTTAACCACCGCCTTAAAAATCCTGTCTCCAAATATAGTCACATTCTGAGCTACTGAGTGTTAGGAATTCAACATATAAATTTTGGGGGGACCCAACTCAGCTCATAACAGCTTGTGCCTTCCTTCCTTCAACCCAAAGAATACTGTAGAATTAACTCTCTACCAATTCCAGGCCTAAGCCTTGAGAAGGCCTGGCAGTATCTCCTTTTGCTCTCTTTGGGTGTCCGAAGCTGCCATGTAAGATGTCTGGGTATCTTGCTAGAGAGATCACAGGAGTTACAAAGAGGAAAGACCATGCTGAGAGGGAAAAGTCCTGACACAGAAGAGAATGAAGAAAGCCAGCAGACAGCAGAAACTGAAGTGCCGACGTGTGACTTGGGTTGACCTGGTCCACTCAGCCCCCAGCTCTTTAAGTCTTCCTAGCTGAAGTGCTAGACATATAAGGGATGAGGCTATTCGGCTTCTGCAGCCAGCAAAGCCCTCTGTGCCTTTTCCCAATTCCTAATGCACAGGATCATGATAAATTTTTAACATATTGTATTGTTTTGGGCAAATAAGTCTTGGGGTAGTTTGCCATAGTGCTGAGATTCAGTTTTGAGGACTAACAGTACAAGTTGTCAATTTAAACAGCATGCTGATGCTGTTATTGTGATATTTCATTTTCTATAATGCTGTGCAATATAGTCATTGCTTTTGTATAATAATGTCCATGTAGCTATTTCTGTATTGTACTACTGCATTTTCCTCCAATCCCCATCTTTTCAGTTCTCTGCTTCCGCTGATTATTGCAATTTCCTTACAGGAATTGTGCCATTTGTCTTATCTTTGGAAAAAGAGAGCTATGTCCTAAAAACCACTAGAAGTCGGTGAGGGAACAACAAGTAGGTGAGGGAACAATCTTTAGAAATGTTTTTAGGCCTGGCAACGGTGGCTCACACCTGTAATCCTAGTACTTTAGAAGGCCAAGGTAGGAGGAATGCTTGAGCTCAAGAGTTCAAGACCAGTCTGGGCAACAATAGCGAGACCTTGTCTCTACTAAAAATCAAAAGAATATCAGTCAGGTATGGTGGTGCGAGCCTGTAGTCCCAGTGACAAGGGAGGCTGAGGTGGGAGGATTGCTTGAGCCCTGGAGGTTGAGGCTGCAGTGAGCCATGATCGTGCCACTGCACTCTTGCCTGGGTGACAATGAGACCCTCTCTCAAAAAAAAAAAAAAAAAAAAATTTTCTCACATGTCAAGTATAGGAGATTCTTGCTATTAAGAATAGTTCATATCTGAAAAATGCTAGAGTGATTACAAAATACAGAAAAATGTTTCATAAAAAGGAGAAGAAAAAGTTTTGATTACAAATGTATCTTGAAATTTGTGAAAATGAGCTTTATATATTAGGCTGTGATAAGTGCCGTGAAGAAAAAACATAATAAAGGATGGGGCATATGCTAGTTTCCATAGAGCACCTCGGGCAGAAGTCAGAAGGAAATGAGAGAGCAAGCAGTATGGATATCTGGGTATGGTCAGCAGCTTTCTAAAGTGGTCCCTAATGATCTCTGCCTCCTGGTATTCATGTTCTATGTAGGTTCCTTCCCTTGAGTATAAGCTGACTTACTGACTCCCTCCTAAAGAGGAGAATAGGGCCAGGTGTGGTGACTCACTCCTGTAATTCCAGCACTTTGAGAGGCTGAGGCACATGGATCACCTGAGGTTAGGAGAGCCGGGATCACCCCGGCTCTACTAAAAATACAAAAATTAGCCAGGCATGGTGGCAAAAACCTGTAATCCCAGCTACTCGGGAGGCTGAGGCAGGAGAATTGCTTAAACCCAGGAGGCGGAGGTTGCAGTGAACCGAGATTGCACCACTGCACTCCAGCCTGGGTGACAGAGTGAGACTTCATCTCAAAAAAAAAAAAGGGGGAGGGGGGGAAGGAAATAGGATAGAAACAAAAGATACAGTGCACTTCTGAGATTAGATTTCGAAAAGACTAACTTCTGGCTTGGGCACCCTCTGTAGCTTGCTAGTCCAGGGGAAGCAACATATCATGGTGTGAGAGAGCCCTGGGGAGAAGCCCATATGACAAGGAACTGAGGCTTGCCAAAAACCACCTGAGTGAACTTGAAAGTAGATCCCTTATAATCCCAGTCCAGCCTTCAGATAAGACCATAGCTCCTTGTTCCCAGCCTGACTGCAATGTTCTAAAAGCCCCAGAGCCAAAGGCAGCCAGCTATGCCCTACCCTCCGGACCATAGATGCTATAAAGCTTATTGTCTTAAGCCACTGGGTTCTGGCATAGTTTATTATGCAGCAATAGATAATGATCCTAATAATGGCATCCCAAGCAGAGGTTACAAGTAAGTGCAAAGGCCCCAGGGCAGGAATGTGCTAGATGGCTAGCAAGGTGGCTAAAGTGGCTGGAGCAGAGTCAGCTAGGGGCGGAAACAGAAGAAGTAGACTGGATTGGATCTGAGAGCCAAGAAGCCACTACAGCTGTCTAGAACTCCCATGAAGGTACCCTGTAATACACATTAAGGCATACATTATTAACAAGTTCTTTTAGTTTCCTCTGTGATACTTGCTTGTTAAACCACACTGATCTCTAACAGGCTGAATTTCAGATAATTTCATTTCATTTTCTGCATGGATATGGTCTGGCTTGGGAAAGCAGAGAGGGAAAGGGGAAATAATGGACAGTGGGCAAAACAGTCACATACTAAAGCCCTCTGAAGACCACCAAACTAACCCAGAAGGTCTAAGTAGGATGAAACTTTACACCAGGAGTGTCCAATCTTTTGGCTTCCCTGGGCAATATTGGAAGAAGAATTGTCTTGAGCCACACATAAAATACACTAACACCAAAAATAGCTGATGACCTTAAAAAAAATCGCAAAAAAATCTCATAATGTTTTAAGCAAGTTTACAAATTTGTATTGGGGCACATTCAAAGCCATTCTGGGCCGCATGTGGCCTGCAGGCCTCAGGCTACACAAGCTTGCTCTAGACTCATGAAGAGGAGGACAAGCTATGATTAACAGGTCCAATGGCTACCCGATTTGGGATACCATGACAGGGCAACAATGTGGCCCTGGGAAAAACAACTTAAAGCAAAGTAACATTACTTGCCCTTTACTCTACTCTCTCCCAACATACAGAAGGACAGACAGACTCAGCACCTGCATGCACACATTCGGGGAAGCTTCAGTCTGGGATAACGACAGAGATCAAGACTTTCGTGTGTCAATCTCTTGTTTTAATCCTTAGTCCCTTACTCAAGAATTACGCTGTAGACAACTTTAAAAGAACATGAGGAGGATAATAATAACCAAATATGTTCGGCAATAGTAAAACAAATATTATGGGTCTTTATTACCTAGGTAAATCACCTTTCTAAAATTCTATATATAAACTTTATATTAAATTTTTAATGCAAAAGCATATGAGTTATATTTAATATACTTTTACTGAAATGAACTCACTGCTTGTAATCTGTTTTGCCCCATGAAGGGCACTTGTGTTTTCTATTTCTAATAATGCAAGCATCTCCTGCTAAGTTTTTGAAGATGGAAGAAGTTAAAACAAGATTAGCTGAAAGAAGGAAATCACTTAGTTACATTTTATGTACTAGACCTCCTAACCCGGACTAGTTATATTTTCCATGTAACAAATGGAATTTCCATAATTTGTACAAATATAATTTGGCTAGAGTATTTGGTAAATAGCCCCCTCGTTGGCTGAAGGACTAGTCCTGAAGAACAGAATCTAAGAACCATCATTAAAAATGCCTAATCAAGTTGCAGCTAAGAGGTAGGTGGATGGCTTTACAAAGTGTTAAGACTCAGCTAAGTCTTAAAAAACCACTTTAGAATTAGGTCCAAATAAACACTGTAGAAGAAGCTATGTTAAATTATCCTTTCAGAGGTTCTCTTGGTGCTAGGGATCAAGAACACTTGAAGATCAGTTTTCTCAATACAGGCTATATTATTATTGGCATGAAATCCAGAGATCCCACTATATTTTCTTATTTTCTTTTACAAGTGCCGGTAACTTCATTTTTAATAATTTGGCGTGGAACTGTGATTTTCAGTTTGGGAAGTAATCCTAATCAAAAGACATGCTTTCAAGAATAAGGCATGACATCCTTACACCAATTACCCTGAGTACAGAATAATATTTCTTAAGGAAATCGAATTGTCGTGGACAAACAGTTTACCCTCTTCAGAGGACAAAAGAAGGCAGGTCTATTTTTAGCCTTTCGCAAAACCTCAGTTCCATAAAGGAAGCACTGGTCTCCACAAATCCATTATCACAAACAAAATATAACGGTTGCTGATCAAGATAAATGCAAGCTGCATATATTTTCCAGAAAAGTTCTGAAATGAGGCTGAACCTGAAATCCTGGGAAAGGCAGGTGAAGGACAATTAGAGAAGGTGTCCCTTGTAGTGCACAAAGACAGTAAAACTTCGCCCTCACTACGCCTCACCTATGTTTGAGGGAGCTCCATGCGCTTGCAATCAGGAGACCCAGTTTTATGGCTCTGTGACTTTTTTTCTTTCTCCTGTCCGATCATAATCCTGATTCCGATCCCAGGAATCAGGGCCCTGGGAACTTTTTTTTTTTCCCCCAAATGCAAAGGATTTTGACATCAGTATGTCACAGGTGAAGGCATTAAGGCGCGGCGAGCAGCAATGACTTGCCCAAACTCACAGCCCATGGCATAACTAGAATGCAAATCCACGTCTGTCAGCCTGTAAAAGTCCTCACTACTAGCCTTTCAGTTTTCTCAAAAGCAAAGAGAAATAACGACGACATCCATACAGCAGTGTTCCCGGAAACTTGGAAGGATGAGATTCGGACCAAGCAGCTGAACGGTGCTTCCTAAAGCGAGGAAGGGGTGTGCAAAATGATTTCCCCCTAAGCGGAGACGAAGAGCTGGATTACAGCCCCCGCCCCAGAAAGCCCCTAAGCCCTCCATCCCGAGTCCCCCATCCAGGCTGCACGCGACTCTGCAGACCTCCCCGTGGCCAGCGCGGCCCAGCGGGGAGGGGAAGGGGGCCATGCAAAAATGGGGCGCGCTCACTCCATCCCCACTCACCTGTCAGCCGGGCCGCGCCACGGCGCACGCGCAGGGCCGGAGGTCGCGCGCGGAGCCGGCACCCAGTTTCCACCCCTCCCTCAAGGCGGCGGTCCTCTTCTATCCGCAGTCCCGGACCTGGAGCGGGTCAGACCCCGACTTCCGCCCCTGACTCCCCAGGCGGTCACATGACCGAAGCGGCTGGGAGCAGGGAGGGGCATCATGTGACCACTCGCCGGCGACGGCTGATGACGCAAGAGCCCGCTCTCACTTTTCAGCGGCAGGCGAAGGGGGCTGAGGAAAGGAGGTGGGTCTAGGCAGGGGAAATTGGGGTGCCACCAGACGGAGACAGCTTGGACTACCAGGTAGGGAAGAAGCGGGGGACGGCAATGGGGAGGGTGGCAGGAGTTTCGCCACCCTCAGGGACACTCCACGGGGACTCCGAGCCGGGGGTCCGTCTACCCGGATTATGGTTGTGGAACTTTTCACGCCACGGTAGTGAGTCTGGGACAGTTTACCCTCCTGTCCGAGACGCCATCTCTCCATCCTTTCGCCTCAAGTGTGTAGGGGCAAGATTACGAATTTTTGATCCAAATAGATTTTGTTTGAACTGACTTTAAAAGTAAGGCCACGGGAAGGTCGTTTGAATAAACTCTCTGGACCTCAATTTCCTCTTCAGTTATGTAGATTGCAGTGAGAATTAGCGATAAGGAGAATAAAGTGCCGGGACACCAGTTTATGGCATTCTGTAGGTGACCGAGAAATGATGATGTCTGTTGTTATTTTTGTAACTGGCCAAATCTTTATTGGTCCCCTATTTTGTGTGAGGAATTGCTTTATATGCAATAGAATATGTCAGGGTTCTAGTTTAAGGAGGTGTCAGTTTAAAGAAGCTGCAGACATGTGAGCAAATAGTTGTGATGAGTTTCATAATAGGAGTGTGTTGTGTACATGTGCATGTGATAGGGATAATGGTAGCATGAGGGAGGGAAAAGCAATTGTATGAGAAGGATTCAGAGAGAAGGGATTATCCTTGCATGTTGAAAAAGGAGAGGCAGCTCTGGCTGACTTGTACAAGGCTCCCATGGATTTAAAGGAAGTCAACATATTGTCTATAAATAACATGCAGAGAAAAAACTCAGGAAATGCACAACTTGTTCTAAACTTTCTTGGAGATCATAGGTACCGGGAAGAAAAAGATCAGTGTTATTACCTGGGGAGGGATCCAAGAGAGATTGATTTAAACCAGTTATTCTCAACTGATGCACTATTGACATTTTAGGCCAGATAATTTTTTGCTGTGGGGTCAGGGTGAGGGCTGTCCTGTGTTTTGTAGGATGCTTAAGAGCATCCCTGGCCTCTGCCCGCTAGATGCCAACCACAAAGTCTACAGATACTGCTAAATGTCCCCTTGCGAGAGGGGTAAAATCCTTCTTGGTTGAGAACCACTTAAACCAAGCCATGAAAGATGGTATCTTAGTCAATGTGGGCTTCTGTAACGGAAATGCCATAAACTAGGTAGCTTATGAACAACAGAAATTTATTTCTCACAGTTCCGGGGCCTGTTTCCTGGTTCATAGGTGGCTTCTTGCTGTGTCCTCACATGGTGGAATGGCAAAGCAGCTATCTGGAGCATCTTTTAAAAGGGCACTAATCTTATTCATGAAAGTGGGCCTCATCACCTCCCAAGAGGCCCCACCTCCTAATACCATCACCTTGGAAGTTAGGATTTCAACATATACATTTTGGGTGACACAAACATTCAGACTTTAGCATATGGGTAAGATGTGGGCAGATAGAAAACTGAAGAGAGGCCCTGGCACAGTGGCTTATGCCTGTAATCCCAGCACTTTGGGAGGCCAAGGCGGGCGGATCACTTGAGGTCGGGTGTTTGAGACCAGCCTGGTCAACATAGCGAAACCCTCTCTCTACTAAAAATACAATAAATAAATAAATAAATAAATAAGTAAATAAATAACATAATTGGTGTGTCCTGGCACACACCTGTAATCCCAGCTACTCGGGAGGCTGAGGCAGGAGAATCCCTTGAACCCAGGAAGCAGAGGTTGAGGTGAGCCGAGATCATGCCACTGCACTCCAGTTTGGGCGACAGAGCGAAACTCTGTCTCAAAAAATAAATAAATAAATAGAAAGAAAACTGAAGAGAAGGTTTTCTCATGGTGGGAGCAGGATGAGGAAAAGTCCTCTTTTTCCTTTTTGGTGACAGCGTCTCACTCTTATCGTCCAGGCTAGAATGCAGTAGCATGATCATAGCTCACTGCAGCCTTGGACTCCTGGACCCAAGGAGTCCTCCCACCTCAGCCTTCCGAGGGTCTAGGACAATAGGTGCAAGCCACTATGTCTGTGTAAGTTTAAATTTTTTTTTTTTTTGTAGAGTTGGGGTCTTGCTGTGTTGCCCAGGCTGGTCTTAAACTCCTGGCCTCAAGCAATCTTCCTGCCTTGCCCTTTCAAAGTGCTGGGATTATAGGCATGAGCCACCACACCCAGCCTGAACAAAGTCTGGAGCTGAGATTAAGAATATTGGGTATGAAGGGGAGAAGGAAACAGGAGAGCTATGAATCTGACTGAAGCAGACAGTTAATTTATTCATTTATTGACTATTTTCAGAGCACTTGCTGTTTGTGAAGCACTGCTAACATCTTGCAAGATAGTCACTAACAAAGTGGAGTGACTATAATTATAATTATATCAAAGAAGGTGCTGTTAGAGTCAGAGAAAGGAGTTGTCTTTGACTTGTACTTAGCTGTATTTATTGGGAGAGATTGAGAAAAGTATGTCTGTTCCATCTTTCTGCACCATCCATTGCCTTTGCTTTTCAATTCAATCTCAGTCTTAATCTTTTCCCTACTCCAGAATTACAGAAGAGCATGATCGTGTTTTCCTTGGTCCTCTGCAAAAGTGAAGTTTCACTAAAGTAATGTGAGTTTTGCATTCAAACAAATAGTGACAGCTACTGTTTGGTAGATACTTTCCATTTATACTGGATTGCATTAATCTTCATAGATACTGTGTCTTTGTTCAAGCTACCATAACAAAATACCATAGACTGGGTGGCTTAAACAACAGAAATTTATTTCTTACAGTTCTGGAGGCCAGAAGTTCAAGGTGAGGTTGCCAGCATAGTTGGATTCTGGTGAGGACTTTCTTCTTGGCTTGTAGATGGCTGCCCTTTTTATGTGTCTTCACATGGTAGGGAGAGAGAGAGAGAGCAGTCCCTGGCGTCTCTTCCTTTTCTTTTCTTTTCTCTTTTTTTTGAGAAAAGAGGGTCTCGCTCTGTTGCCCAGGCTGGAGTGCAGTGGCGTGATCATGGCTTACTGCAACCTCAACCTCCCGGCTCAAGCGATCCTACCACATCTCCTCCTGAGGAGCTGGGGCTGCAGGCCCGCACCACCACATCCAGCTAATTTTTTATTTTCTGTAAAGACAGAGTCTCACTTTATTGCCTGGGCTGGTCTCGAACTCCTGGGCTCAAGCCAACCTCCCACATTGGCCTCCCAAAGTGCTGGGATTATAGGCATGAGCCACCTTTCCAGCCAGGTTTTAGATAATCAGTACACATGTGCCTAGTGCCTATCATATTGGACAGTGCAGATTATAGAACGTTTTCATCACAGAAAGTTCTATTGGACAATGCTGCTCTGGACAATTTAGACTTACACTAGAATCAAGACTGAGTAGAAAACAGAATACTTCTGCTGATCATGGTGTCTCATGCCTATAATCCCAGCACTTGAGAGGCCGAGTTGGGAGGATCACTTGAGCTCAGGAGTTTGAGACCAGCTTGGGCAACACAGGGAGATGGTCGTCTCTACTAAAAATTAAAAAAGAAAAATTGGCCAAGTGGTGGCGCGCGCCTGTGGTCCCAGCTACTTGAGAGGCTAATGTGGGAGAATCACATGAGCCTGGGAGGTTGAGGCTGTAGCGAGCATGATCATGTCACTGCACTCCAGCCTGGGTGACAGAACAAGACCCTGTCTCAAAAACAAAAAGAAAACCGAGGCCAGGGGCAGTGGCTCACGCCTGTAATCCTAGCACTTTGGGAGGCCGAGGCCGGTGGATCACTTGAGGTCAGGAGTTTGAGACCAGCCTGGCAAACATAGTGAAACCCCGTCTCTACTAAAAATACAAAAATTAGCCTGGCATGTAGCTCCCAGCTACTGGGGAGGCTGAGGCAAGAGAATTGCATGAACCTGGGAGGCGTAGGTTGCAGTGAGCCAAGGTAGTGCCACTGCACTCCAGCCTGAGGGACAAGAGCAAAACTCCATCTCAAAAAAAAAAAAAAAAAAAGAAAAGAAAATTGAATACTGGAATTATATCATTTGGTCCTTGCAGGTTTGTGTTTTTTGATTAATACTTAGTACTGTAACAGGTAAACCCCACAAGTCTAAATGGCTTTGCCCAGTTGAAGTTTCTTTCATGCATGGAGCCTGATAGGTGAGTAGTTTTCCTCCAAGCAGTGATGTAGGGCCTTGAGCTCCTTCCATGCAGTAATTCTCTATCATCAGCATATAGCTTTACTAAGGTCCCTATGCTTGCCTGCATCAAGCTATCAAATGGGAAAATGTGGCTTTTTGCAGATTAGGCCTGGAAATGGCTCACATTTCATTGCCTTGGGTACAGTCATAGGCCACAGCTAACTTCAAGGAAGGCTGGAAAATGTGGAGCATATATAGGCATGTAACCGGGTTGAAGAGGAAATGGTTTTGGTGGGCACCTGTCCAGTATCTGTCACAAGTGTTTTGTCCTTACCTGCCCTGAGAAATAGTCTCAAGAAACAGTCCTAGAAGTTTGCTATTGCATTTACTATAAGGATATTTTTGAGGATTATTTTTTTCAGTGTAACCCATTATCTCATATATGATGATCCATACTTGCCTTGATTGCCATGGAAAGCTTTATTTTTTTCTTGAGTTTCTAGTGTTATTTGTTTTTTTTTTTTGGAGAAAATAACTGTCACTTTTTGTTTTGATTGTGAGGAAGCTCACTACCAAATGTGTATTACTAGTACTGTGTGGAATCCTTTTTTTTTTTTTTTTTTTTTCATACGGAGTCTTTTTGTGATCTCAGCTCACTGCAACTGCTGCCTCCAGGATTCAAGCGATTCTTCTGCCTCAGCCTCCCGAGTAGCTGGGACTGCAGGTGTGTACCACCATGCCCAGCTAATTTTTGTATTTTCAGTAGGGATGGGGCTTCACCATGTTGGCTGGGCTGGTCTTGAACTCCTGACCTCGAGTGATCAACTGCCTCGGCCTCCCAAAGTGCTGGGATTACAGGCGGGAGCCACCACACCTGGCCCTCTGTGTAGAATCCTAAAGTGTGCGTGACTCCATTATAACTTTCTCATATGCTTGGTTTGCCCGTAAATTTCTGTTTTTTGATCCTGGTTTTTCTGAATTTATGTTTTTCCATCTTTTTGTGTATGTTTGTATTTATATTGTGTAAAATGTCTCAACTTGTTTGGTATAATACAGTGAGATTGTAAACAAGCAGTCTCTTTCAATGCAAATGTTTGAAGATCATCATTGGCTTTTATTCCTGTTTGTATTTTTTCTTTTTTGATGTGGAACTGTAAAGTCCCAGAAAAGAACACAACAAGAACCCTTGTTTCATCACCCAGATTTTAACATCTTTAACATTTTGCCATATTTGTTTCAGGTCTTGATTTTTAAGGTAAAGTTTTGAAAATACATAGAGCTCAAATTTCCATGATGACCACTAGACCCAACTGGAGTGAATCTTTATCCTGTACTTAAGGCTGTCTACACTATATTCC
The DNA here is from genome assembly GCF_000001405.40 of Homo sapiens. NCBI lineage: Eukaryota > Metazoa > Chordata > Mammalia > Primates > Hominidae > Homo > Homo sapiens. Next base: position 125,097,388 of record NC_000008.11, read on the forward strand.
CAAAGAATGAAATCCAGTTATCTTCCCATTCCTTTGTACCTGTATGCCAGGCAAAGGGAACTCATCTCATCGTTTACTACCTTATGATCTTTTTTCATCTCACTGCTTCCTTCATCTGAACAGCTCTCCCTGATAATTTAGACCTTTCCAAATCCTGAGTACCTTTTATGGTCCAGCTTAAGTGCCTTCATTTCCGTGAAGCCTATGTCTCCCCTGTTGTGCCTATAATCCTTTCCTTTCTTGAACATTGTAGCATAGTGGGTTTGTGTAATCGGTTTCTTTTTTCAACTTCATAGTACTTGGTTCATTCTTTTAATATGGAACTTGTTCTCTGCCAAGCCTGTTTTGAGGGGTTGTGGCAGAAAGGAGTTATGTTTATTCTGGAATATCAAATAGTTAAGGTTATATGAAATGTATGATTTAAGTCTTGGTGAAAAGTAGAATCTCTGATTTGAAAAGCGTGTTTGCATTATATTGTAGAAAGCTTTGGATACTGTGCTAATTATGTTGAATTTTATTATATAGGCAGGAGGGAGTTAGGACCAACCCTTCCTGCTTTTTTCTGTCTTTATTACTGGCATCTCTGTCTTATTAGCAAGCTCAAAGACCTTAAGGTGAAGCATGCCTGGGTTATTAAAGGACTAGCAATGGCCAGATAATGTAGAACAGTGGTCTTCAAAGTGTAATTCTTGGATCAGCAAAATCTACATTACCTGGAAATTTGTTAGAAATGCAGATTCTTAGGTCCCTTCCCAGACATACTGAATTAGAAATTCTGAGGGTGAGGTCCAGCAATCAGTGTTTTAATGGGCCCATCAGATGATTCAATACACTGACACTACATGTCTCCTAGATATATCAGAGTTAGAATTACATAGAGGACTTGTTAAAACGTAGATTGTTGGGGCCTGAGAATTTGCATTTCTAACAAGTTCATAGGTGATGCTGGTGACACTTGGTCAGGAACCATTTGGAGAACCACTATTGTCAGTTATTACGAAGCTCTTTGGCCATTACTCCCGGTGAGTCAGGAAGTCCTTAGGAGTTTTTGAGCAGAGGAGTCACATGATCTTACGTACATTTTCAAAGGTTTACTCTGGCTGCTGTGTTGAGAATAGGGTGGAAGAGGCAAGACTGAGAGCAGGGAGACCAGGTAGGAGACTGTTGGAGTAATTCAGGCAAGAGATGATGGTTTGAATCACGGTGTTATCAGCAGAATTGGTGAGAGTGGTTGGATTCTGGAGATAGTTTGACTACAGAGCTGGCAAAATTGATGTTGAGTTTGGTATAGGATATGAGGGGAGGAGGAGAAGGATCAAGTATGAACCAAGAGTTTTGGTTCAACAAATGGAAGGATGGAGTTGCTATTTAGTAAGATGGGGCAGGTTGTAAAAGGAGTAGGTTTGGGGGAGGGGTAGGGTGGGAGAGAAGGAATGTGGGCCTTCCATGTTGGACGTTTTAAGTTCTGGAGTGATCTTGCCAATGGTATTTAGATGGAATGGGTCTAGTTGGGAACACTAGGTGGATGGGAGAGGATGGAAAAGAGAGATCAGAGCACTGAGCCCTGGGCATACCACCTATACTACAGTTTTGGAGACATGTGCTGTTTTAGGTGCTGGAGATACATAGTATTACATTCATTCCTTCTTTCAGCAAGCCTTTGTTGAATGGCCACTAATGTGCCATGCGTTGTTTTAGGTGCTTGGAATACAGCAGTGAACAAAACAGAAAAAGTCAAAAAGTCTGTAAGTTTAAGGAACTTACAGTGTAATTGGGGACTAGACACTATAAACCTAATAAATACAAGAATGTCGTTTGGCAATACCTGCCTTGAGGAAAGATAAAGCAGAAGCAGAAGGGTGGGAATGCCTGGGGGTGGAGATTGGGAGGGCTTGCCGTTGTATATCAGATGGCCAGGGAAGGCCTTACTGATGAGGTGATACTCAAAGGGAGACCTTAGAGAAGTAAGGGAATTGACCTAGTAGATATCTAGGGGACCAGTATCATGGCAGAGGGAACCAAGAAGGCATAGCCCTGAGGCAGGGCTGTATTTGATTTGGGTATAGAAGGAGAAGAAAAAGAAGCTTGGATTCTGAACCTGGGACCCTACAACATATGGAGCTCAAGGAGATGGAGAGGAAACAGAAAGGAGAATGAGAACAAGAACAAGGTAGGCAGGTGCAGAAAGTGCATCAGGAAGGGAGTGATTAACTGTGTTGCATACTGCTGGCTGATAGGTCAAAGGAGATAGGGCTGAGCATTGATAACAAATTTAACATTAAGTCTTTTCAGGTGACCTTGACAAGAGCAGTTGCAGTGGAGTGATAGAGATGGAACCCTAGTGGGGGTGGGTTCCAAAGGGAATGGAAGGAGAGGATTTGGAGACAAATGTATACAAATCTACAGACGAGTTTTGCTCTAAGGCTGAGTAGAGAAATGGGGCTGGTAACCAGAGGGGTAAGTGGGAGGAAAGTCGGAGGATGTTTTTGAGATGGGAGAAGTAATGGTGTATTTGTTTGCTGAAGGGAATGATTCAGTAGAGAGGGAAAATTTAATGATGCAGGAAAGCAGGGAGAATTGCTGGGAGAATGTCTTAGAGTAGGGAGGGAGGGATAGGATCTAGTGGATAATTGGAGTGGAGGTGGCCTTATCTAGGAGCAACAGTTTATTCATTTTAACAGGAGGGAAAGCAGAGTGTATGAGAACTGATGCTGATAGGTGGAGAGGTAAGCGGTGGGAGCTTGCAAAATTTCTATTCTGACTGCTTCTGTTTCCTCAGGAAATTAGGAAACTAGATCTTTCAGTGAGAGTGAGGATAGAGGAGGAAGTGTTGGAAGTTTCTAGTGAGAGGAGTCGTAAAAGAGCATAATAGAATCAGGAAAAGTCAAGTATTGTCTTATGTACTCTGCAATGATTTGTGCACTTCATTCCTACCTGCCTTTTCCTTTGCCTGAATGCCCTTCTCCATTACCCTTCCATCTGTTAAACTTCGTCTTTTATCCTTTAAACTCAGTTCTATGTTCCCTTCTTTGATCCAGTCAGGCAAAGTTGAGCATTTTCTTATCTGTGCCTCAGCTTTGCAGTAACTCCCATGTTGCTTTAATTATCAGGTTTATGTTTTATCTCTGTCTCTCCTACTCAGTGGTGAGCCCCTGGGAGTAGAGGCTGAATTTTTTTTATTTTTATTTTTTTGAGACCGCGTCTTGCTCTGTTGCCCAGGCTGGAGTGCAGTGGCATGATCTTGGCTCACTGCAACCTCCGCCTCCCAGGTTCAAACAATTCTCCTGCCCAGCTTCCCGAGTAGCTGGGATTACAGGTGCCCACTACCATGCCCTGCTGATTTTTGTATTTTTAGTAGAGACAGGGTTTTGCCATGTTGGCCATGCTGGTCTTGAACTCCTGACCTCAGGTGACCCTCCTGCTTCAGCCTCCCAAAGTGCTGGGATTACAGGTGTGAGCCATTGCGCCTGGCCAAAGGCTGAATATTTCTAGTGCCTGGGATAGTGCCTGGCTCATGATAGGTTTTCATCAAATTAGAATAACAAAATAATTCTTTAAAAGGAGAGTGTCTTAAGAGTGCTCATCTTGAAAACTGTGGTATTCTCATGCTAAAGGAAGTGCCTGGCACTTAAAGAGATACTAAATATTTGAACTGACAATGAGTTGTACTGTGGATGTTTGAGGTAAACAAACACTTCAAATTAGAAATCTTATGCATCTCTGTGCATCTTGCATGTCTCTATGCCCTTCTCTTTTTATATCCTGTGGATTTTTGAATGGGTCTCATGATTGACATGGTAGGTACTCAATACTTATGAGTGAAATGAATGAATGAACCTAATTAAAAAGGACTAATAATGGAGAAACTACAATAGTAGTTCAGCTGTGAGATGAAGGTGGTAGCAATGATGAGGATGGAAATGCCAGAGATACTACACAGTTCCCCACTTAGGAAGGGCAGAAGGGAAGGCTCTAATGCTAATTAATTGTGTACTGTATGCTATACCATACCATGGTTATTCCTTTCCATTTTAAAGATGGTAAAGCTGAGATTCAGAGATGTTTAGCAGTCTTCATGTTATGTCTATCTGATTCCATGAAAATACCCCTTTTTCTGCTGCCATAGAGCCTTGTTAATAGCCCTCCCATCCCTTTAAAACTGTGAATTCTCCCCACTTTTCTAGTTGGTTTCAGTGGATTGAGTTTCAAATGGCTTCTGAATTAAGCAGAGATGTCCTTTTGTAGGCAGCTTTACATTGCTTTACTAAGCTGAAACAAATTGTGGTTGAAGATATAGATTAGGAAGTGTTAAATATGAAGGTAATAACTGAAACTGTTATAGTGGATGTGCTGCCAGAAGACAAGTTTATACAGAAATTCTGCTTTCACTGACTCTGGGATCTCACCAAGTCTATTAATCTGTTAGAAGCCAGAGGAACTGGCAGGAATATAGATTTTCTCTTTTTTTTACAGTTTCCAGAATTCAGTATGCATATATGTTGGATAGTTTAACGATTACAGGTTTTCAAAATAGTTTACTAATAAACTATTTTATTAGTATTTTTTTCTCTTTGGAAAATTGCATCATATGAGTGGTCTACTTTTTCTAACCCATTTATCTTGTAGGCTTTTAAGAACTGTGCTATTGTTGACTTCTTCACAGAATCAAGCACTCTTTTGGAAGAGGGTAATCTCTCTCCAAAAACTGAGGACACTTACCTTCCCCATATATTGAGTCCAGCTGTGTTTGGTGGCCCAGGTGAGTGGCACAGTGATTTGGTGTCTTCTCTATAGGATATACAGAATAGTGTGGCATTTATGAGATATTGGATACATTTGTATGAATGTTTACAGCAGTTTTATTAATATTTTCCTGTGCAGTTATTATTCTGACTTACGAATCTTGTTTCATTGTGTTTGAAAACTTAGGTACTAATTTCAAGATGCCAGGACGTTCCAGTTCAAATTCAGGTTCAACTGGTTTCATCTCCTTCAGTGGTGTAGAGTCTGCTCTCTCCTCCTTGAAAAACTTCCAAGCCTGTATCAACTCTGGTATGGACACAGCTTCTAGTGTTGCTTTGGATCTTGTGGAAAGTCAGAGTAAGTAAAATTAAAACCTCTTTTGTGTCTACTTTGAGGTAACACTGTGTGGTGGTATTTATCTGGGGGTGCCTTTTGAGTATCCTTGGGGGAATGATTTAACCCCTCTAGGCATCTGTTGTCTCATTTTATTCTACACACCGCAGCAGGGTACTGAGGGTGAAATAAGATTGACTCATTCATGTGTGTTCAGACAGTTAAGTTCCATGAGAAACTGCGCTAGAAATGTATGGGCAAAGATTTGAAGATCCTGACCCCAAGGAGCATACAATCTAAAGTATTTGACATTTGTGAACTGTAAGGTATATAAATTTATTATGATATTGTTATTTTTCAGTAGTTTATACTTTGGTCATACTTGATTAACCAGTAGATAGACTAAGCTTATGCTAGGGATACCAGCAAAGGAAGGCCTCAACAAAAATGAGAAAAGTTCAACTTTAATGAATTTTACCTACATTTGTTCAATCAAGAAGATCTAGAAAGATGTGATTTGCAGGCCGGGTGCAGTGGCTCACCCCTGTAATCCTAGCACTTTGGGAGGCCGAGGCCGGCAGATCACGAGGTCAGGAGTTTGAGACCAGCCTGGCCAATATGGTGAAACCCCGTCTCTACTAAAAATACAAAACCAACATGGTGAAACCCCGTCTCTACTAAAAATACAAAAAATTAGCTGGGTGTGGTGGCAGGTGCCTGTAATTCCAGCTACTCGGGAGGCTGAGACAGGAGAATCACTTGAACCCGGGAGGTGGAGGTTGCAGTGAGTCGAGACCGAGCCACTGCACTCCAGTCTGGACAACAGAGCAAGACTCTGTCTCAAAAAAAAAAAGAAAAAAGATGTTATTTGCTTTCTTTGGAGTAGAATCGTTTTTATTTTATTTTACACATGGAGCCAGAGGAGCAGCATGATCCTTTTGTTTTGTTTTTATTGGCATAGGTTTTGAGCAATTTGTGATGTGCCGTGGTGTGATTTTTTTTGTCCTGACTGATATTGTTTGAGATTTATGGATCTGTCAGCTTATAGTTTTTTGAATCAAATTTGGAAAAATTTCTGCTACTATTTCTTCAAATATATTTTTTTAATTCCTCTGCTCTCCTCTCCTTCTGTGTGACTCACATTTCATGTATGTTAGATGGGTTGATATTGTCCCATAAATCAGTGGAACTTGATAGATTTTTTCCAGTCTTTTTACTCTTTAGCTTCAATTTGAATAATTTCTATTGCTAAGTTCATTCATCTTGTCTACTGCAGTGTCTAATCTGATAATTCCATTTAGTGAATTTAAAAATTTCAGTTACTGTATTTTTAATTGTTGAAGACATAACAAAGAATTAAGTAGAATCTTTTTTTTTAGTCTTCCATTTCTTTCTTCATTGTGTCCATATTTTCCTCTACATTCTTGAGTATATGGAGCATGTTTATAATAGCTATTTTAATATCCTTGTATGTTAATTCTGTCATCTCTATGTGTATTATGTTGTTGAGTGTTTGGATTTTGTTGTCTTTTTTTTTTTTTTTTCAGCCGGAATTTTGCTCTTGTTGCCCAGGCTGGAGTGCAATGGTGCGATCTCGGCTCACTGCAACCTCCGCCTCCCGGGTTCAAGCGATTCTCCTGCCTCAGCCTTCGGAGTAGCTGGGGTTACAGGCATGCGCCACCACGCCCAGCTAATTTTGTAATTTTAGTAGAGACGGAGTTTCTTCATGTTGGTCAGGCTGGTCTCAAACTCCCAACCTCAGGTAATCCGCCTGCCTTGGCCTTCCAAAATCTTGGAATTACAGGCATGAGCCTCCATGCCCAGCTTGTTGTCCTCTTTTAAATAGTGTTGGAGTTTGTTTGGTGTGCAGCTAAGTGATTGTGGATTAGGCTGATCCTTTCTAGGCTTATCGTTAAGCTTTGTTAGGTCAAGTCTAATATAGCCTTTATGTTAGGGCTAATTTAGCCTTGTTACAAAGCATGGCCCTTCTGGAGTCTCTCTTGATTGCCCCGAGGGTTCAGTGCGATAGCTCTACTCTGGCTGGATGGAATTTGAGTGTCTCCCGGTCCTAGGTCCTACGTGACTGAACCTGGGAGTTGTTCACTTTATAGCTGTCAGTATTTGTTGCTCAGCATCTTAGGACTCAGCATCAGACTCAAGGGGACCCCAGTGCAGATTCCTAGAGCTCTTTATCTGCATAGCTCCCTCACTCTCTTGCAAACCCTGCTGGCTGCCTCAGCCTCCCTGAACTGAAGTCTCTGTCTCCTCAATCCTTCAAGACTGCTGTGCTAGGCCGAGCATGGTGGCTCCTACCTGTAATCCCAACACTTTGGGAGGCCGAAGCAGGAGGATCTCCTGAGGTCAGGAGTTCCAGGCCAACCTGACGAAACCCTGTCTCTACTAAAAAACAAAAATTAGGCATGGTGGAGGATGCCAGTAGTCCCAGCTACTGGGGAGGCTGAGGCAGGAGAATTGCCTGAACATGGGAGAAGGGGGTTGCAGTGAGCCGAGATTGTGCCACTGTACTCCAGCCTGGGGAAGAGAGTGAGACTCTGTCTCAAAAACTCCCTTGGATTCCTCCTCCCTTGCGCAGGGAGGAGGCCATTGCAAGACTTTTCCCAGTTTTCCCTTATTGCAGTAATTACAGTCCTGTCCCGCCTTTGTCCTACTGTCCCACAGCTATTGTTTCATATATTTTGTTTAGTTTTTCAGTCATTCATGGCAGGTGGACCAGCTCCATACAGTTATTCATTTACGGCTAACAGCAGGTGTCACTCATAATCTTTTTAGTGGGTGGCCTCCAAATGTTTTAACCCTACCCAGTCTGTTTTTGATTATGTTTTTGGTGATCATAATTTAGCTTTGATAGATAGGCCTGGATAAAAGTCATAATAAAATCTTAAACCATAAGAGAGAAGACTGGAACATAACCCCTTGGGAGATTGTATCAGTTTTTTTCAGGATTCTTTTTGAAGATTCCTGGGAGTTTTAGCTACAGAGTTTTTTTTTTCTCTTGGTTTTGTTTTGTTTTAAATAAGAGGTATATTTTGTTGTAAAATACAACATGTGCAATTTAAGAAGAATTATAAACATCATTTTTTGAAAGGTTCATGCTCTAAAGCCAAAGTTGGCAAAGTTTTTCTATAAAGGGCCAGATAACAAATATTTTCAACTCTGTAGGCCATGTGGTTTCTGTCACAACCCGCTGTTGTAGTGCAAAACCCACCATAGATGGTACGTAAATGAATGGGCATGGCTGTGGTCTTATAAAACTTTATTTACAAAAATGGGCAGTGGGCCGGATTTGGCTCACAGGTCTTAGTTTGTCAACCCCTGCTTTAGTGCCGCAGATTGTCATTAAGTAATTTTTAAAAGAAAGATGTATTTATTTTTTAATATTTGGATTAATTTTACAGCAAATACTTGATTTTGCATTTACCAAAAAAGTTAATTTAAGAAAAATTTTGAGCAAGTTATATGGGAAAAAAAGTGAACTAAACAACTTAGACAGACACAGAGTCACCAGGAGCCTGGACTTCTTATGAACTCAATATGTATATGAATACATGCGTGTGTGTGTGCATACACACACACACACACACACACACATTTTAACTAATACCAGGAGTCAAAATAACAAAGTAGTCAACATAAACTAACCAAGTGACTATTCTGCATATAATTCAGCTCTAGGTTTTAAAGAGGACATAAACAAGTATTAAGTAGTTCTTCCCTTCATAGAGTTTACCATCTTAGTGGGAAGACAAACACATATTAAAATACTAAAACAATGAGAAAACAGAAAAGATGTTATAAAGCTGCAAATAACTAATATCACCACTGATCTTATCAGAAAAGTCATACGCTCTCAAATTTATAATGGTGAACACAAATTTTTCAAAGTTCTAATTTTTTCTTTAAAACTTTCACTTTGGGCTGAGTGTGGTGGCTCATGTCTGTAATCCCAGCACTTTGGGAGGCTGAGGCAGGTGGATCACGAGGTCAGGAGTTTGAGACCAGCCTGACCAACTTGGTGAAACCCCATCTCTACTAAAAATACAAAAATTAGCCGGGCGTGGTGGTGCGCACCTGTAATCCGAGCTACTCAGGACTCAGGAGGCTGAGGCAGGAGAATAGCTTGAACCTGGGAGGCGGAGGTTGCAGTGAGCAGAGATCAGGCCACTGCACTCCAGCCTGGGCGACAGAGCAAGACTCCATCTCAAAAAAAAAAAACAAACAACTTTCATTTTGGCCGGGTGCTGTGGCTCACACTTGTAATCCTAGCACTTTAGGAAGCCGAGGCTGGAGGATCACCTGAGTTCAGGAGTTGGAGACCAGCCTGGCTAACATGACGAAAACCTGTCTCTACTAAAAATACAAAAATTACCTGAGCGTGGTGGTGGGCGCCTATAATCCCGGCTACTCGGGAGGCTGAGGCAGGAGAATCGCTTGAACCCTGGGGGCGGAGGTTGCAGTGAGCCGAGATCACGCCACTGCACTCCAGCCTAAGTGAAAGGGCAAAATTCTGTCTCAAAAAAAAAACAACAAAAAAAAACTTTCATTTTACCATTAGCAACAAATGCTGTTAGTTGTTGTCTTTGAAATTACAGTTGCACAGGCTCACTTTCTTCATTTTTGAGAAAATGTCTTTCAGATACCCAAACCTGAATAACCATAGTTTGTCTGTGAATTGTTCTATATTGTACTGTTTTATCAAGGACATTCTTTTTTTTTTTTTTTTTTGAGATGGAGTCTTGCTCTGTCCCAGGCTATAGTGCAGTGGCACGATCTTGGCTCACTGCAACCTCCGCCTCTTGGGTTCAAGCTATTCTCCTGCCTCAGCCTCCTGAGTCCTGAGTAGCTCGGATTACAGGTGCACACCACCATGCCCGGCTAATTTTTGTATCTTTAGTGGAGACGGGGTTTCACCATGTTGTCCAGGGTGGTCTTGAACTCCTGACCTCGTGATCCACCCTCCTCGACCTCCCAAAGTGCTGGGATTACAGGCATGAGCCACCAGGCCTGGCCTATCAAGGACATTCTTAAATGAAACTAGCATTTGTTTTACTATGAGTGCTTGGTAGAGAGGAATACAATGATCTATTAGAGTGCAACAGTTTGGTGCCACTGCTCTGATTTTTGCTAAGGCACCAGCAGTTTTTTCCACAATTGCTTTTGCACCATTAGTACAAACATTCAACATTTGTACTAATGGTGCAAATGTTAAAAAAGAAAAAGAAAAACAAACAAACCCAGACAAATAGCATCTTAAAATTATGATGTAAATAAGCTAGGCCTGGTGGCTGACACCCATAATCCCAGCACTTTGGGAGGCCAACCTGGGCAGATTGCTTGAGCTCAGGAGTTTGATACTAGCCTGCAGCAACATGGCAAACCCTGTCTCTACAAAACATACAAAAATTAGCCAGGCATGGTGGTGCACACCTGTAGTCCCAGCTACTCAGAAGGCTGAGATGGGAGGACAGCTTAAGCTCAGGTGGCAGAGGTTGCAATGAGCTGAGATCACACGACTGTACTCCAGCCTGGGCAACAGGGCCAGAGCCTGTCTCAAAAAAAAAATAAAAAAAATTATGATGAAAATAGTTTCGACCCATGGATCCCCTGAAAGGGCCCAGAAGAAATTACGATGAAAATAGTTTTGACCCACGGACCCCCTGAAATGGCTCAGAAGACCACACTGAGAACAAACTGAGTTTGATTGCTTATGAATAGGAGGTAGATGACATGAGAAGTCCTCTGCAGAGAGAAAGCCAAGGGCAATCACTCCCACTGGGGTAATTCAGCAAGAACTTGTTAGGGGAGCAGTGTTAATGTGATACCAGACTGAGGTGCTGTCCAAGGACCCAGAGAGTAGGAAAACACCGGTTGTTTAAGGAAATTGGAGGGTAGATCAGCCTGTAACAGTAGATGAAAGACTTGTAGAAGGCTGATACTAAGGCAGCCAGTATCAGCACTTAAGTGCACGCTTGCTATTGGGTCCAGTCCTAACTCTGTCATAAGTTCTGTAACTTTGAGTAAGGTACCTAACTTCTTTCAGCTTCTAATTTCTTATCTGTGAAATAGGATTAAAATGCCTGCTTCATAAGATTGTTGGGACTAATGAGATAATATATGCTAAGTGCTCTCAGCCACAATGTTAATTCAATAGCTATCATATATGACAACCAGCAATTAGTAAAATTTGAGGGTCAGAACTTAGAAGAAGGGCCTGTGATGTGAAGAGGGTAAGAAAGATGGATGAGTTTGGAAGTCTGTGTAAGACTGAGTCCAGCTAAGTCACTAATTCATCAGATATGTTGCCAAAACTACAAAGATAAATAAAGGTTTCTTCCTTTGAGTTGTTTACAGTCTAGGTAGGAAATAAGACATATACTTGTTATTCAATCATTAAGTGAACATTGATGGCCTATAATGTGATGCTTTGCCAAGGAGTTTGAACCTTATCATTGGAAGGTTTAAAGTAGAGGAAAAAATATGGTAAGATCCAGTTTTAGAAAGATAACTGTCCACAGCAGTACTGAGGAAGGAAAGACTTCAGGTGGCCAAAGAGGAGATTATGTCAGTAGCTCAAGTGAAAAAGAAAATAACTTTGACTAAGGTATTGTAACTAAGGTAAAAAGGATTTGATTTGTGTGCTATGTATCTTATACCCTCATTGTAATACAGGCATAATAGTGTAATAGATGATTGCTTGGGTTCTTATCCCAGTGCCCTCTCTTATCTTTGTGACCTTGGGCAAATTCTCTACCCTCCAATTTGCCTCAGGTTTCCTATTTATAAAAGGCATTATTGTGGGGATTAGCGAGATAATATTTTACAAATTACTTAGAATAGTAGTAAGTGCTCAGTAATTGTTAGCTGTTACTAGTAATTTGGTGTGCATTTGAGTTTGAGTTGACCGGTGGGTGTGTTGGACAACAGAGAATGGATTGGGAGAGATTAAAGTGCAGAAGAGCAAGTGGGGAATTTCATGGATTATCCCAGAACAGAAATACTGTTTTCCTTAGTTTTATGAGATTGTTGACTTTTTGGGTTGCCTGATTTCATCTCAAATCAGAGTGAACTTTGATAAACCAAATGATAATGATCACATAGGTATCATTTTATCACTTTGCCCTGACATTTTCCTGTTGTTGTATTATTAAGTTATTGGTAAAGGAGATTCTTGCTCCCAAGAACTAGGGTGGTGATGTGTTTTATTTTGTTTCTTATTGGTTGCAGATTCCTAATTCCTATACCAGGTGTTTGTCCCTGTTCAACTTTCTAGCTTATTTGAAATGATCACCTTTGCCTGTGTTACGTTAGAATATATGGTGTCTAGGCAATTAGACTCACCACTACCATGTTTATTCATTTTTCTCTAAATTTGTCGATATTCTAGTATTACCTTCTTCTTTGACCTAACTGGGAAATGAAATTTGTTACATTAGGAGATTTTTTTTGAGATTACCGAAGCTTATTTTTTTCAGGTTTTTGAGTTTATTATGTACTTTTCTGCCATCTTACACAGAATATACTGACCTAATTAACTGGAATTATTTTTAAATCATCTTTAAGTAGTTTTAGTAAGCGCTTTAGGTTTAGTTAAGTAAATTTGAGGAATCTCCCTTCTCTAAAATGTTAATGTACCTCAAAGATGTAAACTACATCTTTGTAGTTTTCAAAGATGTGTCATCTCTTCTCATGCCTCTCTGCCAGGGCAAGTCTGTGAATGGGCTTCAGAGGTTTGGTTAATGCTCTGCAATTCTACAAAAATGTATGTGCATGAGGATTAAAAGTTTTACCAGATTCTTGCTAAATATTTGATAGCAACATTTAGAAGTAAAGGATTAAAGTTTTCTCTATATATTGCTTTTCTTTCTGTGATTTCGGAGCTATAGGGCAGAAAGATTACAGTTACTATGGTCAGGCAGTTAATTGGGTATTTGTTGAGCTATGCTAAAGTATGGTGATGATGATGAATTTGTTACATACTTAACTGGTGCTCTTTTTACATGTGCTATTTCATTTGATCCTAACAGTAATCCTGTGCAGTAGGGACTGTTGCTGTCCCCACTTTACACATGAGAAAAATTGAGGCTTAGTGAAGTTACATGCATTTTTTAAGGTCACAAAGTTAGTAAATGTTTGAGTAGGGATTTGATTATAAGCAGTCTGACTTCATAGTTTCTGCCCTTCACCATTACACTTCATAAAAAATGTATTGTGCCAGCGTCATGGCCTGTGCAGTCAAATGACATTTAGCGACGTTTTGCTTAGATAATTTTGGTTGTTGTTGTTTTTTTTTTTTTTTTTTTTTTTTGAGGATAATGTTATCTGATTTTTTTTTTTAAATACCCAAATGAGGTTGCATGCTTTTTCTGAAACATCCTCTCATGGAGGTCATGTATGGTCATGGGGGGAAGGAGCTGGGACCTTTCAGGGCCTTTGTACTGACCCTAGACTGTCTACTTTCAGTTCTTGTAATGGCAGGAAAAGAAACCCCTGTTTGGCTAAGCAACAGCTCTCATGTTTGCTCTTCTTTGCAGCTGGTTACAGTCCTGACTCATGGAAGTGATTCATCAAATTGATTGAATGATAGTCTGTTCTTTCATACATCCACAACTTGTGTTCTGGCTAAGAATCATCACCTTTTTAGATCTAGTTCCTTTTGTCTTACCTTAATCCCCACGCAGCCAAAAAAGTTTTCACTGTGTGGCAGTTACTTCAGAGTTCATGATGAGTAAAAAACAACCAGCAAAGTGAAAAATTACATGGTCAGGGACATTTACTGCCCTCATGAATAACTGACCTTTTACATTTGCAAATGTTAAGCATTTCCTTGAGAGAATAGTTTTAAATCCGGGTGCTTTGGGGGTAAGATTCTAGTTTTGTTCCTGAATAAGACATTCTTAAATCTAGAAATTTGGTAAGTATGGGTGAAAAAAAACTCCCAGAAAATTGTGATCATCCATAACCCTATCACCCATCACCTTATTTTATGAAAAAGGGATAAGCATTTTGCTTAAACCTTTCATGTTCAAAATGTTTTGAGGCTGGTTGCGGTGGCTCATGCCTATAATCCCAGCACTTTGGGAGGCCGAGGCGGGCGGATCACTTGAGGTCAGGAGTTCCAGATCAGCCTGGCCAACATGGTGAAACCCCATCTCTACCAAAAATAGAAAAATTAGCTGGGTGTGGTGGTGTGTGCCTATAATCCCAGCTACTTGGGAGGCTAAGGCACAAGAATTGCTTGAACCCAGGAGGCAGAGGTTGCAGCGAGCCGAGATCACGCCACTGCACTGCAACCTAGGCAGTAGAGTGAGACCGTGTCTCAAAGAAAAAAAAATGGTTTGAAAATTACTTGATAATTGGATATGTCAATACAACTGACCTGATATTTTCAGGGCTTGATTTTTTAGAAAGACTTACATTCTGGATTTTTCACTGTGTTGTGATATATTTCTCCATTAGAGCACTGCTTTTTGTTATTAGGAGTCTAGTTGAGTCGGGGAGATTTCTTTTTGACCTTGTTCCTGTCTTTTATTTCATAATTATTGAATAGAAGGAGTAACTAGAAGTAGGTGGTTTCTAGTGGTGAGTGGTGGCCACAATGATAATAAAAATAACAATAACCCTAAGAAGCCAATGTTTGTATGCTTATACAGCTTTTATAACTGGAGCCAACTATACCAGCAAAATAGCATTATAACTTAAATTAGTGAAGATTATTAAACATATATACTTAATTATGCTGTATATAGTACTAAAAGTAAAAGGCAATGCCTACACCAGGATGTAGAGAAAAGGGAAACCCTTGTGTATTGTTGGTGCGAATGTAAATCAGTACAGTCATTATGGAAAACAGTATGGAGGTTCCTTTAAAAATTAAAAATAGAACTACCATATGATCTAGCAATCCCAGTAATGGGTATGTATCCAAAGGATGTATGTCAAAGAGATATCTGCCTTCTCATATTCACTGCAACATTATTCACAATAGCCAAGATACAGAAGCAAACCTGAGTGTCTATCAATGGATGAATGCATAAAGAAAACTGTGCTGTGTATACATAATGGAATATTATTCAGTCTTAAAAAAAAAATGAAATACTGTCATTTGCAACAACATGGGTGAATCTGGAAGATGTTTTGCTAAGCAAAATAAGCCAGTCACAGAAAGATAAATAGTGCTTGATCTCACTCGTATGTGGAATCTAAAGAAGGTGAACTCATAGAAACAGAGAGTAGAATGATGGTTACCAAGGGATTGGGGAAGGGAAGGGTGGGAGGACTGGGGAAATGTTGGTCAAAGGATACAAAATTACCATTAGGAGGAAAGAGTTCAAGAGATCTATTGTATAATATGGTGACTATAGTTAATAACTATTATATACTTGAAAATTGCTAAGAGAGTAGATTTTAAGTGTTTTCACTACCAATAACTGATTTAAGTATGTGAGGTATTGTTAACTAGCTTGATGTAGCCATTCCACAGTGTTTACATATTTCAAAACAAAATGTATACCATAAATATATTTAATTTTTGTCAATTAAAAATAAATTTAAAAGTGAATATATATTAACAGAAAATGGGGGGGGGGGTGAGTCAATACCTACAGAATATGAAAAATCCAACTTTGAAAAACTCAGTTCTTTTTTGCTGATATCTTTGTGTTTCCTAGGACTGTGTTTATTCATTCATTTTAGTGTTACCATTGTAGACTTTATAGTTAAGTAAAGAACTGTTGTGGTGGCTCACACCTGTAATCCCAGTGCTTTGGGAGGCCAAGGCAGAAGGATCTCTTGAGGCCAAGAGTTTGAGACCACTCTGCACAACATAGTGAAACCTTGTCTCTACAAACATTTTTAAAATGAGTCAGGTGTGGTGGCATGCACCTGTAGTCCTAGCTACTCCAGAGGCTGAGGCAGGAGAAGCCCAGGAGTTCAAGGCTACAGCAAGATATGATTATACCACTACACTTGAACCTGAGCAACAGAGAAAGACCCTGTCTCTAAAAAATAAATAAATAAAAATATATAGTTAAATGGGTAAAAAGAACAACTTATGAGAAATACATTTCTGGGGGAGGAGATTAAAGTGTACTAATAAAAAGAATCATAAGGAAAATGTTCACAATGATGTGGATTAGAACCTGAACACAATAAAGTGTAAACCAACCTTTCAACACCAGTTTAGGTGTGCAGAAAGATTTACCAGAATGAAATTCATAATTCATTTCCCCCGTCATCCTCTCCTTTCTCATCAGCAGGATCCACCATGTTCACATAGATGATCTGTTAATATCATCTTGATTCTGAAAGGGACCTTAGTGGTTAGGTAATCTCTCATGAATGCTTTTGCCCATTGGTTGTTCAGGGACTGGGAGCTTTTCAGAATGAGTGAGGTTTAGCAGGTTCTAGGATTGGGTAGAGGGTAGAGGAGTAGTGTGACAACTACTTTTATGAATTTGATAGGATTCTTCTCCCTTTGGTTGTGAACCAAAAGAAGTAAATTCCCAGTTATTAAGATTAAATCTAATTAGATTTAGACTTGTTTTTAGATTGTATTCTCAAGAAGTTACCTATAAGCACATGATCTTCTGAAAATCTGAACATAAATATTTTGCCCGGTATGTCTAGGCCCTTGAAATTTAGAATTGCAGCATGTCCTTCATCCCACTCCTTTCAGAATCTCTTACCCCTTTCTCTGCTTTATTTTTCTCTCGACTGTTTAATACTTACCACTACCTCACTTTCTAACATACTGTATAATTGCTTTATTAATGTTATTTATTGTCTGTGTCTGCCCTGAATGTATGCTCTGTGACAGCAGGGGTTTTTATCAGATACCCTTACCCGCTGCTATTGCCTATAGGTACATGATACACAGTAAGCACTCAATAAATGAAAGAATGTGTTTAAAACCTAACAGGAAAATTACTATAAAAATTTCCTCTGATTGTCTAACTCATTCATATATACCCACACCCATGTTCATGGATTATATATGCACTCCATGCCTATACCCCATCCATATCCATGTATACATACATACGTACATATGTATATACAGCAGTGGGTGATTTTGCCCTCCAGGGTTCCTTTGGCAGTGTCTGGAGACATTTCTGGCTGTCACAACTCGGGGATGCGGGGAGCATGTGTGCCCTGGCCTCTAGGTGTTCAGATGCTGCTAAACAGCCTTCAGTGAATGGGACAGCCCCTGCACAGCAAAGAACTGTGCAGCCTAAGCTGTCATTAGTGCTGAGGCTGAGAAACTCTGATACACACACTAATGTATGCATACATACATACATATACACATACATACACATACATAGTCACTGGTTTAAAAAATCTACTTAGAGAATTTTTGAAATTTGAAGTGGAAAACATAGGCAATACTAAGGGTTCTTTAGGTAAATAATACTTGGACCTTTATTGCTCTTTTTGCTGGCAGTTAAGGCTTTTCCTTATTTTCAGAGTTGATAGCATTCCTCGTGTTTCCCTTATATTTTATGTTTCTTTATGTGTCATATTTCCCTCACTGGACTGTATGTCCTTGAGATTAGGATTCCCATACAGCCATCCTCATGCTCCAACTCTCAGAGCTTGGCAGTGGACTTTGTACATTTTAGGTTCTCTTTAAATGCTTTTTGAGTGAACCAGTCAGTCAACCAAGTAACTAAGAAATTTGGGTGTTGGATTGTAGAAGCCACGGTAGGAATATTGACTCCACCCATGGAAATGGGCAAATGTCACAAATTAGACCCTCCCCAACAGCTGGAGAGCTGGTTATGAAGCAGTTACCAGCACCCCCCTGGGCATATCTGACATTGAAGCAAATTTGCATTTGGTAGACAGGTTTGGGAAAGGGCTTTAAAAGTAACAAAGCCTATATATTGGAGGAGCTTCAGAGTCATCCTTTTTCTCCACCAGTGAGATTCCATGTACATTGATTTATGTCTTGGAAATATGTGAAAGATGTTTCTATTAAATCTTTCAGGCCGGGCTCAGTGGCTCACGCCTGTAATCCCAGCACTTTGGAAGGCCAAGTCACACAGATCACCTGAAGTCAGGAGTTCAAGACCACCCTAGCCAACACAGTGAAACCCCATCTCTGCCAAAAATACAAAAATTAGCCAGGCATGGTGGCAGATGTGTGTAATCCCAGCTACTTGGGAGGCTGAGGCAGGAGAATTGCTAGAACCAGGTGGGTGGAGGTTGCAGTGAGCCAAGATTGACAGAGCGAGACTCCGTCTCAATAAAAAAAAATAATAATAAATAAATAAATCTTTCATGGCCATTAGTATATTGTTTAGTCTTGACCTGGGAGATGCTTGCTGATGCAACTGTTTACAAAAATGTTGAAGTAGGTGAAGAAAAGGGAGCTGTCATAGCCTACAATAGGCAAGTATGAAATAAAGGTGTATGTTGTGGAAATCACTGAAAGAGGTCAATATCCTCATCCTCACTCCACAGAAGGGGAAATTAGGCTCATTGAATTGAAACAACTTACCATAAGGCACACACCCAAGTTGCAAATTGGGAATTTGCATTTGGACCCAGTTTGCCCAACTCCAGCCCCATGACCTCGATTTATCTGTAGTCTCTTTCCTTTCTTTCCTCTTTCTGCTAACCATGGATGAATGGCAGTAATCCTTAACAGCTGTTAGTGATGTATCAGACATCCAGTTCTTATTGCAAATATATGAGGCTTGTAATATGAATTCTATTTTACAAATGACAAAACTTAAAGCTCAAAAAGTTAATTTTTGGACCAAGGTCACAGCTAACAAATGGCAGAACATTTGAACTTGGCAAGGCAGTATGGCACACAGGCTCATACACTGCTCACCACAGGTCCTTCAGTGCAATGACAATGACAACAAAGAAAGTTAATTTTTAAAAATGAGATCAAAGATTTTCTTCCTTATGTTAAAAAAATTATTATTATTTCCATTTTACTTGACCCAGCTTTCTGTGACTTATTTTTACTAACTTATTTCTGTGTATAGGGAAGGTTTGGAAGAAAGCCTTTTGTCAGAAACTCATCCTATTATGGATAGTTGCTTTTATAATGTTAGAATTGGTTGCTCTGTGTGTGCGTGTGTGTGTGCGTATATGTGCACACATGGGAGTGTCTGTGTTTTGAAAGGACAAAATAAAAACTAATCAATAGAGCAGGTCTTTGAAATTCCTTAACCTACTTATGTCATTAGCAGTAATGTCTGTGATGTTACCTGTCATGGAGTCTTGAGCTTGCAAGGCTAGCTTTTCAGAGGTGATTTATTTTCTTCTAAGTGATATGTTTGCAGTTTGAGCCACAGAACAAAGCATAGTGCCTAATTATCACTATATGGGCCAATGGCCATACTGAAGATATATCTCTTGATCCAGTTTTTTTACTTAAGCATATAACTTTTTTTTTTTTTTTTTTTTGAGATGGAGCCTCTCTCTGTCACCCACTCTGGTGGGCAGTGGCATGATCTTGGCTCATTGCAACCTCCACCTCCTGGGTTCAAACAGTTTTCCTGCCTTAGCCTCCCAAGTAGCTGGGACTACAGGCGCTCTCCTCTAAGACCTAAATGGAAAAGAAACAATTTAGCAGAGCTTCATCAGATTTGCTTTTTTCTTGATTACTTTATAATATAGTTACACAAAGCAGATGTATACAGTGGACTTGCAGTGGTGTCTATTAGCATTAGGGTAGCTGCTGCTTAATTTAAAAAATCACCAATATTCAGCTTCTTTGGCTTTTTATTTTTTTTTCTTTGAGACAGAGTCTTGCTCTGTCACCCAGGCTGGAGTGTGGTGGCATGATCTCGGCTCACTGCAACCTCCACCTCCCAGGTTCAAGCAATTCTCACGCCTCAGCCTCCCAAAGTGCTAGGATTACAGGCGTGAGCCACTGCTCCCAGCCTTCAGTCTCTTTGGCTTTTTGTGTGTTTCCAAGTAAGTGTTCCTCCTTCCTAAGATACCATAATTTGCCATGTCTCGATATCTCGATATCCTGATACCAGTTAATGCGTTTTCTTTGTTCCATGGGGCTTTTTGCATTTATACCTTTTTTATTTTTATTTTATTTTTTTAAGAGATGGGGTCTTACTCTGTCGCCCAAGCTCACAGTAGTCTCTACTGCCCTGGCTCAAATGATTCTCCCAACTCAGCCTCCCAAAGTAGCTGGGACCAGAGGCGTGCACCACGATCCCCAGCTAATTTTTTTATTATTTTTAGAGACAAGGTCTTGCTATGTTGCCCAGGCTAGTCACAAACTGGTCTTCCCTTTTAACTAGGTTTCCTGAGGACAAAGATCTCAGTGTGTTCATCTGATGTCTTCAGAGTCTGGGACTTTAATGCCTATTAGGTGTTGAATCCATATATAAATGCGTTAGTAACTGGCTTTCAAGATTGTGTTCTCTTAATACAAATATCTGGATCAAGAATGTAGGAAGTTACTTTCCAAAATGAGAAAATAAGCCCTTTTGTTAATTTTTGAACCTAATTTTTAAAGACCGCATTCAATTTTTGTGTATGAAATGTCTTAGCCAGAGGTTCTCAAACTTGAGGGTGCATCAGCATCACTTTAGAGAGCTTGCTGGGCCAGGCATGGAGAAGGGTCACAACTGTAATCTTAGCACTTTAGGAGGCCGAGGCGGGCGGATCACCTGAGGTCACGTGACCTCAGCCTGGCCAACATACCCAAACCCCATCTCTACTAAAAATACAAAAATTAGCTGGGCATGGTGGCACACGCCTCTAGTCCCAGCTACTCGGGAGGCTAAGGTGGGAGGATCACTTGAACCCGGGAGGCTAAGGTGGGAGGATCACTTGAACCTGCCAGGAGGCAGAGGTTGCAGTGAGCCGAGATTACACCACCGCACTCCAGCCTGGGTGACAGAGTGAGACTGTCTTAAAAACAAACAAACAAACACACACACACAGAGATTGCTGGACCTTGCCACTAGAGTTTCAGTAGGTCTCGAATGAGTCTAAGAATGTGCATTTCTGAGAAGTTCCCAGGGTCTGCGGGTACACTTTGAGAACCCTTCTCTAGTCAGTATTTCCCATTTGGTAGGAAATACCACTAGGTGGCACCAGAACACTTCTTATGAAGTAGCTATTGGCTTTTTGAACAGTGCTTATTGCACAGTTTAGGATTATATAAAAGATACAATCACTAAATTATTGGAATTTGGAGCCTGAATTATCTCATGTATATAAAAAGTAAAAATGTGTTGATTCTATTAGACCAGAGAACTATACGACTATTAAGGTTAAATTTTTAGATCAACTCTTCCAGGAATGAGGACTATACCTCTCACCTTTGCTGCTCTCCTTTTCAGTTGTGTGGGTTAATCAGTTTCATTTACCAGTGATTGATGCAGATCCTTTCACAAAATAAAAATAAACATTTCATATGAATCATAAGTATTTATTCTTCCAGGTTAATGGATCTTGATTTTGTTATCGATTACATTTTAAAACCACTTTTAAAAGACTTATACATATTGTGCGCATAAATTTCTTGTAATTTTGTCCTTCCTCCAGTGGCCCAGTTGTATTTGGGGCAGTTTTAGAATGTCAAAAAGGGTGAAATGTGCTTTCCTATTGGCTTCCTTACTCAGAAAGTTGAGTAGTTTCCTTTTTAAGAGCTATTGAGAGGAAAGTTTTGGCTGCTGTTCACCTCATCTCACCTCCTGTTACCGTGGAATCTCACTCCATAAATTTCCAATCATTCCAACACCTCCAGATTTTCTTTCCTCCACCGACTGTAACAACCTGAAAGTTGGCATGGTTTCTCCACATGATGGCGTGTGTGGAAATAATTACTTGCTGTGTTCCCCTGTTTGCTAAGCTCTCCCATTCACATTAGGATGTCACTTTGTGAAACAGTAAATGAGTCACTTTTTAGTTTTTAAAACAGCGTGTATAGTATCTGAATACCATCTGGGTTTTTCTAGAATCCTGAGAATAATTTTTCTATTAATTCTGCTTTTTTGTCTTTGGAGCTGAAGCTTGGTTTAGGTTTCAGTGGCCTAACAGGGTTTGAAAATGACCATCACAGAAAAAATGGAATTGGAGTCACTCAATCAGATTAAAATTAGACTAGCACTTTATTATATCTCTTTGATCATTGGAAATAATTGAGACTAGTTTAATGCTAAGCAAAGATGACAGCTTATGGAAGAAGTAGATAGAACAGACTTTAGGATTATTTTTGAGACATCAGATTCCTTTTTAAAAGACATAAAATTTTACGTCTTCTAGTAAGCAGAAAGGAGCTTTTTGTAGATTGGCAATTAACATAGCTAAACCAACTTGATTATTCTAGAGAAGATTATTTTATTATCCAGACCTATTTTTTCTCCCTCTTCTTTCTGTACTTTATAAATGAAATTATTTGTTATATATAAATGTAAAGCATTATTTATATATGTAAAGCATTATTATTTATATATGTAAAGCATTATTTATATAAAGTGTTAGCCACATGTGTAATTTAAAATTTTCTGCTGTCCTTATTACAAAAAGTAAGAAGAAAGAGGAAAGATTACTTTTAGAAATGTTTTATTTAAACAAATATGTCTAAAATATTTTAACATATAATCAATATGAAAGTTACTAATATTATTTTGACTTTTTTGATACTAAAATTAGAATCTTACAGTACATGTCAACCTGGACTAGCCATATTTCATATATTTAGTAGCCACATGTGAAAAGTGGGTACTGTATTAGATAACAGCACAGATATAGGTTATTTCATTTGTCAGTGACTGTGTCAGAGAAGGGCAAGAAAGCATAAGGATATTTAAATCAATCATCATGTAACATTTTAGAAGTTTTGGAGAGTACTCAAATCAAACCAGTCGGTAAAACGAGTTATTATCTGTTGATTTCTTTTGTATTTGTCACTTTTCTACCCTAGGTGTGATTGGTATTTTAATACATAAAATGCCAATTTTAAAAATAGTTTAGTCAGCCTAAAATGACTTACTTCTGAGGATCCTGCTAGTATTTGCTTCTGTTTGAAATGTCATGATAATTTGAATCCACATCTACAGTACTTTCATATTTTGTGGCTGATGTGGTAAACTAGTTTCTTACGATATTGGGCAAGCCAGAGGTTAAGCCTGTTAACTTCAGCAGCCAGAATACTGTACTCTAGTTGCTATAAACAATTAGGCCTGTCAGCAATTGACCTTGGAAATGCTAATTTGCTTGTCCCTGGGTGCTGCCTCAGGCACTGGCTTTCTCTCTGTGGGTGGGAGTTATGAACCTAGTTTGGAGGAGAACTTGAGGCATTTGGGGCAAGCTCCAAACAGATGTGCTTCTTGCTTCATTTTTGCATGTGACCAAGTCGCAAGAGGCGCATTCCTTGCATGAATTTCTTTGAAGGCCTTGTAGAATCAGACATGTATGCCTTGACTAAAGTTGAGAGGAAGCTTTATTACTTTTGAATTTACCCTTCCCTCTTCATTCTACTGCACATCTGCCATAACGAAGGTTGATTGAAAAATGCTACACAGTGATTTTCATCACTATTTCATTGTATTTCTTAAACTTACTGAAAAAGAACTTGGAAGGCATCTTTTATTAACTCTTTTGGTTTTGTGTTTATTACTACTATTATAGTAGAGCCAGGAGAAAGTGGCCTGAATAAGTGAGGAGAAAGAAATGTTAGTTGGAAAAGCTATATATACATGGTGAGAAGTTATAGGTAGCGTGCTCAGTAGATGAAGAAGGGAAAGAGAATATTTATAAAATTCAGAGTTACTGTCTTTTTAAACTGGTGGTGACAGCAGTGGCAGATTTTACTCCAAGACAAAGATTTGCGCTTCCTCTTCTTTTGGGCAGGTAATTTTGGACAAGGTAATTTTGTCCCTTTATTGTACAATACTGATTCAAACATTTATTTGAGGTTGGTTGATTGCCACTGTTGTTAGGTAATTGTTAGCATTTTATGTTGATCAGTCACCAATTATTATTGGCTCATGCCCTCAAAAGGCTAATAATTTTGTTAGCAGATAAGGCAAATAGGTATCCATGCAAAGATCAGGAGAACTACATGGTAGTAAGTAATGTGTGCCAAATGAGGAGACCATGAATCTGTATGTCTCAATCAAGAATCTGTGAATGTATTTTTACATTTTATGACCTAGCAGCCTGATTCTGTATCCCATAGGCATACATCTTTTGTAGACTCTAATTTAATAGGCAACTTAATAATAGCCAACTTGTGATGCTTTTTGTGTACCTGGCATGTTATAAATGCCTTATGTGTATTCATTCATTTAATCCTTACAGAAATACTGTCAGGTAGGTAGGTATCATTACCATTATACATATGAGTAAACTGAACCTTGAGGTTGACCAAGGACTATATACTGTATCTCTGAAGGAGTGGTTTTTGTTTTTTAACCACAATAATGGATTTCAGATTGGAAATATACATTTTAATTATTTACTCCTTACATATTCTCACCCATCATCCTTTGTAACCCTAACCCCTTCCCAATTGCAGTAAGCTCTGAGATAAGTTCTTACCTACGCATTATTGACCTAGGCCTGTGCTCAGTGTAGATAGCTCTTTTGCAGAGCTCTGACACCGTTATGCCTGAAGATGAGTTCTTCATTAAAACCATTTATAGAGTCCATTCTATGCCAACTCTGATGATTGACTTAGAAGGTTCTCTGGCTGAGCCAAAAAAAAAAAAAAAAAAAAAAATGCTGCCTATTATATGAAATGTACTATGCTAGAAATACAAAGATATGAAGATACTTCAACAAATCTCTAGATCCTTACTAGGATTGTAAGTCTTGATTACCGTGAATTGACTTCTTGGATCATCTTTGTTTGATTGTTTCTCTAGCCATAACCAAAGCATCTGGCATTTGCTTCCCGAAAAATGGTAGTTATTACCTTCTACAACTATTTTAAACCCTTGAGCATAACTTACAGAAGGTGCATGATGTCACTGGCTATATCCCCTTATACTCTATATACTCCAGTCATGGAGCCTGGTTTAAGTGCCATCAACATATGCTCTTTAAGCCTCTTTTCTCTGCTCACATGACTTCCTCTCCCTAGAATGCCCTTTCTCTGTTGAGTGCTTTGAGGGCACCAATTCATCTTTCAAGGATAAGCTTAAGTATCATCTTTTTTCTGCAGACATTCCTCTCCCACCCAAACCAAATTGATCTCTTCTTGGGTTCCTCTTTGTTTGTTGTACATTCGTCCATCTAAACAGCAGAGCACTTCTTTGCACTCAGTTGTATTTCAACTATATACTATATATATTTCAACCTTATACTTTAGCATAAGGTATTCTCACCACTAGATACAGGGGTTTGAAAAGACCAGTTAATAATATCCTGTTTCCCAGCCAAGTTGGGGCTTCGTGTTCCAGTCTGTGTTGCACTACTCAACTCTGCCATTTTCACTCAAAAGCAGCCATAAACAATATGTAAACAAATGGATGTGATTTGAATAGTAGTGGGCTGCACTTTACTCATCCGTGGTCTAGAGAAGTTTGATAGTTTTGTCTCATGTCTTTAAAGGCTAAGAATGGGTTAAAATTTCATAAAATCAAAATATAAAGTGATACCTGAAAAGGGATTATAGGGAAGATAACAGAAATGGTTCTTGCAAATATATATATATATTTTTCTGGCCAACTCATTAAATGACTGGTAGGAAATAATTTTTACAAAGAGTACGATATAAGCCTTGACAACTTCTATATCATGGGTTACTGAAAAATCTTACCTATAAAGTTCTCCTAGACTCAGGTGTGTTTATAATAAAGTTTATGTTTTAGTTTCCTCCTTTCCAAAAGCCCTTTACATTTTCTGAAGTTAGTTCCACAATATTTACTAAGTTCCACAATATTTACTAAGCACCTTCTCTCTGAAATATAAAGATATGGAGATATCACTCAACAAATTTATAAATCTTATTGCAGTTATTTTTCTCTCTTAACAATCCTATGAAAATGAAGGAGACACTTGACAGATGAAAGAGCTAAAGCTCGAAGGGTTAAGTGACTTATCTGAAGTCACAAAGTTTGAGATGCTACTCACATCCAGAATATCTTCTGCAGTGCTAACCCACATGTGTACATGCGCACACGCACACAAACACACACACACAAGTGTGCATCTTGTGTAGATCAACATGTCCCATGCCAGTCCTATTTGCCGTTATATGTAGAGCTATTAAGTTTGGAACATTAAGTAAAGAATCCCTCATTATAGGATGCAATTTTGCTGTAATGAAATTCATTTCAGCAGATAATTAATTTAGTATTTAATCACCTTAAATTCTTCTTAATAGTATTTCACCTTGTTTTTTAAAAAAATTCCTCTCAGTTAGTCACTCCCTCTAAATCCCATTAGCTTTTTTATTCTTTTATTTGGTGACAATAACAACTTTATTGAGGTATGATTCACCCATTTAAAATGTACAATTTTGTGGTTTTCAGAATATTCAGAGATATATAACCATCACCACAGTCAATTTTAGAACATTTTCATCACTTCAAAAAAAGAAACCCTGTACCCTTTAGCTATTGCCTTCCTGTTTTCCCATTCTCACTATTCCTAAGGAGCCACTATTCTACTTTCTGTCTCTATAGATTTGCCTATTTCCAGCATCTCATATAAATGGAGTAATGTAATATGTGGTCTTTTGTGACTGGCTGTTTTCTTAGCATAAGGTTTTCAAGGTTCATCCATGTTGCATGTATCAGTAAGTACTTTATTCCTTTTTATAGCTGAATAATATTTCACTGTACTTCTGTTAAATTTATTCATAAACATTTTATTCTTTTTGATTCTATTATAAATGGAATTGTTTTCCTAATTTCACTTTTGGATTGTTTATTGCAAGTGTATAAAAATACAGTTGATTTTTGTATATTGATCATGCTTGCATTCTGAAACTGCTGAACTCATTTATTTGTTCTCATATTTTGATTTTTTAAAGTGGATTCCTCAGGATTTCTCTCTCTCTCTCTCTCTCTCTCTCTCAACAAGGTCTCACTCTGTTGCCCAGGCTGAAGTTCAGTGGGGTGATCAACAGCTCACTGTAGCCTCAACCTTCTAGGCTCAAGCAATCCTCCCACCTCAGTCTCCTGAGTAGCTGGGACTATAGGCTTGCACCACCACACCTGGCTAATTTTTGTATTTTGTAGAGACAAGGTCTTGCTATGTTGGATTGGCTGGTCATGAACTCCTGGGGTCAAGCGATCCTCCTGCCTTGGCCTCCCAAAGTACTAGGATTATAGACATGAGCCACTGCACCCAGCCTCCTCAGGATTTTGTTGTTGTTGTTGTTGTTTTTTGAGACAGAGTCTTACTCTTTTGCCCAGCCTGGGGTGCAGTGGTGTGATCTCAGCTCACTGCAGCCTCCACCTCCTGGGTTCAAGCAATTATCCTGCCTCAGCCTCCTGAGTAGCTGGGACTACAGGTGCCCGCCATCACACCTGACTATGTTTTATATTTTTAGTAGAGATGGGGTTTCACTATGTTGGCCAGGCTGGTCTGGAACTCCTGACTTCCAGTGATCACCCTGCCTCAGCCTCCCAAAGTGCTGGGACTACGGGTGTGAGCCCAGCTAGGATTTTCTGCATACAAGATCATGTCATCTGTGAATGGAGATAGTTTTATTTTTTCCTTTCCAATCTGGATGCCCTTTATTTCTTTTTCTTGCCTAATTGTCCTCGATAGAACCTGCAGTACAATGTTGAGTAAAAGTGTCAAGAGCATACATCCTTTTTACTGATCTTAGGGCAACAGCATCTTTCAATATTAAGTGTAATGTTATCTGGAGAGCTCCCTTCCTCCTGCAGTGGCCTTCTAACGCCCTTTATTGAGAAAGCTTCACATCATTCTCACTGTAAGAGAAAATGCTTCAAGCACTTCCATCTATTATCACAGAGCGGGTATTGAAGGGTGAATTTTGAGCTGAGAGGCAATTAATTGATAACTGGCACAGAACATGAATAAGCAAGTGGAATAAAGCTGTGAAGGTGCTGTGATAGAAACCTAATTGCAGGAAACAGTGAAGGCACCATGGAGTTAGTGGTCAATTCTAGCAGAGGACCTTTAGTAGAACTTCTGTACTGGAAATGAGGACATTAATGATGAGTAGGCATTCCCTAGAGAGTGGGAGAGGGTGTTTCTGAGGGTAGCAAAGATGAGAAGAGCTGTGAGCAGCTTGGTGTCAAGATCTGTGAAAGCTAACAGGTTAGTCTGCCACAGTGTGGCAGGATGTTGGCAGAAGGTGAGAGCTTATGAGTCAGAGACAAAGGTCTTTATCACTTGTTGCACATTGCACATCAAACAGTGTGAGTATCATAGTTCACCTTGTTGTCCCCTCTGTCCCAAGTCCTACATTGGTGAGGAAGGGCCCAGGGTGATACTGTGGAGGGTTTGTGTCACAGCTGAGGAACTTGGGGGCTAAGGGACCCAGATTTTTGTAACGAGCAGTAAACTTCCCTGACCTTTGCCATGGAGGAAGACATCATCTTATTATACTGCCCTCTGATGTAGAAGGAGGCACAACCTCAATCTTCCAGGGTTTTGTTCATTATACAAACATCCTTGAAAACTATAAAAGGGCAGTTAGTCATCCAGGCGGGGTGACTCACACCTGTAATTCCAGCACTTTGAGAGGCCAAGGCGGGCAGATCACTTGAGGTCAGGAGTTCGAGACCAGCTTGGCCAACTTGGTGAAGACTCCATCTCTTCTAAAAATACAGAAATTAAGCTGGCATGGTGGTGGGTGCCTACTAAGGAGGCCGAGGCAGGAGAATCACTTCAACCCAGAGGCAGAGGTTGCAGTGAGCCGAGATTGCGCCATAGCACTCCAGCCTGGGTGACAGTGTGAGACTCTGTTTCAAAAAAAAAAAAACGAGGGGGACAGTTATTGTCTTTGCTCACAAGATGTGAGGAGATGTGTGAGACCATGAGGAATAGTGTCCCAGCACCTGGCAGGTTCAGGGAACTGCATGTTAACTTCAGGTTGGGCCTTTCCAAGAATTTTACCACCACGTATTATAGCTTCAGCACTTACTACCTCAAGAAGATGTAGTACCTTACTTGATGCACGAAAGTCCTATTTGCTGCTGGATTCCTTCTTTCCCTTTTTGGCAAAGAGGGCATCATATTCTGTTGGCTAGGCAGAATAACCTCGAGCTTTCAGAAACAATTTTGGAATCAGGTCGCTAGGTTCAAACACAGCTCTGGCAATTATTAGCATTGTGTAAGTTTTGGTTCTCTCATTTGCAAAATGAGGATAATATTGTAAAATAGCAGTTAACATCTAATAAGTATTTAACTTTGTACCCACACACATCTCCCTTATTCTCACTTTATTTAGGATTGATGTGAGAATTAAATACTGTATATAAAATGCTTTTCACTTGGCACACAGCGTTCTTATTTTATCTGTCAGTTATTTTGTTTTGCTTATAATTATTTGGTTCTTTCGCAGGTGAGAGAGGTGGATGCTTTGGAGCTTTTGGCTCAGAAATGATAATGTACATAACACAGGCAGCCATGAGTTAAAATGCAAGTTCTGCTATCTGCTAGCTCTGTGAGTTTGAACCAGTTACTTCACTTCTTTAGCATTCTTTTCCATGCATGAAAAATATGGACATTATCTCCTTTTCATGGTTCCTGGTTTGATGAAACAGTTACATGCTTTGCTGTCCAAGATTTACTTCTCAACTTGGTTGATCAGCCTGTAAATGCTTGCTTTGGTTATAAAGGGAATTAGTGGAAAAAGAATTTAAAGTGTATGTCTTACTGTTAGGATGGGGAATGGCACTGAGAATGTGTGCTGAGGTTGGGGGAGTACATGATAGTAAGGGCCATGTGTGTTTCTGTGTGGGGGGAGATTGTCTTCTTAATAGGAAAAAATGATGTTTATGATATGGTTTAAGAAACAAAAGTATGTTCTAGTTTTAGAAAAATTAGTATGGGATTTCATTTCAAGCAAAAAAAGATGAGTGCTCCTGTGGGATAGACTAAAATAGGCGTTTAAACCAGTTAACAAAGAAAGATTATGTAATGTGTTACATGGAAGATGCAGTTTTTGTTAGTTGTCTCCCTCTCTTCTTCTGGAATGGAGCCTTCCAGAGTTCTTGGGTCGTTCTGGAGTTTGTTGAGCATTACCCTGTATCTGCCTTATCTTTGTTTTCTGAGTGGTAAGCTTATGAGGGGTTTGGAGTCTTGGCTGAAACTTAATAATACAGGTTGAGTATCCCTTATGTGAAATGTTTGGGACCAGAAGTGTTTCAGATTTCAGATTTTGGAATATTTACATATACATAATGAGATACCTTGGGGATGGGATCCAAGTCTAAACATGAAATTCACTTATGTTTCATATACACATAGCCTGAAGGTAATTTTATACAACATTTTAAGTAATTTTGTGCATGAAACAAGGTTTGTGTTAAGTACTTATGTGTGGAATTTTCCACTTGTGGTGTCATGTCAGCGCTCAAAAAAGCTTTGGATTTTGGAGCATTGAAGATTTTGGATTTTTGAATTGGGGATGCTCACCTTTATTAGAAATACAGCATTGACTAAAATAGACATGGCCATTGTGCTTTGAGCAGAAGCTGGAGAGACTTGGAGAGGGCCAGACTAGTGGTAGTAGGCTCTTGTAAGTCAAATTAAGAAGCTCTTACTTTAGGGCAATGGGAAGGTGTTAAAGAGTTTAAAAATAGGAATAGGATAATTTTATTTTGCATTATTCTCTGGCCATAATGTGGGAAATGGCTTCCTAGGAATATGCCTGGAGGTGTGCCTAACAGTTGGGAGGTTGTTGTAGTAGTTCCCAGCTATTAGGTAGTAGTGACTTGGACTAGAAAGGTGGTAAGGGATTGATGAGAAGTAGATCAATTTATAAAAGACAAAGGAGGAGTAATTGATGAAACTTGATGGTTTATTGAATATGGAAATTGAGGAAAAGGAAGAAGTCAATGGTGATACTCAAATTTCTGACATACGCATCTATGTTAATGGAGGCCCCATTTTCTAAGGTGGTGTGATGCTTTGCTGTTGCTGCTGGAACAAAGTACCACAAACTTAGTGACTTAAAACAACACAAATCTCAAGCCTGAAGTGAATCTTAACTGGGCTAAAAGCAAAGTGTGGCAGGGCCATGTGCCTTTCTGGAGGCTCCAGGGGAAAATCATTGTCTTGCCTTTTCCAGCTTCTAGAGGCAGTGCACATTCCTTGGCTTCTAGCCATCTTCCATCTTCAAACCTGGCAATGGCCCATTGAGTCTTTCTCATCCTGCATCACTATGACATTAACTAACCTGCTTTTCTCTTTCATTAATAACGGGCCTTGTGATTACATTAGGTCCACCCAGATAAGCCTGGATTCTCTCCCCACTGCAAGGTCAGCTGATTAACAATCTTATTTCCATCTATAATCTTAATCCCCCCTTTCCATGTAACATAACATAATTGTGGCACTGGGGGATTATTAGAGGGCCATTAATCTCCTCACAGCAGATAAGAACACGTTTTACAGAGGAAATAAATTTAGTTTTAGAGATGCATTCAAGTGGGGATGACAAATAAACAGTTGGTTTTTGAGCTTGGGATAAAGATATAGATATGACAAAAGCCTATACATGAAAATTGAAGCCATAGAATGAATGTTTGTTTCTTAGGTGGGGAGGGAATACGTGAAATGACAAGAAGGCCCGGGCCAGTGTCCTTAGGGTTTGGGTAAAGTTGCAGGTAGTGAGATTGAGAAGGAGCCACTGGAGGGTAGGAGGAAATCTAGAGGAATTTGATTTTAAGGAGGTTGGTAATGACCTTTATAGACTATTGTGTGTTTGGTCTGAAAGGATACTTAAACATCTTTTTAAGCCTATTGCTATTACAGATCAGGAAATTGAGGCCCAGAGAGATGAAGTCACTTGTCTAAGATTGTATAACTAGTTAATAGAAGTGCTTCTTCATTCCTACTTAGTTTATTTGCCACCCTGCAACCCAGGTCCATTAAATCTTTTCATTTTGAAGATAGTGTTAGGAAAAGATTTGGCTCTGTGTGTGTGTGTGTGTGTGTGTGTGTGTGTGTGTCTGTGTGTTTCATTGATATTCTGAATACTGAGAGCAAATTGCTGGAATGATGTCTGACTGGTGCCTTATTTACATGCAAGTTAAAAATTGTTTATACTAAATAATAGAATTAATAATTACTTTTTAAATCATGTAAACTTTTTTAAATGCAACTTCATCTCTTTTTGCAGTTTCTTTCACCTCATTTTGCAATCTCTCTCTATCCTTTTTATTTTTTCAATAAGTTTTTTATTTTGGAATGATGTTAGATTTACCAAAGTTGTAGATAGTGGAGTTCCCATATACCCATACCCTCACACAGTTCCCTCAGTTGTTAAGAAGATCTTATACTACCATGGTACATTTGTCAAAACTAAGGAACAACTCTGGTACATTCCTGTTGACTAAACTAAATAGTAAGCTCCAGACTTTATTTGGATTTCACTGATATCCTTTTAAAGAACGTTGTCTGGGATCCAATCCAGGATATCACATTGCATTTAATCATCATCTTCGTAGACGCTTCTTAGTTGGTTTCGCTTTTTTTTTTCTTGTAATCCTGACAGTTTTGAGGAATCCTGCTTAGGTGTTTTGTAGAATGTCTCTCAGCTGGAGTTTGTCTGATGTCTTATTATGATTAGATTTGCGTTACAGGTTTTTGGGAAGAAGAGCACAGAGGTCAAGGGCCCTTCTCATCACGTCATATCAAAGCTAGTGCAAGTCATCAACATGACCAGTAATGTCAACCTTGATCACCTGGCCCTAGTAGTGTTTGTCAAGTTTCTTTACTGGAAAGGTACTTTTTTCTTTCTTTTCCCTCTACATACTGTTTTTTGGAAGCAAGTAGCTCGCTGTATCCACACTCAAGGGGACATAATTAAACTCTACCTCCTGGAGGAGTAATTATCTACATAAATTATTTGAAATTCTGTAAAGAGTTTTGTTTTCTCTGCTTCTGCCCCTGCCTTAGGATCAGCTATTTTTCCAAGGGCCCTGGTTCTTTTTGATTGGAAAGTGGTATTGAGAAACCAAGATCTGGGCTCCAGATGTGCTTGCTGCTACCAGAAAGTGACTGCCTCTAAGCCCTTTCAGCAGACAGAGCTAGGAAATATGTGTATGTAGGCTAATGTATGTGTACATACATACCTGTCACTTGTATGTGTATTCATCTGTATCTATATTAAGGGGAACATGTGTTCACACCATTATCTTCAACGCTAATCTAGTGCTGCGTGGTTAAATTCTTTTCTTTTTCCCTGCTGATTTGTAATTTCCCTCACCAACATTAAGAAACTGGACTCCCACCGTCCACTGTACATTTGCTTCTGTGTGTGCCTCCAGTATACATGTAAAGCATTTTCAGAATTATTAGCCTGTGCTTCTGTGACAAACAAGTTCATCAGCTAGCTTAGGGTTTACGGACAGTTCTTTTGCCTTTAGTGTTATGGTTTTCAGTCAGAACACCATTTCCAAGGTTACTTAGGTCATTTCCCTTTGTTCTCCACTTCCTTCAGTGACATTTGTCATGCATTTGCAATACAGTTACATTGTTGTCATAGTCTGGATTCTATTACAGGATCCCCTCATTCCTGATTGTTGGCATTGTGGTAGTTTATTATTATTATTTTTGGATACATTATAATTCTTTGTGAGTGAAATTTACATGGGTCTTGACATACTGCAATCTCTTTTTGAAAATATATACGTACTTGGAAAATATACGCACTGAAGACATACTAGAATGTTTGCTGGCAGCAGTGTTAAGGCTAAGACCAGAGCAGTGAATGAAGCTGCAGTCAGATTTATAGGTCAGCAATCAGGGTTAAAGATGTTCTGCTTTCCGAAGTCAGAATTCACTCATATATAACAAAACTTCAGTAGGCAAGAGCCTACAGATGCTTGGGTTTAGAGAATGAGGCAGATCTCAAATATAAGGCCAAGAATTGAGTTACATCATTACATCAGGATATAGATATTGGAACTTATGCACACCTTGCCCAGCCAACAGGTGCAACACCATGGTAGCTTTTCATTGAGTTCTAACGTGGAAAAAAAAAATGCTTGGAGATTGTAAGTACTTGAGAGGAGAGATTATGTCTCTTTGAAACCCCTACAGAAATGTTTCTTAAACTGCAGTCTTAGAGGCACCTGGGATGTATATTTTAAAAATGCAAAATTGGAGCTTCTGAAAGCAGAGCCCAGAAATCTGCATTTTAAACAAGCATCCCAAGTAATTCTGATACATCCTGAAGTTTGAGAGCCCTATCCCCTCACTTTGAATGGTGAGGTGCCTTGCACAAGTAGGTGCACCCTGTGTGTTTACTAACTTGAATTGCAGGTAAGTAAAAGTTCTTAAGTTCCAGAATTCAAATCTGGGCAGCCTGTCTCCAGAGTCTATGTTAACAACATTGTAAAAGCTTTGCTTTGGGGGATTCATGTCATGCATCCTTAGAGTTTCTCAGGTAAATTAAGCCAAGAAATAATTGCCATTTTGGTGTTTCAGCAACTAAAAATATATGTGTATTCATATTCTTCTTCTTCTTATGGGGAGTTGGTGGGTACAGGATCTTGCTCTGTTGCCCAGGCTGGAGTACAGTGGCACAATCATAGCTCACTGTAAACTGCAACTCCTGGGCTCAAGCCATTCTTCCACCTCAGCTTCCTGAGTAGCTGGGACTACAAGCGTACACCATTGCACCTGGATAATTTTTCAAAAAATGTTTTGTACAGACAGGGTCTCACTATGTTGGCCAGGCTTAGGCAATTCTCCCACTTCTTTGGCCTCCCAAAGTGTTGGGATTACAGGCATGAGCCTCTGTGCCTGACCTGTTCATATTCTTCTGTGTTCAGCTCTCTAGGAAGCAGTGTGATAGCAGTGTTCTTGAATCCTAAGGAGAGGCATGTATCTTAAGACAATTTTTAAATTAAAAAAAAATTTTGGTTTTTTTTTTTGAGACAGGATCTCATTCTGTTGCCCAGGCTGGAGTACACTAGTGCAGTCTCAGCTCACTGCAACCTCCACCTCCTCAGGCTTAAGCAATCCTCCCACCTCAGCCTCCCAAGTAGCTGGGACTACAGATACACGCTACCACACTCGGGTCATTCTTTGTATTTTTAGTAGAGATGGGGTTTTGCCATGTGGCCCAGGCTAGTCTTGAACTGCTGACCTCAAGTGATCCACCCATCTCAGCCTCCCAAAGTGCTGGGATTATAGGTGTGAGCCACCCACACCCAGCCCAATTTTTAAATTGTTAAAAATGGATACAATACTTAAGAAATAATTTGGCAATGTCATATGAATGTAAAAGTACAGTAACATAGAACATGAGATAAGACTAGATTTATAGACCCTTAGGCCTGAAATGCACTTTACAGGTCATCTCATCTAACTCTCTCTTAAAAGTAAGGAAACTGAGCACCAGTAAGATTAAGTTATTAACTCAAAGTCTCAGAGAAAATTGACAGTTGCAGATATCCTGATTCAATCCAATATAATTTCCACTTTCATTCTGCTTCTATCTTCAGTGTCTCTATGAAATGATTAAAAAATTTATTAATTAGATTTTTAAAATCCATTTTAAATTAAAAACTGCAGATATCCACTAGAGGATGATAATTTGTAGCTGAAATTAGAAGCAAATCTAGTAAATTTAGAAGGAATATTCAGTGCAGTTGCAAAAAATAGATGTGAGTAAATGACTAGGATATTTAAGTAGAAAAGTTTGTTTTAAAACAAACATTTTTATGGAATGCTTTATTTTGGGATCTTACATCCAGTTTTGGTTTTCTAGCTTAATGAAAGACTGAAATAATCCAGGGGTGTAAAATGGGAAAACAGCTGGTTGAGTTCTACATTTGTTGAAAACATTGATTTGAAGTAATAGTTTGTCTTTAAATTCAGCCGGGTGTGGTGGCTCATGCCTGCAATCCTGACACTTTGGGAGGCCAAGGCAGGTGATTCACTTGAGCTCAGGAGTTCGAGATCAGCCTGGCCAACATGGTGAAACCCCATCTCTACTAAAAATACACAAAATTAGTGAGGCATGGTGGCTCGCACCTGTAATCCCCCCAGCTACTCTGGAGGCTAAGGCAGGAGAATTGCTTGAACCTGGGAGGCAGAGGTTGCAGTGAGCCGAGATCACGACTGGGCAACAGAGCGAGACTCCATCTCAAAAAAACAAAGCAACAGAGCAAGACTCCATCTCAAAAAACAAAAACCAAAACAAAAAAAAAGAAAAAGAAAAAAGAAATTCTGTGAAATCAGAAAGAGTCTCAGAGAAAACGCCGTTTATGATTTTTAACTTTGTATCATACATTAGAACCGTGGATCTCAAATTTTATCACTAATCAGAATCACTTGGAGGACTTGTTAAACTGCAGATTGCTGGGCTCCAACCCCCAAGGCTTCAGATTCAGGCCTCTGGGGCAGGACTCGAGAATTTGCATTTCTAACAAGTTCCCAGTTGATGGTGATGGTGCTGTTAGTCCAGCCCAACCACACTTTGAGAATGACTAGATTAGAGAAAGCAAATTATAGTACAAAGCAATCATATTCTGGTGAGGGGATTATACATTAAAAGCTGGTTTCTTTCATATTTGTTATGTAAAAAATCTGTATTGATGAATGTTTTCATACTTAACAGAAAAACTGTAACGAGGACACCCAGACATTATGTTATGAAGACTTCTGAGTCATTATGATGAGATTTCATTATATTAAATGTGGTTTAAATTATATAGTTAAATGTACTTTTTTAGTAATAGAGTTACTATTAGAAGTGGAAGTATTATGGCAAGTCTGAAAATATGGGATCTATGTGTGGAGTATATTAAGGGAACTCTATAGTCGCTCCCCATCCTTGTCAACACTTGCTACAGGCAGTCTTCTTACTTTTAGCCATTCTAATAGATATGCAATGGTATCTTATAGTGGTTTTAATTTGATTTTTCTAATGATCATTAAAATTGAGTACCTTTTAATGTGCTTATTTGGCATTTACCTCTTTGGTGAAGTATCTTCAAATCTTGTGTTGCCATTTGTTATTGGACCAGTTTTTTAATCATTGCATTTTGAGGGTTCTTTGTATACTCGGAATAAAAATTCTTTATCAGATATATGATTTGTGAGTATTTCCTTCCAGCCTCTTTGTTTTTAACGGATTCCTTTTTTTTTTTTTTTTTTTTTAAGAGTCGGGGTCTTGCTCTGTTGCTCAGGCTGGAGTACAGTGGCATGATCATAGCTCACTGCAGCCTCTACCTCCTGGCCTCCAGTGATCTTCCTGTCTCAGCTTCCTGAGTAGTTGGGACTATAGGCGTATGCCACCATACCCAGCTAATGAAAAATAAATTTTGTTTTGTTTTGTTTTTGAGATGGAATCTCACTCTGTCACTCAGGCTGGAGTGCAGTGGCTCAATATTGGCTTATTGCAAAGTTCACCTCCCAGGCTCAAGCAACCCTCCCACCTCAGCCTCCTGAGTAGCTGGGACCACAGATGCCACAAATGCCAACCTCCATGTCTGGCTAATTTTTTGTATTTATGGTAGAGATGGGGTTTCACTATGTTGTCCAGGCTGGTCTCAAACTTCTGAGCTCAAGTGATCCACCTGCCTTGGTCTCCCAAAGTGCCAGGATTACAGTTGTAACCTGCTGTGCCTGGCCTAAAAAAGATTTTTTGGGGGACAAGCTCTCTCTATATTGCCCAGGTTGGTCTCAAATTCCTGGCCTTAGGTGATCCTCCCACCTCAACTTCTCAAGTAGCTGGAATTACAAGCTCGAGCCTCTGTGCTTGGCTCAAACAGATTCTTTTGAAGAACAGAAGTTTTTAATTTCTGTGACATCCAGTTTACCAATTTTTTCTCTTGTGGATTGTGCTTTGCTCTTGTATCTAAGAAATCTTTATCTAACCCAAGTTCCCAAAGATTTTCTTCTGTATTTTTCTAGAAATTTTGTAGTTTTAGGTTTTGTATTTAAGTCTGTGATTCTTTCTGACTGAAGTTTTGTATATGGAATAAGGTACGAGGTATAGATCAAAGTTCAGTATTTTCCTTCTTTTTTTTTTCTTTGCATGTGGATAGCCAATTGTCCTAGCACCATTTGTTGCTGAAGACTGTTTTTTCTCAGCTGAATTGCCTTTGCACTTTTGTCTGTTTAGTTGTCCATGTAGGTATATATCCATTTCTGGACACAATTCAATGCTGTTGATCTCTTTTTCCATCTTCATGCCAATAGCACACTATCTTGATTACTGATGCTTTATGATAAATCTTGAAATAAGCTAGTGTTAGTCCTCCATTGTTGTCTTTTTCAAGGTTGTTTTGGCTATTCTAGGTCCTTTGCATTTCCATGTGAATTTTAGACTTGGCTTGTCAATTTCTACAGAGAAGTCGGCCAAGGTTTTGATTGATATTGCATGCCTTGCAGCCTGGAGGCTCTCTCAGGATACTAAGGTGGGCATTTATATGGCTTACCTTGTATGCTTCTAGTCACTCTTGTTCTTTCCTCCTTGCATGATGATGTCCAGTATCTTATAAACCTTTTTTAAAACATTTTTTAATTTTTATTTTTTTGGTTGTTTGAGACAGCAGACAAATCTAGCCCCTGTTAATGGCCAGTGGAAGTATTATGGCAGGTTTTTGATAAACAGGAGAGTAACACCAGACTTGTACTTGAGAAAGAGAATTGGCAACATCATGGAAGAACTATTAGAGGGAAAAGAAAAGAGATTGGAAAAGGAAATGACGAAGGAAACAAATCAATAATCTGAGGAAGAAACAAAGATTGAAATTAAGGCAGCTATAGTTGGAAAGGAAATACTAGCTGACTTTAGCAGGCAGAATAGATAGACATTTGTGACTAGTTAGATGTGGACAGTAAGAGTGAGGAGTCTAAGATGACTTTATGTTTTAGGTCTTGCATATAGTTTGGTTCTGTTTGGTTGCAGAGACTAGGTGCCTGCATGTGGGATGTGATTGATTAGAACCTCCCATTTTATAAATAGTACTGTGGTGTTATAATTGATACCCTGGAGTTCAGAACCAGTTACTCAGTGAATATTAATAGTTCTTTATTTCTTAGTTTGCAGTTCATTATAATTGTCATCCAAACACAGATACACTAGTGGGTGCTTATTCCCATTATAGAAGTAGTTTACTTCACTCAACAAAGAGTTTTTTTGAGGCTTCTGGTAGGTTTAGGTGTTTATGAATTATTACTATTTTTCAATAGGAAGCTTTTAAAGATGGAAAAACAATCTTGGAAGTCACTGATGATTTCAGTCAATTAAATTGAAAATAAAACATCTTTAAAATGTCAATATAAGTAAGGAAAAAATAAAAATTACCTTCTAAAATGTGAGACATCTTTTCAGAAACTTGCAGTGTGTGGAGGTGTAAATATAAGGAGAAATGCAAATTGAATGGGATAAGTATAATGATATTTGTAGTTAATTATGATAACTTATTTTTTGGTGGTGTCAGTGATTTAAATTTTAAAGGATTGATTTGCTATTATTTTCATGAAATCAAAATTTTTTTTTTACTTTCCAACAATAATCATAGAAATTATTCTCCGACAGATAGGAATATGAAATGAAGTTGTTCCCTCCTTTTGTGATCGTGACACTTCTACTCTTTCCTGAAAGAAATGTTTCTCCCCACAAACTACTTCTTATTTAGATGGACATTTGAGAGTTAGGTAAATAACAGAGATTACAGCCTGTCATCATGGATCTTATAATCTAATCAACTTCTTGTCAGATATCTTGGAATCTTAATGCTTATAGGGCTGATTTGTTTAATTAAACTGTTCCTTCATTAACTTTCTGTTTTAAAGGAGGCTGACCCTATTCGTATCTTTTTCTTGGTATAAATGTGTTTAAAATAAGTGTAGAGATATGCTAATCTAAGGCAGTTGCTATCCACATGCAAGCTAAAGGTAATTAACCTTTTTTGAGTGGCTATCTCATTTATGAACTTACTTGATATTTTTGTTCTTGATCCCCCTAATTCTCTCCTGCTCCTTTTTTTACTGGTGTGGTTTCTCTGGCACAGTAGGCATGTTTTCTGATCTAACATGCATAAATCTTAAGAGCGAATTTGACAAAGTCTTATGACATAGAAATGTTTATGCCCAAAGGGTGGTGATTATTGAGGTAGTTAGGCGAATGGACTCTGTTATTTAATAGGTCCTGATTTAAGTCCTGCTTCTGCAGCTTATTACTATATGACTTTAGTTCAAGGTACTTAACCTCTCTGAGCCTGTATTTTCTTTCATAAGATGGTAATAATGATAATGTCTTCTTCACAGAGCTGTTGTAGTAAGGATTAAATGAGATGATGCATGTAAATTGCTTAGCATAATGTCTGGCACATAGTATGTGCTCAATAGATGTTTGCTGTTTATTTAACTTCCTGATAGAAAACCAAGAAAATTTATGTCAAATTTATGTGTCACAGAAAATCAGGGAGACTAGCTGATGAATTAGATAAGATTGAAATTCAGAAAGACTTTCTTTTTACCTCCTGAATGAAATAAAATGTCAGGTTTCAAATTCATGAAATCTGATAGTCTTAAGTTTTGCATTTTAGATTGTAAAAGTCAGCAGTACTAATATAGGAAGGGAGAGATCTGGCTTAATAGTACTTTTTGTTGAGTTTTTTCTTTTTAAATTTATTTTCTCTTTTAGAGACCTGGTCAATCTCTGTCACTCAGGATGGAGTGCAGTGGTATGATCATAGCTGACTGCAGCCTTGAATTCCTGGTTTCAAGTGATCCTCCCACCTCGGTCTCCTGAGTAGCTGGGACTTTACAGGTGCATGCTACTGTGCCTGGCTGATTTTTTTATTTTTAGTAGAGGTGGGGTCATGCTTTGTTGCCCAGGCTGGTCTCGAACTTCTGGCCTGAAGTGATCCTCCTGCCTTGGCTTCTCAAAGTGCTGGGATTACAGATGTGAGCCACTGTGCCTGGCTGGTTTTTTTGTTGTTTTTTTAATTGACAAGACCAGTGTGTGATCAGGTAGTACAAATGTAATAGTAGTATTATCATAGTCTTCGTTGTTTAACTTATGGCTGTAATTATTGCTTTTTATTCTGAAGTTCATCTTTAAAGTGACAAATGAAGCATGTTTAAGTAAGGCAGGTCAACTCGGTCAAAGGAATTTGATGATTGTTATTTATCCTGGGAAGCAAAGATTCGCAGGGTAGGAGATATTTAGTGGCTACCTTCAGATCTTTGAAGCACTGGAATCTGGAAGAGACTTGAGACTTTCTGTTTGACCCAGGAGGTAGCTTTTCTGTAGCTCTGGAGTAGAGGACCAGAATTTACAGCCTGCTTCTGATATTGAGGTGGAAGTAGTTAACCTCTCTGAGCCTCAATTTCCTCAACCATATGAAGCAGAAAGTAAAATTACTCTATGCAGAAGTTATGTGGTGTAAATAAGTTAATGTGTGTGAATGAGCAATTTGGATTTATTGTTGTCATTGCCTGGCAGTGTTCTAGGGAGGCGCTGAATCAGCTCTGTCTTTGGAAGGACTCTAATAAATGGAACTGTTCAGCGGTGGAACAAGCTTTGCCATCACACTAAGAGCCAAACAAATTCCAGATAGTTATATCAGGGCTTTTTAGGAAATTTTACATGGAGTAGAAGTTTGTAAAAGCTCTTTGAGAGAAGATACAGTGTTTGCCTTATTCACCACTGTGTCCAGGGTACCCTGTACAGTGCTAGGCACATGGTCTGCTCAGTAAATATTTGTTGAATGAGTGAATGGAAGTTCCTCCACTAACACTCATATTCTAATCTTTGTTTAGCATCACTCTTTTTTTGTTTTTAATATAGTATGTGTTGTCTTCTGTATTAGTCTGTTCTCACACTGCTAATAAAGACATACCGGAGACTGGTAATTTATAAAGGAAAGAGGTTTAATTGACTCACAGTTCCACATGGCTGGGGAGGCCTCACAATCATGGCAGAAGGCAAAGGAGTAGCAGAGTCATGTCTTGCATGGTGTCAGGTAAGAGAACCTGTGCAGGGCAACTCTCCTTTATAAAATCATCAGATCTCATGAGATTTATTCACTATCACAAGAACAGCACAGGAAAGACCTGCCCCCAGGATTCAATTACCTCCCACTGGGTCTTTCACATGATACATGGGAATTGTGGGAGCTAAAATTCAAGATGAGATTTGGGTGAGGACACAGCCAAACTATATCATCTTCCCACATATATTTGTTTGCCCTTATGTTGTCATTTTATAGTGGAAATTTTGTCATTAAACTGAACCAGACATTCACTTTTCCTTCTGTTCACCTACACTTACTGAAAAGTAGAGCACAGAGATACAATTTTCATCGTGAAACTTCCTGGGAGTAGTTTCTCCTCAGGTGTAGATGTTTTTAATTTATTTCTGCTGTTTCTATAAGTATTTGA
This sequence comes from Homo sapiens, assembly GCF_000001405.40. Taxonomy (NCBI): domain Eukaryota; kingdom Metazoa; phylum Chordata; class Mammalia; order Primates; family Hominidae; genus Homo; species Homo sapiens. The sequence continues at coordinate 125,139,985 of NC_000008.11, forward strand.
ATTTCTGTAGTCCTTTTTAAAAGGGATGCCTTACACATGGAATATTTGCATGGGATTACTGTCCCAAGAACCTCACAGCAATGGTTGCCTCTAAGGAGAGCATTTGGGAATTGGAGATACCACATGATTGTACTGTTAGAATTTTTCAACCGTATGCTTGATTACTTTTTTAGTCATATGCTTTATTAATTTTAAAAACATTTTTTAAGTAGTTGGGGAAACCCCATGATTCAGTAGATACTAGCTTAAGTGAAGAAGAAGATTTGTATTGGGAATATTGCAAAGTACAGTTAATACAGCAAAATACCCCCATTTGTTAAGAGTCTCCTGTGTTGGAGGCCTTATGTTGAGTGCTTTACCTACATTCTCATTTAATTTTTTCAATAATCATATAAAGGCCAGGCACAGTGGCTCACGCCTGTAATCCCAGCACTTTGGGAGGCCAAGGCGGGAGAATTACTTGAGGTCAGGAGTTTGAGACCAGCCTGGCCAACATGGTGAAACCCCATCTCTACTGAAAATACAAAAATTAGCTGGGCGTGGTAGTGGGTGCCTGTAATCCCAGCTACTCAGGAGGCTGAGGTTCAATCGCATGAAGAGGTTGCAGTGAGCCGAGATCATGCCACTGCACTCCAGCCTGGGTGATGGAGTGAGACTCCATCTCAAAAAAAAAAACATATGAGATTTAAGCCTCACTTTCTTTTGTCTTGGCTGCCACAAATTCATGCAAGAGCTTTGGTATTTGGTCAAAGCCAGACTCTGTTTCTTAAGCCTCTTGGGTTTCCAAGTCATGCAACTGTAGGTAAGACTTGAGCACAGCCAAAGACTTGAAGACCAGAGAGAAGTGGCAGTTGTTGAAAATATGTTGCCTGGGAAATGCTCTTGTGGCCTTAAATTCACAGTTTCTTTTCAGTCTACCAGAGATTAGATAGAATTGGACAAGAAAGATGTGGAAAAAAGATAAGTCAAATGAAAGACACCTGGCCGTGAAGATTTGGAGGCTTTAGGTAGCCAAAGGGGGTCTGCGGATATGCTTTAAAATGACAGATTCCCATAGCCTGAGTTTCCATAGTGTTTTTGATGGCTGGCAAAGATTGATTTCTATGATTTTTATTAATTGAATTCATATACTTTATTTCAAACAGTATTTTGAATTATACCACTATCACAGTCATTTATAGATATTAACATACATTCTAAGGATATATCTGTCTATATAATCAAAGATGTCGTGGTCTCCATCACTCTGAGGTAGAGCAATTTATTTAAGTCAATCAGTCTCTCTTTCATTTTCTCTCCTAAAAGAAGGTAATGTTTAGGAGAATTCCTTTAGTACAGAACAGATTATTCATTACTCCCTGACTTTTGCATGAAGGGTATATTATTGATTTCTGTGTAATAGTCCAGACACTGGCATGTGCCTTCCATGCTGACTTTGTCAGTCTTGAGGTCAGTCATAACTCCATCATTTATTAACTATGTCATCTGGGGCAAATGATTTAGTGTCTGTGAGCATCTGTTTCCTTATCTCTACAATATGTTTAATAACACTGAATTCATGTTGTTGTAACAAAGAACTGGATAAGGTAATAGGTGCAGGGTGCCTGGCACAGACTCAGTGCTCCGTGAAGATTTGTTCTGTTTTAAAAATCTATGTCCTTCTCCTCTCTTCATTCCCAAGTGTTTTTGTTTGACCATTTTAACTCTAATGTAGTCTCTGTGGAGAGGAGTGAGGCATTTGTTTAGCCTCTACCCCAGTCCGGTGAACATCTGATGAACACTTACTCATCCTTCAAGACACAGTTCAAGTTTGCCCTCACCAGCTAAACCTGTTCTTTCTATAGGCAGTGTTAGCTGCCCGTTCTTCTTGCTTTGAAACATTTTTCCCCTCTGCCTAACATGTGGTGAGTGCTCAATAAGCATTTGCCGGGCAAATGAGTTTCTGAACTTGGGGGAGGGGTATGGTGTTTACAGTGCTTCTTATGGAGCATTATTGCAGTCTTGTGAGTTCAGTTTCACGCTTTAGAAGTTAGTAAAAAACAACCTAGAGAGCTAAGAGAGCTAGGAAGATGATTTTCACTTGCTACCTTTTGGTTCCAAAGGCAAAGTGCTTTCAGTATTTAGACTAATTACACTTGCAGAATAGTTATCTATTCTGTAATAATGATAATGACAAATATTTTGTTAGTGCTTACTGTGAGCCAGGCCCTGTGCAGATCATTTTACCTACATTATCTCATTTAGTCCTCATATCAGCTTTCTGAAGTAGTTACTGTTATTGTACCCATTATATATAAAAGGAAATTGAGACTCTAGTAAAATGACTTACCAAAAACTACATAGCTAGCATGTAATTTCATAAAGCCTAGATTTGAATGAAGTCTAATTCCAGAGCTAGCTTTTTTGATTACTGTATTACATCGTCTCTCTTCTGTGTCACGATGATGAGGGAATTGTGTTGGCGGGTAAACTAAACATGACTATAAAGGTGACTACTTCTTGAGGATTTCTCCCATATTCACTGTGTTTGTAAAGAACCCCTGACACTTACTAGCTTGTATCATGTACTGCTGACACTCTTCACTATGATTTCTAGTGGGCGGCAGTTATAAAATGTGTATTCAGTTTTTTTTTTTTGAGATGGAGTTTTGCCCTTGTTGCCCATGCTGGAGGACAGTGGTGCTATCTTGGCTCACCACAACCTCCACCTCCCAGGTTCAAGAGATTCTCCTGCCCCAGGCTCCCGAGTAGCTGGAATTACAGGCATGCACCACCATGCCTGGCTAATTTTGTATTTTTAGTAGAGACGGTTTCTCCATGTTGGTCAGGCTGGTCTCGAACTCCTGACCTCAGGTGATCCACCCGCCTCAGCCTCCCAAAGTGCTGGGATTACAGGCATGGGCCACCACACCCAGCCATGTATTCAGTTTTAATTTTGCCACACTAATATCTATGTGGAGGAATAATTACAAGTTCAAAGTGCAGTGTAGGGAGAAGTAACCAAGTTTCTATTAAATATTGCTCAAGGAGTGAGTAAGTCATTAAATTCAACTCCTGATAAATATGTGATTACTTAACATTAGGCTCCCAGGACACCCCCAGTGTGGGTGCACGCACACACACACACACACACACACAGAGGTAGGTGCATGTATAGATGTGTGTTGCTAGAGATAGTTGGAGCTATAGTTTCAGAGAAGAAGGGTTTTTTTTGTTTTGTGTGTTGCATTTTGGTGGGTGGGGTCAGAGGTATGCTTGATACTGTGATTTGTTTTATTTTATCCAAAAAGAATAGATGTCTTCTTTACAAAATATAGAAAAATCAAGTTTTAATTTGAAGAGATTAGGAAATACCCATATTCTGTTTCAGAAAGTAAAATCTCCCAATATACGTCCCATTTATTCTAAGAAATTTAAAATACAATCAGGCAATCCCTTGCCGCCTTTTCTTCCTTCCTCCTTGCCAAAATGGACATATGTACTTTATGACATTTAATATTTATCAGAGTCTTCTGAGTATATGAGTCATGTTGAATTGGAGTCAGCAACCCCTTAAGAACACTAAATGTCTACTTTGTCTTAGCCTGGTATTTTACTAATAAAATGCGTGGAGTTGAATTTAATCCACTATATATAATTGGTGGTGTTCCTGTTCAGACATGCCTGTACATGGCTTTGTAGAATAAAAAACATCTGATTCTGCGATTTTTATTTGTTTAGGACCAAATTTCAGGAAACAGCTTGGCCGTGGGCAAAACTATACAGTTGAATCAGAGACATAAAGTTGGAAGGAATAAGTAGGTGAAATTTGTCTTGAGGGTGTGCCTCCCTAACACACACATACACACACAGACACACATCCACGTGTCCCAGTTGTAAAGGTAAAGAAGTTTTGTAGACCCATAAGGTATGAAGTGTTTGGTTCTTTTCTGGAGATTAGGGAGGATTCTGGAAAAGGACCTTGTGGCTGAGATCATAGGAAACAGAGAGCAAAGCAAAATGATATCTGGTAGTGTAATGAAGTAGTATAGAGATAAATGTGTGTGGACGTGATAGGGAAAAGAGGGGGGGAAAGTCCTTATTTTCATGTCTGATTCATTAAAGGCAGTTCTACTGAAGACCTGGGGTTGTTGAGGGATCTTATTTGGCTCTGGGTACCATGTACTACCGGACCTGTTTCATCTCTGCTTCCCAAGCCTCAGGCCTGGGCCTCAGGGATTCTCTCCAGTGCATGCCTTAGGCTACAGCTATAGGGCAGCTGTGGTTAGGGAAGGTCCCTATTTAGAATAGTTGGTCAAAAAGCACATCACTTCTGTCCCTTTCTTGCAGAACTGGTTGCTGCTCTGGAATGAAAGTTTGATTGGTCTGTTAGCCATGCCCACCTGGATTTGGGAAAGCCAATAGAAAGAATCTTCTGCTCTCCTATCTGCTGTTGCTTTTTAACCTGTAGCCTAGAAAATGGCATTATACTGAACAAATACGGTATGAACAGACCTTAGACAATGCTGGAACTGGCGCCGGATAAGCTCATGAGTCCATGCTGTGCTACATAAGGACCGTATTGCTACAGGCTTACTGCCTACATCTCTTAGTCACAAAGGACCTGGAATTGGTCTTGCTTGAGAGTCTACATCTATAAAAATAGCTAGTTTGTTCCCTCCCTTCCTTTCCTTTCTTAGACGATCCTTTCTCCTTCATTTTGCCCCTAGCCTTTCACATTTGAGACAACCAGCCTTGCTTTCATTCTTTCATACTTGTTTGTGCCTCATTCATCATCTTCTATTCATTGAAGTCTCATGAATTTTAAGTTGAATTTGATTATAACACAAAATCACCCATTTCTGTTTAATGTTCTGTTGATCATATAACTTTAATGCCTATTCAATACCTCAAAAAGAGAGAATAGTAATGTAGTTATAATATTGCTGTTAGTGGGTTTTGACACTGAGTAACAGATGACATGTCTAATGAATAGTGTGACTGCTTAGATTGCATAATTATAGGTTTGTTTGACTTTAGGAAAATCATACGCAGGCCAACTTCACCCATTTAGAGACTTTTTGTATTATGTAAATATTAGAGCACTTCACTCTAAAAAGAAACCCCCTCCTTCAGTGATAATCATTCTTTGTTTTTCCAGGGTTTGCCACTCAGTAGGAAAAAGCAAAATGAAATAGAAACCATCTTTAAAGGATGGATTTAATTCAGTAGCCCTTCCTGGTTTGAATAACACTTCAGTCCACAATGGTTTGGCATTGTGCTTGTGACTGGGGTCATTGGGTACAGACATGCAGGTTTATAGGATGACAGCCCTGGCACTGGCATACTTACAGAAACAGCTAGAATTTTATAATGTAAATCAGGGATTATCTGTGCCCTTTGGACTTGATTTTGTGGGGTGGCAGTGCGGGGGGGATAGCTAGTTATTGTACTAACTTCTTGCAACAGTTTCTTAATTGACGTATCAGGTGACAGGTCTCACAGAGTCACCAAGGCCCCACTGTGATACTTCTCCATGTATTTATTGGCTTGTAAATGAATGTTCAAATATATCACTTAGGTTCATTTGATTAACGAAAGCAAGGGCTGGCTGTAATAAATAAACGCTCACAGAATGGCTTAGTGAAGGAATTTGAATATTCCTAGCCTCCCAGACTTCGCTTGGCAGGGCTGGGGGTCGGGGGAGTCAAATGTGTGGCTAATAAAAGTGACTTTTGACTTTGAGCTCTATTCAGAAGTAATTCTGCAACATGAAGCCTTCCAGTATTCTCCCTTCACCTTGAACATTTCTCTCCTGCTGCTCTTCATTTGCTGCCTGGTAGTCAGTCTGGAGCTGCTTTCATCTCTGTTGCTGCCGGTGCTCTTGGCCTAGTACAAGCTTGACCTCTTAGCAGCTGGAGTTGACTTAGTTATTCTCCTAGCATTCTCTGAGTGACTTGGTTGCTCTTACAGCACTTCAGATTAGCTTTGCTGATGTGAAAGGTCACTTTTCACCAATATTAAAACTTATTAATCTTCAAAAAGGGGAAAAATAATTTTCTTTTTGTTATCAGATTTCTTAAGGAATTTGGAAAGAGCTTTCCAGAACCATGTCTGATAGCCTCTGAGTGGCATTGTCTAGTGTCCTCCTTGGAAGTGTTGTTTTATGCTAACAGATTGCCAACGGAGCTGAGCTGAGGCTCTGGGTCTTTGACTTTCTCCTACCTGAAGGTTTGTTCCCTGGATATTCATGGAGGAGTCGGAGGTGCTTGTCCTCCTTGTGTTTAAATACCTTTTTGCACAGGTGGGCAAGTGTACAGACTTGGCAGTTAGAAAGCCAGAGTGGGAGGCCTGGCGCTGCTGCTAACTACCTTTGTGGCCTTGAGCAAGTTACTTCAGTTTTCTCATATGTAAAATGGAAATAGAACTACCTAACTCTTTATAGCAGCATGATTTATAATCCTTTGGGTATAACATGCACACATATGTTTATTGCGGCACTATTCACAGTAGCAAAGACTTGGAACCAACCCAAATGTCCAACAATGATAGACTGGATTAAGAAAATGTGGCACATATACACCATGGAATACTATGCAGCCATAAAAAATGATGAGTTCATGTCCTTTGTAGGGACATGGATGAAGCTGGAAACCATCATTCTCAGCAAACTATCGCAAGGACAGAAAACCAAACACCGCATGTTCTCACTCATAGGTGGGAATTGAACAATGAGAACACATGGTCACAGGAAGGGGAACGTCACACACTGGGGCCTGTTGTGAGGTGGGGAGAGTGGGGAAGGATAGCCTTAGGAGATATACCTAATGTTAAATGACGAGTTAATGGGTGCAGCACACCAACATGGCACATGTATACATATGTAACAGACCTGCATGTTGTGCACATGTACCCTAAAACTTAAAGTATAAAAAAAACAAAACAAAAAAAAACAAACTACCTAACTCTTATGTTGCCCTGAGATTTGATGTAAGTTTGATGTGCTGGCACATAACAGTGTTCCCTAATTGTTAGCTACAGCTATTATATATACATATATAATCATTGTCATTACTTTCCATGTTTTATCATCTGCACTGAACTTCCCTAATGCCAGACTTGCAGAAGTGTTGTACAGCAATGCTTTTCTCTCTGGAGTCATCATTCTGTGAATTTGAACATCGTTGTGTGATTTCTACCCACCACTCCAGTGCTGGTGCCATCTCTTTTCCTATAGAAAAGTCACACTGAAAATATAAAATAGGCAAGTGAAGTTATATCATATGTCCTCTTTTATGTTCTAATTCAGTTGAATCTCTTTGATAGGACAATTTATATTTTAGTGAAAGTTTAATTTTCAGATTTATGAAATATAATGGCCTTAGAAGAATATTGAAGGAAGAGTTGCTATAATTCTTTGTTGGATCCTAAGAACACTAAGGCATCATTCTTGTCCTCAAATGGATTAAAATCTCTTTGGTGAAAGGAAACAAATGCAGATAAGAAAGGAAAGATTGGTGGTGGTCCCAAGATATCAAGAGTGTATGTGTTAAGGCAAATTAGGTGAAGAAGGAAATCCTTCTAGGCTGGTATAATTTAAAAGCAGGTAGGGCCTGAGCTCAGCCCTTGATGGATATGTAGGATTTAATTTGGTATATATTCTCAAAAAGGGCTTTCAGTGAAAGAGTGGGAGAATTTTGATGGTGGGAAGATATACTGTGGAATCAAGTAGCAGGGAGCCTCTGCCTGATCAGTACCTCCACAACCACCCCAACCCCCAGCAACTTTTTAGTCAGTAACTCTGTGTTTCTGTGTTTATCCCTTTTTCCCCCTCCAAAGTCAAGAGGTTTTTACTGCAGTCGGGAAATAAAGGTTAACAAGAAGAACAAAAAAGAATTACGAAAATCCTCTTAAAATTGCTGTGGCAGGTTGCTACTTGACATGGACGTTCTCATGACCTGTCTTTAAGATGCTCTTGTGGGAGTCCCTTCTAGTTCTCATCGTAGGTCTCTGGTCTCTCAGCCCCCTGCTACAGCTGACCAAGACCCTCTGACTACAGTTATCTGACGGCACTGCTTCCAGGTGTGCTGTGATCCTCAGTTCTTTTTAGAATTTCCTTCCTGATCTCTTCTGGTGTTTCCTGTTCCCTTTGTTGCTTGGGCTGCACCAGTCTTTCCTAGTGTTCTTCAGCAGCTTGTCCCAACATTCTTGGGCCCTGGAGCCTGAACTGAGGCTGCCTGTAAGCCAGTTAGGCTCCAGAGATTCTTTCCTTAAGCTTCATGCCATCAAAACTGACCCAAGCCTTGCCCATTTCCTCCTTTGCAGGAAGGTCTCTTTGGCCTTGAACCAGCTTACTATCTGGCTCAGGTCTTAGTAGCATATATGGGACCCTGTTAATGAGAACTTATCATCTCATTTATTTCGTTTTGCAGCTCTTTTGTAGCATTTTGAATATCTTAGGCACATTCTGAATGCTTTCAGAAATTAACTCATTTAATCCCAGAGGGAGATTGCTAACATTATATCTATTTCCACTGATTTAAGCCCCTTACAGACTTTCATTTCTTATGCTTCAGACTTTTGCTCCCAACAGATACTTTAGTGAGTGCCTGTTTGGTTTTGGGGTACCCCTAATCAGCAGAATTTTGGAAAAGCAGTTTATACTGTTAGTCTTTGTTCAGGTTACCAGCCTTACCCACTTTTTTGACCAGTTCCAGTATCAGAATCTAATACTCATAAAATATACTGATCCATTAAGGAAAACAAAACAAAACAATACTTTCCTTTAACTAGGTAAGGCTGGTGTGAAACCAATAGTCTATTTTTCATTATTTTAAATGGAAAAAAATAAATTACAGGTTAACTAAAACCCCTAATCAATTTACTGAAATGTAACTAAGTACAGTAAAATGCCTAAATAAATTACAAAACATCCATTACATTAGGATGTAAGTTGTTTAAAATTCACTTCTTTATCATGAAACAATATGATTTTTAACAAATGGTTGCTGTATATATAGCAACATATATATGTTGGTACCAAGCCATATGTCCATTTTGTTGACTTTCAGAAATTTTCACAACAACAAACTGTGACTCTAATAGTCTAACAATTTTACCTGGAGTATGACCTGAGCCTTTTCTCACGCACCATTTTGTTAAACATATATTTAATTTGGGGAATGTAAATACAAATTTTTCTTATGTAAACATTACACCCTCCCCTGACCCCCTAACTTACATTGAGATATTTGTGTATTCTTTGCTGCCTGGATAGTAAAAGCTGAAGGGTCTTCTACCAGAAGCATGTTAACCCAGGAGATAGTCTATGAAATATACTTATAAGTAACTATTATAAAATTAAAGCATATGTTTTAAAAGCCAAATGTGAATGGACTTTACATTATTTCATTACTTTGGAATCATCTGTGGTATTATTCTTCAGAGTAGAAAAGAAAAACTGACATTTGTCTGCACTAAGATATATGAATGGAGAGTCTTTGAGTAGGTTCATTCCCAAATGTGATGAAAGAAAGCTTTATTTTCTTTTCATTTAGTTATCTTAAATTCAAAGTTTTTAGTTGAAATTTTTATGTTCCTGTGTTAACTATCTTTTCCTAATCTATTAAATTATGTTAGAGCTTGAAGAAACAGTTTAAAAGCACTTGTAACAACATTACCTTGCTTTTCTAATTTGCTAGTCCCTTTTTATAGACTCCTGTTCCCTGAGGATATTTTAATTTTTTAAACATAGTAAACATAGTTGTTTCTTATTCTGACTAATATAAATAGTTACAATAACTGAAATATTTGTGGATCTGTTTCTGCTGATTGTTATTCTTAGTGGCTTGTTTTCTTGTGTATTATAGGTATGTAAGGTTTTTTTGTTTGTTTTTATATTTATTTTTGTTTCAGCCTTTTCTCCTGTGATCTGCTCATTCTTAAAAAGTATTTGTAGGGATTATTTGACACTTAGATTAAGAGTGCCTTCTCCAGAAAGTAGTTATATTTGCTTCTGCCAGACACCTGTGAGTACTATCTGCCTGAGACCACCTCCCACCAAGATCAGAGACTAGGGTCTCTGGATCACTCAGGTTAGGGGAACCCAGGCTGCTGCAAATCCAGGAGGACTGCCTTATGGCCAGTTTTTCTGAAAACAAGTTTGTTTTCTCTTCCCTTTTCCCTGTTCTGCTTCATGGCCAAGGCTAACCTCCCTTCGGTCCCAGGCAGCAGGGAGAGATTACTTTTGGTTCATCTTTATACAAAGAGTTGGGATCTCAGCTTACTGTGGGATAGTATGTAACTTTGGCATTCTGTTGCCCCACTTCTCGTTTTTGTTTTATTCTAGATTTTGCCCTGGTTATTTCTTATTACCTTGTGACTCTTGTTTTTAAGATTTATTTTTTTTCTACTGTATCTGATATCTTTGGTTTTCTTTTTTCTTTTTTTCTTTTCTTTCTTTCTTTTTTTTTTTTTTTTTTTTTTTTTGAGATGGAGTCTCACTCTGTTGCCCAGGCTGGAGTGCAATAGCATGATCTCAGCTCACTGCAACCTTCATGTCCTGGGTTCAAGCAATTTCCAGCTAATTTCTGTATTTTAATAGAGACTAGGTTTCACCATGTTGGCCAGGCTGGTCTTGAACTCCTGACCTCAAGTGATCTGCCTGCCTCGGCCTCCCAAAGTACTAGGATTACAGACGTTAGTCACCACGCCCGGCTGCTATCTTTGATTGTTTTCATTAGGAAGATTGGTCCAAATAATCTAGCTCTGTGTTATTAAAAGTGAGAATCTTCCCTATTTGACCTTTAACAATCCTTCACAGTTTATGCAACAGATATAAGACAGAGCTGCTTAATGGATGAGGGAACTGAGGCTGGGAGAGGTGTAGTGATTGATTTAAGATCATGTAAGTAAGGGCACAGCCTGGAACTCCTTAATACAAGTCTTTTCTTCTTTCCAACCTACCACTGCCTTTGAGCTGTCTTCTACTGAGTGTATTCTTAGAATTTTGAATGAAGCATCATATGGTGAGGAGGTTTTTTTTATTTTTTTTATTTTTTATTTTTTTGAGGAGGTTTTTTTAAAAAGATGTAATAGCTCTACAAAATTATTTAGACCATTGACTGATGTAGATTGTATTGATGCAACTTTTTCCAGATATGGCATTTTAAATGGAAAATAATAATTGCAATTTTTTTTTCTTTCAGCTGAAGTGAGTAGTGAATATAGTATGGACAAGGCAATGGTTGAATTTGCTACATTGGATCGGCAACTAAACCATTATGTAAAGGCTGTTCAATCTACAATAAATCATGTAAGTTTATACCACTCCCTGGTTATATATTTGGTTACAACTCACTGACCGAGAAGTAGAAACACAAAATCAAAATTCTTCTCTAATCTTTAATGTTTCCTTATCCTTAATGTAGCAGCTATTAAATTCCTCTAAATTTGGAAGTCTCATAAAATTGGAATCCTAAGTATTTTCCTGGCTAGGCCACTTAGGTTGATTAACATATTAAATCTATTTTAGATTGCTTGCAATTTTTTGTCTCAAAATTTTAGTGTAAGCCTCCTTTGAATGTGAGGAGATTTTTATAAAATCCTAAAAATTGCATGCACCTTGTTTTTATTGTTCTATTTGCTTAAACATACAATTGAGACCAGGTTTAGTTACTCATTCTCTAACTTTAATATGCATCTATTGCCAAATTCTTAGAATCAGATAATATGGAAGAGTTTTAAGCAAGTTTAAAAATAAAGAAGATCGGTATTTTGGTTTTTCCAGAAGCCAAACTTATCTTTGTTGACTCCAGCTGTCACAGGAACAACACATAAGGCAGTTAAGGTGGGAACATAGCAACATCCTTTTCAGTAGTACTGTGTTGAGTAAGAAATGAGCAATACGATTGCAGTCATGTTTCTGAGAAGTCTTTTGTCCTCTGAGCAGTGGAAACTCCCTGTTGAACTGATTTTGTATACCTGTGTAATAGGATGTCTTGTATTTCTGGTTTCGTTATTTGCCTTTTCTTACTTACAGCTATGGGAAAATTCCAAAAATCAAATATTTTACAAGATCAGTGATTACTCAGTAGAAGATACATTTTTAAATCATGTTTAATACCTAAGCCAATGAAATGAGCATTATATAGTTAGAGTAAGCTTTTTTTAATGGTTAGTATTTAACTATAGTATTTGACTAACTTTAAGAATATCACCTATATCCAAATAATAAACTCATTCAGCTTGTAAAATTTTGACGTTTCTGGCTATTGTGACTGTTAGTCCTGGTCTTATGAATATTTCTTCCATAGGAAAATATGACAGTGCCGTTATGTTGACATCATATTTGAAACTGGATGGCACTTAGACTAGAGGCTTTCAATTTCAGCCGAACCCTAGAACCAGCCAGTTTCTGAACTCTCAGAGATTCTGATTTCATTAGTCTGGAGCAGGACTGGGACACTAGTATTTTTTAGAAACTCATTCTAATGTGCATTCAAGGGTGAAAACCACTGACTTAAAAGAACAAGGCTGACTTTATAGAAGAAAGTCAAGTGTTTACTGCCAAAGATTAGAGTTAGGCTTGTTACATGGATCAATCTTGCTTTGACCCTTACATTATGTGGCACTTACTTGATAAGCCTTTCTATCTTTAACTTTCATACTGTGCAAATGCAATAGCACAGTGTATATTACAGATAAGAAAACAAGATTTTGGAGTCAAAGAACGTTATGTTGATTTTTTTTCCCTATTAAACTCTAGGATTTGCAGATACTTAAGGTATTTTTACATCAAGAATTGAACTCTTGGCTGGGCGCGGTAGCTCACGCCTGTAATCTCAGCACTTTGGGAGGCCGAGGCAGGCGGATCACCTGAGGTCAGGAGTTTGAGACCAGCCTGGCCAACATAGTGAAACCCTGTCTCTACTAAAATACAAAAATTAGCCAGGTGTAGTGGCATGCACCTGTAATCCCAGATACTCAGGAGGCTGAGGCAGGAGAACCGCTTGGACCCAGGAGGTGGAGGTTGCAGTGAGCTGAGATCACGCCAGTGCACTCCAGCCTGGGCGACAGAGCGAGACTCCGTCTCAAAAAAAAAAAAAAAAAAAAAAAAAGAATTGAACTTTTCCCCCTTCAGGACATTGAGTCACTCATTTAAAAAAAAGTTTAAAACTTCTCACTCTTTCTCACATTCAGTAGTTAACAACATTTCTTTCATCTTGAGGTTTCATCTCATTATCCTCGAACAGGGAAGATAGATTTTATCTCACTTTTCAGCCCTAACCTCACACTAGAATAGACTGGAACAACTTGGATTTAGTGATTCCGATGCTTATCAGGAAGGTCTCTGTTCTTTTATAGGAAGAAAAAACATAGTTATTTTTCTTTTATGATACAAAGGTATGCTTTCTATGCAAGCTGGATACCAGACCAAGAATAATAAATCACAATTTCATAAGGTTTCTAAGACTTGATATTATATGGGGATATGACCATTTTGAGGGAAATGTTTTACATCACTTTATGTACTTGAAGCTAAGGATACTGCTATCTTATTGCTTGTTTTAGTGAGCGATAAGAATGAACAGCAGCTTGGGAGGGGCCGGGATAATATACTTGTTTAGAAATAGCAATGGTCTAGGGATCTGAAGCTTTTCCAGCCCTGGTTCTTCTACTTTCTAAGTTATGATCCCTGGTCAAGAAACCTAACCTCTTGAAAACTCATGTTTTTTGTCTGTGAAATTCCTGCCCTGTGTATTTCACAGAATGATTATGTGAATCAGATTAGATAATGTATATCAAAATGCTTTGGCATTCATCAAATTTGATGGGGCTGTAAGATAATATATTATTGCAAACTCAGATTTCCAAACAGAACCCCTTAGAGAGATGGAACAAAATCTTCTAAAAAGCAAGTATTTTGTTTTGCTCACTTTATTTCAGGGTATTTTTTTGGCTTTGACCTGTCCTATTCTGGAATTCAAGAGTCATATAGGATTAAGTATAGGCTACTTAAATTATTGCACAAGGTGTTCATGGCCTCTGAAATGAATGAGTTGTTTAAAATAAGATTATTTTTTTAAAAGGCAATTAATGGGAAGCCATACAAGTCCCATTTAACCCACTGCTCTGTCATAGACTTTTGCAAATTGCGATACTTCCGTTACTATAATATTTGCCTAGATTCAAATCTACCCTGTGGTCTTTCTGTTTATGAATTTTCACATAGTCATAGAAAGTTGATTTAAAAACTTTTTTAATCATTAAAGAGCATTTGAATTTATTATTTAAATAGACATCTCTCTTCCACTCTCATCTTCTCAGAATTCTAAAGATTATGCTCCTTTTGAAAAGTTTTGGAAGTTTTCTTTGGAACCTCAGAGGTATGGGTCAACTTACCAACAATCCCTGGGAAGTCCCTTTGGCAATTAGCAGAAGTTCTCAGGTTACCTTCCGTTGTCTCTCAAGAAAACAGGGCTACTATACTCCACAGTGCCCAAAGATTTTGTTTGGAATTGGCATCTATTTTAGTGCTCTGAAAGTTAAAAAAAAAAAAAAAAAAGGACTCATTCCAGCTAATTTGTTGAGAGAATATTATGCAGTGAACACTAAAAAAATTCTCAGATAGTCTCTAAGTCATTTATAAAAACTTTCAGGTTAAATGGGTTTTATACCTGTCACAACTCTTTAAAAACTGCATTTAGATCCTCAGAGAGTTCTATATGAACTTTTTTGATATTTTCAGTCATAAGACCAACATGTCATAAAAGTGTTTTTAGAGCTATAAGACAGTACACAGATACACACTTTTTTTTAATCACTATTACTGCCACGGAAAAACTGTTTTCTCAGTTTCATATTGAGAACAGAATGATGTTCTGAACACTAGACTTCTGATGACCTGATGTTTCCTCCCTTGCTTTCTACGCTTTTATTAAGTACATTGAAGAGACACTATTGGCTGGCTTTTTGTTTTTCAGTTTTCATAAATAAATGAATAAATTTATGAACATTTGAATAAATACTCAAATAAATCTTTGAATAAATATTTACTGAACAGCCATGTGCCAGGCACTTCTAGTTGCAAGAAATAGGAAGTCAATCAGCAAAGTCCATGTGACCTTCACCTCAGGATATGCGAAGTCCAGAACAGAAGACAAATATTTTACAAATGTTATTTAATTACTGCTGTGGTGTGTGCTACAAATTAAAAATAAAGCATTCAGGGAGAGTTAATAACCCAGGGGCAATAATGTCTTCAGGGCAGGGAAGAATTTGGAGACTCCTTCTGGAGGAAATGATATTTAAGATTCAAGTCAAATGAGTCTCAACATGGGAAATATATATTCTGTGTAACTTTTGCATGAAATGGAAGCATCTTATTTCTGATTGTCTTGATGTCAGCTTCAGAGTGCCTTAATCAATCCAAAGACTTATTGTGAAAATTAGGCCAGAGAAGGCCTACCTTTATATATAGAAAGTTAATGTTTATAGAATAGTTGAGTAACCTAAGATTGGTCAGTGATTCATTTAGTAATAGATTTTTGAGTGCCTACTATGTGCCAGGAACTATGCTTAGTAATGCAAGTCATGGCAGTAGTTGATTTAAGAATTATTTTATTATCAATATCCTACTTCTTAAACAGGGGTTATCTCTCTTAAAATGAGACTTTTTATTGACTATTAAATAAACCCAGTGGTAGTACTGTGTGTTTCTGATTATATGTTTATGATTGTTTTAAACTAAACCTATAGTTCCAAACTGTGGGCTTCAAATTGCTCAGGGTAGGTTTGGAGAGTGAACACCAGTTTAGTTCAGGGAATCCTCACGTCCATTTTTAGGTATGTGCTTTTTCAGATAAGAGGTAACAAATCCAACCACTATCATGGGGGTAGTCCTTGCAATGTTTTTCTAACCTTAATTCTCACAGGGAAAATGATGGGAATGTAGCTAAATGAGAATGACCCAACAAGTTCAGAGATTACTGTCATATATATTTAGCAATTGATGATAAAATATATATCCTCTCAGCTAGGTGTGGTGGCGCACGCCTGTAGTTCCAGCTACTTGGGAGGCTGAAGTGGGAGGATCACTTGAGCCCAGGAGTTCAAGATCAGCCTGGACAACATAGTAAGACTCCATCTCTTTAAAAAAAAAAATGTTTTTGGTGACCAGTATAGTCTCAGAGTTTAGCAAAAGTAACTAAAGCTTGAGAGTCACATTATACTTCAGCTTTTATTGTTTTTATTATGATCCTTAGTTGTGTAGTTTTAAGACATTTTACCTCTTAAAAGAATTTTCAAAAAGATAAAAAAAAAAGAATTTTCAGAATTTACCTGTATATTGTTCTTTTGGTATGTGCTGCTTCTGGATGTTAATTTATTGAAAAATCCAAGTATGTCTTCACTTTCCTCTAATACCCTCTTTTATGCTCTTGCATCTTATAAATTGTATAAGATTTTAAAGCATTTATATTGGATTACAGCTACATATTTGTTTTTTTAAGTCAATATCTTATAACAATTCCTACTAGAAGCCTGGTGAGGGAGAATATTTTTCTTCTTAACTGGAGCAAGTAGGTGCTAGGTTGGTCCATTTGTATTGTTTTTTATAAATTCGTTCATGGATATGCCCTATGTAGTGTGGTTTTTCACTTGATATGCTAACCTGAACATTTTATATGCCTTTTAAAACTAATGTGTTGAGAGTTAGAAGAGAAGAAATGTACTTGATGTATGCTATTGAAACCAAAGCAATCTTAGATATAATAAAGGAACAATGTGGGTCAAAGGTATAGTTTATCTCAGCTCTCTCATTATGCAACTAGTTTTGACTGTTTTTGACATAGCACTTCCCTGTGCCTCCTTGCTGTTCACCCTTCATCACCTGGTAAGTTGTGCCTTTTTCTTACTGTGCAGTTACCTTAATATCCACTACTTTAACATGAAATTCTATAGGGTATCTTGCAGGTTGGAAGTTACCATTTTAGTTAAACCAAATTTGGGAAGAATTTCTCCCTTAGAAAGCTAATAATTTATTCTATGGTACCTGAGAGCAGTTCTAGGCCACAGGATGTAACCTATTATATATGACCACTTACTGACTGAATATAAGAATATACCCCACTCTATTAGGCATTGTGAATCATTGACAAAAGAAGAAGGAGGGGGAAATTCGTTCGGTGGCTATAAAATTTGAGGACAGGAGATTCCTGAGCATGAGATAAATTACTCTTGTCAGCAGAATAGCAAAAAGGCAGGAGGTGACAGGAGAGTGAAATTAGTGAAAAGCTCTTCGAGCCAGAGGGGAAAGTACTAGGAGACTCACCTCTTCTCTACTCGCTGCATATGGCATTCTACAGTGATAGACAACTCTTAACATGTTTCTTATCAAAAGTTTTCAAATGAGTTATATGTGAGCTTTTCATCTGTAGGAACATTGCTCAGGTGTGGAAATTAACCAGAGAAAGAAAGTTGACTTTAGGTATTCACTCTTCAGACACTTGGAATGTGTCTATTTCTGTGATTACTGGTAATTAACTTCTATTTCGGTGGTTTAGAACTCCCTGTACAGTTATTCTCAAATTAAGGTTGTGTTCGGTAACATTTTGCCTAATAAACAGAGACAGAGACAATTAGTTCTGAATATAGTATCCCACTAATTGAATTACCTCTATAAGAAATAATCTAGATATAAAATTT
Organism: Homo sapiens; assembly: GCF_000001405.40. NCBI lineage: Eukaryota > Metazoa > Chordata > Mammalia > Primates > Hominidae > Homo > Homo sapiens. Next base: position 125,157,670 of record NC_000008.11, read on the forward strand.
CTTAGGTTTCGAAGTAACATAGCTGCTAATAGGTGAAGATATGTTATATTGAGACTGATTTTCACCGTTACCTCATAGAAATCCATCATAGTATTTTGGAGTTATTAAATGTTGGGTTTTAATCAGACTTATAAAACTGTTACTGGGCCTTAATGTGCCTCTAGTGCAGCATTTTCAAGAGTTTGCCCCATAATACTAATTAATCAGGATGTGAATAAGTATAATAGGAAAATAGGATTTTGTGGTCAAATAAGTTTGGGGAATGCTTGATTAAAAGAATTTCCTTAAAGACTCCAAAGCCTTTAATGTGCTTTTATGCAATGTGATTCTCCAAAGGAAGAGGATATTCAGAAATGTTGTAAACTTAGTTAACTAGAACATCTCTCTGGAGGAGGGACTGATATTCTTCAGAACCCACTTTGGGAAGTGCTGCTGTGGTTTCAACCCCCTAATTTTACGAAGGAGGCTGTGAGATAGGTCCAGCACTTTGTGGCAGAGTTTCTTGTGGCATCCAGAAAACTGGGAAGTATGTCGAACTCCCTTCCAAAATGAGCCTTAAAGATGTTTCCATGTTGAAGGTCAGGAAAGGGCCAGGCCCTTTCTCCATTGCATTACTCCAACAGTGAGGAAGGGACAGTTTTTAAAAACATGCGGTGAATGCTTAGTCTGTGTTTGAAGCAAAGAAGACCCCTCTGTGCAGTGATGATATGAGAAAAAGGAGAGAAGGAAATGTTTGAGAGGAAAAGAAGAGAGGGGCTTACAGAAGAGGCAGGAGACACACAGGAGCAGCAGAATGGGCAGGAAACGCATATGGACCTTTGAAGGGCCAGGCTGACCACAGCACTCCAGGTAGGTACTGAGGCGCCCAGTGTGATTATTAAACACCTTGGCCTCAGTGGCACCAGGCCATCCTAGCAGCTAATTCTTTGAATTACCCAAATGATATGAATGTTCCTTAACACAGCAAACTCCTGATTATTTCTGACATTGTAGATAGTCCACATACAGCATTAAACCTTTATTTTAGATGTCAATTTAACTTCCTTCCAACCTCACAATTTTCACGTAATTAATAAGTATTAAAAAGCTTGAGGTTTAGGCCTTTCCCCACTAATTGGCAGTGGTGCTGAATGGGCTAACTGCAGAAGAGAGATGGGGAAATAGACTGAACTGGGACTGGGGAATGGATCAGTAAATGTTAAAATTCAGTGTAAAATGAATGCATTTTTCAGCGTGGAGTTGAAAGCACAGTAGTCACTGGTTGTCTACAGTTTCACTTTCCACTGTTTCAGTTATCTGTGGCCATCTCTGGTCCAAAATTATTAAACAGGAAATTACAGAAATAAACAGTTCAAATAAATAAATAGCACCTCATTCTGAGTTGTGTGATGAAACCTTGTGCCTTGCTGCTCTGTCCTGTCTTCATCACAAGAGGAAGGGTGAGTACAGTACAATAAGACATTTTGAGAGCAAGAAAGATTATATTCACATAACTTATTACAGTATACTGTTATCATTATTCTATTTTTCTATCAGTTATTGTTAATCTCTTGCTGTGTGTAATTTATAAATTAAACGTTATTGTAGGTATGTATGTATAGGATAAAACATAGTCATACAGTCATGAACCACATAACAATATTTCAGTTAACGAGGGGCCATACATATGATGGTGGTGCCATAAGATTATAATATCATACTTTTACTGTACCTTTTCTGTGTTTACATATGTTTAGATACATAAATAGTTGTCATGTTACAGTTGCCTACAGTATTCAGTATAGTAACATGCTGTACAGGTTTGTAGCCTAGGAGTAATAGGCTTACTATAGAGCCCAGGAGTGTAGTAGGCTATTCCATCTAGGTTTGTGTAAGTACACTCCGTGATGTTCCACAGCATTGCCTCATTTCTCAGAAAGTATCCCCATCGTTAAGCAGTGCATGACTATACAGGGTTTGGTACTATCTGGGGTTTTAGGCATCTACTGGGGGTTTTGGAATGTATCTCCTGTGGATAAGGGTGGACTGCTGGAGTTGCTTATTAGTCTCAAATTGCTCAGTTGGTGGATCACTTGCGGTCAGGAGTTCGAGACCAGCCTGCCCAACATGGTAAAACCCCGTCTCTACTAAAAATACAAAAATCGGCTGGGTGTGGTGGCATATGCCCGTAGTCCCAGATACTTGGGAGGCTGAGGCAGGAGAATCGCTTGAACCCAGGAGGCAGAGGTTGCAGTGAGCCATGATGGCGCCACTGCACTCCAGTCTGGGTGACAGAGTGAGACTCTGTCTCAAAAAAAAAAAAAAATTGTTCAGTTGGTGCCAATAGTATGTTTAGTCCAATAAAGAAACAAAAGCCTCTTGACATATGTACACAAATAGCTACAAAAAAATTTTAACGGTGAAATAGTTTGACAGAGACAATAAAAACGTGCATAGGAAATTCAGAGTAAGGGAAAAGAGTCTTTGCTTAAATTCTGGCTTTCATGCACTCTAACTCTGAGCCTCAGTTTCTTCTGAAAGTAGGGATGATAATTTAGGTCACAGAGTTTCATTAAGGATGAAAGTGATAGCATGAAAGCACCTAAAACAGTTCTGTCACACTAATTTATAAGGTTGCCTAGAACGTTCTGTAAAGAACTCATTTCTCTGGACCAAATTCAAATACTGTCTGAAAGGGAATTTCAAGTTAAAGTTTGGAGAGTAGAGTGGGCAGCAGGAAACCATCGGGAAAGGCTAGAGATGATGTTCCGAGATAGGCTGAAGGAAGGGCCTCTTTCCTCGGAAGGGGTTGGGGGTGGCTTGGGGTATGGAAGTTAGTGCTCATAGTCAGTGTTGTGACCAGAAAGGATTGTTCAGAATCAGGGGAACTGGGCCAATGCAGAGGCCAGTGAACAATGTGACATTTGGCCAGCTGCATTTGAACTTCCCTGATAGTCACCCTCCCTATGTCTATAACAATGAAAAAGATACCGCACCCTTTAATATGTGATCATTAATAGTGATGAGGGGGTCATTCTAGAGATAAGAACCAGACAACAAGTAAACATTCACAGTTTTTAATTCAGGAATAACTTTCAGTGTTTTCTTAGACATTTTATTTAAATGAAGACTGAGGAAATTCAGCCCTAAAATGTATTTCTCTCTGTGTACGAGTACACAATCATGCTGTTTATTAAACTATCTTGCTTACATCTTTAAGTATTTTTTATTTACTTTATTAGTAACACTTATTTGAAAAAGTAATTGGGAGAGAAAAATGTGTTGGATTTATGCCTCTGATGTATCACATGCAGGTTGTCAGCTCTGGTTCAAGTGTGTAATCTCTATACATTGCTGACAAGCGAGAGAACGAGAAGGATATAAATGGAGAGTATGTGAATGGATTTTATTTTTTCAAGCCCCTGTGTGAGTTTGCAACTGTGCTGGTAAGGAAAAGTTCTTTCATTGTGCAGTGGAGCCAGTGCCCAGTGAACTGTCCTTGGGAGAATGGAGAGGATTTCTTTCCATTGTTTCTCTCTCACAGCATCAAGTTTCTGGTAATGGTGGCACTTTCCTTCTTTTGTGTTGTGGCCAGTGTGATATTTAAACCACTAAAGCTTTAAGAATTTTATTTTTTTCTGGACTTCCTTTTTTAAAAAAAAAGTCTAATAATACAGCACTCTTTAGTGAAAATCATTATGTTTATTTATCTTGGGTTAGAGTAATGCAGTCAGTTATGAATAGTTTTAAATTTAATGATCTCTTTTATCCTTTATTTCATCTTCAAATTATCATTTAGTCATCTTCTTGTGGAAGCTGATATTCAGAAAGATCAAGTCAGTATTACTTAAAATTGGAAACAGTAAAGGCTGGGTGTGGTGGCTCACACCTGTAATTCCAGCACTTTGGGAGGCTGAGGCGGTTGGATCATCTGAGGCCAGGAGTTCGAGACCAGCCTGGCCAACATGGTGAAACGCCACCTCTACTAAAATATAAAAATTAGCCAGGTGTGGTGGTACATGCCTGTAATCCCAGCTACTCGGGAGGCTGAGACATGAGAATCGCTTGAACCCAGGAGGGTTGCAGTGAGCCAAGATTGCACCACTGCACTCCAGCTTGGGTGCCAGAGTGAGACAATGTCTCAAAAAAAAAAAAAAAATCGGAAACGGTAACCAGAAATAGTAGAATATGATTGCACCACAGGATTGATTTCCAGACATTCTGACTTGCTTGCTTTTTACCTTACCCTTGGCTGATACCTGCAAGGTCTCACATGCTTCTCTGCCTGCCTTCCAGTTGCCTCGGCTATTTGTGGTTCTTGGAGTGCTGTTGGTACCACGAAGCAAGTCCTCTCTACCCATCAGGTCACTTTCTGTCACCCTGAGGTTTATTTTAGCCCCCTATATGGAACAGAAGCCCACATGAAATACTAAATAGGAACTTTAAGTGGAATAAATTCTGGGTGTGCTCAAAGAGTTCTTCTCTTGCAAAATCAGAAATTGAATTTGACACATGAAGTATAGTTAGGCCATGTTTTGAAAAGCTGCAGCAATACTTCTCAGGAAGTTGGTAAAAAAAATTTTAATTGTTTGAAAATTAAAAGCTTCAGCAAAAACATCATATGCTCAATTTTCTCTTGGAAGAAATTCTTGTTACTGCTTAAAGCACCTATAAATAATGTAGGTGAAACTGAACATGTTATACTACATGTTTTATAATAGTAATGGAACTGCTCTCAGAATGTAGAATTAAACCGTTTTGGCTTTATAATGTAAAGTGTCATATATGGTCCTGTTACAATCGTAAATTTTCCAGTGTTAGAGTTAAATTTAATTAATGATTTTTTTTTTCTGTGCCTGCCCACTGAATAGCTGTGTGGCCATAAGCAATTTTCATAGGCTCTATGCTCGCTTGCAAAATCAGCTTAGTAATAATATCTGCCCCTCCTATCTAGTGATTTCTTGATTAAAAAAATGAGATAACATTATGTGAAAGTACTTGGGAGGTAAGAGTGCTATATAAGGGCAAGGTCTTACTGTTCTGTCCTGTTAACTTTTTACTTCTTTCTCTTACCACAAAAACACCTACCACAGGCTGATTTAAATTGGTGAACTCCTCTAAACCACCTAAACTTGGAATAAATGGCGATAAACTTTCCTTATATTTATTTTCCCAACTCACAGCTTAAACTGGAAGGAAAAAGTGTATAAGATTCACATTTACCTTTTGACTTTAGTCATCTTTTTCATAAAGGTTTATTCCTGTCTACCATCCTGCCCCCTCAGAATTTTGCATAAATCTCATATAACAGTTCAACAAGTGACTGGTGTAGACTGGGCCTGCTTTGTCACTGAGTCACTTTATTATGAAATACTTAAAGTTGAATATCTGTATATAGCAATGAAGAAAGAATGTTAAACAGTTTATACTTTCTAAGGCCAGGCTTGGTGGCTCACACTTGTAATCCCAACACTTTGGGAGGCCGAGGTGGGAGGATCGCTTGAGCCCAGGAGGTTGAGACCAGCCTGGGCAACACGGAAAAACCCTGACTCTACAAAAAAATTAAAAAATGAAAGTAAATAAACAATTCAAAAATTTATACTTTCTGATCTGATGGTTTTCATGACTAACTCATCAGACAGCAATGAAAAGTGAAATTAATAAAAATTCACAAAGCCAGATATAATTAGTTAAAAATAAAGTCTGAATAAGCCGTAATCATCTTTACTTCCCTCTTCCCATTTTGTAAGCAGTTGGTATTTGATTGATAAGCATGTCCAGCTGGGAAATAAAGATCTGGCTTCTAATCCATGTTCTACCAGGCTGTGACCTTGGACAAGTCACGTAACTTCTGTATTTCAGCTTCCTCATTTCTAAAATGGGGTAATAATAGTACTTGGCCTACATACCTCATTGGGCAATTGTAGATAAAACGAGATTGTAGATAGGAATGTTTTGACTACCCCCCTGCCCCACAAAATTGAAAGGTGGTTATATAGTTACCACATACAGTCCTCATCTGACAACCCATATCTGAATGGCCACAAGACTGAAGAGTGAAAGAAACTTCCTGATTCTACCAACAAGAATGGGAAGGGAGTCCCTGTTAGCTCTTAGAGGAGGAAAGATACATTCCCAGTGCTTAGATCTCTGAATCAAATTCTGGAACACAGTTTCCCACAGAAATGACAGTCAGTGGTTGTGTTTCTGGCTAGCCAATAAAAAAGGAAAAAAGAGGTTTAACCATAAATAGTTCATTGTGATCCAATTTCTATAAAGCTGTTAACAAAGCCCACTTGTAGTATGAATATTAGCTTGGAGTTTGTTTCAAGTATGTTGGAGGCCTTAGCCCAGGTCTGGATAAGATAATGAATCCACCTCTCTTCTAGCTTCCCCACTTATTTAATATTTGCACAGGGCTTACTTAAGCCAGATTTGTAAGTATCATCAGTTCATACTCCAGTCTCCTGGCCCTTTGACTGAAATTCTGAAACCAACATTCTTTCCCTCAGTGAAAGGGTGAGAAGCCCTTTCAGGTCCCCAATCCCTTTAATAAGCACAGTGACCTTACAAAGTTAGGAAAGGTGGCTATTGTTGACTCTGAGCCTCAAGAAGGTTAAGGGACTTGCGCAGATCACTTGGTTAGTCTCAAGAGGTGAGACTTGAACCTCAGTGTTTTGACATGTAATTCAAGGCTGTTTTCATGACAGTTCTGTTTCAAGATGGATGCTATTCATTGAATTCACTTTGAGTTGTAGTTTTCAGTTGAGAGTAAGAATGTTTTTAGGGAGTCTTGGTTATAAAGTATATTTATGATTTTGTACATCTCTTATTGTAAATTTTCCAAAGGTAAAGTTTTGGGAAATTTAGTCAAAACAAAAAGTGACTCCCCACACTGATGTGGCGTGTGTTAGAGAGGGATTCTATTAGAATTAAGGAACTATTTGAAGCAAAGAATACTGTTATATGTAACGGTTATATTAAAAATAAGAAAAACTTTTGAAGAGCCAGTATTATTTACTTCTTTAAAACTTTGTGTTATATTTTTGAAGTGGTAGTGGTGTGAATATGAAGGAATTTTAGGAATTTAAAGTAAAATAAAAATGAAATAAACTTTTTTCTAGTTTTAATGATATGGTTTATGTTTATATTTATTAAAATATTCAGTTCTTACCATAATAATAGCAAGCCTAGCTAACATGTCTCCAGTGCTTGTTATGAGCCAGGCAGTATTCAGTTATCTCCGGTTGAATAATTGTTTTCTTCTTGCCAGGTTAGCCTACAGATTTGTTCATGATCAATTCTTAGAAGTAGTGAGGGATAAGTCTCCATGATAGAAGACAGTGATAAGGTCTGTATGTGGCATTACATGGGACATGTAAAAATGTTTCACTGAATAGTGAAAAGGATACTGCAATTGGAGTCAGAAGACCTAGCCTCCTCCTTGTTCCTCCCTGGCCTAACAGTGTGACACTGGGTTAGTGACTTGTCTTCATAAACCTTCGATTTCCTTATCTGTAAAAAGAGAACAGTGATACCTCATAGGGCTGTGGCAAGGATTAAATGAGATAACTTAGGTAAAGTACTTAATTTATGCCTTCAAAAGATGAGGCCTCATGTAGCAGGCATTCAGAAAATATTAATTGCCTCTTTTCATCTTCATGCACAAGGTAGTTGTGAAATTAAATTGGAAAACAATATGAAAGCTGGTTTAAAAACATTTAAATGTCGTTCTAATATAAGATGGTATTTTCCAATGAGTGGTGCCTTCTTCAGCACTTTCAGAGTAAAATATATGGGAGAATTAAGGAAACTGGATTATAACTAGAAAATCTGGATTTTACTGGGTGGCCATCACATCTGGAAACAGTGGTTTAATGATATTATCTTACAGTGCAACATGTAATAGTATTATCTATTTGCAGACTTGGCCACACTGTAGTCTCAGTTCCATCACCTATTGTTTGGCTTGGAGAAGTAATTTAATCTCTCTAATCACTGAGAATCAAAATTATATACATTATCTTCAGAAGTATTCTATATGTTAGGAAGCATCTAAGTGTGGTTTTTATTTTGTTTATTGTTCTAATTTTTCTATAATACAGCAGTTTTTTGATTAGACTTGTGATGGATAGAATTCATTTTCACTTAGTCAGAAAATCTTTCTAAATAGAGGAGAATTAGAAGGCAAAAGGCAATTTGATAGGTGTGCTAGTGGGAAGTAACTTCAAATCTCAGGGAGCCATATTAATTATAGAGAAAGCAGTGCCAGAGAATTTGATAGGCTGCTAGATGGGAGTGAACAGAGCAGGTAAAGGATAAAGAGCATTAATAAACTGATGGAGTATTAATAATTTCATAATCTTTATTGTGTTGGGTGAGATGTGATAACAGGGAAAAGATTCAGCCTCATATCCTTGGATTGCCCTCATTCTGGGCTGTGGACATGTGGTATAGTGTAAAGACAAGGGATTTGAAATCAGACTTACTATTTATTAGAAAAGTCATGGCACTTTGGAAATTAATTAATTCATGGATTTGAAAAAATGTTACGATCTCAAAATAGATGTTTTTGCTTATCTTTTCAGTTACTGTAGTCATACTAAATAGGTTTTGTTGTTGTTGTTGTTTTATTTTGAGACAGAGTCTCGCTCTGTCACCAGGCTGGAGTGCAGTGGCGCGATCTCAGCTTACTGCAACCTCTGCCTCCCAGGTTCAAGAGATTCTTGCGCCTCAGCCTCCCAAGTAGCTGGGATTTCAAGTGCGTACCACCACACCTGGCTAATTTTTATATTTTTAGTAGAGATGGGGATTCATCATGTTGACCAGGCTGGCCTCAAACTCCTGACTTCAAGCGATCTCCCCGCTTTGGCCTCCCAAAGTGCTGGGATTACAGGTGTGAGCCACCGCGCCTGGCCCTAAATAGATTTTTTAAAATGGATGCTTAGCAAGAACAGAAGGAAGAAAACAATTCACATTTTCCTGTCTTTCTGGTGAATTAGTTCTTTGATTCTTAAGATCCTCTAGTTGTGGAGGGTATGACCAGAGGACCCAGGGAAGACACTTCTGCTACCATCTAGTTGGGGTACTCCCCAGTGGTCCCAGCTATGGAAGACTGGTCTTCCTGGTTTAGAGTGCCTCAATAAGAAAGGACTTCCATGAGACTTAGCACTATTCCATCTCCATTCTCCTCCGAAGTCTTTTACGTTCCTCAGGATAGATAACTCAAAGTTGGCCAGGCCTGGTGGCATGCACCTGTAGTCCTAGCTACTCATGAGGCCAAGGCAGGAGTATAAGGATGCAGGGAGTTATAAAGGTGCCACTGCACTCCAGCCTGGGTGACAGAGTAAGATGTCTCATAAAAAGAGCACCACGTATGTGGATTCCTCCTCCACTGTCTCCCACCTCATCTCCCCTCCACATGTACTCTCACACAAAGACTGGAGCAAGGCAGACTTCTTTCACTTTCACTGTGCCTTTAGTAGCTAACTGTTTCGATTCTAGTGCAAGATGGCTCTTTACCACCAGATAAGCTTTGGTATGACCAACCACTACTGAGTTGTGTAGTAAAGCGAGGTTTATCTAAATATGTAGAAGAAAGTTGAGATTCTCATTAGTTAGAAATTTGATTGCTCGAAATCTTGAATTTGATGTAAAACAGAATAAGCAGTTAGGGAAGGGAACATAATATAGGCTTTGTGTATTGAGAGTTGCATTAAAAGAATTGCAAAGTCAAGGCCCGGCATGGTGGTTTATGCCTGTAATCCCAGGACTTTGGGAGGCTGAGGCGGGCGGATCATGAGGTCAGCAGATTGAGACCCTCCTGGCCAACATGGTGAAACCCCATCTCTACTAAAAATACAAAAATTAGCTGGGTTCGGGAGGCTGAGGCACGAGAATCACTTGAACCCAGGAGGCGTAGGTTGCAGTGAGCTGAGATCGTGCTACTGCACTCCAGCCTGGCAACTGAGCAAGACTCAGTCTCAAAAAAAAAATTGCAAAGTCAATCCTAAGGCAAAGAGGCTATGGAAGAAATTATGCTAAAGGGATGGGAATAGTTTAGGCTAGACTTGGGGGGAAAAATCAGTGGAATTCTTTTTTTTTTTCTTGTAAGATTTTTTTTTTTTATTTTAGGAAACATGTTTTCTACATTAGAAATGCAAGCATTGGGGGAAGTTTTCTCAGTTCCACATGCTGTGATGTCTTTGAGGAGGTGAGGACAGGAAAGGGTAGACAGAACTTTAATCCTTGATAGGAAAATATATGTTGAGTGCCATCTGGGAAACTTCTCTCTGACTCATTTTGTCAATGTTGGAACCAAGCTGAAAGTCAGTTTGGTTGTTCAAAGGTCTCCTTAATCATACAGTTCGGGTATTTCATTTGATAAACATTACCTGGCTTATCATTTCAAAACCTGTTGGAAGAATTTTTGAAATCACTAATCGATGGGTTTAATTTCTATGAAAGATTTTATTTTTTTTTGTGGACTACTTATGAGTTTAAGCTGCCTCTTCCTAAGAGCATAATGTCTATATCACAAGCTCATGAAGATTGTAGTGAATGGCAGCGAAACACTGTTCTTTGTATAAATGCTGAGATGTGCTTAAATAGATTCCATTGACAAGCTCTTGGAAGTTTCTGTGTTATAAGCTGCATTTAGAAGGAGTGAGAAAGGAAACACTGGGAGGAGGATGGAAGAAAAGGAAGAAGACTGTCTAGAGTCTTTTCTGCCAGTTGCCCTTTCTCAAAGACAAATGGACATTTGTCTTGGTTCATTTGGCCTACTGTAATGGAATACCATAAACCAGTAGCTTATGAACAACAGACATGTATTTCTCACAGTTCTGGAGTCTGGGAAATCTATGATGAAGGTGCTGGCATGTTCAGCATCTGGTGAGGGCCTAGTTTCTGGTTCTTAGTGGCACCTTCTGGCTATATCCTCACAAGATGGAATGAGCAAACAAGCTCTCTGGGGCCTCTTTTATGATGGCACAAGTCCCATTAATGAGGGCTTTGCCCTCGTGCTCTAATCTCTTCCCAGAGGCCTCACCTCCTAATACCATCACCTTAAGGGTTAGGATTTCATCATATGAATTTGGAGGGCACACAGGCTTTCAGACTATAGGTATAGTTTGGTGCTTTTCAACGCTTGTTCTTTTTGTTACTTTGGCCTGCCTGTCTGACAAACAGAAGATATGTGGTAATAAGAATGAAGCCTATTTGTAGTGCCTAGTATGTCTAACACTGTTTGAGGTGCTTTATACACATTACCATGTATTCTCAACCAGGGTATAGTAGATAATAACAGCATTTTTGTGTAGATGAGGAAGCTAGGGCTTGCAGTTATGTGACTCACCCAGGGTTACACACCTAGTAACAAATCCAGAGAATATTGTTCAGTTGTTCTCTTATTTGACCTCTCTGCTATTGACAACTGTTCCTTCCTTCCTGAATTTTTATTTTCCCCTGACTTTCATGACAACACATCTGTTTTTTCTTCTAGCTTCTGGTCACTCCTCCATAATCTCTTTGGTAGATCCTACTTCATCTCTTCACTCAGTAAAGCCTGCTATTCCTACCCGTTCTTCGATTTTCTTTCTCACACTGCATACTCTTCCTGAGAAATAGCATCTATGCTCATAACTTGAATTGCTGTCTTTATGCTGCTGAGTCCCAGATCTTTATTTCCATTCTAGATTTCTCATCTTAGAACCACACACATAAACTTAATGATAGATTTGACATTCTCTACTTAAATGTGCTATAGGCTCCTTAAATTCAGTGTCCCACAGTGACGTTTTCCCCATGATTTTCTCCTGGGATTCTGTAACTTCGTAAATGGTAATATCATCCACCCAGTTTCTCCTATCAGAAATCTGTTGTCGTCCTTACTTCCCCTACTTAGCTCTTCACATTTTACATTCCATCTCCAAATTTTCCTGCTTCTCAAATTAATTCACCTACCTCCATTCCCATGTTCACAGTCTTCAGTCCCCTTGGGCACACTGGCTGCACACAGTTGCTGTCTTCTCCTATATTTCTTATCTGGTAGCCCACGAGATCTTTCTAAAGTGAACATTTGATTTTTTTTTTCCTGCCTTTTCCATAACTTTACCTTCTTCAGTTTTTCCTTGTTACTTTCAGCTTTAAGCTCAAATTTCTTTACATGGTGTACACCCCTCCTTACCTCTCTAGTCTCATTTTGTACTATTCTTTTACACTAGCTCTTTGAATGTTCTCTTGCCTCTGGCCTTAGCACACACTATCTACTGGGAGTGCTTTTTTTTTTTCATTTCCAAATAGCTGACTCTTTCTTACTCTCCACAGACTGAGGCTAGCTCCTTTCTTACAGCCTGCTCTGATATCATCCCATCTCTGTTTGCCAAGTGGATTACTCTCATGTGCTCTCATAACATCATGAAGTTAATCATTTTTCATAGCATTTGTAGCTGTAACCTAGTCCTCTCTCCAAAACCACATCTCAGACATATAACTGTCTTCTCTTCATTTTCACTTTATTTCATTCTCATAGGCATTGCACATTTAACCTTCCAAAACTAAACTCTTGTTTTTCTCCAAAACCAGCTGTTCCTCCTGACTTCCCCATCTTAGAAAATGGCAGTATTACTATTCCATTTTTAATTAGACCAAAATCCAGAGTTGTCCTTTGTTCCTTAATTTTTTCACAGCCCATATCCAGTCCATCAATAAACCTTACTCTTTATTTCTTTTTTTTTTTTTTTTTTTTTTTTTTTTTTTTTTTTTTTAAGACAGAGTCTCGCTCTCTTGGCCTCTTGGGCAGGCTGGAGTGCAAATGGCGCTGTCTCGGCTCACTGCAAACTCCACCTCCCGGGTTCAGGAGATTCTCCTGCCTCAGCCTCCTGAGTAGCTGGGATTTACAGGCATGTGCCACCATGCCCGACTAACTTTTGTGTTTTTAGAAGTGATGGGGTTTCACCATGTTGGCCAGGCTGGTCTCGAACTCCTGACCTCAGGTGATCCACCCGGCTTGGCCTCCCAAAGTGCTGGGATTACAGGCGTGAGCCACCGCACCCAGCCAACCTTATTATTTCTACCTACAACATGTATTTAGAGTCTAACCACCTCTCACTGTTTCTCCTACTGTCACCCTAATCCATGCCATCATCACTTTTTACCTGGATGCCTGCAGCAGCCTACTGACTGCTCTCCTGCTTCTGCTCCTCCTCCCCTAAAGTGGTTCTCATCCTCACAGCCAGAATGACCCTTTTAAAAAGAAAATCAGAGGTTTTTACTACTCTGTGCAAAACCTTCACACATCTCTCTCAGAATAAAAGCTAAAGCCCTCCGTCATCTGTCCCACTTCGCACCCTGCTTTGATTAATACTACTGACCTCATCCCCTGTTACTTCCCAAACCCTTTTTACTGTGACTCCAACTATATGGCTCACCCCCTCATTTTCTTTAGGTCTCTGGTTCAGATGTCGTCTTTTCATTGAAGCCTGCCTTGACCGTCCATCACAGAAGAGCTCACTCATTTCCACTCTGCTCAATTGTTCTCCATGGCACTTATACCATTTAGCTAGTTACGTATTTTCTTATTATTCTTCTACTCAAGTAGAATACAAACTCCACAAGGGCAGGAACTGGTTCTCTTGACTGCTGTGTTCCCAGCTCCTGGAGCAGTGTGTGGCCTCTAATAGGCTCTAAGTAAATAGTTGAAGTCTAGGGTTAGTAGTATGTCATGGACTTAGCGATATAACAGACCTGCTAATGCAGTCAGTCCTAGCTCCAATACTGAGCTCTTCAACCCCTTGTAATTAGACCGCTCCTCAGCTTCAGTTCCTAATCAATAGCATAGGATGTATTCATTCTTACCTATAATGTTATTTGTTTGGGGGAGGGTTAAATAAAATAAACAGTATGAAGTGCTTACCTCAGTACCTTGCCAATAATAAATAGTTGAGAGCAGCTGCTGCTACTAATACTGCTGCTAATTCTGATCAGATTACAGCATTTAAATTGCTTCTGACTTGTTCATCTCTTCTACCAGATTTTGTCTGGCTACATCTTAAACTTGCTATAATAATAATAATAACAACAATGTGACCATAAGAATACCAGTAATAATAATAGCAGCTGTGATCATTTGAGTGCTTACCAAGTACTAGAGAGTATTCTCTAAGTCAGCACTTCCCAGTGCCTCTTCCTGCAGTGATGGAAACGTTCTATATCTGCTCTGTCCAGAGTGGTGTGGTAGTCACTAGCCACATGCAGAGAGAGCTCTTGAGCACTTGGCAGTGTGACCGAGGAACTCAGTGTTTAATTTTATTTAATTTTAATTAATTTAGATTTTAATGACCATGTTGGCTACTGTATTTTAAAACTCTAAATTCTTTACCTACATTAATTCATTTAATACTCAAAGGTTAAGTAGATTATAGATGAAGAAATTGATTGTCTGAGTGGTGAAGAAACTTGCCCAAGATTACACAGCTAATACAAGGCAGAACTGGGATTTAAAGGTTAAAGACCTAGATAATCTGGTTCCAGGGTCTGTTGCCAGCCACCCTCTGTGCTGCACCTCCCTCGTGTCATTCTCAAGAATTAAAGTCTTACAGGCAAAGGACTGAGGTGGCATATCTGTATTCTTGCTGCAGGGAAAGCTGAGAGAATTTCTGGTTCTTACTGCAGTGCAATATCACTCCTAAAGTGAGAAATTCCCAGATTTAGGATAAATGTTCAAACAGTTCTAGACAGGTAAGCTTGGCTACTCAACCTCTGTGTACACTTTTTTCCAAGACTTAAATTTACAAATATAGTGGCAGCAACAACAAAATGTTTCCTCCTAAGGTGTTGCAGCTATTTTTCTAAAAGCGAAAAATATGCTCTCCCCCTCCCCAAAAGGGGGAATGATACATCTTACCAGGTACCGTTTCCAGCTTGAAGTCCAAGATATCTGAGCTGAGCTTATTCCTTTTGTTAAGGTTGCCTTATGTCGCTCTACAACTAGTGAGCCAGCAACTTATTTTTATAAAACATTAGGAGAAAAAGAGAAGGGGAAATTGGTTAAAAACATAAATATGTTTATGTCAGACCAAAAAATAAATATGAATAGATACTTTAGTCTTAGCTTTTGCTATTGGTTCTGAATCCAAAGTTGGTATTTTTAATTCCCTTCCTCCACTACTCATTCCATGTTCTTTTTGCCCTCAGCCAGCTCTCAGCTAATTGTAGATTTTTATCTGTAGATTTTTATCTGACTGACGTTTATCTGACAACACTTTAGACTGTCATTCACAGGGGTGAGGAAGGAGGCTTTGAGTTGTTGGTGGTCCTGCCTATATGGAGTTATTTCTATCTTCCATTATCTTTCACCGCTAGATGTGGTCAAACCAACAGGTGTTCCAGGTTCCAGACACACACCTCCCTTCTCTCATCCTGTTGCAACAATCTTCTTTACCCTTGATAATCAAGATTCATTAACACAACCAATTCTGTCACCTCCCTTTTTGTCCCTGTTCTGTGTCATGAGGAGTTCAGAATTGCTAGGTTGCAGTTTAAGCTTCCAAATCAGTGGAGGTATTGTTGAGTCCCTTGGTGAAATCATTCTTCACTTGGGTGCTGAGACTGTTAAACCAGCAGAACCAGAGTCGCAGTGATGGGGGAATTGCAAGTTGGTCATTAGGTGTGATGAGGGGGAGGAGAAGATGTGTAACTAATTCTGCTTCTGTCCCTTGGTTACTGGGCCCTGTATTATGGCTGTGGGAGAAACAATGTTTTGTATTATTCACTGGTTCTGAGCATCTTGGGAGACACCACCCTATCTAATTTTATTTGGAACTGAATCTTCAGAAGATGATTTCAGCATTCTGAAAGATGATCTTCTAGATGATAGGGTATGTGGTAAGAAGAGCAATCCATTAGCATCATACCATCATTGTACTCTTTCACTGTTAAATCTTGAGTGAGATACCATGGTGATGAATGAGGCATTCAGTCATTCTGTGGATGGCAGAGGTATGGTGGACAGGAAAGGCAGTTTCATATTCAGAATATGTGTCTTTTCATATGAAGACTGACAAGTGACCACTGAAAGTTAGGATGTATGTCTGAAATCATGTATGTTTTCATAAAATTAAATCTATTCTGTGTTGTTACTTGGAGGCACAAGCAAAGTAAAACATTTAAGGTGAACGGGGGTTTGAGTAAGTTGAAACTGGCTGACACTGACTCACTATGACCTTGGGCAAGATGCTGAACTACTGCGAGCTGCCTATTCCTCATATCTGTGAAATTGGGATAATGATATTTTTGTGTATATAAGGCTTTGAACCACTCAGACGAAAGGTGCTGTGTAAGTGCAAAGTGTTGTTAACAACAATACTGATAATCCTCATTTCACCTTGCCCTCAGTATGACCTGTGTTTAAATTGAGCACTGTTAAAAAGATTGCCTGTGAAATGGTATCCTGTATAGTTATGTTGCTGTATGTTCTCCCAGCACTTGATATATTTCCTTCCCAACACTTTTTATAGTTTGCAATAATCTGCTTGATTATTTGAATATTTGTTTCCCCCACTAGATCCAAAAACCTCTGAGCACAATGGGGACCACTTTTGTCTGTTTGTTATAATATCTCCAAGGCCTAGCATGGTTCCCACATGTGGTAGATGTTCAGTAAATATTTACTGAATGAATAAATGAATAAATAAATAATGCATGTTTCTGTGAATTTCTGCCAAAACAACACAAAAAGCCAGAGATGTAAAATCAGTTTCGTTTCTTTTCCACCAGTACGGGAATTCTAATGCTGTATTCTGTGTAAATAAATCATTCCGGTTGGTCATCGTATTATAGTGGGCATGGTGCCATGGGAAATTTATTGGAGTAATTTTTAACAGCCTAAATGTTTAGTAACAGATGCACATAGATGGCAGGTTGCCTCATTCAGCTTCCATCTGTTAGACAACTGTCTATTCTAATAAGACTGGTCTATTCAAACTAGACAAATAACATTCTTACCCATGTTTAAGCTTATTCATTTTCACAATTTTTCCGAAAGGCTCGAAGGAGGAAAGGTGTTTCCATGTTTGGTTGGCTGCTACTTAATAGTAGTGTATTACAACACCTTGGCAAACCGTGAAGTCCACTTGATGTGTCGTAATGCTCAACAAGGAAGTATTCTCTCTTAAGTGTTTTGTCAAAAGTCAAAACCATGCTAAATAATGGCACTAGGAAACACACTCAGCTACAGATAATTTGGTCCAATAGAGTTCAGTGTAGGTTGTGCAACTGGCAACAGAAACTGGCATGAGATGAAGGGGTATAATCCATGCTGGTCATCATTAGTATGTGTGATTTTTAAATAGGACAGAGGCAATATACTAAACTCTAGAAAATATAGTGTGTCCATATGTACATGCAGTTAGGTTATACCCAGTGAAAGCATGATGATTCTCAGCTTGGGCATGCCTTTTAAGAACAACTTTACCAAGTTTTTTTTTGCTATATAAAGGTGGAGACAGTGTTGGCCTATATAAATTTACCCTGTGCATGACGAATTGGGTTGGTGGTGTGTCATTAAGTGTGGGCCAACTTCCTTAAATGTCTTGGTGCTTAGCATAATGCCTGGCACCCAACTGGGACTCAGTAATTATTTGTTGAATGAATGTTCTAGGATCAGTTGAGGCAATTCCCTCTGGATTTCTAGCATGAAAGCAGTCCCATAACCTTAGATCACTATGAATTAAAACTTGGAATAAAAAGTTGGCATACTTAGAGTACTAGTACTAAGCAGAACACAAAGCAAACTGCTTATCACTAGTATGTGTCTGTGATAAACTTCTGAAGGCTGTGTCATTTCCTAAATGTAAATCACTGGGTATGTGTTATTTTGGGAGGCAGACATCTAACAATGGCTGTTTTGGAGAAAGTCAATCTATCTGGGTCTTGGTTCAGTTACAGGAATGACTAATTTTATACTAGATTCTCACATGATTCAAAAAGTGTGTGAATGACTCAGCTCATTAATATCCTTAGCTCCTGTGATCTCCCCTCCCAGTGAAACGATGGTTATAAGGCAATAATGATAATTGGAAGAGGAGGAGACTTTGACTTTGCCCCGTGGCAATAAAATGACACACTTTAAGTAATTACATGTGCATACAATATTGTTTGAAAGAAATGAGTTATATTATCATCATATAAATACATTTAATATTTGTGTTAAAATATGGTGAAAATAATATGTAGTTTCAGCGTGGATGAGGACTGAGTTCTGCTTTTTGTTTCTACCATTATCTTTTTTCCTGAAACAACAAGCCTCTATATGGACAGAGCCATTTGGAGCCCTAACTTAGTTCCTAACAGTCAACTCATTGATTACCTTCTCCTTGCTGACATAGAGAAATGTTGCAGTCACAGGGGTGTTGGGTTCTAATTACATGTAGCTAAGTATTCACAAGTGATTTTGAGCTAAAATGAGCAATTCGTTGAAGAGTCTGTGGAATTTCTGGGGATTTGCGTGTTTCTTCCTGTTACTGTTTCTTTCTTTTTGCAGCAATTTATTAAACAAAGACCTGGATATTTGGAGTCAGCCTTTGCGCATATGTCTGCTCTTGCTAGAGTCTCTAGTGACTCAAAAATCTAATGCACACTTTTCACTTCTTATTTAGTTTCACTTCTCTGCAGCATTTGACAGATCTCGAAATTCCTTCCTAAACTTTGTGGATATTTTCTTTTGGTTGTTTCTTAACTCTTACACTTTTTCTTTTTAAACTCTTCTAGCCGCCCTTAAAATGTGATATCCTCCAGAGTTTGGTCTTGGTCCTTTTTTTTGTTTCTATTTATCCAGTCTCCTTGGTGATCCCATTCATTTCCATGGTTTCCATTAAAATCCATACACTGGTTGCTCCAAGTGGGTGTCTTTATGTCAGTCTTGATGAGCTATAGACCTGTGTATTCAGCAACACTGGAGATATGTATAGATAGATAATAATAGTAACAACAATACTAACAGCTACTCATTATTGAATATTTTCTGCATCAGACAGGTGAGCGCTTTATTGCTTCATTTATTTACCTCACAGCGACACTATACATTGTCTTAAAAACCAGAAAAATGTCTCATAAAGATCCCGATTTCTAAGTGTCCTGGAAAAGCCTGGGCTTGCCTTCTTACCTGGCAGCAGACATCGGCAGCTGAGTAACAGCTTTCCTCTTACCTGGGACTTGTACCATTACTTCACACAGTCCTCACCACTTCCTATTGGCCTGCACTTATTGTGAGTTTCCTCATATCCTTGCTGGTCTAGCCCCATAGGCATTTCTGACACCTGTAAGGACAATTGACATGCTTTCCCAGCTGGTTGCAGACTTCTCTATTTTTTGCCCTAGTACTGGAATGGTTTTCTCAAATGAAATTTGTTACTTGCTTTCTCTTAATAGTTTTCTATGTATGTTTCTTTATCACCTCCTCCTCTACCCACAACTTTGTTAAAGTCTCTATGCTGAAGTTAGAAGGAAAAGAATAAAAGTTTTTGATCATTTACTATGGGCCAGAGTTAAACACAGGCTTGGTTTAGTTAAGTCTTCACAGCACTGAAGTGGGTGTTCCTGATTCCTAATTAAGAGATGAGAGAATTTCTGGGTTGAAGAATTTCAACCCAGAGTGGATTCAGATCTGTCTGATCCCGAGCTCAAAGTTTTTTCTCCTCTATCATAACAACTTCTAGCTCCTGTTCCTCTATACAAATAAACAAGTATCTTTAGCACTCTCATTCCCATGATCTGCTTCTCATCTTGTTCCTCCTTTGCCATCAAACTATATTCATTGGTTCACACAGAACTCTGTTAACCCCTTTTCTCATCTCAACACAGTGTAATTTAGCCTTCTGATAATTTACTCGTTCACCCACATCATCTGAGCACCCACTGTGCAACAGGCAGCGGGCCAGACACTAGGGACATAATCCTTGTCTGAGAGAAGCTTCATGGAGCCATAATTCCAGCGCTGTGTGCAGAATGCCTTATAATTAAATCCAGTGGATTTAAGGATTAGCCCTTTTCTTACTTAAGCTCACTTGCATCATTTTCCCCAAAGGACAAGCACTTCTCTAATGGAAATTTTCTCTTTCCTTTCTTCTGTAGCATTCCTCACTGCTGGTTTTCTTCTTTAGTTTTTCAGAGTTCCTTTTGCATCTCTCTTCTTTTTCTTCCAGTGCCCTCATTTTAAATGTTTCTAGCTTCGTACTAGGTAACTTCACTTCAAAGTCTTACAGTTTCAGTGATTTGTGCTGCTTTCCTCAAGACAATAGCATTTGACTAGCTGTCCACATTAAATATCTTGGAGGCATCATTACTCTCTTGTCTTCCTCTCACAACAAGAGTTGGTGATTCTGCTTCTAAAACAGCATCCCAGTTGCCAGCCCCTCTGCCATTAGTTAACATATGGCAGCAACTGCCCTCTCCCTCCCTCTCAGTTGTGTGTCCTCCAGGCATTAACAATAGTAATCATTTTTTTTAAACTCTCATTATCACTTTACCCCTTGAAATCTTGTAGTGTCTTTCTCGCTGCCTGTTGGGTCAGGTCTCAGTTCTATAACCTGGCCTCCAGAGCTGTTGACCGTCTGCTCCTGATCCACTCTTCTGGTCTACTCTCATTTTAGCTACAGTGCTTAGCACACAGAGAGCACTCACTGAATACTGGATGAGTAAGCGGGTGGTACAGAAAAATCTGACCTTTTGTTGTCAAAGGGCAGAATTAAATTTTTATCATGTAAGTATGGTACCTACTATTTACTTCTCAGTAACTTCTCTCATTTTTAAATTATAATGATATAAACATTAATCCAGTGTATTGTGTTTCTCTTAAATTCATATGTTGAAGTCCTAACCCCTAGTAGGACCTCAGAATTTGACTGTATTTGGAAATCAGGTATTTAAAGAAGTCATTAGGTTGGCTGGGCGTGGTGGCTGACGCCTGTAATCCCAGCACTTTGGGAGGTGGAGGCGGGCGGATCACGAGGTCAGGAGATCGAGACCATCCTGGCTAACACGGTGAAACCCCGTTTCTACTAAAAATACAAAAAATTAGCCGGGCATGGTGACGGGCACCTGTAGTCCCAGCTACTTGGGAGGCTGAGGCAGGAGAATGGTGTGAACCCGGGAGGTGGAGCTTGCAGTGAGCCGAGATCGTGCCACTACAGCCTGGGCAACAGAGTGAGACTCCGCCTCAAAAAAAAATGATAATAATAAGTCATTAAGTTAAAATGAGGTCAGTAAGTGGGCCTTAATCCAATATGACTGATGTCCTTAAGAGGAAATTTGGACACAGACCTGTGTAGAGGGAAGACCATTTGATGCCATAGGACCCAGCCCTGCTTGGACTTGCCCTGATCTTGGACTTCTTAATTCCAGAACTGTGACAAACTAAATTTCTGTTGTTTAAGCCACCTAATCTGTGGTACTTTGTTATTGCAGCCCTAGTAAATTAATATACCTAGTATCTTTTAATTCACTGAGATTCTAAGTCCTGTATCTGGGTAGACTTTATTATTGGGAAAAGGATGGACCTAATAATCTAGTAGATCTCTCCATCTCAAATTTCTTTGAGGTATTTGAAATTTGACCAAGGAAGTTAAAGGCTACAGTAAACTGTGATCATGCCACTGTACTCCAGCTGGGTGACAGAGCCCGACCCTGTCTCTTAATTTAAAACAAACAAACAAAAATTCTCCTAAGAAAAGAGGGGCATCTTTATCTTTTTCATGCTACATGATTAGCCACTCAATTTTTTTTCCTTTCATTAATCTGTGTCTCTTAGATATTCAAACAAAGCAAGAAACCATTAAAAAATAGTTAGTGCCCATTTGTTTTATTGATTTAAAGAGATAATGAGTTGAATGTTTTTAAATTTCATTTTGATAGCTAGAGTACAGTCAGTTCTCTTTGCAATGGATGGCCATGCAGACTCAAACTTTCAGAGAAGACATTTACAGCAGTGAATTTATGTGCTTTACAGCAGTTTTCTAAAAGTTCTGGTTATGGGGGGAAAGCACAGTGAATCACTAAAAATTTGGTTTATTCAGCTTTTCCTAGTCATATTTCAGGTTGTCATGTTGTCAGACCTCAAAATGCCTCTCCCCTCCATCCTCACTGCCCCCACTCAGTCTTCACCTCCTCAGCAGTGGTTGTAGTGGAACTGTGGGAATTAAGTAGGTTGACTGTGTTAGAGACTTTGTTGGAAAACAACATTCAGATTTTACTTATTATCTGCTTAGATCATCCCAGATTACATAATAATTTCAGACTGATTACACCTTGACAAGGCTCACCTGAATGTCTTCCTATAATGTTACCATTAACATCTTAGGTGGATGTGAGTCCATTTTATTTTATAAATCCAGAAAGAGCGCCTATAATCCTTTTCTAAGAACCAGCAATTTATTTTCTAGGTCTGCTCTCAATTCTTCATGCTACAATTTTGAACTTCTTGCATTTTGTTCTATTATGTAGAGGTAGAGGATAGCTAGTCACCGTGTATAATAGCTCTTATTCTTGAGATATAAGGCACTATTATATTGCCTTTCTATCTTCTCTTTTCCAAATTGAGCTTTATTCGTTCTTTAGCCATACAGTACTTCTGTTAAATCCTTAATTACATATAACACTTGTCATTAAAGCCTCTCCATGTTTTCTAAAACTCTCTTTAATGGTGAATCCAGCACTTGGGGGTTAGCAATACAAGAAGACAGTCCGTTCCTACACTAAAATATAAATTTTACACATTTTGGTTTCATGCTTAATTCTCATTTTCTATTTAGTAATCAAAATGCATAGCAATTAAGCAAAAGAAGATTATGTCTTTTCTCTGTGACAAAAGTTAAAGCATATACTTTGCAGATAATCTTTTGAATTCATATGCATTGATAACTCAGATTCAGAGAGATTAGAAGTATATGCTACTGACTAGAACCAATATCAAGAATTTTCTGTATCTAACTTGTAGTCTTAGCATTACCTCTGACTAGTTGGATGTAGAAGATAAGTCATTTGACTTCTTTCTAAATCATTTTATTTATTTGTGAAACTGGGGGGAGGAGATCAAGATTAGATTATCTCTAAGCTGTCTTCCAGCCTAGAAATTGTACTATATACTAATAATAATGGCAGCTAATAAATTGTGGCTTTTAGTGGGTAGGTATATTTGGAGCTAATAAGATTAACTTATTTGAAATACATGTTGAGTACTACCTACTGTGTGCTGGGCACTGGTAATACCGTGATAAATCAGACATCTTTCAAGGAGTTTATTAGGGGAAAGAGGCATAAAAATAAGCAATTGAATATTCCTGGAGTGGTGGTAGAAGTCCGTCTAAAGTGTATGGGGCACAATAGAGAGTTTGGTGAGTTTTGCTTGGCAGCAGGAGCATCAGGAAAGGGCCAGTGATGAAAGGGAGCGATTATGAAGGCCTGATGGAGAGCAGCTGCAGCAAAGTGATAAGGCAGCAGCTTGACTATAGTGGCTAAAGCTGGAGGATGAGAAGGTGGAAAGAGTGGCTCCTTTTTTCCCCCAAGGAGGTGGAATATGAACAGAAAATAACTGGGGGCAGGGAGTTGGGATTATAAGAGGTTGTTTGTTTTAAAAAATGGGTGTGAAGAGCCTGTGTAAAGGTTCTTGAGAAAAGAGCCCGTTGAGAGGAAAGTTTGTTGTGAAGGAGATGAAGATGTAATAAAGAACAGGGTTGAGAATGGATAGCGAGATAGATAGATGAATAGATATGTGATAACATACACAGAGCAGAATGTTAATTGTGGCACCTAGGAAGTAGATGAATGAGTGTTCATAATATACTTCCTTCAACCTTTCTGCATATTTGAAAATTTATAATATTGGGAAATAATTTTATAATATTGGGGATGGAGGAGAACATGGGTTGAGAATTTAGCCTTGAACAGAACCAGGGGGCACTTATTCCTTGGCATGGCAGGACATTATGGAAGGTCAAGGCTAAAGCCCCAGCCACTTTTGTAAAGCAGAAGTGACTCTGACCTGCTAGGGTGGAGGGCCAAAAAAAAAAAAATGTTGAGCATGAAGGATGGAATAACCACTTGTGAGTGTGAGAGAGGACTGAGCAGACTTGGGTGGTGATGCTCAGGTCTGGTGAAGTTGCCACATTTGTGATTTTCCCTGGCAGTTATCAGAAGACAACAAGTTAGTAGGATCATTGAAGGGCCACTAGCTTACGGAAGCCAAAATAGAATGAGTAGTTGGCATGAATGAGTCCCTTCAGTATTTGCCAGCAGTCTGTCCTAGAACATGTCCCAACCTCTCTGGTGCTTTGTTCAAGAGATTGTTTTCAACCTCACTATCTTTTGCTTTGAATTATCTGAGATAAAAACAATGTTGCAAAACTTTGTTAACACTATTATTATTAACATTTAACTCAGGTAATTTTGTTGTCTCCCTTAGGTGAAAGAAGAACGTCCAGAAAAAATACCAGATTTAAAATTATTGGTAGAGAAGAAATTTTTGGCTTTACAGAGCAAGAATTCTGATGCAGACTTTCAAAATAATGAAAAATTTGTACAGTTTAAACAACAGCTGAAAGAACTAAAGAAGCAATGTAAGTCAACATGCTTTGCTTTGGTTCGGCTTTTTGAAATTAGGGAACTGACTTGATGAACAGCCCCAGTTAACTGATTTTATAAAGTTTGCTTATCTGCTTGGCTTGATCCTCATTCTAAGTTGCGTTTTATTGTTGTTGCAATTCTGTATTTTGTCTAATTTTTGGTTCAAATCAGCCTGCTCATTTCTGAAAGCCAACAGTTTCCACAAAGTGCTCAGAAAATTTCCCAGCAGCTAGTTATGTGTATTGTCCCATTGCTGGGGAGGGAAATTGGGAAAACAAAATAAAAGTGAAAACTATTTTATTTAAATAACAATGGTATCGTTCAAGTTTTAAACTGCTGTGCCATGCTTTAAAATAACCATACTTTGATTCTGGTTTTGCCTCTTTGGAGTAATATTAGCTATGTTTTCTCTCAGAAGACCACTTTATCTTCTCAACTATAGACCAAAATCTCCTTGATCCATTTTAGCATTGTGGTAGTATAAATTCCATGTGGTTTTTAAATTGTTGCCTTCTTAATAAACTATTACATTCAAGTTTTTTAGTGGACATAATTTTGACTTAAGAATTGGAGCAGGCAATGTAATTTTTTATACCAAAAAAATTTTTTAGACAGTATTTACCAGAAATAATATATCATTTCTGCACAGTAAAGTATATATGCCCTTTCTTTTCCCATTCTTCCATATGGTCCACATACCAATTTTATATAAATTGATTTTTTCACATTAGCATCTATTTAGTCCTGTAGTCTTTGCTTCTTTTAGGATTGAGACGCTTGTATTTCTTAAAGAAGTGAATAGTGAAGCAAATAACCTTTTCTAACTTTAGTCTCCCAACACCTTCATTTACACACACATGGAGCAGGAGTGTTGTATGATATGAGACATAAATTTACCTCGTGTCCTTATATGTGCTTAATGTAGGGATTCGTATTTTGAAATAGGCTTTCTTTTAAATATAAGCATTTTCTTTAAATTGATGCTGAGATCTCAAAAAATGACTGAGGAAGCTGCCTCACTTTTGTCTATTTTACAAATAACTTAAGTTTCACAATTTGGAATGTTTTGCAATCATGATGAGACTTTTGTTTTTACTGTAGACTTAACCAGTAAGCATTTTCCCCATATTTTAAGTTTATTTTTGTTCTTTTTTTTAACATCACAGCTCCCAACATTCTTCTAATGTATTTTTCACTCTTCCCTCAAATGATTAATAATTTCCCAAAGAGATAATAATTTGCCAATGGCTTTCTGATCTTAAAGATGCTAGTGAATTAATTGTATAGCCATGAGAATTAGACATTATTCCCCTTAAATATACATGGGCCATATAGTCTTTACCTTTTATCCATGATATTTATTACTCAGTGGTGTGTGTGTGTGTGTGTGTGTGTGTGTATAGTATCTGGCACATGGACCTGTGATTACCAGCCTGAGGCCAACAAACCCCTCAGTTGGGATGTAGAGATTAAACAAAGCTTTTAAAAGCTCACATTATATGACCTCAAGTTTGTTTACCTGGTCATCTCATGGTAATTAGAAACTCTGATTGGCAGCTTTCGATTTCTTGATTAAAAACCTAAATAAACTGATTGTTATAGGCATTTTTTCAAAGGCATTCTCAGTGAAAAGACCGAGAACTATTCTATTTGGTGCTTAGTGAAAATATTTTGAACTAATATATGTACCAGTTATTAACATCTCTTTATTAAATGCAATAGTTTTTTGTCAAATAAATAGCAATTTTTCAATCTTGAAAAAAAAAAGATGCTAATGAATTTCAGTTTTGGTGTTGGTCTAAGTAGCCAAATGTATTTTATTTGACTATTTGGAGCCAGTACTCATAAACTGTGGCAGACTTAGCATCCAATCACAATTCCTGAGTTTTAAGTAATTTTATAATACAGGTTGAAGGACAAATATTCAAAAATATAAATTGTTCCTTCTTTTGTTATTGTTTACAAAGTTATTATTCCACAAGGTAAAGGATGAAGACTTTTAGAATCATACTCATGGAGAAACACTTTCTAATTAAGAACATATAATTCAAAAAAATGATAAATGTTGAAATCATGGCTATTACTTCTTAAATCTCTCTAAAATGGAGTTGGAAAAAGAAAGAAAATGTTTCCTCAGGCCACCAGTACACATTATTTGGATAGACAGTCAAACCTTATGTATATTTATATTGAAAGAAATACTTCCTTATAAAGTTTCCCTGTATATTGTAACACTGGAATTAAAATAACTTTCCCCTAAAATAATTAAAATAAAAATTTCCCCTAGAATTTTATTTTAAAAAGTTTTTAGATTTCAAATGACAGAACAAGCAAAATATTAATACTTTTGAAAAATACTCTATAAGATCTGTATACCTTACTTGCAAAATGTAATTTTAGTGCAGTATTATTAATATAATACTTGTATTATACTAATACAAGTTGATACAAGTATAAACTTGTACCATGTCTAGTGGATTTTCTTTCTTTAGATTTAACACTGTTGTGAGGGTTCTAATTAGGATCAGGCTCCCACAGTATTTGTGTAGCCAGGTCAAAGGTACACTATGATATGTAAATGAGCTAATGAATCTGTTTTGAGATATGTTCTGGCGGCAAGGAATTACAATAATAATTTTTTTGTTTTTAAAGATTAGAAAATAGAGGCCAGAGAGAGAGACTTGCTTCTAGATGCCTGTTTTGACAGAGTAAAGGCTGAAGTGCTTTTATGGTCTACATAGATCCAAAGAGTTCTTTTATGAAAATAACCACCATGTCTTCACTAACTTTATTATATAAGAACATAAATACATGGGATTACATTTGACAAAATCAGGATCTAATCAGAGAAATGCTAGGAATCTTTTAGGTGGGGAGAGGCCAAGATACAGCTTGCAATGAAGTTGTCTCCCAGGTGGTTTTGTCTCAAGGGCAGGCCTAGGTACACTCTGCTGGCAGTGCACCAGCTGTAAGTTAATCTATCTGTGGCTCAGCAGCTGGTTCTCAAAGTTTTTGGTCTTCTGCTCCCATTACATTTTAAATTTTTTTTTTTCTTTTTTTTGAGACAGAGTCTCGCTTTGTTACCCAGGCTGGAGTGCAGTGGTGCAACCCTGGCTCACTTCAACCTCTGCCTCCCAGGTTCAAGTGATTCTCCTGCCTCAGCCTCCCAAGTAGCTGGGATTATACGTGCATGCCACCAAACCCAGCTAATTTTGTATTTTTGGTAGAGACGAGGTTTTGCCATGTTGGCCAGGCCGGTCTTGAACTCCTGACTTCAGGGGATCCACTCGCCTCAGCCTCCCAAAATGTTGGGATTACAGGCGTGAGCCACTGCACCTGGTCACATTCTTAAAATTTACTGAGAGCCCCCAGAGAGCTTTTGTTCATTGGTTATATCAACTGACATTTATCATATTAGAAATCAAAACTGAAGAATTCTAAAAATATTAACATATGAAAAATAAGCCTATTACATGTTAATATAAACAGTATTTGATATGGGATACCACTTTACATTTTATAAACATAAAGGAAAAATTATTGAGAAGAGTGGCATTCTTTTACATTTTTGTCAATCTCTTCAATTTTTGGCTTATTTAAATAGAAGGTAACTAGCTCCTCATATTTGCATCTGCATTTGGTCTATTTTGTTGACGTACACAAAGAAAATTTTGTCTCACACATTGGTAATTGAACTTGCTGAAAAGATCTTGCAGACCACCAGAAGTTCTCACTTTGACAACTCTAGATCTAGGCCTGGGGTCAGTAAACTCTGGGCCATGGACCGAATTCAGCCTGCCTCCTGATTTTCTATGGCCTGCAAGCTAACAATGATTTTTATGTTTTTTAACTGTTGGAGAAAAAAATCAAAAGGGGAGTAATATTTGGTGACTTGTGAAAATTATATGAAAATTCTATTTCAGTGTCCATAAATGGTTTCATGGGAACATAGTCATACTCACCTGTTAATGTGTTTTCTGTGGGTACTGTCACACTGTCATGGCAGGGTTGAGTGAGTGCATCACAGATCATCTGGTTAGCAAAACTTACCGTATTTATTATCTGACTTTTTACAGTAAATGTTTACTGACCCTTGATCTAAATTATATTCAGAAGTAACGGCAGTTTTTATTTTTTTAATTTTATATTTTTTCCCTGAATACCATCCATTTGTCTCAAGTACATTCAGAACACTTTGAGGATTCACTGTGTATGAATTACTACAGTTGAGGCTCTGAAATAAATAAAAAGCAAAAAGCAGGAATCTGTACATGCAGAAGACAGTGTATACAAACATGATATAATATGACAACCATTAATAACAAATATCAACTCAAAAGCAAAGAAAACATCAGAAACAAATGTTATACAATGTGGGACCTAAGTGAGGAGAGTCAAAACAGGAATGCCATGCCAGTCAACTGATATGGGGCTCTCTGGAGCAGTAGGTACAGAAAGATTTTGAGGCTGGGTTCAGCCCCAGTAGGAAAGAATGTGCTAAAAGATAACAGTGGGAAAGGAGAGGGCAGTACAGATGTCTAGTATTTACCATCCCCAGAATACAAACCTAACAGATATACTACACTCATTTAGAGATACTGTTACTCTAAAGATAATATATTTCAGTTACACACAATGATTTTCCCAATAGTTATGTCTTATAGATATTACTAGGCATTAGATATAACATCTTTGAACAAAGAATTTTATCCTTTAGATACCCAGTGTCCTGTATGTTAGAAATAATTAGGTCTGCCTCAGCTTACATCTCAGGGTCATTACCAAGATTAAATGAGATACTGACTCTGCTAGCTCTAAAAGCTTTAGATTTAAGTTATTGAGGAAGAGCTAGTACAGCATAATGGAAAGAATGTGGCTTAGCAGACGGAAGACTTGGATTTGAGTCACTTAATAGCAGCCTACTCTCCCTTCAGATACCGCCTATCTTAGATACTTCTAATTCTTGGAGTCATAGAATCAAGATTGATCGAAGATAACTTCTACACTTCTAGACAAGATGACTAGGATAGTGATGGTGGTGATAACTGAGTTAGGGAACAATTTCACAGAGAAGAATTTCTTAAACAGTAATCATATTCTCACTAGCCCAAGTTGTGAAATGAAACAATATGATTCGGTTTAAGGCAGACATAACCAGACTTTCTTGGGTGAAATAATTTTAATTTAGCTAGACAATATGGATAATTTTCTCTTCTCCTTGCCTTAAACTGCCTTCAATATTACAGCTCATGGTTTCTTGCAGTTTTAACATCAGGAGAACTTAATTAGAATGTGTGAACTCCTCTGTATAGATACTTCTTCAAGTCATCAAGCAATCTTTCTGGCGTCTTTTATTCATTTACCTGTTACGTGACTATCAGGCCCTGTAGATTTTAGTGTACATCAGCAAAGGCAGAAATTGAGGGCAGTTGTCAAAGCCCTTATGTTTTGAAAGTTTCTAAGATTGAGATTTAGAAACTTTCAAAATATAAGGGCTTTGCTTTATGTTCAAAAACAGAATTGAATGTGAATCTGAAATTTTAAGTGTTAATTTAATATGCAATATAATTTTGTTAGTATATTTAAATGCTAAGCTTAAAGGAGAACGTATCATATTATCTTTTAATGAAAAAAATGCTTATCTGAAAAGGTTCACCACAAATTTAGACAGTATATTTAGGTCACTGTTACATATAGAATATATGGTATGGAGATAATTGCAGCTACAAGTGAAGGTTATAAATCATTTTGAATGACAATGATATTTGTATCAGACATATAGAGACATAGGAATTCACATTGTAATCTAGCAATTAATATGGATTCATTTTAAGCACACCCAATCTAGATCTCAAAACTGATAAAAGGAGGGAGCGGCCATTCACTTTACAAAAGGATTCTCTGAAGGATACTATTAAGTCTTCTCAGGAACATTAGAACACCTTCGCTTTACTATTTTTAGTTGGTGGCTTTTCCGTCTCCTTCAGCATCTACTCAAAACCACAGTGTAGTTGCACAAGGGTAGTGGTTTTTATGTTTTGCTTACTGCTGTATTCCTTGAACTCCAGCATGAGGCCTAGGTACAGTGTAGTATTACCATAGCACAGGTCCTTGATGGTCACAGCAGTCTTCCAAAAAACCATCATGTGCTTGAGAGCTTCTGTGCTACTGAAAGGGGACACCTGTCACCCCTGCCAGCCTATTGTTGCTGTGAGTGGGTGTGGACCCACTGTTGCCAGATCTTCAGGTTGTTTTAGAAAACTCAGAAATCTAAGTTACTAGATTTTTCTGTTTTTCAGTTACTAGATTTTAAAAACACTGTTCAAACAAAACTGTTAGTTTGTAACCTTTGCCTTTACTTTCTCATAATATAATTTTTTTAGTGCCTTATTAGGCACTTTAATGAGAGACGGCAGCCGTTTAATTTACTGTTAATTTGTGATGTCTTCAGAAGAGTGAATGGTTTTGCTTTCAGGATACTGCGAACTAAGGCCAAAATGTGCAGTTTGCTTCATTTGGGAATGTGTATTGTAGAAACCTGTTGGGTTCTATTGAAAAAGCAGATGGGGGTTTTGTGATGGGGGCCAGGTATGGGAGCCCCCTCATCCAGATGCAGGTGAACAGTGTGGTTCTAGAGAAGACTAGTGATTGGAAAGGTATGTGTGAGTTTTGAAACTTGGAAGAAGACAGATGAGAAGTAAACCAAGGTAGTGCCAATAGGGAAAATATTTGACTTTTCCTAGAAACATATTGAGTGCATTTAAACTGGGCAAAGTATGGACCAACTTGCCTTCATCCTGATACTATTCAACTTAGAAATGTTTTACTTTGTCATAAGGTATAACTGTTGTTAGAAATAGATAATCAGTGTCACGAAGAAAAGTCAGCACAGAGACAAAGGACCTCTCAGCAAGGCAATCTTTACTTTCTGCAGAAAGGGTGCTCCACACAGATGGAATAATGACAAGAGCACACCTGAACAAAGGAAAAGCAGACATGTTTATCCCTTATGCATTTGGGTCATCCTTACTGCTCTGTCCTGCATCCATTGGCTGGAGCTGAACCTCACAATCTTAAACTGATACTCGATTTGCTAATAGCCTAAAACTTTCCTAAATAGGTAAGTGCAACGAAGAACAAAGAAGGAGAGGAAGTTGCTTATGAAAGGTTTAAGGCTAAAACTTGCCTGGGCCTGTCCAGACATGCCTAAATAAGCCAAAGCAACTAACTGGGCTAAAGTGTAAGAACTAATAGTTGATAGGAGGCTTTAGAGTAAGGAACTGTTATTCCTAGAACAGATTTATTCAACTGATCAGATAAGCTGCCTAGAAAAAGAGGGTCAGAACATAGTTAAGGCAGTCTGATGATAAAAATCCTTTTCCTCTCAATACATCATCAGTAAGGAAGAGAAAAATAGAGGACAAAAATTAGCATTTATAGGGTTGAGATCTAAAATCAGTAGAAAAGGTTAAAAATTTATATTGTCTTTGAAAATTCCTTAAAATGCTCAACAAAAGTAAATACATAATTTTGTGTATATAACCCTTTACAATGATATGTTGGCACAAACATATAGTATATACAGCAATACACATTTTTTAATATCACAGAATATGGCTTTAGTCACTTAAGTGTGACTGCTTAGAACATTCAAACAAATTGATGAAGTTTGCTGGCTCTTCTATGGTTTTACCATCTCTGTGCCTCTCAGCAGGTCTTCATTTTTTCCTTAAAGATGTTGATGAAGCCATTGCCATTAACTTGCTGAATAATTGTTGGGAGATGCTAAAAATCTTAAATGTCACAACCAAGATGGACTTTTTCAGGCTGGATTGCATCCTGAGAGCTTATGTTCATTGAGTGAAATTTCTGCCCTACACAAATTTTTTATTCTTTGAGTATTTGCCTCTCTCCTCTTTCCTCCTCTCTGAGTCAGCATCTGTCTGACTCTTTTCTGTGTGTCTCTTTCCTCCCTGTTGCTTTCTTTGTGTCTCCCACTCCATAAGTTTTCTCTTTTCTGTAAATTTTGACTTACATCATTGCAGCTGAAGAGGTTATCCCCATCTTCATGGTGAAGCAGCCTCAGAGAGATCAAGTGACATGCCCAAGAACAACAAAGCTAGTGAACAGTAGAACCAGAAGACAGACGGTGCCAAGGATGAAGAGAAAACATTGGAGAGAAGTGTAGCTACTCTCTCTCTTCTCTTTTGTAAAGCTGTTACTTTTTAGGAATGTTTACATTTTAAAGTAGATTTGGGGGACCAAATAAATAATTAAGAAAAAGATTAATTCAAATTAAAGGATTGATTCCATAGTGGTGGAGTTTTAATGAGGTCATTAAGCTGTCCAGGAGTTATTTTGTAGTGAGAAATTAACTTTTTCTACATGTCCTTTATATTGTATAGTAAAAGCACTCATCTACTCTGCATTCATCTTAGGTTTGCCCTATTCCTATTGGATGATAGTTATAATACAGGTCATAGGCATGCTTTGTATAATGCCTAGTACCTAAAGTACTGAGTGCTGGTTGAATTAATGAATAACAGCCGACATTGTTTGAGTGCTTACCTCTGCTCAGGCTATTGTACTTGCAGACTTTATGTACATTATTATGATTATTTTTTGAGATGGAGTTTCGCTCTTATTGCCCAGGTTGGAGTGCAGTGGCATGATCTCGGCTCACTGCAACCTCTGCCTCCCAGGTTCAAGTGATTCTCCTGCCTCAGCCTCCCGAGTAGCTGGGATTACAGGCACCCGCCACGCCACCTAGCTAATTTTTTGTATTTTTAGTAGAGACGGGGTTTCACCATGTTGGCCAGGCTGGTCTTGAACTCCTGACCTCAGGTGATCCACCCGCCTCGGCCTCCCAAAGCACTGGGATTACAGGTGTGAGCCACCATGCCCAGCCATTATGTGCATTATTATTTCTTTCTTTCAGCTCTATTAGATGGCTGTATCCATTTTATAGATGAGAAAATAAGCAAAGAGATGTAATATAAGTTGCCTAAAATCCTGATGCTGAAATTCATACCCAGGTTTAGGTGATACCACAGCCCATGTTCTTTCCCACATACCACACCAATTCTTGAAAACACTTTTGTGTGTTTTTTCTTTCTCTCAATTCAAGCATACCATTCATTTCTTGGAAAAAAAAAATTGACTTTTAATAGGACTCTTGAAGAGTGAATCATCTGTTTGGATCTTCCAGATCATAGAACTGCCTTGATGTACTTTGATGACGCTGGAGGAATCTGCTTCATCTAGCTGAGAGAGAATCTTTTTCGGTCACTTGCATTTAGAGATTAGGGAGTAGTAATGATACCAGACATTACATAGCAGTTCTTCTTTTCCAGATCTCCATGGTTTTGGCAATTCATTTAGAATACAGTGCCTAAGAATTATGTTTCTGGTGGAATAGTTGGTGTGTTATGGCAGAGAGGAGGAGGATATTTATGGCATCCCAAGTTTAGAACAAATTCCATGAAATTTATTTCAAACATAACAACAGTAATCTCTTGCACATACATCATCTCGCGTAATCTTTACAACATCCACACGCAGGAAAGGAATGCATGAAAAGTACAAGTTCTGTTTTTAGCAGACTGAACACCATATAATAAGAATCTTGGAGGTGACATATTTACCCAGTGTCTCACAGTCAAGAGGCCACAAGGATAGCAAATACGTTCACAAGGAAAGGGGAAGTTTTAAAATGACAGATAGCTATAATTAAAGTTAGTGAAGAAAGGTTCAGTTATCAAGGGACAAATGAGTCAGCAGCAAGTTTAAACACAAACTGTGAACTCTGGGTGTTTCTCTCATTGTGACTTATTTTAAGAGAGTATGATGCCATCCACACTCAGAAAGTAGCCTGAATCTAGATTAGGAAGACCAAGTCTTAAGTGTCCCAGAGATGATGTTACATTATACCTAAGAAAATAATTATCTTGTTGAGTTATAATTCCTGAAGTTAGAATGATTTAAGTGTTATATTTGTTAGATATACTGGAAGTTTCAGGCAAAGTTATTGAGCATTTCTGTCTACTTCTACTTCATTTTTAAAAGGTTTTTTTTTTTTTTTAAAGAAAGTTTAAGTAGAATTTTGGCATCTTAGTGCGTGGTGTGTTATTGTGTGTATAGCAAGTAGACATGGTTTACTCATTAACTATCTGAAATTTTGAAGTCAAATGAAATGTTTCAAGTTAATATTGTAATTTGGCTTTATAAAGCAGCTATAATTGAATATTATATGTATATGGTAGCAAATAGGGAAAAAACTGCGTATAGAAATTCAGAGCTACTTGTATAGAAATGCATTGTTGGTGAACAACATTTGAAATCGAGCACAGTCATACAATTTTACACATTCAAATAATACTAATGACTTGCTACATTTCATTTCAATTTAAGATTTTAGGAGCATTAATGTGGTATCACAAAAAGGGCACAATAATGGAAATCGAAAGACCTAACTTAGACATTAATGAATGGATTCTACCCACTCTGGCAATTCAGTTTCTGTCTCTGGATCTCATGTCCTCACATAGGGGAAAGGCTTCATCTGTAAGGCTGCCTGCCAGATGATGATAGATGATGATGACGCGCTCTACTGCTAACATGTGCTGTCTTTTCAGTATCATTCTAATATGTTTTCTTTGGAATTCCATACTTTAAGGAGATGTTCTGAAGTAATGAAGCAAAAGTTATTTACAAAGATATCCTTTATGATATTATTTGTAATTAATATATTAACAACGTATAATAGTTGAAGGCTAGTTATGTAAAATATGCAACATCAATTCAATGAAATATTTTGCAATCATTAAAAATGATGTGAGGAGTTTTAATAACATCAGGAAATAAATGCTTATGCTATTAAGAGTTAACAGGGTATAAAGTTGAGTATTCAGTATGATTACAAGTAGGTTAACTACACATTTATGTAAAGTAGACTTCATCAAAATTAAAACCTCCAACTTATCACGACAGACATTAAGGTAGTGAATGGACAAGCTACAACATAGGACAAAATATTCACAAAACATGTATCTTACAAAGAATATAGTATATCCAGACTGTGTAAAAAACTGGAACTAATAATAAGAGACAACACACTTCTGTTTAAAAATTAGCAAAGGTTTGAACAGACTTCACAAAAGAAGATAAACAAATGGCTAATAAACATATGAAAAATATTTTTTAAACCACATTCATAGAATAAACACTGCTGGTTGTAGCATTATGCTTCTACCTTGTCTCTTTATCTACCTTCATTTTTTAAAATGTATTTATTCTTCACTAGTTTTCTATAAAGAGTCTATATAGTTTTATAATCAAGAAACCAAAATCCCTCAATTTACTGAGAAAGAACTATTGGTTAGGAGTGACAAGCATGCTTGGGAGGATATTTTCTTAGAAAAGAGGTAAGTGTTGTAAAACAAAACAAAAAGCGTATTTCTTCTTCTAAGATTTCAGAAGAATTGAAAGAAGAAAGGTACATGGCTGCTTTATCTTCACCCCTAGTTTTATCCTAAGTGTGCCCCTTCAGTCTCTGCCTATCACTGAGACAGTCTGGTGGACAGTGAGAAGCAGCCTCATAATTACCCTTTGTTATTCTCTGTTAACTCTCATCATCCCCATTAACTGTATGTCGTTGATTTATTTGCCAGGTCCTTGTCACTTTGTCCTTGAAATATCAGAAAGTGTTAGTGGTTCTTGTGGAGAGTGTTGCCTCTTTGTATATGTTGAAAGAGGAGGAGGAATGCTTGCAAAATGTATTGTATGCATGACTGTATTTCATAAGGCATATTTTAGCTTACAAAGCACTCTCCCATCTATTATCTTATTTAATTTTCACAACAACTTAGTGTGGTAGGTAGATAGTATTAATCCCATTTTACGGATGAGGTTCTGCACAATCAGTTGTCCTGCACAGTTCTATCAATCAACCCCCAACAAAAAATTCTCCTGTGCCACTTTGTAGTTGACTCCTCCCCCCATTCCCAGCCCCTGGCAACCACTGTTTTGTTTTTTCTATATATAATTTTAATTTTTCCAGAATGTTGTATAGGTAGAATTGTACAGTGTGTAGCCTTTTGAGTGGCTTCTTTCACTTATCAGAGTGCATTTGACATTCATTAACAGTATTGCTAGTTATCTGCAGTTTGTTGCATTCTATTGCTGAGTAGTATCTCATCGCATGGATATACCATAGTTTGTTTATTCATTTACCAGTTGAAGAACATCTCAGTTGTTTCCAGCTGGTGGCCATTATGAATAAAACTGCTAGGATTCATGTACAGAGTTTTATGTGAATATGTCTTAATTTCTATTGAGTAAATATCCAGGCATAAGATTGATGGCTTTGGTAAGCATATGATTGCTGGGATTAGTAAGCATATGATGTTTAGCTTATAAGAAATGGACATTTTGTCGATATTATTTATAAAATTTTAAAAAAAAGAAATGGACAAACTGTTTTTCAATGTGCAGTCTATGAGAATTGCACCCTCACCAGCACTTGGATTATTTTTCGTTTTGTTTTTCATTCTGCTATTCTAATAAGTATGTAGTGATATCTCATTGTGGTTTTAATTTATGTTTTTCTAACCTTTTTTATATTTAAATTTTTCATATAATGTTCATGTTTGTCTATTAGCATATCTTCTACATTTATTCTTTAATTCATTCCAGAAACACTATAGGTGACCTGTAGCAATGGTTCTTAGAGTGATTCTCATACCAGTAGCATGAGCATCACCTAGAAACTTATTAAAAATATAAATTTTTAGGTTCTACCCTAGACCTACTGAATCTGAAACTGGGAGAGTAAGACTGAATTTTCAGCTCTCCAAATGATTCTCCTGTAACCCAAAGTTTGAGAACCACTGGTTTACAGCGGAGGTGCTCACCCATCCCTAGGCGTCAATATCAACTGTGAACATTAAAAAAAGAAAAGAAAATCAGAGTTCAGTCTCTACCCCAGAGATTCAGATTAAGTTTGTGTCTGGTAAGTCCACAGGCATTTTTTTTTAATGTTCTCCTGGCAATGCTAATGTACAATGAGGGTTGAAAATAATCTACTGAAAGTTGTTTACTAGGCGCTCTAAACGATACAAATCTGACACCAATTCCAGATCTGATGCAGCTTATTATTTAAAAGGGAGGATCCATACAAACATATCTTAGCATAGTCATAAGCACATACATATAAGTCACTTAGTAATTACCTAATGAATTAAATTGTACTTGGTGTCCTGGTTTTAAATATAAATGAACTTCATTTACCCATATCTCAGAGCCTCATTTTGAAACTCGATGTTGTACTTAGCATTCATTCATTCAACAGATGTTCATTTAATATGCTGGGAATATGGCAGTGAACAAAATAGACAAGTCTCTATGCTCATGGAGCTTACATTCTGGCACTGACCATCAACCCACTTTACAGTATTTTGGGGGAAATATATTTCTTTATAACTCTAAAACAAATATGCCTATTTATTGATAGTCTTAATCATGATATTTGTGTTATGCTCAAGTACTGTCTTTCAGAGTTATTTGCCTTGTATTTGTTAAAGTTTATGTTAGTCATTACATTCTTTTTCCTGAATAACTTTTTTTTTTTTTTTTTTTTTTTTTGAGATGGAGTCTCATTCTGTCACCCAGGCTGGAGTGCAGTGGTGTGATCTCGGCTCACTGCAACCTCCAACTCTTGGGTTCAAGCAATTCTGCTGCCTCCCAAGTAGCTGGGATTACAGGTGCCTGCCACCATGTGAAGCTGATTTTTATATTTTTAGTGGAGACTGGGTTTCACCGT
The DNA here is from genome assembly GCF_000001405.40 of Homo sapiens. Classification (NCBI taxonomy): domain Eukaryota; kingdom Metazoa; phylum Chordata; class Mammalia; order Primates; family Hominidae; genus Homo; species Homo sapiens. The sequence continues at coordinate 125,196,083 of NC_000008.11, forward strand.
GTTGGCCAGGCTCCTGGTCTCGACCTCCTGACCTTATGTGATCCTCCTGCCTTGGCCTCCCAAAGTGCTGGGATCACAGGCATCAGCCACCAAGTGCAGCCCTGGATAACTTTTTTTTTTCTTTTTTTTTTTTTTTATACTTTAAGTTCTAGGGTACATGTGCACAACGTGCAGGTTTGTTACATAGGTATACATGTGCCATGTTGGTTTGCTGCACCCATCAACTCGTCATTTACATTAGGTATTTCTCCTAATGCTATCCCTCCCCCAGCACCCCTACTCCCTGACAAGCCGTGGTGTGTGATGTTCCCCGCCCTGTGTCCAAGTGTTCTCATTGCTCAATTTCCACCTGTGGGTGAGAACATGTGGATTTGGTTTCCTGTCCTTCTGATAGTTTCCCAAGAATGATGGTTTCCAGCTTCATCCATGTCCCTGCAGAGGACATGAACTCATCCCTTTTATGGCTGCATAGTATTCCATGGTGTATATGTGCCACATTTTCTTAATCCAGTCTATCATTGTTGGACATTTGGGTTGGTTCCAAGTCTTTGCTATTGTGAATAGTGCCACAGTAAACATATGTGTGCATGTGTCTTTACGGTAGCATGATTTATAATCCTTTGGGTATATACCCAGTAATGGGATCGCTGGGTCAAATGGTATTTCTAGTTCTAGATCCTTGAGGAATTGCCCAACTGTCTTCCACAGTGGTTGAACTAATTTACACTACCATCAACAGTGTAAAAGCATTCCTACTTCTCCACATCCTCTCCAGCACCTGTTGATTCCTGACTTTTTAATGATCGCCATTCTAACTGGCATGAGATGGTATCTCATTGTGGTTTTGATTGCATTTCTCTGATGACCAGTGATGATGGGCATTTTTTCATGCGTCTGTTGGCCGCATAAATGTCTTCTTTTGGGAAGTGTCTGTTCGTATCCTTTGCCCACTTTTTAATGGGGTTGTTTTTTTCTTGTAAATTTGTTTAAGTTCTTTGTAGATTCTGGATATTAGCCCTTTATCAGATAGGTAGATTGCAAAAATATTCTCCCATTCTGTAGGTTGCCTGTTCACTCTGATGGTAGTTTCCTTTGCCATGCAGAAGCTCTTTAGTTTAATTAGATCCCATTTGTCTATTTTGGCTTTTGTTTCCATTGCTTTTGGTGTTTTAGTCATGAAGTCCTTGCCCATGCCTATGTCCTGAATGGTATTGCCTAGGTTTTCTTCTGGGGTTTTTATGGTTTTAGGTCTAACATTTAAGTCTTCAATCCATCTTGAATTAACTTTTGTATAAGGTGTAAGGAAGGGATCCAGTTTCAGCTTTCTACATATGACTAGCCAGTTTTCCCAGCACCATTTATTAAATAGAGAATCTTTTCCCCATTTCTTGTTTTTGTCAGGTTTATCAAAGATCGGATGGTTGTAGATGTGTGGTGTTATTTCTGAGGCCTCTGTTCTGTTCCATTGGTCTGTATATCTGTTTTGGTACCAGTATCATGCTGTTTTGGTTACTGTAGCCTTGTAGTATAGTTCGAAGTCAGGTAGCCCACAGCTTTGTTCTTTTTGCTTAGGATTTTCTTGGCAATGTGGGCTCTTTTTTGGTTCCATGTGAACTTTAAAGTAGTTTTTTCCAATTCTTTGAAGAAAGTCATTGGTAGCTTGATGGGGATGGCATTGAATCTATAAATTACTTTGGGCAGTATGGCCATTTTCACTATATTGATTCTTCCTATCCATGAGTATGAAATGTTCTTCCATTTGTTTTTGTCCTCTTTTATTTCATTGAGCAGTGGTTTATAATTCTCCTTGAAGAGGCCCTTCACATCCCTTGCAAGTTGGATTCCTAGGTATTTTATTCTTTTTGTAGCAATTGTGAATGGGAGTTCACTCATGATTTGGGTCTCTGTCTGTTATTGGTGTATAGGAACGCTTGTGATTTTTGCACATTGATTTTGTATCCTGAGACTTTGCCGAAGTTGCTTATCAGCTTAAGGAGATTTTGGGCTCAGACGATGGGGTTTTCTAACTATACAATCATGTAATCTGCAAACAGGGACAATTTGGCTTCCTCTTTTCCTTATTGAATACCCTTTATTTCTTTCTCTTGCCTGATTGCCCTGGCCAGAACTTCCAACACTATGTTGAATAGGAGTGGTGAGAGAGGGCAGCCTTATCTTGTGCCGGTTTTCAAAGGGAATGCTTCCAGTTTTTGCCCATTCAGGATGATATTGGCTGTGGGTTTGTCATAAATAGCTCTTATTATTTTGAGATATGTTGCATCGATACCTAGTTTATTGAGAGTTTTTAGCATGAAAGGCTGTTGAATTTTGTCAAAGGCCTTTTCTGCATCTATTGAGATAAGCATGTGGTTTTTGTCATTGGTTCTGTTTATGTGATGGATTACATTTATTGATTTGCGTGTGTTGAACCAGCCTTGCATCCCAGGGATGAAGCCTACTTGATCGTGGTGGATAAGTTTTTTGATGTGCTGCTGGATTCGATTTGCCAGTATTTTACTGAGGATTTTCACATCGATGTTCATCAGAGATATTGGTCTAAAATTCTCTTTTTTTGTTGTGTCTCTGCCAGGCTTTGGTATCAGGATGATGCTAGCCTCATAAAAGGAGTTAGGGAGGTTCCCTCTTTTTCTGTTGATTGGAATGGTTTCAGAAGGAATGGTACCAGCTCCTCTTTGTACCTCTGGTAGAATTAGGCTGTGAATCTGTCTGGTCCTGGGCTTTTTTTGGTTGGTAAGCTATTAGTTACTGCCTCAATTTCAGACCCTGTTATTGGTCTATTCAGAGATTCCACTTCTTCCTGGTGTAGTCTTGGGAGGGCATATGTGTCCAGGAATTTATCCATTTCTTCTAGATTTTCTAGTTTATTTGTGTAGAGGTGTTTATAGTATTCTCTGATGGTAGTTTGTATTTCTGTGGGATTGGTGGTGATATCCCCTTTATCATTTTTTTATTGCGTCTGTATGATTCCTCTCTCTTTTCTTCTTTATTAGTCTTGCTAGTGGTCTGTCAATTTTGTTGATCTTTTCAAAAAACCTGGATTCATTGATTTTTTGAAGGGTTTTTTTGTGTATCTCCTTCAGTTCTGCTCTGATCTGAGTTATTTCTTGCCTTCTGCTAACTTTAGAATTTGTTTGCTCTTGCTTCTCTAGTTCTTCTAATTGTGATGTTAGGGTGTCGATTTTAGATCTTTCCTGCTTTCTCTTATGGGCATCTAGTGCTATAAATTTTCCTCTGCACACTACTTTAAATGCATCCCAGAGATTCTGGTACGTTGTATCTTTGTTCTCATTGGTTTCAAAGAACATCTTTATTTCTGCCTTCATTTCGTTATTTACCCAGTAGTCATTCAGGAGCAAGTTGTTCAGTTTCCATGTAGTTGTGCGGTTTTAAATGAGTTTCTTAATCCTGAGTTCTAATTTGATTGCACTGTGGTCTGAGAGTTTGTTGTGATTTCTCTTCTTTTACATTTTCTGAGGAGTGCTTTGCTTCCAATTATGTGGTCAGTTTTAGAATAAGTGTGATGTGGTGCTGAGAAGAATGTATATTCTGTTGATTTGGGGTGGAGAGTTTTGTAGATGTCTATTAGGTCTGCTTGGTGCAGAGCTGAGTTCAAGTCCTGGATATCCTTGTTAACCTTCTGTCTTGTTTATCAGTCTAATATTGACAGTGGGGTGTTAAAGTCTCCCGTTATTATTGTGTGGGAGTCTAAGTCTCTTTGTAGATCTCTAAGGACTTGCTTTATGAATCTGGGTGCGCCTGTGTTGGGTGCATATATATTTAGAATGGTTAGCTCTTCTTGTTGAATTGATCCCTTTACCATTATGTAATGGCCTTCTTTGTCTCTTGATCTTTGTTGGTTTAAAGTCTGTTTTATCCGAGACTAGGATTGCAACCCCTGCTTTTCTTGCTTTCCATTTGCTTGATAGATCTTCCTCCATCCCTTTATTTTGAGCCTATGTGTGTCTCTGCACATGAGATGGGTCTCCTGAATACAGCACATTGTTGGGACTTGACTCTTTATCCAATTTGCCAGTCTGTGTCTTTTAATTGGGGCATTTAGCCCATTTATATTTAAGGTTAATATTGTTATGTTTGGATTTGATCCTGTCATTATGATGTTAGCTGGTTATTTTGCCCGTTAATTGATGCAGTTTCTTCCTAGCCTCGATGGTCTTTACAGTTTGGCATGTTTTTGCGGTGGCTGGTACCAGTTGTTCCTTTCCATGTTTAGTGCTTCCTTCAGGAGCTCTTGTAAGGCAGGCCTAGTGGTGACAAAATCTCTCAGCATTTGCTTGTCTGTAAAGGATTTTATTTCTCCTTCACTTATGAAGCTTAGTTTGGCTGGATATGAGATTCTGGGTTGAAAATTATTTTCTTTAAGAATGTTGAATATCGGCCCCCACTCTCTTCTGGCTTGTAAGATTTCTGCTGAGAGATCCGCTGTTAGTCTGATGGGCTTCCCTTTGTGGGTAACCTGACTTTTCTCTCTGCCTGCCCTTAACATTTTTTCCTCCGTTTCAACCTTGGTTAATCTGACAATTATGTGTCTTGGGGTTGCTCTTCTCGAGGAGTATCTTTGTGGTGTTCTTATATTTCCTGAGTTTGAATGTTGGCCTGCCTAGCTACGTTGGGGAAGTTCTCCTGGATAATATCCTGAAGAGTTTTTTCCAACTTGGTACCATACTCCCTGTCACTTTCAGCTACACCAATCAAACGTAGGCTTGGTCTTGTCACATAGTCCCATATTTCTTGGAGGCTTTGTTTCTTTTTACTCTTTTTTCTCTAACTTTTCTTCTTGCTTTATTTCATTAATTTGATCTTCAATCACTGATATCATTTCTTCCAGTTGATCGAATCGGGTATTGAAGCTTGTGCATGCATCACGAAGTTCTTGTGCCTTGGTTTTCAGCTCTATCAATTCATTTAAGGTCTTCTCTATACTGTTTATTCTAGTTAGTCATTCGTCTAACCTTTTTTCAAGTTTTTTAGCTTCCTTGTGATGGGTTAGAACATGCTCCTTTAGCTTGGAGAAGTTTGTTATTACTGACCTTCTGAAGCCTACTTCTGTCAACTCGTCAAAGTCATTCTCCGTCCAGGTTTGTTCCATTGCTGGCGAGGAGCTGTGATCCGTTGGAGGAGAAGAGGCACTTTGGTTTTTAGAATTTTCAGCTGTTCTGCTCTGGTTTCTCCCCATCTTTTTGGTTTTATCTACCTTTGGTCTTTGATGTTGGTGACCTACAGATGGGGTTTTGGTGTGGATGTCCTTTTTGTTGATGTTGATGCTATTCCTTTCTGTTTGTTAGTTTTCCTTCTAACAATCAGGTCCCTCAGCTGCAGGTCTGTTGGAGTTTGCTGGAGGTCCATTCCAGACCTTGTTTGCCTGGGTATCACCAGCGGAGGCTGCAGAATCACAAATATTGCAGAACAGCAAATATTGCTTCCTGATCCTTCCTCTGGAAGTTTTGTCCCAGAGGGGCACCCGCCTGTATGAGTTGTCTGTCAGTCCCTACTGGGAGTTGTCTTCCAGTTAGGCTACACAGCGCTCAGGGACCCACTTGAGGAAGCAGTGTGTCCATTCTCAGAGCTCAGTCGTTGTGCTGAGAGAACCACTGCTCTCTTCAGAGCTGTCAGACAGGGACGTTTAAGTCTGCGAAAGTTTCTGCTGCCTTTTGTTCAGCTATGCCCTGTCCACAGAGGTGGAGTCTATAGAGGCAGTAGCCCTTGATGAGCTGTGGTGGGCTCCCCCAAGTTCAAGCTTCTCAGCCGCTTTGTTTACCTACTCAAGCCTTAGCAATGGCGGACACCCCACCGTCCCCCACCCCATTCCCCCGCCTTCCTGCGAAGCTTCAGCCTCGCAGGTTCTCAGGCTGCTGCGCTAGCAGTGAGCAAGGCTCCGTCGGCATGGGACCTGCCAAGCCAGGCACAGGAGAGAATCTCCTGGTCTGTTGGTTGCTAAGACCATGGGAAAAGCACAGTATTTTGGCGAGAGTGTCCTGTTTTTCCAGGTACAGTCTGTCACGGCTTCCCTTGGCTAGGAAAGGGAAATCCTCTGGCCCCTTGCGCTTCCTTCGTGAGGCAATGCCCCGCCCTACTTCACCTTGCCCTCCATGGGCTGCACCAGCTGTCCAACCAGTCCCAGTGAGATGAACCAGGAACCTCAATTGGAAATGCCAAAATCACCAGTCTTCTGCGTCGATCACGCTGGGAGCTGCAGACCGGAGCTGTTCCTATTCAGCCATCTTGGAACGGACCAGCCCTGGATAACTTTTTAAACTCATTTATTTAGTCACCTATATATGTTGATAACAGTGGTACAGATAGAGACTGTCTAAACCATGGAAAGATAACTGGAATCTGAAATGAGAAAATGTAAGTTCAGATAGTGGCACAACCAAGTAATAGTTTGTGGTTTTTAAAGCACATCAATGAAATTATATTTTTATGCAAAGTATAGTAATATAATAATAATGCTAACTAGCCCACAGAGTTGTTTATGGGTTAAATCAAATATTATATGTGAAAAGTGTTTTATAAACTGTCATATACTCCCCAAATATTAGTTACCTGATATTTTTGAACTTATTAGAGGCATTTACTTTAATAATTTTCATTTATACATATACTTAAATTGTATAAGGATAAACATTTTAAAGTTATTATCAATTGGCATGAATTCTTAAGCATAAGCAATGTTTTAATAATTTTGTTAATGTGTTAAAGATCTTAATGAAGGATAAAATATTGCTGGACTTTCAAGTAGTTAAGGAATGTTCTGTAATTGGCAAGGGTGGGAACAAAAAAATGTTGACAAGGTAACACATCATTTTTCAGTACAGTATTGGTTTTGACAACCTTTTCTTGATAGGAAGACAGAAACTGAAGTGTCAGGAATTGCTGTATTCACCATGAACCTTCCTATGCTCTGATGAAAACATGAATATTTGTTATAAGCAAATGAAATGGAGCTGCAGCTATCACTATGTACTCTGTGGGCCTTTAATACAGTAGGGATTCCTTTATAGATATACATAGATTTAAATTGAAAAAAATGGTCTTTGCTGTTTGAGCTCAGTTGTTTAGTTAGCCTTTAAAAAAAAAAAAAATCACCAGATAACTTATCGTAAATGTTGTGTGTGTGTGTGTGTCTGTATGTATATATATAATTTTTTTAGTACCCTCATCTCCTGTCAACCTGTTTGCCAGATTATAGACTGTATCATACCCATGGACCTTGCATAACTAATATCTAGAAAGAGGAAGGGAAGGAGGCAGAAATGGCTTCCTAGGGAGAAGCTTTTACTGAGAAATAAGCCACATGGCTCCACAGCCAGCCCATAGGTCTTTGAGATATATACAGCCCATGCTTCATCCTACCCCTACCTTGTAAATGTTAATAGACTTTATTCTTAAATAATTATTGTTAACAGACTCTTTTTTAAGAACAGTTTTAAGTTCATAGCAAAATTGAGCATAAGATACAGAGATTTCCCATATACCCCACATGTGCATAGATTCCCCCATTATCAATATTTTAGTGAGTAGGCCCCTACTATATTCAGAGCACTGCTAGTCACTAGGAATGTAAGTAAGTAATTGATGTCTTGGAGGTGAGAAGAAAAGGAGACTAGTCTCTTGAGATTACAAGGTCCTAGAAATTTAACATGCAAAATCTGGAGAAGATAGAGAGTAGGGTGGGGTTGTTGAAAGGTTTTTAGTAGGGTTTTCCAAAGTAAACATAGTCAGGTTATTTTAAAAAATAAAATATAACTTGTTAGCTTGAAAGTAGGAGAAAAAAATTTAAAAAAATAAAATTTCAGTGTTAGATATATTAGTCAGTTTACTTTCCTATGGGATTCCCTAGTCCTTATCGTGTAATTTACATTTGGCTAGAATGTCATTGCGGTGAGACAGATGCTTGTCTGTCTTAATCTGTTATATCCCTAGTGCCTAAAACAGTACCTGTCATGGAACCAGTGCTTAGTATATATTTGGGAAGTGAATAAAGGATTATAGAAGGGGGTTATGACTTAGTTCATGTGACCTTTTTTCCCCCATGGGACAAATATTTCATGACAAATACTTTGACACATAGTAGTCCTGGGAATAAAAGATAGGTCAAGGCCCTTTTTGCGAAGGTTACCTTGGCAGACCTGGGCAACAACTACACTCTTAAGCACAAAGTGTGGCTGCCTGTTTGTTGGAGGTGTTCCCAGACTTCCTGGCAACCTTCCTTGCCCAGTTTGACCATTGGGTCCTTCCTTATAGAAGGTACTTCCTTTCTCTTTCCCGAGAGGACACTATACTGTGACTTCACTTCAGTTGCCTAAGGTAGGAAACTTACAAATTAGACTCAAGAACTTTTCATTCCTTCCTCCAATCATCAGCCTTAACAACCTCCATCTTTCCTTTATATGGAAGCATTAATTTTTCCCCGTACACAAAGTATTAAGTTGACCATACTTCTTATATTTGATAGTTGTATGGAGTCAAGAAAATATAGTAGTAGCTTGTTTATGTACATTTTCCTCCTGCTGTAGAGCACAGGGGTTTTACTTTACATTTACCAAAAGCAGAAAATTCCTACTGCAGAGATGGGTAAGAATTATGCCATTCAATAAGATACGCTGTCTAGTCCCATTCCTAAAAGTCTAGTCCCATTCCTAAAAATCCCTACCAGTCCCCTCTCCATTACTTTCTGCCCCCACTACTATTGCTGCTCTACTTCTGATCTTGCTGTCAGCCTCCTATATGCTCCCAGCTCTAACTAGATCCGGCCAGTTTCTACCAGAATGATCATTCTGCAGCATATACCTGGTCATGCTTGCTCACAGGAAACTGGCAAGAGTCAAGTAGGGCATGGGCTTTCCATGGCTCCCTTCAGCCCTTCTGGCTCCAGGCTCCTATTTCACTTTCTCACCGCTCTCCTCTCTAGCCCTTGGAATCCAAACACTTAACATTCCTAGAAAGTACTGTGTTCTCTTTACCTGTAGACTTTCACTCTTGCTGATCTCTTCATGGACTATTCTACCCCTCTTTCTCTTCCCTTGGTTAAGGCAAGTCCCTCCTTCTGCCTCAATGCAGAAATCACTGACTTCAGGGAGTCTTCCCTAAGGTAGAGCAAGTGCATGTCTACAATGTGAGACCTTTAAAGAAGCTTTCATCTGGAGAAGAGTATCTAATTACAAAGATTAGGAAAAAGTATGTGCTTGGCAGGAAGAGGGATTTGAGGCAAATTTTATGGTGGCTTTGAAATATCCTAATTATTTCATTTAAATAGTGTACTAAATGGAACCCCAAACTGAAATATTCAACTCATAATCTAATATTTGACATGCATTATACTGTCCCTTATCCATCAGTAAAATGTTCTGTATCTGCTGCTTTTGGTGATGGTGCATCCCAGGAGACACACTGACTGAAACACATTAACCTTCTCTCTTGACTGGCTCATTTGATTCAAATAACAAGTTCCCCCATAACCCTACTTCAAAAACTAGAAAGTATCTTACTCCATTTTCAGAATACCAAGTTGTGAGAAGCAGCGAGCTATTCTTTGTTTTTGTTACTCTTTGTTTACCATTAACCTAGTAATCACCTCGGCTGGAGGCTGGAGATTGAAGCAGGGGAGTGGGGGAGGAGGACCTGAAGGAGCAGAGGGTTGAGAAAAAATGGTTAGAATTATAGGTTGTAAATACCAGTATCGTACTTAATAAAATATGCTATCTCTGATGGTCAAGCTTAAGCTTTTATAATACAATGATTTAAGATAATTATAATCAATTGAATTTTAAAGATATAAAATGTGTGCCAAAACTCTTTAATATATTGTCCTGGTAAGTGTGCTTTTGGGAATCACTTCTAATATGATAGTCCAAAATTTAAGTGTTTTATATACAGAGATTTCTGTGTGATGTTCAACAAGAAACTTGGGAAACAATCAAGAGCTTTGTGAAAATTATCTATAAAATGACGTGTTCAGAAAATGTTTTATCATATAATATTAAATGTTAAAGCAGTATAAATATTTATATGTATTCTGATCACCGTGACCAGGTAAGGAAATACTGTAAGCCATGAACAGAAATAGAACAGAAGTCACAGGACTTGAGGAACAGCAAATAAAATAATCCAGTTAGATCAGATCATATGTATATGGGAGAAAAGATTACAAGGGTAAGTTGGGACAGATTTATGGAGTTACTTGTTGCCTTGAATAGGACAGTTTGATTAATAAGTAATGGGGAGGGTTACAGGTTTTTCATTAGCTGAGACATCTGATTAGATTTGAACTTTAGGAAAGCAAGTCTGGTTGTGGTATATAGGATAAGTTGGTATGGGAAGAGATCTTGTTACAGGGGTTTAGTCAAGTACTGATGATATGCTGAACTGCCATGGGCTAATTGGAAAGGAGAGAATGAATGCAAGAAGTGTTGTAGAAGTAGTATCTATAGGATTTGTCAAATATTTCAAATAAAGTAGACTTAGGAGAACAAGGAGTTGAAGTTGGCCATGAAGTTTCTAGTTTGGGTAACTGGGAAAATGGTGATACCATCAAAAAGTTGTAGACTGTCTCATGGAAGAACTGGTCTTTAGGTGGGGAAGGTGACTTTCATTAATGTCAAGCGTACTGAATTTAAGGTGCTGGATTTTGGTATAAATCTTCAACAAGTGGTTGGCAGTGAAAACATTTCGTGTAAGACCATGGCTAAAGAGAGGGGGAGAAAGGCTTTTCACTTGCTTCCAGGTGATAGTTGGAGCTCTAGGAGTGAAGGGAAGAGAGAGCCTAGGGAGAAGAAGAAGAGGCAGAGCCAGCAAGGAGTGCTGCAGTGAGGGGAGAAGGACCAAGGGGCTTATGGGCCAAAAAGCATTAAAGGGAGAAAGTTTGTCTTCTTAGTATCATGTTCTTATTTTAGTTGAATTTCCTATTACCAAGGATGCACACATTTCTGAGTCCTAAATAAAATTATTCATACTTTTCATATTCAAAAATTCAAAAACTAAGTTCCATAACCTAGTAAGATTATGGGGGCAGAGGGATGGAATTCACCAGTTTTTTTTTTTCTCTGCTTCTACTTCATTGGTAGTATTGGTTAAGAGTTTTCTTCATAGCTTCTTTTTCCTCTCCCAGAAATTGGTATTTAAAGCAATAAAGAGTAAAGGTCACACCTGACTTCTCTTGTCTAATTTTATAAGCAGGAAACACACTGTGTAGTTTAAAAAAAATTCTCATAGCACATAAAGTGATATAAATGAGGTATACACATTTATTAGATAATATTTTAAAAAATCAGTTCATCCCAAAGCTAGCAATTACTTTTTATTTAGAAATTTTACTTTAATCATAATTTGATTTTTAAGGTATTTTAAAATAAATATTAAACATAAAAGAATGATTTTCAGTGGCTGTAGTTCAAAACTGCTGTGGAATAGAAATTAGTATTGTGACACCATTTAAGTGTCCAGTTTTAAATTAAATGGTGTTGAGTTTCCAGCTCTCTTAGTTTTTATTGTGGAACAAACCACCCCAAAACGTAGTAGCTTAAAATAACCATTTATTTGGCTCGTGACTATTTGGCTTTGTCATTTGGATGGGGTTTAGCTGGGTGAGTCTTCTGCCGGTTAGGAGGGGCTTCCTCACACTGCCAGATTGGCTGGGAGCTTCTGCGCCTAGAATGTCTTCAGCTGTGACAGCTGATCCCTGCTCCATGTGGTTGCAGCCTCCAGCAGATGAGTTCAGATTTGTTCACATGGTAGCAGTGGGTAGGCAAGAGCCTCTAGAGCCGGAGCTGAAGAGCTCTTGAGGCCTGGACTTGGAAATCTCACAGTGTAACTTTTGTCAGACTTTTGGTCAAAGAAATTACAAGGCAGCCCAGATTCTAAGGGTGGGAGAATAGACTCTGCTTCTTGATGGGAGGGTGGTAGAAAATACTGTGGCCAGATTGTCAGTCAGCCATCCAGCTCATATTCATTTGTTCATTTTGAATACTCAAATACGAGTTTTTAACTGCTGAAACATCATTGACTGTATGTGTGTGTGTGTTTCATTCATCCTCTTTTCTCAGTACATTACCCCTGCAAAACAAGGAGGTATTTGAAGTAATCTCACTCTTCTGATTCATCTGTTTGATGAAAGACATGTTTGTTTATTCAGATATTAAAACAACTTGAAAAGAGAGTGTAACATAAATAAAATAAAACTACAGCTGGTTTACCTATACAGTATTTGTTAAGTATCTTTAACTGTCTGTTTTTGCCTGGCACTGGACTAGATGTATAGGAATAGAGAAAAAGAAACATGGGACATAGTCTTTACTTTCAAGAAGTTTATATGCTTATAGCATGGGTAAAATTTATACCCAACAAATAATTTATTAATGTACCAAGGACTATGCTTTAATCAAAGGTAGTACATAGATGGATATGACCTAGTCCTTTTAGTGGAAATAGATATTTAAAATAGTTATAATTCAAAGCATGAGAGAAATATAAACTGAGTGCTGTTGAATTAGAAAAAGAATAGGAGGAGACAAATGATTGAGTGCCAGCGTAAGTGTTTCATACAATTAACACCTGAGAAGGGAGACATCTTTGAAACCAGAGGGTGATGGCTTCATACAGAAAATGAGTCTTGAACAAGACTTTGAAGAAGAGGTAGAATTTGAATAAGTGGAGAGGTAGGAATCCTACTCAATTTAGAATTGAGTTGTTTTCCCAAGAAGGTAATTATCTAATTAGAGTCTTTTCAAGTGGCAAGTATTAAAGAGCATGCAATAACATGACTATAGAAAGACTGTAGAAAACATTATGCTGGGAAGATTGCTGTCAATGTTTTTTTCCTCTCCAATGGTGCCAAGGCTTAATTTTGTTTTCTTTTTCTCTTAAAACTTTTTTAGAGATGGGGTCTTGCTGTGTTGCCCAGGCTGGTCTTGAACTCCTGGGCACAGATGATCCCCTCGTCTCAGTCTCCTGAGTGGCTGGGACTACAGCCATGCACCACTGTGACCAATTTGATTTTCTATCGTCAGCTATTTGTGTACTTTAATTGGAAGACTGAGTAAAGAATGGTTATTTTATAAGGGAAATGCACATTTTGTTTTTATTGAATAGTACTCTGTAGCCATGTATTGATTGAAAAAAAATAGAAACAAATAATGTGTATCTCTGCTGACGAAGAAGTACAACATAGACAAAAGTAAGGAAACCCCCATTGAGTGATGTCAACTGGGTACTTTCTACAAGTATATCTGGCTTTATTTAGGGACTAAACCGGTAGAAATAATTGGGGGAATTTCCTTTCCTAAATTTGACAGGTAAATTTGCTTTTCATACTTTCTGTTTTAGTTGCTTATATTTAAACTATTTTGAGAAGGAGAAGGATCAATTAAAATGTATTTTATTTAGTGCTAATTGAATAGTACCATATTTAAACTTATACCAATTTCCAAAGTACTTGATGTAACTATATATAATTAGTAATAGAATATAGGAATCATGATTTTTATTTTGGTAAATTAAAGGTAGTTTTTCTCTGTTAAAATGGGATTTAAAACACCTTTATGAATGAATCCCTTTATCTAGTTTATCATTGCCTTTCCTATGAAAGTAGTGATACTTGACTAATACTGTCTAACTTAATTGCTACCATGTGGTGAATTCTAGAGAATTCTTTAGGGGAAATTTTTCTACTACATTTATTTTCAATGACAAGAAATTGGGAGAATTTATAATAGCTCTTATCATTTCATGTATTTTAATATCTGGACTATATGTTCGGTCCAAAGAGAATATATCACAGAGTGATCATAAGTTGAAATGAGATAACACATGAAAGTATTTTGTAAACTGCAAAGTCCTATGCAAATAAATGTTAGGTGATACTATTGTTCTGAGATTAGCATTTGTTCTTTCAAGGTCTCTACAGAATAGTCACAGTTCATAGCTTAGACTCTAGATCCACGTGTTCTAAGATCAAGTCTAGGTTCAGCCCCTTACTAGCTCTGTAACCCGGGATAAGTTTCTAAACCTCTCTATACCTCAGTTCCTCTGTCTGTTAAAATGACATAATAATAGTTTACCCACTTCAAAGGATTGTTGTGGAGATTCAATGAATTTATATATGAAAGTCATTTGCAACAGTGTCTTGGCACACAGTAAATGTTATGTGTTAGCTATTCATTACTGTCATTATTACTACATCATGTAGAATAGATAATTGCTTTCTGATATATGCTAATCATGTTTTTCTCTGTGGAATTCTTCCTTTACTCTCCTAGTTTTGCATTTTCCTGAAAGAGAGAGCTCATTGAGGGTGATGACTGAATCTCATCAATTTTTATGTCCTCAGCAGCTTATGATAGACATTCAATAAGTGCATGGATTACATTATACACACATGACCACTTAAGAGAGAAATACATACTATAGAAGAACTGTAGAAAGGGAAGTAGCATTCAGCATCTGCACAATGTTAGTCTCTTTCTCTTTCTGGTCCATCTTACCCTTTTCAGCCTAAAAATTGCCTCATTTTGTTCCTTTTTTTTCTCACCGATCTGGCCTCAAGGGTGCCTTCCCAGTTTTACCTAGCCATCTCTTCCCCAGGTTGATTTCTTTATTTTTTTATTTTTGTTTGAGACAGGGTCTCACTCTGTTGCCAAGGCTGGAGTGCAGTGGCGTGATCTCGGCTCACTGCTCACTGCAACCTCCACCTCTGGGGTTCAAGCGATTCTTATGCCTCAGCCTCCCCAGTAGCTAGGACTACAGGTATGTGCCAATATGCCACTATGCCCGGCTAATTTTTTTTGTATTTTTTGGTAGAGATGAGATTTCACCATGTTGGCCAGGCTGGTCTTGGACCCCTGGCCTCAAGTGATTCACCTGCCTTGGCCTCCCAAAGTGCTAGGATTACAGGTGTGAGCCACCATGCCTGGCCTCCCAGATTGATTTCATTCCCACTACCTTTTGTGGGAAACCTTCATTAACCACTCCTGCCCAAGACAGTCTCTTCTGTTCTATTATACATTTTATATGTGTATGTATAATAACATTATTATATATGTATATTCTCTGCTCTTCTTTAAAGGTTTTATCTTTTTTATTAGGTGATACATGCACATAGTACAAACTTCACAAAGTGCAAAAGACTATGGTGAAAAGTGGGCCTCTGCCTCCCTGGAAACAGTTACTCTTACCAGTTCCTTACATATCCCTGTGGAAATAGTCTCTGTGTTGCACAGCTTGCACATGTGTTTTAATGGTAGCATATTGGATACTCTGTTCTACTTTGCTTTGTTCACATAATATATTTTGAATATTCCATATCAGTACATATAGCACTGCCTCACTTTTTAATGGCTATATAAAATAGTACTATAATTTTTAACCAGTCACCTGATGGTGGGCTTAGTAGTTATTCTGTGGCTGTTACCAACATCACTGCCATGTGCACTGGTACACATACAGAAGTCCACACAAGTAGGCCTGTATCTGTAAGGTAAATACTGGTGGGATTACTGAGTCAAAGGAGACGTGAATTTTTAGATTTTTACTATGAAAGACAAACTGCTCTTTATGGGGATTTTATTAATCTACAACCCCATCAACAATGTATGAGAGCCCATTTTTCACACACTTGCCAACTCAGTAGGTTATTAAACCTTTTGGTCTCTGCCACTTGTATATCCCAGATCAACTTCTAATTCTGCTTCATATTGTTTGCTATCCTTTAGAATATTTCTGTCCCACCTCCCTTCATTACAGTAGCTCTTTGCAATCTTAGATAATCTTATATTTTCATTGACTTTATATTCCTTAACTTCCAGGAGAGTTCTAGTTTCTGATATTCTGTTCCATTGGCATGTACTTGTCAGACCAGGTATCCTCATTTACTTACATGTCATAGTGCTCTGTAAACGTTTATGGATTGATTAGCCTAAGTGGGCAAAGTCCATCTGTCTCTATAATTTTGAATAAGAGAGAGCCATTGCTTCCTAAATATTTTTTATTAGTTTCTGCCTTTGTGTTAATTAGTGTAATTAACATTGTCAGTATCTGTTGCTACACGTGTGAATCTCAGTGTTCAAACTCAGGCTCTTTGCTACCGACTTTTACCTTGTTAGCAAGGCGAACACATATTCATTTAAAGGTATCAATAAGATTTTATGACCTGTTTTCTGGTAGCCCAGGATAGAGTCTTTCTGGGTTCACTCTGCAGAGCTGGGTGAGTTAGGTGGGAAGAATCTCAAAAAAGATGCCATTCTGGGGTAATAGGGGAAGCTCAGGGACTTGGTTGAGTTTAAAGTATGACCTCCTAGAGCTGAGGCAGTGAGAGCCCGGTATGTGCAGGAGGCTTTGTTCATGGCCAGACTATTGTGGGAGCCTCTTGAACAACAAGGTGAAAAGAGCAAAATGGGCAAGGAAGTTGTGAGCCAGGCTGAGGTTTGAGTGGAGGGTTCAGGTACGTGTTCAGTACCAAACCGTTGGAAGTCATTGCCAGAGTATTAATTAAATTGACACTTTAAATAGTTTCTAAATTAGGGATGGTTGATCAGATGAAGAGACATGGTGGGCCAGAAAGCACTGACTTGGATAATCTAAATAATTTATTAAGATAACATTTTTTAAATGTAGGATAGGATCAGTTCACTGTATACAGTTGCACAGTTTGTTATGTACTACATAAAAGCACCTCACTAAGGAGGCAGAGGGTGACTAGATTTCAGCCCGGGTTCTAATCACCGAGGCATGTACCTGGTATGCCTGGAGGAAAGTGTACCTTTTTCTGATTCATCTGCTAATTCAAATATTTGGGGTAGGCAAGTAGAGGCCTTGTTCTCTTTGTCTTATATGTTGTAGACTTAATGTGAAGAATATCCTCTAATCTGTTAAAAAAATCAATATGTAATAATATTTTCTGATCCAAAAATTATATTGAGCAGTAAATGATGATTGGCTACCATTTAATTCTCTTTTATAAAATGAGAATAGGGAAAAAGAAAAAAAGAAATTAAGTATTTGGCTTTGAAAGAGTCGACCTGTATGAAAAAGAAATGTTGAACATTTGTACCCTTTTTTCTTTTTAAGCTTTTATTCTCTGTTGTGAGATTTTCCCCTTTGAGGACACTGAAAGCAAAATGAATCGTGCCATTGGAAAATGCCCTGTAGATCTTCATGGGGTTATCTGTAGCCAGCAGCGTACAGGAAACTAGTCACATTATTAATTGCATTCTCTCTTGGCCAAAGGTTTAGCTGTTTTAAAATGTGATTTCACTGCCCATATTGCTCATATGCCTAAGCTTCTTTGTTACTTTAGTAAATATATGTTTGTGTGGAGTGATTTAGCTCAAATTTAGTGTATTAAATGGTAGTCTACCTAAGGCACCCATGTCTCCTCTCCTCTCCTCTCCTCTCCTCTCCTCTCCTCTCCTCTCCTCTCCTCTCCCCTCCACTCCCCTCCCCCTTTCCCCTCCCCCTCCCCTCTTTCCTTTCTTCTCCTCTTTCCTTTCCTTTCCTCTTCTCTTATTTTCTCTTTCTCTTTTTATTTCTCTCTTTCTCTGTTTCTCTCTCTTTCTCTCTTTCTCTCTCTCTTTCTTTCTCTTTCCCTCCCTCCCTTCCTTCCTTCCTTATTTCCTTCCTTCCTTCCTTCCTTCAACTGTACAGAGACCTGGAGGTCGCCAGGCTACCCATTCTGAAATGTGAGTTTTGTTTGGCTCACACAGTGTTGGGATTTGTTGGGTTTCAAATGTGTTTAGGTAAGAGTTGTGCCTTTCTATTAGTCACTATTCTGACCATTCCCTTTTGTTTTATATCTGATCCACTTCAACTGTCTTTCCTGCTGGCATTCCAGTTTGTAATTCTTACTTTATATCTGGATACTCTGTGAACACAGAATTAAGGCAGGAAATTAGAAGGTAGAATAAAATCTGCTTTTAAGAAGCAGTTTACATTAAACAAATAACTTTTATTTATAGTGTTAATAAATGTTTTCAAATATTATAATTGTATCCCAATATCATTCCCCTAAGTACTCTTCCCATTTAATTGCTATTAGGCTGGGCTGTGCCTTCCAGCAAGATAAATACCAGGTTGGTAGGCAAAATTAGGGAACTGTATCAAGGTTTAGAATACCAAGGGTCAATAGCAGGCCAGTCGTTGGAAGGCAGAATATACACAAACAGTAAGGTCAAGACAAGTCATAAGTCAGAGCAAGCTGGACAGACTAGGGAATAGCAGTAGCATCCAAGGCCCATGGGAGTAGGAACATCAGGTCCAAGCCTCTAAGACCAGGAAATCCATGAGCATTAAAGGAATGAGATCAGAATTGGCAGGCAAGGAGGCTGAGTCATGGGGGCTCACGGTCTCAACAAGGAAATGGGTCACTGGCGGGGTCAGTACAGGACCCTACGTGAAAGAAAGGAGTTTGCCACAGACCAACCCCTTTTGCCTCTGCTTAGAATTTTTTAAAATTAATAGACTTTATTTTTTAGACCGTTTTTAGGTTAACAGAATGGAACAGATAGTGCAGAGAGTTCCCAGATACCACCTTCTCCCCCAATCCCCTACACACCAGTTTCCCCTATTTTCCTATTTTTAATATTGTACATTTGAATGATATATTTGTTGCAATTGATGAACCAATATTGATACACTATTATTGAGTTAAGCCCATTTTTTACATTAGGTTTATGCTGTGTATATTTTTATGGGGTGGGTGTTCGTGTATTAACATTTATATTACATAAAACTTACTATTTTGACCATTTTAGGTGTGCTGCTCAGTGAGATTAGGTACGTTCACACTGATGTGCAACCATCACCATTAGCCACCTCCAGAACTTTTTCAGTAACCCTGATGGAAACTGTACCCATTAAACAGTAATTCCCCATGTCCCTACCCTCACCTTTGGTAACCACTTTATTTTATTTTATTTTATTTTATTTTATTTATTATTATTATTATACTTTAAGTTTTAGGGAACATGTGCACAATGTGCAGGTTAGTTACATATGTATACATGTGCCATGCTGGTGCGCTGCACCCACTAACTCGTCATCTAGCATTAGTTATATCTCCCAGTGCTATCCCTCCCCCCTCCCCCTACCCCACAACAGTCCCCAGAGTGTGATGTTCCCCTTCCTGTGTCCATGTGTTCTCATTGTTCAATTCCCACCTATGAGTGAGAATATGCGGTGTTTGGTTTTTTGTTCTTGCGATAGTTTACTGAGAATGATGATTTCCAATTTCATCCATGTCCCTACAAAGGACATGAACTCATCATTTTTTATGGCTGCATAGTATTCCATGGTGTATATATGCCACATTTTCTTAATCCAGTCTATCATTGTTGGACATTTGGGTTGGTTCCAAGTCTTTGCTATTGTGAATAATGCTGCAATAAACATACGTGTGCATGGGTCTTTATAGCAGCATGATTTATAGTCCTTTGGGTATATACCCAGTAATGGGATGGCTGGGTCAAATGGTATTTCTAGTTCTAGATCCCTGAGGAATCGCCTATGTCCTGAATGGTAATGCCTAGGTTTTCTTCTAGGGTTTTTATGGTTTTAGGTCTAACGTTTAAGTCTTTAATCCATCTTGAATTGATTTTTGTATAAGGTGTAAGGAAGGGATCCAGTTTCAGCTTTCTACATATGGGTAGCCAGTTTTCCCAGCACCATTTATTAAATCGGGTTCTATCTCTATGTATTTGACTATTCTGGGTACCTCATGTAAGTGGCATTGTACAATATTTGTGCGTTTATCACTTGAACCCAGGAGTTCAACACCAGCTTGGGCAACATAACGAGACCCTGTCTCTACAAGAATTGTGTGTTGGCACACACCTATTGTCCTAGTTACTTGGGATCACTTGAGCCTAGGAGGTCTTGGCTGCAGTGAGCCATGATTGTGCCACTGCACTCCAGCCTGGGCAGTAGAGCAAGACTATATCTGTCTCTTAAAACAAACAAACAAAAAATTGTCCTTTTGTGTCTGGCATATTTCACTTCCCACAGTGGCTTTAATGTTCACCTATGTTGTAGCATGTATTACTATTTCATTCTCTTTTAAGGCTGAATATTCCATTGTATGTACCACATTTTGTTGATCCACTTATCTGTCAATGGACATTTGCGTTTTCACCTTTTGGATATAATGCTGCTGTGAGCATCAGTGTACATGTATCTGTTTGAGTTTCTGCTTTCAGTTCTTTTTTGTGTATATATCAGAAGTGGAATAGCTGAATCAAATGATCTGTGGGTCCGGGCGCGATGGCTCATGCCTGTAATCCCAGCACTTTGGAAGGCCGAGGCAGGCAGATTACCTGAGGTCAGGAGTTCAAGACCAGCCTGACCAACATGGAGAAACCCGCTTTCTACTAAAAATACAAACTTAGCTGGGTGTGGTGGCACATGCCTGTAATCCCAGCTACGTACTGAGGCAGGAGAATTGCTTGAACCTGGGAGGCGGAGGTTGCGGTGATCCGAGATTGCACCATTGCACTCCAGCCTGGGCAACAAGAGCGAGGCTGTGTGTC
The DNA here is from genome assembly GCF_000001405.40 of Homo sapiens. Taxonomy (NCBI): domain Eukaryota; kingdom Metazoa; phylum Chordata; class Mammalia; order Primates; family Hominidae; genus Homo; species Homo sapiens. Next base: position 125,216,635 of record NC_000008.11, read on the forward strand.
AAAAAAAAAAAAAAAATGGTCTATGGGTTTTGGGCAAATGCACAATGTCATGTGTCCACTATACAGAATAGTTTCACTGTCTGAAAAATCTCCTGCTTCAACCATTCTTCACTCTCTCACCTTTGCCTCTGCTTAGGTTTTAATGTTCTTTTTGTAGACATTTAAATACTGTTTATACTCCAACCTGGAATTTTCGGGTAAAGACGAGTTAGTGAAATCAGTGATCAAGGGAAAGTAAGATGTTCTGGTAAATTATTTATAGTCCCTTAGGCTTTGAGATTTTGAAAGTTACTTACACAGTTAGCGTACAGGTAACAAACAGAGCTTTAGAATGCATTGGCTTCAAATAGGATGATTTGTGTGGATGCAGTTATATATTGCATCCATTTATTCCACAAAGATTTATTAAGCACCTATACTATATGCCAAGCCCTGTGCTAGATGCTTTCAATAGGAAATAAAGATTCCATAAGATAAGTTAGACTATTTTAGGAGTTTCCACCTTTTTACCACCAAGCTACCCCTTTGATAGTTGTTCCCTAGGAGGCATGTGTTTTGAAAGATCCTGTCTATTACATATTATGCTTGTGCTAGGCTTTCTCAGAATATTGAAAATAGCTTTTGAATCTCCACTGTAATTTTCAGGGAGTCCTAGAGGTCTAGAGATCTTCATAAGAAAACTGATCACTTTTTTAAAAAATTTTATTTATTTATTTATTTATTTATTTTTTATTTATTTATTTTGAGATGGAGTCTTGCTGTGTCACCCAGGCTGAAGTGCAGTGGCATGATCTCAGCTCACTGCAAGCTCTGCCTCCCAGGTTCATGCCATTCTCCTGTCTCAGCCTCCCGAGTAGCTGGGACTACGGGCACCTACCGCCACACATGGCTAATTTTGTTTTTTTGTATTTTTAATAGAGACAGGGTTTCACTGTGTTAGCCAGGATGGTCTGTATCTCCTGACCTCGTGATCCACCTGCCTTGGCCTCCCAAAGTGCTGGGATTACAGGCGTGAGCCACCGCGCCTGGCCCTGATCACTTTTTAAATTCAGAGCATGAGTCTTCGATTAGGCTGGTTTGTGTGACTGTCACTGTGCTCAGTCCTGTTATTACAGCTGTGCTGAGGTACTTAGTGTGGCTGTTTTCCAGACTTGACTTGCTCAAATTACCATTTCTCTATCTTCTCCAGTTGCTTGCTGACCCAGCCTTTTCCACTATACTTAGTGGCAGTGACCATCTAAATATGAAAAAAAAAAAAACCAAAACAAAAACCGTTGTACTAGGATAGAAAATAAAGAGACAAGAAGGGCAAGAAGGCTCAGGTATTTGTGGTCATTAAAGCAGAAGTCTCTACGCTATTTTAATTGTTACTGTCATATGAGCCTCCTGATAATTTGTTTATTCGTGTTTGTACATATTCTGCATAATATCAGTATGTGCATTATTAGTGAAACCTAATTTTTCTCCTTTTTAAAATAAAAGTTAATTATAAATAGAAGTTCTGAGATTTTGCATGTACTCTGAGCTGCATGCATCCCACTTTAGAAACCTGTACTGAGAAAGCAGACTGATATTTTTTACTGACCAAAATACTAACCACCATGTCTACTGTAGCTTAGATTATTCTACAGATAATGCTGAGGATTCTGACATACAAACAGACAGGTAGGTTTAATTAGGGAAAAGTTCTAGAAGCAATTCCCCAAGTCACTGTGCTATTCAAATATAAAAACTCCACATGCATTTGGGATAAAAATAGCATATTCTGAAAAATTGAGGGTTTTTTTTTTTTTTTGAGACAGAGTCTTGCTCTGTCGCTCAGACTGGAGTGCAGTGGCACGATCTTGGCTCACTGCAACCTCCGCATCTTGGGTTCAAGCAATTCTCATGCCTCAGCCTCCCGAGTAGCTGTGATTACAGGCACCTGCCACCATGCCTAGCTAATTTTTGTATTTTTAGTAGACGTGGGGTTTCGCCATGTTGGCCAGGCTGGTCTTGAACTCCTGACCTCAGGTGATCCACCCGCCTCAGCCTTCCAAAGTGCTAGGATTATAGGTGTGAGCCACTGCGCCCGGCCAAAAGTTGAGATTTGTAAAAAATAAATTAGTATAGAGAGTTTCAGTTTTACTAGATAAAGTTTTAGAGATCTGTTTCGCAACAACATGAATAAACTTGACACTAATGAACCATACATTTAAAAATGGTTAAGGTGTTAAATTTTATGTTACGTGTTTTAAACACAATAAAACAATCAGTTAGATATTGGTGATTTATCCCCTGTAACCAATATTTTAACATCTACTATATAAGGACTCCATTTGGTCTCTGCAGACCAAATTTTCTGCAGTTTTTGCTAGGTACTTTAAGCATTTTAGTCCCCTGTGGTTACATTATCAGAAAAATGTGAGTGCTTGTGATTCTTAATATAGAGCCAGATAAAATCCCTGAACACCAGTCCACTAAATCTACTTTAATGGGATAAACTTTTAAATGAACCATTAATAATATACTCCACATATTTGCTATTTGGGGTCTGGGGAGGCAGATAGACAGAAAGAGATGGAAGAAAAGCCTGAGTTGACTTTCGTACTTTCAGTGTTCCAAAGCCTGGATATAAATGAAAGATGAGCATTTCTACTTAATTTATCTGGCTGGATTCCTGTGCCTAATGGCTGCATATATACCATAAACACTGTGAAGAAGCAACCATGGAAACACTTGTTTTCTTGTTGGGCTAAATTTACTCTGGATTGAATATTAACACAGTGCCTGGCAGTACTTTAAAAGCAAAAATAGCTTAAGTGTGATTCACTCTGAGTCATTTACTGCTGCTGCTGCTGCTGCTATACTGCCTAGAGCTTGACATTGAACAAGTTGGCAGCCTGTATTGCTACATTTTTTCTAGGAACTCTGAACACATTTCATTCTTGTGAATTCGCTTGTGCAACGATATTAAATAGAGTAATATGTTTATTTTGTTTCAAAGTCAAATGAATTTGAGAATGGTGAAACTGAATTATTTTTCTTGGGCTTTCTGGAAAAGCTAGATTCTCAGAATTCTCCCGTGGTTATAAGACTTACTCTATTTTATAAAGAATTAATAAAATGTCACTGAAGTTTTGTTTTAGACACTTTGGGCTTCGCTGATTGAAAACACCACACCAACTGAAAAATCACTGTGAAAAAGAACCTGGTAGTACTGTCAATATCAAGTAGGATTCATTAATTTTCTGACATTACTGGACAAGATGGTTCGTGCCATTCAGAAAGCTCTTTTTCTTTCTTCTTCTTTCCTAATACAGTGAGGCATACAACGTAGCCTGCCTTATGGTTAAGTTGGGTGTATGACTTGTAAACTTCCCTCTTGCTATTAAAGATTATATAATGGGAAGTTCATTGGTTTTGAAAGGCAGACCAAACCCACCCATGGGATTTCTATTGGCTTTTTAGATGTATTGCATTTCTCTGAGTAAACCCATGTGGCTGAGAAATAGTGAGTAGCTTGTTGGCTGACTGTGGGAAAACCTATGAAGGATCAGTTGATCTCATTTGGGCAGGAGTCAGAAATGGCTGAGAATCTAAAACTATATATATGAGGATGGTTTTCTCTTGATGTTGCAATCTTTATTTTAACATGTTTTTGTGTTTAGCTTCTGGAGTTGCCTAACAGTATAATTTCAAATGAGGTTTAGTTTCAGCTGTTTAATTTTAAACTGTAGGGAACATGATTAAAAAAAAATTAAGGCATTATCATTTGCCTTAGAATTTTAATGGTTTGTATAGAAAGAGTTTTCCTGTGACAACCTAAAACAAAAATGAGCCTAACCTAATTCTTGATATTATTTGTTTTACCATAAAATTCTTACATTAGAACATGTAACTCTGTCAGAGAATTTCAACATAGTTGCATAAATTGTGTTTCATATTACAACTTGTTCTCTGCTTGACTTCATTGAAAGTAATAAAATGACTCTTTCAGAAGGATCTGGTGAGTTAACATCATTATTTAAAAAAAAAAAAAAGTAAAGAACTTACTCATAATGTATCCTGTGTTGCTAAGTTTTCAAAGTTAGCTATCTCAGCCACACCCAAAAGCCCTTTCAGAAGATTGAAATCCACTTATTCATTTATGCTGGCTTAGAATTTTCTTCCTAGTAAGATCTGAGATCGATATAAATTTTCCATGAAATATATGATGAATGCAAGAAAAACTAACATTTGGAATTTGAGTTGCTGCCAAGTCTTGTGTGTAATATATAGTTCTTTATTCTGTGGTTAAAGAGATTTCTTATAGCAGGGCTTTCTCTAACTTGGGCCCTGTGTGTGCTAAAAATATCTCGAAGGTATTTTTTATGTTCCAAAGGGATACTATCACCCTTCCTCAGAGCTAGAATATAGGATACCAGTCCTGCAGTAGCATTCCCCATATCATGGTCATACCCACCCTCTACTGCTACATTTCCAAGGCATATAAATGAGTTTTTCATATGGCTTGAAAATTAGCTCAACAAAGTTTAAATAACCAACCATGTCAGGTTGTAAACTAAAGGGGATAGTCTAAATGAGTCTCAGCATAGCCCAGTACCCACTGTGTTATTAATGCCTTTACATAGATGTATCTCTTTTATTGAGACAAGATCTCACTTTGTCACCCATGCTGAAGTGCAGTGACGCAATCATGGCTCACTTCAGCCTCAACTTCCCTCACTCAGGTGATCCTCCCACCTCAGACCTGAGTAGCTGGGATTACAGTTGTGTACCACCATGCCTGGCTAAGTTTTGTATTTTTTGTAGACACAGGGTTTTGCCATGTTGCCCAGGCTGGTCTTGAACTCCTGGGCTCAAGCAGTCCACCTGCCTCAGCTTCCCAAAGTTCTGGGATTACAGGCATGAGCCACTGTGCCCAGCCAGATGTGTCTTATCCATAGACATATTATAGGTTGCGTATCACTTACGTGAAATGCTTGAAACCAAAAAGTGTTTCAGACTTCAGGTTTTGGAATATTTGTATATACATAATGAAATATATTAGGGATAAGACCCAAGCCTAAATGCAGCATTCATTTATGTTTCATATGTAGCTTACACACATAGCCTGAAGGTAATTTTATACAATGTTTTTAATAATGTCGTGCATGAAACAAAGTTTTGACTGCATTTTGACTGCAACTAGGTGTGGAATTTTCCACATGTGGCAATGTGTCAGTATTCAGAAAGTTTTGGATTTTGAAGCATTTCAGATTTTGGGATTAAGGATGTTCAACCTATAAATGAGATGATGTGAAAGTCTTCACACAGGGCCTAGCATAAAGTAGACACTCAATAAAAAAGCTCATTAAATCAGAATTTATATTATAAATATTCACCTTATTTGGCCTGGAAGTTTTCTTTCTTTCTTTTTATTTATATGTATACTCATTTGTCAAACTTGTATTATATGCCAGAAACTATAGGATATTTGAGACAAATTAATAAACCTTCAAGAATTACATTCTTAACTTGAAAAAGCAGGCATGCAAATTACTAAATATATTAATCATATGCTTTTTAAAAAGATTAGGTATAAGGATGTCATTGCCTTAAAGTAGGAACGATTTTTTAAAATTTTTTAATTGAGAAATAATAATTATATATATTTATGGAATACAGCGTGTTTTGATATATGTATACCTTGCAGAATAATTAAATCAAGTTAATTGACATATCTGTCACCTCATTTCCTTTTTTGTGGTGAAAACTTTTGAAATCTCCTCTAAGTAATTTTGAAGTATACAAATACATTATTAATAATGTGATTTTCGTGCTGTGCAATAGATCACTAAAACTTACTCCTCCCGTCTAACTGAAACATTGTAGTTTGGCCAACATCTCCACATTTTCCCAACCCCTTCCCCCTTCCCCCAACCTCTGGTAACCACCATGCTATTCTCAAAGTCTATGAATTAGCCTGTTTTAGATTCCACGTGTAAGTGAGATCATACAGTATTGGTCTTTATGTGCCTGGCTTATTTCACCTAGCATAGTGCCCTCCAGGTTCATCCATGTTGTTGCAAATGACAGAATTTCTTTTTAAAGGCTAGCTAGTATTCCATTGTATATGTATATACCACATTTTTTAAATCTGTTCATCGATGAGAGACTCTTAGAGGCGGGGTGCAGTGGCACGACCTGTAATCCCAGCTCTTTGGGAGGCTGAGGTGGGTGGATTGCTTGAGCTCCGGAGTTCAAGACCAGCCTAGGCAACACGGCAAAACCCTGTCCCTACAAAAGGAAAAGAAATAGCCAGGTGTGGTGGTGTGTGCCTGTATTCCCAGCTACCCAGGAGGCTGAGGTGGGAGGATCGTTTGAGCCCTGAAGGTCAAGGCTGTGGTGAGCCAAGATTATGCCAGTGCACTCCAGCCTGGGCAACAGAGTGAGACCCTGTCTCAAAAATAAAATAAAATAAAATAAAATAAGCACGGTGGCTCACACCTGTAATACCAGCACTTTGAGAGGCTGAGGCAGGCAGCTCAGGAGTTTGAGACCAACCTGAGCAACATGGTGAAATCCCATCTGTACAAAAAATACAAAAAAATTAGCCAGACATGGTGGTACACACCTGTGGTCCCAGCTACTTGGCAGGCTGAGGTAGGAGGATTGCTTGAACCCCAGAAGCAGAGGTTGCTATGAGTCAAGATTGCACCACTGCACTCCAGCCTGGGCAACAGAGCAAGACCCTGTCCCAACAAAATCAAAAATAAAATAAAATAAAAGTAGACACTCAGGTTGCTTCCATATCTTGACTATTGCGAATAATGCTGCAGTGAACGTGGGAGTGCAGAAATCTCTTTGACATACCAATTTCATTTCATTTGTATGTATACCCAGAAGTGGGATCATATGGTAGCTCTATTTGTAGTTTTTTGAGGAACTTCCATACTGTTTTTCATAATAGCTGTAGTAATTTACATTCCCACGAACAATGTACCAGGGTTGCCTTTTCTCCACATCCAAACCAATACTTGTCTTTTGTCTTTTTGCTAATAGCCATTCTAACAGATGTGAAGTGATTATCTCTTCGTGATTTTAATTTGCATTTCCCAGGTGTCTGGAGAAGTTGAGCATTTTTTCCATATATTTCTTGGCCACTTATGTGTCTTTCTTTTGAGAAATGTGTGTTCAGGTCCTTTGCCTTTTTTTTTTTTTTTTTTTTTTTGAGTCAGGGTCTTGCGCTGTCACGCAGGCTGGAGTATAGTGGCGCAATCATAGCTCCACTATGCAGCCTTGATGCAGAAATCATGCAGCCTTGATCTTCCTGGTTCAAGAGATTCTCCCACTGTAGCCTCCCTGGTAGCTGGGACTACAGGCACACAAAACCATGCCTGGCTAATTTTTTTAAATTTTTAGTAGAGAGGAGGTCTGGCTGTTTTCAGGCTGGTCTTAAACTGCTGGGCTCAAGCAGTCCTCTTGCCTCAGCCTCCCAAAGTGCTGGGATTACAGGCATAAGCCACCATGCCCAGTCCTTTGCCCATTTTAAAATCAGGTTATTTGTTTTCTTGCTATTTAGTTGTTTGAGTTCCTTATGTATTTTGGATGTTAGCTCATTATCACATGTATGCTTCGCAAATTTCCTCCCAACCCGTGAATTGTCTTTTCATTCTGTTGTTTCCTTTACTATGCAGAAGCGTTTTAGTTTGATGCAATCCATTTGTCTATTTTTTTTATTGCCTGTGCTGTTGGGGTCATATTTAGGAAATTATTGCTCAGCCCAATGTCGTGGAGCTATTCCTAGTTTTCTTCAAGTAGTTTTACAGTTTCAGGTCTTAAATACTTAAGTCTTTAATCCATTTTGAGTTCATTTTTGCATATATTGTGAGTTAACAGTCTAATTTCATTCTTCTGCATGTGTATCTACAGTTTTCCCAACATTATTTATTGAAGAGATGTTCTTTCCCCATTGTGTGCTCTTGGCACATTTGTCAAAAATCAGTTGAACATAAATTCATAGATTTATTTCTGGGCTTTCTATTCTGTTCCAGTGGTTGGTGAGTGGTAACAATTTTAACTAATATCGACTGTTGACCTTTGAGTACTTCCTATGTACCCAGCTCTATTTAAGGTGCAATAAGGTAGGTAGATAGTGTTATCCCCATTTTACAGAGGAGGATATTGAGGCTCATAAGAGGTTGAGCAATTTGCCAAACTTTATATTTACAATTCAAACTCAGGAAATCAAGCTGCAGAGTCCATGCCCTTTACTATTACGTAAACTGCCTCTTGTTGATTGACTTTATTGAGGAAAAAGAAAAAATCTTAGAAGTTGGAGGAAATGGGAAGTCAGTACAGCAATGATAATGTGATCTGTTTTGTAGGACATTAGATTTTTTCAAATTAGTGATTATTTTGGAGTACTTTTGCTAAAGTCTGTGTTTCTAAAACAAAGTGCCTTCATCCAGTGGGCTAAATCTGAGAATAATTTATCACATATTTGGCATATCTTTCTTAGGCTATATGTGCTAATCCCTAACATGAGCTGAGTTTGAGAACTTAATGTTTTTACATATTACCTCAGAGACTGAAATCAGTTCTTAAACCAGTATTGGGTTTTGCCATTCAGAGAGGCACTGTGGGGCCATGCCAAGAAACAAATTAGCTAAAAGTAAGGCTTTCCTTCAGTCGACAGCAGTGGGTCTCCTTTCATCTTGTGGCTCTTTTAAGCTCTCTAACAACCTCTTTCTGTCCTTTCGACTCCATTCACCTCAAACCCAACAGTTCTTTTTTGTAGTCAACACTGCTAAATAGTTATTCAGAGCCCTGCAGCTCTCATTTCATTCTTGGCTTTGTCTAAGTTCCTGAGAGAGCTGCAAAAAGAGGTTGAAGAAGTGAAAATCATCAGCTCACCCTGTTTGCATATCCTGCAGTTTGCCAGCACCCCCTGAGAAAGTTCAAAGTCTAAGGGTACAGTGAGCAGAGAAGCCTCTCCAGGGAGATTCCCAATAGCTTGTTTGTTTCACATTGTGCTCTGGGGTATATTTGTTTTTATTCAGGAAGGTATTGCCTTTTTATTTCTTGATATATTTTATAAGAAAATGTTTTCTCTTAACATGAGAGCAAATTATACTTATTTGCTGAACAAAGCAAAGCTATCTGCAAGGACATTTTAGTTTTCACTTCAAGCATCATTGCTTTTGGCAATTGTAGACAAATTATCGTACTGTTTGATGAGGTGTAAAATAACACGCTTTAACTGGAGAATGAACACATTTCCAGATACAATATTATCGTTCTCTTCTTTTTCAAGTAATAATTTCCAAAAGATGAATTTTAATGGACTTTTTGCCATTTAACCAAAGTGAATCCTTGAGTCTCTGAAGTTGCCCCCACTTAGCACCTGCGTATATAACACTTAACAATTATTTACACTTTTGATTAAATTCAACCTTTATGTCTGTTTGCAAAAAAGAATACATACAATTTTCTTCACAAAAACCCCAGTGTCAGACATTTTGTTTTGATCTTTTTCTTGGCATATTAAACTGACATTGGGCACCAAGATGATGAATTATGGAAATACTGCATTCCTCCCAGAGGGCCTCATGACTTTAACTAAATATTCTCATGGCCCAGTCATTGTGTAGATTTGCTTTTAAACATGTCCAGTCTTGGCATTTTAAAATAACATTTTAGAAATTCACCAGGAAAGGAAGGTGACCGTACAGTTATCAGATGATAAATTCTAATCATGGGACATTCGCGTGGGTCGTTTGTAATTGAAGACAGTGCATCCTTTGTAACTGAAGCTAGTGCAAATGAGGACAGGAGTGGAGGGACAGAAAGCGGAGAGGTGTACAGCTGCTCTTCTTGCACTGTACCCCTCATATCTGCAGCCGGGATCAGTCAAGATCTCATTCGTGATGCTTGGGTGCCTTGGGGGCTTGGGAAGCCAGCTCAGGCCTTGTGATCCACTCGGATTAGTGTTGTCTGGGGTTCTCACTTTCTGACTCCTGGAGGACGAAACGCCACTTGTCTGAGAGGGAGTGGGAGTGATTCTTGAGAATGAAAACATGATTTGGGTAGTGAAGAGGTGGAGAGGAGAGGCAGAGGGGATGTGGAAAAGAGGTAGAAGCAGGGAAGTAAGCATGAATAAAGAGTAAATTGGGCAGGGAGAACAAGGAGGAAGACACTTTCTTCCCCTTACTCCTCCCTGTTTGACAGTCTGGCTATTTCTGCTTTCTCCCTTAGTTTCCTCTTTTCTCTCCCCGTTTCATGGCACTGCTCTCCAAAACTTGTTCTGGCAACCCTCTGCCTCATCTTTTTGTGTCCTTCCCCAACCCCTATCTCCACCCACCAGCCCAGTTCACTTCCTTTAGTTGCCCCAGCCCCCTTTGCCTAGGGACTCACCAGTGAGTGCCACATTCACAGCCATGTCTGGTGCAGTCTGAAACACCTGAGGCCACTCAGGGTCTGTATTAGAATTAACCTTTACTAACAGGTTTAACCAGACTTTTCAGGTTCCTTTTAAGTCAGAATGAACCCCTGCCTTGACCTTGCCCATCCTCAAATTGGGGGGCAGCCTCCAGATCCACAAGACATGAGAAGCAGGAGCAGGCCTGCCACGTCCCTGACATGGCAGTAGAGATTTTATGAATGGTAGCTCGGTGTCTCCATCAGTGGTAGCTGATGGTAGCTTAGTGTCTCCATCAGTCCTTCAGATAGCAGTGAGAAGATGTGGGCAACAGCAGTGTCCCTGACTTGTCAGTAGCGTGACTGCAGCTCAGAGAGCAAGTCATGCCAACCAGGGCCTTCCCCTCCAGAGCCACTGCTTTGCTGCCTTACCGAATAACGAATCAAATGTTTCTTTCCTTTACTTTCTGTTTAGAATTAAGGACAACTTTTATTAGCATCTTTGTCTAAGCTATAGCATTAACTCCCAGTTTTTAATTACATCATCTTAATTGCAAATGTATTGCAATTCATATTAAAAATCAGGAAGCCTTGTACTTTGCTAATAAACTCTGGTGTTTGCAAATCTGATTAAGCTCTAATTAGAATTCCTTTATATTCAATCTGTTTCGAATTACTTTTCTGACTATAAAAATGTGTATATTGTAAAAGATTCAGGTAATATAGAGGGCAAAATAAAAATCACCTGTAATCCCGTTACCCAGAGATAACCACATAATAACATTTTGTGGTTTCTTTTAGTCTTTTTTTTCTGTAAACTATATATTCGCAAAACTGAGATCAGTTTAGTGTCATTTTTTTAGTCAGTATAGTGTGAGCTCATTAAATATTTGAAAAACATGATTTTAAATTGATTTCTAATATTTCATGTTATGCATGTGCCATTGATTTATTCCTCTTTGAATCATTACCCTCTATTACTGTTACATGCACTGGTTGTCTTTCAGTGGATAGCAGTTGATATTGTCAATTTTTAAAGTCAGTTTGATAGTTAAAAAATAGTATCTTATACTATGTATTGAGTCTTAACTATCAAAATTGCCTAATTTTTAGATCATTTCTTGTTACTTTTATTTATGAATTATAAAGATTAAATAAAATTATGGTATATTTTTCAGGTAAAAATTATTTCAAAAGTTGAAATAAGTGGTGTTTGTTTTGGTAAAATTTTACTTCTTTCTAAAGTGTTTTGATGCATTTATTCATTCAGTCAGCAGATATTTATTCAATTCCTTCCAGTACAAGGTGTTAATTGGTTAGAATAAAAGAAGAAAAGTATGCTTTCTGCCTTCTAGAAGCTTACAATTCAGTGATGGTAACATATGTAAATATGTGATAATGTAACACAAAGAAATAAATATTAAAATAAAGCTGCAAGCTGGGTGCTGAGAAAACACAAAAGGAAAGTGATGAATTTTGACCAGCAGAATCAAGGGAAGACTTCCTGGAAGAGCTGACATTTGAGCTGAGCCTTGAAGCATGGATTTAATTTCACTGGGGAAGGCAGTACAGGGCATTTGAGGCTGAGAGTATAGTACATTCAGAGCCAAAGAGGGCTGAGAGCATATGTCATATTTGAGAAAAGTGAATGTCCCAGAGAGTCTGGTGTGTTACATGCCATATGGTGGTCAAGTGTAAAGGGGGTAAGGCAGAGAGTGGTTGTAGCCAGTGAACCTACAGCAAGATAATCAATTCATACGTGCCTGGCTCTGTGCTAAGCTCCTTCTCATAAGTAGCTTAGCTCATTGAATTCACGTTACAATCCTGTGAACTATGTATGTGGCCACTCACAGACGGAAGTAGAAACTCAGAAAGCCTGAGTGATTCCCTCTAAGTTACAAAGCTTATAAGAGACAGAACCAGTCCTGAAGTCCATTCCTTTTTTCACTATACCAGATTGAGGTAAGATGATAGCCTTGAAAACTGTTAGGGTGTTGGGACTATTTTGTATGTGTTGCTGTTTGTTTGTGTGTTTATTTTTATTCAGTGCTAGCATATGATTAATGAAGATACTTCTAGTGGTAGAATGAAGGATGATGAGTCAGAAAAAAATGTTGCAGGAAGCAAGACAAGATAGAAGACCACAACAGAAGTCCAAGCAAGACATGGAGAACCTGAACTACTGCAGTGATAATGGAAATGGGAAAGAAAAGAGAGATGCAAGAGACTGGGAGAAATAATCTAAGCACTTAGTAGATCGATGAACTGAAAGCAGTGAAGGCAACCTATGTTACATTAGATTCGTAGTCTCAACTTTTTTTTAAATCACACATCCTTAATAGTAAAATATTTTTGAGCATGTATCCCATACAAAATTTTTAATATTTTAACCTCCTTTCCAGTGGATTTTCTTGTGACCCATTTTAGAGAGCACTGGAATTATTTAAGAATAATGAGGGAAGGGATTGCCAGGAAGAAAGGGTGGAAGAGAATCTGAGTTTGGTTTGGGTCATACTGAGTTTAAGATAGCTAAAGAAGTACCGACATTTGAAGATGCTTCATACAAAGTTGGAAGTGGTATTAAAGATTTTAGGAAATAAAATGACACCAAGCTTATGTTCTAGATGAAATTCAGTCTTATTCTCAAAATAGAGTCTGGTTTCCCCAGTTCTACTTTGTGTATAAGGATAATTATGGATTAAAAAGCCAGGAGTCTGTTTTATATTATTTTTAGCTACATATCTTTAGTTGATTGTTTTAGTGTTTTATTATTTGATAGATGATAAATGATGACTTATCATTTGATAAATTTTTAAAATGTTTAATTTTATTTTACCTTTATTTTATAGAATTTTTGAGGGAAGAAATACTTAGGATTGTTAACTGTAGAATAAACCATATAGTCTCAGACAGAAGCATTAATTATATATTTTAAAAATTTAATTTTCAAGATCTGTAAATATTTAGTTGAGAATCAAATGATAAAACACTAAAACGATTTTAGTTTTAATTTTGAAAATGTTAAAGAAAACTCTTAAAATAGATCTTTTGTGTAGCATATAACACAAATATCTTTTTGAAAACCTTGCAGATTGTATGTAGTTCATTGACTTATTCAGATTTCTTTGGAACATTCAGAGTTATCAAGCCTAAACGTGTCTTCCAGACAAAGAGATTCATCCAGATATCAGATATCTTTACAAAAGGCTCATGCTTTTCAGTAACTTTTTCAAAATGTCATTCTTATTTCCTCCTGGCCAACCCTCTCTTACTGAACTAATACCCTATAAAGCCTTACCCAGAACCCTTTCAATTTAACAAGGCCCTACAATTGTATGATTAAAGACACAAGGGCTGATTGGTGTTTTGGGTTTGGTTCAATTTCATTTGATTTCAATTAAGAATATGATTTTTTAAAAACCTTCAGCCACCAAAATCATTATTGATGTTCAAAGCGTGAACATCCCTTGGGGAAGTGGGAATGAGAAACAGCTGTAGTTCCTCTGTATCTCATGAAATCCAATTAACTTTCTTCCTTTTGTCTCTTTTCTGTTCAGTTTCAACACTGTTCAGTATCTTCAGTGAATTTTTACTCAACACCAGATGAATAGTAGTACTATTGTAAGCTAATCGTATGCCAATGAGGAAAAACACCTTTTCTTTTTTATTACTTAATGGATAAAAGGTACAAAGAAATTACCAGTCTAGGTCAAGTTCACAAACTGGGCAAAATAGATTTGCAAAACAAATACCTAAAAATGGAAAACATTCCTAATGGAGGAAATGGCAAAGAAAAATCATCTTCAAGATTTTGCCCCTGTCTTTCTTAGACAGCAGGGGGCAGCAGCATGAGATACTAGTACAGGTGGACAGGTCAGGGTTTGCTTACTCTTCACTGAACTCTACGTAGTAGGTACAACTGCCTTGGATCAAAAACAATTTTTAGAGACCCTGATAGAGGATTAATGCATTAAACAAAATCACAATATAGATTGGTGGTTGATTAAAAATTCTAGTATCTGATTTTCTATCTAATATATATTATTCTGGTTTCTTACTGGCAAGCCTTTATTTTACAGAATTTTTGAGAGAAGAAATACTTAGGACTGTTAACTGTAGAATAAACCTTACAGTCCTAGAAAGAAGCATTAATTATATGATATATTAGTAAAAGATGCTTATAGTTGTTTTACAGGTAGCAGTAGGGTGACCTAATACACAGAAAGTGCTGTGCCACATAATGAGGATTCAGTAGATGTGATTAAATGGTTGCTGACATCCCTTCAAGACAATGACTTGTCTTCATAGCTCATCAGTGAGTTCACAGTCTATTGTTCCTTTTTATTTGGCCAGTGTAAAATAGCAGTTATTGCAAGAACAAAGGGATTAAAGCATCTGAAGACCTTTGTTTGAGTTCTGCCACTTTAGTAGTGATACATCTCAGAGATCAACCTCTTTAATGCCTGTCTTTGTTCCCTGGAACAGAGTTTGTGTTTCCTTTTGTGTTACAACAGAACTCTGGTCATTCCTACCATAGCACTTTTGCACACTATAGATTGCAACCCACAGTATTTTACTTAAAAGATTCTGAAAAAGTGGATTAGAAAACACCAGTGTGTATCATGCATAGGAAGAATACTGTTTCATGAAATTTTTTTTCACTTAAACATACAGTTGTATATACTGGGTTATGATAAAAATATATATATATTTCTTGCTGCAGGTCATAGTAAAAGGAATTTGGGAAAACACTTAACTGTAGCATGGATGACATCATCAGGTAGTTATCAGTTTATAAATCTGTTCTCTCTACCATGCACCTCTTGAAAGAAGGAACACATTTTCTTTATCTCTTTCTTTTTAACACTTAAGACAGGTCTGCCTGGTACATGGTAGTATTCAGTATATGCTGGCATACTGAATAAATAAATTAATTAATGAAATGAAAGTCACCTGACTCCTCTGAACCTCGTGTTTCTTTTTCATAAATTAGAATATCACCCACTGTATCTCACAGTATCATCTTGAACATCAGTTGAGATGATGAACATGAAAGTGCTGATGCCGGGCGCAGTGGCTCATGCCTATAATCCCAGCACTTTGGGAGGCTGAGGCCGGTGGATCACCTGAGTTGGGAGTTCGAGGCTAGCCTGACCAACATGGAGAAATCCCGTCTGTACTAAAAATACAAAAAAATCAGCCGGATGTGGTGGTGCATGCCTGTAATCGCAGCTACTCGGGAGGCTGAGGCAGGAGAATCGCTTGAACCCAGGAGGCGGAGGTTGTGGTGAGCCGAGATCGTGCCATTGCATTCCAGCCTGGGCAACAAGAGTGAAACTCCGTCTCAAAAAAAAAAAGAAAGAAAGAAAGTACTTTCTGTAAGCACTGTGCACATGATAAGAATTATTGTCTGGCATAGTTTTTGTTATTGTTGAGCAAATAAGCTTCAGGTGCTTTTAGAATCTTAACTCAGTATTTTAAAGGTGACACATTTATTACCATACTATTAATAGTACTGTAATGTTTCTTTTTAGGTGTAGAGTTAGGAGACAATCTTGAAAAATTAGGTAAGAAGGAAATTATGATGGAAAATTTCAAACATATATAAAGTAGGCCCAGTAGAATGTTCTGCGTACTCATCCCCACCTTCAACATTGGGCAACTCATAGCCAATTTTGTTTCATTTCTACACTCTCACCTCCCCTTTCTTATGTTATCGTAAAGCCAACATGTATTTATTTTCTTCTTCTTGTTTTTTTAACCTTTTTGGATATGTAGAAATACTTTTAATATTCTTTTAAAAATCTAATTATAAGTACTAAAAAAGATAGGTTGGTAGTTGAGACTAAAGGACTGTTATGTGAATGAGTTATTCTCTGACAGGAACTAGCAGGTAAACAGGATATTTTATTTCTCAAGATTTTCATATGATGGTGACCAACTGCATTGCAAAAGAATGGTCACATTCCAGGGTTGTAACTAGTTCTGGAGGCTTAGTTACGCAATTGCCGGCTCTGTCATCTTCTACAGGGATGTGACCTTACGGAAAAGTAAGGAATCTGAAGCGTGGCAGATCACTTTGAAGCTTGCCCAGTTTTTGCATGTTATCATGTAATAGTGCTAAAACTTTTTGTCCTCCAGCTAGGCAACATAGGTATGTAATTTAGACTTTGGGAATACTGTAGAGCTGTGATAAACCCTGCTTTAAGCTACATTCTGGGATCGTAACATGTAATTTAGAAGTCAAAATCCACTTAGAAGAAAAGAATTTTTAAAGCACGGTAAATCAGAACCATTTTTGTGATTAATTTTTATTGATCTTTTTAAATTTTTCATAATTTTATGTTCTGGTTCTCATAAGAACAAATACAAATAATTTTAAACCTTAAAGATGTTTAAATCTGTTAAATATTTTATTTATGTAGGATTTTTATTCCTTAAAGTCACATGTGGAGTTTTTTATTTTTAACAAGGTATTAGTACTATTAGGTAATACTAATATGCAATAAATTGAATATATAGTAATTTTGTATGTCTCAATTATTTTAAGGTTTTTATGCATGCTTGAATTTTTTTCCGAAATGAAATGAATGTAAATGCACTTTTGTTTTAAAATATTCCAAGACATCTTTGTATTAATACAAGGAAGTTTATGAGTTGGGGCAGGGAAAACAGAGATGGAGGAGATGAAACTCGTGATAAGATTGTCATAACTCCCAAATATATTGTAATCACAGATCTAGGTTGGTTTCTGTCAGAGACATCACCATTCCACCAGTCTCCCTTCCTGGAAACCTAGAAATCTTCACTTTTTCCGCTGTCACTTTCTACATCTAATGAATAGATCCCTATTGATTATTTATTTAGAAAAATCTCTGACCGGGCATGGTGGCTCATGCCTGTAATCCCAGCACTTTGGGAGGCTGAGGCAGGCGGATCATGAAGTCAGGAGATCGAGACCATCCTGGCTAACATGGTGAAACCCTGTCTCTACTAAAAAAAAAAAAAAAAAAAAAATACAAAAAATTAGTCGGGTATGGTGTCAGGCGCCTGTAGTCCCAGCTACTCGAGAGGCTGAAGCAGGAGAATGGCGTGAACCCAGGAGGCAGAGGTTGCAGTGAGCCGAGATCCTGCCACTGCTCTCCAGCCTGGGCGACAGAGCGAGACTCCGTCTCAAAAAAAAAAATCTCTGGCCTTTATCTTTTCCAGGTCCTTGACCAGGCTATAAGTTCTGATTTTTGTCAACATTCATCTAGACTAATAGCAGTTGAGAAGAAATGAACAAATACATTTTGGCCATACCATTTTATGTATATTTAATCCTTACAGTAATCTTGTGAGTTAAGACAGTTATCTGTATTTTTCAGATTGTGAAAACTAGGCAGGCTTTTTCAAATATATTACCCTGCAAAGGTATCTTCTTGCTCTGAGTCTTTCTTGCTCTGAATCTTTCTTGCTCTGTAATACATTTCATACAAGAATGCCAGGATAATCTCCCTAAAGTGTAACTTTATTATAATAACTTAATAAAACCTGTAATTACTGGCAAATTACCAGGGATTTTCACATGTTTTGTCTCATTCTATACAAACTACCCCATGAGGTTTATATTATCTCATATACACCTTGTAAAATGACCTGTAATGACTTTTCTTTCCCATCAAACCAGTTATAAACTCTTAATGTTGATGATGTTCCACATTTTCTGCTGTGGCTTTGTTATGCCCTTTCAATCATCTCTCTCAATGTAAACTTGGAGCTAGCTTTAGCCAGCTTCCTTATGGCCCTCTTCAGATACCATTTTTATTTCTTCCCAAAGGTCTACTCAAAACACAACTCTTGTCCGCCTAATCCCCACCCCATCCCCCGCCACCTCTGTCCTCTAATTTAAACACTGCCAGTCCTACAGAGCCCATTTCAAGTCCTGGCTTTTACCAAAAAACTTTTCCCTGGCCAGGCGTGGTGGCTCAAGCAACCTAGCACTTTGGGAGGCTGAGGCGGGCAGATCACTTGAGGCCAGGAGTTCGAGACCAGCCTGGCCAACATGGTGAAAACCCACCTCTACTAAAAATACAAAAATTGGTGTGTTGGCACACGCCTGTAATCCCAGCTACTCGGGAGGCTGAGGCGGGAGAATCACTTGAACCTGGGAGGCAGAGGTTGCAGTGAGCCAAGGTCGTGCCACTGCACTCCAGCCTGAGCAACAGAGTGAGACTCCATCTCAATTAAAAAAAAAAAAAAGGAAACCTAAAAGCTTTTCCCAAGAGTTTATATATTCCTGCATTTTTTTCTTCTTGATTTCCATTATCATATCTATTTGCCCTTGAGCATATATTTCTTAATATGTTTTCTTCCTAACTACAAAAGTTATATATGCTTGTGGCAAAAATATTATATAGGATATTTGAAAGTGAAAAGATAACTCCTCTGACCCCAATCCCAGTTTGTAGCATATGTGTCATTTTTCTGTGCATAAGCAAGAATATGCATAGCCATGCATACACCCACACCTGTGTACACGAGAGGTTATATATAGATGTATATATAGATACATGGAGTTATATTTTATACACATATACAATTCTATGTCATTTGTTTTTACTTCAAAGTATATTGGAAATCTTTCCATGTCAGTGAATACAAAGAATTGTGTTTAAATATACCTTTTTATTTCCTCAAATTGTTTCATGTCAAATTGTTTTATTCATACACATCTTATCTTCCTTTGGAAAAGAAAATGGAAAGTCCTCAAGAGCAGGAATGGTTACATACTCATTCTCTTTTCCATTCCATTATTCTCTACTCTTGGTGCATTTATTGCATATTTCACTATTTTTGCTGTGGGAAATAAAAGATGCTTGCCTTCTAATCCCTAAGGAGTTATGACCTAGTAGGTAAGAGTCCACATTTTACATATAATGTTAACGCAGGAAGAAATTGAGAGGCAACACAGATTTCTATTCCTGGAAATATGGCAGTTAGGTTATTTGAACAATCTTCTTGCTGAAAAATAATTGAAACTGTTGAGTATGTATAAGAAAACATCCTCAGAGCAGCAAAGGGCTGAAAAGAGAAGGAATTAAAGGCTAAAGTCTGAAGGCAAGTGAAAATTCAGAAAGAAGTGGAGAACTGAAACTTTTTGCGCTTAACGTAGAATTCAGCACAATGATTTGGAGGTGGTGAGGTCAGGGAGTTTCTAGGGTGCTCAGAAGTTTCTAGTTATAGACCTGGTGGTAGCTGTACGGGATAATTATTTTCTAAATTTAAAGTATGTATTTTGTGCACTTTTCTATGTACATGTTATAATTTACAACAAAGGATTAAATGTAAAAGGACGAGTTGCAAAACTATATATATATATATCATATGATCCCATACATGTGTATTTCATGTAAATGAGTATGTGTGTGTGTGTTATGTAAATAGGGGTCTTAATATATACATTTTACATAATAAGTATATAAATTTATGTGTATATATAAATGTGTTTATGTTGGGAATGGAAATGTTTGCATATGTGTGTTTCATATACTTAGAAAAAGACCTGGAGGTACTCACTAAACTACTGACTGAGGCCATCTCTGAGAGACAGGAAGGGCATGGGGAAGGAACGAGAAAGGAACTTAGACTTTTTGCTTTATACCACTCAAATTAAATTTTTAAACAATTGTCATCATTTAATGTGTTTTAAAATCAGATTTCTAAAAAGATTTGACTAACATCTCTGCCCACTGATAGAAAAGTACTCCCTCTACCATGCTCTATACCACTTGGTACACTATCTTTCTTTTCTTTCTTTCTTTTTTTTTTTTCTGATCTTGCTCCTTTGCTAGACTCTTAAAAGGAACAAGACCTGTCACGTTTATTTTTCTTGTACCTACTAAATACTGGTACATAGTAGAGGGTCTATAAATACTAGTGAAAACTGAATGAGTAAATGTACCTTAAGTAGAACAAAGGGCTGTAGGCACTCAGTAGTTATACATTTCCTCTGAGGCTCTTGTTACATTTTTTAATATTCTTCTGTACCTGGCACAGCAGTGAACATAAAGTTGGCACAGTAAATACAGGTTGATTTGAATTTAAACAACACTTTGTGGAACTGTAGGCAAATGTGGAGTCCACCATGTGGTGCCCCTCTTGATCCCAGGCAGCAGGGACATGAAATTACCCCCTGAAAAGTAAACTGAGAAGTGAACACCTAATAGATTAAGGTCAAGAGAGGCAACATAATCTTAAGAGACATAAAGACTCTTTGGGGAGTAAGGTTTTTACTATAACCTAATCGAGGGCATTGACATCTTAAACACACTCACACAGTCTCCATCAGAATAGCAGTTTTTCTGTCTCTAAAACAGAGAAAAAGTAAAGCTATTAATGTCACTGTTACGGTTCCTAACAAAGCACTGTCAGATCAACAACACCTGCCAGATTGAGGCAAGCATTCAGTCCACCTGGCAGATGTCTAACCCCTGTGGCACTGGAATCCTACATAATTAACTCCACTTGCTGTGCTTCCACACACACCAAGCTTCCCTCTGGAAACTGCCTTTTCAAGGAGATAATTCACTATCAGGCTGATAGAGTAATTCAGTTATGCCCTATTCTGTTGTTCACTGTGAATTAATAAAGTCACATTCTTTTTTTCTCAGTACATCAGTGTCTTGTGAGTTTTGTTAGCATAAATCTGCATTCCTGAGTCCAGTCAGTGAGACCGGGTATCAGAGTCTGCAAGGCTTATCAGGGTAAATACTACCTTGTGGCCATCTGTTGGCACAGACTGCTGGATTCCCCAGGTGATGCCCATCTGCATCGTTTTGTGCCATGTTTCCTTTCCATTCCACACTGGAGTTCTCAGAAGTTATTAAGAACTCCCTAATAATGTGCACATTCCAGTTAGAGAGTACTAAGCTATGTTACCCCATGACAGTTGACCTCTTCTGGGTGAATATTATCTGATTGATTTTGCAAATTCCACACCTGTATGGATGAAGAGAATATATATTGTAGATGCTAGATCATGAGGACTCCCAACACCTCATTTCTAGTCCTGGCTTCACAGCCTCTTCTGGTCCTCATCTCACTATCAGCATTGATCCTGGCATCATATTCAAGTCCCCTCCTAACCCGGGTCTCTCTTGAGACAGTGAGAACTAAAGAAGATGGAAGACACAATGATTTCAACAAGATTAAGGATAAGGATGCAAGTAGAGCAGGCAGGGAACGAGGTTATAGAAACTTTTTATTCCATTTCCATCTGTCTCTCTTTCCTCACAACAGTCCCAATAGCATTTCAAAGGGTTTCAAGTTCCATGTAAGTTATAGAAAAAAATAAAGCACAAGTTCTCTGTGACATGTTCAGCTTATCTATGAATATAACGGAACTGAAACCATATTTCAATAAATTATTAACAGCAATCCCTTGCCAAGAAGGATATCAGCACAGATAACAGGGCAAATCCATTATAACTCTTAAGCAAATCCTGGAATTTTAAAAAAATTGAATAGTGTATCAAATAAGTGCACTGTTAGCTGGGACTTCATTAAACAGCATTTTTTTTCCTTTCTTTCCTGTTCCTCCCCCTTTCCCACCAGCTTCCAGCCAGAATAATTGATAACTAAATCTCACCATGAATTTGTTGGGAATTTACCCACAATAGTTCTCAATTTATTTTAAGATTTAAAATAATATATTTTTAAATAGTAGATTAAGACTTTACAGAAATTTCAGATAGGATAATACAGAACCTTGAAAAGACTTATTTTTTACAAACTTCCTTAAAAATTCTTAATTGTTCTAACAGTCACAGTTTTGTTTATGTATACAATTGGAGTTCTGCAGTAAGACACTGTGGGGTTATTAGTACATATATCAAATTCATGAGGCTCCTATTCCTGTATATTGTTACAGAGCTGTTCTTGTATATTGATGTTTAATGATATGGGGCCGAATTGTTATTCAAATAATTACAGCCCATTCCTGATTATTTAGATGCTGATTAACTAGTCAATGACTTATTCCCTTTGACAAAATTTCCCACCCTCTGGCTTTCCTTTGATGTTAATGAGGAAGAGGATCCAGTTTTCATCCCATTTGGCAAGGTTGGTTTCATGGACTGAGCCACTCTGGATGTAAGATCAGTAGCTACTCTGTAGACTTTATGGTAATGGAAGTTAGGTTAGGTTGCATCAGAACACTCAAAAGTCAAGCCTATCACCATATTTGAGAAGAAACTCACAGTATTTGATATACCTTAGTGGATTTGAAACAACATCTTATGTTACAAAAAAATAGCATTTTAAAAATTGGGTGGGGCACTGTGGATCACTCCTGTAATCCCAACACTTGGGGAGGCCAGGGTGGGCAGATCACTTGAGGCCAGGATTTCGAGACTAGCCTGGCCAACATGATAAAGCCCCATCTCTATTAAAACTACAAAAATTAGCTGGGCATGGTGGTGCACGCCTGTAGTACCAGCCACTCGGGTGGTTGAGACATGAGAATTGCTTTAACCCGGGAGGCAGAGGTTGCAGTGAACCAAGATCATGCCACTGCACTCTAGCCTGGGCGACAGAGCAAGACTCTGTCTCAAAAAAAAAAAAAAAAAAAAATTCAAACCAGGCACTATTAAATGTTATGTGCTGATACAAAAAATTACAAATTTAAAAAGAAAAATCATACCACTTCCTTCAATAAATAATTAATTAGAGGCTGAACATAACATTTGTAAAAATATACCCAGAATTTGCAAAACTACCTGGATTTTTCAGAACTTACATACATTTTACCAAAGTGCATGAGATAGTATCAAGATTCCTGCTAATAGAAAAGTATATAACCTGTGCTGTAAATAAAGATAAAAGAGTAGAGTGAGTCAGAGAAAGATGGTCACCTGAGAAGTAAGTAAGTGTGTCGCCCACTCTGATCCCTGCCCCTTCTTGCTCATTGCTGAGGCCACTGTCAGCCTTTGTTTTCTCTTTCCTACTGTTGAGGGTCAGGGTCTAAACAGAGATTCACTGGACTGAACTGAAAAGACAACTAGATTATAGAACAGAATTCTCCTGAAGTTGGGCAGCATTAGGGCAAGCTGAAGTGTGCAGTTTTTCTTTTTCTTTTTTTTTTTTTGAGACGGAGTCTTGCTCTGTCTCCCAGGCTGGAGTGCAGTGGCAGATCTTGGCTCACTTCAACCTCCTCCTCCCGGGTTCAAGCCATTCTTCTGCCTCAGCCTCCCGAGTAGCTGGGACTACAGGCACAAGCCTCCACCCCTGGCTAATTTTTGTGTTTTTAGTAGAGATGGGGTTTCACCATATTGGCCAGGCTGGTCTTGAACTCCTGACCTCGTGATCAGCCCGCCTTGGCCTCCCAAAGTGTTGGGATTCCAGGCTTGAGCCACCACGCCTGGCTTACAGCTTTCAGAATTACATTACTGTCTTCAGACACTGACATACTTTATAATGAAGCCAATCTTTCACATACTGGCAGCACAGGGACCTTGTATAAATGGCTGAGTAAACAGAGGTAACTTTTCTCCTTCTATTCTGCCTTTCTGAATTCTTTTTCTGCATCACCTGTTCTTCAATCTTCCTGCAGCCCTTTAACTCTTCTTATTTTTGTCCCTTTGGGCAATTTTACCATAAGGCTTGATAGCATTAAGTAAATCCCTGCATGTGTGTCTGTGTCTTGTGTGTAATGGTTATTTTTTTTTTGTTAGTTTGTAATGCACTTAGCATATTCCTGTCTAATCAAGTAAACACCAACAGTAATATTTCTTAAATTTGTAGAATTATTGGTTTTTGACAGCCTGAAAATCATCCTCAAAAAAAAGGTATATAAACACAAAATGTTAGGAACAACTGCATGGTATTCATGCACCCCTGGTATCTATTTATGGATCCCAGCTGGGTTCAGATCCCTTTCCCATTTTGTAGTTTCAAAATTAGCAGCTTCCATGGTCACTGGTGGTACAGGTTGAGTATCCCTTATCCAAAATACCTGGGACCAGAAGTGTTTTGGATTTCAGACTTTTTTGAATTTTGGAATATTGGCACTATTCTTACGGGTTGAATATCCCTAATCTGAAAATCTGAAGTCCAAAATGCTCCAATGAGCATTTCCTTTGAGCACGAGGTCAGTCCTCAAAAAGCTTTGAATTTTATGGCATTTCGGATTTTGTATTTTCAGATTAAGGATACTGAACCTGAATTTGGAAATACATTTATTCATCAGATACTCATGGGATGCTTACTATGTGCCAGAAAATGTGCAGGGCACTGAAATAGAGTGAAAAAGACATTGGCTCACCCATGAAAATGTATAATGCAGTTGAGGGGAGATAGGCAATCAAATATACAATTATAATACAGAATACATTCAATAATAGTGGAAGTACATATACTTAAAAGAGCATGTCAGATGAGTATTTAAGTCAGCCTTAGGGCATCAAGAAATTCTCCTTACAGTTATATCTGGGTCGTTTGTTTTCTGAAGAAGAAGGAATGCTACGTTTAAAGTTAAGAGAGTTACAGATTTATGTGTCATATTGAGAAATTTGGATTTGATTTTAAAGGACCTTACATTGAAGGTTAATAAGAATTGATCTGTAACTGAAAAAGATAACTGTAGGATGGAGGTGGGTTGGAGGAAGCAGAGTCAGAGGTTGGGCCCATAGTAAGCCAGGTAAACAGTAGTGGTGATTTTAACAAAAGTACTCATAGTGTAAGTTGAAAAGAAGTGAATGAGTTGAAAATATAAGAATTGGAAATCACAGAATTTAGTAATTGAATTTATTCCTTCCACAAATATTGTTGAGCTGCTATGTGTTAGGCATTCTGTTAGATATGGTGGGGAACAAGAGAGACACCCTGTCTGTCCTCAAGTCTAGTGGTGTTGACTTCAGGGCTTTTAGAGTGGACAATTTCAGTGGGTGATGATGCCATTTACCAGAAATGGAACAGACAGGTGTCTCAGACCAAAGATCCCTAGATGTGAGAACTGCTTCCTTAATGCCCCTTTTGAGATTTCAAGATGTCCATGTGATTGAGAATCACTGTGTCTAATGGAAGTGTATCTCTATGTAAACAATAACTGGGGGGGGAGTTTGAGAACCACTGTTACAGGTGACAGTTGAAGCCAGGAAGTAGATATTACCCAGGAAATATATGTAGAAAGAGAGGAAAGGATGGCTGAGGATTGAACCTGGCAAACCCATGGAGAGAAAAGAGGAAGCTGATGGGGAAACGAGCAGAGTATAAAGAATCTAACATATTTGATCCCGTAGAATCAAAGGGAAGAAAAGCAATATGGCAGCAACAGACAGCTGAAGGGCATATTGGATGGGCTCCTGGTTCAAGGTGTTGACCTGAGCTTACATATGAGACACCACATGTTCACCACCACCTCCACCATCCCACTCCAGTTGTATCACCTCTAAAGTGTCCAAATGAAATTAGTAGGAAAAAGTCTTTATCACTGCAGACCACCAAGAAAAGATGCCATGCAAATGCCTAGCTTAACAAAACTTGGTTCCAGCAAGAACTGTTAGCTTATGGTTCATCCCATGCTAAGGAGGACCCTGCCTGGAAAGTAAACAGAGGGCCCTCTGACCAGTGCTCACAAATACCCTTCAGCTTACAACAGCAGGAGCTAGAGACCTGGGTGAACTACAGAGTAGTTGTGGAAGAGGAGGGGGGACATATTTTGAAATGTCTGGAGCCTCTGGTAATTACATAGGTACTAGAGAACAGAGTCCCCCACTCACAGCACAAACGCATACCCATGCGATGGCTCAGAATTCTCACCTGGTTTACTCTCAGCAAAGTCAGGCTAACTGCAGAAGAGACAGTGCTAGCTGCCTGTGGGTCACAGTGATAGACAAGGAGAGGAGAGTCATCTTTAAGCTGCAGTCACTTTTTTTTTCTTTTGCTGGAACCTAAAAGTTTATATCAAAAACCCACAACATTTTTGATAGAACACTCACAATTCTCAATATTGGTTACATGTAGACTCTATCTGGGTAAGCAATGTGGAAAAAAAATCACCAGACATGGAAATGTCTGTGCCAGAAACTATGCAGGGCACTGAGATAGAGTGAAAAAGACATTGGCTCACCCCTGAAAATGTATGATGCAGTTGAGGGGAGACAGGCAATCAAATATACAATTGTAATAGAGAATACATTCAATAATAGTGGACGTATATATACTTAAGAGAGCATGTCAGATGAGTATTTAAGTCAGCTTTAGGGCATCAGGAAATTCTTACAGTGACAGGATTGTTCTCTGAAGAAGTAGTGCTATGTTTAAAGTCAAGAGAGTTACAGACTTATGTGTCATATCGAGAAATTTGGATTTGATTTTAAAGGGCCTTAAGCTGAAAGATGTTCCAAAAGGAAGATCCAAAAGGATCTGTTCCAAAAGGAGAAGATTGTGAGCAACCATAGCAAATGGGCTCCTTTGAAGCAACCTTGCAAAAATAATAATTTTTTAAAAAAAAAAACCTCTAAATTTCTAATGTGTATTGTCATTGAAAATTGAGGAGTGATTGTGTTGATAAAATCAAGAATCATATCTCAATGTTATTAAATAGAAAGTAATGATGATTCACTCTTAAACATATTCTAACAAAATTATTATATTTTAAGGAATTATAAGAACTATAAAGAACTATAAGCATCCAGATGTGTGAGAGTCAGGTAAGGTGGAGTGAGGGAGGCGATAGTTATCTCAAAAGAAAGAGAATTACTTTGTATCCAATTACCTAATAGTCCCGCATGCTAAAAATAATGGAGCATCCGTCACCTTAGGCATTAGAGGGGAAAAGCCTCAAATTTTACAGCTTGCTGAGGCATCTTTTCTTCAAAGAGCAACAGGAAGATCATCTTTGTCACTGAAAGACTCACAACATATCCCACTTCTGTATAAATCCCCCAAAAAGCAAAATTTATAAAGACATTCTGGAGCCACATAAGTAATTAGTCAGAATAAAGAACTCAAGAAAGGGAAGATATTGTAAGAGTTTTTTTTTTAAGTAGCATAGAATTAATTGTGACTAGCAGTTGTTAACAGAGTGGTGTGCCATAAAGCTAATGATAAATGATTCCTCAAAAAAGAATAATGTAACAGACTAATAGCAGGGATCTACAATTATAGAATGTTTCTCAACAATTAGGCAGGAGGAAGACAAAAGAGTCCAAGGAGAGTAAAAAATGGCTGTTTTATAATTAGCATTGATTAAAAAAATACAGGATAAAGAAAGTTCAAAGTTGAGCAGTAGCAGAGTAAAAATAGGATGAATAATTTCCTAAGTTACTCATTCTGTTCATTAAAGAGAGGAGGGGAAAAAACTTAATCAATATGGCTAAGGGGAGAGGGAACTTCTTAACCTATATGGCTAAGGGAGGGGGAAAGAAACCATTCTGGAAGCATAAAAAAACAAAATGTAGCTTTAAATTAAAACCAAACATTTATTACCATGCAGTGACTACCCTATGTTGTTAAAAGACAAGGATTCGAATTGGCTTTTAAAAAAAATTCAGCCACTATATGATCCAAAGGTACATCTTTAAAAATATCATAATGGAGAGGTTGAAAACACATACCAGACAACAAACTAAAAAATTTGGGGTGCTACTGTTGAATTAGAGGCAAAAGTATTATACTGTGCAACTTTATTATTTTTTGCTGTTAAAAATTCAGTAAACACTGTCAAAGCAATCCTCATAAAACTTTCGTCCTATCAGAAGACATTTAGAAGTACAAGGATTGGAAGAAACACAACTGCTGCTGCAATTTGGACTTTTTTTTCAGAGTAAATGAACATTCGCACACAAAAAAAGATATAGAGGAGCGACTGCTCAAAGCTTAAACTAATAACTACACACTGTACTTTGTATGCTACAGAAAGTAATTTACAAGATCAATTAAATATTTATAAGATTTATACTGGCCACAAAGTGAATTTTAAGGGATTTTAAACATTGAAATTGGCCAAGCTCTGTGGCTCACACCTGTAATCCCAACACTTCAGGAGGCCAAGGCAGCAGATCACCTGAGGTCAGGAGTTCAAGACCAGCCCGACCAACATGGTAAAACCCTATCTCTACTAAAAATACAAAAAATTAGCCCGGCGTGGTGGTGGACACCTGTAAGCCCAGCTACTGGGGAGGATGAGGCAGGAGAATCACTTGAACCTGGGAGGCAGAGGTTGCAGTGAGCAGATATTGCACCACTGCACTCCAGCCTGGGCGACAGAGTGAGACTCTGTCTCAATAAATAAATAAATAAAGGTAAGCATTGAAATTGGACTTGCCACATTCTCTCACCATAATGCTGACAAATACACATTTACATCAAATATTAACTGAAATAATAATTTGAAATTTAAAAAAGAAACTTATCTATAACACAAGTCAAAGGCTACGTCAAAACTATAGTTAAAAATGATTCACAAGTTAATGGCAAGAACATACATAACTTACCAAAATGTGTAGGTGGGAAGAGGGTTTATCAAAATTAGAGGAAAATTGTTGCCTTATTAAGCTCGATAGCATAAACATAAGTGAGTTACACAGCAATGCAAGGAAAAATCTAAAAAAAATACTAAGGATAGAAAAATGAAAGAATAATGACAATAGCAGCAATTAATGAATTAGAAAAGCAGAAAAACAATAAAATGATCAATCTAAGAGCTGGATTACTGAAAATTGAAACAAAATTAAGATCAAAAGAAAATATGAAGGCCAGCTCTGTGGCTCACGCATGTAATCCCAGCACTTTGGGAGGCCCAGGCAGTGGATCACCAGAGGTCAGGAATCAGCCTGGCCAACATGGTGAAACCTCGTCTCTACTAAAAATACAACAACTAACTAGGTGTGGTGAGGCACCTGTAATCCCAGCTACTCGGGAGGCTGAGGCAGGAGAATGGCTTGAACCCAGGAGGCAGAGGTTGCAGTGAGCCGAGATTGCGCCACTGCACTCCAGCCTGGGCAACAGAGCAAGACTCCATCTCAAAGAAAATATGAAATTAGGAATAAAAAGAGGTATATAACCATAGACGTGTTGGGAATTTTTAAAAAACATATTTGAAAAGTAATATTTTTAACTCTGTGACAATTCAGTTTTAACTCTGTGACAATTCAATCTGCAAAATGAATCTTTTCTTTTTTCTTTTTCTTTTTTTTTTGAGACAGAGTCTCACTCACTCTATCACCCAGGCTGGAGTGCAATGTCGCAATCTCGGCTCACTGCAACCTCCGCCTCCCAGGTTCAAGCAATTCTCCTGCCTCAGCCTCCTGAGTAGCTGGGATTACAGGCATGCGTCACCATGCCCGACTAATTTTTGTATTTTTAGTAGAGACAGGGTTTCACCATGTTGGTCCAGCTGCTCTCGATCTCCTGACCTTGTGATCCACCCGCCTCCTCCTCCCAAAGTGCTAGGATTACAGGTGTGAGCCACCATGCCTGGCCCCAAAAATGTTTCTTAAATGACCAAAATGAGCTTCAAATGGCTAACAACTATAAATGACATTGACAAAAACAGAATTTAAAGAAAGACTCCTCCCTCCCCCAAAATGCAAATTCCAGACATATTTATCACTCAATACTGTCAAACTTTGAAGGAACACAAATGTCCTATGTTATCTAATCTATTTCAAAGCATGGAAATGTCTTGTGAAACTTTGCATTTTATTTTATGAAGCTAGGGTATCTATGACCAAATTATTTTTTTCCTCATCTTTATTGAGGTATGATTGAAAAATAAAAACATTATGTACAAGTCTACAACTTGATGTTTCGATATAGATATAAATTATGAAATAGTCACCACAATCAAGGTAATTAACATATCTGACACCGCATAATTACCATTTTCTTTTTTTTCTTTTTCTCTTGTGTGGTTAAAATACTTAAGATCAGCATTCTTAAGTATTTCAAACCAATCTCCAGTATACTATATAATATTGTTAACTATAGTCACGTTGCTTTACTATGATTAAATTCTGTATTTTTTTTTTTCTTAAAATATTAAGAGGCCTGGCATGGTGACTCACACCTCTAATTCTAGCACTTTGGGAGGCTGAGTGGGGCAGGATTGCTTGAGCCCAGGAGTTAGAGACCAGCCTGGGCAACATGGTGAAACCCTGTCTCCAAAAAATAACAAAAAAAAAATTAGCTGGGAGTAGTATCGTGTACCTGTAGTCCCAGCTACTCAGGAGGCTAAGGTGGGAAGATTACCTGAGCCCAGGAGGTCAAGGCTGCAGTGAGCCGTGTTCATGCCACTGCACTTGAGCATAGGTGACAGAGTGAGACATTGTCTCCAAAAAAAAAAGTTAAGGACACTTCCACTAAAACCACATATAGGAAATCTTAAGTCAAATAGCAAATATTAATAAAATCTGGCAGAATATTGAAAGATTCCTAAATGTGACCAGTTAAGATTTGGCTCACGCCTATAATCCCAGCACTTGGGGAGCCCAAGGCCGGTGGATTACCTGAGGTCAGCAGTTCGAGACCAGCCTGGCCAACACGGTGAAACCCCGTCTCCACTGAAAATATAAAAATTAGCTGGGTATGGTGGCAGGCACCTGTAATCCCAGCTACTCGGGAGGCTGAGGCAGGAGAATCGCTTGAACCCAGGAGGCAGAGGTTGCAGTGAGCCGAGATTGCATCATTGTACTCCCACTGGACAACAAGAGCAAAATTCTGTCTCAAAAAAAAAAAAAAAGATTTGTTTCACTAATGTAGCATTTGTTCATCATTAGAAAAATCCATAAAATGGTAACCACATTAAGAGATCAAGAGGAAAGCCATTTTCAGTCATTATTACTAAGACAAGTTGTAATATTACTCTAGAGTAATAGAGTGCTAGTGAACAAGTGGTGAACTAAAGTGACCACTTTCCTTGTGAAACTTAAGTTCCAATGGGAGAATGACAGTAAACAGACAACTATTATAATAAGTGCATGGAAGATTTTGGTGTATGTTAGATTTTCAAATCTGTAGAGAAAAGTTGGCTCATTCAATAAAAATTTTGAAACCATTGATTAATGTCTTAATAACTATATGTTAAATCTAAAATTTATACTTTAGATTTAAATATGTTACAAATGAATTGAAGATTTTAAGATTAAAAATTGAAACTAAAGTGTGAAAAGAAACAGTCCGGGGTGTTTATATTACCTTATGTTCTGTTTGACCTTTTCAGTCATGTCAGAAGGAAGCATGCTTGGGAAGATTTATGAGCTGAAGGATAATATTGCCCTACTTCTGAGACAATAAAGACAAAAGCAATTGCTTCAAACTTGCAAGCATTCAGCAAAGCATAACATGGTTGCAAGATGTATTATATTTGAAGATTTTGCATATAAAGAACTGAAACTGCAAGGGGCAAAATTAATATCATCAGGCTAAGGCAGGCAGATCACTTGAGGTCAGCAAGATCAGCCTGGCCAACATAGTAAAACCCCATCTCTACTAAAAATACAAAAATTAGCTGGGCATGGTGGTGCATGCCTGTAGTCCCAGCTACTTGGGAGGCTGAGGCAGGAGAATTACCTGAACCAGGGAGGCGGAGGTTGCAGTGAGCTGAGATCACACCACTGCACTCCAGCCTGGGCGACAGAGCAAGACTCCATCTCAAAAAAAAAAAGTCAACATCATTCCTTGATACATTAAGTTTTTTCAGAGAAAGTCCAGCTATGCTAATGAGACTCACTAACATTTTTCAAGTGTATTCTATGTATTACCTCATGTAGTACTGAAGACAGTCATTGGAAGTATGCAGATAGGGTTTTACAGGGAAGGATATGGAGACACAGAGGATCATAGTAGCTTGCCCTAGGGCACTCAGGTATAATAATTGGCAGAGCCAGCAGCCAGGCACGGTGGCTCATGCCTGTAATCCCAGCACTTTAAGAGGCTGAGGCAGGCGGATTACTTGTGGTCAGGTGTTCAAGACCAGCCTGGCCAACATGGTAAAACCTTGTCTCTACTAAAAATACAAAAAATTAGCCGAGTATGGTGGCACATGCCTTTAATCCCAGCTACTAGGGAAGCTGAGGAACAAGAATCTTTTGAACCAGAGAGGCAGAGGTTGCAGTGAGCCAAGATCATGCCACTGTACTCCAGCCTGGGTGACGGAGCAAGACTCTGTCTCAAAAAAAAAAAAAAATAGGCAGAGCCATGAGTGAAATTCAATCTTGTACCA
Source organism: Homo sapiens (assembly GCF_000001405.40). NCBI lineage: Eukaryota > Metazoa > Chordata > Mammalia > Primates > Hominidae > Homo > Homo sapiens. The sequence goes on from NC_000008.11 coordinate 125,249,222, forward strand.
GAGTCCACTTTATTATACTGTTTCGAACATGGTTCTGAATTTTAAAGATCTCAAAAAACAGGTTCCTTAAGATGAATTCAGAGAGGGGAGAAATTTCACTTAATCTGCTTCAAGAGTAAGTTTGGATGATAGCATCCCCACATCACAGCTGACAGTCCATTTGGAGCTTATAAGAATCCCTTTCTCACCTACATGCAGTCTTTGTCAGAAAGATGTTCATGGGGAGTGTTCGGGACTCAAGTTTCATTCAGCTGACAAAATAACTTCCAGAAAATCACTTTGAAAAAATTTTGGGCAAAACATTTCTCTATTTACTCCAAAACAAATGAGTGGACTTTGAATGCCACCTACTCACTTCACCAACATACATTTTTAGAGCTGGTTTTTCTCCATTTGTGACTATAAAAGGAAAGCAGTGCAATCAGCCTGGCCCACTTTGAGTTCTCTTTCCCACACCCAGTTTGATTGAAGGACACAAGATTCCTTCAAGCAAGAATACTCAGTGCTTATGTGGGCATCACATGATCAAAGTTTCTAAGCAAAAATGTTTTTTTCCCAAAACCTGACATTGTTTTAGGTTTGGGATGATGGTGATCATTATTATTATTATTTCAAACATTAAAGGCAGACCTGAGATTTTTAAGTTTCTTTAAGGTGGTGTGAACTTTTGAAAACATTCAGAAATTACCAGCTGCTATTGGGAGGAATTAAAAATAAAAAAGGAAAAAACATTGGGAAACAGTATTTTATTATTTATTTGTTTACTTATTCATTTATTTATTTTTGAGACGGAGTTTCGCTCTTGTTGCCCAGGCTGGAGTGCAATGGCGCAATCTCGGCTCACTGCAACCTCCGTCTCCTGGGTTCAAGCGATTCTCCTGCCTCAGCCTCCCAAGTAGCTGGTACTACAGTCATGCACCACCATGCCTGGCTAATTTTTGTATTTTTAGTAGAGATGGGGTTTCACCATGTTGGCCAGGCTGTTCTAGAACTCCTGACCTTGGGTGATCCGCCTGCCTTGGCTTCCCAAAGCCACCACGCCCAGCAACACTATTTTATATGTATTATTTTTGGTATGGAAACATAAAGATAGTTATAATGTTTTTCTTTTTAAAAAAAAAGCATCCTTTCATCCACCCAGATTTTTCTAGCCCTCTTACTTTAATTAATCCAAAAAAGATGTGTTATAGCCTATTAAGGTTAGACTACCTCTATTGATATATTGCTGTGGAAATGTTCATAGCATTAAACAACTACTGTTTCCTTACTGTAAGTAAACATTTATTAACTAAAAACAACCTGCTTTTACTTGTTTCACTTATATTCTCATGAATTCAGATTTGTCTTAAATTTTTATAGCTATAATTTCATCCAATTCTTATTTATTTGGTCATATGTCTCTTGCAGACATTTCTTCGGATTTGTTTTGTTTTGTTTTGTTTTTTAAGAGATGGAATCTTGTTCTTTCACTCAAGCTGGAGTGCAGTGGTGCCAGCATAGCTTACTGCAGCCTCACCCTCCCCAGCTCAAGAGATCCTCCAACCTCAGCCTCCCAAGTAGCTGGGATAACAAGCGTGAGCCACCACACCCAGCCCATTTCTTAGTTTTTATGTTTTAAATCAGTCTGAATCCTGATCTTTACGCAGGAAGATTTATGTTGACAGTTGATAATAATGTTGATTATAACATTAGTATTAACCTACATTCACTAAATCTTTACTAGGTGACAGTAAAACAACATGCACAATATGATCCTATTTTTATAAAATATATTTTAATTTATGATATGCCGTGCAGAAAAATTATATAGCAGCTGTTAAAAGTAGTTGTCTTTGATGGTAGGACTGCAAATGATCTGAATTTTTATGTGTGTGTTTAAAATTTCTCTAGTAAAAGCATAGTGGTTCCATAATTTAAAAGTTTAATAAGGGAATAATATAGTCAGCTATAGGACAAAGCAGATAAATGTCAATAGCTTTCTTATATACTACCCATACCCATTAGAAAGTTTCAGGGAGACGCAGGGAACAGAATAAATAAGCAAACAAAAATTCCATTCTCAATAATGACATAATACAGAAAATGCCCACAAATGAACTGGAAAAAAAAGTATTTTCAAAAAGAAAACTTAAATTTTTGAGAGATCTTTGAAACAATGGAAAATTATATCACGGGTCTTAATGGGAAGACAGTGATTTTTAAATGGGAGAGACTTGAATATGATTAAATATTAATGTAGAAGAGGAAACTTAGAGTTTACATACAACAGAAGGAATAGTTTTTCAAGTAGACTCAGTGAATATGGGTAGACATGGAGTTTGAGTGAGAGCTAGAAAATAGATTTTTTTCAAAACCTGACATTGACTTTTCCAAGTTTCCAGCATATATTCCTGGGCAGAAGATCTCAATAATAGCAAAAATAGCAACCACTTATTGGATGCCCGTTATGTCTTAGACAATGGAATAGTTATTTTCATAATTAGCTGACTTCATCTTTACCACCTTCTGCAAGCTATCTTCATTAACTCCACTTTTTAAATAAAGAAGCAGGCTTTTAAAGCAAAGTTAAATCATTTGCTCAAGGTCTTACAGGAGCTAAATGTCAGAGCTGGGATTTGAACCTAGACCTGTAATCTAACATCTTTTTTCCCTACAGTATACTGCATTATACTGCCACCATAAGACCTGGACCTCAGAAGGGGAAGCAGGCTTAGGGTTAGACTTTTTAACATGCTGGATCTAAGAGATTTACACAATATCACTTTGGTGATAAACCATTGAAATATGGTCTGGAGTCTGAGGAAAGAATCAGCTGAAAATATACTTACAGATGTCATCTGGAGATGGTTGAATCCTTGTAATCCTAGCTGAGATTGCCCAGGAGAGTATAGTCAGCAAAAAGAGGATAGCACCAATTCTGGGAACACGAACTTTTAAGAGACTAGTAAAGAGAAGCTAATGTATGAGACTGGAAAGGGATGACAGAAAGAAGAGAAGCAAATGTGTAAAATAACACACCCCTACCGGCCGGGCACAGTGGCTCACGCCTATAATCCCAGCACTTTGAGAGGCCAAGGGGGGCAGATCACAAGGTAAGGAGATTGAGACCAACCTGGCTAACACGGTGAAACCCTGTCTCTACTAAAAATACAAAAATTAGCTGGATGTGGTGGTGGGTGCCTGTAGTCCCAGCTACTCGGGAGGCGAGACAGGAGAATGGCGTGAACCCAGGAGGCGGAGCTCGCAGTGAGCTGAGATCCCGCCACTGCACTCCAGCCTGGGCGACAGAGCGAGACTCTGTCTCAAAAAAAAGAGAAAAACCCTGTTTCATCAGTATTAAGATTTATATTTTCTTGCATTTGACTATCTCAAAAATTGGCATGTGTCTTATTATCAATGAGGTCTTGTAATTGGCAGTACACAAATTAGTAGTACATAAATGGGACATCTTATAACTGAAGGAATATTTTAATCTGGTAGTTGATGGTTTAAAAATCAATCATGCTTATCCATTTCTAAATTATTTTAGAATGAAAGCATACCTTTAACTTGTATAAGTCTATTTAAGCAGTGCATAGATTAGATTAAATGAATGGTTATCTGTTAGATGGGTAGTTCCGGAGTTAAGAGCGCAAGCTCCGGAAAGAGCCAAGGTTATTTAAAGTGTCCTCACCTACCAGCTGAGTCCTTTGGGTGAAACTCTTTACTCCCTTAAGCCTAAATTTTCTTACCTATAGAACACAGATTAAAAGTCTCTATTTCTTAAGATTGTTGTAAGGATTAAATGATATAGTACATGTAAAGTACTTAGCACTGTGCCTGGCAAATGGTAAGCTCTCAGTCAATGATAGGCATTCTCATGATTTCCGATTGGAAAGAAATTGGTGCCCTTCCCATCCTACCCCAGGGTACTGCCATTTCTCTTTAAGTAAAGCTAGATTATATCTGAAATAGGCAAATATGGAAGTTTATATACACTTAAGGGAGCTACCTGTTCCCTTCTCTTGAAGGATATTAAACTGTGGTATTTGCTAGAGAATTTGAATTAGCAGGTGTATGTAGATTCTGAGCCTTTTTTGTGCTCAGCTCAAAGCCTTGACCATGCTGAATACATAACAAAGTACTGATTGATAATGTTTAACCCCTAGGGGCAGGCTTTCTTTTCGCCCTGAGCAAAAAAGATGCAATCTTTGTGGATGGGTGTTTGGGGAATTCCTGCAATATACCTTAGATGCAGAGTTTCGGGTGGAGTTTTGTTTTTATGTTTGTTTGTTTTGTTTTGTTTTGACTTTCCATTTTCCACTTTAACTGTGATCCATTCCAGGGGATTTTGTAGTTTCTCAGATGTTATACTGGATGAAAAGTAGTAACTGCATAAACATTAGTTTGAGAATACAGATAATGTTATAAATCTTCATCTTGGTTTGTATTGTAAAGGCAGCATCTCATGTGACTTATCTTTATATGGAATTGCTAAATTAGTATTGTGCCTTTCCTCCAGAAAGCTTAAAATGAAGTCGTATAGGCAGCCTGATTTAAAAGATAATTACTATTCCATTTCCTAAATGTTCTACCATGCAAGAAGAATTTGGAGGAAAAAGAAAAAGTTTATTCCTTTGGGGAAAATTAATTTTACTTTGTCTTGGTAAAATGCTACCACATATGCAGTTAAATGACAATTCCCCCTCCAAAAAAAATTTTTTGGCAGTCATAGTCATCATGACTTCTCCTATAAGATTATCCTAGTGTTCAGGATGCTTCTCAAAAGGCCTAGAAGATAACAAATATTTGTCTAAGTGTGTTTCTAAGGGCTGTAACTAAGCATCTCTCTTAATTCAGCAAACTACCTTTTTTTATTCAGTCAAAATTTACCTTTTAAATTAGGCTTGTAATTTGATTTTCATTGGTATCAAAGAATTCTCTTTTGACTCCAATATTACATTTAATAATTCAAACTCTAATATCTCTATTGAAACACTCTGTGTTTCAGTCGTGTTTGAAGATGTCTAAAAACAAAAGTCTTTTGCATTTTTCATATTCTATTTAATGGCTGGATGCATGTCAGTGCATAGGATTTGAGTCATTAGTGTGCCACAAAACATTTTACCAAGAAATGGTGCGTCATCAAATAGTTGAATTACAATGGTAGCTGTAAACGGGACCCAATTTACAAAAGTAAATAGTGTCCCCTTTTACAAGAAAGAAAATTAACCATGCTCATTCAGATTCTGAAGTTTAATTAGCTTTAACTTGCTAAAAGAAAGAAATTGAACAAGTAAATAGCATGTACTTCACCATATATAGCAAATCCTGAATCACTGCCATTTTTTATATAACTGACCCACATGGGTTCTTTGCTTTTTCTTTTATCTGTTTACCTCAGATTTTTTTTTTTTAATAAAGGACTATAATTTGATTGGCTTGTAAATTCTTCCCATTTCTAACATGCTATAAGACTTTAAGCCTAATTTCCTTTGAGCCTTAATCCTCTTGCTAATTGATGTGACTGAGTTGTCTGGAATCAACCTCCTTGGTGCAAATGACTGAGACTGTGACGTTCTATGGAAGCAGTTTGGTCCGGGAATGAATCCTTTCATTCAGCAAACAAATGCCATGCCAGCTGAGTCCTGAAAGAGCTCATGGGCACGTAAAGGAATATAGTTGTTTTACAACATGTCCCCCAAAATTATTTGACACTCTTCTCATTAGCAAGTGGGACTCTGCCCCTTCCACTTGGATCTGAGCTCTGTAACTGCCTGCCAATAGAATATGGCAGAAATGACGCATTGTATCAGTTTCTGGGCCCAGACCTTAAGAACCTAGCAGCGTCCACTTCCTGTCTCCTTGTATGCTCACTCTTGGAACCCAGCTACCATGCTGTGATGAAGCCTAAAGACCCAAGCAGAGAGGAACCAACTTGTCAGCTGTATGAATGAGCCATCTTGGAGGTGGATTCTCCAGTTCCAGGAGAGCTGCCCCAGTTAATGCTACATGAAACAGAGACAAGTCATCAGTCATCCATCCCCACTGTGCCCTTTCCAAGTTTGTGAGCAAAATAAATGACTGTTGAGTTAAGCCATAGAGTTTAGGAATGATTTGTTGCTGGAACAAGGAGGTAGACACATAAACAATTTTGAAGCAATGTAGATTACAATGACAGTGATATTTACTACGTATCACAGGAACACTGAGTCGAGACACCTAATCCTTCCTTCATCATCAAGGAAGACTCCCTCAATGAATGAGATGGCAACTGAACTGAATCTCAGGTTAACCAGGTTGGAGAATAAAGGGTGGCGTGTTCTAGGCAGAGGGGACAACAGTGTGATCACAAGCAGAGAGGAAGGAAACAACATGGTGTGCAGAAGGAATTATGAGCACTTAGGTGTTGCTGGAGCTTAAAGCTGGAATAGGAAGTACTAATTATGTAGCCAGAGATAATTGGCAAAGGTTGAATCATGAAGGCCCGTGTTTGCCAGGTGAAGACATATTGTGTACACACAGCTTGTTATTTTCATTATTGTTGTATTGCATTTTGGATTGAAGCTGTCTGATCAGGTTTGTGTTTTAGACAAATCCTTCTATCAGCAGTGGGGAAGGTGGATTTCAGGGTATGAATTCTGAAGCATGAAGACCAGTCAGATGGCCGTTGCAGCAGTTCAGGCAAGGACAATGAGGCCTAAATTAAGACTGCGAGGGTGAGGATGGGGAAGAGAAACTAGAGTCAAGAAATAGGTGGTTTTAAAAAGAAGTATTTAGAGGGTAAAAAGAATACTAACTGGCCGGATGTGGTGGCTCACGCCTGTAATCCCAGCACTTTGGGAGGCTGAGGCAGGTGGATCACAAGGTCAAGAGATCAAGACCATCCTGGCCAACATGGTGAAATCCCTGTCTCTACTAAAAATACAAAAATTAGCTGGGCATGGTGGCGTGCACCTGTAGTCCCAGCTACTCAGGAGGCTGAGGCAAGAGAATCACTTGAACCTGGGAGGCGGAGGTTGCAGTGAGCTGAGATTGCACCACTGCACTCCAGCTTGGGGACAGAGTGAGACTCCGTCTCAAAAAAAAAAAAAAAAACTAACTGATTATAGGGAGGAAAGAGACAGTGAAAGAGGACCCTCAGATTTCTAAGTTAGGTGAAAGCTAGATGCCAGTGCCACCAGAAGGGAGTGAGGGGGAATATAAGGAGGAGGATAATGCAGGGGCAAAGCTAGAGAGTACAGCTTTGACGTGCTGGATATGTAAAGTCTCTGGCATCCATGTAGCGATGTCAGTGAGGCAGTTGGAAATACATGTCAAAAATTAAAGGAGATTTAAGCTGTAAGAAAAGATTTGGCAGCCATTGTCACAAAATTGCTAGCTGAAATTATGCATAGACAAGCTCACCCAGGGGAAGAATGTTCAGTTAAAAAAGAAGAGGACTGTTGGGTGCGGTGGCTCACGCCTGTAATCCCAGCACTTTGGGAGGCCGAGGCGGGTGGATCATGAGGTCAGGAGATCGGGACCATCCTGGCTAACATGGTGAAACCCTGTCTCTATTAAAAATACAAAAAATCAGCTGGGCGTGGTGGCACATGCCTGTAGTCCCAGCTACTAGGGGAGGCTGAGGCAGGCGAATTGCTTGAACCTGGGAAGTGGTTGCAGTGAGTCGAGATTGTGCCACTGCACTCCAGCCTGGGCGACAAAGCAAGACTCTGTGTCAAAAAAAAAAAAAAAAAAAAAAAAAAAAAAAAAAAAAGAGGGCTGAAGGTGAAACTCTGGGAGCACCCTGACATGTAGAAGTTAGTTAAAGGAGTCCGGGCCTGTAATCGCAGCGCTTTGGGAAACCTAAGCGGGCAGATCACTTGAGGTCAGGAGTTCGAGGCCAGGCTGGCCAACATGGTGAAGCCCCATCTCTACTAAAAATACAAAAATTAGTCAGGCGTGGTGGCACGTGCCTGTAATCCCAGCTATTTGGGAGGCTGAGGCAGGAGAATCACTTGAACCCAGAAGGCAGAGGTTGCAGTGAGCTGAGATTGTGTCACTGCACTCCAACCTAGGCGACAGAGCAAGGCTCCATCTCAAAAAAGAAAAAAAAAAAAAGACATTTAAAGGAAAATGTGCCCACAAAAGAGATGGGAAAAGAATGATCCAAGAAGTTCCAGGAGAACCAAGAAGGAGGAGTCATCTCAGAAACCAAAGTCAGAGAGTTGAAAAAGGGGGTAATCTCCTGTGTCAAATGTAAACAGTCAGTCCAGTAAGATAAGGATTGAGGAAGGGTCATTGGTAACTTTTGCCAAGCTGGACAAAACCAAATTTCTCTTTTTTTTTTTTTTTTTTTTTTTTTTTCTGAGACGGAGTCTCGCTCTGTCGCCCAGGCTGGAGTGCAGTGGCGCGATCTCAGCTCACTGCAAGCTCCGCCTCCCGGGTTCACGCCATTCTCCTGCCTCAGCCTCCCGAGTAGCTGGGACTACAGGCGCTCACCACCATGCCTGTCGAATTTTTTTGTATTTTTAGTAGAAACGGGGTTTCATTGTGTTAGCCAGGATGGTCTCGATCTCCTGACTTCATTATCCGCCCTCTTCGGCCTCCCAAAGTCCTGGGATTACAGGCGTGAGCCACCGTGCCCGGCCAGACAAAACCAAATGTCAATGGATAAGTGCATGGAAAGTAAGAAAATAGACACCAATGGTACAGCCAAGGCAATGAAGAGTAGCTAGAGAAGAACACAGGAGCATGAGAGGGTGGTGGTGGTGGTTTTGGAGAGATGGAAAATACGTAAATACTTTTATGACCCAAATAGCTCATGCCATTAAAGGGAGGAGATTGAAGAGAGAAGAAAAAGAAGATGTGATTCATGTAGTAGCATCTATTCAGAGATAGAAGGGCAGAGAGTCAAGGGCAGTCTTTTGGGATACAGTAAGTGTGGGTATAGATGTAAATAGTTTTATAAGAGTAGGGCAGGAGATTGAAGATTAAAGCTGATGGACTTAATTTTTTTCTGTGAAACAGGAGATAAGTTTGTTCACTGAGGGAATGAGTATAGCAGGGATTGATAGCTGTGTTAAAGACAGTGGTGAGTCTTAGAGTAGTCTTTTAAGAAAATGGAAACAAGGGCTAGCTCACAAGAGGCAAGAAGGATTGATAGGTGACCCAGAGGTCCAGTTGACTTTGGAGATTATGGTCTTATACTAGTAATCTGCACAGTTTAGGGCTTTTATTCAAGGGAATGCCCCACCCCTATCCCATTCACCCCCGCTCCCCCCACCCCACTTTCCTGGCTCCCCTGAGTGAGGGAGAATGGGCAAGCCTCCATAGGAAAGCAGCCTCAGCCTGGACAAAAGCAAAGTTTTGTTTAAGACAACAGATGGAGCATTCTGTGTGCAACTGGAGGATGGCTTGTTTTGTTTTTTATAATGGCATGAGGGTTCTAGAAAGTAAAATAATAGGAAAGATTAGAAGGGACTCAAGAATGAGAAAAGCCACAGATAAGAAAACACAGAGGAGTAAGAGGATGAGGGTAATGGAGAGAGGTGGGGGGGTTATGGGAGTGGCAATGTGATTTGCTTCTTATTTAGTCGCCAGAGGTTAGTTGAAGGAAAGACTTGGTTGGAAGCTATTGCCTGACATTTCCTTGGTACAAGACATTGTGGTCACACAACTGACCAGTGGTCCTTAGCAGTTTCTGGCCTGCTCACAGAGCTTTGTTTTCTGTTTTTGAGACAGAGTTTTGCTCTTGTTGCCCAGGCTGTAGTGCAATGGCACGATCTCGGCTCACTGCAACCTCCGCCTCTTGGGTTCAAGCGATTCTCCTGCCTCAGCCTCCCAAGTAGCTGGGATTACAGGCATGCACTATCACACCCGGCTAATTTTATATTTTTAGTAGAGACGGGGTTTCTCCATATTGGTCAGGCTGGTCTTGAACTCCCGACTCAGGTGATCCGCCCACTTCATGCTGGGATTACAGGTGTGAGCCACTGTACCTGGCCTACTCACAGAGCTTTTAAAGAGAAAGTGAGAGTCCTGTGCCAGACAGAGATGGGCTCCTGAGTGAACTCTGCCAGCCCCAGAGTTTGCAGTAGAGCAGGAGTCCCCAGTCGGTGGCCTGTTAGGAACTGGGCCGCACAGCAGGAGGTGAGCAGCCCACAAGCGAGCATTACCACCTGAGCTCCACTTTCTGTCAGATCAGCGGTGGCATTAGATTCTGATAGAAGCATGAGCCCTATTGGTTGTGCACTCCTTATGAAAATCTAACTAATGCCTGATGATCTAAGGTGGAACAGTTTCATCCAGAAACCATCGTCGTGTCCTCCCTACCCCTGCCCCCACCACACCCCAGTCTGTGACAAATTGTCTTCCATGAAACCGGCCCCTGGCACCAAAAGTTGGAGACAACTGCAGTAGCGTACTTGCTTGAGTTATCCCATAGAGTTGTGGAACAGCAACATCTTACCCTGTGGCCTACTCTTGTTATTGCAGTACCCACAAATTTAACAGTAGTAATCATAATATAAACAATAGCTTATATTTATATGGCTTTATGTTTATTAAATGTTGGTTTCAACAACTCTAAAACAGGGTAGGTAATGTTATCTCATTCATAGGTCAGAAAGCCTGAATCTCAGAGGGTAAGGTCATACTGCTAATAAATGGATGAAATAAAAATAGAAATCAGATCTTCTGACTTCTAGCTCTTTTCAGCTATGCCACACTGCAGTTTTGGAGCTGGAAACTGCATTGGGCTCATGTAATCCAACCTCTTCTCTTATAGATGAAGCAACCGAGGCAGCAGCCTGGTGAAACAAAAAGAAAGCAGATATTGCAGGCTGGATATTCTGGGATAAATATTTTATTTAAAAATCTTTTAATGTTCCAGAAAGGTTCAGTAACTTTCTAGTGGCCACAGTCAGTGTCGAAGCCAGAGCTGGAACACACCCTACTACACGACTCTTGGGATTGGGTTTCAAATCAAGAAATGTGGGAGGACATATCTCTGATGAGTCAGAATAGTGGAAGGGAGTGGCCCCGGAATGTGACTACCTGGAAGAATCTAGTTCCTTAGGCTAAGTCACTAGTGTTAGCCCAGTATAAAAATGTGTTTTTCAGAATGGAATCAGGAGGGTAAAATTAAAGATGAAATCATCTGAATAGCAGTTCTCTACCAAGACAGCACTTTAGCTAAAGGATGATTACAGTGTAGGGCGGTTCATTTTGATTCACTGGGGCTATATCTCTATACTTTCGTGTGTGGTAGTTGCTTTCCCCACTAGATCTGGGTTCTAGCCCTCCCTGCTGGCTCCCTCACTTAGTGGACGTTGAACCTTTCACTTTCCTTCTCGGGGCCTGAGTTTCCTCAATAAAAAGAATTTGGATCTAGGTGGCCGTCTTCTTTGTGGTTTAATTCCCTAATTTCATTTCATTTATTTATTTATTTTCTTTTTTGAGATGGAGTCTTGCTCTGTTACCCAGGCTGGAGTGCAGTGATGTGGTCTCAGCTCACTGCAACCTCCACCTCCCAGGTTCAAGTGATTCTCATGCCTTAGCCTCCCGAGTAGCTGGGATTACAGGTGTGCACCACCACACCCAGCTAATTTTGTATTTTTAGTAGAGGTGAGGTTTCACCATGTTGGCCAGGCTGATCTTTAACTCCTGACCTCAGGTGATCCACCTGCCTTGGCCTCTCAAAGTGCTAGGATTACAGGCATGAGCCATCATGCCTGGCCAAATTTCTTAATTTCAGATATACCCTATGGCACAGATATTTTAAGGCAAAACATAGGTATATTATGCCATACATAAGTGTATTGGATGAAGCTGACAGAGAAAAGTATATAATCATTCTGAGAAAAGAAGCCTCGATATTTACATTTCGGTGAAAAGGGGGAGAAAATTACTGTTTTGCGAATCAACCAAAGTACTCCATAGTCATTACAGAAGCATGTACTTACCTGTAATTTTTTGTGGAATTGTTCAAAGTTTATTGTTTAACACTTATTGACAATCACTATTATGCTGGATACTATGGGAGCAAGTTTATGCAAGCTAATCCCCTGCTGTGTTAATCTAGGGAAAGAATGGAACAGTGATCAAATTTGCAAGGTTAGAAATGCTAAAGCTCTTGCTTTCTGTCAGAAAACTCCAGCTAGGTATTCAAATTTAGTCGAGATCCAATATCAGAAAGCCTTTATTATTTATTGAAGCATCTGCTCTTTCTACTTTTTCCATTTGGCTTCTGTGCTCTGTGGTTACTATTCTCAGGTAATTGGGGGTATGACTTCAGTCACTTTTGAAATATTGGGAACTAAATTCTCTCATTGGAGATTCAGCACACTTCAGGCATTTTAATAAAACTCTAGTATCTTGAATTCTGGAAATTTAATTAATATACTTACACTTTGAATTTTTTCTTGCCTGAACCATTACACATTTTTACAGAACAAATATTTAATCCTTAAGATTTCATAACCAAGGGATTTAAAGATTAGCTTTGAAAATAGGTCAGGGAAAATATCCACTTTGGTTAAAAGCTAATCATGTAAAGAAGTAAAAAAAAAAAAACAAAAACAAAACAGCTTAGAAGCTTTTGAAAAACATTTTTAAAAATCAATTGTATTGGCTAGGCACAGTGGCTCACGTCTGTAATCCCAGCACTTTGGGAGGCCAGCATGGTCAGATCACCTGAGGTCAGGAGTTCAAGACCGTCCTCGCCAACACAGCAAAACCCTATTTCTACTAAAAATAGAAAAATTAGCCAGGTGTGGTGGCGCACACCTGTCATCTCAATTACTCGGGAAGCTGAGACAGGAAAATCACTGGAACCCAGGAGGTGGAGGTTGCAGTGAATTGAGATTGCACCGCTGCACTCCAGCCTGGGTGACAGGGTGAGACTCTGTCTCAAAATAAAATAAAATAAAATAAAATAAAATATAAAATAAATTGTATAGGCCGGGTGCGATGGCTCACACCTGTAATCCCAGCACTTTGGGAGGCTGAGGCAGGTGGATCGCAAGGTCAGGAGATTGAGACCATCCTGGCTAACATGGTGAAACCCCGTCTCTACTAAAAATACAAAAAATTAGCCGGGCGTGGTGGCAGGTGCCTATAGTCCCAGCTACTTGGGAGACTGAGGCAGGAAATGGCATGGACCTGGGAGGCAGAGCTTGCAGTGAGCAGAGATCGCGCCACTGCATTCCAGCCTGGGAGACAGAGTGAGACTCCCTCTCAAAAAATAAATAAATAAATAGTATACAATTTTGTGAAAGTATATGAGTCAAACTTTCCTTTAGTTTGCCATTCATTCATTCATCCATTTATTAGTATTCATCCATTTATTGTTCATTCATTCATGCACCAAAAATTGTTCTAGACACTAGGGTAGCAAGAATAAATAAGACAGTCAGAGCTTACTATGTGCCAGGCACTTTGAAATTTGGAGCTCAATGCTTTTAGCTCCACAATCTGGTGTCATGGTGTAAGCATTACACTGGAAGTCTAGTTTTTTTTTCTAAAAACTCACTGGTAGGCTGTGTGGCTTTAGGTGAGACCCATTCTGTGTTAGTTTCCTCCTCTCTGCAGTGGTATTGCTCACTCTGTTTACTTCGTAGCTTTGATGTCAGAATCAAATGAAATGGTGGTTTTGAAAGAGCTTTGGAAGTCCCAGGTGTTATATAAAGCAAGTAGTATTCTTGTAAATGTGGCAGTGGTTTTGACCATTTCAGTGCCTCCGCGAAAAAAGGTTGAAGATGAGTATCTTTATATTGTTCTCTTGAACTAGATCTATATGTTTATGCTGGTCAGTCTTACCATTTCCTCCACTTCCTGTGCAGGCGACAGGGACCTCATAATGAGGTAGCTGGGGGAATGATAACTATAGTGAATGAAACTCATTTAGAAAATATTATTCAATTTACACATTGCATTAAATCAGCAAGTAATGATTAAGTGCTCAGATTAAGGGAGCAGAGAGAGAGATAAGGTAGGAGATGGCATCTGTCTTCAAGCAGCCTAGACTTGGATTTGAAAATTCAAAGCGATTGAATATAAATCATTACCTAATTGCCATTTCCCAGGGATCTATGTAGGTATGTCAGTTTGGTTCTATAATGTTTGTAAGGGTCCTCTCTTAGACGTTGGAATACTCAGTTATACCTGCTGGCTCATGGAACAGGTGTTCTTAGGAAGAAACTAGAAGGTTACTTCTAGCTTCATGTTAATTTTACTGCTGGATCCTAGGTTTACCATGTTCATGCTCTAGAAAGAAGTAAGAGGGCTGGGCGTGGTGGCTCATGCCTGTAATCCCAATACTTTGGGAGACCAAGGTGGGCAGATCACCTGAGGTCAGGAGTTTGAGACCAGCGTTGCCAACATGGTGAAACCCTGTCTCTACTAAAATACAAAAAATTAGCTGGGCATGGTAGCACGCGCCTATAATCCCAGCTACTCTGGAGGTTGAGGCAGGACAATCTCTTGAACCCGGGAGGCAGAGGTTGCAGTGAGCCGAGATCATGGCACTGCACACCAGCCTCCGTGACAGAGCGAGACTCCATCTCAAAAAAAAACAAAAAAAAAAAGAAGAGGCCTGATATGACCTAGAATAAATTTAATCTGGGACTAACTCAGGAATCCCTCTCAAATATCAGCTCTAGCGTGTAAAGAGAGATTTTTGTGTTTTACTCACTGCTGTCTCCCCATTGCCTAGAACAATTCCTAACACCTGGTACTCACTGAAAATGTTTTAAATGAATGAAAGCTGCAGTCCCCTGTTTAGAGTTTTTCTACTGTTCTCATGTCTCAGATAGATGGCTCCTTGAAGACAAGGACTATACATTATGAATCTTCAGATTTCCCATGTCTGGCACATAACTGGCCCTCTGAATTTTCTCCAACGAACATAGAGACAAGTGTAATCCAGGTCCATGAGGGAGTCTCTCCCTAGAGTAAGCCCTAAAAGCAGTAGATGTGCTTGTTCCCAGGGAGTCTGAGGCATAGCCCAAAGTGGACTGTCATGAGTGTGAATTTCATTGACATTTCTTTTTTAATCTTAGCATTTCTGTTTATTTTTGAGTTTGTACTTCATTCATATTCCTTTAAAAAGGTTATAACCCTCAACAGGATGGAGAACATATGCCTTATGTATATCCTCTGTGGAGTCCCATTCATGCCTGTCACTCTCAGCAGCGCCTGTCCCAGGACAGGGCAGGCTGTTCTTGTTTTTTCCTTTTTTTGAAATGGAGTCTCTCTCTGTTGCCCAGGCTGGAATGCAATGGCGCGAGCTCGGCTTACTGCAGTCTCTGCCTCCTGGGTTGAAACAATTCTCATTCCTCGGCCTCCTGAGTACCTGGGACCATCTGCGCGCACCACCACGCCCTGCTAATTTTTGTATTTTTAGTAGAGATGGGGTGTTTCACCATGTTGGCCAGGCTGGTCTCAAACTCCTGACCTCAGGTGATCAGGGTGGGCTGTTCTTGAAGCTACTTCAGAACCGTGTAAGAGCTGAAAGACCCAGAGAAAATTATCACAGGGTAGGAGAGAAAAGTAGGACAATTCGCCAGACTCATTTTCTGGGAGTTTTCTTATACCATCTTGCAGCCTCATTAACTCTTCCAACTCTTTATAAAATAATAATACTGAAAAATGGCCTTATATCTTCTAGTACCTTGACACATGCAAATATCTCATTTAATCTTCACAACAACCCTGGGAATGTGGCTTTTGTTTTGTTTTTATTGTTAGTACTATACAAATGAGAAATCTCAAACCAGGAGCAGGCTGAAACTAGGGTGAGAGTCCTCACCTCAGGCACAAAACTTAAGGGGATGCCAAAAACTCAGTAATCAAGTAATATTTTATGTAGTATCTTAAAAATTAAAGTTTATATACAGTTCAACAGGGCCAGGATTAAGGAGAGGC
Organism: Homo sapiens; assembly: GCF_000001405.40. Classification (NCBI taxonomy): domain Eukaryota; kingdom Metazoa; phylum Chordata; class Mammalia; order Primates; family Hominidae; genus Homo; species Homo sapiens. The sequence goes on from NC_000008.11 coordinate 125,265,110, forward strand.
AAGTGAAGTGAATTATGCCAGCTGCAAGGTTGGATCCTGGCTTTATTTAATTTTTTTTTGGTAGTTCATGAATTTTTTGCATTAACTTTGTTATTATTATTATCATTACTTTTTTTTTTTTTTCTTTTTGAAACGGAGTTTCACTCTTGTTGCCCAGGCTGGAGTACAACGGCAAGATCTTGGCTCACTGCAACCTCCACCTCCCAGGTTCAAGCGATTTTCCTACCTCAGCCTCCCAAGTAGCTGGGATTACAGGCATGCACCACTGTGCCCGGCTGATTTTATATTTTTTGAAGAGACAGGAGTTCTCCGTGTTGGTCAGGCTGGTCTCGAACTCCTGACCTCAGGTGATCCACCCATGTCGGCCTCCAAAAGTGCTGGGATTACAAGCATGAGCCACTGCACCTAGTCTTTTGCATTAACTTTGGTTTTTAAATTATTGCGTTAAAATGCTGCTATCTTTATTCAGTTTTTTGTTTTTTGTACCCTCTTAAATTTTGCCTCTCAGGCAGGTGGCCGCCTTACTTTACCCTAGTCCGTGCCTTGCCTTAGAGATTTAATTCTGTAGGTCATATGACTTGTAAGAAGCAGAGCCTGTGTTAGAACCAAGACTTCTGACTCCAAATCATATGCTCTTCTCATCATACCACATAGCCACTTAAAATGCCTAGTTTTCTTTGTCTCTGAACATCTATTGATCCTTAGTTGTTTTTTAAATTTTCTCAGACTTGTAGGCCCCATTATTTGAGAATGACTTTCATGGTTCCTTTTGACCTTTCTGTACTTTTTTTTCCTGTAAATGTGTATCATGAACCCTCTATTACTTTAAGTTATTTGATTTGTAAGCATTTCTGGATGAATTGTCTCTCAAGGGCACACTTCAAAATAGTTGCCTTACTTAGAACAAAATCCTGTGACCCGAATAAAGAACACATGAATATAGCTAACCCTGTGTGAGCTTGCGGGGCAGGTCAAATTTTTTCTTTTTTTTTTTTTTTTTGAGATGGAGTTTTGCTCTTGTTGCCCAGGCTGGAGTGCAATGCGCGATCTCCGCTCACCGCAACCTCCGCCTCCCAGGTTCAAGAGATTCTCCTGCCTCGGCCTCCCGAGTAGTTGGGATTACAGGCATGTGCCACCACGCCCGGCTAATTTTGTGTTTTTAGTAGAGATGGGGTTTCTCCATGTTGGTCAGGCTGAGGTCTATTTTTTAAACCCCATCAAACTGTAGAATGAAATAGTGGTTAGAAAAGCAACTATGAATTCAGTGGCATGTCTTATAAAGTCAGAATTCCTACAGACTTTACTCTTTAGTGAAGTTTCTTGAATAATGAAAATAGTTCATAACAAGAACAAACACAATTAACACTGTCTGTATTCACCTTCTGGTGGGGGAAGTGCATCAGACTATATGAAGGCATAAATCACCTTTTTCTGTTAGGATTTTGTTTTATACAATGTATTATCAATTTGTCCTGCTATATAGTTGGAGAGAATAGAATGCTGTCTCCAACTGATCATTTTCCTTATAGTTGACCTTACTCCTGAATAAGGTTCAGGCTTTCATGAGAATTTCAGATCCAGTATACCTGTTGGGGATGAATAGCAAAAGAAAGTACTAGGAGTTTGGGATTAGAAATAGAAGATAAAAGAGCAATAATAGACTTGTGTTTCCTTGCAATTCAGGCTTAGTAAAGGAAGTCGGAGGCAAGGAAACTTAGACCTTCAAATTGTACTCCAGTGTCTGTTAAAGAGGAAGAAGGAGAGATGTTCAGAATCACTATGTCCTTGGGAATATCACAGGACAAAAACTTTATTTATAAATAAAGGTAATCTGAACATTTGGTTTGAGCATCAGGCACAGAAGCAGAAAAGCATAACTTTTCTTTTTTCTTTCTTTTTTTTTTTTTTTTTTTGAGACAGAGTCTTGCTCTGTCTCCCAGGCAGTAGTGCAATGGCATGATATTGGCCTACTGCAACCTGTACCTCCTGGGTTCAAGCAATTCTCTTGCCTCAGCCTCCCAAGTAACTGGATTATATATAGGCACGCACTGCCACGCCCGGTTAATTTTTGTATTTTTAGTAGAGACAGGGTTTCACCGTGTTGGCCAGGCTGGTCTCAAACTCCTGACCTCAGTTGATCTGCCTGCCTCGGCCTTCCAAATGCTAGGATTACAGGCCTGAGCCACCGCGCCCAGCCAAGGGTACCTTTTCTAAATATATGTTCTCTTTATTGGTTTACTTTAGTGAGACAAATATGTGTAAAGGCTTTCGTTTGTATGTATTTTTATGTGAGAAGTAAGGCTAGACAGTGAGGACCAAATGTGAGAAGTAAGGCTAGACAGTCAGGACCAAACTGCTAAAGGAGTTGAATGCTACGCTAAGAAATCAGTACTTTGCCAGGCATGGTGGCTTACACCTATGATCCTAGCACTTTGGAAGGCTGAGGCGGGAGGATCACTTCAGCTCAGGAATTCAGGATCAACCTGGGCAACATAGGGAGGCCTGTCTACAAAACAATTAACCAAGTGTGGCTGTGCACACCTGTAGTCCCAGCTACTTGAGAGCCTGCGGTTGGGAGGATAACTTGAGCCCAGGAGGTTGAGGCTGCAGTGAGCCAAGATCGTGCCACTGCATTCTAGCCTGGGTGAAGAGCGAGACTCTGTCTCAAAAAATAGTAATCGGTACTTTATCTAATAGGTCATGTTGAATTATAGAAGACTTCTGAGTGAGAGATGGCCTCATCAAACTCATTTTTCAAAAAGTTTAATCTGGTGGAATTAGGAAGGAAAGAGAAAGCAGAGAGAGTACTTATCCATGCGTAAAAACAAGTATTTTTTGGCTGGGTGTGGTGGCTCACAACTATAATCCCAGCACTTTGGGAAGCTGAGGTGGGAGGATCCCTGGAGGCCAGGAGTTTGAGACCAGCCTGGGCAGCACAGTGAAACCCTCATCTCTATTTAAAAAAAAAAAAAAAAATTAACTGGGCATGATGGTGCCACCTGTAGTTTCAGCTACTCCAGAGGCTGAGGTGGAAGGATTTTTTGAGCCTGGGAGGTCGAGGCTGCGGTGAACCATGATCACACCACTGCACTCCAGCCTGGGCAACAAAGCAAGATGCTGTCTCAAGGAAGAAAAAAAAAAAGTATTTTTTGAGAAGGTCAACATTTGGTTAGTGAAATTAGAAAGGAAAGGAAAGTTGTGACGTATGTGGCAAAGGAAATTGACATTGTCACTGGCACTTCTGTTGGTCGTTTGAAGGAGAAAGAAGTTAAAAAAAAGAGAAAAGGATCCCAAGGTTTTATCATGGGCTGCCTAGAGAATGATCACTCCATTAACAACAACAACAACAAGCAAAAAGAACTATTTGGAGAATAAAGGAAAAGATGGTATATTTCATTTTAAACATTTCTTTGAAGCAGTGGTGTGATGAGTAATTAAAATATTCCTTAGGTTGTTGGGGATGCAGACCTGGAATCAGAGAGAAAAATCAGGGCTAAAAATGAAATATTTAGAAATTGCATATCCAAATTTAATGTTAATGTTTCAGCAGAAACAAAAGAGAGAGCTGAGATGCACATACACCCATTGCCTAGAAAGAGAAAGAGATGCCCTGGGAGGAATGGCCTGAGATGGAGGAGGTGTAAGATCCCATAGCAGTGCATGAGCCAAGAGAGGAAGTAATTTTAGGAAGAGTGGTATGGCCAGCAGTGCCAGAGCCTGCAGATCAAAACTCATGAGTAATCATAGGAGTAGTCTTGAGCTTAGAAAATACAAATTGAGATCTTGGAGGAGCAAGAGTATCAAAAAGTAGGAATTTTAAAATTTGGCAGGTATTGGGGAAGAGATCATGACTTTTTAAAAAATATATTGTTTAGTTTCTTGATTCTCTTTTTTATTCCACAAAATATGAACTCATGCATAGCTATCTTTGCTTATTACCCAAAATGGATTAAGATATATTTGACTCTTTAACTTTGTTTTTTGTTTGTTTTTTTGAGACAGAGTCCCACTCTGTCACCCAGGCTGGAGTGCAAGTGACACGATCTCGACTCACTTCAACCTCCTCCTCCTGGGTTCCAGTGATTCTCTTGCCTTAGCCTCCCATGTAGCTGGGACTATATGCACGTGCCACCACACTTGGCTAATTTTTGTATTTTTAGTAAAGACAGGGTTTCATCATGTTGACAGGCTGGTCTTGAACTCCTGACCTCAAGTGATCACCTTCCTCCGCCTCCCAAAGTGCTGGGATTACAGGCTTGAGCCACTGCACCCAGCCGACTCTTTAACTGAGTAAAAGAAGCTGGTTCATATATGGCTGATTTGGTCTTTGAAATACTGTTTAACTTTGTATCTATGGAGCAAAACCATGCCACTATAAAATGACACTCCTCTGTATTCTGCTCACTGCTTGATCAATTTATTTCCTGTGCTCATCATGGCTTGGATGAAGAGAAGTTTTTTACAGCAGGGGTCTGATGAATGTGAACATTCAATGATCATAGCTTTCTACAAGATCATTAAGATCCTTGTTTTATGCTTTGAGTATTTGCCTCTTGGCAATAGTTCATGGAATCTGATTAAACCTATAAGCTTGGAAAGCAAATCGTTTAAGTCTGTGTTGCAGAGGATAACTTACTTCACATGAATCTCAATAATAGGTCATCCTGAATCAGTCATCATCAATAGTTAACAACATCTATCAAGTTAATTGCTCAAGAGCCTTTTACCAAGCTGAGAGTGTAACAAAGTAAGCTAAACATAACTTGTTAACTTGTCCTCTGGAAGCCTTCATTCAGTCAGTCATCCATTTATAATTTATTGATTACGTATGTACTTTATGCAAGGCTGAACTAAAGGACAAGCACGGCCCTTATGGTTCTTTAGGACTAGTCTCTTTACAAATAATGAGAATTTCAATACAGTCTTGCAACTGTAGTAGCAATAAGCATAAGGAGCTATAAGAAGAGAGAGAGTGTAGCTAGAATATAAGGAGAGAGGTAAAAAATGAAGTTGGAGACAGTATACAGGAGATAGATTATGAACATCCTTATATGACTTACTAAAGAATCTGAAAGGTCCAGGTGCGGTGACTCATGCCTGTAATCCCAGCACTTTGGGAGGCCAAGGCAGGAGGATCATTTCAGGTCAGGAGTTCGAGACCACCCTGGGCAACATGCTGAACCTCTGTCTACTAAAAATACAAAACTTAGCGGGGCATGGTGGCAGGCACCTGTAAACCCAGCTACTCGGGAGGCTAAGACATGAGAATCACTTGAACCCAGGAGGTGGAGGTTGCAGTGAGCCGAGATCGCACCACTGCACTCTGGCCTGGGTGACAGAGCGAGACTGTGTCTCAAAGCAAAAAACAAAACAAGACGAAAAACAGAATCTGAATGTTATCCTGAAGGCAATGGCATGTGTTGAATTGCTTTAAATAGAAGCAAGTTATGATCAGCAGTGTGTTATATCCTGGGTAGGGTAAAAGATAGGCCTAGCTGGATGCAGTGGTGCATACCTGTAGTCCCAGCAACTCAGTAGGTTGAGATGGGAGGATCGCTTGAGGCCGGCAATTCTGGGCTACAGTACAGTATGCTGATCGAGTGTCCACACTAAGTTCAGCATCAATATGGTGACCCCTCAGGAGCAGGGAACCACCAGGTTGCCTAAGGAGGGGTGAACGGGCCCAGGTTGAAAATGGAGCAGGTCAAAACTTCCGTGCTGATGAGTAATGAGATCACACTTGTGAACAGCCACTGCACGCCAACCAGGGCAACATAGTGAGACACCATCTCTTAGAAAAAAGAAAAAAAAGAATAAATGTAAGTGGGAGGGAAAAGTGGAGGCAGGGAAGTCAGTATAAGACTACTCTAGGCCAGGAGTGGTGGCTCATGCCTATAATCCCAGCACTTTGGGAGGCCGAGGCAGGTGGATCACGAGGTCAGGAGTTCAAGACCAGCCTGAACAACATAGTGAGACCCCGTTTCTACTAAAAAACACAAAATTTTGCCAGGCATGGTGGTGCGCACCTATAATCCCAGCTACTCAGGAGGCTAAGGCAGGAGAATTGCTTGAACCTGGGAGGTGGAGGTTGCAGTGAGCAGAGATTATGCCATTGCACTGCAGACTGGGCGACCAAGTGAGACTCCATCTCAAAAAAAAAAAAAAAGTATTACTCTAGTGATGAGGTAAGTAGTGAGGGGGGTCTAAGTTAAGATACTATCAAAGTGGACATAAAGGGGAGGAATTAAATTTGAGAGAAACAATTAAATTTGAAAGATATTTGGAATGTTGTGGTAATCACTTGAATGGAAGAGATAGGTGGAAATAAGAGACAGAGTAGAGTCAAGGATAAGTTTCGGCTTAAATACCTAGGTATTAAGGGTACATAGGACTGATGTCAGCCTTTGGTTATCTTGGACATGAAGGATTACAATAGCTGAGTCATCAAAGGCTGATTCAGTCCCTGACATGACTCCTAGCTGTTCATCTTTGAAACCAGTAATGAAATGGCTTTTGGCCCCTTAAAACTGAGACCTTTGGAAGAGTGCTGAATAGGTATGAATCAGGTTTCATAGGCAGGAGCTCCTGGGGTTTCAACATCAGCGTTCTGGAGGATGCATGCTTGATTTTATTGCTTTTGATACTGTTTTTCACTCATGCTTTTTAATGACTCTGTAATCATGTGTATGTTTTATGTTTCACCTTGAGAATGGCTGTTATACTTAGCACTTTATATCTTCAAAGAATTCAGCAATATTAAATAATCTGCATAATATCTCTGTGAGTTTATAGGTGGGGATTATTGCTCCGTTTTTCAGGTGGGAAAACCCAGAGATATTCGGTGACTTGGCCAAGGCTATTTAGCCTTACATTGACAACTGAATATTGAATCTGCAGTTTCTTTCTTTTTTTTTTTTTTTTTGAGACGGAGTCTCGCTCTGTCACCTGGGCTGGAGTGCAATGGCGCTATCTCAGCTCACTGCAAGCTCCGCCTCCCGGGTTCACGCCATTCTCCTGCCTCAGCCTCCCGAGTAGCTGGGACTACAGGCGCCCACCATCATGCCTGTCGAATTTTTTTGTATTTTTAGTAGAGACGGGGTTTCATTGTGTTAGCCAGGATGGTCTCGATCTCCTGACCTCATGATCCGCCCGCCTCAGCCTCCCAAAGTGCTGGGATTACAGGCTTGAGCCACCGCGCCCGGCAAATCTGCAGTTTCTTCATTTTATCACACTTACACTAGAAGTTTAATGTCCATCTTATTATGTCACGTTTGCTTTTTCACTTACTTATTCAAAAATCTCAGCATTTAGATCTAGAAAAGGACATACAAGATACAGAAAAGAGTGGAGGTGACCAAATGACTAACCCGGCACATGGGGACAGGAGGAGTGTAATGTCACTAGTTCTAAACTAAAAGATTGTTTCTTTTCCAGTGGTGCTATGACATCATTTCCGCTAACAGACCAGTCAGTCATTGTGTTACATAGCATCCTGTGACATTGTAGTATAACCTTAACACTTTATACTGCCACAATAAAACAGTTATAGAAATTGCCTTATTATGTATATATATATCCCAGCTACTTGGGATATATATATATATATAATATATATATATACACACACACACATATATATACACACGTATATATATATACACACACACGTATATATATACACATGTGTATATATATACACACACGTATATATATACACATATATATACACACGTATATACACACACACATATATATACACACGTATACGTGTGTGTATATATATATAAAAGGCTGTGTAATACGGTGGAAAGAGAACTGACTTGGGAGCTAGGCCAGGGTTGAAACCCCTCCCAAGAGGGAGCTGGGTGACACGGGGCAGGATCCTGATTCTGCAGCAGTGTGGAAAGGATTAGATCTTGATGTATGTCAGCCGCCTATCATAGAACCTGACAGTTACTGCTTCATAAATGGTTGCTGTTACTTTTATTCTCATTCAGAGACAAAGTATAATACTGAAAAGGCCAGTGACTTCCTTGTTGAAAGTCAGGACCAGGTAAATTCAACTGTTGAGGTGTTACAGCCTATTAAAGACGCCAGTGAGACATTTTGGTATTGAGTCAACCAGATACTGATACCATCCCTTGTTCACTGACAAATATGGGAAGGTAATTTCAGTAGGTCAGCCATCAGTGTGTGCCTTCCAAAACATTATAGTCATGTTACAGTAAACTTTTTATATTTGTTGCATCACAAAGATTTATTGAAGTGATAAAAGTTATTATGGAAAACAGTGTGCGGTAACTATGGTAACAGTTATTTGATCTCACAGTAATTAGCTAAGCATTTAGTTGCACAATACTTTCACAATGCCTTCCTGGTTAGTTCATTAAACAAAATTAGCTTTTGTTTGAACTGCCTTCCTACAGCGTCCTAAATTTGATTTTAGTTCAAAGGAATTGGAAAATGTATTTTAAAACTACCTTTCCAACTTACAGTTTATGGACATATTTGAGGTTGCAACTGGCTTTTATTTAATTCTTTATTTATACTACACTATGATAACGATTCACTGGATTATCATCTGAATTTCTCTTGGAAATGACCTAAGAAATGAACAGTAAAGTTGGAGACCAGTGCCTTAATTATGGCCCTGTTCCTCACTCATATTGCAGATTGGGGTCAACAGGTGTCCTTCTTAAGACTTTGTTTTTATACCTGTGAGTTTGGGGTGCTGTATAAATGTTAGAGTCCCAGGATCACACAAGTGGAGTCATTTCTTGATCATCTGCATACCTCCTGCTGGGACCTGGAGCTAGCAGGTGCCCAGGCTTTTTCTAAAGCCTCCCTCCTCCAGGTGCCTCCTCTGCCCTGCTCAGCATAGCTTGTGCTGTGTTTAGCACCTCTTTTTGCAAGGTGGAATGTGCTGCAGATGATTCACCTAAATGATGATGTCATCCTCAGAGGACTTCAGAGCTCTTGAGACAAGGGCCTCTCAGACTGTTTCTACTCTGCACCCACTCTCCACTCACTCCCAGCAGACAGGGAAGCTTAACCCGTACTGCTTGGCAGATTGGAGATCCCAAGCACAAAAGAAAGCTTCAAGCATTCAAGATTTTGAAACTGAAAAATACAGAAAATGAAACAAAAAAAAACTTTTTAACTTATTTACTAAACATGAAGGGGTTCCAAAGTAAATTAGTGAAACAGGATTTTTTAAAATCCAATCAATGTTCCTTGTATTAATTTCATTTTAATTCCTGTCACCTCAGTGATTTTTTTTTAGTTCATTTAATTATTTTTAAAATAATACTAGCTTTTAAAAATGAATTGCTTTCTGAGTTGTGAGTCAAGCTCTTCTCTCAGTTAACTCCATGTCACCTACCAGTTTTCAGTTAGACAAGTTTTTTTGCATATGGTCCATAACATTTCCAGTTCTATGCATTTTTATTTGCCTATTTAGGTCATTATTTTCTAGGTAGGAGAGATGCATCTTCAGTTTCACTGACAAGGAATAGAATTCTAGTAAGTAACTATTTGTGGCCAGGCACGGTGGCTCATGCTGGTAATCCCAGCACTTTGGGAGGCCAAGGCAGGCAGATGACCTGAGGTCAGCAGTTCGAGACCAGCCTGGCCAACATGACGAAACCCCATCTCTACTAAAAATACAAAAATTAGCCAGGCATGGTGGCGCACGCCTGTAATCCCAGCTACTTGGGAGGCTGAGGCAGGAGAATTGCTTGAACCTGGGAGGCGGAGGTTGCAGTGAGCCAAGATCGCGCCATTGCACTCCAGCCTGGGCTTCAGAGGGAGACTCAGTCTCAAAAAAAAAAAAAAAAAGAACCTATTTGTTCTTGAGTAGTCTTGCAATTTTTCAGGACAATCTGAAGATGATAATAATAATAATAATAATAATAATAATAATAATAAATAGAATAATATCCTAGGTGGCTTCAGCACCTGACTTCTTTTTCCCCCATCTTCCCTATCCCTGCTTTTATCTGGTATGATAGTCATGTGTCAGCTGATATCAAGGCCCCTAAAACTCTTCACACCCCCCTTCCATATCCTTTTCCTGTCCATAGGAGAATGTCTTTCTCTCACTCCATTTGGAAAACATTTGATGTCCTTTGATGCAACTCTCATTTCAGCTTCTGTGAAACTTTCTGAATTTCCCTCACACTTCATCCCGTCTTCTAGCCCTCTCATGTCATTTGTACCTAATTCTTAGCCACACATCATTATTCATTATAATTTGTGGTTAAAAACTATCTTGCCGAGTGGGCTATGAACTCCACTAGAGAAGTGCCACTCTTTATTCTTCCCTGTACCCTCCCATGGTATCCAGCAGGTAAGAACGTGCCCTGTGGATAGCCAACCAAACCACTGAGTTCTCTTCCTCTTACTGCCCTCTAACTTCCTGAATTCTACTCATTTGTATTTCCTCGTTGGCTGCCCAGCCCAGCCACACTGGATAATCACCCTCCCAACTCTCCCAATTTTGATTCCTTTTCTCTAGACCTAATGTTTTATGTAGGGGCCTCTAGCCACTTCAGGGAAAGAGGAAACGAAGTACTATTTATTGAGTCACCTAATGTGTTTTCGATGCCGTATGAGGTGTTTTGCTGATTTCCACAATCCTATGAATAAATACTAATATCCAGATTTTTTTTTGTCATGAGAGGCTAAGGTTCAGAATGATTAAGTGACATAATGAGCTAGTAATTGTAAGAGCTGGAATTCAAACCCAGAACGCTCCGCCTGCAAAACCCAAGTGTCTTCACTTTTTCCAGTCCAATAACTCTGTTATGTCTTTAGCCCGACCTAAATTCCAGCCTTAGCCAATGTCTTAGAGTAGTCACTGGCACCCTATATTCCTTTGATCTCATGGCCTTCTGTGCCATCAGTCAGCCAGAGGTCTGCCCCCCGCACTGGGTCTTCTGTCCTGCTGTAGTGCTCAAGATGTCTGCCAAAGAAATTCAGAGATTCTTCCAGAAGTGGCTTTTTACAAAGACAGGATACTCAATTACATTTAGACAAAGAATGCCCAGTCCACCACTCACATAGCACCCCAGCCCCTGTACTGCCCAGGGCCAGCATTGACAATCATGAGTACATTCTCAATATAGCCTTCCAGGAAGCCCTTAGCCAATCAAACAGAATGGAAACCATAGATTAAATCTGTTTCCCACTCTGATTTGCTTCCAACTTGCTGTTGCTGTGTAGTTTTCCTGCCCTTCTTTGTTGGTCTTACCATGCATTCTTCCCACCCTAAAACCCCTCTTCCTTACTCCAGACTAACTGGAGGACTGATTGTATTTTACTTTGCTTACTGATACCTTTTGCTTTGCTTTTTCTCACACTAATTTTTCTACTTGGCCTACCTTCCTCCTATCACTGATTGTAGAATAATTAATAATGGAATAGCCTCATTTGAGTATAAACTTCATAAAGGCAGACGCATATGGTTATTATATCTGATTGTATATACAGTCCCTCATAGAGTGTCTGACTTATGGTAGAACCTCCATGAACCTTTGAATAAAGAAGGAAGGAGAAAGGGAAGGAATGGTGGATTTGGCACAGGTATTATACTATATACAGATGTATTTTTGTTTGTTTCATCCTAATAACCCAATGAAGTTAGTGTTATTCCTGTTACAGACAAGCAAATGGAATCTCATAGAGGTCACTCTGCTAGTAAGTGGAAGAGCTTCCTGTTTTTCACTGACCTGCCAAATGCCATCTCTTCTGGAAAGCCTTTTATTATTCCCCCACCTTGACCACTGCATTGCACAACTGTGGGGGACACCATTCACATAGATGACAGTGTGAATGGCTCCCCCTGGAGTTGTGTGGTTGGTGGCCTTGGTAATAACTTGTTCACTGGTGTTCTGATGGCGCATGAGATCTTTCTTACAGCAGTGTTCATACTCTGCCTTGTATCCTGTACTCAAGTCCTATTTCCTCTACTAGGTTATGAATTCCTTGAAGGAAGGAAAAGTGCTTTCTTCATCTTTGTGTCCTCTGCCAGTAACACACAAAGGGATTGTTGAATGGTCAGATATCCTATCTGCTGGTTTACTGAGTTTGAGGCTCTGTGACATGGGTTTATCAACCATCCTTTTCCTCACCTAGGCTTCCCTCCCCCTGTGCTCACCCTGCATCATTCTTGCTAGCTCCTGAGAAAGGTATCTCCTCCTCAAGTCACCTCTCTGAAGTCAAGGCCATGATATTCATTAGGCACTAGAGGCACAATGACTAAATAATATGGTACTTTTCAGGACCTAAACAATTTTAGAGATCTCAAAAGAAAATGGCTTTAAAACACAAAAAGGCACAGGATTGAATATAAGTGTTTGCACAAAGGTAAAACCAAATAATTTGTCATCTTCTTCTTCTTCTTTTTTTTTTTTTCGAGATGAAGTCTCGCTTTGTCGCCCAGGCTGGAGTGCAGTGGCGCGATCTCAGCTCACTGCAAGCTCCGCCTCCCAGGTTCACGCCATTCTCCTGCCTCAGCCTCCCGAGTAGCTGGGACTACAGGCACCCGCCACCACACCTGGCTAATTTTTGGTATTTTGTATTTTTTAGTAGCGACGGGGTTTCACTGTGTTAGCCAGGATGGTCTCGATCTCCTGACCTTGTGATCCACCTGCCTCGGCCTCCCAGAGTGCTGGGATTACAGGCGTGAGCCACTGCGCCCAGCCTGTCATCTTCTTTAAATGTTAAATTTAGCAGTCATTACTGAGAAATCATAGAAAACTGTAAATTAAATGAATAACCAGCTACCAAATAATTTTTTTAAAAAGATGCAAAAATTCTTTCAAAAATGTTTTGGGCAGAAAGTTATTTTTAATTGGGTATAAATACAACTTTTAATATGTTAGATATGGTATCAGTGGGAGAGCCTCCAGAAAACGAACATACTTGGGATCCTTAAAATAAACTGTCTGGGTCCAAAATGCTGTGCACATAGCCCGTGAAATATTTGCTGGATTTTAATTGATTATAGTTAAATGATGATGGTCTTTTTTGTTGTGGAAGGAAGGAAGCATGGGTATTTTACATTATTATTTTGTTTTGTTTTCTTTTATTTATAAAAAGAAAAAGGAGTTAAGGGAATTTTCCCAGCTTAGGTGGAATGAGTGCCACATTCCTGCGGAGATATTGAGCAATCTTTGGGGCCCTTGAATGGCACCAGTAAGGCCCTTCAGAGCACTCTGTCCTGGCCCTGCTCTTAGGTTTGCTTGCCACGCTGTCTGGTTCCTTCAGAATGTAGGAAGTTGGGGGTGGCACAGAAGCCCCAAGGGCAGTATGCTAGTGCAGAGGAAGCGAAGGCAAGCCATTGCCAGGTGCTGCCAGCAGAGCAGAGCGTGTGCTTTCGTGAGGCATGAGGGAACTGACCTTTCCACTTGCCCTTCACACTCAGGGTGACTCAAAGTGCTGACCTATTGTTTTAGGTACTGATTATACAGCGAACATGTTGATGATATGGTAGAGGTGTTTCCTCAGCAATGAGTGTTGAATGTTTAAAGTCAAGTAGATTTTTGGTATGCTTTTGCTTTGGTCAAGAGGGTCTTCTTTTTTCTTTCTTTTTGTCTTTTGGATATTGTTTTGGTTTTCATTCTGTAGTATAAATTGCAGTCCCAGAAGCTGAAATTCACTTCCACCTGTTCAAAAATTGCTGTAGACTTTAGTGCTTTTACTAACTATGCATAATATTGATATGCCCTTGCTGCTGAAATTTTATATCTAAGATTATCTTCCTATTATCTAGCCAGGATTCAACTCAAACCGAGAACCAGGATGGGATTGGAATTAAGGCACATTCAGCTGGAGGTTAGAGCCATAGTCAAATGTGAAAATATAAAGCATATTAAATATTTTGTGTTTGTATAATCATTATATTAGATCAGCTATAACCACCACGAGGGGAAGTTTTTTAAATAAGTGGATTTATGTTATCTGCCATCTCCAAAAGTTTAGAGTTGCCAGTTAAATACATATATATTTTTCAAAGGAAATCATCAAAAAGGACATTCCACTCTTATTACAAAGCTATGTCGGATAAATATTTTGATAGATGTGGTTCCGTGCACCTGGGAGCTGAGACGTGGCTGAGCCTGGAGCAGTTAGCACAGATGGAGCACTGAGATATAGCAAGGGTTGGGTTTTTTCTTATATATATTGCAAATGGTTGATTGAGATAGCATGAACATTACATTTTCCATGCCACTCAGAAAAGTAGCTTCCTTATGAGAAATGATCTTCTTATTTAAGAATGATAATGATAATGACCATACTAAGACTTTTCTCACAAGTAAATGTATAATGGGGTATGTTACAATATGAGCGTTTTGTTAAATAAGAGTACTAATTAGAAGCAATTCAGTAGACTGGGGTAAGTAAGGTCAAGTCTGCTTAACTTTGTGTCGGATATAATGTAAGTGTTTGGGGCTAGGATATTTACTGGTCCTAAGTGGCAAAATGCGAAAGATAGAAATGCATTAAGATAGAAAGGTTGCTACTTTGATTTTTCTCTTTTTTGAATCCGAGTTGAATCATAACTTATAATTTATTAAAATAATCAAGTGTGTCATCTTGATTATTAGGAAATAAGCATCCATATTTAAAATGTTGACTGTTCATACTTGCCTATCTCCTTAGTGGATGGATTGCTTGTTAAGTGACATTATAAAATCATAACACTTTTTCCCCCTTTGAGCCTTAAGTTTGCCCTTAAGAAGGTGGCATTATTTTCATTCCTTTGTTATTAGCAGAGGAATGACTTAGTAACCCCAGCGCAGTCATCTATCCTCTCTATCAATGAGTAAGAAATAGTGTGAACCACGTAACAATGTGCATGTTTTTTATTTGTCATTTTTTGTTTTCCTTTTGGACTATAAATTCCTCGAGGGCAGGGACCATCTTTATGTTCTCATCTAGTGGTTATCAACCAAATGTTGGAGGACTCACTGCCAAGAAAGTGATGATTTTCTTTAACACCCCAAAAGCTGTCAGTAAACAAATGGAAAAGATGATTTTTTAAAGCTGCCTTTATTAACATAAGCAAGAACGTGGATAATATGAGCTAGTTAGAAGAGTTACAACTCCCTCTTCCCTGCCTTTGCTGGAAGTTGGTTCATTGTAAACTTAGTCTTGTGTTTATAACTAGAGAGAAACAGACCCAAATACATCCTCAGAGAGAGATTCCATAAATTCAGCAACTGAATTTGATTTTCCAGAGTGTTTCTAAACTAATGAAATGTCCTTTCTAAAACATTTACCTAAAATGTTCTATGGTTGCAACATCTGCTAAGCCTATTACATTCTTTTATTAAACAGTTTTACTGTCCTCTGTGCAAACTGCTTATTTGAAGCAATAAAGCTGAGTTGACTCTGGACTTTCTAACAAACAGGATTGTTTTTTAACAGTGAGAAAAACTACATATTCACTATCATCATACTTAGTTTTGAAACCATCTGTTCAGAAATGATCCTATTAATTTAAAAAAGAAAGTATTTGAAGTCCAGCTGATTATAATAAAAGTGATACTGATTCTAGCAATGCTTTTGACCTCTCATACACCTTTAGTTCTTTTGTTTGGGTCCCAGACAGGAGAAAGCCTTTAAATGTCTATAGATTCTTTAAGACATAGGAGTCAATAACGATTCACTGACTAATGGAGGAAATATTTTTATCACATAAGATTCAAAGTTTGGTAAGGGAAATCTCATTATAAACTGGTGTAGTTAATCTGTAACTATATTTGGATTGAATAAACATGTTAGTAATTTCTCAAATGCATACTTGCCTCCCTGCCTGCTGCCCTACAAACCTACAGTCTTCCTGAATGGTAGCACAGCTGCACAGACCACAGAGGTTTTCAGGAAGAAAACTCTGCCTGCCTATCCAGAATGGGTCGGTGAATGCAGATGTCACCTTTTCTTTTTTGTCTACAACTTTTGTGACAGTTATAAGCCGATTAAGATAGCTTTAAAGCGTTCAGACTTTGCCACTGACTGTCTTTCTTCCTTAAAACACATGAGAAAGTTATAGCTAGCTCTTTTCCCAACTGTGCAGAACACTGCAAACAACAGCATGGGTTATTCATCTTGAAGCCCATTAAAAGGATGTTGGCCCAATTTGTAATTTTTGTGGTAGTGCTTTAATATTGGAGACATTCTAGTTTTGGAGACAAAATCAATTTGAGATGGATCTGTCAGTTTACTTTGTCAACTGAGGCAAAGATAAAAGTTCAGTCACTAAATGACTAAAATTTCAACACATTATACAGCAAGGTTGCCAGAGGAGATCACTGGGTGTATCGAGAGGGTGATTTTTTTTTTCTAGAGAGGGTCTTGCTCTGTTGCCCAGGTTGGAGTGCAGTGGCACAATCTCGGCTCACTGCAGCCTCCACCTCCCGGGTTCAACCGATTCTCTTGCCTCAGCCTCCTGAGTAGCTGTAATTACAGGAGTGCGCCATCACACCCAGCTGATTTTTGTATTTTTAGTAGAGCAGGTATTTTGCCATGTTGGCCAAGCTGGTCTCGAACTCCTGGCCTCAAGCAATCTTACCCGCCTCAGCCTCCCAAAGTGCTGGGATTACAGACATGAGCCACCGTGCACGGCCGTAACTTTTTTTTTTTTTTTAAGGAGATGGGGTCTTGCTATGTTGCCCAGGCTGTTGTCAAACTCCTGGCCTCAAGCAATCCTCCCACTTCTGCCTCCCAAAGTGCTGGATCACAGGCATGAGCAACCACAACTGGCTAAGTGGGTGATTTAAGAATCTTAGAAGGCTCCAATATACTTCCTAATCTCCCTCCATGCTCTGTCTAGCTCGTAGCTTGCAAACTCTAACTCCTGCAGGGGCCAGGGAGGGAAGGAAATGGATAAAACTGGTCCCATTGAAATTGGTGAGCTAGAGAGCAAATACCCTGTGTAGTGTTGCATCTTCCAGTTTTTCTAGAGAAATCGGATGTTTGGATTT
Source organism: Homo sapiens (assembly GCF_000001405.40). Taxonomy (NCBI): domain Eukaryota; kingdom Metazoa; phylum Chordata; class Mammalia; order Primates; family Hominidae; genus Homo; species Homo sapiens. Next base: position 125,282,098 of record NC_000008.11, read on the forward strand.
TTTAATGTCATCCCTTAATTTTTTTTTTTTCTTTGAGAGGGAGTCTCACTCTGTAACCCAGGCTGGAGTGCAGTGGCATGATCTTGGCTCATTGCAACCTCCCCCACCCAGGTTTAAGCGATTCTCCTGCCTCAACCTCCCAAGTAGCTGGGATTACAGGCGCATGCCACTACACCCAGCAAATTTTTGTATTTTTAGTAGAGCCGGGGTTTCACCATGTTGGCCAGGCTCGTCTCGAACTCCTGACCTCAAGTGATCTGCCCACCTTGGCCTCCCAAAATGCTGAGATTATAGGTGTGAGCCACTGCACCCGGCAAGATCCCTTAATTTTTAAATATTAGCTATTGATTGAAATTTGAAATGCAACGTTTAGCTAAACAAAACCTATTTGCAGGCTACATATGGTTGATGCATCGCATATTTACCTCTGCTCCACTTACTCCTTCGATTTAAGAGTTAGAACTTGTCCTTTTGGCTTGGGGCTTTTGTCTTTTAATTTTCAAACGGCTGTAACCTGGAGAAAGGCTGTACTTCAGACTGTGTCAATGAAGAGTTGGTAATTTCCACTGAGTTCAATTCAGGACAGTTACTCCCCGTTGTCTGTGTATAATATACTGTGCTTGGGCACCAGTAATAATGCTACACAGCTTATCCCTTCAAAGTATCTGTTGACTGTGCAAGAGCAGTGTTCCCTGACACCAGTGACCTGTGTTATACACAATGCCATGTGTAACACAGTGTACAGCCCTACTGGGCAGTTCTGGACTCCACTTGAAAATATTTTTACCGAAATTATGGATGGAAACTATGAGAATCGTTCTGATGAGGGCATCTATGCTAATTGTAGGAAGGTAGTCTAGCATAATTGTTGAAAGAGCAAGTCATAAAGCCAAACTGCCTGGATTAGAATCTTAATTGTGCTTCTTGACAGCTGTGTGACCTTGGGTATATTATGTAACCTCTCTGTGGTTTCATTTTTCACATCAGTAAGTGGAAAGAGTAATAATATCTACATCATAGAGTTATGACAATGATTAAATATGACAACCTTCTATATAAAGCTCTTAGCACAAGGTCTGATATATAGTAAATGCAAAGTAATTATTAGCCACTTCTGCTGCTATTGTTTTTAATTAAGAAAACACTGAACTTAGAATCAGGAGATCTGGGGCTAGGCATGGTGGCTCATGCCTGTAATCCCAGCACTTTGGGAGGCTTAAGTGGGTGATCACTTGAGTCCAGGAGTTCAAAACCACCATGGTCAACATGACGAAACCCCGCATATACAAAAATTAGCTGCTCATGGTGACCTGCACCTGCAGTCCCAGCTACTTGGGAGGCTGAGGTGGGAAGTGGAGGTTTCAGTGAGCCAAGATCATGCCACTGCACACCAGTCTGGGCAAGTGAGACCTTGTGTCAAAAAAATTAAAAAAGAATCAAGAGATCTTGGTTTGGGCACCCATTTTGCCTCTTAGTGTCTCTAACCAACTGGAAACTGCTTAATTAACCTCTGTGAATATCAATAAGATCAGGATAACATGAAGATGAAATGCAATTATGTATCAAGACACATAAAGCAATGCACAAATGAAAGGTATTGTTTGGTAGCGGGGAGGGCTGTCCAGCTGGGGAGGGGGCAGTGCCCTCATGACACAGCACAGTCAACATGTAGACCCTAGAGGAACCCAGGGCCCATTTTGCCTCTTTGTTTCAACTCAGGCATTTGATCCACAGCAAGCATTGGACTATTACTGGCTTTAGAATGACTCAAGTAGGCCGGGCGCAGTGGCTCACGCCTGTAATCCCAGCATTTTGGGAGGCCAAGGTGGGCAGATCACAAGGTCAGGAGATGGAGACCATCCTGGCTAACATGGTGAAACCCCGTCTCTACTAAAAATACAAAAAAATTAGCTGGGCGTGGTGGCGGGCGCCTGTAGTCTCAGCTACTTGGGAGGCTTAGGCAGGAGAATGGCGTGAACCTGGGAAGCAGAGCTTGCAGTGAGCTGAGATCACACCACTGCACTCCAGCCTGGGCAACAGAGCGAGACTCCGGAAAAAGAAAAAAAAAAAAAGAATGACTCAAGTAAACATTTAGAGAGTAAAAAAAAAAAAGAAAAAAAATTTTAAGTTCTGCCACTTTGTTAAAAAAAATACCCCTGAAAGACAGAGTATGTCTTCGACTCTCACAAGTCCTTTATTAGACTTGCTTTGGAAGAGTTCCAAACTGTGGCTGAGAGGATGGCATACTGAGGCACAGCTAAGGCTGCCATCCACTTCAGAGAAGGAGGGATTCTAGCGGAGTCACATGGGGGTTTGAGACTGACCAACCCATTGGTCTTTGTTTCAGAAATGAGGAAACAGAACCAGAGAGGTTCTATCCTTATCGAGGATTGTTCAACTGCTGACCTTTCCCCTACCCTAAGATACTTAGACTCAGCTGTATTCAGGATTTTCAGTTCTTTCTCTGATTTCTCACATTTTCAAAGATATGCCATTCAGATTTGTTTAGGTATTTTTAAATCACTTGGAAGAAAATGACATAGTGGATCTGAGAGCACTTACAGCATTTCTGCACCATGTTCAGTACTTGAATCTGAATCTAAAGAGAGGGCTTTATTGGATCACTATTCTGGGATAATATTGAAATAACAACTAATAACAATAACAACAATTTTTGTTTTGTGAAAAAATAATACAACCAAATGAAAATAGATTAATCAAAACAGTGAAAACCCTGTCCCCTTTTCTGAGCTTATGAAAAGAGAACCTAATTAGTAGGCATTCTTTTTATAGCTAATGTGCTAATTGCCTCAGAGATAACACCTGTGTAATTTATTTTTAAAAATCTTACGAAAATCTACATTTTAGTGAGATTCTAGGAAAGAATAGCAACAGCTGGGCCCACATCTGTTTGAATGATGCGGCATGAAAAGGATTCTAAATATAGTCTGAATTAGAGGCAAATGTACTTTCATGCTGTAGTACAAAGTATCAGTTGAACTAGATCTGAAGGAGCTTATCATTAAAATAACCTAAAACTAAAATGGCACAGTTTGCTTTGGAAAGCAACAAATATTTACCTTAAGCAGTCTTTGTTAGCAAACTTGAAATATAACTGGTCCATTCCCACTTGCCAGATGGAGAGAAAGATTATACCAGAGCTTAGGAGAATAAAAATAAGTCACATCGACACAAGAAAGTGACTTTTTACAAGAAGTTTTCATCACATTCAGTGGCTTGGGGTGCCTTGTTTCTATTTTTCTTAGTTCTTGAATTTTATAGAGCCTGAGTTAGCAGCTCTCAACAGCTCTGCCTTCCTCCCTCCTCCCCTCCCTCCCTTCCTTCTTTTAACAAATACTTACATGCCCATTCTGTGCTGGGTATTTTTTGTATATACCCAGATAAGAATAGGGTAGCCATAGTTTCTGCTCTAATAGGGTTTTGAAGACTGACATAACAGATGTTTTACTTTAAACATGTACATTTAGGTAACACTGTACCTATAAAGCTCTTAGTGTCTGGCACATAGTAAGTATCAATAAATAACAGCAACATGTGAAGACAGTACAAGAATCTGTGAAACCTGTAATAGCAGACCCAATATAATAGCTAGCATTTATTGAGCACCTACAGTATGCTAAGAATTCTTCATACACACGCACACACACACACACACACACACAAAGCTATACACACAGTTGTATTTAATCGTTACAGCATTCCAAGGGTACATCATATTACCCCAGTTTACAGATGAGGTAACTGAAGCTTGGTGAGGTTGAGTTGTCCAAGGTCACATGTATGTCTCAGTGACTGTGCCAGGATTTGAATTCAGGTTTGACCTGACCAAAACTTGAGCCCTTGGCCATTAGGATGTACCTTGGAATCCCATTTTTACAGCCTCCATTGCCACACACTACCCCCGAGAACAGTCCACTAGCAGCACTTGTTTCCCTACCCTCCAGTGCCTGGGAGAGTTAATTTGCACACCACTGTCAATACCTTACCTTCAGGGCCCCTTCTCAGGATCACAAGACTACCAGAAAATCAATAGGAATTAATCATCAGTGAAAGCCAAAGGTTTTTACTTCAATATGTATTTTCCTTTGTGTTGATATGTCTTTACAGAGATAACACCACCACCAAAAAATTATCCAATGGTCCATCTCTTCCAGATTTGCCCAATATTCAGAGACTCCAAACAATACCTTTTATTTATTTTTTTTTTTTTTTGAGATGGAGTCTCGCCCTGTCACCCAGGCTGGAGTGCAATGGTGCAGTCTCGGCTCACTGCAACCTCCGCCTCCTGGGTTCAAGTGATGCTCCTGCCTCAGCCTCCCAAGTAGCTGGGATTACAGGCGCCCACCACCATGACGGCTAATTTTTTGTATTTTTAGTAGAGATGGGGTGTTGCCATGTTGGCCAGGCTGGTCTCAAACTCCTGACCTCAAGTGATGCTCCTGCCTCGGCCTCCCAAAGTGCTGGGATTACAGGCATGAGCCACTGCGCCCGGCCCAAATAACATCTTTTATGTGCCATCATACACATACATATATTTAAATTAAGCATTATATTTTACAAGCCACTTTCATGTCCATGAACTTGCTTAAGCTTCCCTAAGCCTTGTTTATAGCATCTCTTCTCCATTTTGTAGATGAAGAAACTGAAGCCTAGAGCAAAAAAAAAAAAAAAAAAATTGCCCAAAGCCAATAGTTAATTTCCAGCAAACCTGGGACTTCAACTCAGCTCTGGTTCCTTTGCATCCTAAGAAAATCATATGTGTGTGGTGATTGTAATCCCCTGGATTGGGGGCTGTGTTTGATTGTTTATCTCTGAACTTCAGTAGACGCCAATTGGGAGGTGAACTCCCGATCTCACTGTAACGTGCCTCCTCTGTAGGGTGGTTTTACCACACATGTAAGAAGCCTTCACATTAATAAAATACAGAATTTGGCCAGGTGTGGTGGCTCACACCTGTAATCCCAGCACTTTGGGAGGCTGAGGGGGACAGATCACTTGAGGTCTGGAGTTTGAGGCCAGCCTGGCCAACATGGTGAAATCCCATCTCTACTGAAACTACAAAAATTGGCCGGGTGTGGTGGCGGGCACCTGTAGTCCCAGCTACTCGGGAGGCTGAGGCAGGAGGATCACTTGAACCTGTTAGGTAGAGGTTGCAGTGAGCTGAGATTGCCCACCTGCACTTCAGCCTGGGTGACAGAGTGAAACTCTGTCTCAAAAAATATAAAATAATAAAATCAAATACAGAATTTGCCTCCAGCTATCTGGAGTTGCTACAAGCCCAGTGCCATTGTTTCATGCCTGCTGCTACTGTTCCTTTCCACAGATGCCTATCCTTGGGACATACACTGCTTGATTGCTCTCCTGGCTAGAGATAACCAGAAGCTAAACCTTGTTAAAATAAATGACCTAAGTAAGACAACTTTCTCCTCCAGGACCTTGCCCTTTAGTTATCTCTTCTTTCTGTATCATCCATATCATTAGTCTCTGCTGGCTTTCCACTCAGGCTACAAACCCACTCAACCCTTTAAAATGAAACAGACAGAGGAGAGAGAGATTGTCCCGTGTCTAGCTAATGCCCCTTCTCTCCTTTCCCTGTCTTAAAAGAGTGTTCTGACTACCCAGGGACCACTTGTTTACTTCCATTTACTCCTTAACATTGGCAGCCCGATCTCTTCCACCATTCCAGTGAATCCTCTCTGCAGAATATCTCCAGTGACCTGCACATTGCCAGTTTTCCAATCCATATCTTCCTAAGTCTCTGTGCCATTTAAAATTTTTGACTACTCGACGCTCCCAGATACTCATTACTCCCTTGTGCGGGATCCTTCTCAACTAACTCCTGTATCTACACCTAAATATAACTTTTTAGGATTATCTCTGTTTTTCTTGTGGAGACAGGGTCTCGGTATGTTGCCCGGGCTCTTCACGAACTTCTGGCCTCAAGCGATCCTCCTGCCTCAGCCTCCCAAAGCACTGGGATTGTAGGCGTGAGCCACCATACTGGCCGATGTTTTAGGATTCTCATTCTGGGCAATTGCGCTTCTTTCTACTGACTTTTCTTTTGTCATTTCATTTATTATCACGGCTGCAGCTCCCACACTCACCTTTATGCTACTGCGTGAGCTCCCTCACCATAATCCTGTCCTTACTGCTTCTCTGACTGCTGGGACGTAACAGGAGGCCCTCAGCCTCAAGATAATTTTTTTCTTCTGATATCAGCTCTTCCTCCTGCATTCCCTCCCTCAGGTAGTGCATCATACACTGAAATAGAAAACCTAGTCATAATTAGACTAACCCCCTTCCTTCATTCCCAGCAATCACATTTCAATTATTTTGCCTCTGAGCTATTTCTGTTGATTGATTGATTGCCTATATCTCCTCAAATTCCTTTTACCAGGGATATTTCTCAAATCTGGCCTCTCTCTATGTCCTGGTCCTTTTTCCTGGCAAATCTCTGTACTTAACACTGTTCTGTGTATCTGAAACTCTTCTCTCACTTTGGTTGTTGTTACTGTTGACATTTATTCATTCTTATAGACTTATTTCAGGCCTCATTGCCCCTTTAGTTCTATGCATGTGTCTTTCTTAACACTCGAGATACTGTGTACCTGTGTTCCCCACTAGGCTAGGAGTTTTTTTTAGGACAAGTCTTTTCCCCAGTCTTTATTTTTTAAATTTATTTATTTTTATTTTTTGAGACAGGGTTTGCAGTCTCGCCCTAGCTGGAGTGCAGTGGCTCGATCTTGGCTCACTGCAGCCTCAACCTCCCAGGCTCAAACCATCCTCCCACCTCAGCTGCCCAGGTAGCCAGGATCACAGGCATGCATTACCACCATGCCCAGCTAATTTTTTGACTTTTTATAGAGATGGTCAGTGTTGACCAGGCTGGTCTCAAACTCCTGAGCTCAAGCAATCCTGCCTTAACCTCCCAAAGTGCTGGGATTTACAGGCATGTGCCACCACACTTGGCCTTTTCCCCCAGTCTTTAATTCATCTTTGTACTTCCAAGGCCTACAGCAGTACCTAAAACTTACCACATCCTCAATAAATATTTGTTGAACTGGATCATACTTACTTCCTAGAGTAATCAGAACACATGAAAAGCATTGGAAACGGGAACTTTGGAGGAAAAATATAGGCAGTTATCCAAAGTATCACTCATGCAGCTGTTGCAGGACAACTGGATGTTAACATGTAGACTCTCTTCTGCCTCCCATCTTTGCGTTTGAACATGTATTGCTAAGTGCCCCTCTCTCAGCCAATCTGTCTCTGTCTCTGCTCTCAGTCTGCCCAAGTCCTGCTTATTCTCTTGGACTCAGCTGTTGGCCCACCTCAGAATGGGTTAGAGGCCTTTCATCCATGCTGCTGTGTCTAGCAGGGTACTTATCAGAGGGCATTCTTGTTATCAAAGGGTTTCCTGTTTCCTTGTCTGTCTTCCCCAGTTAACTGTGAGCTCATTTAGAACAGAGACCAAGTCGTGCTCCTTTTACATTTTCAGTGTCTGACATGGCTCTGCTTATTAAATGTTTGATGAATAATGAAGGAATATACTTTAAAAGTAGCAGATGTTTGTGGGTGTGCTGTTACTGAAACCCCCACCTACCTCGAATTTAAAGCTTAGGTTTTCTTTCTTGAGTAGGACCTTAAAAGCCATGTATTTTAGTTTAGGTGCATTCAAATTCTGGTGTCTCCAGTTAGCAGTTGTTAATCACACTAGCTGATCAACTACTGGTCTTAAATCAAAGCATTTATTATCAAAGCCTTTTTGTTTATGAGTACAAACACACCATTGATGTTTATAAGAATAATTATTTTCTCCCCTGAATGTTAACTAGCCACAAAAGCTGGTGTACACATGTGATAGTGTTTTTCACGGAGTTTAAAGAATGTTGGTCTTTGATGTTCTGCCCTTGAATGGAAATGAGTCTGTATTACAAAATCACTAGTGAGGAAAATGGGGAACTTCTAGACAAGCACCTGAGAAGCATTATTAGAATTCCTGAGCATTAAAATCCAACAGATGCATTTTTCATGACGTTAAAAAAAACTCCACTTTCTGGTAGTAGCCCATGTCTTATGCTACGAAAATGAATGAGATTAAGTAGAATATGTTAAAATCATATTAAGTAGAAATGTCTTAGTCAAAACGTGACTGAAAGGAAAAGACACTAATACAAGGTAGCGGTAGCAAAAAAAAATTAATAAATAGAAAAAATTTTAAATAAGCTGTAAGGAAAAAGGGGTGTCTCATGGGAAAAGGGACTAGGAACAAGAATCTAAAAGGAGGCCCTTTTGGTCTTTCTCAGACCATAAAATCTCTCATCTCTACTTCTTTGCATGACTTGCATTTTTTTTTTCTTTCTCTCAGCCTGGCTTGCTCAGTTTGCCTGACCACCTGGCAGAAGGTAGCTACCTCATAGCATTCTAGGTTATGTATCCTCTTTCAGTTCAACTAAAGAGCCCAGACAGAATTAGAATCTCTCAGTTACAATTCCAGTCTCACAGAAAAGTTGGTTGAGGCAACATAGGTAGGTCACAAGTCCAGTGTGGTCCAGGCAACTGTGATCAAGGAGACAGAGCCACATGACACAAATATGGTTGCCATGGCACATGTCTGAATGCAAAGAGACAGTTCTCAGACAGGATGGGCTATCATGAGTTAGACAGACAACTCCTACCACCACCAAAAACCCAAGGAAGCATAAAGTAAAAAGGATAATGTAGTAGCACTATCTCAGTATAAATTATTTATAGATTTATTGTCTTTTTCCTCCACCAAATTATGTGTACCATGAGGTCAGGCACCATAATTATGTTTAATTCTCTAGTACCTAGCAGTGCCCGACAATAGGCATTCAGTAAATATTCAGTAAATATTGGATGAACAGAAACTAAGGTAAGCTCTGCCTTCATGGGAATTATAGTCTGGTCATGAAAGCAGGCAGAAAACAAGCAAATAAAAAGATGTAATTGTGGTAAATATTAAGAAAGTTAAAAGGGGGAGAGGGGTAAAGGAAGGGTTACCAAACTACAGCAGAAACTTTCAGAGGTAGGTGATGGTGTTAAAACCCAAAGTAGCTGTACTAACTTTGCTTATTCATCCGAAGAGACTGGAGGTGGTAATCATAAAAGATTCCGTTTACATTTTGTTCCATTCATCATTTTAACACATAAAAAACTAGTTTACATTAGAGCATGGGTTGCTAAAAGGTTGCTGTAAAGAACTATATAAAATTTTAATAAATTTAATTAATGTTTGCTGATATCTTTTCATTTTTATCTTCCATTTTTAAATTGGTAAACTCTTAGCCTGGAGCTCGATGTAATTATATAACAGTTCTATGAGCTGGTCAATGATTAATCAAGTGCACAATAGGAGATATACATTGGCCAACTCTGCAAGCAGATTTGGATTAAGATTACAAATCACACAATGGGAAAGACATGTTCTCCAAAGGAGAATCAGGCAGGATCAGATGATACACCGGGATGTGTTTTCAGTGTGATGGAAAGATTGTTTCCAGTGATCTTAGTGATGGTAAAGATAGAGGAGAAGACACCTAAGAAATGTGTTTTTCTGGAGTTATATTAGTATTTTTGTTGCCAGTATCTAATAGTGTTTCCAGAACTATTCTGGAAGCAAGCCAGATCTCGTAAACAATAATTAACAGAGCTTTTTACCTAGCTTTATTCATTAGAGTAACTAACAGGAGTTTCTATATAAACAACTCCAAAACCCTAGTGGCTTATTAAACTGTAGATTTTTTTCCTATATAAAGTTCAGTGCAGATAAAGGGGGTGTTTGTTCCATAAATTTATTCAGGGACCCAGGCTCTTTCCATCTTGTGGTTCTGTCCTCCCGCACTCAATTCATTCAAGCTGGTCCATGGGGAAAGAATGAGATTGGGCCAGGACTACACCAGGAAGTGCACATCACTTCCACTCTCATTTCATTAGCCAGGATTGAGTCACAAGTACCACACCTACCTACAAGGAGGGCTGGACAAAGGTATAGTTGGGGACTCAGGAAGAAGAGAGTATTAGTGACTGTTCTCAGTGTCTGCCACACTAGCAATATGTAGATTCAAGAAGCTATGGGAGGAAAAAAAAAAAAGGAGAAGAAGAAGAAAAAAGAAGAAGAAGCTGTGGGAGGCCAGGGGGAGCAGTGGCTCACACCTGTAATCCCAGCACTTTGGGAAGCCAAGGTGGGTGGATCACTTGAGGTCAGGAGTTCAAGACCAGCCTGGCCAACATGGTGAAACCCCATCTCTACTAAAAACACAAAATTAGTTGGGTGTGGTAGCACATGCTTGTAATCCCAGCCACTTGGGAGGCTAAGGCAGGAGAGTCACTTGAACCTAGGAGGCGGAGATTGCAGTGAGCTGAGATCACGCCATTGCACTCCAGCCTGGGCAACAGAGCAAGACTCCATCTCAAAAAAAAAAAGAACCTATGGGAAACATGAAAAAGAAAATATTGTAGAAAAGCCCTTTGTATCTTCAAAAGAATTTTGTTGCCAAAATTTGAGATCATTTCAGATAAGTTATCTCTCCAAAAGCTTCTTACCACCTGTAGTGCTGTTGGCTTCTACAAACCACATGTGATTCCCTGGTTCTGTCAGTGCTGGAAAATTCAGAAGAAAAATAAGAGCAAATCGATTCTGAAAAGTAGTTATTTAATCAGAATGGGGGTAGTGTGTGCTTTCCCTTCCAAAGCACAACTATGAGTTGCCCATCAAAGCTTATAATCATCTCCTCTAGGAGTGTTCCTCAACATGAACGAGTTTCAAATGTTGGCAGGTCATACTTGTTGAAGACCCCCTGTAGTCTGGAGCAGTATTTCCCAACTAAGAATTTAGGAAAGAGTCTAATTCCATAATTTTACTTAAATCTGTCCCAGGGGGCCTGGTTTAGGTCTGATACCATATGCTCTTGTCCATGATGACAGTAGCTGTGCCCCAGCTCTGTTTCAGGGATTCTGCAAATTTAATTATACAACAATAATAGCTTACACTGTTGAGCACTTACTATATTCTGGGTACCATTCTAAGAATGCTATTACTATTATACTCATGTCCGGGAAATAGGATGCTGCCCCACCTTGCACTCTCAGGGATCTTGTCCATTAATCCACACTGGAAGTTACCCCTGCCCAGGAAGTTTATCAAGGGAGATACAAACTTGGCAGTTTAAGAGGGTGGTTCTTATTGTTATAACCAGGACTGACGAAAATTTGAAGGACATAATTGTATTTTTAGATACCTCAGATTTAGTTTGGCAAATGGCTGTTGTGGTGCTGACCAGCTTTCCCCATATAGAGCTAATTATTCTTTGTTTATTTTTATTTACTGACTCCAGTGGGTTAATTTTGAAATTTATTTGAACTTCGTTCAATAAATGATCACTGAGCATCCACTCTGTGGAAAGCTCCATGCTAATTATTGTAGGGAACACAAACAGGAGGAAGGTTTAGTCATCAAGCATACTGATGAGTAGAGGTAACAGGATTACCCTAAACATTATGAGGTTGCTGAGACTTTTGAAGACCATCCTGTAGGTCTTGAACCTTTAGCTGATGGGTTAAACACTGAATGCTGTGAGAGATGATGGCTTTGGAGTCCCAAGTTAGACAGTTATATCTCCTACTATCTGATGTGCTAATATTCTTCTTTATAACAGTTTTATTAAGATGTAATATACATACCATACAACTCACCTACTTAAAGTGTGCAGTAGACTGGGTTTTGTTTTTGTATATTCACAGAGCTAGGCAGCCATCACCACAATCAATTTTAGAACATTTTCAAAAAGAAATCCTGTATAATCCTGTATCTGTTAGCATTTACTTCCTATTTTCTCCCAAGTTCCCCAGCTCTAGGCAACCACTAAATCTACTTTCTATCTCTATTTGCTGTTTGGGACGTTTCATATAAACATGCATATGTGGTCTTTTGTGACTGGATTCTTTCACTTGGCATAATGTTTTCAAGGTTTATCCATGTTGTAGCATGTATCACTATTTCATTCCTTTCTAGTGCTGAGTAACATTTCATTATATGCATATACCACATTTTATATATCATTCTTCAGTTGATGGTCATCTGGGTTCTTTCTGTCTTTTGGCTATTATGGATAGTGCTGCTGTGAACATTTGTGTACAGTGGACATTTGTTTTTATTTCCATTTCTCGTGGTATTTATCTCACAGTGTAATTGCTGGGTCATATGGTGACTCTATGTTTATCCTTTTTAGGAACTGCCAGACTTTTCCAAAAGGACTGCGCCATTTTACATTCCCACCAGCATTGTATGAGGGTTCCAATTGCTCCGCGTCCTCACCAGCACATGTTATTGTCTCTTTTTTATTGTAGACATCCTAGTGGGCATGAAGTGGTATTTCATTATTTTGATTTGCATTTCCCTGATGGATTAATATTGTAATATTTATTTTACCAATCTAGGGCTAAACTTGCGATCGTATACTTTCTTATGCACGTAATAGAAACTGTCTCATATTACTGGATTGACTTTCTAAAACAAAACCATAGTTCTTTACAAGATGAATGTCATTTATGGGGTTAGAATTATACGTGAAAAAACATAAAGTAAAATGACATGGAGTTAAGATTACACACTCATCTGGGAAATTTGTTTTGCGCTATGAATTCATTCACAGTGTTCCGAGGCCTTTATCTGAGCTACTCAAGTACTACTATGTGACATTTACTGGATAATCCAGACAGCACTTTGGTTAAATCCACAGTGTGATGTCACCCAGTAAACACTTGAAAATGGAGATGTGTGTCTCTTCTGGTTTTATCAGTCAAGATTAGTGGTGGTTCACAGCACAGTGAACTTTTTCTCCTCTGTGATCCATCAGTCTGTGTCTCATTGTGGGCCAATAATCTGTCACCTGAAACTACTTAAAATAGGTTGGACTTTCTTGAATGTCGTGTTGCTGTGATGACATAGGGTTTTGGCTGCAGAAAGGAAAGAACCTTTTTATAACTTTTGTTTGCCTCTGTATCCCTTGTTTCCAGTAAAAGCACTGTGATTTTTAGCCCCTTGCTTATATATGTAGACTATTTTCTAAACCAGTTTTTCATCCATCTCTTTACCTTCTGGGGCCCCTAATCTGGTGACCTTTGTGTTTCTGTCAAAGAAAGAAAATGACACAGGGCTTGGAAGGTGACAGAGTTTCACCATCTTGGTTTGACCAACTAGCAGACAGGTAAAAACAGCATCCAAAAGGGCCATTTGATAATAAAATTAAAAAATTAAAAGTTGAAGAGAATTCAGAGGATGCTTTCTTCAGAGAAGTGCTTAGGATTTCTCAGAAATCTCCCCAGAAAAGAGGCCTTAACAGTAGAGTGATCATCCTTTCTGACCCCCTGAGAGAATAACACACAGGTCGGAATTCTCTTCATTGGGCTGCACACCCCTGTCTCTGCTTAGTACAGCTTTGGGAAGTTCTGAGAGGGACAAAGGGGGTAAAGAACTGAGAGTGGATCATTAACCCTTCATAATACATCATCCCATGTTCTGCCTCATTGGTTCCTTAATTTTTAGTGTGTGATTGTGTGGCTCGGTTGGGGAATAGTTGGAAGGAATAGTTGGAGCTTGAATTTTGTCTCCTCCAAAGTAAAAGGAAGCAACAGCTTTATACATTTATAGAGCTGGATTTCTTTCTTTGTTTTTTAAGCTCTAATGAATTCTGTTTTGAGCATTCTATTGACTAAAATATTATTTTGGATGAAACTGAAGCATATCATGACCCAATAATAACCGTTGCCCCTACTGAAGATCTTAAACTACTGCATAATCCTGAACCATGTGCCTTCACAACTATTAAACAAGAAATAACTAATATTTATTAAAGTATGAGTAGGAATTACAGCTTACAGCTTAGATTCTGATCTTTGCACTGATTAGCTCTTGATTAATTAAAAAAAATAGCTAGCACTTATTAAACATTTACTACACGCTAGGCATTATAATAGCCTTGCATAGATTATCTCATTTAATACTTTCCATGGCCCTATGAACTAGGTACTGTTATTTTCTTCTTTTTACAAACTGAGGTAAATTTAGTGTTGTCATGTGCAGTTTGCACCCTTAACTCCCAACACTCACTTCTGCTGGGTACATGACATATTGAATGAATACTATGTTTGTAAGAGAGAGAGAATATGCATGAATGAATGAGAGAGAGCATACCCAAACAGGGAAGCAAACTGATGGATTTGGCTGTAGTCAAATTGTTGTTGCCATGGTCATTTTTTTTTTTTTTTTTTTTGAAACGGAGTCTTGCTCTGTCACCCAGGCTGGAGTGCAGTGGTGCAATCTCAGCTCACTGCGACCTCCAACTCCCAGGTTCAAGTGATTCTCCTGCCTCAGCCTCCCTAGTAGCTGGGATTACAGGCATGCACCACCATGCCAGGCTAATTTTTTTGTATTTTTAATAGAGATGGGGTTTCACACGTTGGCCAGGCTGGTCTCAAACTCCTGACCTCAAGTGATCCACCCACCTTGGCCTCCCAAAGTGCTGGGATTACAGATGTGAGTCACCGCACCCGGCCTGCTGTGGTAATTTTTAAGAAAGCTTTTAACATTTCCTTTTCCTCCTTCGTATTGTTGCTTACAAACATAAGACAATAACTGCTGAGGAGAAGCAAACTCAAGGCTGGGCATTCCTGCAGGAAAATGGCCAAGGTGTACTTTCGTGGAATAAAAATGAATCAGAGAATTTGCTAATTTTTTTCTCTTAAGAAATTAGAATAAAAAACAACAGTGCTTATACTGATTTTTCTTTAAGAAATCGAATACCTCTGATTACTTATTTTGCATAGAAAATATAGAGTATACTTAGAAATTCAGGAAGTATTTTCTTTCTCATTGCAAACATTAAGTTATTCTTAGTCACTTATTCAATTAAATTGTTACAATCACTTCACTGGGCCATTTTACTGTGAGATATCCTAAAATCAATGAATTCGTAACATCTCTGTCATAATCACACACCCATTTTTAACAACCTGTATTTCATATTTTCATGCTTTTTAGTCAAGGTAAATGTCTGAATATAATGTAACTAAAGCTACATTCCTATAAAAATGCCTGGCCAAAAGGTAGCTCTTCAAGCCAGCAGTCATCTCCAGGATAATACATTGAATCTGTAGAGCTTATTTTACCCAGTTTTTCCCCTCCCCTGCAAAGGCAATTCTTTAATCTGCTCTACAAAGTCTCTACCTACTAAGAAGTCATCTTTGGTTGAGGGACCTCCTGGGACAGGCAGCTCATTCCATTTTCAAATAGTTCTAAATGGGGGAAATGGTTTCCTTTGTTCAGCCAAATGTTGTCTTCTTTAAGGCCTGCTTCTCCACATTAGCTCTTCCTTCTGGAATGAGACACAGTAAAAACTAGGGTGAAATCTCTTAATTAACAAACACTTAGGCTGTAATCCCAGTACTTTGGAAGGACCAGACAGAAAGATCAGTTAAAGCCAGCAGTTCGAGACCAGCCTAGGCAACAAAGTGAGACCTTGTCTCTAGAAAAAAAAAAAAAAAATTAAAGCCAGGCATAATAGCGTGCGCCTGTAGTCATAGCTAGTTGGGAGGCTGAGGTAGAAGGATCACTTGAGCCCAGGAGTTTGAGGCTACAGTGAGCTATGATTGTGCCACTGCACTCCAGCCCATCAACAGAGTGAGACTCTGTCTCAAAAAAAAAATTATTGATTACTTTTACAATATGCAAAGCAATTATGAAATGTATCAGAAAATGAATACATACACTTCATAATATTAATGTGGACAAATAAACACGGATGTTGAAGTCACATGATAGCAAAAATAATGCTGACTGGGCCAGGCACAGTGGTGCAATGCCTGTAATCCCAGCACATTGGGAGGCTTAGGCAGGTGGACCACCTGAGATCAGAAGTTCAAGACCAGCCTGGCCAACATGGTGAAACCCCGTCTCTACTAAAAATAAAAAATTTGCCTGGTGTGGTGGTACACACCTGTAGTCCCAGCTACTAGGGAGGCTGAGGCCAGAGGATCGCTTGAACCTAGAAGGCAGAGGTTGCAGTGAGCTGAGATTGTGCCACTGCACTCCAGCCTGGGTGACAGTGAAAGTCCATCTCAAAAAATAAATAAATAAAATAGTGCTGACTACATGCCAGGCACTGTTGCAAGTACTTTGTTTAAGTTAACTCATTGATCCTGACCACAGCCCTTTGAGGCATGTACTACAAAAATCCCCATTTTGCAGATGTGGAAACTGAGACACAGTTAAGACACTTGCCCAAAGTCACCCAGCCAGTAAACGTGAGATCCAGCGTTTGCAGTCAAGCAGATTGCCTGGTCCCTTAGCTCTGCGGACCCAGAGCCAGATCTTCCAGTGCTGATGCTGCGCCTCATTAGCAGGATAATGCGGGAAATTTACTTAAACCATCTCCACTTTTGTTTCCTTATCTGTAAAAACAGGCAGAGTTGTTATAGTAATTAAATGGAATACCATTGAACGTGACCAGTGGTTCTTAACAGGGATTGCATATCAAATTCATCTGTGGGTTTTTTTTTGTTTTTTTTTTTTTTTCCCCAGTTTAGGTCTTACCAGGAACTTCTGATTCATTTAAATACTATGTGGTTTGTTGTCACCAGTTTGAGACTCATGTCAACATTGGTTCAGAATAAGCAGGGTGATGGGTGACTTTTTAAATTAATCCTCTTAATAACTGCAAAACTCAGGACAGTGTTAGTATTGATGGGATTAAGTTTGGGGTGATATTAAAATCTGATTTCAAAGTCCCATAGTAGTTGTTCCTCCGATCCTTAAAATGAACTTCCTTGCCCCCATTTATTGCTGAAACATTTTTCTGCATGCATACCCAAGGTAGCACATTTCAGGAATAGTTGATGCTAGTAAAAAATAATGTTCTGTTATTTTCTTCTGTATTTGATAACTCCTTTACTGTGACCCAGTGAACCATTCTGAAAGTAAACCTTTGAAGTATTTTTATAGCATCACCTACACATAATTTGTATTTTTAAATCTGTATATAGTGAAATGCATGAGGTTATCAATAGTCTAGTTGATACAGGATTCTCATCACCAAGTATATTGGCTGAATCAAGAGGAGATTCTTTGTCAGTGTGCTCCGTTTTTAAAAAGAAAGGAGCACTCTATTCGTTTCTTTTCACACTGCTATAAAGAATGAACTGAGACTGGGTAATTTATACAGAAAAGAGGCTGGGGAGGCCTCAGGAAACTTAAAATCATAGCAGAAGGTAAAGAGCAAGCAAGGAATGTCTTACATGGCAACAGGAGAGAGAGCGAGCAAGAGGCGAGAACTGCCACACACTTTTAAACCATCAGATCTCAAGAGAACTCACTCACTATGATAGGAACAGCATGGGGGAAACAGCCCCCATGACCCAGTTACCTCCCACCAGGTCCCTCCCTCAACATGTGGGGACTACAATTTGAGATGAGATTTGGGTGGGGACACAAAGCCAAACCATATTAAGCACCCCTAAGGAAAATGTAACAACCCCTTTAATGCATTTATTTATTGGGAGGTTGGCAATTCATTTCACTGAGAATAACCAAAGAACTTTTGGCTTATGGAAAGAGAATGCCATGTAGTTTGAAGACTATTATTACCTTGACCTCATAATTTTGGCTTTCTTTTTTTTTTTTTTTTTTTTTTTTTTTGTCTTGAGACAGAGTCTCACTCTGTCACTCAGGCTGGAGTGCAGTGGCAGAATCTCGGCTCGCTGCAGCCTCCACCTCCCTGGTTGAAGTGATTCTCTTGCCTCAGCCTCCCAAGTAGTTGGGACTACAGGTGCACGCCATCATGCTTGGCTAATTTTTGTATTTTTAGTAGAGACAGGGTTTCAACATGTTGGCCAGGCTGGTCTCAAACTTCTGACCTCAGGTGATTCATCTGCCTTGGCCTCCCAAAATGCTGGGATTACAGGCATGAGCCACTACACCTGGACAATTTTCGGCTTTCTTGTACTGGAAGTGGGTCACTTCAAGGGCTGTGCCTCTTTTTTTTTTTTTATTTTGAGACAAGTCTAGCTTGGTCGCCCAGGCTAGAGTGCAGTAGTGCCATCATGGCTCACTGCAGTCTTGACCTCCCAGGCTCAATTGATTCTCACACCTCCACCTCACCTCCACCTCCTGAGTACCTGGGACTATACCTGGCTAATTTTTTTGTTTTAGTAGAGACAGGGTTTCACCATGTTGCCCAGGCTGGTCTCGAACTCCTGAACTCAAGTGATCCTCTTGCTTCAGCCTCCCAAAGTGCAGGGATTACAGACATGAGCCATCACACCTGGCCCTGGCTATGCCATTTAGACCTCGTTCTAAGCCATATCAAATGTGACAAGGCAAATTCAGAGATTAAAAAGTTATGGTATCTCAGTAAGTTGGCACTGTTCCATTCAACAGTCATTTATTGAGCATCTCTTATTCGCTATGCCATGGGGTACAAAGATGCGAAGAACATCGTCCCTGCACTGAAGTTTACAGTCTGTGGGCAGTGGAGTAGGAACAGGTGGTCTCAATAAAGTTCAGCAAGTGTATTATGGTGGAGGAGGTACAAGGTGCTTTGAGAGTAGAAAGGAAGGTGGCCTGATGTAGCCTGGGGAGAGAGGAAGAAAGACAGGAAGGGGCTGGTCTGCAAAGGCTTTCTGGGGACAGGAGTACTGAGATGAATGTTAAAAGATGGATTAATGCTAGCAGAGTGAAGAATGGATGGAAGAACATTCCACCTGGGCTCTGTAGCCCGCTGAGCAGTCTTGAATCATCCTACCTAACCAGTGGTCATCTCAGTTCCAAATAGTGTCCTGTCTGACTCACTGACGTTCCATCCTATCATTATTTGACTGCTCAGTTATTTCTGTGTCACAATCATTAACTATTTTTGTGAAGTATGGCTTCAAAGAGAAAACAAAAAAAACTTTGAGCCATGCCTTTTTGTCCCTGAAATGAACAATCTATGTGACCCATTTAGCCTGACCTCCATCATAACTTGAGCAGGATTGGCTGGGGAATGTGCTAGAACCCCAGCAGCACAGGCTGGTGGGAAAGGGGGCCTGAGGAAAATCACCTGCCTGTACAGTCGGCATCCAGAAGGGGTTGAAAAACCAGCAAAAGTGGGACAGCAAACAGCGTCCCAAGTAGTCATCTAACCCGAGGTTTCCCTGGCCAAAGGTAATAGAATGCAGTGGCTCATGGTATCCAGCATCTGTCACATACTGGCTTTGTGACCTTTGCAAATTCACCTCTCAGTGCTTGGTCTTCTCTAAAATAAGTAATAATAATCGTACCTCACTACATGGAGGTGGCGGTGGGGTGGTGGTGAGGATTAAGTGAACTTATTCACCGAAAGTACTTGGAAGACTTTCTTGTTAGTTGTTAGGAGACAGCGTCCCAGTTCCTTCAGAAGGGGACCCAGGCACGGTGTCAGGACCTCTGCAGTTAGTGAGCTCCCATTCTCCACAAGACATGAGTTTTCCATACAAGCCATTTTTTTTTTTTTTTTTTTTGAGACAGAGTCTCCCTCTGTCACCTAGGCTGGAGGGCTGGAGTGCAATGGCACAGTCTCGGCTCACTACAACCTCCGCTTACTGGGTTCAAGCAATTCTCCTGCCGCAGCCTCCCGAGTAGCTGGGATTATAGGCACCAACCAACCATGCCCGGCTAATTTTTGTAGTTTTAGTAGAGACAGGGTTTCGCCGTGTTGGCCAGACTGGTCTCGAACTCCTGACCTCAGGTGATCCACCAGCCTTAGCCTTCCAAATGCTGGAATTACAGGCATGAGCCACCGCACCTGCCCCAATTTTTTTTTTTTGAGACCGAGTCTCACTCTCTTGCCCAAGCTGGAGTGCAGTGGCACAATCTCAGCTCACTCAAATTCTGCCTCCCAGGATCATGTGATTGTCATGCCTCAGCCTCCCAGAGCTGGGATTACAGGTGCGTGGTACCACACCCAGCTAATTTTTGTATTTTTAGTAGAAATGGGGTTTTGCCATGTTGGCCAGGCTGGTCTTGAACTCCTGGCCTCAAGTCATCTGCCCGCCTCGGCCTCCCAAAATGCTGGGATTACAGGCATGAGCCACCACGCCAGGTCCCAATTTCTTTTTTAACACATATTTATTGGATGTCTCCTATGTGCTAGGCACTGTTAAAAGCATTGGGGATAAATCAGAGGAATCAGTCCTTGCAAAGGCCCTGGTGTGGGAGTTGGCCTGGCACACATTCCAGGAGTGACAAGGAGGTTCCCATGGAATGAGTGAGGGAAAGGAAAGTAGGAGATGAGATCAGAGAGCTAACAAGGGGTGGATGACACAGGGCTTCCCAGGCCATTGAAGGACTTTGGCTTTTACTTAGAGGTTAATATGGGGTGAGAATTGAGAGAAGAATGATAACTACTGCTGATTATTGAGCTTATAGAAGATAGCTGGCACTGTGCTAAGTGCTTGACCTGTGTTATACTTCTTAATCAGATAGAACAAGAAGATTAGAACAATGATATAAAGCAAATGGCCTGTCCCGAGAAAGGACCCTGAGACAGAGGGGTTGGGGAGCGTGCAGGGGCAGTATTCAAACCCAGATCTGAGTGATTTCATGATGTCATACTGTCATTTAATGAATATAGACATGTGTTTGCCATCACATTGCTGTAGCAAGACTAATCTTAGCCTCCACTTGACCACTCTGCAAGACCACTGCTCAGGAACTGGATAGGAAGTTGGTGCCTGTGCCTCCAAACAACTCTGGGAATCCGGGACAAAGAATCTGAGCACACATCATGCACCACACACACATTTTCCCCAGGGCACGGAGCAGGGTAACGCAGTGTCCATGCTGCAGCTCCACACTCCCCGCATCTTCTGTTTCGCAAGCGGAGAGTCCTCACTCTTGCCATATTTAAAGACTCAGTGTTTCTGAGTGCCTTTTAAGGGCAGGGTAGAATCAAAGGCCAAAATACCAAAGGTTCAGTTTCCTGTTACTGACCACAGTAGACCAGAAAATGAGGCAGCTTTCAGAGTAGCTGCCTCCCTCTGTGAACCTGCAGTTCAGCTTTGACTCAGGAGAGCCTGTGGGAACTGTCAGACTCCTTAGTCTGCAAGATGTTGTTCTCAACTGAATGGACACACCCTAAGTCAAGTTGTGTATTCGAGACCAAACTGCAGTGCAGAACATGAAGAACAGACAGAATTCTTTGGAATTCTGATTCATTTGCAGGACCAAATAAGGACCTACCCAATGATCATCTTAACTCATGCTGCACGAATTTGAAGTTTGTGATGAGTATTGAAGGAACTAAACTATAAAATAAAAGGTCAGGGGTATCCATTTTTTCCAATAAGTATATAAATTAACTGCTTATTTTGTGCGAAGTATAATACTGGGTGCCAAGAACGTCAAAATAAGTGGCTTCTGCACCCCCTCTCGCTGTTTAGGAAAAGGAGGTAATTTATAAGTACTTACAGTGCACTGTAAGTACTGTTAACTATATATTCCAATTGCTGTACAGAAATTCAACTCCACATACTCAACAAAAATGGAGAGTAAAACAGAGAGGAAATTTAAATAGTACAGGTAATTTTGTCCACCAGTCCCACACTGTGCAGAAGATGACAGGGATGAATGATTCCCTCAGTTGCTCTCAGCTTCCCTATTGCTCTCATGGTGTAAAATTTCATTGCATCAAGTGTGATTGTAGTGTTTAAAGATATACATTGTTTGTATAACGTGTCCCTAAGATGCATGTCACCTACTTCTTGTGCTGGCTAAAGAAACAATGTTCTTTCTAGTGCTAAAAGAAATCCTGGTTGTGTTTGACCTTTCTAAGAAATTGTCAAATTGGCTTTGTCATACATGAGATTTTCATCTTATGCTTTGACTTCAGAGTTTATTCTCTACATAAGATATTAATTCACTGTACTGACATATATACAGGATAAAGTCAAACGTGGCTGTGAATTTCAGTTTTTGACTGATTTAGACTGTGGAAAAGTTATTTGACTTCCCTTAGTGCTTAATGATTAGCCTCATTCGACTCTAATCTATAAAACTAAGATACTTAAATTCATTTCATTTGCATTGTTGTGATGATTACATGAATAATATATATAAAGATCCTACCAAGATATTTAGCATAGTAAGTGATAGTTGCCACCTCATTCCTAGTAGGTGAAGATGTGTACTTTACCTATGGGAGCCTGTGAAGGTTTTTAGCAGAGGAGTGACGTGATCCATGTAGGTTTCAGGAGAGATGACTTCAGTGCCCCGTGATGTATGTGCTAAAGTGTAGAGAGACCCGGGGCAAGGAAACGAGACAGCAAGTAGTTACAATGGTTTAGACAAAGATGAGGGCCTGCCTGAAGGCAGTGGAGGTGCAGAGGAAGGATCCAGGTTTGGGAGCTTTAAAAGTAGAATTGAGGCTGGGTGCGGTGGCTCACACCTGTAATCCTAGCACTTTGGGAGGCTGAGGCAGGCAGATCATTTGAGGTCAAGAGTTCAAGACCAACCTGGCCAACATGGTGAAACCCCATCTCTACTAAAAATACAAAAATTAGCCAGGCATGGTAGCATGGGCCTGTAATCCCAGCTGCTTGGGAGACTGAGGCATCAAGTCTCATCACTGATTCTCATCAAGCGATGAGAATCGCTTGAACCCTGGAGGCAGAGGTTACAGTGAGCTGAGATCGTGCCACCTCATTTCAGCCTGGGCAACAGAGCCAGACTCTGAAAAAAAAAAAAGAGAGAGAAAGAAAGGAAAGAGAGAAAGAAAGAAGGAAAGAAAGGAAGGAAGGAAGGAAGGAAGAAAGAAAGAAAAAGGAAAGGAAAGAGGGAGGGAGGGAAGGAAGGAAGGAAAGAAAGAAGGAAGGAAAGAAAGAACTGATAGAACTTGGGGACTATTTGAAGTAAAAGGGAGTGGGAAGATCTTCAGAAGTGAAGGATGTCTTTATGTTTTCCAGCTTCAGAGGTTGGATAAATGGAGATATTAAATTAACTGGTACAGAGAATAATAAAAGGTACTGTTTTACTTCAGACTGAAACTATATACCTGGCATTAAGCTAAGGAATTTAATACATTATTTGATTTAGTCATCATGATAACCCTACGGAGTAAGTAGTATCATTGCCATTTTACTACTGTGAAAACCTAAACTCAGAGGAGCCCAGTGTCATATAGCTAGCTAGTCAGTGTCTCCCTAGGATCTGAACATGGATTTGTATGACACCAAAGCCTCACTTTACACCACAGCAGTAAATAAGCCCTCACTCTGGAAGAGGAGAAATGGAGTAGGGACAAGAGGCTGAAGAGAAGTCTTAGTTCTGGAAGCGTTAAACTGTCAGGCAGAGATATCTTGAAGGCAGCTGGAAAATCAGACCTGTAGCTCAGGGGTGCATGTGGGGAAATAAGAAAATGTGGGTGTTGCTGGCTTATGGTGTTGGAGAGTGAATGAGGTTACTCATCAAGGAGTATATGGTTAAAGAGAAACAGACCCTCAGTAAATGAAGGCTAGAAGGGGGATGCCAACCTAGTTTAGAAACTCGTATACCTGCATACTCAGTTTAGGAGTTTAGAAACGCTCATATACCTATATGCAGTGTAATTTTTTCTGACCAAAGTATAGCCTTGTGCTTTGGTGTATAAATTTTTAGTCAGCTGGGTATTGAGAGTTCCCTGTTAGAGCTTGAGCCTTGCCCTCACAGAGCTTATAGTCTAGTGGAGAGGCTTAGTAAAAAATCCATTAAACAATAACAATCAGTTGTAGTACAGGCTAAATGTTATTTTAGGGTGCTGTTACAGGATGCTGCATAAGATTGGCCCCAAAGCCAGGCTTGAGAGTCAATAGCCAGGCAATTAGGATTACAGGTCATAGTATTGAATAAGTTTATACTTGGCCAGACGCAGTGGCTCATGCCTGTAATTTTAGCACTTTGGGAGGCTGAGATGGGAGGATTGCTTGAGCCCAAGAGCTCAAGACCAGCCTGGGCAATATAGTGAGACCTCCCATCTCTATAAAAAATTAAAAAATTAGCCAGGTGTCATGGCATGTGCCTGTAATCCCAGCTTCTCGGGAGGCTGAGGCGAGAGGATGGCTTGAGCCCAGGAGGTTGAGGCTGCAGTAAGCCATGATTGCCCCACTGCACTCTAACCTGGGCAACAGAGACCCTGTCTCAAAACAAAACAAAAACATAAAGCTTATATATATTAAAAAAAAAAAACTGAGCAACAGCTGTTTTCACCACTCATTGTCCCATCTTGGGCCTTACTGCCCAATTTAAATTTCTCTATCTCTCTCTCTCTTCTCCCCACTTCCTCCCTCCCTTCCCCACACAGTGAAGAGATATGATGCAGCTCCACTGTAACAGTATTTGAGTCAAATGTATACACTGAAATTTCTTAGATTTTTTTTCCTGAACACATAATTGCTCTAGGAGACCTGCACAAAATGTGAAAATAGCACGTTTCTTTTCCACTGACCATCAGAACAGAGAATTCCCAAGCCTTCATATTGCACAGTGAATAACCCAGTCTCAATTTATGGACTTTATCTTGATATCCAGTCTTCATTTTGGTAGGTTATCTAGTGTAATGGTTAAAAGTACAGGTCCTGGAGCTGGACTGTCTGGATTTGAATTCTTGTTCCACCAATTGCTAACTGTGTGACCTTGGGCAAAATACTTAACCTCTCTGTGCTTGTTTCCACATCTGTAAGATGGGAATATAATGATATTACCTACATCCTTAGCATTATGTGAGGAATAATAAGTTAATACATGTGAAATGCCTAGAACTGTACATGGCATATATAGAGTAAGCAATTTATAAAGGTTCAATGTTAGTGCTACTACTGAATTATGCCAGTGGATAAAACAGTGTGTTAAAATGGGAGCCCAGCCCATTGTAAATCACTCACAGATCAGCTCCCTGTTCACTTAACATGGAGGAAAGAGTCCAGCATTTGTTTCCTTTTCCTCTCTTTTAACATTGTGGGTACCGGTCCCTGGTAGATTTAGTGGGTAGTCAATTTCAAGCCCCATAGCTAGAGACAAGGAAATTTTTTTTTCTTTAAAATAGAAGTCTCCTTCTTTCCAATCACATGTGCAATGTCTATGTTTAGAAATCTTCCAGGAGCAGTCTGGGAAGATAGCTGAAAGCATGGTGTATGGCGAGATGCCTAGTATATGATAAAGAAGATAGGCAGGCGGCCAGCCAGCCATCGTGTTGTCTGTTTCATAATGTGTTGTCAGATCAGAAAGGGAATGTGATTCTTTTCTCCGTGGCTGAACTTTTCCATCAGTCCTGTTGAGCTGCCAATTGGAAGACCCTAGTTGATACATCTCCTGAGCCCATTTGTCTGGAGTGGCAGCAAAGAACAAATCACAGATTTTACACCTTGTTGTGAAGCCACTGAACATCACTCTCACTGAGCACTTCCCCTAGCTTGCCCTAGAGTTCTCAGAATACCTCCCTTCTTCCAAGAGGAAGCTACAGGGTTGTAGGCTTGATACTGTTAATGGAAGAAATTCATCAACTTCTTGAACCTGCCTCTAAAACCCCACAAAGTAGAGGTATAAAGGGGTTTTGACTAAGCAAGTGTCGTTTGCTCCCTGGAGGATGTGTCAGCTCTTGCTTCTTTTCAATTGCTTAAGAGTTAAAAACGATTACTGTGGTCTCAGAGGACAGACACCAGCACTGTGAGCTGGATCTCACCCACAGATGTGTTCGGCTTGACCCACATAGTTGTATACGCATATGTCAGTTTGTTGCAACATACAAAAACTGGGGGGTTTCACATAAAAATCTGCATTTTCAATTTCTTTTTTTTAACTGCCAAATCTGACAACACTGTGTCTTCCCTGCTTCCCCTGTGGAAACAGTCTGCCTGACTGGGTAACAGTGGCTCCCTGGTACCCACAGTTTACCAGGCCCCACCTGGCCCACTTCCTCCACTCCTGTTTGTTTCCTAGTCTCGGAGGCATGGGAGTTTATATAACCTTCTCTTAGAACGTGGTGCCATGTTCTCTACAGTATAATCCCAAATGAAAAGTGAAAATTCTCATTACACTCCTTGACCTAGTTTTAACAAGATGCTAAATACTGAGTCTCAGGCCTTTGCTCTTTGATTTAAGATAAAAAATCCTAAGTATTTTCTCTGGATGTTTTGGGGGGAAAAAATCCTAAGTAAAACCTTTTCTGTGTCATTTATTTAAAAATCACAATTGGCAATTATCCTCGCCTAATGGTCTTCTTGAGTCAGAGAAGTCTTTTTCCTTTGACCTTTTCCATGGTAGCATTTTACGCTGTTCTGGTTACTACCAGCAATACAGGCTAAACAACAACCCAAAGTTTGACCATCTGGCCTCGTCCTTAGTCACCTATTTTTGCTGCTGATAGATTTGAGACTATAGGTTGTATCTGGGGAAGGGAGCATGGAGATCTAGAGGGGAAATAAGTTACCTGTTTAACTTCCACAGAGTTGAAAGCTGAGTCATGGGGCCACACGATACAAAGGTGATACACACAAAAGCATCTGCAAATTGCTTTTATTGGGAAGCCATTTTCCTCCCCTTTTTCAAGCCACATGGCCAACCCACTCCCTGAGATTCTGCAGGCCTCCCATTCCGGTGAGTGTAGCTCAGTTGGTGAAATCTGCCCCAGCTCAAGTTCTTCCCCACCTTTTACTATTTCCTTATTCTGAAGATAGATGAAGAAGTGCATTTTCCTTACCCCCTGCCAGCCATCTGAGGACAATTTGAGCTTGATAACGTGGGGCCAGCGTGCAGCTGTCCATGAAAGAATTGTGTTATGAGGCCGGGCACGGTGGCTTACGCCTGTAATCCCAGCACTTTGGGAGGCCGAGGCGGGTGGATCACCTGAGGTCAAGAGTTCAAGACCAGCCTGACCAACATGGAGAAACCCTGTCTCTACTAAAAATACAAAAAATTTAGTTGGGCATGGTGGCGCATCCCTGTAATACCACCTACTCAGGAGGCTGAGGCAGGAGAGAATCGCTTGAACCTAGAGGCAGAGGTTGCAATGAGCCGAGATCACGCCATTCAACTCCAGCCTGGGCTATAAGGGCAAAACTCTGTCTCAAAAAAAAAAAAAAAAAAAAAAGAATTGTGTTGTGAAACCACAGAGTATACTTACTGCATTGTAGAAGTTTAATCAGTGTATAAAAATTCATTAAGCACTTTAGGAGCTTTGGATAAAAAGTCATATGTGAATATTAGTCATTTATTTTATTGCCATCATTGAGTCACTTTACCATAGAAGTGTTTTATTAAGATCAGGTGCAGTGGCTTATGCCTGTAATCCCAGCACTTCGGGAGGCCAATGGGGGAGGATCGCTTGAGCTCGGGAGTTTGAGAGCAAGCTGGACAACATAGCGAGACCCCTGTCTCTACTAAAAATCAAAATAATTAGCCAGGCGTGGTGGCACATGCTTGCAGTCCCAGCTACTTAGGAGGCTGAGGCAGGAGGATTGCTTGAGCTGGGGAGATCAAGGCTACAGTGAGCTATGATCACGCCAGTGCACTTCAGCCTGGGTGCAGAGTGAGACCCAGTCTCAAAAAAAAAAATGTATTAATTGTTCAAATTTCCATGACTCCAGTTTCACATGAGGCCGTGGACTTCTCAATCAAAAAGTTTTTAGTAGCTTCAGTAGGTCTGAAATTTCAGAGTATTGAGCAAGGCCTACACTGAGCTAGAGCATGATCTAATAAGATTGGACTGTCAAAACAAGAAGCACCAGTCTGTGGTCAAAAGGTTTTTAAGAAGGAAATGTTAAAGCTCTGCTGTGAGAAACTCAAGATCATGAAACATGTAAGCTGGCAGGCTGTTTCTTTCTCATTTCTACTATGATGGGGGGACCCTCATCCTAGGTAAACAGAGACACTGAAGCAAAATTAGGTGTGATTAAACAGAAACAACAGATGGTATCTTTCTATTGGGAAACTAATCGTTTGTGTAACTGGCAGGATGAAACATCAGAAAATACTTGACACATTTTGCTAGAGTCCTAAAGGGCACCTAGGAAGACTGACTCCAAAATGTCAAAATAAGGAAAATACATAACTCAGACTAGAGTCAGACAGAAGGGAGTTCCATTCCCAGCCCACCACCTGTCAGATTTGGGGCAAGTTATTTAACCTTTTTTGCTCCTCAGTTTTTTTTAATCCCTGAAATGGGGATTGGAATTGGAACATTATAGGATTGTCATGGAAATTCAAAGAAAGAATGAGTGGAGAATGTTTGAAAGAGTACCTACCATATGATGAGTGCCCAATCAATTGTAGCTATTGCAATTATGTAAAAGAGAAATGTGTAATAGCTTTTTGTTTGGTGTATTCAATATGGTTTTCAAAATAAAGACCAATATCATAAAGTTTTGTTGCTGTTTCTCATAACTACATTTAAATTCCCGGTTACTTTAAGCCCCCTTTTTTTTTGTCTTCTGCATACCTGCAAGTACCTCATCCATTCTTCCGTAATGTTTTTCTCCCTTAGCCAATACCATTCCAATGAATAAATGCTCAAGACCAAATGTGAACAGAGGTTTAGGCTGACTTTAGGACTGAGTCACTGTGATCTGTTTCAGCCTCCTGGAGCTCTTTTTTCCTCCATGCTCATTTACCGAGGAGTATAATGTTTGCATCATACCTGCTGTTGAATTACCATGTAACGATTAATGAGATATGTTTATTAACAAGATATGTTTATGAAATGCCTTATGTTTGTGATCACTTGTAATAAAACATTAATAAAGAATATGGTTTATTGATGAATATATTAGATCGCAAGGGGGAAAACCCAGTGCTAATGATGATCTCACTTTTAATATGTTAGATAATTACTCCAACTGAAACCGAATTGATTTTTATCAGATAAATTGGGGGTCAAAGTTACACCGCAGTAATTACTGCTTTCAAACTGTGTTTGTGTAACCTGGGGAAAGATTTTGCTCTGGGGACCATATTGAGGCATTTGCCCTTGCCACTAGCAGAGAACTTGGATCTGTGCACACACAACTAGAAGCAGAAGCATGTATTTCCTTTCTTTTACCAAAGAATAGAAACCATGAAGAAAACCACTCTCCTCAATACTGGATGAAATTAGACACCAAAGAATTCCCTTTCACTCAGTTCTCTGCTTCATTTAAAACCTAGAATCTTTGTAGAAATCTGTAAAAAAAAATGCGTAAATTGTATAGTTTCCTTTTCCCATAAAATCTCCAAAGAAGGAAATCTTATTTTTACCTTGGACTTTCAAAAACATAGATAATAAAAACATTTCATTTGCTCTAACACAGTTTATGATGTCACTAGAAGTTCTTGATAAAATTGTCAGCGTGAGTATGCCACTGAATTAATAAGCCATGCTTTATTCGTGGTATGTTGTGCAATATGTCAGCATTTCCCCTTTCTTTCCTGTAAATTGTAACTTTTCCGATGACTAGCATTTAAAGTCTTTTCCTGATTAAGGAATTGTCAGCTGAAATCATCAGGGATTTCCCCTTAACTATTTTGGAAGAAATCTGAAGAATGTAATGTGTTGCTTGGAAATTAAGAAATTTGGAATAATTCATGTGAACCTAAATGGTGAAATAGAATCAAGAAATGATAGTTTTCTTAAAAATAAGATGGCCAGGCACGGTGGCTCACGCCTGTAATCCCAGCACTTTGGGAGGCCAAGGCGGGTAGATTACCTGAGGTTGAGAGTTCGAGACCAGCCTGACCAACATGGTCTCTACTAAAAATACAAAATTAGCCAGGCATGGTGGCGCATGCCTGTAATCCCAGCTACTCAGGAGGCTGAGGCAGGAGAATCACTTGAACCTGGGAGGTGGTGGTTGCAGTGAGCAGAGATCAGGTCATTATTGCACTCCAGCCTGGGCAACAAGAGCAAAACTCCATCTCAATTAAAAAAAAAAAAAAAAAAGAAAGAAAAGAAAAGAAGATAATGATAAGGTCACAGAAAGAATAATAAAAACTGTAGAAATAATGAACTCTCTGAGACATTTAATAAACTTTGATGTCTCTGTTCTATGCTTTTCAAAAGATTTGTTACATTATAAGAGCTAAACTGAAATAGAAACATTAACATTTCAGATGCTTAGAAAATGGTTTTTAAATTTAATTTCTCCAGTTACTCAAGGTTAACAGAAATTTCTTTTATAAATGTGTATTGTGGCCGGGCATGGTGGCTCATGCCTGTAATCTCAGCACTTTGGGAGGCTGAGGCGAGTGGATCACAAGGTCAGGAGTTCAAGACCAGCCTGGCCAACGTGGTGAAACTCTGTCTCTACTGAAAATACAAAAATTAGCCGGGCGTGGGTGGCACACGCCTGTAGTCCCAGGTACTTGGGAGGCTGAGGCAGGAGAATTGCTTGAACCTGGGAGGCAGAGGTTGCAGTGAGCCAAGATCACGCCACTGCATTCCAGCCGAGGCTACAGAGTGAGATTCTGTCTTAAATAAGTAAATAAACAAATAAATAAATAAATGTGTTGCATCTGCAGTGCCACTAGAACAAGGATAGCAGACTGAGGTGGTAGAAAGCAGACTCAACAGGGCAAAAGGCAAGAGATCTGTTTCAAGTGCAAGGGCCTTGAGCCTTTTGTCCAGTGGCAGGATGGGGTGGGGTGAGCAGGAGACAGGTGGCTAGTGTGATAAAGAGTACGGGGCCGGTTGGAGAAGAGTCATTAGAAAAAGCCTCTCTGAGGAAGTGACCTTTGAGCTGAACCAGCACGGGGAGAGCACAGAGAAGAACTCAGCAAATACACAGAAAGCACATATCACATGCAAAGGCCCTGGGGCTAGAGTGAATTTGATGATCAAGAGACAGTGAGTAGAGGATGGGTCAGTAGGTGTGCAGCAAACCACCATGGCACATGTATACCTGTGTAACAAACCTACACGTTCTGCACATGTATCCCAGAACTTAAAGTGGAAAAAAAAAAAAGGGAAAGAAGGAAGGAAGGAAGGAGAAAGAAAGAAGGAAGGAAGGAAAAAAAGGAAGGAAAGAAGGAAGGAGAAAGAAAGAGAGAGAGAAAGAAAGAAAGAAAAGAAAGAAAAAGAAGAAAGAAAGAAAGAAAAGAAAAGAAGGAAAGAAAAAAGAAAGGATGAGAAGGCAGGTATAGCTAGAGCACAGGGGGAGAGTGGTGAGATAAGATCCAAAAGGTAGGAAGAGGCAGCCCTGATAAAAGTCAAGTATGGGGAGAAAAAGTTAACAGTTGAGTTAATTTACTGTGTTTTAGAATTATCCCAATTCTAAAAATGGCACGTGGAAAACACTTTAAAGAAGGAAGGATCTGTATGCCAAATCTCAACCAGCTGTAAGCTCCAAATTTGTATTTGATGACAGACAGGCCTTACTCTTGGTAACTCTTAGAAAGAGAAGGACCTCACGACTTGCCAGCTTAGCTCTTTTGTTGTCACCTTCCACATAAAGGAGACTGAAGCAAAGGAAAAGTGTCCTCAAAATCGGTCATCCTGTGCCTTCTACATCCACCCTCAGCCCCCATGTATGTGTTATACACGTCCTTAGAGTTTCCTTGTTCCCCATACTCTTCCGTGGACAAAGTGTGACACTGTTCAGTCTGGTGGCAGAGAAGGGAAGGAAAAAAAGAAACAGAACTTTACTTTTCTTCTCTCAACAGACTTTGCAGAACAAAATGAAAAATCAAAGGGACCCAAAATGATAGATCTGAGATTCAGTCCACCAGCTATTACAACTAAATAGTGGCAGAAAGCAACTGATGCTTTCTTACTCTATCTTCCAACCAAGACCCCCTAGAAAGCCCTGCATGAGCAACTTTAGGCTATCTGGCATTTCCAGGGTAGTTATTTAGAATAATGGAAAGTGAAAAAGATTGGCATGTGTTTTTCAAAGACCGGTAATCAAATAGGATAGCAAACGTGCAGAGATGTGAATTGAATGAATGTAGGAGATGATTTGTTCAAAATAATTTAGCAACTAGAAGCAAAGTCTTTAATGCTTAAGTGGATATCTAAGCAGCAGGCCAATTCCTCCCAGCCATTAAAAGCTTATGCAAATCCCATAAATCAGTAATGTGCTTTTTAGGTTTGCAGTTTCCTTTCAAGGAGCCTTGTGTTTTGTTTTTGTTTTGTTTTGTTTTGTTTTTGTTTTTTGAGACAGAATTTCACTCTTGTCGCACCCAGGCTGGAGTCCAGTGGCACGATCTCAGGTCACTACAACCTCCACCTCCCAGATTCAAGCGATTCTCCTGCCTCAGCCTCCCAAGTAGCTGGGGTTATAGGCACCCACCACCCATGCCTGGCTAATTTTTTGTATTTTTAGTAGAGACGGGGTTTTGCCATGTTGGCCAGGCTGGTCTCGAACTCCTGACTTCGTGATCCACCCGCCTTGGCCTCCCAAAGTGCTGGGATTACAGGCCTGAGCCATTGTGCTTGGCCGAGCCTTGCATTTTTAGACACTCGATCACTCCCTGAAAACAACCAAGCCAGGTGATGGTTGTCTACCAGTAATATTTTTTCACACCTCTGGAAGTGGAGCTGTGATCCTGCCAGTAGCTTTCTTTCTTGATGTAAATACTGTGTAGGGACTTGCAGGCTTTCATTCAATCTCTTTTCATTCATTCATTGTGCACCATGCCTGAGCAGTGTGCCAGCTCTTGGTGATAGAGCAATTAAGTAAAATGCTGGATGAAGCCCTATGGGGAGATGGGCAAAGCATGAGAAGTACTAGAATAGCAGAGAAGTAAACAAAGCGAGATGTTGGGTGGAATGGGAGCAACTAATTCCAGCAAGGGAGGGTGGGGATCAAGGAGGACCTCAGAGATGTAACTAGACTCACACTGAAGGGTTTAAAGGAAGGAGATATAATTAGGCACAAAGAATCACATAAGGCGAAACAGACACAGAATAACCCTGCAGAGCATGTTTTCTTCATCATGACTTTTCTCATTGACTAGAATCTTTTTTTTTTCTTTTTTCTTTTCATGTGTGTTTGTGTGTTAGGAACAGAGAGAGGAGTTACAGGGATAGAGTGGTAGGGACAGGAGAAGTAGATAGGTAAGGAATGTCAGGCCCCAAGTACCAAACAGAGTAGTGTATGAGCTTCAGTGTCAGAAAGACCTGGTTGGGCCTTAGGCTGTTCCTTTACCTCAAAGCCCCAGCTTCCACATCAGCAAAGTGGGAAAGCTTCCATTTGGGTTGCTCTGAGAGTGAAATGAGGTGCACTGTAGCACAGTGAGGGGCTGAGTTTTGAGTCAGACAGACCTGCTTTCAAATCACACTGACTTCTTGT
This sequence comes from Homo sapiens, assembly GCF_000001405.40. Taxonomy (NCBI): domain Eukaryota; kingdom Metazoa; phylum Chordata; class Mammalia; order Primates; family Hominidae; genus Homo; species Homo sapiens. The sequence continues at coordinate 125,315,443 of NC_000008.11, forward strand.
ATTAGCTGAGTCATCTTGCGTGTCAAAACCTCAGTTTTCTCATTTATGAAATGGGAATAATAGGATCTCCCTCATGGGCATGTAAGGATTCAACTAGCTAATTCATGAAAAGTGTTTATTAGTACAAGGCTGGGTGCACGGTCAGCAATGTTAGCTTTCCCTCTCCTTTTAATAGAACCTTGCTAAAGGTTAGTTCCTTTCCCCTAAGGAAATGTAAGAGTTTGCCATTTTAAGTCCTTCAGTAATTTATTCACTGTAACTGTACAGAGAAAGAGTATGACTTTTTAGCAATTATATTTTCCATGGAGGAGTCTTCCATTCAGGCTCACCACATTGATTTTCCTTTGTTGGTACCCTTTTTTTTCCCTCTCTTTTTTAAAGTCAGGGTTTCACTCCGTCACCCAGGCTGTTGTGCAGTGGTGCAGTCACAGCTCACGGCAGCTTCAACCTCCTGGGCTCAAGCAATCCTCTTACCTTAGCCTCCTGAGTAGCTGTGACCATAGGCACACACCACCACATCCAGCTAATGTATTTTTTGTTTTTTAGCAGAGACGAGCTCTCACTGTGTTGCCCGGGCTGGTCTCAAATTCCTGGGCTCAGGTGATCCTCCCATCTCAGCCTCCCAAAGTGGTGGGATTATAGGTATGAGCCACTACACCTGGTCTAAACCTCATTCTTATCAATGCATGATGATAACAGATGCCATCCCAGGGCAAACAAGTGAATAGCATGTCTTCTTTTTCAATTCTAGTCTCCTAATTTGAGGTAGTTTCTACACAGTTTTCTTACCTTCAACAGCACATACTTAAGAACTCAATTCAGAACAATTCACCTTCTATATATAAACTTAGTATTGTGAGAAGCATATGGCCCAAGGCCTTGCTTTCAAGCAGCTAACTGCCTTCTTGGGAAAATAGAACTTCCAGAAAACAATTAGGCAACAATATGAAGAAAGTGTATGATAAGGTACAAAGTCTATTCCAACTATGTTTATGACACTACTGGCAGTACGTGCATTGGTCAGAAGCTGGAATTTTCAGGGCAGGCTCCAGACTTTAGGAACTATGTTATGATCAACCAGCAGGTCTTAGAATAACCGTTGTCTGTCTGTCTTTCTTTCTTTCCTTCTTTCTTTCTTTCTTTTCTTTTCTTTCTTTCCTTCTTTCCTTTCTTTATTTCCTTCTTTCCTTTCTTTATTTCCTTCTTTCCTTCTTTCCTTCCTTCCTTCTTTCCTTCCTTCTTATCTTCCTTCTTTCCTTCCTTCCTTCTTTCCTTCTTTCTTTCCTTCTTTTCCTTCCTTCCTTCCTTCCTTCCTTCCTTCCTTCCTTCTCTCTCTCTCTTTCTTTCTTTCTTTCTTCTTTCCTCTTGCTCTGTTGCCAGGCTGGAGTTGAAGTAGCATGATCACAGTTCACTGCAGACTCTACCTCTCAGACTCAAGGAATTCTTGCACCTCAGCCCCCCGAGTAGCTGGCACTATAGGCGTGTGCCACCACACCCAGCTGATTTTTGGTTTTTCGTTTTTTTTTTAAGAGATGGGGTTTTGCCATGTTGCCCAGACTGGTCTTGGACTTCTCATCTCAAGCAGTCCACCTGCCTTGGCCTCCCAAAGTGCTGGGATTCCAGGCTGGCTCACCACTCCTGGCCTATTGTTTCTGATTTCACATCATCACTCCACCTTCCCAGAATACCCTCAAGATGAGTCCATCCTGGGAAAAAAATAAGACTATGATTTAAAGTCAGTGGTTTCCTAAAGATCTTTTTTTTTTTTTATTGGAGACAGGGTCTCACTCTATCACCCAGGCTGGAGTGCAGTGATGCAATCACAGCTCACTGCAGCCTCAACCTCCTGGGCTTAAGTGATCTTCTCTCCCCAGCCTCCGAATAGCTGGGACTACAGGCACATGCCACCATGCCTGGCTAATGTTTGTATTTTTTGTAAAGATGGGGTTTTGCCATGTTGCCTAGGCTTGTCTTGAACTCCAGAGCTCAATTGATCCACCCGCCTTGGCCTCCATAAGTTCTGGGATTACAGGCGTGCACCACCACACCTGACCAAGATTCCTTTTTTAATATATACTTCCTCCCTCCTCCATGCTTTGAAATTCTTCCCTACCAAATTGCATTTACACATAATAATTTTTGTCTTCCATGTTTTATTAATCAAAGACAGTTGCCTATCTGAAGTCTAGGTCAGCATAAGCCAATGTGAACTCAGTATAGCAACACTATTATCTGATTCCAGGTTACAGGGGAGAAAAGAAACTAGGGTATTTCACTTGTTAATTATGCATTTGAGATATAAAGCCTTGCTAATGTCATGTATGTATACATCCAGAAAATATGCAAAATCTAGAAACCATGCAGAAAAAGATTGATAATTTGAACTACATCAAAGCAAAAATTATCAGACCAGAATGCCAGTTAAATTTTTAAAAAGTTAAAAAATTATTTATGATATTTTTAGATGCCCTCAGTAAAGTCAAAAGACAAACTATCAGCTAAAGAGGAAAATTGTAATTTATGTGATAGAGGATTAATTTCCTGCACAAAATCTTACAAATCAATGTGAAAATGACAAACCAATATTCTACAAAATGAAAGCACATAGTTTCAGAAAAAGCAGTACCAATCACCAGTAAGAATATAAGATGTTTAACTTTACAAAAGAAATGAAAATAAAATAGGGCCGGGTATAGTGGCACACGCCTGTAATCCCAGCACTTCAGGAGCCTGAGGCAGGTGCATCACTTGATCTCAGGAGTTTGAGGCCAGCCTGGGCAACACAGTGAAACCCCATATCTACAAAAAATACAAAAACTAACCAGATGTAGTGCCTGTAGTCCCAGCTACTTAGTAGGGCTGAGGTGGGAAGATCACTTGAGCCCAGGAGGTTGAGTTCTTGGTAAGCCAAGATCGCGCCACTGCACTTCATTCCAGCCTGGGCGACACAGTGAGACCCTGACTCAAAAAGTAAAATAATGTTTACCTATCAAATTGGAAAAGATGTACACTTCTGATAATATTCAGTGTTGCAATCTATATATGGGGAAGTAGCCACCTTAAATAATTTATTCAACATGTAAGTCCACACATAGACCCAAAAGTATGTATACAGTGATGTTAATGGCAACATCTATTGTATCAGCCAAAAACTAGAAGCAAACCTTAAGCTTCTGATCAAGATTAAATAACAGGTACCACATTGAACTTCCCTCCTAAAATAACAGAGAAAAAAAAAGAAAACAAAATCTGTGAAACAACCACGGCACTCAAGGCATTGACATCAGGCATGGAAAGGCAATGATCCTTGAAGACAGGAAACAAAGGAAATGGGTCCCATGCTTGTTCCAGCTTACTATTGAGAGAGTTTTCAGGCCATAGTACAGGGAAGGGGAACCTAGGCAGATCCTTGTGATCTCCCTGAATGGAGGAAATATAACTAAGAGTCCAGGGAAGCCAAGATAGCTAGACTAGAGTAGAGAGATGCACAAAGAGAGAAATCTGGAGATGTGAGGAGGTCTCCTGAATACTGATGAGCACATGCATGTGAAGAAACTACCCAAGGCCAGGGAAAGAGCTATCTAATGGATTAGAGAGAACAGTGCCTGGAACTCACACAGGGATGAGAATAGTACCTGTTCTCAACAACCAGAAAGGAAAGAAATCCATAATTCAGAGACATTGGTTACTTTTGCTTCAGTAGTAGAAAAAAATTAACCATAGATTAAACACCACTCTGGTCATCCTGAGCACAACTTTAAAATAAGACCCAAAAGCATCAAACTGTTTCCAAATAAATAACTGCATCCAAGAACAAAACTCAAGAATGTTTATAAAGAAAACAAAAATAAACAGCACCCACAATGTCTAGATTCCAGGTAAAATTACCAGGCAAACAGGTAGCAGGAAAATACAACCCCTAATAAGGGAGGGAAAATCAACCCATCAAAACTGACCTAGAAATGACACAGATATAAAAATTAATAGGAAAGGCATTAAAACAATTATTGTGATTGCATTCCATATGTTCAGAAAACTATAAGAAAGATTGCCCATGTTAATTAGATACATGGAAGGTAGGTGTGTGTGTGTGGGCAGTGGGGGTGTATGTCTTTACATATGTAAAGACCCAATAAGATGAAACCTACAATGGCTGAAATTTTTGAAAAGATAAAACACACAAACTGGATGGGATTAATGGCAGCTTAGACACTGCAGAAGAGAAGACTAGTGAACTGGACAACACAGCAGTGAAAACTACCCAAAATGAAATAAAAAAAAGAATCTTAAAAAAATGAACAGGGCACCAGTGAATTGTGGGACAGTCTCAGGGAGTCAAATATATGTTTTAGTGAAGTCTGGACAGTCTCAAGGAGTCACATATATGTTTTAGTGAAGTCTCCAAAAGAAGAAAGCTATGAGGAGACAAAAAGATTTAAGAAAATTGTGGCTGGCCAGGCGTGGTGGCTCACGCCTGTAATCTAGCACTTTGGGAGGCCAAGGCTGGCAGATCACCTGAGGTCAGGAGTTCCAGACCAGCCTGACCAACATGGTGAAACGCCATCTCTACTAAAAATATAAAAATTAGCTGGACGTGGTGGCATGCACTTATAGTCCCACCTGCTCAGGAGGCTGCGGCAGGAAAATCGCTTGAACCCAGGAGGTGGAGGTTTCAATGAGCCGAGATCACACCACCACACTCCGGTCTGGGCAACAGAGGGAGACTCCATCTCAAAAAAAAAAGAGAGAGAGAGAGAAAGAAAGAGAAGGAAGGAAGGAGGGAGGGAGGGAAGGGAGGGAGGGAGGGAGGGAAGGAAGGAAGGAAGGAAGGAAGGAAGGAAGGAAGGAAGGAAGGAAGGAAGGAAGGGAAGGGAAGGAAGGGAAGGAAGGCAGGCTGAAAATTTTCCAAATTTCATGAAAACTGTGAACCCACAGTTTTCAGATTTCACAAACCCTCAAAGAAAGATACATGGGGAAAAAACTACACCAAGGGATCTTACGATCAAATTGTTTAAAATGAGTGATAAAGGGAAAACAGCAACCAAAGGGGGAAAAGAAACATTATGTATAAAATAACAAATATAAAGTTGACAGCAGATTTCTCAAAAAAATGTATAAAGTAAGGTAGAAGACAGTGGAATGAAATTTTTAAGTTACTGAAAGGAAGAAAAAACTTTCAGACTAGAATTCCATACCCAGCAAAATATATTTTTTAAAAAAAGGTGAGACATAAAGATTTTTTCAGACATACAAACAATAAAAGAATTCATCACCAACAAACCTGCATTACAAGAAATGTTAAAGGGAAACCCTTCAAGAAGAAAGAAAATGATGCAGTATTAGTTCTCATACTGCTGTAAAAAAAATACCTGAGACTGGATAATTTCTAAAGCAGAGAGGTTTAATTGGGCTCACAGTTCAGTGGGCTGTACAGGAAACATGATGGTGGCAACTGCTCAGCTTCTGCGGAGGCCTCAGGAAACTGTAAATCATGGCAGAAGGCAAAGTGGGAGCAGACATATGGCCAGAGCAGGAGGAAGAGAGAGGGGCTACGCACTTTTCAACCACCGGATCTCACAAGAACTCTATCATGAGAACAGCACCAGGGGGACGGTGCTAAACTGTTAGAAACTGCCCCCATGATCCAGTCACCTCCCACCAGGCCCCACCTCCAGTATTGGTGATTACATTTCAATATGAGATTTGGGCAAGGACATAGATCCAAACCATATCAGATACCAAGTGGAAACCTGGATCTACACAAAGAACTAAATGATAAAGATCATCATAAATGGTAACTACATGAATACACACAGGATTTTTTTTCTTAATATTCTAACCTCTGTAATCATTGAGTTTTTCAAGCAAAAATAATACCAATGTTTGTATCATATGTAAAAGTAAAATGTGTAACAACAGCACTAAGGCTAGCAGGGAGAAATGGAATTATACTGTTTTAAGGCTCTTACACTATAGAGCCCAGGCAACTGGCTTCGTGGTGAATTCTACCAAGTATTTAAGGAAAAAGTAATACCAAGTCTACAGAAACTCTGACAGAAAACTGAAGAATAGAAAATATTACCCCAAACATTCTACAAGGCTAGCATTACCCTGATGCCAAAACCAGGCAAAGTTATTATAAGAAAAAGAAAATTACAAATTAATATCCCTCATAAACATAGATGCAAAAATTCTAAATAACTTTTTAGCAAATGGAATCCAAATATGTACAAAAAAGATAATACATTATGACCAACGGGGGGTTATTCCAGGAATGCAAGATTGGTTTGACATTTGAAAACTAATCTGTATAATTCACCATATTAACAGAGCAAAAAAAGAAAAATCAGGCCAGGCACAGTGGCTCTTGCCTGTAATCCCAGACATGATAGTCAGTTTTTGTTGTTGTTGTTTTTGTTATGTTTCTTTAAACTTTAGCCATCCTAATAGGTGTGTAGTGGTATCTCATTATGATTTTAATCTGCATTTCCCTAATGACTCAGGAGGTTGAGCATCTTTATGTATGCTTATTTGTCACTTACATATTTTCTTTTAAGTGTTCGTTCACATCAATATTTTTTTGTTTATTTCAATATCTTTTAAGATCTTTTTTCCATTTTTTGGATTTTGAGTTTTAAGAGATCTTTTTATATTCTGGATATGACCTCAAACTGACCACTTTGGGAAGCTAAAGTGGGAGAGTCGCTTGAGCCCAGGAGTTTGAGACCAACCTGGGCAACATAGCAAGACCGTGTCTCTACAAAGAAATTTTAAAATTAGCCAGGTGTGGTGGTGGGTACCTCTAGGTCTAGCTACTCGGGAGGCTGAGGCAGGAGGATCACTTGAGCCCAGGAATTGGAGGTGACAGTGAGTTATCATTGTGCCACTGCACTGCAGTCTGAGAGTGAGTGAAGCAGAAAGAAGGAAAATCATATGATCATCTCAATAGATGCAGAAAAAGCATTTGACAAAATCCAATACTGATTCTTGATTTTAAAAATGCTCAGCAAACAGAATAGAAGGGAACTTCTTAAATCTACTAATGAGCATCTATGAAAAGCCTACATATAACATCATACTTCATGGTGAAAAACTGAAAGCATATCCCCTAAGGAAACTAGCAAGGATGTCTACTCTTACCACTTCTGTTTAGCATTGTACTGGGGTTCAAACAAGTACAATAAGGTAAGAAAAAGCAATAAAGGCATCCATTGGAAAAGGAGTAGTAAAATTTGCAGATAACATGATCATCTGTGCTGAAAATCCAATGAAATCTACAAAAAAGCTGCTAGAACTAATACGTGAGTTTAGCAAATTTGAAGAATATAAGACTAATTAAAAATAATTATATTCCTATATACTAGCAACAATCAGAATTTAAAAATTTTAAATGCCATTTATGATATCATCAAAAATATGAAATACTGCCAACATGGCAAAACCCCATCTCTACTAAAAATACAAGGAGTAGCTGGGTGTGGTGACGCATGCCTGTGATCCCACCTACTTGGGAGGCTGAGGTGGGAGAATCGCTTGAACCCAGGTTTCGGAGGTTGCAGTGAGCCAAGATCATGCTGCTACACTCCAGCCTGGGCAATAGAGTGAGACTCTGTCTCAGAAAAATATATGTATATATGAAATACCTATCGATGTATCTGACTAAAGGTGTGCAAGAACTGTCTACTGAATGCAAACTGTGAGAAATCAGAGACCTAAATTAATGGAAAGATATACCATGTTAATGAATTCGAAAACTCAATATACTTAAGATGCCAATTCTCACCGAATTGATCTGTTGATTCAAAGAAACCACAATCAGAATCCCAGCAGGGGTTTTTTTGTAGATATTGACGAGATTATTCTGAAATTCCTATAGAAACACAGAGGACATACAGCATCCAAAATAACTTTGGAAAAAAAAGGACAAAGTTAGAGAACTTATTCTACCTGACTTCAAGACTTAATGAAGCTATAGTAACAAGGGTAGTGTAGTAAGATGGACAACAGTTAAATAAATCAGTGGAATGGAATAGAGTCCAGAAATAGATCCATGCATAGGCAGCCAATTAATTTTCTACTCACATGCAAAGACAGTTCCATGGTTTTCCACAAACATGCAAAGATAATGCAGTGAGAAAAGGACAGCCTTTGCAACAAATGGTTCTGTAACAATCCAATATTCATATATTCAGAATATAAACTTTGAACCATATCTCACACCATATGTAAAAATTAACTCAAAGTGGATCATATATCTGAATATAAAACCTAAAACTATAGAAGCCCTAGAAGAAAACATAGGAGAAACTGTGACCTTGGTTTAGGCAAAGAGCAATCCACATTTTTAAAAATTATAATTTAGACTTCATCAAAATTAGGAACTTCTGTTCTTCAAGAGATACTCTTAGGAGAATGAAAGGCCAAGTGACAGTCTGGGAAATGTTATTTTCAAATCACAAATCTGATAAAGGGCCTGAATCCAGAATAGTAAAAGATCTCTCAAAACTCAATAAGAAGAAAGCACTCCCAAAAATGGAAAAAAGATTTTGAAAAGATACTGAAATGAACAACAACAAAAAAACTAACATGAACAGACACTTAAAATATATAGATGACAAGCACATGTAAAGATGCTCAGCCTCTTTTAGTCATTAGGGAAATACAGATTAACACTATAATGAAATACCACTACACACCTATTAGGATAGTTAAAGTTTTTAAAAACACGACAAAAACTGATCATACCATGTGTTGGCAAGTCTAGGCAGAATCTGAGTCTCTTCACACTGCTGGTGGAAATGTAAACTGATACAACCACTTTAAAAGTTAAACATATATGACCTAGGCATCCCACTTCGAGATATTTATTCAAGACCATTGGAAGCATGTGCCCGCAGAAAGACTTCTACTACACAAATGTTCATAGCAGCTTTATTTCTATTAGTTCAAACTGGAAACAAGCCCAATATCCCGTAACTGATAAATGAATAGACATTGTATGTCATATCCACAGAATACTACTCAGCAAAAAAAAAAAAAATGAGGACTATTGATACATGCAGCAAGGTGCCAGACCAAAAAAAAAAAAAAAAAAGAGCATATCCTATGTGATTCCATTTTGATAAAATTCTTTTTTTTTTTTTTTTTTTTTGAGACGAGTCTGGCTCTGTTGCCCAGGCTGGAGTGCAGTGGCGCAATCTCGGCTCACTGCAAGCTCCGCCTCCCGGGTTCACGCCATTCTCCTGCCTCAGCCTCCCGAGTAGCTGGGACTACAGGCGCCCGCCACTACGCCCGGCTAATTTTTTGTATTTTTAGTAGAGACAGGGTTTCACCATGTTAGACAGGATGGTCTCGATCTCCTGACCTCGTGATCCGCCCGCCTCGGCCTCCCAAAGTGCTGGGATTACAGGCATGAGCCACCGCGCCCGGCCCATTTTGATAAAATTCTTTATGATGCAAATTGATGTAAGGCATCAGAAAACAGATCAGTTGTGTTGGAGTGGGGAGTAGAAGCCTGAAAGTGCAGAGGATAGGGATTACTAAGGGCACAAGGCAACTTTGTGAACAATCAACAAATATTCACTCTCTTGATTGTGGTAATGATTGAACAGATGTGTACATTATCAAATTATATACTTTATATGCATAGTTAATTATATATTAATTATGCCTCATTAAAGATGGGGACAGGAAGCTACTTACTTAAATGCTTATTATAGTCTCAGTTACTCAGGAGGCTGAGGCAGGAGGATCACTTGAGTCCGGGAGTTCAAGGCTGCAGTACACTATGATAGTGCCTGTGAATAGCCACTGCACTCCAGCTTGGGTAACATAGCCAAACCCCGTTTCTATTAAAATAAAATAAAATAAAATAAAATAAAGTAAAATAAAATAAAATGTGTATTGTCAGGGGATTAATTAGATGAATTCTGGGGTCTCACTCTGTCACCCAGGTTGGAGTGCAGTGGCACGATCTCGGCTCATTGCAACCTCTACCTCCTGGCTCAAGTCATCCTCTCACTTCAGCCTCCTAAGAAGCTGGAACCACAAGCACATACCACCACACCTGGCTAATTTTTTTTTATTTTTGGTAGAGACAGCATTTTGCCATGTAGGCTGGTCTTGAACTCCTGAGCTCAAGCAATCTGCCCGCCTCAGACTACCAAAATGCTAGGATTACAGGTGTGAGCCACTGTGCCTGGCTTAAGCAGCTATTTTTAAAAATGAAGTTGGGTGCAGTGGCTCACACCTGTAATCCCAACACTTTGGAAGACCGAGGCAGGAGGATCACCTGCGGTCAGGAGTTCAAGACCAGCCTGGCCAACATGGTGAAACCCCCACTCTACTAAAAATATAAAAGTTAACTGGGCATGGTGGCGGGCACCTGTCATCCCAGCTACTTGGTAGTCTGAAGCAAGAGAATCACTTGAACCTGGGAGGCGGAGGTTGCAGTGAGCCAAGATTGCGGCACTGTACTCCAGCCTGGGCAACAAGAGTGAAACTCCGTCTCAAAATAAATAAATAAATAAAAATACCCGGGCGCGGTGGCTCATGCCTGTAATCCCAGCACTTTGGGAGGTCAAGGCAGGTGGATCACGAGGTCAGGAGATCGAGACCATCCTGGATAACATGGTGAAACCCCATCTCTACTAAAAATACAAAAAATTAGCTGGGTGCGGTGGCAGGCGCCTGTAGTCCCAGCTACTCGGGAGGCTGAAGCAGGAGAATGGCGTGAACCCGAGAGGCAGAGCTTGCAGTGAGCCGAGATTGCGCCACTGCACTCCAGCCTGGGCAAAAGAGTGAGACTCCATCTCAAAAAAAATTAAAATAAATAATAAAAATAAAAATCAAGTCATCCTGTATGTGTCAATAGGAAATGATCCCCCAAATAAATTATTAGATGTAAAAATGCAAGGTATTTGCATATCTCTTTGAGTAAAAATAGGCATTATATATATGTGTGTGTGTGTATTTGTAGATATGTATGTGTGTGTCTATTTACATATATGTATATATAGTTTGTGTATATACACTGTGTGTATGTGAGGGATTTCTTGAGCATATACAAAAGCTTACAGTGGTTGTTTCTGAGAATTGGCATTGTGGGATTGTGGAAAAGAGAGAGAGGACTTCTGATTTTATTCACTTTTGTTGAATTTTTTGAAAACCATATATGTGCATATTCTTTTATAAGTTTAAAAAAAAGATTGGTTAAAAAGATAAAAAAGGCGGGCCAGGCGCAATGGCTCACGCCTGTAATCCCAGCACTTTGGGAGGCCGAGGCAGGTGGATCACCTGAGGTCAGGAGTTTGAGACAGGCCTGGCCAATGTGGCAAAACACCATCTCTACTAAAAACACAAAAATTAGCCGGTCGTGGTGGCGGGCACTTGTAATCCCAACTACTCAGGAGACTGAGTCAGGAGAATCACTTGAACCCAGGAGGCAGAGGTTGCAGTGAGCTGAGATCTCGCCACTGCACTCCAGCCTGGGTGACATGAGCAAAACTCCATTTCAAAAAAAAAAAGAGAGAGAGAGAGGGCCAGGCGAGGTGGCTCACACCTGTAATCCCAGCACTTTGGGAGGCCGAGGCAGGTGGATCACCTGAGGTCAGGAGTTCCACACCAGCCTGTCCAACATGGTAAAACCCCATCTCTACTAAAACTATAAAAAAAAATTAGCCGGCGTGGTGGCGAGCACTTGTAATCCCAGCTATCCAGGAGGCTGAGGCAGGAGAATCGCTTGAACCTGGGAGGCAGAGGTTGCAGTGAGCCAAGATCACACCACTGCACCCCAGCCTGGGCGATAAAGCAAGACTCCATCTCAAAAAAAAAAAAAAAAAAAAAGAGAGAGAAACCAAAATTGGGAACTATAATTGAAATATAATTACTGAATGAATGTAGTATAATTACCAATTGAAAACTATATGACTGAAACATAATCCAGTTTGTTTATTCATCTGAGTAGCTGCTGTCTTTTTAGGAGGCTTTAAAGATAATTCTGGGTTAGAAAATTGATGTTGTGGGTTTGTCCCAAATAACTAAAATATTTTACACCTTATTTCTTGATCAGATTAAAGTAAGAGAGTGTTTTTTTTTAAGTCTTTAATTTGAGCTAAAACATCTACCATTTTGTAGTATGTGAGAGCTATAGACAAGAGAGAGGGTAGGTACAGAACTAAGGAGGCTAGAAGTCTTTGTCCATACAGGTGTTGGGCACAGAATATAAGGAAATAAAAGGTGTTAAAAGTAAGATTTCTTTAGAATATTACAGGACTTGAAGGTTTGACCTGAAGTACTCCATTTCTCCAATATAGTATAAGTAACCACAAAATATATGTATACAATTGTTTTAGGATTTAAAGGCATGACTGTATTAGGTAACTAATTACCATAGGGATTATCATGAATGGGTTTACAGAGATTCTTGACATCTCTAAATGGGTCTGAATAGATTAATATCAAGGTAATCTGGGAACTCCCTTTGAACCTTTTGAGGTTAGTATATATTAAAGAGCTCCTCCTCAATAAAAGATTGCCATATTCAAGAACTATCATAATTATGGGTGAGGTTTTCTAGCACAAGGAAAATCATTTTTTAAAACTGTTTGCTTTAGTGAGACTAACATTTGAGGAAATAGTACTGGCCATTTTTCCAGGTTGTATAGTCACTTTTAAGAGGCAGGCATCATCCAAAGACTTCTCACTGGCCTTTTTTTTTTTTTTTTAACAGATTCTTAAGTTATGACATTGAAATTGACAGTCAGAATCATGTCCACAAGAAACAATATTCTAAACTTGATGTATGAATCTTCATGATGCCTCTGTCTTTAGAAAATTTTTGAATTGTTTATGAGGTCATGGGATGGAGCTAAGTATAATAACTGTAGTCTCCATTTAAGAATCAATTTTCATGCCTGTCTCATCAGAGTCTAGTGAAAGAATAAAAGAAAGGTGTATAAAAGCACATGGAGAGCTATGAACGTGCAAATTGCTGAGCACCTCGAGGGCCTGGATTGGGTTGTGTGCCAGGCACAAGGAGTATCTTAACACACGTTTTCACTGGAGTAGATCTGGACACCAAGGCCTGCTGGTTTCAGAATTCGCTGCCAAGCCAGAGGATGAGTAGTTCTCTCATGAGAGCCCAACTCAGGGATTTTCAAAAATGTGGTCTTGAGGATTCTCCACATGATTCACAGGCTGGTGCACAAATTCTCAATGTGTAGTGTTTTATTTCTGGCATGAATCAGTGATTTGCTATCTATCATCGGTGTTTCATCAGAAACAGTAGCAACCTTTTCATTCATCCCTGTCATCTGGGTCTCCACTTTCTGTTTTTTTTTCTGTTTTATTTTTAGTGGCAGGGGAGTTATAATCTTAAAATGTCACAGCTAGAAATAATATCCAAGGTCATTAGTCCCAACCCTCTCAGAGATGAGGAAACATCTAGTCACTGTTTCAGTGAGACCCGAAGTCAGAACTCCTGGCCCCCAGTTCAGCACCTTCTTGGCTGCCTGCATGAGGCCTGTCCCATCAGACAGTCTGCAGACCAAGGAAATGTGAGCGGCAGTGTCCAGACTCATCCAAGACTGAGTTGTGACCAAGACAGCTACTGTATTAGTTAAGATGTGGAGAAAACCACCCTTGAATCATGTTGCAGCAACATCAAGGTAGGACCTCATGCTTGGTAAAATCCCTACCTGGGAAACCAAGATCTGAATGACAGCAAGACCAGCCTGACCTCAGTCCCCAGCAGCGGGCAATCCTTCCTTACCAGGTTATCTCAGTGAGACTTTAATTAGGATGTTCTTGGATGTGTTTAAAACCTGGCACAGCCTTGCAGTTTCAGCCCAGGTCCTTTCAATCTGGGGACAGCAGGAGCTCCCACTACAGGAGCTTTTTGGCTGTGAGCAGGGCTCCTATCAGCTTGGCTCTTCAGAGCTGTCACAAAACCTGGAGACCGCCATTGTTTTTTGATATCCTGTTTCCTTTCTTTTTAGTTACCAAGAAGATTTCCTTTTGAACAAGCATCATGTTTTGTTTACATTGAGGGTTAGGTGTTTATGTTGATGTTTTAGTTGGAATCCACGTCTGCCTTTAGTTATAGACAACCTCATTGCCAGCAGATCTTAGTCCTCAGCAACACACCTGTCTAGCTTGTTCCGATATACTGGGACAAACCTTGGGAGTCTGGGGGCCCTTTTTAATCTTGTGGCTCCATCACAGTAGAGAGAGTGATAAGTATGGCCTCTGGGATCAGACTTATTAGCTGCCTGGCAAATATCAGGCCAGTTTACCTCTCTGGACCTCGGTTTCCTCATCTGTAAAATGGGGATAATATTTGCAACCTGCCTCATAGAGTTGTTGTGAGACACATTGTGAATTAATTCACACAGTGTTCACTCAGTTCAAGGCCTGGTAGATAGTTAGCACTCAGTAAACTGACAGGTGGCCATGGAGGTGGTGGTGGTGATACCATGTAGTAAGACTGGTTGTTATTTTTTTTGTTACTATCACTTCTCTCCAGCCCCCTCCGAAAGAACCATCATTACCTAGAATCATTGACCCTGAGGTTGGGAGTTAAAGCCAAAGGTGGGTAAGCTACAGGAGGAAGGGGTATGACCTAGGAATGGGAGGGAACAGGTAGCTTTACAGATTCGGGGCACGTCGCTTTCAGAAGGATGGAAACAAGTCTGCCTTCTTGTTAGGGAAAAACAGAACTAACTTTTTCTTTTTTCTTTCTTTTTTTTTTTTTTTGAGACAGTCTCTCTCTGTCACCCAGGCTGGAGTGCGATGGGACGATCTAGGTTCACTGCAGCCTCCATCTCCCGGTTCGAGCGATTCTCCTGCCTCAGCCTCCCAAGTAGCTGGAATTACAAGCGTGTGCCACCACACCCGGCTAATTTTTGTATTTTTAGTAGAGACAGGGTTTCACCACGTTGGCCAGGCTGGTCTCGAACTCCTGACCTCAAGTGATCCACCCACCTCGGCCTCCCAAAGTGCTGCGATTACAGGTGTCAGTCACCATGCCCAGCCCCCAGAACTAGTTTTTGGACACACCATGAAGAAGTGTGGAAATCTCCTGCCCTCTTGCCAATCCCCAACCTCAGGGAGGAAGGCTACCCTTAGAGAAACACAGATCTGCTCTGAGGAATGCATGGGCCAAAAATAAGCTCGCACCTGGGCAACTCCAGATTTCATTCCATGCCTAATTACGTTTATTTCTTAAGCCTCGAATGTACGCTAGGTACTAAAGGAAACAGAATTTAGAGCTAGCTCTTCCCAATAAGAAGCAGGAGGAGTGGGAAACGCCAGAGGCTTTGGAGGAGTGATGATCACCCAACATTGCCTCCCACAAGCACGTGGCCTGGAGCACTTACCTCCCTCTAGGCCCCAGCTGTCAAGTGTGGGGTTTGGACTAGGTGACCACAGCTCCTTTCAGTTTTAATGTAATGCAGAGTCCACTGAAAGAGAAACTCAAACTTTGTTCCCTTTACTCATTAGATTTTTGTGTTACCACCTCTTTCACACACATGATGTGAAAAAGGTGGTATTGTGTCATATATTAAGAAAGAAAGGTGACTGGGCGCGGTGGCTCACACCTGTAATCCCAGCACTTTGGGAGGCTGAGGCAGGCGGATCACGAGGTCAAGAGATCGAGACCATCCTGGCCAACATGGTGAAACCCCGTCTCTACTAAAAATACAAAAATTAGCCGGACTTGGTGGCAGGCGCCTGTAGTCCCAGCTACTCGGGAGGCTGAGGCAGGAGAATGGCGTGAACCCGGGAGGCGGAGCTTGCAGTGAGCCAAGATAGCGCCACTGCACTCCAGCCTGGGTGACAGAGCGAGACTCCGTCTCAAAAAATAAAAAATAATAATAGTAATAATTTTAAAAAAAGGTTTCTCATAATTTTGAACAAGTCATTAGATGTCTGTGACTGTTTCCTCACCTGTAAAATTGTTATCAGTACTCAGGGCCCTCCCTCATAGGGTGCTTGTGAACATTAGATAATAAAAAGATTGTAAAGCACTGTGTAAATGTCAAGTGCTGGGTAATGGGGAAGAGTAACTGCAGGCAGGGTAGGAAAACTTAGCATGGGAAAGATGAAAACTATAGATTTTCTCCTCCCTGAAGTTTAAAAACGATCTTTTTTTTTTTAACAAAATAACCAGATTCTTTTTATACACTTTTCTCTTAATCCTTCAGAATAGCACAGTTTGGGGACTGCCTTCAAAATCAGACCACATTGTTAGAAGTTATTTCACTGCTTCAGAACCCAAATCCCCTGCAAGGAATGTAAGAGCAACTTACTTTCTTTCAAATTTCAGTCAACGGTAAAGTTTCAGCGTATAGCATGGTCCACTTCTTGCAATCACAAATTTACTTTGCAGGGGTAAAATTTCGGAAGGAGCAGTGGAAGAAGTCTGGTCTGGGTACTTCTTGTAAACTTCAGTCAGATATGGCCTGTGCAAGGGCAAACAGTAGTTCCATATTTCATTTATTTGGCACTTTCTCTAAGGAGATCAAAGCTGCTTTGTGGACTTAATCTATTTAATTCTCACAACATCCCTGCCATGTAAGTAGCTGCTATCACCCTCCTTCTGCTGATATGAAGCCCACAGCCAGATATGAAAACTGGCTTTTCAAGGGCACAAGCAAATCGACATCAAGAACAGGAGTTGTACTCTAAATTTTATTTATTATCCTCTTCCCATTTGAATAAATTCTCCTAAATAAAGCAAATTTGAGAATTATTTTGCCAGTCACCGATGCTAAGTCAAAATTTGAGAATTCTATAAAGGGCATATTTTTGTCTCTAATTCATAGATTCTTAGAAAATTGGCAGATTTGCTGAGTCTTCCTCTTCACTGTTAGATATTCTAGAAATTTTGACCTTAGATACATGAGGTAGTAAGACCATGCTAATAGTATTGTATGGTTTATGGAGTGAAATATACCTGGGCTTGGCTAGCTCTGTGAACTTCAGTTTTCATTCAAATGTGAATAATATAGTACTCGCATCAGAGTTGTATCAATTAAATGGTGCAATGCCTATAAAATAGTTAGCGTAGAAGCTGGTGCATAGTAAGCTTTCAGTAAATAATAGTCCTCATATTACAAAACAAACAGGTTCTTAGGTTAGTTCTTTCCTTGTTAAGATTTTCATTGAATATTTAAGCTCTAGTCAAGCTAATCCAGATATATTACAAGTTTTCTTTTAAACAGAATGCTTTGTACACTGCTATAGCAAGCTTGTTCCATTTTTCTTTCCCCTATCCCCTTCAGGGTTCCATTTTGGTTACAAGAAGCTTGCTCAGGGAGAGGTTCCTGCACTTTAGCTTAGATTTCTGTCAAAACAAGATTACCTCTTTAGTTGACCCTGTGAGAAGCCGTTTAGTCTTATGAACCAACCTTTGATTTCAAAATTCTTTGAGTTGTCCTGAATGTGGTAAGCTACCCTGCAATGTGCTTGGAAATCATCCAGTTTGGGACCTCAAGAGAGAGGGATAAGATGATCTAATCAGTTTTGGAACTTGGAAGAGACAGAGTTGTCTGAGTGGAACACTGAGCTGTGAACCCAGTATCATAGACATTGATTGTTGCCAGTGAGCTTCGTTCCAAAATGGGGGACCCATACAGAAAATAAAGGTGTCTTGGTCCCCACTCCAGACCTGCCGAATCAGAATCTCCAACAGTAGACCTAAGAATCTAGATTTCTTTTTTTTTTTCTTTTTATCTTTTTTTAGAAACAGAGTCTCGCTCTGTCGCCAAGGCTGAAATACAGTGGCACGATCACGGCTCACTGCAGCTTTGACCTCCTGGGCCCAAGTAATCCTCCCCATTCAGCCTCCCAAGTAGCTGGGACTGCAGGCACATGCCACCATGCCTGGGTAATTTTTTATTTTTTATTTTAGAGACAGGGTGTCACTAAGTTGCCCAGGTTGGTCTCGAACTCCTGGCCTCAAGTGATCCTCCTGCCTCAGCCTCCAGAGTCACTGAGATTACAGGTGCAAGCCACCACGCCTTGCTAGATTTCTTTCTAATGTAGTTTTCCTGGTGGTTCTTTTTTTTTTTTTTTTTTTTTTTTTTTGAGACGGAGTCTCGCTCTGTCGCCCAGGCTGGAGTGCAGTGGCGCGATCTCGGCTCACTGCAAGCTCCGCCTCCCGGGTTCACGCCATTCTCCTGCCTCAGCCTCCCAAGTAGCTAGGACTACAGGCGCCCGCCACTACGCCCGGCTATTTTTTGTAGTTTTAGTAGAGACGGGGTTTCACCATTTTAGCCGGGATGGTCTCGATCTCCTGACCTCGTGATCCGCCCGCCTCGGCCTCCCAAAGTGCTGGGATTACAGGCGTGAGCCACCGCGCCCGGCCTTCCTGGTGGTTCTGATACCACCAAGTTTGGAACCACTGCGAGGCCATTTCCCAGATGAAGAAAATAAGGCCCAAGGAGAGGAGTACCTCCACCAAGATCAGTGGCATGCTGAACTCATGAATGGCAGAGGCCTGCTCAGAGCTCAGGTCACCCTCACAGTCAGTGCAGGTTTTTTTCCACTACTCCTTCATGCTCCTGGGTCTGCCGTGGACTCAGGATAAACAGACAAAGTTGTCTGTGTCTGTACTTTCTCATCTGTACTGTAGAGATAATAACTCCTGACCTTAAAGGGCCATTGTGAGGTTAAATTAGTTAAAGGGTGTTCAGTTCACTTTGTCCTTTACTCAGAGTCTGTTCTTTAGACAACTGAAAGGGTGCTAAATTAAGCCATTTTGCAGAGAGGTCTGAGTCATCTAGTGGCAGCTGTCTGTGCCTCACTGGAGGTGCTTTGATCATTGTCATCTAAATGCATGCGTTAAGTACTATCTGTAGCACAGCGCTCCAGGCTGTGCTAAGTGAGTTACCCAGATAATGGTCTCTGCCCTTGAGAACAGCGCTGAGGCAAGGGACATAAAGGTTATTCACACAGCAACAGAACAGGGGATCCATGAACGTTGAATTCAGAGAGCCTAGAAGGAGCATGGGGACACCCATTCTGCGCCCCTGGCTTAGAGGACCGAAGTGCTGCAGCTCAGGTCACATGGCACGTTGAGAGCGGGATGTGTGACCCACCAAGGCTGAGTCCTTCCCACCTCCCCCTGCTGGAGGGGAATTGTTTTTCTCACGGGTTGGAATGTAGCAAGTGTCCATTATAGTCAATCTGGAAAGGCTTTAGTTTGGAGTTAGTTTCAAGGATGTCTTGAAATGAGGCGGTTAGAGCTCAGAGGATGACTTTGGGGATGGTGGGCAGACTATGTGTACGAAGGATTGGGCCAAAAAAGATTATGAAGTATCTTTTCTTTTTTTTTTTTTTTTTTTTTTTTTTTTGAGACACAGTCTCGCTCTGTCACCCAGGCTGGAGTGCAGTGACCTCCCAGGCTCAAGCAATCCTCCCACCTCAACCTCCTGATAGCTGGGACTACAGGATGTACACCACCACACCCGGCTAATCTTTTATTTTTTTGTAGAGGCGGAGTCTCACTATGTTGCCCACGCTCATCTCAAACTCCTGGCCTCAAGCAGTCCTCCCACCTCAGCCTCCCAAATTGCTGGGATTACAGGCGTGAGCCGCAGTACCTGACCAGATTGCGAAGTATCTTGAAGCAATCTGGAAAGAAGTCTTGAAGCAATTCTTGAGGGTGTTTTGTACCACAGAGTGAAGTCCCAACAGGACTCTGAGAAGGAAGCCACCCACTCAGAATTACTGCCAAGGGAGGGGCTGTAATGACACATGATGGAGTGAGGAGGTATGGGAAGCAGCTCTGGAGGGTTAAGGAAATCATTGCCACCATTTTTAAACAGCGATTATGTGCCAAGCCCCATGTTTAGCGTTTTACATAAAATGCCTTTATCCTCAGAACAGCCCTACCAGACAGGTATTTTCATCCAGACAGGTGTTTCCCCTGTGCGTATGACAAAACGCACTCAAGGTGATTAGGTAACTTGCTCAAAAACACAGAGGGACTGAGGCAGGCAGTATTTAAGCCCCTGCTGGATCCTTCCAAATATGTCTGCTACACCTTAAGCCCTCTCTAAGAATATTAGAGATAGTTATGGATAGCCAGCCAGGAGGTAACTAAAAATTTCCATTATTGTCTATAAACAAACAAAGGAGCAAAATGGGGGTGATACTCCATGCAGTGAGGGTGGGAAAACCACACAAGCTCTCTCAGTGTTCTGAATTATGCCCAAGAAAGGATGAGCAGAAATGACTAAGGTTCCTTATTTGACAGATCATTGACATGGTGACGTGACCCAGTGAGATAGAGGAGATGAAGAATTTCCAAAGAAAGATAAGCATATGTCATTTATAGTAAGAGTTACTGATGATTAGGGTGTTTAAGAACTAGGCATTGCTCAACCAAAGGGGAAAGTTCAAAGTGAATAGGTAGGTTGGTGTGTCATCTAAAGAGACGATATAGTGTCATCAAGTGAGATAGAGCCTCAGAAAACATCACTTTTGGATCTGTGTATATATGACATTGTACTAAGACACTGTAGCATGGAAGTGAATAGATAAGAATTAGGAAAATCACAAGCTAGGAGAGGACAGATGTTATCACACAGCACCTTGTAATAAAGGGAGAAGAGTAGGGAAAGTTAAGCCTGACAGGACCCCACTCCTGGTAGAAAGGAACCATTGATATGGCTTTGAAGATAGGAAGGACAGAGCATTGAGGCAGAATGTAAAAGCAAACACCTCTAGTATCATGGAATCCAGGGAAGAAGGAAAGGAAAGGAAGAGAAGACCTGTGAGCATTTTATTATGTGCTGGGCATATTAAATAATCAATTACTCAATTAAATTCAATTCAATACTCAGTTAAATACTCAGTCCTTACAGTAGTCCTGCCAGTTAAGTCTTCTCCCATTTTACAGATGGGGAAACTAAGGCTCTGAGAGGTGGTCATTTTCCCGAGATCAAATAGCTAGGGGAGGCAGGATTGTCCCAGGTCTGACTCTGAATCCCTTGCTTCTGCCACACTGCTTCAGCCAGAAGTTGGAGAAGGGGAAGGAGGATTGGTTATATGCAGAGTCAGAAGCTATGAGAGGATGATGAGGATCAGAGTGGATTTGGAGAAGTGATGAGGATATGGGTGGCTTTGTTGGGTGATACTGCTGCAGAGTAGAAATGGGAGAAGTTGGCTACAAGGAAATTCACATGGTTGGGTTCACAGTTTCATCTGCCATGTGTGGCATTTTACTACCTGGTATATGGAAGATTAAATATTAGCTGCATTTAATTCTCTCTTTGGAGAACTGCGAGTTCCTTTTTGAACAAATTCTTTGCAAGCACTTCTAGTCTACATAGTTGGGCTTCCAGGTTGATGCATCTTCAGATTATAGTTCCAAGAAAAATACTGACTCCAGTGGGTGGTTTTTCACATTTTTAAACTGATCAGTCCTATTGGCAACATAGGCATTCATCCATTCACTCCCATCTGGGAACTATGGGAATCTTCTCCTCCAGCTAACACTGTGATTTGGTCATCTGTGTTTAGTAATATCCCAACATCTGATCCTCTTGCCTTTTTCAGTGACATAGGCTTCTTATTGTTTGTGAAATTATGGGTTTGCATGAATTGCAACTAATGGTAGAGGTCTTTGAAAAAATAATTATAATTTGAGAAAATGGGGTTAGCCTATATTAGGTTTCTGTAGTCTTGAGGTACGGAAAGAATGGGCAAACATTTGCCCTTTAAAGTAGGTAAGAGTCCATAGCACAGTAAGAAGTCTGTTTCCTCTCACTGGGAAAACATATTCCAGCCACTGATTTAACTTCTCTTATTGTTGCTGACTTGCAACCCTACACCCCCTCTAAGTCTATGACAGGTCTGAACATAATTCTTCTTTGTAGTCCATTGACTCTTATAAAATAATGCTGTGATTATAAGGTTTCCTGAATACAATTTTCAGAATGTTAGTAATAACCACATTGCACCTACCTGCCATACTTGGGCAATTATCTCTGTTGCTCAATTTACTTAATATTGGTCATAGTGAAACATGTTTTCATCACTTGAAATCCTAATTTTATTTGCCAGATTACTAATGGCCACCTATTTCTGTAACATAAGGTAGAATGTTATGCAAGTTTGACTTGCAAATACTGTATGTTGACTCTAGAAAACAACAGGTTTGGCCGGGCGTGGTGGCTCAAGCCTGTAATCCCAGCATGTTGGGAAGCCGAGGCTGGCGGATCACCTGAGGTCGGGAGTTTGAGACCAGCCTGACCAACATGGAGAAACCCCGTCTCTACTAAAAATACAAAAATTAGCCGGGCGTGGTGGCACATGGCTGTAATCCCAACTACTCAGGAGGCTGAGGCAGGAGAATTGCTTGAACCTGGGAGGTGGAGGTTGCGGTGAGCCAAGATCGCACCATTGCCTGGGCAAGAGCGAAACTCTATCTCAAAAAAAAAAAAAAAAAAAAAGAAAGAAAGAAAACAACAGGTTTGCCTGGAGATGGCAGCATAAGGAGTCATTTTTCTGCTTCTTTTTAAGATAGTCTGATTCCTCTCAGGATAAAATGTTGATAATGATTGAAAGGATAAAGCATTTAAAGCTGGAATGGATTTTTGATACTAGAGAGACCACCCTCCTTCTAATTCTCATCCCTTTTCAGGCTGGAGAGGAAACAAGGTGGAGAAAGGTGGTATACATGATGTGACCTCCCAGGTCACATAGCTGACTAGTGGCAGAGCCAGGAACTTTCAGTCATTCTGGTGCCCTTTCCACCAAAGCACCATTTTCTTCTAAATGGCAAACAGTTGTCTTGAAGGCACTGTCTTTTTCTACCTAGATGTTGGGTGGAAAAAAAAAAAAAAGCTGCCTTTTATATAGAAGTTCTTGGGAATATTTCTCATATAGTGAGATGAACAGAATGCAAAAGTTTCTTCCTGCAGGATCTCCCAAAATCCTCTTGGCTTGAATTTTCTTCTCACTTTTCTTTTGAAAAGCTTTGTTCCTTTTGCACCTTGGAAAAATAAGTCTTGTTTGTCCTGACAGCAGAGTGCAAGCATCTATTGCATCAAAATTCCCAAGTGGAATAGAAAACCAATGGTCCTTTTCTGAATTTCGTTAGCAGTAGCAACAAACATTTCATCATAACCTCAGAAGCAATACAGAGAAGAAAAGAAAAATCAAGTTAGCAATTACAGCTAACATCATGCAAGATGAAAGCCTGGCATTATAAAATCCTTACTGTTGTAAACTCTACTTTACTTCTGGATCTGTCTGCAGGCAGCCTACCCTTTCAAAATTCAGTATCTGTTGTCAGTAGTTGGGTTATAAATGAAATTTATTCTAGGAGTAATAAATATGGTATGCATGATGAAACTGAATGATTATGGAAAAGGTTTCTTGACAAGGACCGAATTAGGCTATCATGGTGCTTCTGACATCTTAGCATCTCAGTTTAGGCCAAAGATTTCTAAAGGATTCCCTGAAAACTAAATTCACGCTCTGCCCTAGATTTACAGTTGACATGAAGGTCAAGGATGAGCAGGCTGGGGAGAGCACAAAGTGCCTCATCACAAGATGTGCCTTACCCTGAGACATCCTGTCAAAACTGTTCTATGTTGGTAATTCACATGGGGAGAGGATACATTTTAAAAAGCTCTCTGGCACCTTGTTGCTGTTGGAGGAAGGGACACTGCTCTGCAGTGTCTTCTGTCAGGTCTGCCTTGAGTCCTGTCCACCCTCAATTTTCTCTCCTCAGCTTACAGTTCTCCAAATGCACCTGGTCTCTCTCCTTGGGGGCTGGAGTGAGCTCCCCACACTGCTTGGGACGGTCCTTTTCCTCAGGAGTCCACTGCAGAAGCTCGCAGAACTTATCCCTTGTATGCTAATGGCACTGTCTGCCCCAACACTAGACTAGAGTCCTTTGGATTGGGGGCTCTGTCTTGTTTATCTTGGTGTATGCAGAACCTACCACACATGAGAGGCACACAGTGGTGAGCGGGTGGTTGGAAGAGGAAGCATGCAGGCAAGCTTCTGTATAGCTTACATTTCAGGAGACATTTAAATAATCATAATCCTGGGAAAATATTAAGTAACATTAGAAAAGCTGCCTTTCAGATGCTCCTATTCCCTAGTGTATCATAATGGACATAATGAGGCATTTGTACATATCATTAGAATTGCTGCCTTCAAATCCCTCCACTAAGAATGGCAGAGTGGCAGCCGTGCTTTCTCTCACATTTTTGCCTTTGCTCATCCTACTCCTTCTCCTTCAGGATTCCTCCCACTGTCACTGTGCCTCCAGTCATTTTAAGAAGTCCTTGGTGAGTTCCCGTGGCCCCCTGAGCTTGCCTCTCTCCTGGTGCCCGTCACACTATGCTACAGTCGTGGGTTTCCTTGTCTATTTCAACCCCATCCTCTGTGCCTGGGAAATGGGAGGTGGTCAGCAGACATTTACTGAAGGAAAGTTGCATGAGTCATACCTTGGGCTCCTGAATGAGGAAGAGAAAATAAATTTTCTTTAAATTTTGCTCCTGATCCTGGGAAACCATAAGCCTCCGACGTTGTAGTTTTTTTTTGTTTTTTTTTTTTTTTTTTTTGAGACGGAGTCTCGCTCTGTGGCCCAGGCGGGAGTGCAGTGGCGCAATCTCGGCTCACTGCAAGCTCCGCCTCCCGGGTTCACGCCATTCTCCTGCCTCAGCCTCCCGAGTAGCTGGGACTACAGGCGCCCGCCATCACGCCCGGCTAATTTTTTTTTTGTATTTTTAGTAGAGACGGGGTTTCACCGTGTTAGCCTAATACAGCATGACGTTTAACCATATTTAGGGCTGCAAGTTTGAGTTATCCAACCACTGTGAAAATGCTACTCGACTGTCATTGTGAAACTAGGTTAAAATTTCAAAGCCAATGCTCTTTACCGTTTAGTGACAATGGTTAGTTACGTTTCTTGGCCGTCTTTATATTACTTCTGAAAAATAAAATAACTGAATTAGCTCTGAAAAATATGAGAAACAAGTCCTATTTTTAGTATTCCCTTCTCATCTATAAATCTGTTGTAAATTGAACATATTTGACTGCATTTTATTCTCTTTACTTGTTCCTGCTTTGCCATTTTGATCTCCTTAGATGCTGAATTATATTTTTGGAATGAAATAGTCATTGGCTTTTTTGTCATTAGCTATTTTACTATTTAATTTAGAATAAAGGACAGAATGATAAAATTAGATACAAGAGGCCACTGTGTGTCATCAAGTAACCTAATCTACTTTTGGTAACGAAAATAAAATTCTCTTTAAATAATTGCTAGCTCATTTTGAACCAGCTTTGTTCAGATGAATAGCCCTCAGTCTGGGTGAAGAGGATGAGAAACTCATCTCTCCCTCACAAGGTCTTTCCAACAATTAAAATTATCCTTTTCTCAATTTCATTCTATTGCTCCTAATTATGACCCTGATAATTAGTGTGCTAATTACATCCCCTGCATAATTTCTCTGCCTCCTTGATGTTCACCTTTCATTTATTTTTAGCCTGCCTCCTTTATTTGCTCCTGAATTCCCTGCTTACGTGTTCCCTCACTGGGCATGTGGTCGGGGGCCTCAAATTCAGAGAGAGGCTTTCCCAATCACTTTAACCAGTCACCTCTCCATATTTTTTTTTCTTTTGTCTTAAGGGAATTTTTAGCTAAGGAATAAAAGTGTAGTTAGAGTAACTGGAGAGCTGCAATCCAGCCTTGTCCTTCTGCGATGCTGCGGGAGGGGCACTCATTACTTGGTGTGCACTCACTACCTACTGCAAGACCCAGATGTCATTCACATGCCAGGCTGTAGATTATGCTAGTGACCCAACAGCATCATCTTCATTATGGGGTGAGGAAGGTCACTATTTGGGATCTTTATATTTTCCTGTAGAGTTCATAAAGCAAGTTCTGAGAGTCTTTTTCTTCTCTCTTTTTCTCCTTTCTTGCTTCCTCTGTTTTGTCCCGCTTACAACTGCAGGTAGTATGTACACTGTAGTGCTAGGAGTCAGGCCCGTAGGCTTTGAAAATGCGAAGCAAGATCAACCAGTCACCCTGCCTTGCCCTTTCAGGAACTATTTCCAGAGTTCTCCTTATGTGGTTTTTGTTACTGCGTTGATTCATCTGTTAGTTTTTTTTTTCCTCTAATGAGGGCAAAACACTTGATCCCATCTTCACAGTATCCTAATGATACAGAGAAGAAGAAAGTGATAGCCTACAGGAAATT
Organism: Homo sapiens; assembly: GCF_000001405.40. NCBI lineage: Eukaryota > Metazoa > Chordata > Mammalia > Primates > Hominidae > Homo > Homo sapiens. The sequence continues at coordinate 125,341,674 of NC_000008.11, forward strand.
TGACACCTATCCCCCAATTTATGGTAGAGCCAAGGTCCAGACTTAACCTACCCTCCCGAAGTCCATTCTTGTATGAAACTACAGAACAGTTGTCTCTGGGTCTTGCAGAGCACTCCTTTACTCCTTTGCAGAAGAGGTAGAGAGTGGGCAGAACCAACTTGAAGCCACCAAGGACCCTTTAGGATCGAGAGTCCATGTGCAATGCACTGAGGATCTAGAAATGGAAAAAAAAAAAAAAAAAAAAAAAAACCTGTCTCTGCCCATGGAGCTTACAGATTAGTGGGGGAAACAGCCACACAAACAGATAATTATGAATGATGTGTTTGATATGTTAATTGCCTCAGGTGGTGGGGGGGTTAAGGGGAGACTCCTGGGGACCCCTGAGTGAGAAGTTTTCCTAGAGGAAGGCAGTGGCCTTGATAAAATGCCCTCCTGGACTGCTTCTCAGCACTCTATTTCTGTGTGGCACAGCCTAGGCTCATAGACATCACATTCTCTGTGGTTCTACTTGTGCTCACTCGTAATTGTCACCTGCCCTGGAATATGTGAGCTTTCAGTGAGAAAGAACATCTGTCCCTCTTGACACCTTTGGGTGTGGGTAAGGAAAAGAGTAAATGTTCCATGCTAAGCATATTGTCAAGCACTGTGAATGTCATGAAGGAGGAAGTTTGAAAAGTGTGATTTCTTCATGTTTACAAAATGAACAAATGACTCAGATCTGTTGTACACATTCACAAGAGCTGTGTCCTAAGCTGATCCTGATTTTGAAGTCATGTGTCTTCCTTTGCATGTGGGGAGGATTTTAAAGGGATGGAAAGTGGACAAGGAGGGGGTGGGTGAGAGGAAGGAAGGCTTAGAGGCAAGGACTTTGTTCTACGATGCTGACTCAGTGATGCCTTCCCTTGGGCTCTGCAGAAATAAAGATTTTCCTCATCTTTTAGCTCCTTCCTTCCCTCCTCCCTCCCTCCCTCTTTCCCTCCCTCTCTCTTACTTTCATTTTATTTCTTCCTTCCAGTCAGCAGGTTTTTGTGGGGTATGTTTTCTGTTAGGCTAACTTCAGACAAGACCCTGAAAACTAAGTACAGATGTCATCACAGATGAGTGTTCCTTACTCTTGGAAGTTCAGGTAGCCCTGCCTCGATTGGCTCTGACCACTTTGTCAGGCCGTGGAGCTGAGCTACATTTTGGGGATTTCACCCACATTGTTGTTGACAGGATTGTTAGGCTTCACTAGATTTGCACCCTCGGGCTTTGATCTTTTTAATATCTTCCGGATTGAATACCCTTTTGGGATTGTTCTCCTGACTTTTTTTTTAAACGAGTATATTGTGCCACTAGAAAGAAGAATGTTTAAATGGATCAAAAATAAATCTTGATACTCTCTATCAAATGCATGTAAAAAGGAAAAACAAGCATGTTTCATTAATACTAAGATTCCAGGGCATCTGGTAATGACAGCGCTGAGTAAATCCTATGGGGCGACATATTTGATTAGATTCGGGGTCAGTGGGTGAGGGGACATACTCCAGTCATTACAATCTGAGGACAGCGCTGAGCACTAACAGATGTGACAACTTATAACACAGGTACTTCCTCCTTCACTGCACTTTATCCAAAAATAGACATCTTCAGAGGTTCTTTACCTTTTAGCCTTAAAGGATTTGAGAAGCTTTAGAAAACAAATTATGATATCAGGTCTAGATTTATTTTGCTATTAAAGTCTCACATTCTGTACAAGTATTTTATTATTGTTTGTCTAGGTCTCTGAAATTAGAAGAGACAGAAGAAAACATATTATATAAATTTAAAGTATGAATTAGCCAGGCGTGTTGGCACGCACCTATAGTCCCAGCTACTCGGGGAGCTGAGGTAGGAGGATTGCTTGAGCCCAGGAGGTCAAGGCTACAGCAAGCCCAGATTGTTCCATTGCACTCCAGGCTGGGTGACAGAGCAAGACCCTGTCTAAAAATTAAAAAAAAAAATTAAAGTATGACATATAACCTTGTAAGGGATCCAAGAAGTTTAAAATATTACAACTGCTGCCGGGCACAGTGGCTTATGCCTGTAATCCCAGCACTTTGGGAGGCCAAGGCAGGCAGATCACAAGGTCAGGAGATTGAGACCATCCTGGCTAATTCGGTGAAACCCCGTCTCCACTAAAAAATAAGAAAAATAAAAAAAAATTAGCTGGACGTGGTGGCGGGCGCCTGTAGTCCCAGCTACTCGGGAGGCTGAGGCAGGAGAATGGCATGAACCTGGGAGGCAGAGCTTGCAGTGAGCCGAGATCGCGCCACTGCACACCAGCCTGGGGAACAGAGGGAGACTCCATCTCAAACAAACAACAAAAAAAATTACAACTGCTTTTAAGATAATACATCTAGAAAATACAAGGGATTGAAATGGTGTCATAGCCCCATCTTACCCAAATTGAAATGTTGCAGTTTTAAAGTTGAGCAATTGTAAATCTTAAAGTTCCCTTTTTTACTATGATGATCTCTGGACTTTATTTCATCATTTGTTTCAATTTGACTAATTGAATAAACAAATCCATCCACCCTCATTGCCGTCAGTCCTACTTACCTCATCAATATTATTTGGTCTCTTGAAGAGTACTAGATATAAAAAGCTCAAGCTAAATAATTACTCTCCAAATATCTCAGAAATCTTGATTCCTCTACTCCTAGTGCAAATATGCAGTAGTTATGTCACCCACACAGGATGGACTGCAACATTTCATCATCTATTCCTTCAATCTTTTTTCTATATACCATTGTTTAAGATGAATCATGGCCGGTCACGGTAGCTCACACCTGTAAGCCCAGCACTTTGGGAGGCCGAGGTGGGCAATCACCTGAGGTCAGGAGTTTGAGACCAGCCTGGCCAACATGGTGAAACCCCGTCTCTACCAAAAATATAAAAATTAGCCAGGAGTGGTGGCATGCACCTGTAATCCCAGCTACTTGGGAGGCTGGGGCAGGAGAGTCGCTTGAACCCAGGAGGCAGAGGCTATAGTGAGCCAAGATTGCACCACTGCACTCCAGCCTGGCTGACAGAGCAAGACTTCATCTCAAAAAAAAAAAAAGAAAAGAAAATTAATTGTACTACATGTACATTTTAATTTCAGTTTTTTCACCTCATGTAATGTAAGCATTTCCTCATGTTGAAGATTATTTTTAATAACTATCAGATTTTTTAAAACCAGGAAAATTCTAGAGAAACTGAGATTTTGTGAGTCATAATTCTACAGTTCTCTTAAATTCTCAGTCTTTCAGATATCTATACTTCTCCAATGTTTCTCTATTATAAAAACAACAGTAATTGAATGTCTGTCCCACCTTGGTAAAGTCAACAAACTTAAAAAAAAAAAAAAACCTCCACATTTTTGACAGCCGATTACTACTGTACTTCTGTACTTTTCTGGGGACATAGATGGTTTCTGGCCAGGGAATAGAATCAGAGGTGATCGGGGGCGTAGATGGTTTCTGGCCAGGGAACAGAATCAGAGGTGATCTAAATACGTATGTGGAGTAGTTTATTTCTTCCACCAATGTGACCTCCGTCGTCTTTCTTTTTGGTAATTTGCTTTTGTACAGAAGTGGAACAGAGAATGAACAATGGTATGACCTACACGGTATAATGTGGCTTTCTTTCTGGAAAATCAGTAATTAACTCAAGGACCAAATTGTCTTATTCTAAGATGTTTGTCTTCAAAACAATCCTCTTCACTATTTTCATCTTTTTATTGTGGTAAATTTGTACATGACAGTATTCAAAGCATTCTCTTACTTCAGCAACCATTCGTTTATGAAGTTCCTGTACATTGCCTGGTTCACTGAGAACATGAAGCTGAATCAGACAGTTCCTTCCCTTAAGGAATCCACATTCTGGTAGGGAAGATAGAGAAGTAAACAAATGATTACAGTAGGTACAAAAGGTACCCTGGAGTCCTGAGGAGGACTCACCTCTGCTTTAGCACCTGACAGAGGAAATGCCTGAATTGAGTCTTGGAGGGTGGTCAGAGATTGCTAGGTGAAGAGATAGCAGCAGAAGCACAAACTAATGTGCTAAATATGGGTGAACTGTAGTCAGTCTGGGATGGATATGGGGGATAGGATTGAAGTGAGTAGAGTAGGAGATGAGGATACTTACTCTGGGCCAACTAGCGAAGAGTCTTGTTGTCATGCTTAGAAGGCCATGGTCAGCCAGGCATGGTGGTTCATGCCTGTAATCCCAGCACTTTGGGAGGCCAAGGCAGGCAGATCACCTGAGGGCAGGAATTCGAGACCAGCCTGCCCAACATGGCAAAACCCCGTCTCTACTAAAAATACAAAAAATTAGCTGGGCGTGGTGGCACATGCCTGTAATCCCAGCTACTCAGGAGGCTGAGGCAGGAGAATCGCTTGAAGCCAGGAGGCAAAGGTTGCAGTGAGCCAAGATCGCACCATTGCACTCCAGCCTGGGCTACAAGAGCGAAACTCCGTCTCAAAAAAAAAAAAGAAGGCCATGTCTTAGAAAGATGACCAGCTGGAATAGAAAGAATAGACTGGGGAGACTGAGGCAGAGAGCTGAATAAAGAACTTTTTTCAGTAATCCAAATTGGAAATGTTGGGGGTTTGAAGTAGGACAGCAGCAGTGAAAATGAAGAGGAGGAGACAGACTCAAGATAAAGATGGAGAATGGACAGGCTATACGAACAACTTGCATGTACTGTCTTGAGTACCTGCACAGGTGGTACTTACAACTCTCTAAAATAAGAGAATGTAAGAAGATGAGTGCAAAGGGCGCTCCTTACCTTCTGATCTTTGCTTTCTTCAGACTTTACTGAGGATGTAAATAATGGAAAATTGTAGACCTTCTCAATGCTGGCTAATCAGACTTTCCCTATTATTTGGTTTTCCTAGTTCATTACCCAGATAAAAGAAATAGAATGTGTGCATTAGATTTTCTGCTTCTGCTTGGTGACCTAGAGATGATCATCAAGCCTTTTCTTATAAGAGGTATTAAATGCAGGTGCTCAGTTTGGGAGTATTTCCAGTATTTATTGGTTTGAAGTGGATATTGTATGACCAAATCTTAACTGACGATTTTTGTCCTACCAGTTGAATGTGCTGGGTTTTGATTATTTTAAACCTAATATTTGGACAGTATTTAATAGCTGGAGGCAAATTAATAACATGATGTCAGCTGAGGACAAAGGACATGTCTGCAACAACAGTAGATAAATTATAAGCACATGATAACATGAAAGGGTATATCTTACTAAAATGTCAGCTCATTTGGAGGAAACTCTTCATTCAGTTTACTTTCAAAATCTTCAGAGGAGTGTGTCGAAAGAGCCATGGAAGTGGAAGCAGACAGAAAAAAATTGAAGATGTTGATAGTGCTGTGTCAGCTATCTACAGCTTGCTATTTGCCAGGAACCATGCTAAGAACTTTTCATACATTAACTCACTTAATCCTCAGACAGCACTATGAAGTAAGTACCATTAGTATCTCCATTTCATAGCTGAGAAGATTGAGACAAAGAAAGATGGAGTAATTTGCCCAAGAGCACCCTGCTGATAATGATAGAACCAGGCAAATCCAAGCAGGCCTCTTTCCAGAGCCCATGTTCCTAAATACTGTAATCCTCATTGTCTCAATATCCTTCCCTCTTCTTATCACACCTCCCTGGAGAGCCTGGCTGAGTCATTACCTTCTTCTAGGAGGCTCACCTTGACTCTTCCCCTACCTCCAGAGATACTTTTGTACTTTGTACAAAATGTATATATTTCACTGATCACACAGGATATAAATATTCATATCTGTCTCTCCTACCAGACCCGATCTTATTCCTCTTTGTATCTATACCTGGAATTTGGTGTAGTGCATGGCACAGAGTAAGTGTTCAATAAATGCAAGTCTAGTTGAGTTAGCTTCACTTAAACACACAGTGCTTGTCCTCAAAGAGCTTTCAATGTATCAGGAAAAGAAAGTTCCATTCACATGAAACAACAGAATAAGAAAGAAGTTTGAGCTAAAAGAGTGTGGGTATAGACAGTGGATATTATGAGATTTCAATGAAAGGAGATTGGCTATGGAGATTGTGTTGGGTGGATTGAGTTGCATTGGGTTAGATTGGATAGAGATAGCTTCACCACGTACATAGAATCTGAGATGAGGATGGATTATAGTTAAGAGAAGAAAAGGAGGAAGAACATTGATCAGAATGTTGACCTGAGGTGGCAATGAATGAAATGCTTACATTTAAGGGGGTGGTAGAGTTGTTTAGAAAATGTACGCTGAAAGATCTTCCTCATTGAGCCAGATCAGACATCAGCTCCTTAGAGAGGCTGACCCTGTTCTCTCTCGAGACCTTCCTTCCACAGTATCTTGTATATGCATGACCTTCACAAGAACACTTTGCTTTGTAGGTGTCTGTTCTGTGTGACTGAGCTCCCTGAAGGCAAGGATTATTTTTCACCAATACCATGCATGTCTAGCAGATAACAGTGGTAAAAATAATAATAATAGCAGTAACAATTTTATAATTACAGAAGTATATAATGTTGATTTTAATAAATACCTATACAAAATAAGTAACATATTGGATCCTTATTGTGTTCTAGCCATTTTTCTGATTACATTATATTAATTCAACCTGTGTTCTAGTATTTTTGTTGAAATTTATGTTTGTTGAACTTTGCCATCCTGTGAGGTTGTAACATCTAGGGAATCTTTCATTGTGTAGGTGCTATTTGATCATGATCTCCGTCTGAATTCTGCGAAATGTCTTCACATACAGCAGAGTCTTAGCTGGTACCAGGGAGCATTGGAACTTATATGGTTTGGCTGTGTCCCCACCCAAATCTCATCTTGAATTGTAGCTCCCATAATTCCCACGTGTTGTGAGAGGGCCCCAGTGGGAGATAACTGAATCATGGGGGCGGTGTCCTCCCTACTTTTCTCATGGTAGTGAATAAGTCTCATGAGATCTGATGGTTTTATAAGGGGAAGCCCCTTTCGCTTGGTTCTCATCTCTCTTGCCTGCCGCCATGTAAGACGTCCTTTTTTTCTTCCTTCGTCTTCCTCCATGATTGTAAGGCCTCTCCAGCCACGTGGAACTGTGAGTCCATTAAACTTCTTTCCTTTAAATATTACCCAGTCTTGGATGTGTCTTTATTAGCAGCACGAGAACGGACTAATACAGGAACCTAGGATTCAGCTTCCTGCAGAAGGGAAATGACAACATGGCCCAACCAAACAGCTGGCAGTCAGGACAGGCCACCAGTCCCATGAGGAAACTGAGGTACAAAGCTGGACACCCAAGAGTACCAAGGAGTGGATCTCAAAGCAAAACACACACACACACACACACACACACACACACACACACACACACACACACACAGAGCTCTTAATTCCAAACCAAAAGAACTGAGCCTGCTGAATATCTCTTTTTCCACTTAAAGCCTAAGAAGTATCTGAGTCCACAGGTGGGGTTACTGGTAGCCCCAGCTATAGGTTACTGAGTAGGAGAAACAAATCAGGAATTGGCACAGATACATACTCACATGCTATAACTAAAGAATTTCAAACTTGGAATCAATGTGCTTTTGCACATTAGCGTGACCCCCAAATTTTCCAAGCACCAGCTCAGCCTTTCCAAATAAACTGTCTTTGGAATAATGCAAGTAAAATAATATGGGCAGCCTAATAAGCATTTCAAGCAGGCAACAAATATTTGTATTTTCTTCATATGCTACTTTCATAGTTTCAAGAGAAAAGTGCTTTTAGGAAAATGTTCAGGCTTAGGCCAGGCATGGTGACTAATGCTTACAATCCCAGAAATTTGGAAGGCCAAGGTGGAAGGATCCCTTGAGGCCAGGAGTTCAAGACCAGCCTCAGCAACATAGTGAGAGCTTGTATTTAAAAAAAAAAAAAAAAGAAAGAAAAGAAAAGAAATGTTCCAGCCTAATTGAAAAAGTACATAGCAATCAAATTTTATTCCCAGCTGGCATAAAACTTTCTAACTGGTAGCCAAATTTGGGATGCCTGAAGACAGACAAGTGACTAATGCTAGGGCTGTGTGTGGCCAGTACCAAATGTATTTTATGACCACAAGACCATGTCTGGATTCTCCTTTGTAATTACCACACAGCCTACTGTAATTTTCAAGCTTATATTTACTTCCTGCCTTTGACATGTAATTCAGGGTCCAGGACTGCACCCCGAGCGAGAGTGAAGTCCTCTCTGTCATTTGGCTAAAACCTATAAAATCATCATTGTGTGAGGATGTGTGTATGTGTTTGTGTTGCCACGTCTGCTAAATATGTTAAGTGTAATCTTGTGAAAAATATGCCCACTCCTGCCTTGTTGGATGAGGCACTTTGCTTGTCAGATGTTTATTGAACACCTACTACCCTATGCCAGGGACTATTTTAGACTCTGGGAAACATCCGTGAGCAAGAGAATGAAGGCCGTGCTTTCCTGGAAGAGAACGAGGGAGGGGGAGTGGAGAAGAAAGACAGACAGAAAAATAGCACTTATGGACATGTGCTGTGTGGAGAACAAGAGTGATGTGATAGAGAAAGTCTGTGTGGCTTCTTTAGCTTGGGACATCAGAGAAGGCCTTGCCAAGGAGATGACATTTAAACTGACATTTTAAAATGACAAGAAGGAGTAGGACAGGCACAGAGCAGGAGGAAGAGCATTCCAGACAGGTTAGTGTTAAGGCCCAAAGACAGGAGGAGCTTGGCATGTTCCAGAAACAGAAAAGGCCAGTGTGCCTTGAGCACAGTGGGAGACAGGACAACTGAGCAGAGAGGTTGCGTATTAATCCATTTTCATGCTGTTGATAAAGACATACCTGAGACTGGCAAGAAAAAGAGGTTTAATGGACTTAACGTTCCACATGGCTGGGGAGGCCTCACAATCATGGCAGAAGACAAGGAAGAGCAAGTCACATCTTACGTGGATGCTGGCAGGCAAAGAGAGAGAGAGCTTGTGCAGGGAAACTCCCCTTTTTAAAACCATCAGATCTTGTGAGACTTATTGACTATCACAAGAACAGCATGGGAAAGATCTGCCCCCATGATTCAGTTGCCTCTCATTGGGTCCTTCCCACAATATGTGGGAATTCAAGATGAGATTTGGGTGGGGACACAGCCAAACCATATTAGGTTGTCAGGGACAGAGTCACATGGGGCTGTCTAGGCCACTGCAAGAGGCAGACATGGGAGGTTGTGGCCCTTCGTGAGGGACACTAGTTAGGAAGCAACTGCAGAGGGCTGAGCAGGCGGCAGTAGTGGTTTGGACCAAGGCATGAAGTAGAGAATGAGAGAAGGGGCTGGATATGGAATATGGTGTAGAACCAGAGTCAGCAGAACCTACTAGTGGATTGGATGTGAGGAATGAAGAAAAGGGAATAACCAAGAATGATTCCAAAGGCTTTGGCTTTGAGCAACTCGGTGGATGCTGACTGAGAAGAGGAGAACCAAAGGCAGAGCTGCTTGGCTCTTCCCTGAGTCATAACTGACAAGCCACAAAAATTGGGAACTTACATCTTGGGGTCCAATCAATGCCCTCATGACACCTCCCATCCAATTTTACATTGCTGGACTGTATTTGTAGACCTTTGGAAATACTACTTCAAACATATCCAGGGTTTCTCCTTCCTTTTGGTGTACATTTTGTGACATAAAAAAAAAAAAACATATTCGAGTTACCTAACTCTACCTTGCTCCATCCCTCATGGGTGCGCTGTAAATGTTAGTTCTTGTGCAGGCTTCCTGCTTCAGCACAGTTCTGGGGCACCCTGGGCAGGGGCATCTGGAGGTCAAGTAGAGGTCTGAGATCAGTCCATTGGTCACAAGTTGGACAGCCGGCATATGCTTCTAACAACATCGTCTATGTATATAGAAAATAATATGACTAGTTTGCTTGTTTTTCTACTTATAGTTAGGAAAATTTTGTAACCTCTTTACTAAAGATTAAACTGATTTAATCCAATTGTTGCTTTATTATAAAGCAAATGTAGATATTTTCTACATTTGCCTTAAAAATATTGTGGGGTTGGCCGGGCATGGTGGCTCACACCTGTAATCTCAGCACTTTGGGAGGCCAAGACAGGCAGATCACTTGAGGTCAGGAGTTCGATACCAGCCTGGCCAACATGGTGAAACCCCCATCTCTACTAAAAATACACAAAATTAACCAGGCATGATGGTGGGTGCCTGTAATCCCAGCTACTTGGGAGACTGAGGCACGAGAATCATTTGAACCCAGGAGGCAGAGGTTGCAGTGAGCAGAGATTGTGCTGCTGCAACTCTAGCCTGGGCAACAGAGCAAGACTCCATTTCAAAAATATATATACATAGTGGGGCTTAAATTTTCTTGCTACACAATAGGAATAACAATATAGTTATTCTTCATGGGTATTTTGTTAGGAGTAAATGAAATAATGTATATGACGTGCTTAGCACTGTAGCTGCTATATAACATTCAGTAAATTTGAGGTATTATTATCAATGAAATAACAATTTGGGGCTGGGCGTGGTGGCTCACGCCTGTAATCCCAGCACTTTGGGAGGCCGAGGTGGGCAGATCACCTGAGGTCAGTTCGCGACCAGCCTGACCAACATGGAGAAACCCCGTCTCTACTAAAAATACAAAATTAGCCGAGGTGGTGGTGCATGCCTGTAATCCCAGCTACTCGGGAGGCTGAGGCAGGAGAATCGCTTGAACCCGGGAGGCGGAGGTTGCAGTGAGCCGAGATCACGCCATTGCACTCTAGCCTGGGCGACAAGAGTGAAAATCCATCTCAAAAAAAAAAAAAAAAAATTTGGGAGCAGAGGAGCTCCCAGAACCAACACACAGATTTTAATATTCAAATGAACCAGTCAGAGAAAATAGAACAACACATTGATTTATTAAATTCCTGCATCACTTTGGACAAAACCTACACTTTCTTTGTATCTCAATTGTCTCAGGTAAATGTGAGACTCAGGATAGATAGATAACCTCAACTTTAAAACTTCTGTGATTCTAGTAGATGATCAATATTTTCTCTCCCATCTTCCTTTTACCAGACTTATCACAAAGTTTTGTCTTTGGGTCATCTAAATCAGTATAAGTGATATTTATTGCCAGATGTGACCTTTTGTTAGCACACTGGAGAATCCCAACGCTAATGTCAATTTCTATAAATATAGATTGAGAGTGAGGAAATGTTCTGTCTCTAGGGAAGTTTAGCTATTGAGAGTCTTTCTCTTTTTAGACTCTTGGTCTGTGGTCTCTTACTCACTCGTGACATTCTTCCCCAGTCTCACTTTTGTTACCTTTTTATTTCGTGATCACTGATGCTGGTAGCCACCTACAATTTTGAAGTTCCCCACTCAGCCTTCCCTAGTGGTAGGCATTGCATTTGAGTTGTGCTTTCTTACTTCCTCTACCTTTTGAAATTTAAAAATAGGAAATAGCAAACAAACCCACAGTCTTTCACATCAGCTGAACTCTGTTATTCATCCAGCAGATTTTCTGGTGAATTCTCTGGCACAACGTATACAGTCAGAAACCAGCATCAGTTCAGAATAAATGGTGTACAAAATTAAGAAAGAGCTACTTTTATTTTTACTCTTAAACACACGATCAGAAATGGGAGGCAGCAGCATAGGAGGAGGCTTTGAAAAGTAAATCCAAGGGAAAGACGGCTCCTAGCCTTCTCCTTGGCTTTTCTCCTTACCTGTCCAACTTTCCCGAGCCATGATGAAGAGTCAGTGGATTGATAAAGGGACTCTCTTAGGAGTCTAACTCTTGCACTATGAATACCAAAGACAGGCCCTGAGAAGCATGAAAACCCATCATAGCCATGAGCAATATAATTTCCAGAGACCCCACCCCACAGCAAACATACTATAATATGGTACCTGCCCTATTAAATATCGTTTTAGGACGGGTGCAGTGGCTCACGCCTGTAATCCCAGCACTTTGGGAGGCTGAGGCAGGCGGATCACAAGGTCAGGAGTTCGAGACCAGCGTGGCCAACATGGCGAAACCACGTCTCCACTAAAAATACAAAAATTAGCTGGGCCTGGTGGTGGACGCCTGTAGTCCCAGCTATTTGGGAGGCTGAGGCAGGAGAATTGCTTGAACCCGGGAGGCAGAGGTTGCAATGAGCCAAGATCGTGCCATTGCACTCCAGCCTGGGCGACAAGGGCAAGACTCCGTCTCAAAAACTAAAAAATAAAAAATATATATATATATAATTTTATTGCTGTCAATTTGTTGTTTTTTTTTGAGACGGAGTCTTGCTCTGTCACTCAGGCTGGAGTGCAATGGCATGATCTCTGCTCACTGCAATCTCCACCTCCCAGGTTCAAGCAATTCTCCTGCCTCAGCTTCCTGAGTAGCTCAGGTTATAGGCGCCCACCACCACGCCCAGCTAATTTTTGTATTTTTAGTAGAGAAGGGGTTTCACCATGTTGGTTAGGCTGGTCTCGAACTCCTGACCTCAGGTGATCTGCCCACCTCAGCCTCCCAAAGTGCTGGGATTACAGGCGTGAGCCACCGCACCCAACCTTGCTGTCAAAATTTTGAAAAAATATTTGTATAATTTTGCTTTGGAAATAGGTTGGCTACCAGTAACTGATTTAATTTGTAATTGACTATTAGTTTCAGCAATTATCTTACCATACTGGGAAATTTTTATGAAGTTTATGAAGAAATAAATCCAGCCCTACATATTACTTCCAAATTATGTATTTTCGATTACCGGATCAACAATTAATGAAGTTAACTTCACATTTGCATAGACCTTTAACATTTAGTAATTTCAGTACTATTGTTATTCTGTTTTGAAGCCAACCAATGGTTTTTAAGGTCTCAGACGTTTGTTTAGCTCTCTGAAAAGCTGGAAGCCCCGAGGCACTGCACCTTAATGCCCAGTGGTTAAAAATGCTCTGACTGGTTATTCCCAAGCCCTGAGATCTTCACTGCCTTCTTCAAAGAATAAAAGCTGGTTTAGGGGACAGCAAGCTGGCATACAAATATACCAGTCTACTCCAAGAAGGTGACTCTCTAAGAAAAACAAAGTAATTGGAGGCAGAATCCCTGTGTTGCAATTAATTCACCAGGTTACCTTGAACAAGAGCTCTGCAGCCCTTTCCCTGCCCCTCAGTACAGCTTGAGCATCCCTAATCCCAAAATCCAAAACCCACAATGCTCCAAAATCCAAAACTTTTTGAGCACCTACATGACGCCACAAGCAGAAAATTCCACATCTGGCCTCATGCAACAAGTACACATGAGTGTTAAAAATGCTGCATAAAATTAGCTTCAGGCTATGTGTGTAAGCTTTATATGAAACATAAATGAAATTCATGTTTAGTCTTGGGTCCCATCCCCCAAGATATTTCATCATGCTTATGCAAATATTTCAAAGTCCGAAATCCGAAACACTTCTGGTCCCAAGCATTTCGGATAAGGGATACTCAACCTGTAGTGCCTTTGCAAACAAACACCTCATCTGGCCTAGGTGATGGCCCACAGTCATCAGTTCTATGGAACCGAAAGGTATGCCACACCATCTGAACCAGAAACAAGGGCTTCCTCTCACACATTGAGGAAAGCCATTTTTATGTCTGTATTATTTTGCCAAAATTAAAGAAGGAAGGGAAGGGAGAAAAGAGTAGAGAAGGGAAAGGGAAAGGAGAAGGAAGGAGAAAGGACTACACCATCAACATGTTTAGAAAGCTACTGATCTTTTGGCTGGGCCCCGTGGCTCATGCCTGTAATCCCAGCACTCTGGGAGGCCAAGGCGGGCAGATCACCTGAGGTCAGGAGTTCAAGACCAGCCTGGCCAATATGGTGAAACCCCATCTCTACTAAAAATACAAAAATTAGCCAGGCATGGTGTCGTGCACCTATACTCCCAGCTACTCAGGAGGCTGAGGCAGGAGAATCACTTGAACCTGGGAGGCGGAGGTTGCAGTGAGCCAAGATCGCGCCATTGCACTCCAGCCTGGGTGACAGAGCGAGACTCCATCTCAAAAAAAAAAAAAAAAAAAAAAAGCTATTGATCTTTAACTTCTGTGCAAAATTACAAGTATCTTTTCTTCAGAGAGAATGGCTTTCATGTGAGATACTCCCATCATCCCATTCAAATGTTGTCTATCATCTGTTTTTGGTTTGGTTTGGTTTTTCAGTTGGGGGCCAATGGGATGTAACTCAAAGAACATCAGTTTCAGAAGCAGCTCATGCTCTGTTCAAAGCCAGTCCTGTCACTATCACTCAGCAGTTCTCAAAGTGCAGGCCAGGGATCTCTAGGGTGCTCCAAGGGTCTTTCAGAGTGTCCATAAGGTCAAAACTGTCTTTATAATAATAGTATGATCTCATCTGCCTGTTTCACTCTCATTCTTTTCATGAGTGAATTTTCCCAGAGACTACAGGATATGTGATATTGTGACAGATTGAATGCATACGCAGATATCCAAATCCAACTGGCTGCTATGAAGCCAGACATTCAAGATATTTATAAAAATGGAAAACAATGCCATTCTTCTCATTATGTATGTCTGTGTGTATGGGGGGGGGTGTTCTGGAAATATAATTTTAACTTTTAAAATGTTTATGGTAACACGTAGTGGGATTATTACTGTTACTTTTAATTTTTTGGTTTTTTTTTTTTTTTTTTTTTGAGACAGAGTCTCGCTCTGTCACCAGACTGGAGTGAAATGGCAGGATCTTGGCCCACTGCAACCTCCAACTTCTGGGTTCAAGCGATTCTCCTGCCCTAGCCTCCCAAATAGCTGGGACTACAGGCACATGCCACCATGCCCAGCTAATTTTTGTAGTTTTGGTAGAGATGGGGTTTCACCATGTTGGCCAGGATGGTCTCGATCTCTTGACCTCGTGATCCGCCCACCTCAGCCTCCCAAAGTGCTGGGATTAAAGGCGTGAGCCACCGCAACCGGCCTTATTGTTATTTTTTAATGAATTTTAAATTCCTTAATCTTAATGTCTAATATGTTAAATATTGATAAATATAACCCACATAGAAAAAGCTTAAAAGAGTTCATACCTATAACTAAAAAGTTTGAGAAGCCCTGCACTACCTAATTGTAATGACTGTTTATTGATTATTGCTTTGTACCATGAGCTGTGCAAAGCATACCACATTCTTCATCTCTTTTAATCTTTGCCACAAGGCTGTAAAGCAGAGGCTTTAAAAAAGGGCACCTTGCTAGCCCAGCGTCTCACCACTGGACAAGAAAGAGATCACCAGGTCGGTTCTCTGACTCTGAAGCCACACCCTTGGTCACTTTCTCTATAACTTTAAAAAAGATTCTTTTTAACTGCTCTGAGCCTCAGTTTCCTTATCAAAAATAGTCAGAATGAGGTACCCCGTAGTGTTCTCTGAAAAGCAGAAGAGTTTCTATGCATCCAGTCCTTACATGGGGGCCAACAGCAAATGCTCCCCCAGAAACTCTTCACCTCCCTTCCTTCCATTCCTTCCTTTTCTTTGACGTTAGACCAGAGAGGCTTATCAACTCTCCATTTTCCTCTAGGTGGTCTTCAAGCTGACAGAGAAGCTGACGGAACAGAAGGAGTGGATGAAGATATAATTGTGACCCAAAGTCAGACCAACTTCACCTGCCCCATTACAAAGGTACCGCTTCCTCCTACTTCCCCTGAAAGAAACACGATTCACTTCACAGAGGCAGAAAGGTTCCTGTTTGCTTTCTGGTTTGATTTCACTTAGGGAGTTAAGGAGGGAGTAAAGAAAAGTGCTGGGGGTTGAAGAGTATCCACGGGAGGTTCTTGGGCTGGAGAGAGCTGTCAGTCAATCATGCCCTGAAGGATCCGGGACTAAAGTCATGGCCTACAGGCCAAGTGACAGTACTGCCACTGGATTCCCTGCATTTCCTTATCTAAAGCCTAGTAATTATGTAAAGCCATGAGAATGGGAAGTTAAACATAGAAAGCTCAGGACTAGGACGAAACAGCTACTGGAAGTTGATCATTATCATTCCTGAAAGCCCAACATCTCCTTGATTACAGGAGGAAATGAAGAAGCCAGTGAAAAATAAAGTGTGTGGCCACACCTATGAAGAGGACGCCATTGTTCGCATGATTGAGTCCAGGCAAAAGCGGAAGAAAAAGGCCTAGTGAGTGGACGCAGGGAAGGAAGTGGAGCCTTCCCTAGTGGTAGTTACTCAGAGGTGGCGTGTTCACGCTAGAGGAAGAGGCACTTCAATGTCTCTTCTAAATTCCGTTCACCTCCCGAATACTGTAAACATGGAAGTGGGCTTTCTGGAAAAACAATACATGAGGGAAAAATTAGTAATCTGTTCAGGAAGAAGCTGAGGGAACTTCAACCACACCTTCAAAACAGAATAAGGCCAGGCAGGGTGGCTCATGCCTGTAATCCTAGCACTTTGGGAAGCCGAGGTGGGCAGATCACCTGAGGTCAGGAGTTCAAGACCAGCCTGGCCAACATGGTGAAACCCCATCTCTACTAAAAATACAAAAATTAGCCAGGCTTGGTGGCAGGTGCCTGTAATCCCAGCTACTCGGGAGGCTGAGGCAGGATAATCTCTTGAACCCAGGAGGCAGAGGTTGCAGTGAGCCGAGATTGTGCCACTGCATTCCAACCTGGGCAACAGAGCTAGACTCTGTCTCAAAAAAAAAAAAAGGTTTAGGTAAATTCATGGCTAACTCATGAATGATAAATTATTTTTTTAATTGGAAGTTTTGCAGAATCTTTATAAATAGACATAATATATATTATATGTTATATATTGTTTTATATGTATATCATATATTATTTATCTTTAAATATATATAATATACACACACACACATATATATATCTCACCTTCCTTCCCCTTCTTCCATGACCACGGAGGACCATGCTCTGTTCCTGTAATAACATAGAATCCTGAGTTAGCCAGACTGACTGGCATTGACTTCGTTTGGCATTTCTTGTGCTCTTATCATGGATTTGTTGCAGGAATGGAATTGCAGGTGTGACTAGTTCTCAATTGACTTCTGATAACAGTCCCTTTGATGTGTGGCTTGCTTCTCCATTGCCCAGAAATTTGCTGGTCCAGACCTAGAATTGGAATTCCCCAGCACTCCTCATCTGGGTGTGGACTTAGAGATAATATATTGGAGACTAAAGATATCTTGATGGTCATTCAGGCAAATAACTTATCCTATGTATTCTAGAAGAATAGTGGCTTTGCTGCCTAATGGTTGCAAAATGTAGACATTCTTAGTACATTTTGATCTGTTTTGAGTTTTTGAGTTAACAGTTGAAATGTCAGATTTCGGCCAGGCGCGGTGGCTCACACCTGTAATTCCAGCACTTTGGGAGGCCGAGGCGGGTGGATCACGAGGTCAGGAGATAGAGACCATCCTGGCTAACACGGTGAAACCCCGACTCTACTAAAAATAAAAAAAAATTAGCCGGGCGTGGTGGCAGGCGCCTACAGTCCCAGCTACTGGGGTGGCTGAGGCAGGAGAATGGCATGAACCCGGGAGGCGGAGCTTGCAGTGAGCCGAGATCATGCCACTGCACCCAGCCTGGGTCACAGAGTGATACTCTGTCTCCAAAAAAAAAAAAAAAAGAGGGAGGATTCTGGGTTGTTAAATGGCATGCTTTCTTGCTCTTTCTCTTTTTTTTTTTTTTTTTTTTGAGACTGAGTTTCCCTCTTTTTGCCCAGGCTGGAGTGCAATGGCGTGATCTCAGCTTACCACAACCTCCGTCTCCCAGGTTCAAGTGATTCTCCTGCCTCAGCCTCCTGAATAGCTGGTATTACAGGCATGCACCACCACGCCCAGCTAATTTTGTATTTTTAGTAGAGATGGGGTTTCTCCATGTTGGCCAGGCTGGTCTCAAACTCCCGAGCTCAGGTGATCTGCCCGCTTCGGCCTCCCAAAGTGTTGGGATTACAGGCATGAGCCATCGCGCCCAGCCATGGCATGCTTTCATTAGTTTCCTTATCCATAAATGAATGACAATCGTTGTAATCACCTCATTGGCATATTTGAAATTTAAATAAGATACATGCAAAGTACTTAAAGTAGCTGGTACACAGTAGGGCTCAGTAAAATTATCCCATCATCATCTTCAAACTTGAGCCACTATCAACATCCTCTTCGTTTTTTTCCACCATTGCTCTATAGGCATGGGAGACGAGGACAGTTTTAAAGGAGTAAGATGAGCCAACCTGGAGTTTAGGAAGTTACTCCAATAGCAATGCAGAGATGGATTAAGGAGGCATGAGGCAAAAAAAAGTCAGTTAGGATGCTTTTACAGTGGTTTAAGTTATAGAAAATTAGAGTATAGAGATACAAGAGTGATTGTGGAGGTACAGTTAACGACATTTGACGACTGACTGAATGTAAGAGAAAGGAAGAAGCAGCGAGGGGTGGCTGACATTTCTCATCTGGGTGTCTAATACTGTCATTTGCTCATTAGCCTCCAGAGAAGGCATGAGAGAGGAACACTCTTATTGGAGGATTGTGATAGACTCAGCTCAGGTCATCCTAAATGCAAGGTCCCAGCAATACAGCCCCGTGGAAGTGTCCAGGAAGTGCAGCAAGTGTGAGTTTTGCAGTCAGGGGAGGACTCAGAACTATCGATGTGGATTGGGAGGTTATCAGTATAGACGAGTCAACCCGCTCAACTACCGTCACAGATGCAGCTCTGGAACAAATGCATTCACCAGCAGAGAGCCAGCAAGGCAGGACCCGCACCTCGCCTGTGATCTCCACAAGGCCAGAGCCCGACTTCGTTCTGCTCACTGTGATGCCTTAGCACCCTGGTGCCAACCCTCAAAAAACACTTTGTTGACCAATGAGAGGATCAATCAGCGGAAGAAGACCCCTAAAAAAGCAGTCTAAAATATAGCCAGGAGCCAGGAAGAGTGATAAGGAGTGGAGGCTCATGGGAACTTGTGGGCGGGGTGGGCAGGGTTCTGAAGGCCAGGTGCATTTGGGCAGCAGTAGATTAGAACTCAGGGCCTTCTTGAAACCAACTCCAGAAGTTTCTGATGAAGCATGAAGTCGTATCATTTCCCATGATGCACATTAGAGTGATGAGTATTTCTGGGTTCGCTTTGTTTAGAAATGTCCATGACACATTGTCTCATTTCTTCCTCCTAGATTGTTCTAGTTATGTTTGTTTTTTTAGACTGGAGTTCCAGGTCCATTGTGTTCTGGGCACTGCCTGAATTTTACTGTGCAAGCTTCAGGCCCTGGGAAGGCCTCTCTGCACTGGCTTGAGTCAGAATAATATTGTTGAGACTTTAGCCCCAGCCAAGCACGGTAGTTAGAATAATTTCCTAAAATATATCTGTTAACAATAAGCCTATTTATTCTCTTAAAAATAAAGCTGCCTTATGATTTCCTTTTTTTTTTTTTCGTTTCTTTTTTCTTTTCCTTTTTTTTTTGAGACAGAGTCTCACTCTGTCTCCCAGGCTGGAGTACAACCTCTGCCTCCCAGGTTCAAGCAATTCTCGTGCCTCAGCCTCCCAAGTAGCTGTGATTACAGGCACATGCCATCACACCTGGCTAATTTTTGTATTTTTAGTAGAGACAGGGTTTCACCATGTTGTCCAGGCTGGTCTCGAACTCCTGGCCTCAAGTGATCTGCCCACCTTGGCCTCCCAACCTTATGATTTTCATATATTAATATTTCTAACCTGACCACAGTCACTTTTTTGCTTTTTTGTTTGAGAACAGGAAACATATTTTTAAAAGTCATATTTAAGAGCATGTAGAATAAAATGAAATTGAATAGAAATGGGTCATTCGACAGCAGAACTCCAGCTTTGTGCTTGGAATTCCTGTTTCAACACTTACCAACAAGCCATTCAACCTTTCTGCCTCAGTTTCCTCATCTGTAAAGTGGAAATAACATCAGCATCTCACAGCACTTCAGGGGCCAAAGAAATGGTAGGGAATTCCATTCTAGGTCTGGACCAGCACATTTCTTGGCAGAAGAGTAGCAAAAGCACTTAGTTGAAAGCTCTTTTGGGAGCGAAGAGCGCTAAACAAATAGCTGTAGGGTTGTTAAGACCGAGGCTGATAGAGTTGTTATCACTCCCCGTGCTGCTTAGTGACACATTATTTGACTCAGGGGTTGTAAGATAGAATTACTGTCTGTGTTGAGGTATGACAGGAATCCCTCCCACTCAGATTTCCAGAGGTCTCTATAGACCTTCTGTCTATAGCTTGTAGACTAAACCTTGGAATTCTTGGGACCCAGATCCAGGAACTCCCAGAATCATGTACTTTTGAGCATTTGCAGAGGCCAAGGTTCCCCACAGCTCTGTGGGACCCCAAGACCCGGTTCCCTTTGCTCAGCAGTCACCTTTGTGTTTGCCCTGTGCTGCAGCGAAATGCTCTGCCCGGGTAGTGCCTGGAGGTGGGGACCCAGCCGCTCCTGCGAGGCCTGAAGGGCTGACTCCTGCACAGCGATGATGCGGCAGCTGAAGATCGGGTATTGCCACACTGAACTCGCTCACCAAGATGTCGTGGGATTAATGCCGAATGCTTACGGAGACAGTTGTTTCTCCAGAGGAGGCATGCCTTGATTCAGCACTGTGGCATGATGGCCTTCTCTTATCCTTTCTGCTTTAAAAACTTGTGTTTATTGGAGACGAAGGAGAAACAAGGTCCTTCCCAGTTCCAGCATCAACCTCGCCTCCAGGAAGTCTTCCCTGAGCCCTTATTCATGCTGGACAAAATGTCGTTAGCACCCCATGTCATGCCAACATTGTCAGTGCAGCTGGCTCCTCTCCACGAGCTTCTTGAGAGCGGAAGCTGTGGACTAGGGCAGGGACTGGTGCACGGCAGGACCTGAAGTGAACTCCCCAGTCCTTGACACACATCAGCCTGCTTATTTCTCAGCCTTATTGGACAGGCTTGTCCTCTGCCTTCATGTTCTTAAAGGGAAAAACTGAGGCACAGAGAATTTAGTCACTTACCCAGAGTGACACAGCCAGGGGGTTTAAGCCCAGGTCTTTCTCATTCTTGAGCCTGCAATTCTGTCAGTAGGCCATCCAGCTCCCCTTGGGAGGGCTATTTGGTTCATGCCTCTACCATCAGAGTCTATCTCCTCAGTGAACTCAGACCTTGTTTGACATGGCTCACTCTGGGATCCATCCCACTGAAGTGAAGGTGGGCGCCTGCTCTGCAGCTGAGTGTGTGGTTAAGTCCATCAGACATTCTCAGCATGCTCTCATGCACTGACTAAAACCATGATGTCATCAGGAAGTCCTCCCCACCTCACTCTCCACTTCCCTCTCCACTGCTTATTCACTGTCTGGCTATGAAAGTTAAGGCCTTTGCTGGGTAGAATGGAAGAGACCAAGGCCAGGCAGTCCAAAGCAGATATTCAGGGTTATGTTTTAAGGGAGGGTCATCCCAGCAACCTACTTGGAGTTGCATTTCAATGTCATGGAAGCCAAAGTTATGATACTTGGCTTTTCTAGTCACAAAAGTGTCTGTATCCTCTTCATGATCTTAGCTGCTTTTTTTCATACTTACAGACATAATTCACCAGGCACGGTGGCTCATGCCTGTAATCCCAGCACTTTGGGAGGCCAAGGCAGGTGGATCACTTGAGCTCAGGAGTTCAGGACCAGCCTGGGAAACATGGTGAAACTCTGTCTCTACCAAAAATTTTTTAAAAATTAGCCAGGCGTGATATTGTGCACCTGTGGGCCCAGCTACTCAGGAGGCTGAGGTGGGAGGATTGCTTGAGCCTCAGAGGCAGAGGTCACAGTAAGCAGAGATAGTGCCACTCCAGTCTGGGTGACAGAATGAGACCCTGTCAAAAAAAGAAAGAGGAAAGAGGAGAGAAAGAAAGAAAGAAAGAAAGAGAGAGAGAGAGAGAGAGGGAGGGAGGGGGAGGAGGGAGGGAGGGAAGGAAGGAGAAAGGAGGAGGGGGAGGGAAGGAAAGAAGGAAGGAAGAAGAGAGGAGGAGGAAGGAGAAGAGAGGAGGGCGGGGAGGGAGGGAAGGAAGGAAGGCAGGAAGGAAGGAAGAAAGGAAGGAGAATTCGCTTTGAGACTTCACAGCGTAGGGGGACAGGCTGGGAAAAAAATACAGATTTTTAAACTAGTGTAAAACATTTCTCCAGCCTTGCCCTAATGCAAAGCCAAATCATCAAAATGATGCATACCTGGGCCAAATCACCCTGATCCTCTTTCATATAATTGCCTTTCTGTAATTATGATTTAACACATCATGTACCTGAGTATGTAGGGCACTTTTTTTTTGTTTGTTTTGTTTTGTTTTGAGACAGAGTCTTGCTCTGTTGCCCAGGCTGGAGTGCAATGGTGCAATCTTGGCTCACCGCAACCCCCACCTCCTGGATTCAAGTGATTTTCCTGCCTCAGCCTCACGAGTAGCTGGGATTACAGGCATGCGCCACCACGCCTGGCTAATTTTTGTATTTTTAGTAAAGATAGGGTTTCGCCATGTTGGCCAGGCTGGTCTCAAACTCCTGACCTCATGTGATCCACCTGCCTCGGCCTCCCAAAGTGCTGAAATTACAGGTGTGAGCCACCGTGCCTGGCCATATTTTAATATTTTAAAAATAAATACTGTTATTAAGCATATTATATTTCATTGATTAATACCCCTCTAATGTAAAAACTCCTTGATCCACAGATCAGGGCCAAGAAATACTTTCTTTCATGTTGGACTGTTGGGCTTCCTACCACTAGACAAATTGGAGCTCCCATGACCAACTTTCTTTCCTTCTGGTTTGCATCTTTACTGTGGTTTGCACATTTGTTGTTTTTGGTCTTAATATCCTGTGCTTTATGGAGAGCTGTCTCAGATCACTGGGCCAGAGCTCTGTGTGGGCAGGAACCATGTATTTGTATTTCACAGTTGCATGCTTAGAACCTAGCATAGGGCTGATCCCTAGAAGAGTCAATTAATGCATGAATGGGTGCATGCCTGTGTGGGATATATGCAAGATAGAAATAGATCCAGAACTTTAAAACTTCTTGGAAGAATGATGATGAGGGAACACATGATAGTCACAGGGGATCTGGAAGGGAATTAACATTATTGAGCACAGAGGATCTGGGAGGGAATTAACAGTATTGACTGTCACCTTGGGAAATAAGGGTTCTCTCCCCATTTTAACTCAGAGGCAAGGGAGGCTCAAGAGGGTTATTGTGAATTGCCTGTGGTCTCATAACTAGCAAGTAGGTGGTAGAGAGAAAATTCAGACCTAGGTTAGCTTGACTCCAAACATTGGGCCTCTAATCTACCAAAATTTGGTTCACTTTGAGAACCAGATTCTTTGAGAAGAAATAGGTGGTTTCATCCAGCCCACTGCCCTCAGAGAAGACCACATCGAAGCAGAGCCGTGGCTTGTTTCCACCCCTTTGTGGGTGACTCACTGATGTCTTTAGCTGCAGCCTTTCCACCGAGTCCCAGTGGCCCACTCAGTCTCTCTTCTAGGAGGGCTACTGGGCATCCATTCCAGAGGAAACAGATACCAACCAGGACTGTGGTTCTGTGCTGCAGCCTGTTTTGCCCCATCGTTTCCCACTGTGATGAAGGGCACTACCAGTCACTGATCTACCCAGATGAAGCTCGCTTCTTCCCTTTCGCTTATGCTCCACAGCCACTCCATCGGCAAGTCCTATAGGTTCTATGGTCAAGCATGTCCTGAAGCTGATCGCCATACCACCCTCAGCCGAGCTGCCCTCACCTCTCTCCTGCACCCTGCAGGATCCCCCATGCTATTTTCCCTGCCCTTCTCTTACCTCCCTGTTTTGTATTCTCCATAAGCAGCCAGAGTAACATTTTCCAGATGTAAACCAAACACACTCCTCACCCATCTCAAAACCTTCCAGTGTTTTGTCTTCATATTTAAAATAAAATCCAAGTCCAGGCACGGTGGCTCATGCCTGTAATCCCAGCACTTTGGGAGGCCGAGGCAGGTGGATCACTTGAGGTCAGGAGTTCGAGACCAGCCTGGCCAACATGGTGAAACCCCATCTCTACTAAAAATACACAAAATTAGCCAGGCATGGTGGCAGGCGCCTGTAATCCCAGCTACTCAGGAGGCTGATGCAGGAGAATTGCTTGAACCCAGGAGGCGGAAGTTGCAGTGAGCTGAGATCACGCCACTGCACCCCAGCCTGGGTGAAAGAGTGAGACTCCATCTCAAAATAAATAAATTAATTAAATTAAATAAACTCCAAAGCCCCATTGGCGCACTGACCTCACTTCCAACTGCTCTCCCTCTTGCCTGGGTCGCTGCAGCCACATAGAGCTTGCTGTCACTCCAGGGCACCAAGCTGGAACGTCCTCAGCACTGCACTTGCTACTGCCTCAGCCCAGACCACATGCAGACTTGTTCCCACGCTTCATTCTGGGTCCTGCCCTAGATAAGATGTGTTCGGTGAGGCATGCCCTGAGTCCAGCCAGTGAAGCTGTGGCCCCAGCACTCTCTCTCCCTGACCCTGCTTTGTTGCCCTCATAGCCCATAAGGTGACCTGAACTTGCAGCAAGCATTTATTTGGTTCCCTAGTGGTTGCCTGTCTTCCTCATTAGAAAGATAGCTCATAGGCTGGGCGCGGTGGCTCACGCCGGTAATCCCAGCACTTTGGGAGGCCGAGGCGGGCGGATCACGAGGTCAGGAGATCGAGACCATCCTGGCTAACACGGTGAAACCCTGACTCTATTAAAAATACCAAAAATTAGCCGGGCGTGGTGGTGGGTGCCTGTAGTCCCAGCTACTCGGGAGGCTGAGGCAGGAGAATGGTGTGAACCCGGGAGGCGGAGCTTGCAGTGAGCCAGGATCGTGCCACTGCACTCCAGACTCCGTCTCAGAAAAAAAAAAGAAAGTTAGCTCATGATAAGGCAGGCACTACTCACATATCGCTTGTGTCCCCAGCACCCAGACAGGGCCTGGCTCAGGTAGGGACTCAGTGAATAAATGAATGAGCACAGCTTGGTCCTGATTTTGACACTTTTCCTTTTTCAGTAAAATGCCTTACTTAAACACTTGAGTATAAAAGAAGTTTCTGCTTAAGGCAGTAAAGGGGACTGACTTGATGTTCTTTCTTTCTCACAGTTGCCCTCAAATTGGCTGTAGCCACACGGATATAAGAAAGTCAGATCTTATCCAGGATGAAGCACTTAGAAGGGCAATTGAGAACCATAACAAGAAAAGACATCGTCATTCCGAGTAGGAAAAGCCACCTGCCTGCAGGGACACCAGCAGCCTACCTCCTACCCCAGCTGTCTGTTGAGAGCAGTGCTGACCCCAGCAGTTAGGGACTGGCTGCATAGCATACTTGTTGGGGGTAAAACTTGTTGCTTTTATGTGTGCTTGAAAACATTTTTCAAAGTTACACAACAGAAATGCAATCATATTGTTTATTTTTAAGTGTTCTATAATGTTAAATAAAACTTTGATCATCTGCAGTGTCCTCCCTGCATGCCTCCTGATGTATGGATTGTTCCAGAGGTGCAGGCTTTTCCATTTCAAGGACATCAGACTGATTTTTATAATAGTTTTGACTAAAGAATGTCTTTCAGCCAGGTGCAGTGGCTCATGCCTGTAATCCCAGCACTTTGGGAAGCCGACGTGGGCAGATCACTTGAGGTCAGGAGTTCAAGACCAGCCGGGGCAACATGGTGAAACTCCGTCTCTACCAAAAATCCAGAAATTATCCAGGTGTGGTGGTGCGCACCTGTAATCCTAGCTACTCGGGAGGCTGAGGCAGGAGAATCACTTGAACCCAGGAGGCAGAGGTTGCAGTGAGCCGAGATCGCACCACTGCACTCCAGCCTGGGCGACAGAGCAAGCCTCTAAAAAAAAAAAAAAAAAAAAAAAAAAAAAAAAAAAAAAGAATGTCTTTCAAGTGATATTTGAAATTGAAACATATAAAAACACCCCTATTGGGAGGCATTTTCTATGAGTATAGTAAATAATAGCATTTGGTTATAAAGCAAAGTCAGTTTACTTTCTTGTATTTACATTGTATATTGACAGTTCCAAACATATAAATGCTTTTATTGTCATTCTGAATGGAATAGAATGCTCCAGTGACTGGCTAATCAGTGCATTGCAGTGATGATTGATGCCTATAATGAATACTTTGCTGCAGCCCTCCAAGAGCCTAAAGTACCATCAACAGTAACCACATTCCAGCTGCTCTCTGTTTTTCTAGATGGTTCACTGCAAGTGACTTCATCCCTCTGGATGTTGGTGTCTTCAGCCATAAAGTGAAGGTGTTCAACAAGATGCTCTCTAATGTCTCTAATCAACAAGATGCTCCCTAATGTCCTGTGACCCCTGAGAGTCTATGGACTGACACCAGCAGGGTCTTTAAATTGAATGTCTTCAATTATATTCTAATTGTGTGATGAGCACCAATCTATTGTCTCCATTAGCAACCTTTTATCAACCTTACTATTTAATTAAACCAAATTTGAAGCATACCCTGATGGCACTGGAAAACCAAGAATAGCTAATAATAGCTAACATTTATTGAGTACTTATTTACTGTATACCAGGTGCTATTCTAAGTGCTTTACATTATATTAACTCCTATAATCTTCATAGCCCAGTGAGAGAAGGACAGTTCTTACAGATAAGGAAAAGTAGGCACAGAGAAGCGAAGTCACCCATGGAAAGTCAGAGATGGAACTAGGAAATGGCTGAGCTGGGACCAGAATCTGGAGAGCCCAGTCCTAAAATCTCCATTCTTAACTCCATACTCTCCTCCTCCCTATTGACATAATTTAGAAAATGAAAATATATTCGAAGCCCACATTTAGAACCAAAGCTTTTGTAAATAAGTGTGTGTGTGTGTGTGTGTGTGTGTGTGTGTGTGTGTGTGTGTGTACAAAAAGTCTAATTAAAATGGAGGCCTATGCAGGAGGATCACTCGAGCCCAGGAGTTTGAGACCAGCCTGGGCAAGATGGCAAGACCTCATCTCTATTAAAAAAGAAATAAGGCCGGGCACAGTGGTTCACACCTGTAATTTCAGCACTTTGGGAGGCCAAGGTGGGTGGATCATCTGAGGTCAAGAGTTCAAGACCAATTTGGCCAACATGGCAAAACCTCATCTCTACTAAAAATACAAAATTGGCCGGGCACAGTGGCTCAAGCCTGTAATCTCAGCACTTTGGGAGGCCGAGGTGGGCAGATCACGAGGTCAGGAGTTCAAGACCAGCCTTGCCAACATGGTGAAACCCTGTCTCTACTAAAAATGCAAAAATTAGCCTTGGTGTGAGCCTGTAATCCCAGCTACTCAGGAAGCTGACATATGAAAATTGCTTGAACCTGGGAGGCAGAGGTTGCAGTGAGCCAAGATCATGCCACTGCACTCCAGCCTGGGCAATAGAGCTCTGTCTCAAAAAAAAAAAGACCCACCCCCATAATTCAGTCACCTCCCACTGGGTTCCCCCAATGACGTCTGAGAATTTTAGGAGTTACAATTCATGATAAGATTTGGGTGGGGACACAGCCAAACCATATCATTCCACCTGGCCCCTCCCAAATTTCATGTCCTCACATTTCAAAACCAATTATGCCTTCTCAACAGTCCCCCAAAGTCTTAACTGATTTCAGCATTAACTCAAAAGCCCACAGTCCAAAGTCTCATCTGATACAAGGGAAGTCCCTTCTGCTTATGAGTCTGTGAAATCAAAAGTAAGCTAGTTACTTCCTAGATACAATGAGGGTACGGGTATTGGATAAATACAGCCATTCCAAATGGGAGAAATTGCCCAAAACAAAGGGGCTACAGGGCCTATGCAAGTCTGAAATCCAGTGGGGCAGTCAAATCTTAAAGGTCCAAAATGACCTCCTTTGACTCCAGGTCAAACAGGTGCAAGTAGTCTCCCATGGCCTTGGGCAGCTCCACCCCTGTGGGTTTGCAGGGTGTAGCACCTCTTCTGGCTGCTTTCATGGGCTGGCATTGAGTGTCTGCAGCTTTTCCAGGCACATGGTGCCACCATTCTGGGGGTTGAAGGATGGTGGCCCTCTTCTCACAGCTCCACTAGGCAGTGCCCCAGTAGGGACTGTGTGGGGGCTCTGACCCCACATTTTCCTTCCATACTGTCCTAGCAGAGGTTCTCCATGAGGGCCCCACCCCTGCAGCAAACTTCTGCCTGGGCATCCAGGCATTTCCATACATCCTCTGAAATCTAGGCGGAGGTTCCCAAGCCACAATTCTTGACTTCCGTGCACATGCAGGCTCAACATCATGTGGAAGCTGCCGAGGCTCGGGGCTTCCACCCTCTGAAGTAGCAGCCCAGCTGGGACACGGCACCAAGTCCCTAGACTGCACACAGCAGAGGGACCCTGGACCCAGCCCATGAAACCATTTTTTTCCTTCAAAACCTCTGGGCCTGTGATGGGAGGGGCTGCCCCAAAGGTCTCTGACATGCCCTGGGGACATTTTCCCCATTGTCTTGGTGATTAACATTTGGCTCCTTGTTACTTATGCAAATTTCTGCAGCTGGCTTGAATTTGTCCTCAGAAAACAGGATTCTCTTTTCTATTCCATTGTCAGGCTGCAAATTTTCCAAACTTTTATGCTCTGTTTCCCTTTTAAAACTGAATGCCTTTAACAGCACCCAAGTCACCTTTGCTTTGCTGCTTAGAAATTTCTTCTGCCAGATACCCTAAGTCATCTGTCTTGTTCAAAGTTCCACAAATCTCTAGGGCAGGGGCAAAATGCTGCCAGTCTCTTTGCTAAAACATAACAAGAGTCACCTTTGCGCCAATTCCCAAAAAGTTCCTAATCTCCATCTGAGACCACCTCAGCCTGGATTTCATTGTCCATATCATTATCAGCATTTTGGTCAAAGCCATTCAACAAGTCTCTAGGGAGTTCCAAAATTTCCTACATTTTCCTGTCTTCTGAGCCCTTCAAACTGTTCCAACCTCTGCCTGTTACCCAGTGCCAAAGTCACTTCCACATTTTCAGGTATCCTTTCAGCAGTGCCCCATTCTACTGGTACCAATTTACTGTGTTAGTTCATTTTTATGCTGCTGATAAAGACATACCCAAGACTGGGCAATTTACAAAGGAAAGAGGTTTTATGGACTTAACAGTTCCAGATGACTGGAGAGGCCTCATAATCACAGCAGAAGGCAAGGAGGGACAAGTCACGTCTTACATGGATGATGGCAGGCAAAAAGAGAGCTTGTGCAGGGAAAATCCCGTTTTTAAAACCATCAGATCTCGTGAGATTCATTCATTATCATGAGAACAGTGCAAGAAAGACCTGCCCCCATAATTCAATCACCTCCGACCTGGTTCCTCCCACAACACGTGGGAATTGTGACAGTTACAATCAAAGATGAGATTTGGGTGAGGACAAAGCCAAACCATATCACTAGCCAACATGGTGAAACCCTGTCTCTACCAAAAATACAAAAAATTAGCTGGGTGTTGTGGCGTACACCTGTAATCCCAGCTACTCATGAAGCTGAGAGACAAAATTTGCTTAAACCCAGGAGGCAGAGGTTGCAGTGAACCAAGATCGTGCTACTACTGCACTCCAGCCTGGGTAACCCAGGAGGCAGAGGTTGCAGTGAGCCAAGATCACACTACTGCTGCACTCCAGCCTGGGCAACAGAGTGAGACTGTCTCAAAATAAATAAAAGAAAGATAAATAAATTTTTTTAGATGCAGGAAATAACTGAATTTGACATCTACTGGGCAGTAAAATCCACTAAATAATAACATATTTGAGTTTAAAAGCATAGTCTAACATGGTTGAATTAATTTTGAAAGCACTTTTATGGAATTCAGAAAGTAGTATGAAATTCAGTTGTCTACAAACTAAATGCTTTTGAATTTCCTAAGATGCTTTATCTGAATCAGACTTTACGGAGGAAATGATTGTATTTAAGCCAGAACAAACATACTTTTCATGGAATGTGGTTCTTTTGTGAAATACTTTGCTTACTAAACAGATAGGAGTAAGCATAAAATGCATCCCAAGATTGGATTTGCATTTTTCCCAACTCTAAAGAGAATTCTGGAATATTTGTATAGGTACCAATACCAGTTAGAAAAATGCAAAATAACAGTATTTCACTTTTGAAAAGGTATGGTATTTATATCTTCTGAAATCTTCCCCTTCTTTAGCCTTCAGAAACTGTTTCATAAATTTGTCTAGCCATTCAAAGAGTTTGATGTTTTACACAAAACTGATTTTCATCTTTTGAAGGTCTGTCATTTGATTGTTAGTATCAATCTGGCATATTATTAGCTTGTTTTTTCTTTTTCTTTTTTCTTTCTTTTTTTTTTTTTTTTTTGTGAGACGGTGTCTTGCTCTGTCACCCAGGTTGGAATGCAGTGGCGCAATCTCAGCTCACTGCAACCTCCGCCTCCCAGGTTCAAGCAATTCTCCTGCCTCAGCCTTCTGAGTAGCTGGGATTACAGGTGTAAATCACCACATCTGGCCCAATCTGGCATATTTATTAAGTTTCTGTTATAGGAGTTTTTTTTTTAATGGAAGCTTTTCTTCCATTAAAATTATATTCATCTTCTTTAGTAACCCAATATAAAAGACAGTTTAAAGGGGAGCAGTTCTAGTCAAAGAGGAGGTGGGAGTTGCAGCTCTCCTTTTCCCAGGACAATCCCAGAGTACTATCTGAGATTACCCCAAGGCCACATGAGTGGCACTCGAAAACTGCACTAGACATTGTAGCGAAATAGTTTTTCAGATATGACTGATTTAAGATTAGGACAATTGTGTGGACATGGCATTGTTTTAAAATGCTAATTATTTTAAGAAACTCAACTAGCACATTTAAAACATTACCACACGGCCGTGCAGGGTGGCTCACACCTGTAAACCCAGCACTTTGGGAGGCCGAGTCAGGCAGATCATCTGAGGTCAGGAGTTCGAGACCAGCCTGGCCAACATGGCGAAACCCTGTCTCTACTAAAAATACAAAAAAATTAGCCAGGCATGGTGATATGTGCCTGTAATTCCAGCTACTTGGGAGGCTGAGGCAGGAGAATTGCTTGAACCTGGGAGACGGAGGTTGCAGTAAGCTGAGATCACGCCACTGCACTCCAGCCTGGGCGACAGAGCGGGACTCGGCCTCAAAATAAACAAATTAATTAATTAATTTTTAAAAAGTTACCACAAACTCCAAAAGATAATTTCTGTCTCACCTTATATAAAACTTCAAACATGGAGTGTCCAGCTTGAAGCAGTGTCTGAGGGGAGTACTGCTTTTAGCTGGATACACCCCGACGGAGGTTTTATGCAAGGACAGAGATAAATTACAGGACTGAGAGGAACCAAGGCTGGTGTGAACTGACTGCTTGCCATGTACCAGGCTCAGGTCTAAGTCCCTTAAAAGTATCCCCTAAGCTAAGTCTCCTGAACCCTCGTTATTACCCCCATTTTACAGATGAGGAAACTGTGGTTCAGAGTCAAGTCATTTGCCCAGGGTCACACACTTGTGCGCAGTCAGTCCTGTCTTGGAATGGAACAGTGAGTGAGCAGAAGCACTCTGCCCTGCTGGTGGGCTCTTTGCCCCAGGGCCATGGAGGGCACATACAGGGTCAGCAGACCTGCACTTCTATCCCAACCTCCTTATTGCTGTTACTGAGACCAATTTCCCAGGTTCGCAGACTCCAGTTATCCACGAATTTAGCATAGCTGGGTGATCCTCCCCTCCCTTGTTCTCTCTGCCAACACCACCAAATCCAGGGCCTCCCTCCTTACTTCACACCAAGACTATTCACCGGCCTCCCAGCTGGCCTCCTGACTCAAATCTTGCCCCTCTCATATTAACCTACTAGAATACTGATTGGGTAATTTCACATCCTACCCAAAAGCCTTCCTTTCCTACAGAATGATGTCCTGTTCTGGCATTCAGGATTTTACCACGTAGCAGCCCCCTTCCTCTCTGCAACACTTCCCTCTTTTCCCTCCATTCCAGCACCCCCTCTCTTTCCAGCAAAGTTTCTTCCAGGAAGCGAACTAACCCTCTGTGTCCCTGACTAGCACATAAAGGTGATATTGTCACTTCCCTACCCCAGGCCTCAGATTTCCCACATAAACTAAAAGACTTGGATGGCTCCCTAAAGTTTCTTTAAAAGCTATAAGATTCCAGCCGGGTGAGGTGACTGACTCCTGTAATCCCAGCACTTTGGGAGGCCAGGGCAGGAGGATCACCTGAGGTCAGGATTTCAAGACCAGCCTGCCCAACATGGTGAAACCCCATCTCTACAAAAATACAAAAATTATCCGAGCATGATGGCGGGTGCCTGTAATCCCAGCTACAGGCTGAGGCAGGAGAATTGCTTGAACCCAGGAGGCAGAGGTTGCAATGAGCCGAGATCACGCCACTGCCTTCCAGCCTGGGCGACAGAGTGACACACCGTCTCAAAAAAAAAAAAAAAAAAAGGAAGTAAGATTCCATGTCATATTGTCAATGACTAGGTCCTATGGGAAGTAGAAGGCCCTTTGGAAGGACAGCAGATTGACGTGGAAATTAGTACAAACACACACACACACATACCCTGTCTATTTTAGAGACAGGGTCTTGCTCTGCTCTGCCACCAAGGCTGGAGTACAGTGGCACATTCATAGCTCACTGTAACCAACTGCTGGGCTCAAGTGATCCTCTCGCCTCTCAAGTAGCTGGCACCACAGACACAGGCCATCATGCCCAGCTAATTTTTTTTTTTTTATTTGTAGGGATGGGTTCTCGATGTGTTGCCCAGGCTGGTCTCAAACTCGTGGGCTCAAGCAATCCTTCCACTTCAGCCTCCCAAAGAGCTGGGATTACAGGCATGAGTCACAGTGCCTAGCCACAAATTAGTATATAATTGACCAAAATGTGTATATTGAATCATGATGGCAGGTGCCTGTAATCCCAGCTACTCAGGAGGCTGAGGCAGGAGAATTGCTTGAACCTGGGAGGTGGAAGTTGCAGTGAGCTGAGATCACACTACTGCACTCCACCCTGAGCGACGGAGTGAGATTCCATCTCAAAAAATAATAAAATTTAAAAAAATAAAAATAAAGGCCAGGCACAGTGGCTCACGCCTGTAATCCCAGCACTTTGGGAGGCCAAGTTGGGCAGGTCATGAGGTCAGGAGATCAAGACCATCCTGGCTAACACAGTGAAACCCCGTCTCTACTAAAAATACAAAAAATTAGCCAGGCATGGTGGTGGGCGCCTGTAGTCCCAGCTACTGGGGAGGCTGAGGCAGGAGAATGGCATGAACCGGGAGGTGGAGCTTGCGGTGAGCCGAGATCGCGCCACTGCACTCCAGCCTGGGCGACACAGCAAGACTCTGTCTCAAAAAAATAAATAAATACATAAATAAATAAAAATTAAAAGTCTGGAACCCTTTGATTGGGAGACAGGGTGGGGTGACTCATGTGAGTAGATTACCCAGCTGTATGAAGATTATTATGTTTTGGAAATCTGCCTTCTACCTGTGTCAGATTTGTGGAGCGGGGATGATGATTCTGAAAAGAAGGCAGGTAAAACTGAAGGAAACAGGAACGCTTTTACATTGCTGGTGGAAATGCAAGTTGATGCAGCCACTTTGAAAAAACTGTTTGGCTTTTTAAAAAAATGTTAACGCACTGCCGGGCGCAGTGGCTCACACCTGTAATCCCAGCACTTTGGGAGGCCAAGGACGGCAGATCACAAGTTCAGGAGATCGAGACCATCCTGGCTAACATGGTGAAACCCCGTCTCTACTAAAAATACAAAAATTAGCCAGGAATGATGGCACATGCCTGTAATCCCAGCTATTTGGGAGGCTGAGGCAGGAGAATCGCTTGAACCCGGGAGGCAGAGGTTGCAGTGAGCCAAGATCGCGCCACTGCACTCCAGCCTGGGCAACAGGGGGAGACTCTGTCTCAAAAAAATAATAATAATAATAAATAAATAAATAAATAGTTCATAACAGCATGATTTACAATAGCAAAAAAAAAAACTGGAAACAATACAAATATTCAGTTGGTGAATGGGTAAACAAAATGTTATAAATCCATACAATGGAATACTACTTGGCAATACGAAGGAATGAAGTCCTTTTTAAAAAACCATTGGCTGGGCGCGGTGGCTCATGCCTGTAATCCCAGCACTTTGGGAGGCCGAGGTGGGCGGATCACCTGAGGTCAGGAATTGGAGACCAGCCTCAAAATGGAGAAACCCCGTCTCTACTAAAAACACAAAATTAGCTGGGTGTGGTGGTGCATGCCTGTAATCCCAGCTACTCGGGAGGCTGAGGCAGGAGAATTGCTTGAACCTGGGAGGCGGAGGTTGCGGTGAGCCGAGATCACACCATTGCACTCCAGCCTGGGCAACAAGAGCGAAACTCCATCTCAAAAAAAAAAATAAAAAACCATATGTGTCGAGGTCGGAGCTCGAGACCAGCTGAGGCAGGCGGATCACCTGAAGTCAGGAGTTCAAGACCAGCCTGGCCAACATGGTAAAACCCTGTCTCTAATAAAAATACAAAATTTAGCCGGGTGTGGTGGCAGCCATCTGTAATCCCAGCTACTCAGGAGGCTGAGGCAGAATTGCTTGAACCCAGAGGCAGAGGTTGTAGTGAGCCGAGATCATGCCACTGCACTCCAGCCTGGGTGACAGAGCAAGACTCTGTCTGAAAAAAAAAAAAAAGTGTGTGTGTGTGTGTGTGTGTGTGTGTGTGTGTAGTGTGTGTATCATGTGTTGAGAGTAAGATCTACTCTCTTAGTAAATTTCAAGTGTACAATGCTTTATGATTAACTGTGGTCACCATGCTATACGTTAGATCAGCTGATAACTGCAAGTTTGTACCCTTTGACCCACATCTTTGCATTTCCCTACCCCAGACCCCTGGTAACCTCCCTCCTACTCTGTTTCTGTGAGTAGGAGTGAAGCACATATGGATGTGGAAAACATGCTCAGTGAAAGAAGCCAGTCATAGAGATCACATAGGCTATGAATCCTCTCACACTCAATGTTCAGAAAGATTCAAATCTAGAGGGACAGAAAGATTAGTGGTGGCCTGGTCTGGGGGTGACAACTGAGAGGGAATGCACGAGGGACCCTCTGGGGGTAAGGGAAATTGGATTGTAGTGGAGGTTGCACAACTCTAAATTTACCAAAACTCATTGAATCCAGTACTTTTTTTTTTTTTTTTTTTTTTTTTTTTTTGAGTCAGGGTCTTGCTCTGTCACTCAGGCTGGAGTGCAGTGGTGTGATTTCGGCTCACTGCAGCCTCAACCTTCCAGGCTCAAACAATTTTCCCACCTCAGCCTCCCCAGTAGCTGGGACTGCCAGCGTGTGCCACCACACCCAGCTAATTTTTTTGTTGTTTGTTCATGGAGACGGGGTTGTGTTGAGTTGCCCAGGCTGATATTGAACTCCTAGGCTCAAGGGATCCACCCTCCCTCAGTTTCCCAAAGTGGTGGGATTACAGGCGTGAGCCACCGCACCCAGCCCAGCCTGGAGAGCAGTGGTGTGATCTCGGCTCACTGCAACCTCCGCCTCCCAGGTTCAAGCGATTCTCCTGCCTCAGCCTCCTGAGTAGCTGGGATTACAGGCACATGCCACCACGCCCAGCTAATTTTCTGTGTTTTTAGTAGAGACGGGGTTTCAACACATTAGTCAGTCTGGTCTCAAACTCCTGACCTCTTATCTGCCCACCTCGGCCTCCCAAAGTGCTGGGATTACAGGTGTGAGCCACTGCGCCTGGCAGATTTCTTTCTTTTTAATGAACAAATGCAGAATTGGTTTTAAAACAAAAAGCAAGATACGATTATGAAAGGAAGCAACTCAAGGATCATCTTTTGTCACAAACACCACAGTGCTGTTAAGAAACGAGTCCGCATGCTGCTGGAATGTATGGAAAAGGCTGCCGTGCAGTCAGGAAGACAGGCCATGAGGCTCTGCGTGAGGCCCAGAGGTGAGTTTTTAAGCTATTCATGGTGACCACAGTTCACAAAGAATGTGAAGACACTGATTCGTCCAGAGAACAGCATAAACAAGGCTATTTAGGGATGGTAAAACTTGGATGCTATACTGAAAAGAACTGGGATGTTTTTGCCCACAGAGAAAAAAACTCAGGCTTGTTTTATAGAAAATATGGGACTCTGGCCAGGCGCAGTGGCTCAAGCCTGCAATCCCAGCACTTTGGGAGGCCTAGGCAGCCGGATCACTTGAAGTCAGGAGATCCAGACCAGCCTGGCCAACTTGGTGAAACTCTGTCTCTGCTAAAAAATACAAAAAATAGCTGGGTGTGGTGGTGCACACCTGTAATCCCAGCTACTTGGGAGGCTCAGGCAGGAGAATTACTTGAACCCAGGAGGCGAAGGTTGCAGTGACCCAAGATCATGCCACTGCAGTCCAGCCTGGGTGACAGAGTGAGACTCTGTCTCAAAAAAAAAGAAAATATGCGACTGTGTCAGGAATATGCCACAAGACAATTAACAATATGTGCCATTAAAAGGCCAATTAAACAGTCTTTGAGACTTAGAAGAAGAAAAACTTAGCATAAAGGGTCTCATGGAGGGAACCCTTGGTCAACTCCCAAGGGACTGTGGATAAAATTCAGGAAGTTTATAAATTGATGTGGGGAGCAAATTGCTTCTTTACTAACCTGTAATTGGAATTTAGCGTCTCCCACAATTCTGAATATAGGCAATGAACTCCAATAGAATTAGCAGTACCTGTGACTTTATCACTAACAAAAGTGATAAATAGGCAGGGTGTGGTGGCTCATGCCTGTAATCCCAGCACTTTGGGAGGCCAAGGAGGGAGGGCGGATCACGAGGTCAGGAGTTCGAGACCAGCCTGGCCAATATGGTGAAACCCCATCTCTACTAAAAATATAAAAATTAGCCAGGCATGGTGATGCACGCCTGTAATCCCAGCTACTCAGGAGGCTGAGGCAGAAGAATCCCTTGAATGCAGGAGGCAGAGGTTGCAGTGAGCCGAGATCACACCACTGCACTCCAGCCTGAGTGACAGAGCAAGATTCCATCTCAAAAAAAAAAAAAAGTCATAATATTTTCATATTACATTACTGTTGTTATGGAGATAAAATTACCGTCATTTCTTATAAAATGCATTACTTAGTTTGTTTCTTGCAATTACAGAATAAGAGAAATTGGATTGATCTTCCCACCTTTAACAGCTAAAAATCTAGATGTCATTGATGAAACAGTGGTTTTCAGACACTAGACAACAGGCAGCACAGGCCAGTGATAGGGAAGGGAAACAAACAAACCAGCTCAGCCCAATGACTGCTCAGTGCCCAGAGAGTGCCCAGGCCACCGTAGAGCCAGGGAAGCCCATGTGGGCCTGCCAGTCTGTCTGCGCTGAGTGGACAGTTGATGAGGGAGGCCAAGCGGCTAGAATTCACAGGGCAGCACTGAAAAGAGAGAGCTGCTCAGCGAGCCCCTGGAGCCTGCAGCTGAGTCATCATCAGCATGCGCCTGTGAGGAAACCACCTGAGGCTGGAAAAGAACCACAGAGGAGGAGAGGTAACAAAAACTGGAGCTCACAGAGACCGAAGAATAGTTCCTTTTCCCACCAGCCAGAGTAGAAAGCCTCATAACTGATGAGGCATTTGGTAGAGTGGAAATCTAGCCCTAGACTAAAGGATGCTCTTGTACTGCTTAACGATGCCTAAAGATACACCTCCAGGCCAGGTGCAGTGGCTCGTGCCTATAATCCCAGCAGTTTGGGAGGCCAAGGCAGGTGGATCACCTGAGGTCAGGAGTTCGAGACCAGCCTGGCCAACATGGCGAAACCCCATCTCTACTAACAATACAAAAATTAGCCTGGTGTGGTGGCGTGTACCTGTAATACCAGCTATTTGGGAGGCTGAGGCAGGAGAATCGCTTGAACCTGGGGGGCGGAGGTTGCAGTGAGACGAGATTACGCCATTGCACTCCAGACTGCGAAGAGCAAAACTCCAGGCAGCAAGAGCGAAACTACATCTCAAAAAAAAAAAAAAAAATACACCTCCAAAGCAGGGGTAGCAAAACCGTGTGTGAAGGACCAGAGAGTGAATATTCTCAGCTTTGCAGGAGGACATACAGTCTCTGTTGCAGCAACTCAACTCTGCCCTTGTAGCATGAAATGCAGACAATATGCAAATGCATAAGTGTGGCTGTGTTCCATAAAGAGTTATTTATAGATTGAATTTCTTAAATTTAATTTTCACCTGCCACAAAATATTATTCTTTTGATATTTGCAACCACTTAAAAATGTAAAACACATTCTTACCTCATGAATCATATAAAAGCAGAGGTGGGCAGGGGGCAGATTTGGCCTGTGGGCTGTAGCTTGCTGACCGTTTTTTCTTTTTTGAGATGGAGTCTCACTCTGTTGCCCAGTCTGGAGTGCAGTGGCGTGATCTCATCTCACTGCAACCTCCGCCTCCCAGGTTCAAGTGACTCTCCTGCCTCGGCCTCCCAAGTAGCTGGGATTACAGGCACTCGCCACCACGCCTAGCTAATTTTTGTGTTTTTAATAAAGACAGTGTTTCACCATGTTGGCCAGGCTGACGTTGAACTGCTGACCTCAGGTGATCCACCCACCTCAGCCTCCCCAAGTGCTGGGATTACAGGCGTGAGCCACCGTGCCCAGCCCACTTGCTGACCTTTGGTCAAAAAGATTGAACCATTTCTCATTAACTGTATACCAGAGCAAGGCTCAAAAATATTTAAAAGAATACAAAATAAACAAATAAATCTAGCACCCAACAATGTCAAATTCACAATGTCTGACATCCAATCAAAAAGTTCCAGCTATGTGCTGGGAGCAGTGACTCATGCCTGTAATCCCAATGCTTTGGGAGGCAAGAGGATTGCTTGAGCCCAGGAGTTTGAGGCTGCAGTGACCTATGATCATTCCACTGCACTCTAGCCTCGGTAACATAGCAAGACCCTGTCTCTAAAAAAGTAATAAACTAATTTAAAAATTTTTTTTAAGTTCCAGCTATGCAAATAAGCAGGAAAATATAATCCATAATAAAAGGAAGATTTGTGTAATATTAATAGACATAGATGACAGAATTAGTAGATGAAAATATTAAAACAGCTATTGAAAATATATGTCTAGGGCCAGGTGCAGTGGCTCACGCCTGTAATCCAGCACTCTGGGAGGCTAAGGCGTATGGATCACGAGGTCAGGGGTTTGAGACCAGCCTGGCCAACATGGTGAAACCCTGTCTCTACTAATAATACAAAAATTAGCTGGGCGTGGACGTGTGTGCCTGTAATCCCAACTATTCGGGAGGCTGAGGCAGGAGAATCACTTAAACCCAGGAGGTGGAGGTTGCAGTGAGCCAAGATCATGCCATTGCACTCCAGCCTGGGCGACAGACAGGGCAAGACTCCATCTCAAAAAAGAAAGAAAGAAAGAGAGAGACAGAGAGAGAGAGAAAGAAAGAAAGGAAGAAAATATATGTCTAAAAGGTAGAGGAAAGCATGAGATGTGATGGAGAAACATGGAAGATATAAAAATGACCCAAATCAAATTTCTAAAAAAAAAAAAAATACATCTGGAATGAAAAACATACTGGGTGGGACTAACAGTAAATTCAACACTGTATTAGAAAAGATTAGTGAGGCTGAAGATGGAGCAAGAGAAACTAACCAAATTGAAGCACAGGGAGAAAAAAGTCACAGGAAATAAAAAACCCACAGAAAGAAAACAGTAAACAACATCAGTGAGCTGTGGGACAACATCAAGCAGCCTAATATACATGTATTTGGAATCCCCAAAGGAAAGAAGATAGAAGAGGACAAAAAAAGAAGAAATAAAATACAGTACTTTCTAAACCTGCTGCTAGATCTTATTTACTATGTTAATTAAAAAGCATATCTATTACTAAATTACAAATTCATTTTTCAAAATGTCTCAATATAATTCATTACCTTTCAATATAATTGGGTTCCTTTGTAATCTTATGCTTTTAAAAGCATTGTTCTGAAAAAGGGTTCGACACCTCACTAGGACCACCCACTGGTCCAGGGCCCAATGAAGGTCAAGAGCCCTGTTGGCACTTGTACTCCCCTCTATGGTGGACCTGGCTCTCTGGCTGCTCCTCATTTATATTCCAGCCTCTGCTATGTTTCCAGGACATTCTGTGATAGAGTCTGCTATAATTCATGTATTTCTGTCACCTAGCACAAAGCCTGGCACCTTGCAGTTGTTTGCTGATCATTTAGTAAATTATGCATTTTTTGAAATGTTCTCTTTGTCCTCAGAAGATTAAATAAGAAGAAATACGTATACATAATGCAGATGAAATTCCTCCCAGACAAGCGGTAGTTGTCAGAGCTCATCAGGCATATTTTGCATGCCCTAGTCCATAAATCCTCCCAACAGCTGTGGGTGCAGATGAAGAAACTGATGCCCAAAGAAGATCAAGTCTTGCCCAAGATCCCTGAGCCAGTGAGTGATGGGCCAGGAGGACTGGAACCAGACCCCACCCCTGCCCCTGCCAAAACAGCCCCACTGAGCCAGGCAGATCAAGTTCTAGGTCAGACCATGGAGCCAGCGTGGGAAGTCCTTAGCAGTTCTGATCCTCTCAGAGGAGTCCCCAGGTTCTTCTAACACATGAGCCTACTCTTTTTTTCTTAAAGTGAATTTATATCATAGTGTCTCAGTCCATTTTCTGCTACTATAACAGAATACCACAGACCAGGTAATTTATAAAGGAAAGAAATGTATTTAGCCCACAGTTCTAGAGGCTGGGAAATCAAAGAGTACAGTGCTGGCATCTGGTGAGGGCCTTCGTGCCCCATGATAAAATCGTGAAGGAGGGCATCACTTGGCGAGAGGGCAAGAGTATTTCAGCTCAAGTCTCTCTTCCTCT
The DNA here is from genome assembly GCF_000001405.40 of Homo sapiens. NCBI lineage: Eukaryota > Metazoa > Chordata > Mammalia > Primates > Hominidae > Homo > Homo sapiens. The sequence goes on from NC_000008.11 coordinate 125,382,527, forward strand.
TCTTATAAAGCCGCTAGTTCCATCATGGGCACCCCACCCTGATGACCTTATCTGGTCCTAATTACCTCCCAAAGGCCTCACCTTCAAATAACATAAATATATTAATTTGGGAATCAAGTTTCCAACACATGAAATTTGGGGGATACATTCAAACCACAGCACACGGGTACTCTAGGAGGAGCAGTGGGTGGTGGGGAATTGAAGGCACAGTGAGAGGATGTCTCCATTCTTGGCCCTGCCTTAGCTACTCACAGCCTGTCTTCAAAAGATTCTGCAGGCATGTTTCTTGATTCTGTTGATAAGCAGAAAGGGTGGGGTCTTGGGAGGCTGTATTTGTTTTACGCATTACCTCACAAAAAGCCACACTCTTTCAAAAGATCACAAGTTCTTGCAACTAGCGTGTGACTTCCAATATCCAAGACAAATAATGGGAAATTTTTCCCCACTACCCTTCAACAAAAGGAGAGAGAAGATCCTACAGCATTGAAATGATTCTTCTGTTAGACGTAGGAGTAATACTATGAATAAAAAATTCTGGGTAGGTTGGAATACAACAGGCAAAAATATGCAACCTTCAGAAGCAGAGGGTCAAGCTGCAGCGCCCAAGAGTGTGGGTGGTGGTGGTGAGAGATGAATACCAGAAAAGTCTATTTAGACCATCCTTCCCCAACTCACCTACCTTAAAACAAAACCCCTCATGCATCTTATGGAGATTTGTTGCATGAACAAACACCTTCTAAAAAGAAGACACTGCCCAGCTGCTGTGGCTCATGCCTGTAATCCCAGCATTTTGGGAGACTGAGGCAGGTGGATCACAAGGTCAAGAGATCGAGACCATCCTGGCCAACGTGGTGAAACCCTGTCTCTACTAAAAATACAAAAACTAGCTGGGCACAGTGGCACGCGCCTATAATCCCAGCTACTTGGGAGGTTGAGGCAGGAGAATTGCTGGAACTCGAGAGGTTGAGCTTGCAGTGAGCTGAGATCGCGCCACTGCACTCCAGCCTAGGCAACAGAGCAAGACTCCATCTCAAAAATAAATAAATAAATAAAAATAAAATAAAGAAGACACTATCCTTGGAGAAAATTCCTCTCCCTCCACCTATCTGTCTGTCCATCCCACCAGCCATGGGTCAGTCCCATTCCAGTCCTAGTTCTGTGCTAGACACTGAGCTTAAAGATGACCAAGACCCAGATCCCACCCTGAAAGGACGACTTCTCGCTGGTTAAAGACACAAAATAACGAAGCTTATTATCAGAGCAGTGCATGAGTGCATGAGGCACAAGTTGTTGGAAGCAGTTTTGCCCTCCATGGAGCTGCCTTGCACTTCATTTCATATTCTCCCACTGCACTGGGTCCTTTCTACTTTGTGAGTTGTTGTAGGCGTCTCATCTGCCTCCCTTGGCTGTGCTCTCCTCAGGATGGAGTCCACGTCTGAGTCATGTTTCCCCCCTACGCATCAAGGTTTCTCAAAGTGAGGTCCAGGCTCGCCTTTATCAGTCGACCGGAAAAGCTGGTTAAAATGCATATGCCTGGCTGGGGGCGGTGGCTCCCACCTCTAATCCCAGAACTTTGGGAGGCCAAGATGGGTGGATCACCTGAGGTCGGGAGTTCAAGACCAGCCTGGCCAACATGGTGAAACCCTGTCTCCACTAAAAATACAAAAATTGGCCGGGCATGGGGGCAGACATGTGTAATCCCAGCTACTCTGGAGGCTGAGGCAGGAGAATAACTTGAACCCGGGAGGCAGAGGTTGTAGTGGGCTGAGACTGTGTCACTGCACTTCAGCCTGGGTGACAGAGCGAGACTCCGTCTCAAAAAGAAATTTGTTTCAATGCATATGCATAGGCTCACCCTAGACTGACCCTAGACTGACTAGACTGACTGAGTCAGAATCCTGGGAGGAATTATGCATTTTAACAAGCTTCCCAGGTAATTCTGTTACAGGACTTTCTCCTTAGTTCAGCTAAGCGTTGGGTCCTTGTCACACGGCCAAGAAAAATTAGGCTCGCAGACAATTTGATGGGTGAGAATAATAGAATTTATTTGGGAAAAGGGAAAAAAAGAGAAAGAGGAACCCTCTGCAAAGCCAGGGCCCTGCTAATGTGTTTCCCGCCCCACAGATTGAATCCCAGGTTCCACCCAGGAAAAGGAGGGACCAGGCTTCTCCCCACTGTAAACGGCATGAACTGCTGTGACTCCACCCCAGGGCGCGTTTCTCCCAGGGAGCAGGCCGGTTGGAGTTTTTCTGGGGACCCCTTCCCACCTAGCTGTTTCAATTCTAATTCATGCCCCATGTGAGGGTCCTGTACCTGATGCACCTCGCATATAAGGAAAAACCCAAATGAATTAATGTTTGGTTCATAAAGCCAAGCAGAAAAACATATATACACACTATAATTTTAGCTATTTAAAACAGCATATTCTTAAGCAAAAAGCTCAAAAAAGACCATAGTTGTATTTTGTACAAAAATGTAGAGAGTTGTACATCTTTTTCTTTCTTTTCTTTTTAATATTCTGTCTCTATACCCAAGGGCCCATTACATGATACAATCTTGATTATCACAAACCAACACACAAAAAAACCTCTCATTCCACTTTACCCTACCAATCTAGATGTCATATGTGTTGGAAGCTTGGGAATGGGCTAACGTTGTATCAGAGAGAGGTCTCTAACCATCTGCTCAGCTAGAGCGAGGCTCAGTTGATATTTTTGGCATGAATATTGGATTCTCCAAGAAAGCAGCATTTCCCAAACTCCAAATATTCAAACTCCGCTATCAAAGTTTCACCATATCCACCTGTGGCCTGTATTATTATTTGCTGAATTTTTTGGAGTTCAGCCTTCTCCTAAATAATAGAATGCATACAATCATGAGTTTGATGTGCTAAGTATCCTTAAATACATTGAAATCGATATGGAACATTAAACGAAAAGAAACTCGTGTTTTCTTGTTTTGTTTGTTTTGAGATAAAGTTGTTTTGAAACAACTCCGTTGCCCAGGCTGGAGTGCAGTGGCGCCATCTTAGCTCTCTGCAACCTTCCATCTCAGTCGCCCGAGTGGCTGGGACTACAGATGCGCACCACCATGCCAGCTAATTTTTGTATATTTTGTACAGATGGGGTTTCTTTCACCGTGTTACCCAGGCTGGTCTTGAACTCGTGAGCTCAAGAGATCTGCGTGCCTTGGCCTCTCAAAGTGCTGGGATTACAGGCATGAGCCACTGCGCCTGGTCGAAACTGGTGTTCTTAAAGCCCTAACAGCATCCCGGGTGACCCTTTGGGAGGCTGCTGCTGGAGCGGGGCGGGGGGCCCTGGCCGGTGCCCAAAGCCTTCCCACATTCTCCAGTGTTCTCCTAAGAACCTTCCTCCACGCTGCCCAGCATTGAAATGAAGAAGTCCCTGGAGAGCATGGCGACACCAGCACGAAGCTTCGGCTATTAATCATCAAGGCATACCCACCCGCCCACTGGGGTTGGGATTTCAGCATAGACTGTCAGAAGGGACAGGCCCCCAGCGGCTGTGCTTACCAGCAGATCTGAGTTTCACAGGAGAAGTGTGAGCTGGGGCTCAGACTCCCCGAGCGCCTCGGTGCTGCCATCCCAGGTCACACCCACACAGCTCAGCCAGCTGTTCCTATTGCTCCCACGAGTCACCAAGCATGAACTCCCCAACATGTCCCCATCTGTCTCCTTGAAGCAGGTGACATCCCTGTCAGCCCTGGGAGTCTGAAGGAGAAGCCTGCTGTTGTTGGCCTGGGAGACTTCCATTCTACAAATCTATTTTTCCTGTGGGCCTGTTTGCCTTTGACGCCACATATGTCCCGCATCCAACCACGTGTCAGAGGTGGCTGTTTAATGCCAGCCAAAGAAAACAAGCCTTTCCAGCGCTCTGCGCTAAAGGTGAGGTGACAGCTGGCAGATAGTTAGTGACTCACCCCGGTGGACGCCGCCCCACAGACGCGTTTTGAGGGGCTGCTACCAAGGGCACGTATCAAGCCAAAGATGGGAACCCAGGCTTGGCTGTTGGGTGAACAACGAGGGATTGCAACACCTTTTTAGCTAACCCCAGCTCTGCAGTGACAGGCGCTCAGGGAGTGAGGTTTAGGGAAGTCAAACGCCCTCAGTGTTTTTCCCAGAACAGCTGGACATGTCAGAAGACCCGAGTTCCAATTTCACTCTCTTACTTACTAGCTCTGTGACCTGAGGTGACTCACAGTAACTTCTCCGCACCTCAGTGCCTTCACCTGTGAAAAGGAGGTGGCCCCAGCTCTGCAGGGCTCTCGGGGCTGTGTTGAGTGAGCTCTCACCCCAGAGACGCTGGAACATTTGGCAGGATTCCCTCCTCAGCGGGTAGGAATCAAGCACGCAGGGGAGGGGCCTGCCTGGCTGCACCCCTGGTGAGCCTGGGCTGTAGCAGCCTCTGTTCCTGCTTTCAGGCGGTTGCAGCCTATTTGAATGCATGTGAATGCATGAAGATTAAATAACAAAAAGCACCAAGCAGTCTCAGAATGAATTAGCTTGGGGGTAGGTGGAAGTGGGGAGGAACCAGGATGGAGGGTGGTGGGGTAGTTAATTTTTCTAAAATGCCATTCCCGTCTTTGCAATTAATGTAGTCTTTCTCAAGATAATTATAGAGGGTCACATTGTGCCACCAGATCAGTGAGGCAGGCAGTAATCCTTCAGGAGGTAGGACTGGGAAAGTGCTCAGGATACCGTGGTCAGAAAAGACTTCACGGGCCAGGGGAACTTGCTTTGGGTAATGAGAAGGGTACCAGCTCGGACAGGTGAGAAGCAAAGGCCTTCTCTTACGGGAGCTAAGGCCCAGAGGTGGGATCCCAGAGGGACAGGACTGAAAGGAGAGGGGAGGGCAGGCCCAGGAGACCCAGATTCTACTGGGGACTCGAGCACAGAGGGATCCACTGGATGAACACCAGGTCAGTGTGCACTTACTGTCCAGTATTCAAGGCCTATACATAGCGAATTTTAGAAATGTTAGTAGTTGGGGCTGGGCATGGTGGTTTACGCCTGTAATCCCAGCACTTTGGCAGGCCGATCACCTGAGGTCAGGAGTTCAAGACCAGCTTGGCCAACATGGCGAAAACCCCACTCTACTAAAAATACAAAAATTAGCTGGGTGTGGTGGCAGGTGCCTGTAGTCCCAGCTACTCGGGAGGCTGAGGCAGGAGAATCACTTGAACCTGGGAGGCAGTGGTTGCAGTGAGCCGAGATCATATCACTGCACTCCAGCCTGGGTGACAGAGTGAGATTCTGTCTCAGAAAAAAAAAAAAAAAAGGAAATGTAGGCTGGGCGTGGTGGCTCACGCCTGTAATCCCAGCATTTTGAGAGGCTGAGATGGGAGGATCACCTGAGGTCAGGGGTTCGAGACCAGCCTGAGCAACATGGTGAAACCACTTCTCTGGTAAAAATATAAAAATTAGCCGGATGTAGTGGCACCCCACCCCGTAATCCCAGCTACTGCAGAGGCTGAGGCATGAGAATCACTTGAACCCAGGAGGCAGAGGCTGCAGTGAGCCAAGACTGCATCACTGCACTCCAGCCTGGGCAACAGAGTGAGACTCTGTCTCAGAACAAAACAAGTAGATGTTAGTACTTGGTTCATTTAAGAAACAATGGAGGAAAAAAAAAAAAGAGAGACAGACTCTCACGTTTAAAGAGAAAAAAACCAAAAGCCAAACCCTAAGCAAAAAGACCCAGGGAGAGTTAAACCACAGAAAGTGTAGAAAGAAGCTGTGCTGAGGGATTTAATAAAATTTCCGAATCATAAAAGTACACTGGGTGGGGTCTGGGAAGTGAAAGATACAGTCATCAGTATCATCCTTTTCTCCCCCGAAGAAGCCAACAAAGAGCCACTCAGAACTGAGGAACGCTGGCTGATGGGGGAAAAGGTAGCGGAGCAGCCCCGGCGCCTGTGCTGAAATCTGGCTTCTCTCCACTCAGATGAATGAGCTGGGAGGCGCAGCTTCAGGAGCGATTTGCAAGAGATGCACTCGGAGCTCAAGATGGACAGCAGCCTGGCCAACAGCTTCTCATCCTCTCTGGGCAACAGTCTTTCCCAAACGAATAGTGGACAGAACAAGGCTTTGGGGGCTGGAGTCCCAGACTGGAGCTCCGCCCGCTCCCCTCCCCCCACCCCTTCCCCGAGCCCTGAGACCGTGAGACTATGAGAACGTAGGATTCCATCTCAGGCTGTAGGATTCAGAGCAAGTCCCTGACCTCTCTCAGCCTCAGGACCCGTTCGTGAGATGAGAGGACACTCCTGCACCCTCCAGGGCAGCTGCAAGGTGGGAGGATGCAGCGTCCTAGTCAGTGTGCCTCTATCTGTCTATGTAGTTTATTCGTAGAACAAATAAGAAACTTGGACACGCCATGGCTGTGAGAGTGGGCTCCTAGGGAGGAAGCACGCTTTCTCTGTCAGTTCCCCCACCAGCAGCCTCCCATCTGGCTCTCCTGGATTCTTGGCGTTGAGACTCAGTCCGAATTCAGGAAGGATGCGGGAGTTAACAGGCTTCCTGGGCTAGCCTGGGAGCCACCCCACACAGGCCGTGGGAAGGTGCATCCCCATCTCAGGAGTTCCACTCAACAGATTTACCAGCAAACTCACGATCCACGTCTGTGAGTGGGAGGTTTCTGCCAATAACAGCCAATGCCACCACTTTGGCAAATCTGCCCTCTGAATTTGAACGTGTAGTTGCTGGAATTTGGTTTTTAAAATATGTGCTTGTGCGCACGGTGGGGAGGGAGTTAAAAACACATGCCCTTCCTAGATATTGTCTATTCTTGGAAATGCTAAAGCCATTCTCCAGAGGGAACTCAGCAGCAGCAACTACAGATGCCAAATCTAAGGGCTTGAACCCCAGCTCTGCCACTTAGTAGATGTGGATTTGGAGCAACTTTTTTGTGTGTCCCTTGGCCTCAGTTTGCTCACTGTAAAATGGGAGTTATTGTGTGGATAAACAAGATAACGCTTGCAAAGTGTGAAGGCTGAGTCCGGTGCATTGTTAAGTATTAAATAGGAGAGATTGGCCAGGCGCAGTGGCTCACATCTGTAATTCCAGCATCTTGGAGGCTGAGGTGGGTGGATTACTTGATGTCAGGAGTTCAAGACCAGCCTGGCCAACATGGCGAAACCCCGTCTCTACTAAAAATACAAAAATTAGCCAGGGGTGTTGGCGGGTGCCTGTAATCCCAGCTACCTGGAAAGCTGAGGCATGAGTATCGCTTGAACCTGAGAGATGGAGGTTGCAGTGAGTCAAGATCGCACCACTGCCCTCCAGCCTGGATAACGGAGCAAGACTCTGTCTCAAAAAAAAACAAAAACAAAAACAAAACAAAACAAAAAACAAGGAGCGCTTGTTAGCCGTTTTCTATTCCATAAATACTTACTGAGTCCAGCATTTAGGATCCCAGGATATGGTGGTAAAAAAAAGACACACACACACACAAGAAGTGAGAGGAGCTAGACAATGTGAGGCAGGCAAGTAAAATGCTGGGGGGAGAAGGGTGATAAGGGCCATGGAGAGAAACGAGCCAGGCAGGGGGAAAGAGTGGGAGAAGTTGCAATAGGGTAATTAGGAGAACCCACGTGAGAAAAGTGATATTGAGGCAAAGACCTGCAAGAGGTGAGCAACCTAGCCATGCCATACTGGGAAAGCATGTTCCAGAAAGAGAGCCCCCACGCTGCTGCTGCCGCTGCCACCGGACCTCCCCTCCCACTAGGGCTGAGGGAGACAGGGGTGCCGCTCTGGGCAATTCCCAAAGGGGCTGCTCGGCTGATAATTTACTCACTCCCAAGACCTCCAATTCTTCCTGAGGATGCCCCTCGCCTTGGTGGTCTTGGTGGTCGTGGTGGTCTTGGTCAGGCACCAGCTGTTTATTCCCGTCTCAGACCCTGCCCACCCTGCCAGCTCTGCCCCCATCTGCCCCTTGGCTTCCTCATCCCTCTGCCCTTGAGCCACGAAGAATGTTGTGCCTTCCTTGAAGCTCTGAGGCTCTCACCTGCCTGTGGCCTTGGCAGGTGCCATTCTCCTAGCCCGGACTCTTCCTGGCTTTCTCAACTCCGTCCCTTTCCCCCTCAATTCCTCCTTCTCTGCCAGGTCTCAGCTTAGTCACCCTCTCCTCCCCCAGGTCTTTGCTGACTCCCCAGTGCCCACCCTGCTGTCTGCCCTGGACGCTTTATCCACTGCAGCCTCTACCCCCCCCATCATAGCATTTAACACAGGGTTCCACTAGACCCCATGTTACTGAAGGGCGGGGACTGGCACTGTGCCGCCCTATGGGAAGCGTGCCACGAATATTTGCTAAAGGAACAAGTAAAAGTGGGGATATGTCTCCTCCTCCCAACCACTCCCCATCGCAAGCTTACTCCCCCACCCCCACCGACCCCACTCCCCCGGAACCCAGGAGAAGCTTATCCCTTCAGGGTTGTGCACTCTGGGCAGCATTTCCTCTTCTTTCCAGAAGCTTCCTGATAATATAAGTGAAGGAAGAAGCACAATCTTCCTCCCTGGAGGAGTGAGGGTGGGAGGGGGCTTTTTTTCTGGGGGCGCTAATCAGTTATCTGGTCAATGAATCAGCCAAGGAATTCTTTCTCTCTCTCTCTCTTTTTTTTTTTTTTTTTTTTTTTTTTTTTGAGGCAGAGTCTCGCTCTGTCACCCAGGCTGGAGTGCAATGGCATGCTCTTGGCTCATTGCAACCTCCGACTCCCAGGTTCAAGCGATTCTCATGTCTCAGCCTCCCAACTAGCTGGGATTACAGGCACCCGCCACCACGCCTGGCTAATTTTTTTTTTTTTTTTAGTAGAGATGGGGTTTCACTGTGTTGGCCAGGCTGGTCTTGAACTCCTGACCTCAAGTGATCTGCCCACTTCAGCCTCCCAAAGTGTTGGGCTTACAGGCATGAGTCACCGCGTCCAGCCTGCCAAGGAATTCTTCCAACCACCGTGGGTGACATGAAAGAAATCACTAAGTTCTAGAATTACCTTGTCTTTCATTAGTATCAAAGAGGTCCTGAGTACTGGAAATGGAAGCAAAAGCCCAGAAAAAAACTAGAGAGTGAGAAAAGAAACTCTAGATGTTGATATTTTTGCATTGACATCATTTTCACTCTGCTCTTCCGAGGGTGAGCCAATAATGGACTTATTGCCTCCCAAGGGGCTCCTGGAGGTGCGTTCCTGCTGTTCAAAACAGGGACACCAGAGGCCTGATCCCATGGAACAGTGAAGAACAAAGGAAGGGCTTGAACTAATCTCTGTCCTCGTAGTGGATGTGTGGGAACCTGCACCCCAATGCACACTCCCTCCAGGATGAAGGAACTTATTTTTCCAGTGACCAGGAGCGTGGGCTGCCAGCCAGTCCCTCTCCTTTCCCTGGGGCAGCCAGCACCTAATGACTGGTTGATAGGGGGTTACAAAGGGACCAGCACTTCAGGCTGAGGTCCCTGTTGCATCCACGTTGCCCAATTGGCTTCCTGCACACCCCGTGACCTTGTTCCCAAGAGCACCTCCCACACACCCCTACATGCAAATCTTCATCTCAGGAACTGTTTCCAGAGAACCCGACACAAGACAAACCAATATTTCAGAACTGTTAATACAAAAACTAGCCAGGCATGGTGGCACATTCCTGTAATCCCAGCTACTCAGGAGGTTGAGGAAGGAGAATCGGTTGAACCCAGGAGGGGGAGGTTGCAGTGAGCCCAGATCGCACCACTGCACTCCAGACTAGGTGACAGAGTCTCACTCTGTCTCAAAAAAAACAAAACAAACAAACAAACAAAAAACAACAAAAAAAACCAAAAACAAAACAAAACAAAAAAACAACTGCTATGTACACTGTATGTCAGCTCCATCATGGGTCCCACTGAGAGGTGTGGGCTAGCCCCAGAACCTGTACCTGTCATTGTGCACCTAGGGGAATGCATTGAGAGGTCAAATGACTGATTTCCAGTGACCTTTGAGGACAGAGAGATTCGAGGCCATAGCTAGCCCCCAGAGAGCGGTGGGACCTCAGGATTCCCAGGCTGGAAAAGTTCTTTTTTGGCATTTTAATCCAGGGCTTGGCAGCCTTCACAATTCGGAAGTTCTTCCTCACTTCAAAACCGGAATCCCTCCTTCTGTAATGTGTCCCTGTTTCCTCTCGCTTTTCCTCCATGGAGCTGTGTTCTTGCCAAGAAAGAAAGTTAAAAGGGAACAAAGGCATATGGTTTTTCCATTAAGACAGACACCCACATTTTAGGGAAGCCAGAGGAAAGCGTTCAAATAAGGGCAACGGAAATACATTTGCATGACACCAGCCTTTGAAACTGAGTTTTAAAAAGGTAACCACAACAATGAGTGCCCCTCTTTGCCCAGGTTATTACATTTGGGGGATAGTAAGAATGTATTGGAGACCCCCTACTCAGAGGCAGGTTACTGCAGGAGAGCCCTGGGTTTGGAGTCTGACAGCAAGCATTCAAAACTTGTTTCTGCCACTCACTAGCAGCGTGATCATAAGGAAAGGTGTTTGTCCTTCAGAGCCTCAGTTTCCCTTATTGTACAATAGGGGACATCAGCTACACCATGTTCATCTGTGTCACCGGTTTGTTGAGAGAGTTAAATTTAAGGGAAGAAAAAGTAGAGCAAACCATGAAGCACTGTAGAAGTGTTAATAATCAAGATTGAAATCCAGAACAACTGCCTGAGCAACTACTAGGTACAATGTCCTGTCATATATATATATTTTTGAGAAATTGACAAACTAATACTAAAACTCATATTAAAATGCAAAAAGACTTAGAACAAATAACTTCAAAAAAAGAACAAAGTTGGAAGACCAATGCTACCTGATTTGAAGTCTTATAATAAAACTATAGTAGTCAAAACAGTGTGGTATTGGCACAGAGACAGACCAATAGATACATGGAAGAGATGAGCATCCAGAAACAACAGATCTACACATATGAATAACTGCCTTTTTCTTCTTTTTTTTTTTTTTTTGCAGAAGCATAAGGGAAATCGCATGGAAAAAAGATACTCTTTTCAACAAATGGTGCTGAGTTCGAGACCAGCCTGGGCAACATGGCGAAACCCCCATCTCTACAAAAAATACAACAATTAGCCAGGCATGGTGGTGGCGGTGCATGCCTGTAGTCCCAGCTACTCAGGAGGCTGAGGCGGGAGGATCACTTGAGCCTGGAGGTCGATGCTTCAGTGAGCCAAGATGGTGCCACTGCACTCCGGTTTGGGCCACAGAGCTAAACTGTGTCTCAAAAAAGGAAAAAACAAACAAAACAAACGATGCTGGGACAATTGGATATTCATCTTCTAAAAAATGAACTTGAATCCATGCTTTGTGCCATAGAAAAAATTTAACTCAAACAGATCACAGGTCTAACTGTAAAACCTAGAACTACAAAACTTCTAGAATAAAAAAACATAAGAGGAAACCTTTGTGACTTTGGGTTAGACAAAGATTTCTTAGATGTGGCCCTAAAAGAACAGCCCATAAAATAAATGGATAAATTGAACTTCTTGGAAATTTTAAAACTTCTGCTTTTTAGGAAATACTGTTAAGATAATGAAAAAATAAGCCACAGATTGGGAGAAACTATTTGTAAATCATATATCTGAAAAAGGACTTGTAGCCAGAAAATAGAAATAACTCTTTTTATTTATTTATTTTTTGAGATGGAGTTTTGCTCTTGTTGCCCAGACTGGAGTGCAATGGTGCAATCTCAGCTCACTGCAACCTCCGCCTCGTGGGTTCAAGCGATTCTCCTGCCTCGGCCTCCCATGTACCTGGATTACAGGCACCCGTCATCATGCCTGGCTACTTTTTAAAATATTTTTAGTAGACATGGGGTTTTTGCCATGTTGGCCAGACTGGTTTCAAACTCCTGATCTCAAGTGGTCCGCCCGCCTCAGCCTCCCAAAATGCTGGGATTACATGCGTGAGCCACTGTGCCCGGCCAGAAATAACTCTTAAAATTCAATAATAAGAAAACAAACAACCTCATTACTTCTTTAAAATGGGCAAGATAGGCCAGGCAGTGGCTCACGCCTGTAATCCCAGCACCTTGGGAAGCCAAAATGGGCGGGTCACTTGAGGTTAGGAGTTTGAGACCAGCCTGGTCAACATGGTGAAACACCATCTCTACTAAAAATACAAAACTTAGCTGGGACTGGTGGCGCACCCCTGTAGTCCCAGCTACTCAGGAGGCTAAGGCAGGAGAATCGCTTGAACCCAGGAGGCGGAGGTTGCAGTGAGCTGAGATCGCACCACTGCACTCCAACCTGCGCAACAGAGCAAGACTCCATCTCTAAATAAATAAATAAACAAAAATGGGCAAGAGATTTGAACAGATACATCACCAAAAAACATACACAGAAGTCAAATAAATATATTCAAAGATGCTCAGGGTCGTCAATCATTGGAGAGATGCAAGTTGAATCCACAGTGAGACACCACAACACATCTCTTAGATTGGCTGAAATTAAAAAGACTGACTATACCAAGTGTTGTCAGGGAACACGTGAACATAGAACGTGGTACAACTACTTTGGAAAACAGTTTGGCAGTTTCTTTAAAAGTTAAATGTATGCCTACTACAATTTGGGTCTTCTTCTAGGAATTTACCCAAGGGAATGAAAATGTATGCCCACACCAAGACTTGCTCATAAATATTCATAGCAGCTTTATTTGTAATAACCCAAGGCTAGAAACACACAAATGACCATCAGCAGGTGAATGGAGAAGCAGCTGTAGCGGCCAAGGCTGAAGCCCTCTGAAGTGTGCACTAGGCTGGAGGCTTGGGAGCCTCTGGGCAGGGATGTTGCTGCTGGGCTGACTCTAACCTAGAGCTGGCCAATCCCATTCACCTGGTCCCTCTAAGGCTGCCTGAGGCCCTGGCAGCAGGTAGGGAGTCTGAAGCCTGGGTTTTGAGCACTGACCTTGCCACTGCTTGCCGTAAGACTTGCAGCCGAACAGAAATACGAGGCCGCCTTCAATATCACTTACTCTGGAATTCCCCTTCACCTCCTATGCTCCCATCAGAACCTTCCCATGCTGGGCTGTTTCTGCTCCATGAGGACAGTGACCTGCTCGTTCACTTGGCACACAATAGGTGTTCAATAAGTGTTTACCTACTGATTGAAGCACCTACTATGTGTTAGGCATTTGGCATATAACAGCTCATTTAATTTCTTTTTTCTTTCTTTTTCTTTGCAACACTCAAGCTGAAGTACAGTGGTTTGACCACGGCTCACTGTAGCCTCCTGGGCTCAAGTGATCCTCCCACCTCAGCCTCCCCAGTAGCTAGGACCACAGATGCACATCACCATGCACAGCTAATTTTTGTATTTTTTGTAGATGGGGTTTCACCATGTTGCCTAAATTGGTCTTAAACTCCTGGGCTCAGGTGATCCTCCCGCCTTGGCCTCCCAAAGTGCTAGGATTACAGGCATAAGCCACCACACCTGGCCCAGTTCATTTAATTTTTTAAACAACCTTGCACTGTGGGTTTAATCATGCCCATTTTAGAGATGAGGAAACTGAAGCTGAGTGAGATGACTTAAGTTGTCCAGAGACACACAGCTTTTAAGAAGTGGTGCTGACATTTGTTTTGTTTTGCTTTGTTTTGTTTTGTTTTTGAGACGGAGTCTCTCTCTGTCGCCCAGGCTGGAGTGCAGTGGTGCAATCTTGGCTCACTGCAACCTCCATCTCCCAGGTTCAAGCAATTCTCCTGCCTCAGCCTCCCAAGCAGCTAGGATTATAGGCGCCTGCCACCATGCCCGGCTAATTTTTGTATTTTTAGTAGAGACGGGGTTTCACCGTGTTGGCCAGGCTGGTCTCGAACTCCTGAACTCAAGTGATCTGCCTGCCTCAGCCTCCCAAATTGCTGGGATTACAGGTGTGAGCCATCACGCCCAGCTGATGCTGGCATTTGAACCTGGCTTCTTAGTGAGATTCTGAAGACCCTGAGCCTATTGCCACATTGGGTTCTCTGAGCCTGTAATGTGAGGACAACCTTCCCTTTCCCTCTCAGGGCCCCATAGAGCAGAGCCGAGAGAGTGCCGGCAAGCTCTCACTTTGCCCCCAGCGCTGCTCCTGTGATCCTGGAGATGAAAGCTTGTGGCCCCAAATGGGGTGAGCTCACCTCGTGGGGTGGGGTGCAGGGTTGGTGGTTGGCTGGTGGCCTCACGTTTCCCCAGTTGGTTCATGCTTGGGATGTGCCACCTGTGAGCCCGGTTGGGTCTCTTGTAGGTTCCCACGGAGATCAGCCTCTTCTGGTAGGTATTGGATGCTGCCTTTCCTCACTGACCGGGCGACGACTCCACTTACCCCTCCAGAGGCCTTAGTTGTCAACCCGACAGAATTACTCAGGGGAAGTCAGAGCTCATAATTATTTGACTAATCCTCATGTGGCAACACATCGGAGGTTGTTTTTTTAGCACGAGGCAGGGCCCGAGTGAGAGTGTTTCCCACTGCAGGCTTGCCTGTCTGGGTCTGCAGGCTAGGAACAGGGCGCCTCCTTCCTGGGAGCAGGGAGATGTGGAAATGTGGGTGGGAAGCTGCAGGGCTGGGTCTCCGAGACCCTGGAAACCTGCATCTCTCCATACATCAGCTTCCTAGGGCTGCTATTCAATGACTTGATGGTTTAAAACGAGGAATATATTCTCTCACAGTTCTGGAGGCCAGATGTCCGCGATCAGGTGCCAGCATGGTCTTACCCTCTGTAAAGGGCTCTAGAAGTAATTCCTCCTGGCTCTTCCAGCTTCTAGTGGCTCCAGGTGCTCCTTGGTTTGCGGCTGCTTCACTCCAGTCTCTACCTCCATCTTCACGTGGACTTCTCCTCTGTGCCTCTCATAAGGACACTCATCATTGGATTTAGGAGCTATCGGGATAGTCCAGGATGATCTCATCTAGAGATCCATAACTTAATCACATCCACAAAGATCCTTTGTCCATATAAGGTCACAGCCACAGGTTATCAGTAAACAAATCTTTCTTTCTGGGGGTGCCATTCAACCCACTACACCCTGGAAGGTGCCCTGCCCAAGCCAATTAATGGCCCAGACATTTTCCTCCTTGCTAGGTGCTTCTCTCATTGTCCTATCTTTTTTTCTTTTTTTTTTTTTTTTGAGATGGACTCTTGCTCTGTGGCCCAGGCTGGAGTGCAGTAGTGTAGTGGTGTGCTCTCGGCTCAGGGCAACCTCTGCCTCCCAGGTTCAAGCGATTTTACTGCCTCAGCCTCCTGAGTAGCTGGGATCACAAGCATGTGTGCCACCACGCCTGGCTGATTTTTCTATTTTTAGTAGAGACGGGGTTTCATCATGTTGGCCAGGCTGGTCTTGAACTCCTGACCTCAAGGGATCCACCCACCTAGGCCTCCCAAAGTGCTGGGATTAGATGCGTGAGCCACCTTGCCCCGCTCTTTTTTCATCTTCATCCCCACCTTCACTGCCCTATACAGGCACTTTCTTCTCTTGCTAGGACTGGTGCAGTAGTCTTCTAAGCTGCCCCAGTCATTCTGCCCCCTTTTCTCCTCTCCATTTCCTCTACTGCTCCAGAGTGATTTTTCTAACCCTCAAATCGCCTGGTACCCTTCCTTCTTCAGACACTTCCAAGGGCAAGTCCAGTCTCCTTGGTGTGGTGTCCAAGGCCCTGGCTGGCTGCTCAGCTTCTTGTCCAGGTTTCTGCCCACGTCTTCCACTCTGACCGGCCGACACTGTAAGGCCTTTAACAGACCGCTCCTCTCAGTCCAGGGGGACTGGTTTTTGTCTGATGCAGAATGTATATGCAGGGAAGGGGGCTCCTCTCATGGCTGGGAGACTCTCAGTGTGGGTTTAGGGCCATGGTTGGACTCTGGGCTCTGGGCAGTGGTAGACACTTTTCCAGCAAGCAGAAGAGATGAGTTCTAATCCAGATTCCCAGACCTGTTCCTGTTCTCCAGCACCTATGCCAAACCACTGAGGGGGAAGAAGGGATCACCGTTGTCCTTTCCTCTCTCTGATTCTAATTTGGGGGACATCGTGCAGGAATGGATGCTGGGGTGTTTAAGGACTCTTAGGATGCAGTGAGCTCATCACTCATGGTAGCTGTCCACATCCTTGATCTAGGCCCCAGGCTGCCCTTTCTTTTTTTTGTTTTTTGTTTGTTTGTTTGTTTGTTTTTTCTCTGAGACAGAGTCTTGCTGTGTCCCCCAGGCTGGAGTGCAGTGGCCTGATCTCAGCTCACTGCAACCCCCACCTCCCAACTTCAAGCCATTCTCCTGCCTCAGCCTTCTGAATAGCTGGGATTACAGGCACGCACTGCCACACCTGGCAATTTTTTTTTTTTTTTTTTTTAGTAGAGACGAGGTTTCTCCATGTTGGCCAGGCTGGTCTTGAACTCCTGGCCTCAAGTGATCCACCCACCTCCACCTCCACCTCCCAAAGTGCTGGGATTACAGGTGTGAGCCACCGTGCAGGGACCCAGTTTGCCCTTTCTCTGCCTATGCAGCCAAGCCGGCTCCCTCCCACCTGGCTGGACTGGCCCCGTGCTTGTCTATGGTGTTGCTGAGCAGAGCCAAAGTTCTACAAAACCCCAAGCCAGGGCTTACCCCCTGCAGCTTCCTTACATACTTTCCCCCAAGGTTTTTATTAATTTTTATTTTAATTAATTAATTTATTCATTGATTTTGAGACAGAGTCTTACTCTTTTTGCCCAGGCTGGAGCACAGTGGCACCATCATAGCTCATTGCAGTCTCAAATTCCTGGGCTCAAGTGATTCTCCTGCCTCAGAGTAGCTGGGAATATAGGTATGTGCGACCCCATACCCAGCTAATTTTCTTGATTTTTAGTAGACACGGGGTCTCACTATGTTGCCCAGGCTGTTCTTGAACTCCTGAGCTCAAGCGATCCTCCTGCCTCAGCCTACCAAAGTTCTGGGATTACAGGCGTGAGCCACCATGCCCGGCTCCCCCAAGGTTTTAACCAAGGTGCGGAACGGGTTCATGGTTGGGCTGTGGCAGCCAGAATGAAGAGGCCGTGTGACCCTGGGCAGGTCCCCTTTCTTCTGACCTTCATTGATAGGCTCCACTTCCCAGGAGCATCCAGGAAGATACCCAAATGGGGATGTGTCACCTGTGTGTCCATGTCGGTCTACTGGTTTCTCTGTTTCCATCTCAGGCTGCAGGCTTCGTGTGGATGAGGATGGCACCTTTCCTGTTCACTGACAGATACTCAGTGCCTAGCACAGTGCCTGGGACACAGGAGGTGCTCGAGAAATATTTGTGATTAAAAAAAAAAAGAATGAATGAGTATGGAAAAGAGGATCAAAAGGAAGAATGCAAATAGTTCCACATCCCACTCCCTCCACCACAGCAGCCACCCAGCTCTCCACCAACCTCTCTGGCTGCTCCTTCTCCGCCCACCATGAAGGTCAGTGTTCCTCGCCTTCTTCCTGCATTCGCCGGCTGTTCATTGAGTGCTCACCACGTGCTGAGTGCTGTGCATGGCGCTGTGTGTCTTCAATTTCAGTAGATGCTGCCAGATGGTTTTCCAAAGTGGCTGTTCCTGTGTCTCCTCCCACTAGCAATGGATGAGTGTCCCTGAGGTTCCACATCCTCATTAGTGCTTGATGGTGGGGACCTGCCCTTTCAACTCTTCTTAAAAAATTCTGGCTGGGCGCAGTGGCTTACCCCTGTAATCCCAGCACTTTGGGAGGCCTAGACGGGTGGATTACTGGAGGTCAGGAGTTCAAGACCTGCCTGGTCAACACGGTGAAACCCTGTCTCTACTAAAAATACATTAGCCGGGCATGGTGGCAGGCACCTGTAATCCCAGCTACCCGGGAGGCTGAGGCAGGAGAATTGCTTGAACCCAGGAGGCAGAAGTTGCAGTGAGTTGAGATTGCACCATTGCACTCTAGCCTGGGCAAAAAGAACGAAACTCCGTCTCAAAAAAAAAAAAAAAAATTCTAGGCCAGGCACAGTTGCTCATACCTGTAATCCCAGCACTTGGAAGGCCAAGGCAGGAGGATTGCTTAAGCCCAGGTGTTCGAGACCAGCCTGGGTAACATAGTAAACACTGTCTCTACAAAAGTTTTTAAAACAAATTATAAAAGGTAGCTTCAAAAAGTCACCCTGGACCATAAAAAAGAATGAGTTCACCGGGCGCGGTGGCTCACGCCTGTAATCCCAGCACTTTTCGAGGCCAAGGCGGGCAGATCACGAGATCAGGAGATCAAGACCATCCTGGCTAACATGGTGAGACCCCGTCTCTACTAAAAATACAAAAAATTAGCTGGGTGTGGTGGCACACGCCTGTAGTCCCAGCTACTCAGAAGGGCGAGACAGGAGAATTGCTTGAACCTGGGAGGTGGAGGTTGCAGTGAGCCAGGATAGTGCCACTGTACTCCAGCCTGGGTGACAGAGCAAGACTTTGTCAAAACAAAAACCAAAAACCAAAAAACAACAACAACAAAAAACAAAACAAAACAAAACCAAAAAACAAACAAATAAAAAACCAAAAAAAGAATGAGTTCATGTCCTTTGCAGAGACATGGATGAAGCTGGAAGCCATCATTCTCAGCATACTAACATAGGAACAGAAAACCAAACACTGCATGTTCTCACTCATAAGTGAGAGTTGAACAATGAGAACACATGGACACAGGGAGGGGAACATCACACACCGGGGTCTGCTGGGGGTTTGGGAGCAAGAGCGGGGAGAGCATTAGGACAAATACCTAATGCATGCAGGGCTTAAAACTTATATGATGGGTTGATGGGTGCAGCAAACCACCATGGCACATGTATACCTATGTAACAAACCTGCACATTCTGCACATGTATCCCAGAACTTAAAGTAAAATAAAAATAAATAAATAAAATAAACAAATAATTAAGCAAATAATATAAAAAAGCCACCCTGGAATCACAGGGCCAGTCATGCCAATCTCCCTGCCTGCTCCCCAGGGCCTCTGGAACAAAGTCTGTACATCTTATTCTGGTACTCAAGCCCCTCCAAGTGTGGCCTTTTCTGCCCACCTCCCCTTTCCCTCCTGCTCCCCTCCCCTTCACCAAACTACCCAGCATTCTGGAACCCAAGCAGCCTCTTTTGCCTGCAACACCGTTCCCCGTCTCTTTGCCTGGCATCCAGCATGCAGTTCAGCTGCCACCTTCTGCAGGAAGCTTTCCCTGATCTCAACTGGGTTTATGAGGTAGCCCTGCCCTGTGCCCCCAGAATCCCCTGCTTCTGTCTTTCCACACTCTGCAAGTGCCTGTCAAAGCATCTTTCCCCACAAACACCCAGGAGCCTGACTGTGTCTAGTTGGCCTCTGTACCCCAGCATCTGGCTTGTGGACAGCAGCATTCAATAACCGGCTGGATGGAGCCAAACCCCTCTCCTCTACCTGGGAATCTAACTTTATGTAAGGCCCTAAGGCCCGTGTGGCAGGAAACAGGCTCTCACCACAGCCAGAGGTACACCGGGCCTCAGCGTGGAGGCCTGACCTGGAAGACAGTGATTTTCAGGGTGCTGGAACCTTCTCCTATTTTTGGCAGCGAGTCACTCACTCCACTGAAATGGCTTTGGGCGCATGTAGAAAATTTGACAGGTATGCAGGCTCCAGGCTCCTCCAGTCCTCCATGTCCCCCTCCACCTTGCATCTCACCTGACACAGGCCTGGCTCTGAGGGCGGGGTTGGACCTCACAGGCCCCAGTGGGCAATCCGGATAAAAAGAATTGCTTATTGGGCCGGGCATGGTGGCTCATGCCTGTAATCCCAGCACTTTGGGAGGCCGAGACGGGCAGATCACAAGGTCAGGAGTTCGAGACTAGCCTGACCAACATGGTGAAACCCCGTCTCTACTAAAAATACAAAAATTAGCCGGGCGTGGTGGCGTGCGCCTGTAATCCCAGCTACTCAGGAGGCGGAGGTGGGAGAATCGCTTGAACCCAGGAGGCAGAGGTTGTGGTGAGTTGAGATCATGCCATTGCACTCCAGCCTGGACAACAAGAGCGAAACTCCATTTCAAAAAAAAAAAAAAAAAAGAATCGCTTATTTTTCATGATCTCATGGAAAAATGGCCATGATGTTTAGAATATCTGTTGTGCCTTGGTCCCAGGTAATGACCCCTGTGTTTCAGTCCCAGAAGCCACATGGGGATGGCCTGGAACAGTGAGGGCAGGAACTTTGGGATGACCCTGCTGTGGGTCAGCTTGGCCTGATGACTCTGGGGCTTTGTGCAGATTAAAAATTAACAAGAGGGACCTGATGAGGTGGCTCACACCTGTAATCCCAGCACTTTGGGAGGTCACAGTGGGCAGATCACTTGAGGTCAGGAGTTCCAGACCAGCCTGGCCAACATGGTGAAACCCCGTCTCTACTAAAAATACAAAGAAATTAGCTGGGCGTGGTGGCGCGTGCCTGTAATTTCAGCTACTCGGGAGGCTGAGGCAGGAGAATTGCTTGAACTTGGGCGCTTGAGGTTGCAGTGAGCTGAGATCATGCCACTGCACTCCAGCCTGGGTGACAGAGCAAGAATCTGTCTCAAAAAAAAAAAAAAATTAACAAGAGGAGTCTCTCCCCTGACCAGCTCCAGGCCCAGGGCCTGCCTTTGAGTGATGCGCTGAGGATTCACTAAGGAAAGAGATGGGCCCTACCTGAATGCAGACATTGGTCTGCAGGAGGTGGTAGTGGGAAGACTGAGATCCGGGCCAGTGAGGAGTGAGGAGCAGCATCTAGGCGGGGGGCGGCAGTGGGGTGGGGAGCGCAGTTACTGAACACCTGTTTGGGGCCAGGCACAATGCTGGTGCTCTGGGGCCGCTGTCTCCTTCCCACCCCTAGAGCACAGCCTTTATCTAAGCCCGGATAGAGGCTGGGCTCCAGGGGATGGAAGGAGACAGTGGCCCTGGAGCACCAGCCTTTAGATAAAGCCTTTGCATAAAGCTCAGACCTCTCTCTCACCTTACAGAAGAGCCAAGTGAGGCTCCTCAAATCAAGGATCTCACTCTAGATTCGGAGCTGCTGTGAGGCAGAGCCAGGAAGCTGCCCCTAAGGGGCCGCTCAGGGCTGGGCTCTTCTGGAGATGGACTCTGGCCTGCCCTTCTCTGCCTCCTCCTTCCCACCCGAGGAGCCTGCATCCAGCTGTGGCTGAACACTCCAGGGAAGGAAAGACAGCAGATGACGGGCAGGGCGCGGTGGCTCACGCCTGTAATCCCAGCACTTTGGGAGGCCGAGGCAGGTGGATCACCTGACTCAGGAGTTCGAGACCAGCCTGACCAACATGGAGAAACTCCGTCTCTACTAAGAAATACAAAAAAATTAGCCGGGCATGGTGGCGCATGCCTGTAACCCCAGCTACTCGGGAGGCTGAGGCAGGAGAATCGCTGGAACCCGAGAGGCAGAGGTTGCAGTGAGCTGAGATCATGCCATTGCAGAAAGTCTGACGGCACTTGTATCGTGCGTGGGGAGTGTCAGGCACTAAGCAACTGGGCAACAAGAGTGAAACTCTGTCTCAAAAAAAAAAAAAAAAAAAGCAGACGGGTGGGGGGTGAGACCATCTGCTGCTGTAAGCCTGGAGGCAGTGCTTCCTGTCTCTCTCTCTCCCTCTTTCCTTCCTTCCTTTTTTCCTTCCTCCCTCCCTCCTTCCCTTCCTCCCTCCCTCCCTCCCTTCCTTCCTGCCTGTCTCCCTGCCTACCTTCCAGTCTTCCTGCCTTCCTCCCTCCCTTCCTTCCTTCCTTCCTTCCTTCTTATCAACAAAGGATGATGGAGGATGCACTGGTAAATGAAACAGACATGGCCGCTAGTCTGACGGCACTTGTATCGTGTGTGGGGAGTGTCAGGCACTAAGCAAATAATTGCACAAAGAATTTTCTTATGACGGTCAGTGATGCAAAGGCGATCACTGGGAGCAGGAGTAACAGAGTGGTCCAGGTAGTTTAGTGTAGGGGCTCAGGGAAGCGGGACTGTAGCTGAAACCTGAAGGGGAAGTAGGAGTTGGTGGGGAGAAGCAGAGGGGTGGGTGGTGAGGAAGAGGCCCCTGGAAGAGGACTCTGCGTGTGCAAAGGTCCTGTGGCAGAAAGTGCCCAGCACTATTACATAGAGAAGAAGGCATGGCTGGAGCATGATGGTGAGATGAGGTTAGAGTAAGCAAGGTCAGGCGCAGCAGCCTAGAGGGGTTTGGGTTTGATTTTATTTGATGAGGACGTGGCATGTTTTGGGAAGTCAGCTCTGGGAAGTCACACTGGGCTGCTCCACTAAGCCATCCCATTTCCTTCCCTGGGGTCCAGCCAGGCGAGTGCCCTCGATGGCTCTGTGCACACAGAGGGTGCCCTGACTTAGAGACACATTTGCGTGTCCCCCGTGTCTGAGACACGGGCGGTGTTCCGAATCCACTTGCTGAGCATCCCCGGGTGCTGGGCAGAGGCCCTCGGGCTCTCTCCCTCTCTGTCTGCCTCAGACAAGGTGGAGCTCTGCCCTCCTGGCTCCGGAAAGACACCTCATATTCCCCAACCCACGTCTGTGCCTCTACCCGGGAACTGCCCCCTTCAACAGCCTTTCTGTTCCGCAGTTACTCACACGGATTCCTGTGCTGGGTGAACGACAATGGGCCACAACCCACCTAGTGCTTCCCGGGAGGAGCTGGCAGAGGGGCTCTGAGTCACCTGCAGGTCAGTTCACAGGAGGCTCAGCTCTTCCTACTCTGCTCAGGCCCCTCCTGGGAAGTGCACTCAGACCCCACGCCACTTCCTGGCTCTCTTCGGGGCAGAGGGGCCAGAGCACATGGGGACTAACGGGGTTTAAAGCTCTGGCTCTGCAGTCAGACGGATACAGGATACTGATGGCTACGGGCAGGGCCCGACTCTGTGCTTCCAGCGGCTGCGTGGCCTTGGCCTTGTTACTCACAGCGCTGAGACTCCTGAGGACAGAGGGAGCGAGGAGTCCGCTTTAAAGGGCTTTGTGAGATCTGAGTGTCTGCCAAGGGCCTGCCACAAGGAGGGAGCTCAGAACATGCAGACGGGACAATGATGACAATGATGCTGATGATGAAGGTGTTTGGAGCAGGGCTCTGCAGAAGTGGGAGGTGACCAGATGGCCCAGGAGCCTCTGGGAATGTTCTCAATGCCTGCCTCCAAGTCTGGCTACTGCCCCAGTTCAGGGGACTGTTCTGTAGTGAGTGACTTAGGCCTGCTGGACACGGGCCTTGGCAGGGATGGATCCCACCTAAGGAATATGAAAGAGCCAGGGAAATGGACTCCCTGGGCTGGTCAGAAGGTGGGGGAACTGCTGCTTCTAGCTGCCAAAGATAAGGTTCAGGGGCACCCCCTCTGCTACCTACTCAGACTGTCCACAATTTCCTCCAATTCCTGATGAAGCATCCACTAACCGCTGGTATTTGGGGGACATCCTCCCTGAGGAGGTCCATTTTTGAGCAGTTCCACTAAAAACAATGATCAAAAACTTACGATGTCAGGCCAGACACTGTGGCTGAAACCCAGCACTTTGGGAGGCCGAAGCGGAAGGATCTCCTGAGGTCAGGAGTTCGAGACCAGCCTGGCCAACATGGTGAAACCCTATCTCTACTAAAAATACAAAAATTAGCCAGGTGGGGTGGTACACGCCTGTAATCCCAGCTACTCAGGAGGCTGAGGCACAAGAATCGCTTGAACCTGGGAGGCGGAGGTTGTGGTGAGCTGAGATTGTGCCACTGCACTCCAGCCTGGGAGACAGAGTGAGACTCCGTCTCAAAAAATAAATAAATAAAAAGAAAACTTATTATGCCCATTTCTCATTTCATTATGTGGACAACTCTGCAACAAGCCTATTTTACAGACGAGGAAATGGAGGCTTAGAATTAAGGATTTGCACCTGTGGCAGAACTTGAGCTTGATCTTTTCCAGCTCCTCCTACTCAACCTCAGAATTGAGCTTCCCCTTTGGTAGAGACAGGGTTTCACCATGTTAGCCAGGCTCGAACTCCTGACCTCAAGTGATTCGCCTGCCTCAGCCTCCCAAAGTGCTGGATTATAGGTATGAGCCACCACGCCTGGCCGAGCTCTAACTTAAATCTCAATGAAATAACAGGAAAAAGATCCTCATGGTCATTGGAGCTCTCCCTACAGAATCTTGGTAAACTTTAAATGATCTTGCCTCTGGACGTTAACTAGGCTGTCCCCTCTACTGGAATTCCCTCCCAAGCTGGGAACATCCGAATTAGCCTTCAAGATTTTCTGTAGGTGTCCCTTCCTCCCCAAAGAGGCCAAATGAAGAAACCTTTGGAAGAAGCAGCAAACGGAATGGTCTGAACATGGAAACTCTCTTGCCGAACTTATAAGAGTAAAAGATAGTGGAAGGTCTTGGAGCTACTGGGGTTCCACAGCTCTCTCCCCGGCACCCATCCCGCCACTGCACACACCTTAAAGGCAGAGACGGTTGTTTGCTTCACTGTCCTTGATCCTGGTGCCTGGCACATAGTAGGTGCACAGGAAATGTTTGTTGAATAAATCCCTGGATGGGTGGGTGGAAGTGGACTGGCGTCCCAGCTCTGTTCCTGGCTGCCTCAGCCCTGCTGGCTTTTCCCAAAGCACAGAGGACAGTGCCCGTGTGATGTGGAGAAAGCTGGTGCACGCTGCTGTGTAAAAACCAGTTTATCAGAGGGCCCCCTCTAATCTGAGAGGAGTGCCTGTGGACAAATCAGTGGAAAGCCTCCATTCACGCAGAGGGAACATCTTTCTCCTGGCTGTGGGGTTTTCACACCCTCTATCTTTTCTACTCCCTATAGCAACCCAGTGAGGGAGGCAGGCTGAGTGTTTGATACCCATTTTACAGATGAGGAAACCCAGACCCTGAGAGGCTAACATAGAACTTGTGCAGTCACACAACTAGTAGCTGGTAAAACCCAGGGTCCTACACAATTATTACAATTAATATAATTATACAATTCATACCAATTAACTGTATTTCTTTTTCTTTCTCTTTTTTTCTTTTGTGACGGAGTCTCGCTTTGTCGCCCAAACTGAAGTGCAGTGGTGTGATCTCAGCTCACTGCAACCTCCTCCTCCTGGGTTCAAGCGATTCTCCTGCCTCAGCCTCCTGAGTAGCTGGGATTACAGGCATGCTCTACCATGCCCAGTAAATTTTTATATTTTCAGTAGAAATGGGGTTTCACCATGTTGGCCAGGCTGGTCTCGAACTCCTGGCTTCAAGTGATCTGTCCGCCTTGACCTCCCAAAATGCTGGGATTGCAGGTATGAACCACTGCGCCGGGCCAGTTAATTGTATTTCTAATTTGTAAAAAGAAGTACTAATTAGAGCTTCAGGCCTGGTGACTCCAAGCCCCTGTGCCTATCAGCATCCTGGGTGGCACAGGACAAACACCCCTGAATAGTCCGTGGAGGAAGGAGAGGGTGCTGTCTGGAGGAGATGGCCTGTCCCTCACCTGCCCCTGGTCTGCCACGCGCAAGCCCAGACCTCAGCTCCTTCTCCAGGCTAGACCCCCACTGTGCTTCTCTTTTTCTGAACTCCTGGGACGAAGCTTTCCCCTTCCCTTAAGATGCTCCAGGGTGGCTGGGCGCGGTGGGTCATGCCTGTAATCCCAGCACTTTGGGAGGCCAAGGTGGGTGGGTCATCTGAGGTCAGGAGTTCGAGACCAGCCTGATCAACATGGTGAAACCCCATCTCTACTTAAAAATACAAAAATTAGCCAGACGTGGTGATGCATGCCTGTGATACCAGCTACTCAGGAGGCTGAGGCAGGACAATTGCTTGAATCCAGGAGGCGGAGGTTGCAGTGAGCTGAGATTGCACCATTGCACTCCAACCTGGACAACAAGCGAGAAACTCTGTCTCAAAAAAAAAAAAAAAAAAAGATGCTCTAGGGTCAAGCTTCAAGCCTGACACATAGGTGTCCACTGGATTACTGAGCCCTGGATCCATGGCAGCTGCACTTGGTCTGACCCCGAGCAACTTGTCCTACAGACTGGAGCTTGAGTTCATGCCTGACTATTTCATGTTTGATCATCACAACTCTTTAATTATTTTTTGTATGTTCTTTTAATATTTTATTATAAAATAGCTTAAGTATATATAGGTATATATGTTTGCACACACTCATATATACACATACATATATAAAAACTCTCTTTTTTTTTTTGAGACAGGGTCTCACTCTCGCCCAGCCTGGAGTGCAGTGGTACAGTCACAGCTCATTGCAGCCTCCACCTCCTGGGCTCAGGTGAAACTCCCACCTGAGCCTCCCAAGTAGCTGGGACTACAGGTGCGCACCACCTCACCTGGTTAATTTTTGTATTTTTTGTAGAGACAGGGTTTCACCGTGTTGCCCAATGTGGTCTTGAGCTCCTGAGCTCAAGTGATCGATCCACCTGTCGCCCAAAGTACTGGGATTATAGGTCTGGGGTGGCCTAAAACCCCATTTTTTAAGTTGTAATATATCCACCTACTCTCTCTACTTTCTTTTTTTTTTTGAGACGGAGGCTCGCTTTGTCGCCCAGGCTGGAGTGCAGTGGTGCGATCTCTGCTCACTGCAAGCTCCGCCTCCCGGGTTCACGCCATTCCCCTGCCTCAGCCTCCAGAGTAGCTGGGACTACAGGCGCCCACCACCATGCCCGGCTAATTTTTTTGTATTTTTAGTAGAGACGGGGTTTCACCGTGTTAGCCAGGATGGTCTCGATCTCCTGACCTCGTGATCCGCCCGCCTCGGCCTCCCAAAGTGCTAGGATTACGGGCGTGAGCCACTGCGCCCGGCCTAATCTCTCTACTTTCAAAAAAGAAATATAGGCCAGGCGCAGTGGCTCACGCCTGTATTTTTTATATCTCAAAAAAGAAATATAGAGAGCAGTGGAGGGAGAGAGATAGTTTCCTATAGCTGCTGCAACCAACTACCACAAACTTAGTGGCTTAAAACAACATCAATCGATTATCTTACAGTTCTGATGTTGTGGACTCCAGAAGTCCAAAATGGGTCTTACTGGGGTAAAATCAATGTGTTGGCAAGATTGCATTGCATCTGGAGGTTTCAGGGGAGAAGCCATTCCTTGCCTTTTCCAGCCTTTCTTGGCTCACGGAATGCTTCCATGCTCACTCTGACCTGTGCTTCTGCACTCACGTCTCCAACAGCCAGAGCCCAGCACCAGATATGTGAGTGAGGCTGTCTTGGACAAGACAGCCTCCACTGAGCCATCGACTGATTGCTGTTGCATGGGTGAACCTGGTTAAGAGTAAAAGAACTGCCAGCCGATCCCACCCCAGAATGCTGACTCTCACTTGTGAGCTAATAAAGACTGTTGTTTTAAAACCTCTAAATTGGCCAGGCGCGGTGGCTCACGCCTGTAATCCCAGCACTTTGGGAGGCCGAGATGGGCGGATCACGAGGTCAGGAGATCGAGACCATCCTAGCTAACACGGTGAAACCCCGTCTCTACTAAAAAGTACAAAAAATTAGCCGGGCGTGGTGGCGGGCGCCTGTAGTCCCAGCTACTCGGGAGGCTGAGGCAGGAGAATGGCGTGAACCTGGGAGGCTGGAGCTTGCAGTGAGCCGAGATCGCACCACTGCACTCCAGCCTGGGCGACGGAGTGAGACTCCATCTTAAAAAACAAAAAAGCCTCTAAATTTGGCCATGGTCGTTTGTGCAACAATAGATAATGGACATAGGAACAGACACCAACAGCACCACCATTTTGTGCTCTTCTCTCCTTTTTTGCCTCGAGAGTGGATGTAATATGTGGAGCTGCAGCAGCCATCTTGCAACCTTGAGGGAAAGACCAACAGAATCATAGTATGATTGGCTTCGACGTCACTGTGCTGCCAAAAATGCAAGAACAGTTCTTCTGTTCTGAATTTCTTTCAATGTGAGAAAATAAACCCCTATTTATTATAATACTATAATTTCAGTTACTCGCAAACTAAAGAATTTCTAATGAATACATGGCAAGTTGCCAGGCCTCTGAGGCAGCTGGGAAAGGATCTTCAGTGGCCAGGAATTAAGAAGACAGAAATGATGTTTGATGAGGGAAATTTGTGACCTGGGTCCAGGGGGGTTCTGTTCCCTCTTCTGAACCTTGACATGCCTTCAGCACAAACATCCACAGCACATCCTTCCGGTGGAGAGAACTTGGAGCGGACTCCAGTGAAGAATGCCTGGAAACGCACCTAAGTCCACCCTCACTGATAGGACTCAGAGCGCTTGTCCCTCTGCCATGTCTTCTGTGAAGGGAAGTGACTCACGGCAGTTATGAAACTCCAAGGCCAATGTGTATTTACATTTTTGCCCTCTCACTACCCTGGCCAGGAAGATTTCCAGCTTGAGGTAATTCTCCCAAGGGAATCTTTGCGGGGAGGGAGGAGTGGCTGAAGGGGGTGGGATTGAACGCAAGGTAGAGTGAATAGAGCACAAAGGTGAAGGCCAGTGGGTGCTACAGAAGGAAATATCCCAGAGCCGGCCCAGGGCCAGCCTGGGTCCCCTTACTGTGATTCCTTCTCCTTTCTGGAAGATTCCAATTCAATCTGTGGAGGGAGAGCTCTCCTGCACTTCCCCTCAACCACACCCTCCCCCATCCCCCTAAATGTGCTGTTTCCTTTAATTTACAAAAGCTCTTTTTTTCTGAGACAGAGTCTCTCTCTGTTGCCCAGGCTGGAGCGCAGTGGCACAATCTCGGCTCACTGCAACCTCCGTCTCCCAGGTTCAGGCGATTCTCCTGCCTCAGCCTCCCGAGTAGCTGTGATTACAAGTGTGTGCCACCACACGTGGCTCATTTTTGTATTTTTAGTAGAGATGGGTTATCACCATGTTGGCCAGGCTGGTCTTGAACTCCTGACCTCAAGAGATCCGCCCACCTCGGCCTCCAAAAGTGCTGGGATTACAGGCATGAACCACCACACCGAACCTACAAAAGCTCTTTTCTGGCCGGGCGTGGTGACTCAGCCTGTCTTTGGGAGACTGAGGCAGGTGGATCACGAGGTTGGGAGTTCAAGGCCAGCCTGGCCAAGATGGTGAAACCCCATCTCTACTAAAAATACAACAATTAGCCGGGCATGGTGGCAGGTGCCTGTAACTCCAGATAGTCGGGAGGCTGAGGCAGGTAATTGCTTGAACCCAGGAGGCAGAGGTTGCAGTGAGCTGAGATCATGCTACTGCACTCCAGCCTGGGCGACAGAGCTAGACTCCGTCTCAAACAAACAAAAACAACAACAACAAAAAACAAAAACAAAAACAAAAGCTCTTTTCTTATCCATTTTGCAGGCAATATTAAGGGCTGATATTGATTAACTGTTTACCATAAGCCAGGCGTACGCTAAGAGCCTTACTTGCATTAGTTAAGAAAATCCTCACAACAAGCCTATAGGTGGGTTTTAAAAGGGTCATTTGACAGATAAGGAACCTGAGCCACAGAGAAGTTAAGCGACTTGTCTAAGGTCACACAGCTTAGCCTGTAAGTAGTGCAGCCAGGATTACAACCCAGCCATTCTGACTTCAGAGTGGAAACTCTTAACTATCTCCCTGTCCCCTGTGTGGAGGAGGAAGGCCCAGAAAGGTTAAGTGACTTGCCTGATGCTGCAGAGCCATGATTTGCAGTTGGGTCAGTGTGGCTACAGGCCCCTTGCACTTGCTCTCTTCCTGTCACCTCTGCCATTCTCTCGCCCCTCCTAATAGCATCACCCATTGTCTCCAGTGTAGGGCCCTAACTGTGGAGAAATGAGCACTAGACCAGGAGTCTGAAAGTCAGAATCCTTTACTTATCCAGCGACCTCGAACAAATCAGTGTTCTCATCTGTGAACTGAGACTTGGGTTTGCTCCTCCCACCTGAGAGGACCTTGTGGAGCAAATGGGATTAGGGGCATGAAGAGCTGGATCCTCATGGGGTTATTGTTGGTGCTCCCTTTGTTTCTCTGACGCCTAGCCTTGGGGTAACTGTTCTTCCCTGTGGTTTGACCTGGAGGGCTGTGTTCTGGCAGCTGGGTGAGTTTGGGATTTCCTGGTGCCACTTAGAATTACCAACCTCCATAAAACGCTCAGGGATGCAAGGGTTTTGCAATCAGTTATTGCATCAGGAAAACTCTCTGAATAGCCTCATTCTACCCTCTTGCCCGCCCAGGTGCCGGCTTAGCCAACGGGAGGTTGGGCACCGAGGGGAAGGACAGAGATTTCCTTTCCTATCACGCAGACAGTGCCTGTGGCAGGAACTTCGGGACCTTGGATCTACCCCAAACACTGCTGGGGAAAGTGCTAGTCCTCTGGAGGGGTAGGGAGAGACCAGGAACCAAAGGAAGACTGGGGAGTGAAGTAGGGAGGGGGGTGCCTGAATGAGTTGGGCAGCAGCTCTCCTGCCCACCCCTCCAACCCCAAGTAGCTCTCAGTCCTGCCCTGCCGCTGTAACACAGCACACAATGCATCCCCTCCTGGAGCCTGGGGTTCCTCATCTGCAGAGTGGGAACCATAGTTTATCCCTATGTCATAGAGCGGTGATGAGGATTGAATCAGCCCACGCGCATGTACATCCTCACTTCCAAAATTAAGTCCTCAGGTCAGGCATGGTGGCTCATGCCTGTAATCTCAGCACTTTGGGAAGCCGAGGTGGATGGATCACTTGAGGTCAGGAGTTCGAGACCATCCTGGCCAACATGGTGAAACCCTGTCTCTACTAAAAATACAAAAATTAGCCAGGCATGGTGGCACACGCCTGTAGTTCCAGCTACTCGGGAGGCTGAGGTGGGAGGATCACTTGAACCCAGGAGGCAGGGGTTGCAGTGAGCCGAGATTGTGCCACTGCACTCCAGCCTGGGTGACAGAGTGAGACTCTGTCTCAAAAAATATATATAAAAAACAGAATAAATGAAAGAAAATTAAGTTCTTAGTAAACACTAGCCATGGTCATTATTATTATTATTCTGTGACTCCAAGTGTCATATGTGACCCCGGAAGCACCGTGGAAATCCCACGCCTGCCACCGCAACCTTGAAACCATTTCTCTGACCTCTCTAAACCTCATCTTTGTGACGAGACTACGCCCACTAAGTCCGTGGGGCAGTGGTGTGAATTCAATGAAAATCGAGTCTGGAGGACCCAGCCCAGTGCGGGGTGCAGAGGAAGTGCCCGTCAATGGTGGCCTTTATCCTGACTCCAGCTTGGATGGGACTCTGAGGGAAGCTGAGCTCTGGAGCTCCAGGAACAGAGGAAGCGATTGTGCAGAGGTGAAGGGGGGAGGGCCCCTCCTGGAGAGGGCAGTGAGAGTTGAGCAGAGTCCTACTTCCACTTATTATCCACGGTGGCATTCATCCTCCCAGCCTGGGAACAAGTGAAGGAGGGGATCTTTCCAGGACCTGGCACCCCCAAGATTTTCCCATGCCCTCTGTTTGCACACAGGTTCCCACCCAGGGGCCATAACATATTTTTAACCCTCTCCTACCCTGTGAGCCATTTTCTCATAAACATCATTTGAGATGTGAGCTCAGAATAGATGATAAGAGACTGGCCGTTGTCACCACTGAAGGCAATGAAGAGGTGCCCCCTAGGCAGCGGTGTGTGTGCTGGAGCTGCCCAACTCTGTGCACACTGACCTCACGTGAGCAGATTCAAATGGGCCAGGGTGGGAGCATTTACACCGTGGAAATCGGCAAACACTGCCACCAGAATCAACTGTTCCCACATTCACCAGCACACCCCTGCTCCCAAGAACTTGGAAATGAGGCTGCTGTCAGAGTTAAAGCAGAAATTCCACCCCCAGGGCATGTGATTGGCCTTTGGTGGGGGAAACCAGGGGGCTGACCATAGGGTGAGACATGGGTTGTGAGAGCACCCCAAGCTCTTAACTCCTATCAAGGTAAACCAGAGCAACTCCTAGATAAAGAACTGGAGAGTGGGCCGGGCGCAGTGGCTCATGCCTGTCATTCCAGCACTTTTGGAGGCTGAGGCGGGTGGATCACCTGAGGCCAGAAGTTTGAGACCATCCTGGCCAACATGGTGGAACTCTGTTTTTACTAAAAGTAAAACAATACAAAAATTAGCTGGGCATGGTGGCAGATACCTGTAATCCCAGCTACTAGAGACGGAATGGCTTGAACCCGGGAGGCAGAGGCTGCAGTGAGTTTTGCTCTTGTTGCCCAGGCTGGAGTGCAATGGCGTGATCTCGGCTCACCGCAACCTCCGGCTCCCAGGTTCAAGAGAGTCTCCTGCCTCAGCCTCCCCAGTAGCTGGGATTACAGGCGCCCACCACCATGCCAGGCTGATTTTTTGTATTTTTAGTAGAGACAGGATTTCTCCATGTTGCCCAGACTGGTCTCAAACTCCAGGACTCAAGCGTTCCGCCCGCCTCGGCCTCCCAAAGTGCTGGGATTACAGGCGTAGAGCCGCCACACCTGGCCAGGGTTGGTTAATTCTCAGGTCTCTCTTCTTGGCTTGTTGGTGGCATCTTCTCCCTGTGTCCTCCCAGGGTCATCCCTCAGTGTGTGTTGTTGTCTGTGTCCTAATCACCCTTTTTTTTTCTTTTTTTTTTTTTTTTACTAAGGACATCAGTCAGATTAGATTAGGGCCCACCCAGATGACCTCATTTTACTTTACCTCTTTGAAGGCCCTATCTCCAAATGTAGTCACCCTGGGGCTTAGGACTTCACCATATGAATGTCGGGGCGGGGCACGATTCAGCCCATTGCTCCAGTAACTGGCTCAGACATGGGCATGTGACCCACATCTGGCCAAAGTGCTGGGATTACAGGTGTGAGCAGTGGGAAGGTTTTGGCTCACTGCAGCCTCCGCCTCCCGGGTTCAAGCCATTCTCCCGCCTCAGCCTCTCTAGTAGCTGGGATTACAGGTGCCCACCACCATGCCCGGCTAATTTTGTCCGCTGGAGGGGAGTGCTGGCTTGCCTCTGGGGAAACTCTTCTTTCCTAAGGGAAAGCACAGAAAGAGCGCTCTCCTCCTTCTTTGAATGTTGTCATGTTGAGATTTGATACTGGACCCACTGCAGCCAAGCTGAGGCCTGCCTGAGTGGGGAGCTGACCCACTGGAGATGAGGTGGTGAATTAGTAGACCCTGAAGCCTCCTCCAAGCTGTCCTGTGGGTTTAAGCTGGTTTAAATGAAGGTTTTTTTTTTTTTTTTTTTTTTTTTGACAGAGTCTCACTCTGTTGTGCAGGCTGGAGTGCAATGACATTCACTCCACCTCCTGGGTTCAAGCGATTCTCCTGCCTCAACCTCCTGAGTAGCTGGGACCACAGGCGCGCACCACCACGCCTGGCTAATTTTTGTATTTTTAGTAGAGACGGGATTTCACCATGTTGTCCGGGCTGGTCTTGAATTGCTGAGCTCAGGCAATCCGCCCCACCTCGGCCTCCTGAAGTGCTGGAATTACAGGCATGAGCCCCCGGGCCTGGCCCTTTAAGTGGAGGTTTTGGTTACACCTGCAAACATCACAACTGCCATCGGAAGCAGAGACAGGTAGGGGTCCACCTACACCTGCTCTCTGCATCTTCCTGGGCTCACTTCCCAGCTGGCCTTTTCATTGGATGAGAAATGTAAATGTGAGTGGAGGCTGTCCGTGCCATTGCCAGGCCAAGTGGGCGTGCCTCCCTCATGCTCTCGTCCTCTGCCAGCCAACTGGGACCTGGATGTGGCTGAGACCTGGGCTTGATGGTGCGAATGGGATGCTGGAGCCATAACATGGAAAGAGACTACATCCCTAAATTCCAGCAATTGGGAATGGTCCCCTCAGAAAGTGACAGGGGGGTGAAACAGACTTTTGCATCCCTTAAACCACTTTTTTGGGGGCTTTCTTTGTTACCGCAGCAGAGCTGTGCTTTAACTAATACACCATCTGTGCTCTGTAGAGTGGAGGGATTCTTGCCAGCGCTAACTTAGCCAGAACTGTATCCTAGGATGACTTTCCCTTTAGAGACAGAGATGGCTTCAAGCTACCCTGGCTACAAAATACTTCCCAATATCCGCCACATTTGCAGATTCCGTTGGTACAATTAACTTTCTGATAATGTGGCTTCCTGTGGGTGGCTCATCTGGGCAAAGTGAATGTTTTCATTGATCGGCTGATGCGTACATCCTGGCCTGCCGGATGGCTGCCTGTCTCAATGCGATTCTTGCTGTCTATCAAATTCCAGGAGCTGGTTCAAGTGAATCTTTCTTGGACATGGCTCCACTCTCAACAACGACAACCTCACGTTCCAGGGGCTGGTCCATGGGGGGCTTTCTGGCAGAACTGACCTCTCTTGTGTCCCTCTTCTGGGATCCATTTCATTCTTCTCATCCTACGATTCTCTGTGCCCTTCCTTTTCCATTCCGGCATGAGTTCACAGAGAACAGGGCTGCTGTTTACTTCTCTACTGCCGGTGTGGAATATGATGCTTGGCACACAATAGAAGCTCAATAAATGTGGGCCAAAGGACAAATGACTCTGGCCCAAGGACAAGGATCCCTTCCAGAGCCCGGTCCAGGTTTGTCCCAATACACAAAAGGTCTTATACAAACAAGTTTTGATCAATTGAATTGTGTTGTATGTGAGCTAGGTAAGCCCTCCCTCCAACCCACGGGTGAGGCCATATGTAATCTCACTTAAGCAGTGCTTAGGCAGAGGCTCTTGCGGGGCAGTTTCCTAAGGAGTGGAGCAAAGAGAAAGCAAGCCTGGGAAGGAAGTGGAGAGAGGGGAGAGGGAAATACAAGTGTCTTGCTATGGGCCAACCTGGGGTTTGCTTGAATCCTGACTTCCAGTCTTTTATTTGTATTTATTTATTTTTTGAAACAGGGTCTTGCTATTGCCCAGGCTGGAGTGCAGTAGCATGATCATGGCTCACTGCATCCTCGACCTCCCAGGCTCAACTGATCCTCCCACCCTAGCCTCCTGAGTAGCTGGGACTACAGGCGTGTGCCACCACGCCCTGCTAATTTTTAATTTTTTTGTAGCAACGGGGGAGGGGGGGGTCTCACTATGTTGCCCAGGTTGGTCTTAAACTCCTGGACTTGAGGGATCCTCTCGCCTCAGCCTCCCAAAGTGCTGGGATTACAGTATGAGCCACTGCGTCCGGCCCACTGGCTCCCAGTCTTTTTAGCTGTGTGACCTTGAGAAAGTGACTCAGCCTCTCTGAGCCTCCCTTTCCTCAGCTGGAAAATGGAGATAATAGTAACCACTTGCAGGGCTGTTTCGAGGATGGATGAGATAATGTATACAAAGTACAGCAAGTGACATTGAGTCAGTGCTCAGCATCGGTGGGTTCCTTTCCTCAACAAAGACAAATAATCTATGACCACACATCCTCCCAACGAAGGAGGCTGCCTGAACCCACAGGCTGTGTGGACAACTCCACCTCTGCATTCTTTCACAGAAAGCCAGATTTTTGTCTACCAGGTTTGCATAAAGTGAGGTATAGCGTCTGTGAACACAGTCTGTGGCTTCTGAGCTCACAGTGGCCATTACTCAACCCAGAGGAGAAAAGACTTCTATGCCTCAGACGCTTGGTGATCTGGCATGATTTGGCCCTGGCCCACTTCATCTTTCAGTTCACGGTCTGCAGCACTCCTCACGAATATTGCAGAAGAGCCACTGGCTGAGAGTATTTTTAAATGGAAACCCCAGAAACCAAACGGTCCTGTGCTTGGGGCTAGCTTTGTTCAAGAATGAAAGGAGACAGTCTTGGCGGGCTGAGTGAGGGAAAATGGTCTGTTTGAAGGGGAAAGATGAATTACTTCAAAATAGCCTGCAGAACTTGGATCAGATCATGGTAAGGTGGGGACTTCTTCTTCTTCTTCTTTTTTTTTTTTAATAAGAAAAAGGAAAAAACAACTTGTGGATATGCGTGTGTGTATGTATATGTTTTTTGTTTGTTTTCTGTTTTGTTATATTTATTTATTTATTTAGTTTTGAGACGGAGTCTCACTGTGTCACCAGGGCTGGAGTGCAGTGGCCTGATCTCGGCTCACTGCAACCTCCGCCTCCTGGGTTCAAGCGATTCTCCTGCCTCAGCCTCATGAGTAGCTGGGATTACAGGCACCCGCCACTATGCCCAGCTAATTTTTTGTATTTTTAGTTGAGACGGGGTTTCACCATGTTGGCCAGGATGGTCTCGAACTCCTGACCTCGTGATTCACCTGCCTCGGCCTCCCAAAGTGCTGGGATTACAGGCGTGAGCCACTGTGCCTGGCCACTTTTTTTTTTAGGCAGAGTCTCACTCTGTCTTCAGGCTGAAGTGCAGTGGCATGATGATCTCGGCTCACTGCAACCTCCGCCTCCCGGGTTCAAGTGATTCTCCTGCCTCAGCCTCCCAAGTAGCTGGGACTACTGGTGTGCACCACCACACCTAGCTAATTTTTGTATTTTTAGTAGAGACGGGGTTTCACCATGTTGGGCAGGATGGTCTCGATCTCTTGGCCTTGTGATCCGCCCACCTTGGCCTCCCAAAGTGCTGGGATTACAGGTGTGAGCCACCGCGCCTGGCAATGTCTATGTTTTTGGTGAGTGCTTTCTGTACCGAGATGACTCACTGGTGCAGCAGAGCTTGTAAGGTCTGAGCACAGGGACCTTCCTGAGACTTGGGAGATGCTCACTGGGATTGCAGGGCAATTGTATGAGTGTTTAGAAAATGACTTTTTTCCTTTCAGCTCAGCTCACACTGATCCATGCAGGACAGAAGAGGGCATCTCGGGTCGGCAGGGCCCTCTTGCATGTGGTTGTACAGGGCTGAAATCCAGCCTGCTCTCCGCTGGCCAAGCCCTCTGCTCTGCTGTGGGGGCTACCTGTGCCCTGCTGCAACCCATCCAGAGGGTAGGGCACCCTTTTCTAGCTAGCACTGAAAGGTGTCCTATGGGCTGAAGAGGCTCTGCCTGTTGGACTTCCTGACTCATCTGGAACAGTTCCAGAATGTTGTTCTGGTTGTCTATGGCTAGAAGTGTAACAAACCACTCCTAAACTTGGGGCATAAAGCCGTTCTGTGGGTCAGGCCACACAGGACAAGGGGCGGGGGAGCCCGGGGTGGGGTGAGGATGGCGCTTGTCTGCTCTGTGGTATCTGAAGCTGGAGCATTCACCCCTAGGGTGGCTTCCTCACCCCCTGTGTGGTACCTGGGCTGGGACAGCTGTGGGACGGGCTCAGCTGAGTCTGTCATCTGGAGGGGCTCCCTGTGGCCTCTCCAGCATCATGTTCTCAGGGGAGAGGGGATTCTTACCTGGCTGCTCAGAGCTGCAACTGCCAGTGTCCAATGGAACCAGGCAGAGGCTGCATGGTTTTTATGACCCAAGCTGGAAAGTCTCAGAGTGTCACTTTCATTGTGACATTGGTTAAGGCAGTCATAAGGCCACCCAGATTCAAGAGACTCCCGCCTTTTGATGGGAAAAGTGGCAAAGAATTTGCAACAGTATTTTTAAAACTATCACAGTGGGGCTGGGCACGGTGGCTCACGCCTGTAATCTCAGCACTTTGGGAGGCCGAGGCAAGAGGATCACTTGAGGTCAGGAGTTCAAGACCAGCCTGGCCAACATGGTGAAACCCCATCTCTACTAAAAATACAAAATATTAGCCAGGTGTGCTGGGATGTGCCTGTAGTCCTAGTTACTTGGGAGGCTGAAAGGGAAGGATCGCTTGAACCTGGGACACAGAGGTTGCAGTGAGCTAAGATTGTGCCACTGCACTCCAGCTTGGGCAACAGAGCAAGATCCTGTCTCAATAAATAAATAAATAAATAAATAAAAAATAAAATGATCACAGGGGTCTTCTGGGTGGGGCAGATAGGAAGAAAGGAGGCACCCCTTATACCTAAAACACCCTGCTCCCCTTTTGTCCTCTCCCTTGGTTGGGGGACATCTGTTTCCAGGCTCTGGACCCCTTTTCTGCTATCTGGAGGGTCTCCCAGGAAGGGAGGGTCTCAGGGGAGCATTTTTGGGGAGTAAACTCAAAGGTCTCCAGGGTCCAGGCTGCTAACCTAAATGTGATGTGGTGGATGTTAGACAGTAAGGAGTGGTGGGGGCTGTGGTGAACTAGACAGTGCATGCCTCACTCCCCAAAGAATTGCCAACACTGAGATGGGCTAACAAACGTGGCCTAAGACTGGATTTGCCCTGTGGGTTCCTGGCTCATGATTCCTGATATTAAATAAAAGAATTAGTGTCAGAGATGAATGGGACCTCAGAGATCACCGAAACCACTAAGGTCAGTGGTTTTCATTTTTTTACTCAGGAGCGGTGGAAGCCTTTTCTCCAGCAAGATCTTACAGAACAAGCATCATCTAGAACATTTGGCGAAAGCTGGCATGGGTAGCTCAGAGACTCACATTAGCTACCCGCTCTCTCCCCAGATGCCACCATAGTAACCTTAAGGTTGCAGGGAACTCAGCGTGAACATCACCAGTTCAACAGCTTCATTCAAAAAGGAGAAAAACAGCTGGGAGCAGTGACTCACACCTGTAATCCCAGCACTTTGGGAGGCCGAGGCAGGTAGATCACCTGAGGCAGGAGTTCGAGACCAGCCTGGCCAACATGGTGAAACCCCTTCTCTACTAAAAATACAAAAAATTAGCTGGGCATGGTGGCGAGCGCCTGTAATCCCAGCTACTAGGGAGGCTGAGGCAGGAGAATCGCTTGAACCCGGTAGGCGGAGGTTGCAGTGAGCTGAGATCGCGTCACTGCACTCCAGCCTGGGCAACAAGAGTGAAACTCCGTCTCAAAAAAAAAAAAAAAAGAAAGAAAGAAAGAAAGTTGCAGCAAAATAACTCAGAAAGACATGAAGGGTGTGTCAGCATTTGACCCAAGGCAGGCAGGCATGGTGCTATGTTTGCCCCTGGATCCAGGAAACCCCCAGCTCTGACCTTCAGAAGCTTCCAGTCTGGCCACCCCTACAATGCCTGCAAACACTGGACCAGCCATGCATGGAGACAAGTGATAGACTGTCCATGGCCCTCCAAGTCCAGCTCTTCTAGGAGGTCTCTCCTGATCCTTCCTTCTTCTCCCTGCTAAGTGATTCTCTTCCTTCTCAGCACTAGACTGTAGGTAGCTATTTGTCTATGTTTCTGTTAATGTGCCTTTCTCACTATGGCTCGTTCCTTGGAGGGCAGGGATTGTACTAATTACAGATCTGATCAAGAAGAACATTTTACAAGGGTCAGGAGTGGTGGCTCACACCTGTAATCTCAACACTTTGGGAGGCTGAGGTGGGCGGATTGCTTGAGTCCAGGAGTTCAAGACCAGCCTGGACAACATGGCAAAAACCCATCTTTACTAAAAATACAAAAAATAGCTGGGCATGCTGGCGCACGCCTGTAATCCCAGCTACTCGGGAGGCTGAGGCAGGACAATCGCTTGAAACCGGAAGGCAGAGGTTGCAGGGAGCTGAGATCTCATCACAGCACTCCAGCCGAGGTGACAGGGTGAGACCCTGCCACACACACAAAAAAAACAAAAACAAGCAAACAAAAAACATTTTACGCTGGGCGTGGTGGCTCATGCCTGTAATCCCAGCACTTTGGGAGGCTGAGGTGGGCGGATCATGAGGTCAGGAGATCGAGACCATCCTGGCTAATGCGGTGAAACCCCATCTCTACTAAAAATACAAAAAATTAGCCGGGCATGGCGGCTCGTGCCTGTAGTCCCAGCTACTTGGGAGGCTGAGGCAGGAGACTTGCTTGAACCCAGGAGGCAGAGGTTGCAGTGAGCCGAGATCGGGCCATTGCACTCCAGCCTGGGCGACAGAGCAAGACCTCGTCTCAAAAAAAAAAAACAAACAAAAAACATTTTACAAGTAAGAGACCGTAACGTGCATGTGAGGAGGGAGGAGAGAGGGCCTTGGCAAAGTGCTCTGGAATCCCTCCTGGCAAACCAGTACCTCCCTTAGACCTGGACAATCCAGGCCCTCGCTGGTCCTCCAGGAGTATCCTTTCCACTGAGCAAGGGCCGGGGCCTACACAGAGCCTGTGCCTGCCCTTCCAGACCCAATTCCAGGTACCTAGGACCCTGGGATTCCCTGCCCTAATGGTTTGGAACATGCGTTTGGGACTCAGGAGTCTTTTTCCTGGGTCCCATTTTCCCAAGACAACCTGTTGACTCTGCTGTGTGGACCTCTAGGCCTATGGGTGGTCAAGGAAGGGCCAAGGGGTGTGTGTGGGGTGTGTGTGTGGGGTGTGTGTGGGGTGTGTGTGGGGTGTGTGTGGGGTGTGTGTGGGGTGTGTGTGGTGTGTGTGTGGGGTGTGTGTGGGGTGTGTGTGTGGGGTGTGTGTGTGGGGTGTGTGTGTGGGCTGTGTGTGTGGGGTGTGTGTGGGGTGTGTGTGTGGGGTGTGTGTGGGGTGTGTGTGTGGGGTGTGTGTGGGGTGTGTGTGGGGATCAGGTTTGGATGTGTCATCTAGGATCTCCAGGGCAGGCCGTGGAGGCCCTACATGGTGAGGACTGAAGGAGGGAAGAGAAGCTCAGGAGGGAAGATAAGGGAAAACAGGTCACAGATCAGAAGCCTCTGTTTATACTCTTGTTCAGGACTCCACAGATGTTAGGCCTATGCAAATCTAAGGCTTCCTGTGCTCTTAAAGAAAGAGAAATGTTTGGATAGAATTTTTCTTCATTAGGAGATTGAGGCAATGTATAAAGCAGAAAAGCCATGGCTAGGATTCAGCCCTAAGAGGGTTCAATTCAACTTTGCCACCTTCTGGCTGTGTGACCTTAGACAAATTAATCAGCTTCTCTGAGCCTGTTTGTGCATCTGTACAAATGGTGGTAATAACAATTTTTTTTTTTTTTTGAGATGGAGTCTCATTTTGGCACCCAGGCTGGAGTGCAGCAGCATGATCTTGGCTCACTGCAACCTCCGCCTCCTGGGTTCAAGCGATTCTCCTGCCTCAGCCTCCTGAGCAGCTGGGACTACAGTTGCTTGCCACCATGCTTGGCTACTTTTTGTATTTTTAGTAGAGATGGGGTTTTGCCATGTTGGCCAGGCTGGTCTCAAACTCCTGACCTCAAGTGATCTGCCCGCCCCGGCCTCCCAAAGTGCTGAGATTACAGGTAAGAGCCACCCCGCCCAGGATTTTTTTTTTTTTTTTAAAAAAAGGTCTTGCTACATTTCCCAGGCTAGATTTGAACTCCTGGGCTGAAGTGATCCTCTTGCCTCAGCCTCCCGAGTAGCTGGGACTACACGTGCGTGCCACTGCATCCAGCTCAATAACTATTTTCCATGATTGTTTAAACATTAAATTAAACAACAGGAAAGTGTCTAGAATTGGCAGGAACACAATACATGTTTTTGTCTTTCCTAACTTTTGATATATTGTCTTCCCTAAATATGTTCCTTTTTTTTTTTTTTTAAAACAGAGTCTTGCTCTGTCACCCAGGCTGGAGTGTAGTGGTGCAATCTTGGATCACTGTAATCTCTGCCTCCCAGGTTCAAATGATTCTCATGCCCCAGCCTCCTGAGTAGCTGGAACAACAGGCATGCACCACCACGCCCGGCTAATGTTTTTGTATTTTTAGTAGAGATGGGCTTTCGCCATGTTGTCCAGGCTGGTCTCGAACTCCTGTCCTCAAGTGATCTGCCTGCCTCAGCCTCCCAAAGTGCTGGGATTATAGGAGTGGGCCACTGCGCCCAGCCCCCAAACTTTTTAATTCATTTTATTTTTTAGAATGTAAGGTCAGGGAGCATAATGCACTGGACGCATACCCTCTGTGTGTGGCTACAAAGCCTCATGTGCCGTGAGACAGGGAGATGGAAACTGGGGGCCCTGGCCTCTAAGGATTTCCATTTTAGAATGGGTAGAACACTCAGAGCCTTCCTAACGTTGCTGCCATGCATCTACCTTGGCATGAATGAAAATGAATCAAGCCAGAGGTCATCAGCAGCCTAACCTTGTCCAAAAAAATCGATACAGGTTTCCCCATGTTATGTAATATGTGAGCTCCTGAAAAGTCAGAGTTAAATCAATTTTCTCACAGCTGACCATGTACTGAGCATCCAGCATCAAGCTGAGCATCATGCCGAGGCTACGCAGGACACACACGCATGCACGATCAGTGGTGATTCTGGCTTTCAGGCCTCATCATAAATGCACCAGAGGAGCTTGTGGATGGCATCGCTTGGTAGAGACCCTTTAATATGGGAAGAATGACTTCCTAATTACCATCCTATTTATTTAGATATTTGTATTTGTCGATTTGGAGTTTCATAGTACGGTCTTTTTGTTTTTTTTTTCAATTCTCACATATAGCAAGTCCTTAATGAATATTTGTTGACTAAATGAATACTGTTCAAAATCAAGGCACACCCATACCTGATAATCTCCCACATTTGGGTCTGGCTGGATGATCCAAAAGTACTTTCCACATATTTATACTTCCTCATTTCCATTAAGAACTGTGTAGGGGAGGAGGCCAGGCTCAGTGGCTCGCACCTGTAATCCCAGCACTTTAGGAGGCTGAGGCTGGAGGACTGCTTGAGCCCAGGAGTTCGAGACCAACCTGGGCAACATGATGAAACCCCATCTCCACAACAAAACTAAACAAAACTAAACTGTGTAGGAGAGGAAAACCAGGCCTTTATTACGCCCATTTCACAGGTGAGACAACCGAGGCTCATTAAGAGCCACTGGCTTCCTCAAGTGAGTATCTGAAAAGTCTGAGGGAATTTCAGTCCAGATTTTACCAGTAGGGAAGCCCTCCGCAAAGAAATCAAGACAATTTTAGCTGCCTTGTGCCTCGGCCTGCCTTATCTCAGGCCTTGCCAAAGGTCCATGTTCATCTTCCCCGGCATGCAGGCTGGGAGCCCCACAAGCCCCTGCTTTCCCCGACACTCCACCTCCCATTACCTCTCCAGGGCCAGACGTCTAACTCCGAAATCTGTGCCCTGCTCTCCAGCCCCTGTCTCTGTCTGAAGTCCAGTGTTTCCTCTCCATCTGTCATCTCAGGCTCTCCTTGTGGGTGACCCTCTGCCCTGGAGTGCATTTATTTGGTTGACACTTACTAAGCCCCCTCTTTTTTTTTTTTTTTTTGAGATGGAGTCTTGCTCTGTTGCCCAGGCTGGAGTGCAGTGGCACAATCTCAGCTCACCACAACCTGTGCTCCCCGGGTTCAAGCGATTCTCGTGCTCCAGCCTCCAGAGTAGCTGGGACTACAGGTGCCTGCCACCACGCTTGGCTAATTTTTGTATTTTTAGTGAAGACGGGATTTCACCATGTTGGCCAGGCTGGTCTCAAACTCCCGACCTCAAGTGATCCACCTGCCCGGCCTTTCCAGAGTGCTGGGATTATAGGCGTGAGCCACTGTGCTTGGCCTAAGTCCCTCTTTTATAACGGACACTGGGCTGGGGGCTGGATGAACACGAATGAACAAGACACAACCCCTGCCCTCTGGGAACACAGTTGCGTGGAAAGGGTCACGAGAGATAGTTGGACAGAGGACTCGACAGCATTTGGTAGGACACTGAGATCTGAGTGCAGGCGCTGGGGAAATCCGGATGGTGTTTTGAAGGATGAGTAAGAGTTCCTTTCCTTGGAAAAGGAAGAGAGGGAATTCCAGTGGGAGGGAACAGCGCAGGCTGAAGTGCAGAGATGTGAATTGGCAGATAGATCAGTTTGGGGCCCTGCCAGGAGCTGGCATGGGTAGGACAGAGGGGAGGAGGCAAGAAAGGTGAGGCTTGGAAGGGAAGTGGGCCTGGAAGGTGAGGCTCGGAAGGGAAATGGGGCTTGGAAGAGGGCCTACTTTTCCATACTGTGGTGTTTGGATTTTATCTGGGGGTGGGGTCCCTGCAAGGTTTTAGGTCAGTGCCTTGCGTGATCACATTTGGATTTTAGGAAAGTGACTCCACAGCTGTGTGGGGGATGGATCAAGGGGATACACGACATACTGTGTTTTGTGCATCACTGTGTCTCCAGCACTTAGTGGGTGCTGACACCAAGTAGGGGCTCAATGTTTGTTGAAGGGATGAATGAGTGGCTCCATTGAGAACTTACTGCAGGAATCCAGGGGAAGGTTGTGAACTAGGATTATGGGAGTGGGGAGAGGGC
The DNA here is from genome assembly GCF_000001405.40 of Homo sapiens. Taxonomy (NCBI): domain Eukaryota; kingdom Metazoa; phylum Chordata; class Mammalia; order Primates; family Hominidae; genus Homo; species Homo sapiens. Next base: position 125,426,493 of record NC_000008.11, read on the forward strand.
CGAACGTGGGAAAGGGAGAAGGTTTCTATTAGACAGGGTCTGGGCAGGAAAATGGAACTCAGGCCAGGAAGTTCAGTGGATAGAATTTATGTAGAAAACTAGTTACAAAGGCATAGAAAGGGCAGAAACAAAACAGAACAAAACATGGTGCTGGGGGCCACCCAGAGATTAGCAACATCTGGAAGCTGCTGCCACCCTACGGCTGGAGGGACAAAGGTGGTTTCACCTGCTCCCAGAAGCCAGAGTCCCTGGAGTGAGCTCGGACCATGAAGAAGGGGTGCCACAGGTTGAACTCCCCAGGAAGCTGACTCTGAGATGCAGGCCAGCCTGCAAGAGGATTCTGTGGGAAGAGGGGGAGGAAGGAACAGGATTGGGCAGAGGAAAAAGCTGGGCTGTGATGCAATTTTAGGAAGGCCTAAATCTGGGAGCTCTGAAGCTGGGATGCCTTGGACAGGTGGCCCAAGTTGGGACAAGGGGACCTTTATTCTTCCATGATCAGCAGTCACTGGATGTGGACCCTTGGGAAGGGAGTGTGACCTCCGGCAAAGTGGCTCTTCTCAGTCAAGGCAATTTCCAAAACAGCTCCTGATATGCACTCCCAGCAGCCAGGGAAACAGATCCTCCAGTTGGGCAGCGGGATCTGGGGAGCACATCGCAGCAGCCATGCGGAGTGGCTGTCTCCTCTGGAGCCCCAGAGGAGGTGTGGCCAGCTGCCTGAAGCAAATAGTAGCCTGGGCATTCTCTTCTTCCTCCTGCCTTCTAATCTCCCTCCCGGGCCTCCCACTGGGCAAACTGGGCTGGAAGCCAATGGGCAAGTGAGCCTGGGAAGTAGAGCTGGTGAGGGCCAGCCCCAGGGAGCTGAACAGTGCGGGGTAGGGCCCGGCACTGAGAGCTCACAGGTCTAGGGTGGGCTGTGGGAGAAAGGAAAAAGGCAGATTCAAAGGGGAACCCACGATGAGTGCCTGTGATCCTGGCCCCTGGGTGGGCGGAGCTGGGTGGATGGTGGCATGCCTGTCTCTCAGAAGAGGCAGAGAAGGAGGCACACACCTGGGAGGAAGATGCTCAGGGGCCATGCTGAGTTTGCCATTCAAGTGCTGGCAGCTCAGTGGATCTTACATTCTGGCACAGAATAATCTTCAAAGACAAAAAAAATGTAGGTGGGGCCGGGCGTGGTGGCTCAAGCCTGTAATCCCAGCACTTTGGGAGGCTGAGGTGGGTGGATCACTTAAAGTCAGGAGTTCAAGACCGGCCTGGCCAACATGGTGAAACCTCGTCTCTACTACAAATAAAAAATTACCCAGGCATGGTGGCGGGCGCCTGTAATCCCAGCTACTGGGAGGCTGAGGCAGGAGAATCACTTGAACCCGGGAGGCAGAGGTTGCAGTGGGCCGAGATTGGGTCACTGCACTCTAGCTTAGGCGATGGAGGGAGACTCTGTCTCAAAACAAACAAACAAACAAACAAACAAACAAACTAACTAACTAACTCTTCGGTGGGCTCTCCTCTGGGCACAGGACCAAGTGCAACATGGCTTTCAAGCCCTTCCCAACACTGTCTCAGGAGACCTCTGCAGGCTCAGCTCCCACCACCCTTGTAGTTTCTCTGGCCTGCTAGCCCTGCCCTTCCGCACACCCCTTGTCTGGCCCGGCCTCCCACCATTCATACTCTCCCTTGAGCAACTCCCTCACAGTCCCTGCACATCTCCCAGGTCAAATGCCTTCTAGAGTCCTCCCTAACTCCTGTTTTCCCCTACAAATTGTAATCTCTCCTTCCAGTCGCCATAAATGCTTAGGAGCTTGACCGCACCACCCCTTATGAGCTACTTAACCGCAGCAAGTAACTTCATCTTTCGTTCTTTTTTTAAATTATTATTATTATTATTTTTTATTTTTTGAGACTAAGTCTTGCTTTCTCCCCAAGGCTGGAGTGCAGTGGCACGATCTCGGCTCACTGCAACCTCTGTCTCCCAGGTTCAAGTGATTCTCCCACCTCAGCCTCCCCAGCAGCTGGGATTACAGGCGCGCGCCACCACACCCAGCTAATTTTTGTACTTGTAGTAGAGACGGGGTTTCACCATGTTGGCCAGATTGGTCTTGAACTCCTGACCTCAGGTGATCTGCCCACCTCAGCCTCCCAAAGTGCTGGGATTACAGGCGTGAGCCACCACGCTTGGCCTAACTTCATCCTTCTAAGGCTTCAGTTTCTTCCCTGTGAAATGGGGCAAAAAATAACCCCATAGTGTGGTTGGAAAACTGAAGTAATACATATAAAGTGCTAAGAACAGTGTCCGACACATTGTAGGCCTCGATTCATGTTAGCTATTATTATTATTTTAATTTTCACCTTCTAATTCCCAGCGTTTAGCTCTTGGTAGATGCTTAATTAGTATTTGTTGAATGAATGGAGAATTAATAAGGAAAATGATTTATTCCTGGGGCTCGACCTGGTTTTAGAAAATTAAGTATTTAGCAGAAGGACAAGTAAGGGCTCTCTAATAATAGTTATATTGTTGGGTGCCCAGGGACTCCAAACTGACCTGGTTCACTCAAGAAAGAAAAATGACAGATTCCAAGTTGTTTCACGCGCAACTTTGATGCTCTTCCAAATCACACGGAATGAATGCATGCGCACCACCAGGCAGGGCTGCCCGGGTGCAGGCGGTATCTCTGGCAGTGGCCAGAATGACTTCCACCAGCCTACCCACCTACCCAGGTTGGCACTCAGGCCCTAGACCCTGCGGCGCGTGTGGAGGCTGGGGAGGGAGTAGGAATCCGGCGGCAGCCACGTGGGCCCCTTCCGCCCGCTCCCCACATCCTTTGTTTCCCACCGGCCCTGGCTCAGGAAGCTCTTTCTGCGAGTCACCGCGAAGGGGCGGCCCGGGAGCCTGGAGAAGCTATTTCCGTGCAATCCGGGCGGGCGGCAGGCGCGGGGGGGTTGGGGGGGCGTGGAGGTGGAGGCAGCGCAGAAGGCCCAGTGTTTGCTTTTATTTCCTCCAACAGAAGGTTCTATTTGTGGAAGCGAACAGACGCTGGGGATTAGAGCTGGGAGGGGGCAGGAAAAGGGAAAAAAAAAAGCCACATCCACTACCACGCACAGGTCTTCCCCGGAACTACCGCGTGGGGGTGAATGACTGATTCTGGAATTCATCACCTCCCTATCCCCCTCCTTCCTCCGGCTGCAGCCGGGCCTCGGCGGCGCCCACGGCTCCAACCGGAGCTCCCCAGGCGCTGGGCGGTGGGGGGATCCCCGGGGCGAAAGGCGTCGCCGCGGGGCTGCAGCGAGCGGCGGGTGCAGAGAACCGTGGTGCGCGCTCCCGCCTCGCGCCCGCAGCCCATTGTGCTTACTGTGAATGAGGCGCGCGCACCAATCAGCGGTCGCTTCGCTCCCCGCAGCCCCGTCCCTCCCGCCCACTTCCCCGGGCCCTTACGTCACGGGAACTTTTCCTCCGCCCCCTCCTTCGGCTTCTCCGCTGAGCTGGGGGCCTGCGGGAGGGCGCGCGCGCCGCCTCCTGCCCAGCCCCTCCCAGCCCTGGGGGCGTGTGCGCGCGTCCAGGCCGGCCCGGGACGCACCACCTGCGCCCGAGCGCGCGCTGCCCGGAGCATCCCCAGCCCTAAGTCCACCCCCATTCCCCCCACCTCCTACTCCCTCTCCCCTTCCCCCAGTCTCCTCCCTCCGCTCCGGAGACTGCTCGCTGGGCGGCGGGGCCGGAGTCGTCGCAGCCACCTCATTGCACAACCCGGCTTCCCAACTGTTTACACAGCCCGGCCTGTGAGTGTGTGTGTATACAGCGTGAGTCACCAGGAGGCGGAGGAGGTGGAGGAAAAGGAGAAGGAGGAGTGCACTGGCCGGGATCGGTGCAGCGCTCACACTCACTCACAGTCACTCTCTCTGAGCGCGTCTCGCTCGCTCTCATACACGCCCGGAGCCCAGGAGCGCTCAGGATCCCGAGCGCCGCGAAAAAGTTCCCCCGGCTTTTGCTGGAGACTCATCGCTTTGGGAAGTGCATTTGCTTCGTGGCTCCGCCGAGCCTGCTGAATCCTGTCCTCGCGGCTCGGGACCCCGGGATCGCTGACCGCTGCCGCCGCCGCCTCTGCCTCCCGGACTATCGGCAGCCTCGGCAACAATAGTGGCGGCCGCCCCCAGCGAGGCTCCGGGAGCCCTTGCCTGCGGGGGTCCGGGGACTCGAGCCGGCCTCCGCCTCCCGGACGCACAGCCAGCGTGGTCCCCGCGTGCAACGCGAGCGCCGGGGAGTGGCTCCTGCTTTGCCCCTCGTGGGGGCCGAGCCAAGACCAGTCTGCAAACTCCATCCCGCCGGCTGGAAGAAGTCGCGGAGCCGGCACCAAACCCGCAGCGTCTTCCCGCGCGGATCCCGGGACTTAAAAAGCCGGGGCCACCCCGGCCCAGGACGGGATGCGGGTCGGTCCGGTGCGCTCTGCCATGAGCGGCGCCTCGCAGCCCCGCGGCCCGGCCCTGCTCTTCCCAGCCACCCGAGGCGTCCCGGCCAAACGCCTGCTGGACGCCGACGACGCGGCGGCTGTGGCGGCCAAGTGCCCGCGCCTCTCCGAGTGCTCCAGCCCCCCGGACTACCTCAGCCCCCCCGGCTCGCCCTGCAGCCCGCAGCCCCCGCCTGCCGCTCCGGGGGCCGGCGGAGGCTCCGGGAGCGCGCCGGGGCCCAGCCGCATCGCCGACTACCTGCTGCTGCCCCTAGCCGAGCGCGAGCATGTGTCCCGGGCGCTGTGCATCCACACTGGACGCGAGCTGCGCTGCAAGGTAGGCGCTCCCGGGCCAGGACCCGGCTGGGGTCGGGGGCGCGGGACGGGGTGGTAGGCAAAGGTGCTTGGGGTCCGGCCAACGCTTGGGCTGGGCACAGGGCGGATCAGTAGATTGGGTCAGATAAGACGCCATTTGACCAGGTTCACGTTTTTGTGGATCGAGGGGTTTCCCATGGAGTGATATAATGGGGGCGCCTAGAGGAAGTGCAGTGTTCAGTGGCTTTCTCTATCTGTTCCTTTCCTCAGCGCCCAGTGTAGCGCGTGGCGTTCCATATAAGTTGTGGAATTGAAATGGATTCCAGGGCCATGCCATTCCCCTTCTCTCATTCTCCTCGCTCTCCACCCCCCCTCCCCCGCCAATGTCCTGGAAGGACGCCCTTTAGTGGGTGCCTCCTAGGAGCTTGGAGCAGCTGGCAGCTCTCTTGCCGGGCTTGCACGGCACCCGGGCTCAGTTGTAGGTGGTAAGGGGGCTGGAAGACTGTGTCCGGCTCCTGCCTTGGGGATTCCGAATTGAATCCGCGCTGAGACTAGAACACGCCCTCCCAAGGGAGCAGTCCCAGAGTCATCCACCCGAGGCGGAGGAATCTGCTCGGAGTAGAAATGTTGAAAAGCCCACACCGGCCAGGAACCCTCGCTTCGATTCACTTTATTTTCCAGCCAGCGATTTTCCTTTGAACATAGGGATCCCATCCAGGAGGAGGAGACACAGCTCCTAGAAACAGGATCCGCCGGGTCCTCCTCCTGCGCGGGTAGACGCAGAACGTTCCCACAGTCTACTTTATGCGAGCGTGGCACCCCTGCTTGAGGCACCCCAGAGCACCCTCGGGCCGCTCCTTTTCACCCGAAAGATAGGATCACCCCCCAGTTAAGTCGCTTCTGGGTTTTCCGCAACTCACCTGACACTCCCAACACCCCGACCCCGTCCCGGGGCTCGCTGCTGCCACCTACTGCCCAACCCGAATGAAATTTCAGACGCATGATCAAGCCCAGTTTAATAGGGAGGAAAAAAAAACCTTTTCTTCTCCATGACTGGGGCTAAGAGCTGTTCTGGGACAAGCATGTATGTGTGTGTGGTGGGATGGGATGGGATGGGGTGGGAGGAGGGGGCAGCAGGGGATTTTTCTAGCTGGTGCCAGAGCAGCCAGGCCTCTTAGAGGTGGGGTGAGTCTGGCCATTGTGCAACCCCTTCCAGTTCCTCTGAGCAGATAATAGCTGAATCCAGATGGTGACAGCCCGTGTGTCACCGTTTCCAGTTGAGTCTAGGATATGAGTAACTGGACTGAACAAAAGGCCTTTAAAGAGACCAGCCAGCTTCCTAGAAGAGAGGAGATGCTACTCATTTCTAGGGGTGGGGTCGGGTGTGGGGGGATAAACAAACAAGTGGAAAACCCATTCGCAGGATTCCATACCCTTCCTGTGAGAATTGTAACTCAAGGCTGCTTACACTTGAGTCGGACTGTAGGCAGGTTGCTTAAGGCTGCATTGTCCCAGCCTCCCCCTCCAAGTCATCTGTTCCTTCTGATTAATGACAGCTCTGCATGTTCTCTGGCCCCTGCTTCCCCTTGGAGGCTGCAGAGTCACCACATTCTGTGCCCTTTCTGTGTTGAGCACTTTGGGTCTGCAGGAGGCACATGCACGTCCAGGGACTGCTTTTCAGCTCCTGGACAGGCCAGGGGCTTCCTTCTATCAGCCACTCAACTAGTGTGGCCTGCAAACAGGAAAGGGCCACAGAGGGTGGGGGGTTTGCTTAGCTCTCAGGAGCTGACAGAAGATGGGAACATGTACAGGAGACAGTTCTTTCAAATCATCTGTGTGAAAGCGGGTAACCCTTTGGGTATTTGCAAGTCTAGAGCTTTAGGTGTTACTGGTTTTAAAGGTGTCAGGGGCAGCTGGGGCTGCGTAAGGTAAGGTGGCAGAGGAAAGGAGTAGGTGAATGGAACTTACTCACATCCTAAGCCCACAGGTTGAGAACTTCTGTTCAGCTCCCTCAGGGGTTTGGGAGGCTGCCTTTGCTTTTCTAGCCCCCTAAACGGGCCCCCCTTCTCTCTACAGGTGTTTCCCATTAAACACTACCAGGACAAAATCAGGCCTTACATCCAGCTGCCATCGCACAGCAACATTACTGGCATTGTGGAAGTGATCCTTGGGGAAACCAAGGCCTATGTCTTCTTTGAGAAGGACTTTGGGGACATGCACTCCTATGTGCGAAGCCGGAAGAGGCTGCGGGAAGAGGAAGCCGCCCGGCTCTTCAAGCAGATTGTCTCCGCCGTCGCCCACTGCCACCAGTCAGCCATCGTGCTGGGGGACCTGAAGCTTAGGAAGTTCGTCTTCTCCACGGAGGAGAGGTGAGCGGCCGCCACAGCTTCTCCTGTGGCCTTTTGGAACCAAAGCGGAGGTGCAGGTCATGTAGTTAGGTGCTGTGTGTTGGTGCAAAACAAAGTCAAGGGCTCATATGTCCCAGATTTAGTATTTAGAGCTTCTGTTCCTGAGGAGTCACAGCCAAGGTTGGTTTATTCTGCATTCTCTTGGACGGGGCCTGGGGACACCGTGGCGCTTCTATGGGATGGCAAGTGTTGACAGGGTGCTCTTCCTCTCCTACCCCAGGATCAGGTTCATTCCCCATTGTTGTCAGAAAGGTCAGTTGTCTGGGGTACAAATATTAAACTGCCCTTTACGATATTGCCTTCTGAAGGAAGTGTTCAAATCTTTGCTTATGCCAAGTGCTGTTTTGTACCTGGAAGGTTTCACAGAGCTAGTGAGACTGTCATATATGCAGAATTCCACCCTCTTGTTTCACACAGCATTCCTCTCCCATCCCAGTCCAGGTTCTCTGTAACATCACATTCTCTGGTGACTTTTTAGACAGCTTGTTTGGATCCGTCTTCAGAAAATAGCCACATTGAATAGTAAATGGAAGTTGGTTAGGATGGATTGCTAAATATAGATCATAGCTTACCTCATAAAGAACAAGATGAGCTTGATAAGAGAGTAATGAGGCATTAAGATTCAAAGCTGAGGTTTCAGCTAGAGAATTCAGGAAGCCGCATGAGATAGACCACACTTGATTTTAAGAGCCAGCCACATCCCTTGTGGAAAGATTACAAGCAGTAAGGCTGTAACATTGTAGAGGTGAGAGTGAGTTAGTTTGTTGTAAGAAGTGGGCTTATCTCACCTGTGCATTTTTACCTTTGACTCCAGAGCATATGAAACAGTACAGGGTTGAGCTGTCATAAAGCATGACTTTGTATCTGACCTCGCAATAATTATTGGAACACACTGATTAGCAAAGAAAAGCAAACTGTTGGCAATGAAGAAGTTTCTAATTCCTGGAACATGCTCCTTTGATATGGTGATGCATTTTCTGAAACATGCCTTACACACCTCCTTACTAGCTTTTGAAATCTGCATTGCACAGGCGAATATCATGGGCATGGGGTTTGGCAACCCGGGGGTTAAGCAATGTCAGGCTGACGCTATTCGTGTAACCAGCACAGGTGCAGGGTTTTAGTGCTGTAGCAGCCAATCAGGGGCAGACAGTGTGGGTTGAGTCATATTTTCCGTTTACAGAACCAATGGGTATTTTACATAACGACAGGGAGGTCACGCTGAGGACATACTGAAGTTAGCACATGTATACTACACTCCAGGGAACAGGAAGGCAGAAAAAAAAAAAAACAGACCTTTGAGAGGAAAAGGAATTGACCCATCAGCCAGTACCAAATGTTTGCATTTAACTTCACAAGTGACTTACTGAAACGGGTATTTCAGAGAAGCAGGCAGAGACAGGGTGTCACTGGATATCAGAGCTTCCCCACCACATGGCTTTGAGCTTTGGGGGATCCAGGAGACTTGGGTGGCTGGTTCTGAATAAGGAGGCACCTGCAGCTTCATAAGAGAGCCTTTGACTGAAGGTGTTTTAGACTTTCGTTGTTACCTGAACAGAGACCCCCCCTGTAGAATACATATGCTCACATGTTGATGTGCCATCCCAGGGGGAGTGTGTGTCCCTGTGTAAGAATTTCAGGGTCCCTGCGTCCCTGAAATCCATCAGCCACTTTTGTTTGCTCGCATAACCTCTCTGTCCAGGCAAAGTGTTCTTTGCAGTTAAACACCCCAATAAATGTAATTAACATTCCTTGCAACTTTCCCATCCTAATTGTTGCAGCCTGGGCCCAGGAGGACAAAGTTTGCTCTGTGTGCATGTATCAGTGTGGGCACCAGCGCTGATGACCTGTGTGTAATAGCAGTGACTTTGGGCTCCGTGTTCTGTAATGCAGTGTGGGTCCAGGTAGCCCTGGCAGTCATAAGAGGGAAGATGGGTTCGTAGGATGCTCAGGCCCTCTCTGAAGAAGTAGGATATGCTGCTCTTCCCTGCTAGCTTTTGTAGAGAATGCAGCATTCTGAGACAGGCTCCCAGTTCTGCAATGGGAACTTAGTAAATTGCGTAACTCCTATTAGGATATCTCTTGTAAGCTCCAGCATTATGAATACTATTTGGGGCTTTGCCTCATACCCTCCACCCCAGGCGCTCTGCCGATACTTTGCAAACATTTATTGCAGTTCGTGTTAGTTTGTGAAATCAGGAGCCCTCGGTAGTTGCAGGGCACTGCTTACTGGACGAAGGGGTAAATAGCATTCCTGGAGCCTTTGCTGTTAGTGCCTGTGGGCGCTGTTATTGGGAAGGCTTTGTTTTTCATAGCAGCTGGTGTGGAAATAATGGCTTGGTTCCTCTCTCTTGCAGAACCCAGCTTAGACTAGAAAGTCTAGAAGACACACACATAATGAAGGGGGAAGATGATGCTTTGTCAGACAAACATGGCTGCCCAGCCTACGTGAGCCCTGAGATCCTCAACACCACTGGGACCTACTCCGGAAAGGCTGCGGACGTTTGGAGCCTGGGGGTGATGCTCTACACCCTTCTGGTTGGACGATACCCCTTCCATGACTCAGACCCCAGTGCCCTTTTCTCCAAAATTCGGCGTGGACAGTTCTGCATTCCTGAGCACATTTCCCCCAAAGCCAGGTGCCTCATTCGCAGCCTCTTGAGACGGGAGCCCTCCGAGAGACTCACTGCCCCCGAGATCCTACTGCACCCCTGGTTTGAGTCCGTCTTGGAACCCGGGTACATCGACTCAGAAATAGGAACTTCAGACCAGATTGTTCCAGAGTACCAGGAGGACAGTGACATTAGTTCCTTCTTCTGCTAATCCCCAAAACCTCAGAAACCTCATAATTCTTAACACCTGGCATTTCCATTTCTAAAGATGGACAGGCCCTTTGGCGTGGTACCAACCAGATAATGACTGCATCAGGATGAAAGCTGCTGAACTCGGCATGGCGCCTCCTCTTCTCTGTTGGGATGAGTGACTTTATTGATTTGAGCAGCATATGCTGTGATTGGCTGCCCTGCAAATTTGTTTCCCTTAAGGAACCCTCACCAACTATCTCTGCTGGATTTGGGAGTTCCGCATCTTTTGTGGAGGGCAGAGTATGGACATCTTACACCCGGTGGTCAAGTGTGTAATAAACTTGAGCATTCGAATGGGAGAAAAAGCAAATCGCACAATGACATATTTTGAGTAATAACCGTATTTTTCACAGGGTGACAAATTGGGCCAATAAATCTGCCATCTTTGAACTCATCTTTGGTGGCTAGACTGCTACGGCAGCTTCTCTGATGGGAAAGTTCCTTTTTTGGCTTAACACTCACCCTTTCTTCACACTCACATTTACCAATGACTCTGCTCCGTTTTTGGAGCAGACTGTTTTAAGTTGCTCAGGAGCCTGATGGAACCATGAACCGAGACTCTTCTCTGTTTCCTGCCAAGACCTCATCTGCACTAATGCCTTCTCCCTGACCTTGACACTTCCCCCTTTAGCTATAAAAGCACTTACCAGCCGAACGTGGAACAGTATCACAAAAGATTCCATCTCCCAACGATTTCAGAACTCTGAGCTCAGAGAGACTCCAGATTTTAAAAAATAATTTGAGTGCTTGGAAACTATTAGCTTTTTAAGTTCCTTCCAAATATGTTAGTACCTACCCTTTACTTTTTCCCCAAGACCATCTCAGGGTGGAGCATTCTGTCTAAGAGAAGAAAGATAAGGAGGCTCCCACCCACCTCTCCCAAGAGCAGACATTAAACATCTTTGTGCTTTGAAGAGAGTGAATTTTGGATAGTCTTGTGATTCTCAGACTAACTTCCAGAATTATACTTTAACCCCTCCCAGATATGGTCCGCCTTTGGCATTGTGTGTACATCTGCAGTTTTGCATGGTGGGTTGTTAATATTTCAAATGTGTGGTTTATGAATACGTCTGTATAATCGGCTTCTGGAGTGAAACAGCAAACCCCAAATCTTCAAAGTTGGAAGGAACTTTAAAAATCATCCGGTCCAATCTCTTTCCTCTTTCTGCCACCTCCCAAGGCAGAAATCCCCTCTTCAGCTTCTTTTGTAGGTGGGAATCCAGCCTCTGTTAGATATGTCCAGAGATGGAAACTCACTCCCCTACAAAAGATGGAGCTTAATGGAGAAATTGCAACTTTCATTAAAAAACAAATTCAGATGAAATATCAGTAACTGTCTTGGACAGTGCTGAAATCAGGTGGTTAAACGGGTAAACAAAATATACTGTATTTTGAGAAATGGCACAAAAACAGGCAGTCATCTTTAAGGGCTATGCCTAGGCAAACTACTAACATGCATTGTGAGAATGCCGTGTATACCTCACGTACTGTGTACTTTGTACATATATTTTACCTTTTATACCTATGTTCGATTTTGTTTTGTTTTGTTTTGTTCTGGCTTTGAGGCTTGTTTTGTTGTCTGTGTCTGTCTGAATAACCTGCGTGTCTAAAACCACGTGAAATGTGAATGATTATTGGCAATATTACCTTGACAGAATCATGGGACTTTGAGAAGAGGGAGGACAGAGGCCTCTGTCGCACTAACGCTCTCGTGGTTGCTCGACTGTTGTATCTGTGATACATTATCCGACTAAGGACTCTGGGCTGGCAGGGCCTTCTGCCGGGAAAGCTAGAAACACTAGGTTCTTCCTGTACATACGTGTATATATGTGAACAGTGAGATGGCCGTTTCTGACTTGTAGAGAAATTTTAATAAACCTGGTTTCGTAAATAGGTGTGGTGAATTTCTTTCGAGTTCCATCTGCTTTGCCTTTTGCAATTTCATGCAGAGGTTGCAAAGGTCTCTGGCCTCAGGACTTACAGTCTAGTTGGGGGTGAGCAGCAAGGGGAAGGTGGAAAAGTAGAGATGATGAGGATCATCGATGACCTTTGGCAGACTTGAACCCATTTGCTTTTCTCATTTCAGTGGGCAAATTTATTTTGATGGATGAAGCCCATTGGGTGTTGATACGTGCTTTGGGTTGAATTTAGACTCGGGAAACATTTTTTATTTTTTATACTCTTTCATAGCAGAATCAGAATCAAGAAACGTTTGAAGGTGAGCATTCATAAATTAACCTTGAGTTGTAAAAATCAGCTTGTCTTTTTTGGGCCGTGGACCCTTGAGAATTTGATAAAGCTATGACCACTCCTGAGAACAGTGTCACATGTATAAAACAAAATTTTGTTATCATTGCAGAGGTTCACACAGATCTCTGAAGGCATCATGGGACTTCCGATTGTGAACCAATCCCTCTTCATTAGACTTAATTAAAATGGCTAAGCAAACCATTTTCTTTTTTTTCTTCTCTTATTTTTTGAGACGGAGTCTTGCTCTGTCGCCCAGGCTGGAGTGCAGTGGCGCAATCTCGGCTCACTGCAACCTCTGTCTCCCAGGTTCAAGTGATTCTCCTGCCTCAGCCTCCTGAGTAGCTGGGACTACAGGCGCCCGACACCATGCCCGGTTAATTTTTGTATTTTTAGTAGAAACGGGGTTTCACCATATTGGCCAGGCTGGTCTTGAACTCCCAACCTCATGATCCACCCACCTTGGCCTCCCAAAGTGCTGGGATTACAGGCGTGAGCCACTGCGCCCGGCCAAGCAAGGCATTTTCTTTCTTTTACTTTTTTCTTTCCATAAGTGTGAAAATGGAAATAAAAGCAAGGAAAATACTAAGGTGACATTAATTTGAATCACAAAAGTAGAGAAAGGAAAAGAGTTTTTTATTGTTTATAGCTTAACTATTTATAGCTTCACTTCAGAATCTAGTCTAAATGAAGTAAATTTGTATCCAGATTGATTTTTAAAAATACTTCACATTGTAAAATGTAACAACAGAAAAATGCACATATAAGTGTGTAGCTCAGTAAATTTTCACAAACAACACACAGGCATAACCAATAGATCTAGAAAGCAAAACACTGGGAGGGCCTCAGGAACCTCTGCCTGCCCTTTTCAATTTTTGCCTGGTGCCTGCTCTAAGCGTAACCACCATGGGATGGGATTTTAATTCTAACCTGTATAAGTTAGGATGAGGACCAATTCATCAACTCTGGACTCATACGAAGAGGCAGACAGAAGTTAGTGATGACACAATTACCCTTTTTTAGGACTCAGGCTGGGATTGGCCAGGAAAGCAGACACTGAAGTTAGAGCAACTCAGGCCTTGTGACCCAGGAACTTAAGAAATGTAAAAGTCATCTCAGAAGCAACGTGGGAAATGGCCAAATGCCTGGGTAGCTTAGGAACTCAGAAGTTGGGGGTTGGTCTCTGGCCATCCCATGAATAGGACTTTAAACCCCAAAGTTCCTGAAGCAGGCCTCACAACAGACCTTGTTGCCTGCTCCAGTGAACCCAGACAAGGCTCAGCGTGACTTCTTGGGCATTCAGGATGCTAATACTTCGGACTTCACCGAGGTTTTAATCTAAGGATTTCAAAAGACTTTGCAAGCAATTAAGGTTATAACACCTCTTTGTACTGTTGTTGCATGAACCAGATGGACAGAAATATGGGTCAGGATTGGCTGGGATGACATGTGATACCACAAATCCATACATTTAATCTCTTCTAAGGTTGGAACAAATCTGGGGCAATTGCAACCAGTTAAATTATATAAGGTCAGAATGAGTGTGCTGAAAAGCTGGCTGCTTTTATTTTCCCCTGTGTCATCAACATACTTGTCATTTGAGGAAGTCATCCAAGTAACATCTCAATAACCTTTTATTCATGTCATATTTTCTGGAAGTTTCTCCTCTCCTCCCCAGGGAGTCACAGCACATGAGTGAAACAGGCAAGTCAAATATTTCCCTGAAGTTGAAAAAACAGAGGCTCAAACGTCTTTCAGTAGCTACTCAGGAGTAAGCAGCTCAGAGCTGGGATATGAACTTGGGTCTTTGGACTCCATGCCCAATGTTGTTGCTCTGCCTACACACCACCACACAAAGTCTCCTGGTAAGAATAATGATGAGAGAAAGTGGTTCAAGACAAATACAAATACTGAATTTTTAGCTCCACAAATGTCTTCAAATGACCCAGTATGTCAATTATAAATGTGTAGGCATTATGGAAGATGAGCAATCCATTATTCATTCAACAAACATTTACTGGGCACCTACCATGTGCCAGACATTGTGGTAGACCCTTGGGAAATAGATGACTGAGGCTCAGTTCTGGCTCACTGAATGGAAAGCTCCAAGAAGTCAGGGAGTGTGACAGTCTTGTTCTCCCCTGGCTCCTCAGCACCAGCACAGTGCCTTCCACAAGAAATTTGTCAAAAGCCAACATGGGCCAGGTGTGGTGGCTCATACCTGTAATCTCAGCACTAGCACTTTGGGAGGCCAAGGCAGGAAGATCACCTGAGGCCAGCTGGAGACTAGCCTGGGCAACAACAAAACCTCATATACATGTATATATACACACACACACACACACACACACACACACACATATATACACACACACACACATATATATATATATATAAAATATATTATATACATATATATATGCATGCCAATATGGATGGATCGGTGGGTGGGTAGATGGGTGCATGGGTGGGTGGGTGGGTGAATGGATGGATGGATGAGTGGACAGGTAGGTGGATGAATGGCAATCCCCTAGCAGCTCAGAGTCTAATGGACCTCTAAGTCAAAGAGCCAAGGGCACAGAAGTGGAAGTCTTGTGACTAGGATCTCTTCCTAGTGCCAAAGTTTTTTTTGCTATATGACTGTGAATAAGCAGTCTGCTGGTTCTTATTTGCTCATCTTTTTTAAATTTTTAATTTTTTGAGATGGAGTCTCACTCTTTTCCCAGGTTAGAGTGCAGTGGCATGATCTCAGCTCACTGCAACCTCTGCCTCCCTGGTTCAAGTGATTCTTTTGCCTCAGTCTCCCTAGTAGCGGATTACAGGCACCCACCACCACACCCAGCTAATTTTTGTATTTTTAGTAGAGACAGGGTTTTACCATGTTGGCCAGGCTGGTCTCGAACTCCTGACCTCAAGTGATCTGCCCGTCTCGGCCTCCTAAAGTGCTGGGATTACAAGCATGAGCCGTTCTGCCCAACCAAGTGCTGCATACTTTCAAATGGCCAGATCTCTACCAGATCTTGTGTGAACTCAGGGCAAGATCTCACTTACCACTAAGGGGATGACCCAGAGCCATTCACGAAGCATCCACCTCCATGATCCAAATAGCTCCCACCAGGCCCCATCTCCAACATTGGAGATTACAATTCAACATGACATTTTCACAGGGACAAATATCCAAACCGTATCAGGCATTGCAGCAATGAAGAGTATGGAGTTGGCTTTTCAGCATGGCTTTGACTGGGAAAAGGAGGATCCCCACCACCCCCCAAAAAAGAGGAGTGGGATTTCATTACTAACCCCTGGCAACTGCCCACATCAGATTTCAGTTGATTCTCTAATGATTTGATTGCAGTCAACAACTTAGCGGTCCTAGAAGCATTACCTCTCAATCCTGCCAGACGTTTTGCAGTACACATCTTATTCTACCCTCTCAGTAACCCTGTGAAGAGGATGCTTTGTCTCCATTGACTAGATGTTGGTGCTGAGATCCAGAGGCTGAAGAATTTGCTCAAGATCACACAGCTAATGAGTGGGTCGGTGAAACTGTAACCCTGGCATGCAAAACTTTAGATCTTTGCCTTTTTCTGCCCTGTGCTTTCCACATTGGGTCTGATGTGCTAGACCAGCAACATGATGTCTTCTTTTTGGAGCAGCCATTTTGCTGGGAGATTTTTTACTAGGGAGAGTACAGCATGCTGGGTCAGCCCTGATTTCTGTGTATGATTTCTACCAGTGGAGAAACGCCAAGAGAGTGATCATGATGCACTAAGAGCCCTGCTAAGTGCCTCACATAAATTATTAGCAAGTGATAACCTCACAGCACCCCTTGACGCAGTACTGTTATCATCCCCCTTTTGTAGCTTAAGACACTTAGAGACACTGAGGCTCAGAGAGGGTAGGTGGTTTGCCCAAAGTTACACAGCGCAGCGTTCATTTGCTAATTGCACATACCCTTAATGTGAAGGCTTACTGTTCTTTGTTTTTAGAACTGGGAGCGGAGTGCATAAATAATTTAGTGCTAAGTCCTGCAACAGAGAAAAGGACATTATTGGAAAAGATGAGTGAAGTCAGAATGAAGTCTGGAGTTCAATAATAATGTATTAATGTTGGTTTCTTAGTTATGACAAATATACCATGGTAATGTAAAATGGTAGCCTTAGAGGTATATATATAGGCACCATCTTTGCAACTTTTCTTTAACTCTAAAAATTATTCCAAAATAAAAAGTTTATTTTTCAATTAATTTATTCTTTTGAGATGGAGTCCAGCCCTATCATCCAGCCTGGAGAGCAATGGCATGATCTCGGCTCACCACAGCCTCTGCCTCCCAGGTTCAAGTGATTCTCCTGCCTCAGCCTCCCAAGTAGCTGGGATTACAGGTGCCCACCACTATGCCCGGCCAATTTTTATATATTCAGTAGAGATGGGGGTTTCACCATGTTGGCCAGACTGGTCTCGAACTCCTGACCTCAGGTAATCCACTCGCTTTGGCTTCCCAAAGCGCTGGGATTACAGGCGTGAGCCACCGCGCCTGGCCAAAAGTTTATTTGTAAAAAGATATTTAGTTTGCACTTCTCCCTTTTTCAGCCAGGGGAAACTAAGGCTGAGACTGGGGAAATTAATAGCCAAGTAGCTATAAGCTACTCCTGACTCAGCACCCTCAGGCCTTCACCTGAAGCTCGAGCTTCCTGGGTGCCTGTTGGTGTGATCTGAGTGACCTTCTAGAACGTGGCATGAGGTAAGTGTATGCACGATGCTTCCATGGAATGTGTCAGAAACTTTTCTCGACATGGGACATGGCATTTTGAAAAATCAGCTCATAGGTCTGACCTTTGGATCAGTGACCACATGAGTGTCTCCATCAGTTTTGTCATGTAGTCATCACTCTCAGTCAGCCACAGCACAGGGAGCCAGTCTGAGGGACGTGCCATGCACTCATGCGTTTTCATGCCATGCCTCATTAGCTAGGAGACAGTGGGAGCAAGTTGGGAAAAATGTCGCTGCCAGCAGGGCCTGGCCTCAGTTTGAAGAGGAAGGGATTTAGGGGTTAGGGCTTGAGTACACTCCAAAACAATTTCTCATCCAAGCTCCAATCCAAGAGGTTGTGTGGTCTGGGAGGTGGAGACACCATGCAAAAAACTCCCCGCTTCACCAGGAGGGCTGCTCTGTGATGAGGCTGATGGGGCCAGGAAGCGGGTTAGTTTACACTCCTCCCATTTTACAGATGGGAGCTGAGTTAGAGAGAGGGGAAAGAACAGCCAATGTGCGGCCAGTGCTCATTTTGTATTTGTACTTTTGTTGCTCTGTAGCTGGTGTTTAAGTTGGGTTCTAAATTCCTGCTGATTGACGTCTTTTTTCACTTCTACATTGCAGAACAGAATTGGTGGGTGACATTTCATAGGCAGCCCCCTAACGCTCAGTCTGTCTCAGACACCCTGCTGGACTGCCTGTGCCTACTAGGAGTGGAGAAAACAAATAATGACAATAATAATGATGTTAGGAACCCCCATGAATTAAGTACTTGCTATTTGTCCAACCCTGCCTTTGGTACTTCGAAAGCATGTCTCATTTAATTCTCCCAACAACTCTGTGGGGAAGATATTCTTATTTGCCCCATTTTACAGGTAAGTACATGAAAGCCCAGAAAGTTTAAGTAACTTGCTCAAGGCCAGGCATGATGGCTCATGCTTGTAATCCCAGCACTTTGGGAGGCCGAGGCGGGCGGATCATCTGATGTCAGGAGTTCGAGACCAGCCTGACCAACACGGTGAAACCCTTTCTCTACTAAAACTACAAAAATTAGCCAGGCATGGTGGCACATGCCTGTAATCTCAGCTACTCAGGAGGCTGAGGCAGGAGAATCGCTTGAACCCAGGAGGCGGAGGTTGCAGTGAGCCGAGGTCGTGTCACTGCACTCCAGCCTGGATGACAGAGCGAGACTCCATCTCAAAAAAAAAAAAGAAACGGAGTCTTGCTCTGTCGCCCAGGCTGGAGTGCAGTGGTGTAATCTCAGCTCAGTGCAGTCTCTGCCTCATGGGTTCGAGTGATTCTCCTGCCTCAGCCTTCAGCCTCCCAAGTTGCTGTGACCACAGGTGCGCGCTACCAGGCCAGGCTAATTTTTTGTATAGACAGGGTTTTTCCATGTTGCCCAGGCTGGTCTTGAACTCCTGAGCTCAAACAATCTGCCTGCGTCAGCCTCCCAAAGTTCTAGGATTACAGGTGTGAGCCACCGCACCTGGCCAACGTCCACCTTTCATATTATATTTCCACAATTAAAGCCCTATCTTGTCAGTCTATCTGGGTGGAGACCCTTACCTCTTTTGGGGGAAAACACCAACACCTCATGGAGCTGGCAGTAAAGAGGAAGGATCTTGAACTTTAGGGCTAGAGAGACCTGGTATCAAATCCCAGCTCTATTGCTGTTAATCAGCTATGTGACCCAGACAAGTCACGTGACATCTCCATGCCTCAAGCGCAGTAATAACTGACATGCCAGGAATACTATCTACCCCGTACAGCTGCGGCTGCGAGGATTCCATGAGTAATGCATAGTCCAAGGTGCCACATAGTAGGCTTGAAATTCAGACAAATTCCTTACAAGTGGGAGGAAGCCAGCTGGGAAATCAGACAGACCTGGATTTGAATCCCAGACTAGCTCCTTTGCTCTGTGACCTTCAGCAAGTCGCGGCATCTCTCTGGCCCATTATTGTCTCATCCATAAAATGAGAACCTAATAATGGGTGTTTTGCAGGGCTCTGGGGCTGCGGGCAGGATTGGTGATAAAACACGCTGAGGGCCTGCTTTGGAGGGGGCTCTCATCTGGGATTGCAGTCAGGGATCAGTGTCCTTCTCATAATTATGCATTTTCCCCTCTCTCCTTTGTCTCCCCTGCTCTTTCCCCGCTGCTGCGCAGGTTTGCGGAGGCCAGTGTTGACTGTTCCACAATGGCTTGGAGGGGAGGACAGTGGCAGGGAGCAGAGCGGTGCCCAGGAGCCACCAATCCATGGCAGTCAGGCAGCCTTCTAGCCTCCTGCTGCCCGAGAGTCAGCTGACCTTGATCTTAGTTCAGGGGAGCAGAGAGCAGTCTGGCTTCTCTGACCTTATCCAGCCATCAGCACCTCCGGTGCTCAGAAACTCCCCTTCTGGGGAGAAGTGGTTAAGTGAGAGGGCTGGAGTCACAGAGGCCCTAAGTTTGAAGTGTAGCTTTAGTACTTACCTGCTGAGGAAATGAACTGCTTCATCCTCAGTTGCCTTACCTGTAAAATGGGTGGTAAGAATTCCTGCCTCCTGAGATCATTTCGCAGTTTAAATCAGTTCACGCCTGTAAAATATTTCCCACACTCCTGACACATACAAAGTGCTCAGTGAATGTTGGCTATCAAGAATTTGGGTCAAAGAAGGTCAAAATCAACGAGTCGATTCATTACAAATGTGCTAAACTGTGCTTCTTGTTAAGTAGGGCTGGGGGATCTTGTTAAGATGAGCATTCTGTTCATCAGGGCTGAAGTGGGGCCCAAGACTCTGCATTTCCAACCAGTTCCTGGGTGAGGCCGATGCTGCTGGCGTTCAGACCACAAGTAGAACAGCCCAGGGTTGAAACCGCTCCCTCCCTCTCTCCCTACCTCCCTTCTTCCCTTCTTCCCTTCCTCCCTCCCTTCCTTCCTTCCTTCCTTCCTTCCAGACAGGGTCCAGAGTGCAGTGGCATGATCACAGCTCATCTCAGTCTCCACCTCCTGGTCTCAAGCAATCTTCCCACCTCACCCTCCCGAGCAGCTGGGACCACAGGCGTGCATCACTACACTCAGCAAATTTTTGTATTTTCTGTAAAGATGGGGTTTCGCCATGTTGCCAGGCTGGTCTCTAACTCCTGGGCTCAAGCGATCAGACTGCCTCAGCCTCCCAAAGTGCTGGGATTACAGGCATGAGTCACAGAGCCCAGCAAAACCCATTTTCAAACAGTGACCTGTTAAGGCTTGGTTCTGATGAGCTAATTCCTGAAAATCGGTATATTCGGGGTAAATCCAGGAGAAGGGGAGTGGAGAGGAGCTGGTATGATTGAGTAGCTGCTCGGTGTTGGCATTGTTGAAAGAATTATCTCCTGGAATGTTGACAGCCTCCCTGAGGGATATTACCATTTCCATTGTACAGATGGGGAACCAAGACTCAGATGTTAAGTGACTTGCTCAAGCGGGACTGGGGGAGGGCTTGGTCTCTCTGCCTCCAATCCCATCACGGTCCTCTACCTTGGAAGCAATGGCAGGAGCCTGAGAACACAGCCGAGAGGATCCTAGGCAAGCCATCTCCTCTCTCGAGACCACAGCTTCCCTGTTAGCAAAATGGGTGGCCTGGGTGTAAATGACCTCCAAGCTCCCTCCCACCCTCCTGTTGGAAGAGTTTGTGCTATCTGCTCTTACTCAGCATTCATCTGGCTGTGTCCCCACTCGCTTCCTAATTTGGTGCTGACGTTCTGGTTGCAGACATATCAGTTTCACCCTGTCATGTCAGTAACACCAGCAGAACTGCTGGACGCAGTCATCTTCCCAACAGCAGACGAAACGGTGTAGCAGTGACCAGAATAAACTCAGCACTTGGGCCAGACAGAACATTCTCCCATACCCGGAGATGAGCCTTTCAGCATCCGCAGGTACAAAATGTCACTTGCATCAACTCAAAGTCACATGGAATCCAGTTTCACCTGGAGCCCAGTCTTGGAGAGGCAGGAAGAGGGGCCTACATTGCTAAGACAGGCTCATGTGCACCTGCTGAGATCATACACCAGAGGCTAGACCTAGGCAGGATTCCTAACTGGGTTCAGATCCAGCTCTGCCACTCCCTGGTGTATGACCTTTGGCAAGTTATTTAATTTCCCCAGGCCTCAGTTTCCTTGTCTCTAAAATGAAGCCAATGGCAGTAGTTGTCTTGTGGGGTTGTGGTAAGAATTAAATGAGTTTATACACAAAAAGCTCTCAGAACAGCGCCTGGCACGTGATAAGCACTCGTTGCATGCAAGTCATCCCATAAAAGTGAAATCCATCACGTTTATCTGTTTTGCTTATTGTTGGATACCCAGTACCTAGAATGATGCTTTATAGTGGTAAATATGAATATTTGTATAATGATTAAATCAGGGGGTTCTAGTGTATGTGCTGCCAAAGTGAGCACTAAATCAGCAAGGTTCCAGAGTGGTAGTTTTCAAACTGTGTTCCAAGGAACCCTAGGTTGCATCCCACTGTATGGTGGGATGGAGGGAGTGCAAAGAAAGACGAAAAAGCATCATTCTGCTCTTTACTCCTGCCCAGAGCCTCGCTGATTTATATGCTTTGTATGTTTATTTACATGCTTTACATGCCACCGAACCATGGCAGTCAGGCAGCCTTCTAGCCTCCTGCTTACATGCAGAGAGCAGTCTGGCTTCTCTGACCTTGTCCAGCCGTCAGCATCTCTAGTACTGAGAGGAACAGGTTGGAGACACTATTTTAGATAGAATGGCAGCGAGAAGGCCTCTTCTGAGGAGATGACATTTGAGTAGCAACCTGAGGAAAGTGAGAGGCAGAGTCTTCCAGGTAAAGGGATTAGCAAGTGCAAAGGCCCTGGAACAGGAAAGTGCTTTGTGTGTGTTGGGGACAGCAAAACCGAGGCTTAAATCAGACAATGTGTGTACATTTTTTGAGACTGTGCTTGAGACACATTGGCTGTGACTATCACTGGTGTCATTTTATCTTCATGATGAGAAGGGCAAGTCCCATTAGATTCACATTTTATTTTATTTTGAGACAGAGTCTCGCTCTGTCGCCCAGGCTGGAGTGCAGTGGGGTGATCTCTGGTTCACAGCAGCCTTGACCTCCTGGGCTTAAGGAGGGCTCAAGCGATCCCCCGGCCTCAGGCTTCTGAGTAGCTGCGACTATAGGCATGGGCCACCGTGCCTGGCTAATTTTTGTAGAGACAAGGTCTCCCCATGTTTCACAGGCTGGGATTTTATGTTACATTAAAAATCATATTTATTGATGTAGAATTTCACTATAATAAAATTAATCCTTGTCTAGTGTACAGGTGGATACTTTTTTTTTTTTTTGATCACTCTGTCACCCAGGCTGGAGTGCAGTAGTGTGATTATGACTCACTGCAGCCTCTGTTCCCTGGGATCAGGCGATCCTCCCACTTCAACCTCCCAAGTATCTGGGACTACAGGTGTGCACCACCACACTTGGATAATTTTTGTATTTTTAGTAGAGGCAGGGTTTTGCCATGTTGCCCAGGCTGGTCTTGAACTCCTGACCTCAAGTGATCCACCCACCTTGGCCTCCCAAAATGCTGAGATTACAGGCGTGAGCCACCGTGCCCAGCCAGTGATTTAAATTTTAAAGGACTGATTTGCCATTATTTTCGTGAAATCAAATTTATTTTACTTTCCAAAAATAATCATAGAAATTATTCTCCAACAGATAGGAATATGAAATGGAGTTGTTTCCTCCTTTTGTGATTGTGATACTTCCACTCTCTCCTGAAAGAAGTGTTTCTCCCCACAAAATGTTTGTCATTTAGATGGACATTGGAGAGTTAGGTAAATAACAGATTACAGTTCCTGTCATCGTAGATCTTATAATCTAATAAACTTTTTGTCAGATATCTTGAAATCTTAATGCTTATAGGACCATAGAGACAGGGTTTCACCATATTGCCCACACTGCTCTTGAACTCCTGGGCTCAAGTGATCTGCCCACCTTGGCCTCCAACATGCTAGGATTATAGGCGTGAGCTACCATGCCTGGCCTGCAGGTGGATAAGATTTGACAAAGGCATCCACTTGTTTAAGTCCCACCATAATTATAATATAGACCATTTCCATCACCACAAAAAAATCTCTCACGCCTGCTTATAGCCAAACTCTTACCAATAGCCTTTGGCAATCACTGATATAATTCGTCTCAAGTTTTGGAATTATACAGTGTGCAATATTTTGTGTCTACTTTCTTTCACAAGGCGTGATGCTTTTGAGATTCATCTGTGCTGCTGTATGTACAGTAATGTGGCCATTTTTACAGCTGAATAATATTCCATTGCATGAATGTACCACATATTGTTTATTATTTATTTGTGTATTTATTTTTGAGACAGAGTCTCGTTCTGTCACCCAGGCTGGAGTGCAGTGGTGCGATCTCGGCTCACTGCGACCTCTGCCTCCTGGGTTCAAGCGATTCTCCTGCCTTAGCCTCCCGAGTAGCTGGGATTACAGGCGTGTACCACCACGTCCAGCTAATTTTTGTACTTTTAATAGAGACGGGGTTTTGCCATGTTGCTCAGGCTGCTCTCGAACTTCTGACCTCAAGTGATATGCCCATCTTGGCCTCCCAAAATGCTGGGATTACAGGCGTGAGCCACAGCGCCTGGCCGCACATATTGTTTATTTCTTTACCAGTTGAACGACATCTGGATGTCTCCAGTTGGAGGTTATTATAAAGCTGCCACAAACGTGTGTACATGCCTTTGTGTGGACATATGTTTTCATTTCTCTTGGGTAAATACCTAGAAATAAGACTGCTGGGTCACTTTTTTTTGAGACAAGGTCTTTCTCTCTTGCCTAGGCTGGGGTGCAGTGGCATGATCATAGCTCACTGCAGCCTTGACCTCCTGGGCTCCAGTGATCCTATTGCCTCAAATTCCCAAGTAGCTGGGACTATAGGTGTGTGCTACCACGTCCAGCTAATTTTGTTTATTTTGAGACGAGGTCTTACCATGTTGCCCAGGCTGGTCTTTGAACTTTTGGCCTCCCAAAGTGCTGGGATTACAGGTGTGAGCCATCGCACCCAGCCATATGTTTAACTTGATAAGAAATCACTGAATTGTTTTCCACAGTGGCTGCACCATTTTTGCATCCCCATGAGCAATATACGAGAACTCTAATTGCTCCACATCCTCACCAACACTCAGTATGTCAGGTTTATTTAGTTATTTATTTATAGTTTAGCCATCCTAGTAGATGTGTATGGTATCTCATTGTGGTCTAATTTTCATTTCCTTAATGAATAATTAAGGTTTAGCATCTTTTCAAATGCTTATTCTCCTGTCTTCTTTTTGTTTTTTGAAACGGAGTCTTGCCCTGTCCTGGAGCGCAGTGGTGCAGTCTCAGTTCACTACAACCTCTACCTCCCGGGTTCAAGTGATTCTCCTGCCTCAGCCTCTTGAGTAGCTTGGACTACAGGCATGTACCACCACGACTGGCTAATTTTTGTATTTTTAGTAAAGACGGGGTTTCACCATGTTGGCCAGGCTGGTCTTGAATTCCTGACCTCAAGTGATCCGCCTGCCTTTGGCCTCCCAAAGTGCTGGGATTACAAGCGTGAGCCACCACGCCCGGCCAGGGTGTTGGTTTTCTTATTGAGTTGTAGGAATTCCTTTTATATCCCAGATGCGAATTCTTTTTCCAATATATGTTTTGCAAATAGTTCCTTTCAGTCTATAGCTGGTCTTTGTATGGTCTTTTTTTTTTTTTTTTCTCGAGACGGAGTCTTGCTCAGTCGCCCAGGCTGGAGTGCAATGGCGCGATCTCGGCTCACTGCAGGCTCCGCCTCCCGGGTTCACGCCATTCTCCTGCCTCAGCCTCCCGAGTAGCTGGGACTACAAGCACCCGCCACCACGCCCGGCTAATTTTTTTTGTATTTTTAGTAGAGACGGGGTTTCACCGTGTTAGCCAGGACGATCTCGATCTCCTGACCTCGTGATCCGCCCATCTTAGCCTCCCAAAGTGCTGGGATTACAGGCGTGAACCACCGCGCCCGGCTTATGGTCTTAAAGAGTGTCTTTTGAAGAAGTAAAGTTTTATATTTTTAGTAAGTCCAATTTATCCATGTTTTTCTTTTGTGGTTCACGTATTTGTGTATTTTCTATTCTTGGAAATTTTACCTAACCCAAGGTTAGTTACAAAATTATACCCCCTATTTATTTTCTTCCAAAGGTTTTGTAGTTTTAGGTTTTACATTTAGGTCAATGATTCATTTGAGTTAATTTGTACATATGGCGTGAAGTAGAGTCAATATTTTTTTAATATTAATTGTGTAATTGTTCCAGCAGCATTTGTTGAAAGATCTGCTTCACAGATAGCAAGACAGAAAGGTGCAAGACTTCGTCCCCCGCCTCTGTGTCAAATAGAATATCTAGTGCAGTGTGAGTGTTGTCAGAGAAGGGGTGAAGGTGCAAACTGGGGGAGTCCTCATGTGAGAAATGGGGCTCTAAATGGCCTACCAAGGTGGCCCTCATGGTAGCCAACAGCGAGCACCTCCGTGATGAAACCACCAACCCGAAAACAGCACGCAGGTCGGCCAGGGAGGTGCCTGGTGGGGTGTTTCTCTTGGTGTTCTCAGAGATTTGTACTCCTCTTGCGTAAGCTGCAGATTAGGAAAGCATTAGGTAACGACAGGGTGGCCGGAGCGTATTACACACCGGCCTGGCTTGGGGCCACGGAATGTGGCCTGCGGGGATGGCCTTGCCTAGCAAGTCAAATATAGCTTGATCCAGGAGAGAGATGGCTTCCTCTCTCCCTGCTGCAGCCAGAATGATATTCCGCTGGTCTCTGGCACCAGGAAAACAGGGTCTCTGGAGCCTCCTTGGTGTCGCACAGCCTCCGGAGGTAGAAGTGGGGAGGGAAGCCAGGAGTCCTTGGGAGCCGCATCATTCATTCCACTTTAAGGAGTCAGACTACAGAGCCTTTGCCCAGGGGAAAGTTAGCAACAAATAGCAATTCATTGCTAACCTCCTGCCTCCTCCAGTTCCAACATGGCCCGACCCCCACTAAGGACCACTTAGAGTTGATCTTCACCACCCCAAACCAGGGACCAAGGAGACTGCTCCTTTCACATAGCACTGCCATGGCTCAGATATTTGTCCAGCATCTACTTATTTTATTTTATTTATTTATTTTTTTTGAGACACAGTCTCATTCTGTCACCCACACTGGAGTGCAGTCGCATGATCTCTGCACACTGCAACCTCCGCTGCCCTGGTTCAAGCGATTCTCATGCCTCAGCCTCCTGAGTAGTTGGGACTACAGTTGCGCGCCACCACGCCTGGCTAACTTTTTTGTATTTTTAGTGGAGATGGGGTTTCGCCATGTTGTTTTTGCTTACCACGAGACCAGGCTGGTCTCAAACTCCTGGCCTCAAGTGATCCCCCTGCCTTGGCCTCCCAAAGTGCTGGAATTACAGGTATGAGCCACCACGCCCAGCCAAGCATCTACTTAAAAGATCACAAATTTTCTCATTCACAGGACTTGGGCTTAATCCCTGCCCTCAACGTGCCTACACTCACACAGTGGAAGATGTGACTTCAACATGTATTGAATGTGGAAAGAAGCTAACCTTCACCGAGGGCCTCTGCTGCCTCAGACACTGTCCACAGTCTTCAGATATTGTCGGATTTATTCTCACAGCAACTCTGCAAGAGTGGGATGGGCATCCTCATTCCTTATGTGGAAATTGGAACTCAGAGAGGTTAAGTAACTTACCCATAGTTGCACAGCTAGTAAGTGTTGCAGCCACTATGTGAACGCAAGACTGTCAGGCTCCAGAGCCTGTGAATTTTACTAACCACATTGCCATACTATGTGTCAAGAGCTCTTCTGGAGGCTGTGGGAGGCTGTGCTGGGGGCTGCGACAGAGGGGAATGAGGGACAGTGTCTAACCGCAGTCCTTTGCTGTCTGATGAAGGGCAAACAGAAACAACCATGATACTGAGATCATGGGAACAACCTGAGCAGAAGCTCAGTGGTGGGAATAATAATAATAACAGTAAGCCCAGCTATTGGCGTTTACCTAGCCTTGTTGTGTTTTGCACACGTTAACTCATTTAATCCTTTCGACAGCCTTAGGACATACTTTTCTGTTGGTGTTGTAGTTGTTGAGATGGAGTCTTGCTCCGTTGCCCAGGCTGGAATGCAGTGGCACGATCTTGGCTCACTGCAACCTCCATCTCCTGGGTTCAGGTGATTCTTCTGCCTCACCCTCCCAAGTAGTTGGGACAACAGGTGTGCGCCACCACGCCCGGCTATTTTTTTTTGTATTTTTAGTAGAGATGGGATTTCACCGTGTTGGCCAGGCTGGTTTTGAACTTCTGACCTCAGGTGATCTGCCCGGCTCAGCCTCCCAAAGTGCTGGGATTATAGGCTTGGACCACTGTGCCCGGCCAGACGTAGATACTTTTATGATCTTTATTCTACTGAGGCCTAGAAATGGAGGCCCAGAGAGGTTAAATAACTTGCCCACGGTCACACAGCTGGTAAGTGATAGAGCCAGGTGTTAAACTCAGGCTCTAGAGGGGGAGGCAGAGTCAGCCAGGGGCGTTGTGTTTTTGGGGGCAGCATAGTGGAGTGTCAGGTTGGAAGGGTAGGTTGGGAAGGGCTGAAAGAGAGTTTACATGCCAGGCTGAGGGGTCTGGCCCTTGTCCTGTGGCCTTTGTGAGCACCGGGAGGTTTTGGAGTAGGGGAGTGATGTTAGCAGACCTGTGTTTAGGCAGATGACTCTGGTAGGAGGGTTGGGGATCCAGGAGGGGAGGCAAGGTTGTAGCTGAGAGAAGGGCTGGAAGGCCACTGTCCTGATCCCAGAGGGCACTGGTGGTGGCAGCCTGCACCAGGGCTGGGCAGTGGGAGAGAAGACTCGCTAGCCCCAGGCTCCGGCCTTGCCTGCAGTGGGTACTGTCAGTGCTACATGAGCCGTGACACATGCTCAAATCACAAAGAAGGCCAGTACCACGTTAAAAGCTGTGGTGTGGGGTGTCAAATGGTGCTGGAATCCTGAAGATTCAGGACTCTTTGGTCTGGGCCTAGCTGAAGGCAGCTCCAGGGCAGAGGACGGAGCTGGGCCCTGCCTGGGGGTAAGGGCAGATGGAAGGAGGAAGCCAACCAAGAAGCCTGTGTAGAAGGGGGAAGAGCATGGCCAGAGGCTGGGAAGCTGAATCTGCAAGGACCCCATGTATGTGGGGTCTTCTCTAGGATTTTTCTGGGAAAGGATGATAGCAGGGATGCTATGGATGCTAGGTTGAAAAGGAAATTTGGGGCTGGGCGCGTTGGCTCACGCCTGTAATCCCAGCACTTGGGGAGGCTGAGGCGGGTGGATCACGAGGTCAGGAGATGGAGACCATCCCAGCTAACACAGTGAAACCCTGTCTCTACTAAAAAAAAAAAACAAACACACAGAAAATTAGCCGGGTGTGGTGGCGGGCGTCTGTAGTCCCAGCTGCTCAGGAGACTGAGGCAGGAGAATCACTTGAACCCAGGAGGTGGAGGTTACAGTGAGCTGAGATGGCGCCACTGCACTCCAGCTGGGGTGACAGAGCGAGACTCTGTCTCAAAAAAAAAAAAAAAAAAAAGAAAAGCAAATTTGGCCAAAAAGTTGAGGCCCGCTGTTTCCAGAGGAGGAGACTTACCTCCCTGGAGCACTGCCTGCTTTTGATAGCTTCAAACACCACTCTGGACTCTCAAATGTCTGTCTTCAGCCCAGATCTTATTCTCCAACTCCAGGCCTGTAAATCCGATACTACCTGGGTGAGTATCAGCTCCAACTGGATGACAACTGTCTCAGCTCAGACTCAAAGAGCCTAAAGCTGAAAGTATCATCATCAAACTGAAAGCTTCTCGGGTTACCAGCTGTCTTAGCTTGATGAGACATAGCCATTGGCCCAGTTAGTTGGTCAACACAAAAACCTGGGAGTAATTTTAAACTCTTCTTTTTCCATTATTTCTCACATGCAATGTTCATTAAGTCCTGTTTCTGCTAGTTACCTCTGATGTTGACCATTCAACAAGTATTTATTGGTCCCTCAACAAATATTTATGAGACCCCACTATGTGCCAGGTAATGAGCATATAGCAGTGAATAAAACTGGCAAAAATTCCTGTCCTAAGGTGCTGATATTCCAGTGGCATGTTGGAAACCACTGATCTGTTCAATGAAACCTTTGTCATTGCAAGCCACTGGGAACTGGAGGCTGTTTGTTACTGCAGCATAACCTAGTCCATTCTGACGAATACACCAGTAAGCAGTGCACCACAGCAGTGAGGAAAGAGCTGGAAAAGGAATGTATAGTGTTCTGTGGGAACACACAGGAGGGGAGGAGAGAACAGACATTAACCCTATAGGAGAGGTCTCTGAATGATTTCTACTTTTCATCTGCATCCCCCTTGCCTTTCCCTGGCTCAGGCTTTCCTAACGTCTTGCCTGGGCTTTGTCAATATTCTTGTCTTTGAACTTCTCCCTATGAGCTATTCTCTACCCTTCTAAAATGTAAATCTGATTGTGCCACTCCCTTGCTAAATCTGATAATGATACCCTGTTGCCCATAAGAAGAAAGTTAGACTCTTTAGCTTGGCATACTTTGTTCCTCATGATGTAGTCTCTGCAAACTTCCCAACTTCCCGAATACTGGGCCTAACTCTGATAACTTGGGATTCTTTGACCATCTGTTTGTTCTTCTCTCCATGCCTTTGTACACCCTGTTCCCTCTACATGGAATATATTCTCCTTTTCCTCCTGGAAAACTCCTACTCATGTTCCAAGGTTCTGATCAAATGTCCTCTCCACCTTGAAGCCTTCCCTGATATCTCCAGGCAGAGTTAAGGCCCTCGTCCACTGTGTGCCTGAAGATTCCTGCTCATCTTTATTTCCCAGTGCTTTGCACACTGAAATTGCTGCTAGCCCGATAGTCCTTGGAGAGCAGGGACTGGCCTCTGTGCCTGACACCTAGAGTAGAGGGGGTGTCTGACACATAATAGGTGTTCCAATCATGTGTGTTGAATGAATGAATGAGTGATTCAGTGACAAAGAACACTATATTCTACCCACTGGGCAGGATGAGGGCTGGGGAAGGGAGACACTCCACACTCAGGTGGTGAGGTGACTGTGGGTGAGGTTAATACAGAGATAAAGGCAGTCATGGTGAGAAGCCGTGCAGTATTAGAGGAAAAGCACTGCACTCAGATTCTCAGGTTATGGCTCTTTCTCTTCCCAGCTGCATGCCCTTGGGCAAGTCACTTTCCTTGATCCTTTTAAAAAAATTGTGGTAAAAAATGGGCATAACATAAAATTTACCATCTTAACCTTTTTTTTTTCTTTTTTGAGACGGAGTCTCATTCTGTTGCCCAGGCTGGAGTGCAGTGGCACGATCTCAGCTCACTGCAACTTCTGCCTCCAGGGTTCAAGCAATTCTCCTGCCTCACTCTCCTGAGTAGCTGGCATTGCAGGTGACTGCCACTGTGACAGGCTAATTTTTGTATTTTTAGTAGAGATGGGGTTTCACCATGTTGGCCAGGGTGGCCTCAAACTCCTGACCTCAGGTGATATGCCCATCTTGGCCTCCCAAAATGCTGGGATTACAGGCATGAGCCACCATGCCCAGCCCCATCTTAACCATTTTAAAATGTACAATTTAGTGGTGTTAGATACATTCCCATTATTGTGCAATCATCACCACCATCCATCTCCAGAACTTTTCTCATCTTCCCAGATGGAAACTCTATACCTGTTAAACATAAACTTCCCATTTCCCCTCCCTCTTTCCCTGGACAACTACCATTTTACTTTCTGTCTCCATGAATTTGACTGCTCCAGAAGCCGCATATAACTGAATCATACAGTATCTGTCTTTTTGTGATTGGCTTTTTCACTTAGCATCATGTTCTCAAGGTTCATGCATATTGTAGCATGTGTCAGAATCTCCTTCCTTTTTAAGCCTGAATAATATTCCATGGTATGAATATACTGCCATATTTTGGTTACCCATCCCTGGGCACTTGAGTCGCTTCCACATTTTGGCTATTGTGAACAATACTGCTATGAACATGGATGTACAAATATCTGTTCGAGTCTCTGCTTTCAGTTCTTTTACATATACCCCCAGAAGTGGAATTGCTGGATCATATAGTCATTTTATGTTCACTTTTCTGAGAAACTGACGTTACTGATTTCCACAGTGGCTGCACCATTTAAATTCCCACAAGCAGTGCACAGGGTTCCAGTTTCTACTTCACAGTCTTTTTTTTTTTTGAGACAGGGTCTCACTCTATTGCCAAGGCTGGAGTGCAGTGGCATGATCATGGCTCACTGCAGCCTTGACGTCCTGGACTCAAGGGATTCTCCCACCTTAGTCTCCTGAAGAGCAGGGACTACAGGTGCACACCACCACACCTGGCTAATTTTTGTATTTTTTTTGTAGAGATGGGGTTTCATCATGTTGCTCAGGCTCGTACTTCACTGTCTTGATGGCCTTATCTTCCTGCTGGGGATGCTGTGAGCTATGTGCCTCCTGAGGTCCACAGGTTTTGAAGGTCAAATGAAACAACACTTGTAAAGCACTTGATGAATTACTGTTATTGTGCCAACATACAAATGAGGCTTGGTCCCCTGGGCAGCAGCTGGCACCTGTGGGAGTTTCCTCCTGCTAGCAGACACACCTTCTTCTGGTGACCTGGCATGGAGACTGCTTGCCTCCTGGTGATGATGGGTTCACTCCCCTTTCTATGGGAGAGGTGACCAGAGGAGAGCTTTCCATCTTGGGGCAGAGTAAATCTAGATGCTCCAGGCCAAGTTAAAGAACCCTCAACCTTGCTTAATTCAACAAACCTTGGGGGCACTGTGCCAGGCATGGGGTGTGGCTGTGACTAGTGCCCAGACCTTGCCTTCCAGAGGCTCTGTTTAGTGGCAGATGTAGCCCAGTTGTGATATAATATTACTATCCACCAAAGTTCACTGTTCCTCCCTTTAAACGGATGGCAGATCATGGCCATGTTCAACAAGGTATAGTCATTTAACTTGCTTTGAACAATGAAACATGAGGAGGATAAACGTGTATTACTTCTGGACAGAAGCCTTAAGGCCAGCACCAGGTTTAACACATTTCTTTTCTGTCTCTCATAACAGCCAGCAATGCCCTCAGAAACAGGCTGCACTGTTCAATTGGGCTCCAGAGTGACGATGGGTGAACAGAACAGCAGTCAACCTGTGGTGGACATGTAGGGTGAGTGAGAAAGAAACCTTTGTCATTGTAAGCCACTGGGAATTGGGGGCTGTTTGTTACTGCAGCATAACCTAGCCCATCCTGACTAATACACCAGTAAGCAGTGCACCATAGCAGTGAGGAAAGAGCTGGAATAGTAATGTATGTGTTCTGTGGGAACACAGAGGAGGGGAGGAGAAAAACAGAGATTAACCCCACAGGAGAGGTCTCTGATGGTTTCTACTTTTCTTTTTTCTTTTTTTTTTGAGATGGAGTCTTGCTCTGTCACCAAGGATGGAGTGCAGTGGCACGATCTTGGCTCACTGCAACCTCCGCCTCCTGGGTTTAAGCAATTCTCCTGCCACAGCCTCCCATGTAGCTGGGATTACAGGCGCCTGCCAACACACCCAGCTAATTTTTGTATTTTTAGTAGAGACAGCATTTCACCATGTTGGCATGGTGGTCTATTTCACCAGGTGGTCTATTTCACCAGGCTGGTCTCGAACTCTTGACCTCAGGTGATCCCCTGCTTCGTCCTCCCAAAGTGCTGGGATTATAGGTGTGAGCCACTGTGCCCAGTCAGTTTCTACTTTTCATCTTGTACTCAATTACTCCTCCAACAAATGAGAGAGGAATTATTATTCTCATTTGTCAGGTAAGGAACTTTCAGCTCAGAGATGTTAAATTTCACAGGGTCCTTCAGCTTCTCAAGCATGGGGTTGGTATTCAAATTTAAGTCTTGGTGATACCTACACCCCAGATTTTTAAAAGAAAAATGATATCAAAAATAGCTAACACTTACGTAGCACTTCCTGTGTGCAAGTGCCTGATAGTGTGCTAAGAGCTACGCATGAATGAACGCATATAACCCTTATATCAAGCCAATGAGGTAGGTATATTTTTATCCTCCATTTTACAGATGAGGAAATTGAGACCAAATGCCAGCTCCCACATCACACAACTGGCATTTGAAGCCCAGAAGTCTGGCTCTGGAGTACATACTCTTAACCACTGCACTTAGCTGGTTCTCCCAGGCTCATGGGGGAGAAAGGTGAGCACTCAGATAACTCCACCCTCTGTGTGCTTTGCTTGGGTGATCTCACCAACACCATGGCTTCAACCATTACATATCAGTTTCCACATATTCAGCATGGATCTTCTTCTACTTCCTATTAAACTCTGTACCTGGGTATCTGGTGGCCATTACAAACAAGTGTCAGTCCTCAGTAGGTCACTGTCAGACTGCAATGCACAAACTACAAGGGATCCTCTTGCTGCAAATCTTCCTGTGTCTTCCCATCATCTTCCCTTAGCACAGTACCCCTGCTGTTGCTATTTCTCCAGCCTCAACTGGAAACCACCCAAATGTCCATCAACTGGTGATTGTATAAACCAACTGTGGTACATCCATACAATGGAATACTACTCAGCAATGAAAAGGAACACACTGATACATGCAACAGCATGGGTGAGTCTCAAGAGCATTGGACTAAATGAAAGAAACTAGAAAAAAAAGAGTATCTACTGTATGATTCCAGAAAGTTCTAGGAAAGGCAAAACCATAATGAAAGAGAACAGATCAGTGGTTTCCAGGGGTTGGGGGGTGGGTGGCAGGAATTGAGTGCAAAGATGCACAAAGGACATTTTGGGGGTGATGGAAATATTCTATACATGATTGTGGTGGTGGTGAACAGGTGTACACATTTGTCAAACTCATAAAATTTAAAATGTACACTTAAAACAGAGGCATTCTATTTATGTAAATGACACTTCAATAAAGCTGTTTTGTGTGTGTGTGTGTGTGTGTGTGTGTGTGTGTGTGATGGAGTCGCTCTCTGTTGCCCAGGTTGGGGTGCAGTGGCGCATTCTCGGCTCACTGCAACCTCCATCTCCTGGGTTCAAGAGATTCTCCTGCCTCAGCCTCCTGAGTAGCAGCGATTACAAGAGCCTGCCATGATGCCTGGCTAATTTTTTGTATTTTTGGTAGGGACGGGGGTTTCTTCATGTTGGCCAGGGTTGTCTTGAACTCTTGACTTCAGGTGATCCACCCGCCTCGGCCTCCCAAAGTGCTGGGATTACAGGCGTGAGCCACTGCGCCCGGCCCGATGAAGTTGATCTTTTGAAAAAGCCTCTGTTTGTGGGTTCTAGTCCTGGGGTGCCTTGCAGGCCACCGCACTCCCCACACTGTATTTCCACAGTCTGTTTTCTGGTTTGTGTCTGGCACTAGACCTCAAGCTTCTCCAGCCTCTTTTCCCGCTGTAATTGCCATCTCTTCCACCGTAGCACAGTGGCTGTACTCCCTGGATGCTCAGGGAGCGATGGGCTAAGAGTTATTAGTGACTTGTCAAAGTCATGTGGCCACTGTAAAAAGTCTTTCCTTGCCTTTAAGACAAATTTCAAGCCCCTAAATACTTGGGCTGGAATACTTCTGACCCGAATGCCATAGGCTGTATCCAACCGCAGTTCATCAGCTCTCTGGTCTGAAGAGAGACGCAGACAGAGGATTCGGAGGGCTCCCGACCACCGGTCGCTGTTCCTGGCAAGGACTCTGAGCAGAGGTTCTCCTGGTCACTGTTACCCCCATAGCCCTTTACTGGTTCAGCTGTGTATCATGCATCCTAGAAAGGAACACTAAGCCCCAGGAGGGAAGGGGCTGTGTTTGTCTTTCTTGTCAATGTTTCTCTAGTGCCTAGCACAGTGCTTGGCATGCAATAAAATTACGATATATATATA
Organism: Homo sapiens; assembly: GCF_000001405.40. Taxonomy (NCBI): domain Eukaryota; kingdom Metazoa; phylum Chordata; class Mammalia; order Primates; family Hominidae; genus Homo; species Homo sapiens. Next base: position 125,461,473 of record NC_000008.11, read on the forward strand.
TATATTTTAAAACAAATAGATTGTGAAGTTTGGACATCTGGAATAAACATGTTGTTTGTAGCTGAAAATATTGGAGTCATTTTTATTTATTTTTAAACATTTCTGTTTATTTTTTATTTCCTTTTTAGAGATGAGTCTCTCTGTGCTGCCCAGGCTGGACTCAAACTCCTGGACTCAAGTGATCCTCCTGACAGAGCCTCCTGAGTAGCTGGGACTGCAGGTGCCTGCCACCCGGTGTTTCTATTCTTTTTTTGTTTGTTTCTTTTGTTTGAGACGGAGTCTTGCTCTGTTGCTTAGGCTGGAGTGCAGTGGTGTGATCTTGGCCCATTACAACCTCCACCTCCTGGATTCAAGTGATTCTCCTGTCTCAGCCTTCCGAGTAGCTGGGATTATAGGAGCATGCCACCACACCTGGGTAATTTTTGTATTTTTTAGTGGAGACAGGGTTTTGCCATGTTGGCCAGGCTTGTCTCAAACCCCTGACTTCAGGTGATCCGCCCGCCTAGGCCTCCCAAATTGCTGGGATTACAGGCGTGAGCCACGGTGCCTGGTCTGTTTTTATTCTTGAAATGCTGAAATGTAGGGCAGCTCGGGCATAGATCATTTTCCCACCTGAACTCCAATAGTTTGGGACTTCAAATGGGGTCTGACACTTTGTGGGGGAAGAAACACAGGAGAGGTGAAATCTTTTATGTGTTAAACTCTTGATGACTGGGTACATTTTTGAGGGGGCAAGGGGGAAGAGTTTTTCAATATTTCGTTTGTTTGTTTTTTGAGACAGGGTCTGGCTCTGTTGCCTAGGCTGGAGTGCAGTGGCATGATCACAGCTCACTGCAGCCTCAACGACCTGGGCCCTAGCGATCCTCCCGTCTCAGCCTCCCTAGTAGCTGGGACTACAGGCATATGCCACCATGCCCTGCTAATGAATTTTTTCTTTTTCTTTTTTTTTGTTCGAGATGGGGTCTCACTATCTTGCCCCGGCTGGTCTCAAGAGCTCCTCCTGCCTCAGCCTCCCAAAGTGCTGGGATTACAGGCCCGAGCCACTGCACCCAGCCTGTTACTAACATTGAACGCTCTGCAGTACTTCATTTAGAAAAAAAAAACACAAAAATCTGATTTTTTTGAACAGATTTTAATTTACAAAAATTTCAAAGACAGCACAGAGGGTTCCCATATACTCTAGTTTCTCCCATTATTAACATCTTACGTTAGGATGGCACATTTGTCACAATTAATGAACCATTACTGATGCGTTATTATTAAGTAAAGTGCATAGTTTATTTAGATTTTCTTAGTTTTTATCTGAGGTCCTCTTTCTGTTCCAGGATTCCATCTAGAATCCCACATTACATTTAGTCACCGTGCCCCTTAGGGTCCCCTGGGCTGTGACAGTTTCTCAGACTTTCTTGTCTTTAATGACCTTGACAATTTGGAGGAATGCTTTGCTGAAATATTCTGTACAGTGTCTCTCAACTGGGATTTGTCTGATGTCTTTCTCACGATTAGACTGGAGGGCATAGGTTTTCGGGGGGGATGTCCCCAGAGGTCAAGAGCTGCACCTATTTTTCAGATCTAAATGCAGCTTATTAGTTTAGATGAAAATGTGTTGTGGTTGACGTTATATGCTTGCGAAATTGCCATGCTGATAAGGGATAGGCGGACTTAATCCCCAAACAGAAAACAAAATGAAACAAAATTACACAAATCCCCCACTTACCCCACCTCCCAAATGCTTTCCACCCTCGACTTCACTTTCCCCCCACAAAGCAACAATACTGCCATTTCTGGATATTGGTAGCTCTTTCTAAAGGGAATTGAACTGACTCAGAAGGAACCAGGAAGTAGTTGCATATTCAGCCCGCTCCGGATCAACCCCTATCTGTTTCTGTGCTTTCTTTCCAAACAAATCTTTTTAGAATCAGAAGGGAGGGAACTGATTCTGTTCTCAAGGATCTACCCGGCCGGGCGCGGTGGCTCACGCTTGTAATCCCAGCACTTTGGGAGGCCGAGGCGGGCGGATCACGAGGTCAGGAGATCGAGACCATCCTGGCTAACATAGTGAAATCCCATCTCTACTAAAAATACAAAAAAATTAGCCAGGCGTGGTGGCGGGCACCTGTAGTCCCAGCTACTCAGGAGGTTGAGTCAGGAGAATGGCATGAACCCAGGAGGCGGAGCTTGCAGTGAGCAGAGATCGCGCCACTGCACTCCAGCCTGGGCGATAGAGCAAGTCTCCGTCTCAAAAAAAAAAAAAAAAGAAAAAAGAAAAAAGAAAGGATCTACCCAACTAGGGAGCCTCTCCCTCTGTCCCTTTCTCCTTTACACATTTAGTCCCTGCTGTGTTCCAGGAGCCACCCTTGAGCTGAAAAGTTGACTGAAACAGGGCTCTTGTCTGGGATTTGGAAGGAGAGATACCCGATGTATGAGCACGGCCCCACATCATAGGTGTTGGAGAGGCGGATATGTACCTGGGATTGTGTGGCCCAATGAAGGGAAGATTATTCTTTTGGGTCTGCATGAAGCATGCCAGTCAAAGGGAATTGGGCAGGAAAGGATGCCAATCAAATGAGCAGATTAATGAGCAGGGTAGTCCCCCACCAGTCAGGGGACAATAAAAGCTAGATTTAACTTGGCCCATTCTTTCTCAGATACCATCGACCTTTGCGTGAATGTGAGGTGACTGTTCTCTTCCAAAGTCTGCCTTTGTGATGGCAACTGGTTTACTTTGTACCCAGACTCGCCTGAGGGAGGGAAGCCAGCTTATCCAGAGGCTGTGCTGCGGTGTACCAAGCCCTAATCCTTAAATCCTTGGCTCTCTTCCACATAGCACATGTCAAACCAATCCCTAGGAGTGGGCAGGACAGCACTTTGCAAAGCACTCTGAATCTTGAGCCAGAGGTTTGGGTTTGATTTAATATTAGTGAAAATTGCCTCTATTGGGGCATATACAAAACTCCTGCCTAAGTGCCTTATGTGTATCATCTCATCCAACCTTCCAGACTGCATACGATAATGATGACACTAATAAGAGTTACTAATTTTCTTTCTTTATTATTATTATTTTTTTGAGACAGAGTCTTGCTCTGTCACCCAGTTTGGAGTGCAGTGGTGCGTTCTTGGCTCACTGCAACCTCTGCCTCCCAGGTTCAAGTGATTCTTCTGCCTCAGCCTCCCGAGTAGCTGGAACCATGGGCATGTGCCACCACGCCCGGCTAATTTTTGTATTTTTAGTAGAAATGGGTTTCAACATGTTGGCCAGGCTGGTCTTGAACTCCTGACCTCAGGTGATCCACCCACCTCAGCCTCCCAAAGTGCTGGGATTACAGGTGTGAGCCACCGTGCCCAGCCAGAGTTACTAATTATTGAGCATTTGTTATGTGTCAGGGTTGTTTAAAGAGCTAGACATGGATTACCTCACTTAATTTCACAATAGCCCTGCAAGTGCAAAAATCTTAAGCACAGAGCTTAATCAGTTTTTACCTATGTGTCCCCATGCCCCCACCACCTGGGTTAAGCTATAGAAGTTTTCCCCAAGCCTTCCTCATGGCCGTTCTCGGTCATTACCACCACCCTCTCCTCAAGAAGGTAACCACTATTTTGATTTCCAGCATTGTCAATGAGTTTGGCTGACTTTCAAAATTAATAACTTAATTATTTTTAAAAATTAAGGTGAAATTCACATTATTTACAAAATTAGCCATTTTAAAGAAAATAATCCAGTGACATTGAACACATTCACGATATTGGGCAACCATCACCTCTCTGTGTCTCCAAAACATTTTCATCACCCCAAAAGGAAGCCCCATTCCCACTAAACAGTTGGCTTGTTTTCGAACATCAGATAAATGAATCATGCAGGATGTGCCTTTTTGGGTCCGACTTCTTTGTTTTTAACGTATGTCTGTGAGAGTAACGCATGTTGTGCGTGTGGTGGGTACAAATATTATCCTCATTTTATAGATGAGTAAACCAGGGCACAGAGTGGTTAAGTAACCAGCCCATGATCACTCAGCTGCTAAGTGGTTGACCTAGGATCCCTGGCAGGGTGGCCCTGGAGCCTTGTTCCGGAAGCATGTACCGTATTGCAGAGGAGGAAACAAACTCAGACAGTAAGGTAACAAACTGAGGGGAGCCAGTAAGGATTTCAATGCAGATTCTTCTGACTGCAAGACCAAACTGTTGACTGCTAGCCTGTTTTCCCCTTGACTAACTGTGTGTCTTGGGGCCTCTTTCTGGGCATCAGTTTCCCAGTCTCAGTAAAGCGTTCTGAATTTTCCTTGCTGGGGTGGTGAAAGGCTTGGTTGAGAGCCTGTGTGAACCTCACGGTGCCATATTAACAGTCGCGAGAATGTAATTGATTCTATGATGTTGTGGTTCACTGGAAACTTGGCAGGGGTGGAGTAGGACCCTGAAGAAAGCTGGCACTATGTCAAGTGGCCAACGGGAGCTCAGCCCTTCCTGTTCTCTCTGAGTATTTGTAGCTCTTTAGTATTTCCTGTGCTCAGCCCCATTCAGAGATCACCAAGTCAAACACCTAAAATCCAGGGTCCCTGTGTTTGAGGAAGTTTGCATTCTAAGATATTTCTTCCCAGGCTGGTACCCTAGAATGTCATCGTTCCATAGGCTGCCTTTGTCATCATTTATGAAATTTGTCAACTCTTGGTCCAGAGGTCTGATTAGGAGGAAAAGAAGAAAGTCATGTGAGGCCAGGTGCAGTGGCTCATGCCTGTAATCCTAGCACTTTGGGAGGCCAAGGCGGGCAGATCACCTGAGGTCAGGAGTTCAAGACCAACCTGGCCAACATAGTGAAACCCCATCTCTACTAAAAATACAAAAATTAGTGGAGCGTGGTGGCAGGTGCCTGTAATCCCAGCTACTTGGGAGACTGAGGCAGGAGAATCGCTGAAGCTGAGGTGTGGCAGCTTCAGCATTTGGCTCCATTATTCCCTCAGGCATGAAATCTTCCTCTCTAGCCTTGTTTAAATCTCAACACTTCCCTTTCCAAATGATTTCTAAGGGGAAACATAAAAAGAATGTTCCAGAATACTCTGTTGGCCCAGGGGTGATTTGCCAGAGCAGTTTCCTGGATTACGGCCTCTTCCCCCATCAGCAAATCATGTGAAACAAACTACTGTCAGCTGTAAACCCTGAATGTGGGAAAAAGAGCTGACACACAGGGCCCACTTTCGTAAAGCTGACATTTCTCATGAATAGCGAATTCCTGAGTGTGGGCAGTAGACCAAGGCCAGGAATTCTCATTAGCTGGTGATAATCAGGCATGACTTGGACTGTGGAAGGCAGCTGGGCGGAGAGGTCATAGGTATGGGCAGGGGTGAGCCACAGCTGATAGCTGGGCGCGATCTGCCTGGATTGTTACTGAAATACTAACATGCTCTTTATGGGTTAGTAACTCCCTTCACCTCCCCAACGGCTCCTACCCGCTGGGACCTTCACCTCCCCATGATCCAACAGTGAAAGATTTAATACCCACATGACAAGGGCCTTCCAGACATGGTCCAGCTGGGGTCTGATGCTGATTTGGATAGATCCATGGCAAACTGGTGAGTAAATATGTTAAATGCCTCTCCTGGCTGTGGGACGACAGTTCCCTCCTTGGGCCCCAGCCTCCTTCCTGCTTCTGAGACCACGGCCTCTGATCTCACCTCTTTAGAGCTGAAGGACATCTAGGACATGAGCTCAGCTGATTGTTTCCCATTCAGTGGCTCAATCCCACCCCTTTCACATTCAACCTCCCTGAAGTCAGCATTCACTGTTTTTTTGTTTGTTTGGCCTTTTTTTTTTTTAAATCCTTATCTCTGTAGCATTTCCTCACTTTCCTAAACAGAGTTAGTCACTTCCTTCTGTGTGTTCTCATAATACTTACAAGCCATATCTCTATGATCCAATTTTATGAACACTGTTATTTTCTTTTTCATACGTATGAAAGATTGTGAATATTTCTTTTCCTTTTTTTTGCTTTGGCTTCTGGGAAGCTCAGAGCCCAATTTGTAGTTTCCCTCAATTAAGCAATCGATGTAGGCTTTGTGAATTCACTTTGTCTCTGGCTTCATGTTAAGTTCAGCCTTTCTTTCCTCCATTTCTTTATTAATATATATTTGTATTATATTCATCTCTGTGATTCATCTCAAATGCTAAAATTATTTTTTGCATTGTCTTATTAATTAATTAATTTATTTATTTATTTGAGACGGAGTCTTGCTCTGTCGCCCAGGCTGGATTGCAGTGGCGCGATCTCGGCTCACTGCAACCTCCGCCTCCTGGGTTCAAGTGATTCCCCTGCCTCAGCCTTCCGAGCAGCTGGGACTACAGGCATGTGCCACCACGCCCAGCTAATTTTTTGTATTTTTTAGTAGAGACGGGGTTTCACCATGTTGGCCAGGATGATCTCCATCTCCTGACCTCATGATCCACCATTCTCGGCCTCCCAAAGTGTTGGGATTACAGGCGTGAGCCACTGCACCCGGCCCTTGCATCGTCTTCTTTAATGAAGTATAATTTTCAAAAATAAAATGCATCAATTTCACATATACAGTTTGATGTGTGTACCCATGTAACCACCACCATAATGCCATAGGATACATTTCTATCACTTCAAATTTCCCTTGTATCCTTTCTCAGTCAATTCACCACCCTACCCTGATCTCAGGTGCCACTAATCTGTTTTCGGCTACTACATATTAGATTTACCTGCTTCTACAGTTTCATAGAAATGGAAGCCTACGTATGTGATCTTTGGAGATGCATCCAAAGACATGGATGCATTATGCCAAGTGATATTTTTGAGATGCACCCATGTTTTTGTGTATACTAGCATCTTTTGAGATGCACTCATGTTTTTGTGTATATTCGCATCTTCTGAGATGCATCCATGTGTTTGTGTATACCAGCAAATGGTTCCTTTTTATTTCTGAGTAACATTCCACTGTATGGAGACATCACAATTTGCTTCTCCATTCACCTGCTGATGGACATGTGAATGATTTCCAGTTCTGGGCTGTTTTGAGTAAGTAAAATCAGGAGAGTGTAGCAGGTGTTGGGCAAACAACAAACATGTCTGCTAGTGTGAAATTCACCGGCAATGCCTTAGCATGGTGTCTAGCACACAGGGGTGCCTAAGAAATGGATAGTCGGGTTGATTTTAACAGCTCCCTGGGTCGGGGAGACAGGGTTGGACCTTGAATCACAGAAACATGAATTTCAGTCCCAGCTGTGCCATTTCCAGCTGTATGATCTTGAGTAAGCCACTGAACTTTTCTAAACCTCAGTTTCCCCCAATTCTGTAGAAGGGGACTAATTGTTCCCAAATGAACACAACTGTCAGTGAAAGCACTTTGCAAAGGATTAAGACAAATATTAGGCAAAACTACTGTGACCATGGAATTTCAAAAGACTAGAATTTCTCTTCAGATCTTGAATTCTCTGCTCTTCCTTACTGCTACCCTCAATGGCTGATGAGGACTCCCACATTTTAGGGAAGAATTGAGATCACGTCCAAGCTCCTACTTGGACTTCATCCTCACCTCCTTCTGAGCCTCCCATGGCCAAATGCAGTGATTCCCCAACTCCCCTGTACCCCGCCCTGCCCTTAGCACATTTCTAGACCCTGGAACTTTGGGTGAAATCCCATTTATCACACCGATCTCCCTTGGCCACCTCCTAGCACTGTGTCACAGTGTCAGCAGGGCTGTTCACTTCTCTGCCCTTGCTCTCTATCACTCATGAGTCAAAGTTCTCCGAGCACATTCCGTGTTGGTGGCCCCCTGTGAAGGGTTTCACCAAACACCACTGTGGGCTGGGCGCTGGCTTCCATCCACTGACCCAGTGCAGCTCCTGGCTTCTGACTTCTTTCTGTTCCTCTCTGGACTTATTTTCTCCCACTCCTTCCTGTGACTGTTTAATATACCAAGATGTTCCCTGTCTTGATGCTATCACTTGACTCCACTGGCTTTGGCTTTTTACTGTACTTCCTTTTTTTTCCCTTCATTTGTAATGCATTCATCCACCTGCATCAACGTGGCTTTGTTCTCCACCACTTCTCAGCAATAACTGACCTCCCAAAGGCCAAGCACCCCAGCATGGCTAGGTCTTCTCTTCCTGATGCTCCTCATGGCTTCCATATTTTCCCTGAGACTCCTTGGGGCCCCCAAGTCACCTCCCCTCCCTTCTCTTCCTCCAGCCATTTCTTTTCATCTTCTTTAGCTGTCACCTCATCTTCAATGCTGGGCTCTGTCACCCAGGCTGGAGTGCAGTGGCATGATCATGGCTCACTGCAGCCTTGACTTCCCGGGCTCAAGCGATTCTCCTACTTCAGCCTCCTGAGTAGCTGGGACCCCAAGCACACATCAACACACCTGGCTAATTTTTTATTTTTTGTAGAGATGGGGTTTCCCTATGTTGCTCAGGCTGATCTCAAATTCCTGGGTTCAAGCGATTCTCCTGCCTCAGTCTCCCGAGTAGCTGGGATTATAGGAGTGCACCACCACACCTGGCTAATTTTTGTATTTTTAGTAGAAATGGGGTTTCATCATGTTGGCCAGGCTGGTCTTGAACTCCTGACCTTAAGTGATCCACCTGCCTTGGCCCTCCAAAGTGCTGGGATTACAGGCATGAGCCACTGTGCCCAGCCCAATCACTTTCTTTTTCATTATACTGTGTATCTTTCTCTTTAAAAATCCAGATTCAAACAAATAGCCTTTTAAATTCAATTAGTCCAAACCTGGTGACCTTTTATGCCATCTTTTGGGACAGGGCCCTGATGGGAATACCTGCAGCATGGGCCCATAACAGCAGCCAGCATGAACGCTGTCTCAAATTAGACTGGGTCAGCAGTTGCAGGCTTGGATGTAAGCAGCCATATAATGTCATGCAATGTCAACCCTGAAATACCTTGGGCTGACTCCAGGGAGATCCAGGGCCAGCAGGACACTGAGAAAGCCATGGAAAATCTGCCATCGACTGTTGTTCCTTCCTGGTGAGCTGGGGCATGCATTAGTCTGGAAAGATCTAATTGGTTATAACTGCAGGGGAAGGAAGGAAGGAGTTAATTCCTGGCTGGGCCTGTTTGCAGGAAGCCATATGCTTTAGTTATTGAAGTCTGCTCAACGTGGGAGGGAATAAATTGGCCCTTCCAGGAGCCTGGTTAAGCAGCAGAAATAGTTTTCTCTTGGTCAAGCACGGGTTGGGGGGTGGGGTTGAAGGACCACCCGCGGATTTAAGATGTGGCCGGTGCCAGGACCATGGGTCTTGTCTGCCACATTCTCCTGCTAACTTGGTAACACTTTTTCCTCTGTTAGCACTGTAGCTTTGCTTAAGAAAGACACCATACTGGACACTTGACATTCAAAAGGAATTTGTCCTCAAATCTTAGTTCTCTCAATTTACAAGCATGCCTCCTGGTCTTCTCCCGAGTCACTCTTCTGCTGAGTCTTGTGTTCACAAAACTTCTGAACTGCTTTTTCAAATCACCCTAATTTTTTCTGTCTCATATGGTAACCACTGTCATAAACAAAGATTTTTTAAAAGCCACAACACACCAAATGAAAACCTAGCCCCTTGCCCCCAAAATAAATTCTGATGTTAAATTTAACCTTCTAAGATCATCCAGTTTCATCTTGCAAAGAATTTTCTGGATGAGGTATAAAACTATTTTAAATCATAAAAAACAAGTGATAGCACAGACCACAAAATAAAAAAATAGTGCACTCTACTTCATTGAAATGAAAACTTATACTCTTTGAAAAACACTATTAAGAAAATGAGTTGATAAGCTACAGACTGGGAGAAAATATTTGCCAGACAAACAATCCAATTAAAAATGGTCAAAAGATTTTTAATAAATACTTTACCAAAGAATATATATGAAGGGCCAATGAGTATGTGGAAAGAGGCTCAACATCATTAGTCATCAGAGAAATGTAAATTAAAACCACAATGAAATACCAATACATACCTACTAAAATGTCTAAAATGAAAGAGACTGGGCCAGGCATGGTGGTTCATGATTGTAATTACAGTGCTTTTGGAGGCTGAGGTGGGAGGATTGCTTGAGGTCAGGAATTTGAGACCAGCCTGGGCAACAGAGAAAGACCCTCGTCTTTACAAAACATTTAAAAAAAAAAAAAAATGAGCCAAGCGCAGTGCCACATGCCTGTAGCCCCAGCTTGAGCCCAGGAGTTCAAGGTTGCAGTGAGCCATGATCATGCCACTGCACTCCAGCCTGGGTGACAGAGCAAGACCCTGTCTCAATTAATAAAATAAAATAAAAAGACTGACAGTGCCAACTGATGATGAGGATTTGGTGCAAATGGAACTTTCACACACTGTTGGTGAGAATACAAAATGGAAAGCTACTTTTTAAAAAGATGCTAAAAATGTTTAGGCAACTGGACTTAGTTGAGATAATCCCAATTTGTTGGCAGTGTCCAAAGCTTTGTAGCCAGGGAGCAAATGCATGCCTTCGTTATGCCATTAGGCCTAATCAGAGTATGGGCTTTGGCCAGTCAAGGTCGTAGGGCTCCTTCGTAGCCTCTTTGATCTGGTGTTGTTGGCCTTGATGTCCATGATGAACACTAATGTGACCAGTATGTCCTTGCCATTGAGCTTCATGGCCAACTTCATGGTAATAACGGCTAAGCTTATTCCTCCTAGGGACCTCTGTGTGTCCATTTCTACATTTATAAAATGGAGTGTATTCGTTGGGGTAGGCTAACTACTGTAACAAATAGACCCGAAATGTGTCATGGTTAAAGACAGGTGTTACTGGGTCACATAACAGTCTAAGGTAGTTCTAATTTGGAGGTGGGGCAGAGCCTTACTGCTAACTTGGACAGCTCATCTTGGGACTGTTTTATCAGCGAAACCTCAATATTGTTTAAGCTATTGCATTTTAGGACCTCTTCGTCAGAGCAGCTGAGTCTTAACCTCACTAATGTGGTCAGACTCAACTGGTAAACATCTTGCCTCTCACACAGGCCGTATTGCTCCTGCAATTCTAATCCGAGCTTCAGCTAAATTCAAAATGGCTGTGTGTCAGGGGCCTTCAGGGTTGCTTATGAATAGTCAAAACTGCTGATTTGTGGAAAATACCAAAGGTCCCATCAATCAGTCATGGATCAGTCAGATAACATGCACATAAAGTGTTTATTTTCAGCATAAAAACAAGGAAAATGCAGCTTAGGAAAAGGAGGAGGGAAGGAAGGAACCACTTCTGCTGAGCACGTCCATGTAGAAGGTGCGGGGTTGGGCGTTTGCATGTGTTATCCCATGTTGACTATCAAGAGAGTCCTACTGCAGAATGGTTATCTTTATTTTATTACATTTATTTATTTATTTTTTTAGACAGGATCTCACTCCGTCACCCAGGCTGGAGTGCCGTGGCACTATCATGGCTCACTGCAGCCTCTACCTCCACCGGCTCAGGTGATCCTCCCACCTGAGCCTCCTGAGTCACTAAGACTACAGGCACACACTACCAAGCCCGGCTAATTTTTGTATTTTTTTGTGAAGACGGGGTTTCGCTCTGTTGCCCAGACTGGTCTCAAACTCCTGGGTTCAAGTGATTTACCGACCTTGGCCTCCCAAAATGTTGGGATTACAGGCATGAGCCACCACTCCTAGCCAGGACTGTTATTTTTACATTGCAGATGAAGAAATTTTGGTCAGAGAGATGAAGTAGCTCTGCCAGTACACAGCATGGAATTGAAAGCAATGGGCCTGGCACTGACTGAGAGGTACTCACAGCTTGGGGCAGACTCCCATTTGGAGATGGGATCCTGAAGAAGCCTGGATGTTTGTGATGGCGGTCAACAGAGCTTCCAGAATGGTAAATCTGATCTTTTGTTTACAACCTTTCAAGAGGCCCTCATTGCCTTCCAGGTAAAACATCCAACCCTCAGTAGCTAGCCATCAAGTCCTTAGTCACCTGACCCACCATCATCTGTTTCATTTGTGTCACATCCCCCTTTTATAGGCTACGGTCTCTTTTTCTCTTGGCTGTTGCCCTTGCTGTCCCCTCTTCTTAAACACTCCCTCTGTCACCCCTTTGCTGACTCATCCTCATGCTTCAAGATGCAGACATCACCTCCTCCAGGAAGTCTTCTCTCCTGATGAATCCTCTGCTCCCACTCATTTCCACGCTCTCCAATCTGCACTTCCCTCCCTCAGAGCAGTTGATTAACAGTGTAACTCTATTATATAACCTGCTTAAATTCCTCCATCAGTAAAATGGCTATGATAATAATCGTACTTATAACGCAGCAGTGCAGCAAAGTGGAAAGAGACCATCCTCGCAGAGCCCTTTGCATGGGGCCTTGCTCAGAGTAAGCACTCAATGCATGTTAGCCAGTTAGCACTCTTTAAGTAATTCTCTGTTGAAGCCTCTGCCTCTTGCCAAAGATGCCATGCAGCACTGTATCTCCAGCACCTAGCCCAGTGCTGAGACACAGAGATGTTCAATAAAGGTGCAGGAACCAAAGCTTAGGCACATCTCTACCTATGTTTTTTTTTTTCTCTCCCCTCAGCAAACGAAAAGGAAGGGTTAGGTAGACCAATTATGTGAATAACTTAATTGGCGTTGTGTTTCACTAGCAACTGTGGTTTGAAGATGTGCAGTGACCTGCCCAGTACCACACAGATGGTATTAGGCAGAACAAGGACTTTCGTCCTCTTCATACCTAGGCTATCTCCTGCACAGCTACTTGATGGACTAAGGGAAGGGGACTTCTAAATTTTGAGGTGGGAGAAAGAGAGGAGAAAGAAGGTACCAAGAGTGAACCCCTATCTTTTTCTTTTTCTATTTTTTTTTTTTTGTGTGTGTGACAGTCTCGCTCTGATGCCCAGGCTGGAGTGCAGTGGCACAATCTCCGCTCACTGCAACCTCTGCCTCCCAGGTTCAAGCGATTCTCCTGCCTCAGCCTCCTGAGTAGCTGGGATTACAGGCACCTGCCACCATGCCTGGCTAATTTTTGTATTTTCAGTAGAGATGGGGTTTCACCATGTTGGCCAGACTGATCTTGACCTCAGGTGATCCACCTGCCTCAGCCTCCCAAAGTGCTGGAATTACAGGCATGCACCACTGCGCCCGGCCAAACCCCTGTCTTTATTTGGTTCTCTACAGCTGGTGTCTGAGACTTGGCTCTCTAAAGAGATGGTGAACTCTCAGAGAACAACTTCATGTACTAACAAGAGCAATACTAGCTCACTACGCTCCAGCCCCTGAGCTGGGCTGAACTCTTCGTGGTATCATTGTGTTTATGTGCACAGAAATCCTTATAGGTGGGAACTATGTTAATCTCCATTTTATGGATGAGGAAACTGAGATTAAGTAATTACCAAGGTTACCCTTAGTAAGTAGCAGGCCTGGAATTCAAACACAGGCCACAGGACACTAAAGCCCATGCATTAACCTCTGGGCAGTGCTGTCTTCCGTCTTTCCAATTCAAGTCACGTCAATTACTTGGCACAACTTTCCTTGGCACCTTCTGGTATAGGCATTATGCTAATACAGAGACACAGTGATTCCCAGAGGAAGAAATCAAGGAAGCCTACATACATACTGATTAGTCATTGCCAACATGAGTTTATGGAGTATTGACTTGTCCTAGGTGCAATCCTAGAAACCACACAGGTATTACATTTATTTAATTCTCACAGCAAACCTTTGTAATAGGTATTAGGGTTCCCCCCATTTTACAGATTGGGAAACTGAGGCTAATAGCATGCACAAGGGCACAGAATTCTTAAGTAGTAATGTCTGGATTTGAACAGAGTCATGATGCCGTGGTGCTTTGCAGGGTGGAGTAAGGCCAGAGGTCAGCATTTGGAATGGCCTTGGAGGGGGAAAAGGCCAGGGGGAGCTGGGTGCAGCCAGGAGAGGCAACTAAGGAGAGGGTACCCTGCACACCGTTACTGACTGGCAACGCTTACTGACTTGAATCCATGTGGCAATCCACGACCTGTGTCTGATATCATCTCTGGGAACGGGCTTGGAACACCCATGAGAAACAGAGCGCAATGGTTGAGCAATGCAGCCTCAACTCTTAGGAAATGGAAAATTCTGAAAAGGAAGGTTCTAGGAACTTGGAGAGGCACAGCCACAGGTCTGAGAGTCGCTTCCATTTCCTCGCTCACCCCTGAATCTGCCCTGCCGGTTCCTCCACTCTGAGCCTTTGCTGTTGCCTAGGGCTGTAAAATGCAGCCCCTTCCCTGCAGTCCTCCTCCGATCCCTGTTTGCCCATCAGGTTCCCTCACTGTCTGTGACAGCCCTGTCCCTCCCAACCAGTGCAGAACTGGCTGTGGACACGATTTCCAGCATCACTCTTTTTTGTTTTGTTTTTCACTTATGTGATTAAAAAAAATTTCAACTCTAATTTTGGATTCAGGAGGTACATGCGCAGGTTTGTTACTTGGATATATTGTGTGATGCTGAAGTTTGGGGTATGAATGATCCCATCACTCACCTAGTGAGCATAGTACCCAATAGGTAGTTTTGCAACCCTTGCCCTCCTTCCATCCTCCCCCTACTAGTAATCCCTGGTCTCTATTGTTGCCATCTTTATGTCCATGGGTACCCAATATTTGACTTCTACTTTATAAGTGAAAACATTTGATATTTTGTTTTCTGTTCCTGTATTAATTTGCTTAGGATAATGGCCTCCAGCTGCATCTATGTTGCTGCACAGGATATGATTTTGTTCCTTTTTATGGCTGTGTAGTATTTCCTGGTGTTTCTATACCATATTTTCTTTATTCAATCCACCGTTGATGGGCACCAGTTGGTTCCGTGTCTTTGCTATTGCGAATAGTCCTGCACTACTCTTGCAGGGCCAGCAGAGCCTGGGTTACATCTGGGCTCAGCGGACAGACCAACCTGGATTGAATCTGGCAGAGTAACTAAGACAGGGACCTAGAGAGCTCTAGATTTCACCAGGATCAGAGGCTCAAAGAGGTAAAACAAATCTCCCAGGCCACACAGATTGTTATTATTAGAGCATTCTTGTCCTGGTTCTGCTTGACCAATCCGAGCCTTTAAAATGGGGCTAGTGATACTTGTGTGAAATAGATGAGATAATGCTTACTAAAGGGTGTGGAACAGGGCACTCAGTCAGCGACATTAGCCCTGCTCCCCACCCACCCCATGTATCTCTTCAGATGTATGTGTCTTTTTTCTACAATGAAATCATAGGAAATTGAAGGTCAGAGAGTCTTCTTTAGCATATTTCAGTAACCCTTTGTGGGGCCTTGCCTATTGAAAAAAGGGCTGAAAAGATGTTGGTTAACAAAACAGCCTTCCAAAAAATGTTCAGAACCCAAAGCAAGGTCTACAGTCCCTGGGGCTGCCATGTCAAAATGATGTCCTTGTGGCCGTAGGGGTCGGGTTTCTGGAAAAACCTGTCCTGGAGACAGAGCCCAGCCCAGGGGAGTAGGGTGCTAGGCAGCTGTCCCGGAGGGAGACCCCATTTTTCTCTGCTCAGCTGGTTGGAAGGGAGCTGAATAGTCATTTAGGTGCTCGTTGCGACAGGCTGGGGTTGAGATAGGCAGCCTCAGACGGCCTGGATATTAATGTGGCTAATTATGTGGATTGCTTCACCAGGAGATGGGAGATAGAACTCCCCAGGAGTCCCAGTGGGAAGGCCCTGTGGGGCCCAGCCCTTGGTGTGCTCATTGCTGCTCTGTCTGGGAAAGCTGAGGTGCCCTGGCCAGTTCCTGAAGTGGCTGGTCCCTCCCAGCTGCTCCAAGTGACAGTCTGCATCTCTAGGATGATCTTGGTGTGGCTACAGAGGGAGAGATGGGGCCTCTGGGAGGAGAAAGCCAGGGCCAGGTAGAGTGGTGCTGACAGATGGCTTGATAATGATCAAAAGGTGCACCTCCCAGGCAAGGAGGAAAATGCCGCCCCCTGGAAATAGAGAAAAGAAAACTGCTGAGGATGTGTCTTTGTCAGGTACTATATTTGATCCAGAGAGGGAGAGTCTGGCTTTACCTTCTCTTCTGGCTCTGCAGGAAATAAAGGTTTGGGTTCTATTTCCTGTTCCCTATGGTTGGAATTGAACACACCTATAAAGTCCTATCAGGATTAGAGTCTGTCTATCTATCTATCTATCTATCTATCTATCTATCTATCTATCTATCAATAATCTATTTTCTTTGAGATGGAGTCTGGCTCTTGTTGCTCAGGCTGGAGTGGCATGATCTTGGCTCACTGCAACCTCCGTCTCCTGGGTTCAAGTGATTCTCCTGTCTCAGACTCCCGAGTAGCTGGGATTACAGGCACCTGCCACCACACCCGGCTAATTTTTTTTTTTTTTTTGTATTTTTAGTAGAGACAGGGTTTTGCCATGTTGGCCAGGCTGGTCTCAAACTCCTGACCTCATGAGCTGCCCGCCTTAGCCTCCCAAAATGCTGGAATTACAGGAATGAGCCACTGTGCCTGGCCTATTTTCATCTATCATCTATCTATCTATCTACATAGATATATATGTATATCTATGTATATAGATAGATTCTATATCTATATAGATATAGATAGATTCTATATCTATATAGATATAGATAGATTCTATATCTATATAGATATAGATAGATTCTATATCTATATAGATATAGATAGATTCTATATCTATATAGATATAGATAGATTCTATATCTATATAGATATAGATAGATTCTATATCTATATAGATATAGATAGATTCTATATCTATATAGATATAGATAGATTCTACATCTATATCTATCTACATATATATACATATATATATATATATATATATTTTTTTTTTTTGAGACGGAGTCTTGCTCTGTTGCCTAGGCCGGAGTGCTGTGGTGCAATCTCAGCTCACTGCAACCTTCACCTCCCAGGTTCAAGTGATTCTCCTGCCTCGGCCTCCCAAGTAGCTGGGATTACAGGCACCCACCACCACACCCAGCTAATTTTTGTATTTTTTTAGTAGAGATGGGGTTTCACCAAGTTGGCCAGGCTGGTCTTGAACTCCTGACCTCAGGCCTGCCTTGGCCTCCAAAAGTGCTGGGATTACAGACATGAGCCACTGCACCCTGCTGTCATCTATATTTCTATTTTCTTTCTTTTGATCAATTGAGCAATCTATCTATCATGCACCTACCTATCTACCTAACTTTCATCTATCAACATACTATCTCATGTTGGGACTTAAAAAAAAAAAGAAGAAAACCAAATATCCGTGCCATTTACAAAGCTGCTGATGGTATTTTACAGTGGATCAGCAACTACAAATTAGCAGAACAAATCTGGTTTATTTTTTGTATCTCTCCCCTCATGACACAAAGCTCGTTGCGTCTTCCATTCAAAGATGGTGGATTTGAGATTTGAGTAAACTCGGCTCAAAAGCAAGTCATCATGCCTAGTCAGTTAAGCAGAAACGAGGCCAAACTTTGGGAAGCGCCTCCAAGCCCGCTCTCACGAAACCAAGTGCTGTATCTGCTAACTGCTTTTTAGTTTGTTCCCTGGCTTTTTGGAAGCATCTTTGACTTCAGAAAACACTTGCTGTGTTTACACCTGTTAAAAAATTTTTTACAAGTTTTGAGAAAGCACTGTGTTGGCTGAAATTGTCATTTCTTTGGTGGTGTTTCAGGGGGATGAGGATGAGGGATGCACAAACCAAAATGAACTTGGCTTTCTCCTTTTAGAGCTGGAGAGCCTATTGCTTTTTGAGGATAAGACACTACAAGCTCCTTTATCATGCTAGACTGGAAAGTGTTTCTCCTTCCTTTGTAAGTTTCTTCCTCTCTCCAGCTGTTAGATGAGGCAAAACGTGAAGCTTTAAGCATGATGATTCTCAGTCTCCAGGAGATGCTAAATAAATGCTACCTTCCTTCTTGTCTCTCTTTTGTTGCCTGATCTCTCCTCATCATCACGACAGCATATCTCCCCACTGATCGACTGTAAGATGCCGTATTGATTTATTAACAGCTGTTATTTATTTTTGGCAAGGTTGGTGTGTGTGGTGGGGACAAATATTGATTGTACGTGGTACCCTGATTTCAGCAATGTTAGAGTTCAGAAACAAATCACATATCTTAGAATCGAAGGGACTCAGTAGCATTTTCAAGTGGACTCAGAAGCAATGTTGTTCAGAAAAAAGAGGCACAGGTCAGGGTCTTGGTAGCACTTGGTTTGTCTGTTGTCTGGGGATGTTTTTCTCCCGTGGCTTCTAGGACACAATTCTCTTTTTCTCTTACCTTGTTACTGATGTGTTTTTTCTCCATCACCTTTGCTGGATCCTCCTCCCCTTTCTGCCTTCATGTGGAAGTGCCCCAGGGCTCACTCCTGAGCCCTTTTCTTCTGTGTTTGCATAATGTCCTCCGATGATCCAATCCTGTTTCTTGGTTTTAAATATCATCTATACACGGGATGACTCCCAACACTTTTGTCTTGATAGCTTCACTTGGACATCTTAGACACTCCTCAAGCATAACATAATCGGAACTTTGGGTCTTCCTCTACTAACCTGCTTCCTTCTCTGTGTTCCCTTTTTCAGTTAACGGCACCCAGGGGCTCAAGCCCCAAACCAAAGAGCTGTCCTGGACTTACCTCTCTCACATCCATCATTTGAACCACGAGCAAATTCTATCGATTTCACTTTCAGAATATAGCCCCCCACCTCTCTCTGTCTCTGTCTCTGTCTCTCTTTATGTATATGTGTGTGTGTGTATATATATATATAAAACTAAAGCTCAGTGCCACTCACAAAGCTGCAGATGGGATTTTACAGTGCCAGCCTAGCCCCAGATGTCTTTAACTTCCATCTAGACTGCTACGGTGCCTTCTAATGGGGATCCCAACTCCCATCCTCACCCCCTAGAAGCCACACAGCAGGCAAAGCAATCTTTAAAGACAAATCAGATCATGTCACTCCTGATTCCAAGTCCTGCCTGGAAAGATTGGTGGACTGGTCTATGGAGAGGACAAAAGTATTATTTCATAAATGTTTACAATGTTTTATACTTTATATATTTTTAAGGCAAACTTAGTTATTTTGTGTTAATTTTTATTGATGAATATCGGATTATGTAAACCAAAGATTCCCGGATGCCTGGTATGACGCCTGGCACAATAGCAGGTGTGCAATCAAAGTTTTTTTTTTTTTTTTTTTAGACAGAGTCTTGCTATGCTGCCCAGGCTAGAATGCAGAGGCACTATCTCAACTCACTGCAACCATGCCTCTCAGGTTCCAGTGATTCTCCTGCCTCAGCTTCCCAAGTAGCTGGGACTACAGGCATGCACCACCACACCTGGCTGATTTTTGTATTTTTAGTAGAGATGGGGTTTACCATGTTGGCCAAGCTGGTCTCAAACTCCTGAGCTCAGGCAATTCGTCACCTCAGCCTCCCAAACTTCTGCAATTACAGATGTGAGCCACCACGCCCAGCCAATAAATGGTTGTTGAAAGGATGAACAAGCAATCCTGACTCAGATTCTAATTTGTCATGTGACCTGGAAGTGTCTCTTTTTTTCTCTGGGCCTGAGTTTTCTCCTTTGGTAAAGTGATTGCTGTGATCCATGATGCAGCCTGATATTTTCTTTCTCTTCTCTTTCATGTAAGAAATGGCTACTCATAAATGACCAAAATGATTTCATGATTTGCTGATGTGTGTAGATCCAGTGGAAAACGTTGTCTGGCCATGTCAGAGCTGCCAGGCTCTGCAGATTGCTGAGAGCAGGCCGCGTGTTCTGCAGATCGGAGAAGCACTACCATGCAATGGCTCTGGAGCCAGAACCTGGCGCTTCTTTGCAGTGTGATTGCAGGCGAGTCAGCCAGCCTCTCTGAGCCCTGGTTTTCTCTGAGCCCTGGTTTTCTCATCTATAACCTGGGGAGTCTAACATTTTTCTTTGACAGCCAGGGTTCCAGCTGACCTAGTATGATGCCCAGATCAACAGCTAACCTTCATTGTGTGTTTACTGTGTGGGCTTACTGTGCCGTGTGCTTTACAGAATTGGTTCAGTGGTTCTCAGCCCTGGTTGCATATTTGAATCATATAGGTAAAAAATGTGAATGTCCAGGCTCCACTTGATATAGGTGAAGTCAAAATTTGTGGGGTCAAAGCTTGAACATTGGATTTAAAAGCTCCCCAGGTGATTCAAATGTGCAGTCAATGCTGAGAATCATTGTATTAAGTCAATCAATTATTTATTTATTTATTTATTTTTGAGATGGTATCTGGCTCTTGTTGCCCAGGCTGGAGTGCAGTGGCATGATCTCGGCTCACTGCAACCTCTGCCTCCCGGGGTTCAAGTGATTCTCCTGCCTCAGCCTCCCGAGTAGCTGGGATTACAGGCATGCGCCACCACGCCTGGCTAATTTTTGTGTTTTTAGTAGAGACGGGGTTTCACCATGTTGTCCAGGCTGGTCTCAAACTCCTGACCTCAAGTGATCCACCCACCTCGGACCCCCAAAGTGCTGGGATTACAGGCATGAGCTACCACACCCGGCCAAGTGAATTCATTCTTAACCCTATGTAGTAGGTACTAATGGTATGTACACCTGTGTTTTAGTTAAGTAAATCAAGGCACAGAGAGTTAATTTGCCTTGGCAGGCATTCAAACTCTAGCAATCTGTCTTGACAGCTTCACTTGGACATCTTAGAGAGTCCTCAAACATAACAAATTCAGAATCAAACTTCGGGTTTTTTTTTTAAGAAATAAATGTTTTATTCTTCCAACTAAATTTCAGTACTACAAGGGCAGTAAAACAGTGATACACTAGAAAAAAATGCAGCAATAAACATTTGTTTAAATGGCTGATAGAATAAATAAAACTACCAAAAAAAATCCTATAAACTCATTCAGAAATCCCAAGAAGTCCTGGAATACAGAAATGCCCTCCTCCATGACTATTTCACAGGATGCACTGCAGGCTATTTGCTCAATATTGTCCTGGGATTACTTTCTTTTTTGAGATGGAGTTTTGCTTTTGTTGCCCAGGCTGGAGTGCAATGGTGTGATCCTGGGATTACTTTCTAAAATTAATAACTGCTTACAGCTTGGTTGTAGCCCACAATTAAAATCACATTAACTTCATCTGAAGTTAGTTTGGGAAGACGTATTAGAATGAGCATTCTGCTGGTAAGGATGCCGTAGAGCTTGAAAGATTTGGAGGCTGGCCTGAGGTCACTCAGTAAGGTTTTGGCAGAGCTGTGGGGCTAGAACTCAGGAACCTTGGTCCTTGTTTAGGCAAATTGCCACTGCAGTGGGCTACCCTATTTGGTCAAGTATAACATACCATCAGTTGTGAGATGCTGCTGTGGGAGGGATGTGACATCTGTGAAGAATGTATGGCCCATTCTGCTCCACTCTGGACTTCCTTGGGCTGGGAGGATGGGGGCTGGTGCTGGGGAGATGGGGACCCACATCAGGGAGGCAGGTTGAAGAGAAGCAGGCCCCTCTGGGACCCACATTTCTTCCTGCTGCCTTCGTCACCAGGCTGAGGTTGTGTTGGCTTTGGCATGGTGCTTTCCCTCTATTCCACTATTAGAATTAATTATTATTATTATTATTATTTTGTAGAGGCAGGGTCTCACTATGTTGCCCAGGCTGGTTGCAAACTTCTGGGCTCAAGCAATCCTTCCGTCTTGGCCTCCCCAAATGCTGGGATTACTGGTTTGAGCCACCGAGCCTGGCCTTTATTAGAATTTTAAGCAGCTAGGCGCAGTGGCTCACGCCTGTAATCCCAGCACTTTGGGAGGATGAGGCCGGCAGATTTACCTGAGTTCAGGAGTTCAAGACCAACCTGGCCAACGTGGCGAAACCCTGTTTCTATTAAAAAAATACAAAAATTAGCCTGGTGTGATGCCTGTAATCCCAGCTACTTGGGAGGCTGAGGCAGGAGAATGGCTTGAATCCGGAGGCAGAGGTTGCAGTGAGCCAAAATAGTCCCACTGCACTCCAGCCTGGGTGACAGAGCAAGACTCTGTCTCAAAAAAAAATAAATAAATAAAAGAATTTTAAAAAATAACACACGTGTATTACTTTTGTAATAATAATGATGATGATTTTAAAATGTCCCACCAACCTCAATGAAGTGTTAGGAAGAGAGGTAATGAAATAGACACGAAAAGCCCCTAATACCAGGCTCATAGAAGATCTTAGGCCAATATCAAGAAATTCTAGACATATCTTTCATCTTCTCATCCCAAGAAGGGGGTTGGCATGGGAAAGGGGAGGGTGACGAGCCGAGCAGTGCCACTTCCTCTCCCCTGCACAGGTCCTGCACCAGCTCCCTGCCTTTTCTTAGGTGGGGTCACCTGCCTTTTTTATTTTATTATTATTATTATTATACTTTTAAGTTTTAGGGTACATGTGCACAATGTGCAGGTTAGTTACATATGTATACATGTGCCATGCTGGTGTGCTGCACCCATTAACTCGTCATTTAGCATTAGGTATATCTCCCAATGCTATCCCTCCCCCCTCCCCCACCCCACAACAGTCCCCAATGTGTGATGTTCCCCTTCCTGTGTCCATGTGTTCTCATTGTTCAATTCCCACCTATGAGTGAGAACATGCGGTGTTTGGTTTTTTGTCCTTGCGATAGTTTACTGAGAATGATGATTTCCAATTTCATCCATGTCCCTACAAAGGACATGAACTCATCCTTTTTTATGGCTGCATAGTATTCCATGGTGTATATGTGCCACATTTTCTTAATCCAGTCTATCATTGTTGGACATTTGGGTTGGTTCCAAGTCTTTGCTATTGTGAATAGTGCCGCAGTAAACATACGTGTGCATGTGTCTTTATAGCAGCATGATTTATAGTCCTTTGGGTATATACACAGTAATGGGATGACTAGGTCAAATGGTATTTCTAGTTCTAGACCCCTGAGGAATCGCCCACTGACTTCCACAATGGTTGAACTAGTTTACAGTCCCACCAACAGCGTAAAAGTGTTCCTGTTTCTCCATATCCTCTCGCCTGCCTTTTTAAGGCAGCAGCACATGGTGTCCCAGGGATGGGGGAGGGGAGAGCCCTGCTCAGGCGGGCTGTGGCTTTCCCATCTCCACACTTACGTTGACTCAGTTTCCTTTACTAGAATGCCCTTCCCGCACTTCCCCTTGTTGCAATTCATTCATTCATTTATTCATTCATGCAACAAGCATTTATGAAACACTCACAAAGGACCAGATATTAGCTATCAGGCCCCAGGCATGAGAATCATCGTGAGTCATGGGTCTTCCTTTAAAGAGCTTGGAACTCAGAAGAGGAAAACAGATGTTTGAACCAGTGAGTGTGCCACAGCGGTGCAGGTACACGGATGGATGGATGGGGAAAGTGTTAGCGGGCCCTTCTGTATTTTATTTTATATTTTTAGAGACAGGGTCTCGCTGTGTCACTCGTGGAGTGCAGTGGCACTATCTTGGCTCACTGCAGCCTCGACCTGCTAGGTTCGAGTGATCCTCTCACCTGAGTACCCGAAGTAGCTGGGACCACAAGCCTGTGCCACCATGCCGGGCTAAATTTTGTATTTTTTTGTAGAGATGGGGTTTTGCCATGTTGCCCAGGCTGGTCTCGAACTCCTGAGCTCAGGCAATCTGCCCGTCTCTCTGTATTTAATTTCCTTATCTCTAAAGTGGGGAGGGTAGAAGTGCCCTTCTCATGGGGCTATTGTGAAAACTGAAATGAGTTCCTGAATGTTTCAGAGCGCTCAGAGCAGCAGGAGCTGTATCAGTGCCGGCAGGCCCTGGGACCCGCCACTGCTGGAAGGCAGTCGCTTTAGAGGCTGGGTCTCCTCCCACTGGCTTCTCTACCTGGTGCCTCCAGCAAGTTATTCATTTTTCTTTTCTTTTTTTTTTTTTCTGGGCTCACACAAAGCGTTCCCAAACCCTGTGTACCTGGTGGATCCTTCTAAAATATTTGGTGGAAGGAATAAACCTCTCTGTGCCTTAGTTTCCTCAACCGGACAGTGAAGAAGATATAATATGCCCTCTATACTTCATGGAGCTCTTGTTGAAATAACATGAGAGTGGCATTAACCCTATGAAACAGGGAGGGGGCCAGGATGTTCTACCATTTTACAAAAGAGAAAACTCCCTCAGAGATGTTTAGTGAGCTGTCTAATTTTGCACAGCCAGCCTGAGGCAGTTGGAAAATATTTCTCTGAACTTTGACCTATAGTTTCCCTTCCCTCCTGCGCCCTTCTATCCCCCAACAGATAAGCCATGGACAAGACCGCTTTCTAGTTTCCCCTCCAGGGATTCTGTTTCCTTCCTTTGGTACTGGTAAGGAAGCTTGGGTAAAGTGGCTGGCACTCAGGCAGCCTACCAGAGCTCAGTGGCTTTCTCCCAGCCTCCCATCAGATGCCTGAGGCCCCCTCCCTCCCCCACACCCCTGGGCTCTTTTTCGAAACACATAGAAAAGGGTCAGGAAGATGGGTTCTCTTCGGGCTAGAGATGTTTACTGGGTCAGGCTGATGGATTGCAAAATGGAGATTGGGCAAGGGTACAGAGGGCAGGACCCAGGATCTCAGGGCTATGGTTGGACCCCAGCAGACCCTAAGGCCATGGCCCAGTGCCCTGTCAATCTAGGTGATAGGTGTTCCTCAGATCCCATCACTTCCGAGGGCAGCGAAGCTCTGAGGGCCCCTTAGAGCCCACAGCCCAGGTGGTTGCGGGGCTTGAGGCACATACAGCGACGCCTGGCATCTAGTGAGTGCTCGCCCATGCTGGCTCCCGTCATTACCGAGTTCTCTGGCTGGCATTGCCATCCACCAGCTCCATCAGAACACGGCCCACCTGCACCCGGGCGCTGCCTCCCTCGGTGACTGGTCCCACCACGCACCCACGGGAGGGTAAAACTGGCTCTGCGGACATCC
Organism: Homo sapiens; assembly: GCF_000001405.40. Taxonomy (NCBI): domain Eukaryota; kingdom Metazoa; phylum Chordata; class Mammalia; order Primates; family Hominidae; genus Homo; species Homo sapiens. The sequence goes on from NC_000008.11 coordinate 125,486,336, forward strand.
CGACATCCCGACATCCCCACATCCCGAGAGGGGCAGGGGGAGCTCTCAGGCCCTAAAATAGCTGCTGAGCAAGACTTGGCTTCTCTCCTTTGGGTTGAGAGTTTACCCGGCTTTTTGGAGATGCTAGAGTCTACACTGAGCAGGTTTCAGCAGTCAAATGTGTCCCTCCATTCCAGGAACCGAGGTGTTGGAATGGTAGCAATGGACATGGACAAATGGTGGAAGCAGGAGGCGGAAGAGAATCCGCTCAGAAGTTAAGAGGCCTGGACTCTCACACTGATCACGTGACTCGCACCTTCCGTTTCCCAGAATAGCGGCCACAATTCCTGCAGAATCCCTCCTGAGGGGTCTTGGAAAGATGCAAATGATGTAATGAGCAGAAGCAGGGGATTGACTTCCAAGCTCTGCCACTTATTAGCTTTGTGGTCACTTACGCCCTCCGCAAGCCCCAGTGTTTTCACCTGTACAATGGGGGATTACAATACCAACTGCCAGAGTGGATGCAGGTGGCGTGCAGACTCTAATCACAGCAGTGAATGCAAGAAGGAAGGTGGAAGGTGGTGGCGAGGTCCTGAAATGGGCGTCCATGTGGACTTGCACACACCGTGACAACCCCAGAAAATGGTTAGTGTTTTACACTCTTTCATCTGGATTTAAGAGCCAGTCGAGCATGAGGTGTCACTTTGCAGTGTGTTTAGGAGTCTCCCTGGTGAGACTGGTGTAGCACCAGACACTCAGGCAAATGCTGCCCAGTAAACCACAGTGGTCAAGAACGTGGATTCTGGAGCCAGACTGCCTAGGTTCAAATCCCGGCTTTGCCTCTTTCTAGTTGTGTAACATTGAGCAAGTCACTTAACCTGTCTGTATTTTATTTCCTAATCTCTAGAGTGGGGAGAGGAGCAGTGCCCTCCCCTCTCCCATAGGGCTGTTGTGAAAATTGAAATGAGTTAATGAATGTTTCAGAGCACTTGGAGCAGCGAGTTGTATCAGTGCTTCGTAAGTAAAATAAATGACAGGTCATCCTGGGCCCTTCCTCAAGGCCCAGCTCCCTATGTCTAGCGACTATCAGGGGGTGTAGACAAGGAGAAAGTAGCTTTTATTATTTATTTATTTCTGAGACAGAGTCTCACTCTGTTGCCCAGGCTGGAGTGCAGTGGTGTGATTTTGGCTCACTACAACTGCTGCCTCCCGGGTTCAAGCGATTCTCCTGCCTCAGCCTCCTGAGTAGCTGGGATTACAGGCATGCGCCACCACACCTAGCTAATTTTTTTTGTATTTTTAGTAGAGACGGGGTTGCATCGTATTGGCTGGGCTGGTCTTGAACTCCTGACCTCAAGTGATCTGCCCACCTCGGCCTCCCAAAGTGCTAGGATTATAGGCACGAGCCATGGCACCCGGACTTATTTTTTATTTTTATTTTTGTAGAGATGGGGATCTCACTGTATTGCCCAGGCTGGTCTCAAACTCCTATCCTCAAATGATCCTTCTGCCTCGACCTCCCAAACTTGGGATTACAGGCGTGAGCCACTGTGCCTGGCCAGAAAGCAGGCATTTAATCACTGTTATCCTCAAATGGTTAGGTGAGAAAAAGGGAGGAAGGTAGAAATGGCTTGCCTACTTTGGGCTTTAAAGAAGTGAGGTCTGTTTCCTGCACCTACCACTTTGGGAAATATTTGTTTTTTGGCAGCAGGTAACCAGAAACCAGAGCTGGTCAAACTGGGGCACACACATACACACCACCCTGCCCCAATCTCTGGTTTAAGCTCTTCTGGCCATCTGTTCAGGCAGGGTGGGAAAACTTTCACAAAGCAGGCAGGTCCCAGGCCCCCCAGGCCCCAGGGGCTGGCCTTAGAGTCCAAAGACCTGATTCTGGTTCTAGGCTAGCTTTGGTCCTGAGACAATGTCCTCAAAGCTCTCTGAGCTTCCGTCTGCCCTTTGGTAAAATGGGGATTGTCATTAACACACCATTGGAGATAACAGATGCAAACCTGTTGTAAACAGGAAATCTCAGTATGCTCAGAACGGTGGGTAAGGGGTTATCGGTGAGTAGAACTTCCAGGGCACCAGGCAACTGTCCGCTGTGAGATTTCTGCACAGCCTGGCCTCTGGAGGTGTCCAAACCTTCAGCTGCTGGTGTTGAGGCTCAGGAAGCCTGGCCTCTGGAGGTGTCCAAACCTTCAGCTGCTGGTGTTGAGGCTCAGGAAAACCTCACATGCTGGAACTTGGCAGGCAGATGACTGGCCATGGGCATTGTTGGGTGAGGCCATACCCATGATCTGCAGTCAGGAGACCTGAGTTCTTTTCTGGATCCTGCCACTGTGTGGCTTTGGGCAGGTCACTTCTTTGAGCCCCATCTCATCTTCTGCGAAATGAGAGGATGGTGGCAGGAAGCAATGCAGTCTGGCAAGATATAGGCCAACGAGGTAATATATGTGAAATAATTTTGCAAACCATAGGGGTTACAGCATGGAAATAGCCCTGGTCAGGAGTTTGGGCTCTAGCCCTGCCTCTGGAGCAAGCATGATGTGTGACTTTGGGCAAGTCACTGCTCCTCTCTGAGCCTCATTTTCTTCATCTGTAAACTGAGAGTCTGGGACTATATCAGTAGTTCCCAAACTGGATACACGTTAGAATCAACCTGGGCCAGGTGCGGTGGCTCACACCTGTAATCCCAGCACTTTGGGAGGCTGAGGTGGGTGGATCACTTGAGTGTAGGAGTTTGAGATCAGCCTGGGTAACATGGCGAAACCTTGTCTCTGCAAAAAATACAAAAATTAGCCAGGCATGGTGGTACTCGCCTGTAGCCCCAGCTAATTGGGAGGCTGAGGTGGGAAGATGGCTTGAGCCCAGGAGGCCAAGCCTGCAGTGAGCCATGATGCACCACTGTACTCTAGCTTGGGCAACACAGTGAGACCCTGTCTGAAAAAAAAAAAAAAAATCAACCTGAGAGGATGGATATAAGAGATGCTGATGCCCCCACTCCATCCCAGAACCACTTAATCAGAATATCTGGGGTGGGGCATTTTATAAGCTACCCAGGTGTTGCCAGTGTATAACCAGGATTGGGGATATCTGGTCCAGGTGATACAGGAGGTTCCTTTTGGCTTGAGCTTGTTTGATTTCTAGGAAGTTCTTGGGGTATAGAGTTCACAGATGCTTCCAACACTGGGGCCACCATCCTCCTCCCTGCTGAGAATGATAAATTCCTGCCCAACCGTGGAGCCTATGATCTCAACTCTGGCTGTGCACTAGAATTTCCTAGGAAGCTTTTAAAAACCTTCCATGACTCAACCCCACCCAAAGCAAGTTAATACAATCTTTGCGGATGGTTCAGCCCTAGTTTGAAAAAGCTCCCCAGGTGATTCTAATGTGCAAAGTGGCGAACCACTGCTTTGAGAACAGCCAATGAGCCAAGAAAACAGACAGCCCTCCGCCTGGCCCCTTCCTTTTCCTCCTCAGAATGCTCATAGTCTGATGTGGGTTGTCGACTTCCTTACCCTGGACAGTGTGCTCTGAGTGAGGCACATGTTTAATGGCTAAGATCATGGACTCTGAAGCCAGGTGGGTTTCAGTTCCAACCCTATCATCTTATTAGCTGTGTAACTTAGGAAAAATCATGTAACCTTTCTAAGCTTCAGTTTCCCTATATGTAAAATGGGGACAGTATCCACCTCATGGAGCTGTGGGGATTGAATGGGTTCACGCACAGAAAGTCCACAGAACAAGGCTTGGTCCATGGTGAGTAGCAGCTATAATTTGAGAGAGGGTGTGCGTCTAGTTCATGTCCAGACCCCAATGTTAGAGTCTGATAGCTCCAACAATGATCTGGATTTAAGATTGGATTTAACAGGAACCTATGTGTAAAAGATAGATAGGCTCATGACCCATATTTCTAGATATCCTGCCTGACCTTATTTCCCATAAAGTTTGTTTGCTAATCCTGCAGTTATTAATCTTGGTTGTGGATCAGAATCACTGGGAGAACCTTTGAAAATGTAGATTACCAGCCCAATCCCCTCCCACTTCCCCATCCCAATCAAAATTCTTATTCAGCAGGGACGTGGGATTTGGACACGCTCCTCAAGTAACTTTAATGTTCAGCCAGGGCTGAGAAACACGGCATTCAATATATAACTTGGTATGAGCCTGTTGGTTCACCTTTGTCCACACATTCATGAATCGGAGGGAAGACCTTTGTTAGTCTGGGACTGTGGATTGTTGATTCAGAAAATATAACTTTACCAGATTATTTTCTATGCTGGGAAGTTTTCCATGGAGGCATTTATACTTTTTTGCCTTGCGGTAGCTTGAAAACTGTATTTTTTGGCAATTTCTATCAAGAGGCAGAGCCTGTTTCCTTCTTCTTGACCCTGTGCTGGTCTCGTGAGTTGCTCTGACCAGCAGGTTCTGTGGCTTTCAACTTTTTGGAAGGCTCTCCTGAGACCACTATGTAAGCGAAGCATTTAGCAGACTGGAGGATGAGAGACCATGTGGAGGAGAGCCAAGGTGACCAGCCAATAGCTAGCACTGGAGTCATGAGTGAGGCCATCTTTCACTTTCTGACCAAAGTCACTTGCACTGACCACCCAGCAAAGTACAGCCATGTGAGTGAGACCAGCCAAAATCAGCAGAAAAACTGTCTGGCCAACCAGCAGAATTGTGAGAAATAAGAAATAGTCATTTTAAGCGAGTATGTTTGGGTTTGTTACATAGTAATAGATACCAGAAATAGACCTTATCCACCCCTTTCAATTCCTGATCTGTATCAGCAGGAAAGGTAGCCAGAATAAGGGGTAAAATGGATGAAATGGAAAACACTAACTCTCTCAACCCCCTAGGGGTTGAACCTGTGTCCCAGCTTAGCCTAAGAAGCTACATAGCCCCAGATGCCCATGTGTGGATAACTGAGGCCAAGGTGATGCAGACCTCACCTGCCTGTTGGTCTTTGGAAGCCTCATTTTGTAGGTGACCCGAGGCTCCAACTGTCCTCAGCATCTTCTGTTTGCATTTGTGACAATATCCGTTCTGTGGCCCTTGGGTCTTGGGAAAACATGGCGCAATCATAAATGAGTTAAATGCTATCTGATCATAAGCCAGAGGGCCTGTTTTCATTTTCAAAACTCCGTGTGTCAGTGGCTGTAATGCAATGTCCAGCAATGTCTTGAGCAAGTGACCGGCAGGGGACAGAGGATGCTGTTTACTCAAGATAGCCCCATCACGCAAAAGCAGCTTGCCTAACCGGGTTTGTAAGCGATTGTTACGAGACCACCGTTGCAACAGGGATTGCCCTGGGTGATGGTCCCAGGAAGGGGCTGGTCCCCTCAGGCCAGATTTGGGGCTATCTCCCTCTTTCTGGAGCCCTCTGGGACCCTGGGCCTCTGGCAAAGAGCAGAGAAAAAGCATTGTTGGGAAATCCCACTCAGATGTGGAGTTGTCCTCCTAAGGAAGGGTGCCCTGGGGAGAAGGGCTTCATGCTACCCTGAGAGGAGACAGCCTCCTGTGTCAGAGGAGGCTGGAGGGGTGGCTAGGGACCTGCAGAGGCGGAGGATGGTGTGGTATGGTTGCTGAGCAAGAACATGGTGACTCGGGGTTTTGAAAGGCTTGGTCTGGGTAATGGTTCTGAGTTTGGGAGTGGTCATTGTTTCTCCAGCACCAAAATTATGGTGGGTGGGTGATCACATGCATATGGCTGACCCCTATGGGTATTTTCCTGAAGGTCAAACTATTAAATCCTTTATCCTTTCACCCCTTCCCTCTTGGCGAAGATCTGAGTTACAACCACCGTCACCACCACCACCACCACCACCACCATCACCATCACCATCATCACCACCACCATATCCACCTCTTTATCTGAACAGCTTCTTAAGATTTAAAAGCTCTTTCACATGGTTTCTCAATTAATCCTCACAACAACTCCAAGAGATAAGCATCACGACACCCATTTTATACCTGGTGAAATCGAGACTCAGAGACGTTAAATGTCTGACGCAAGACTCTTGGTCAGTGTGTCCCATAGAAATATAAAGTGGGCCAGAAATGAGAGCGGCATACATAATTTGACATTTTCTGGTAGTCATAATTAAAAAGTAAAATTAATTTCAATAATATATTTTAACCTAATAGATCAAAATTGTTATCATTTCAATATGCAATCAATGTAAAAATTATTGAACAATTTTACGTACTTTTTCATATAAAGTCTTTGAAGTCTGGGGTATATTTTGTACTTATAGTACATCTCAATCTGGACTAGTCAATTTTAAGTGCTCAGCAGCCATAGGTGGCTAGTGGCTGCTGTGTTGGAAGACACAATTCTAGATTTTTTTTTTATTATTATACTTTTAAGTTCTAGGGTACATGTGCACAAGGTGCAGGTTTGTTACTTATGTATACATGTGCCATGTTGGTGTGCTGCACCCATTAACTCATCATTTACATTAGGTATATCTCCTAATGCTATCCCTCCCCCCTCCCCCCACCCCACGACATGCCCTGGTGTGTAATGTTCCCCACCCTGTGTCCAAGTGTTCTCATTGTTCAGTTCCCACCTATGAGTGAGAACATGTGGTGTTTGGTTTTCTGTCCTTGTGATAGTTTGCTCAGAATGATGGTTTCCAGCTTCATCCATGTCCCTACAAAGGACATGAACTCATCCTTTTTTATGGCTGCATAGTATTCCATGGTGTATATGTGCCACATTTTCTTAATCCAGTCTATCATTGATGGACATTTGGGTTGGTTCCAAGTCTTTGCTATTGTGAATAGTGCCTCAATAAACATACATGTGCATGTGTCTTTATAGTAGCATGATTTATAATCCTTTGGGTATATACCCAGTAATGGGATCGCTGGGTCAAATGGTATTTCTAGTTCTAGATCCTTGAGGAATCACCACACTGTCTTCCACAATGGCTGAACTAGTTTACACTCCCACCAACGGTGTAAAAGCATTCCTACACAATTCTAGATATTTTTGTCCTTCCTCAAAGCTTCTCTGCTCTTCCATAATATGCATCATATTTTCTCCATTTCTAAAAGGGGGTGTTTGGGCCAAGGAGTTTCCAAGGTCTTTTTCAGTTCTAAGGTTTTCTGATTCCAGAGCAAAGCCAGAATTCTGCCCAGGCTCCGCTTAGCCCCATGACACAGAGGGTCCCAGACATATGGAGAAAGAACTGTGAAAACGTCTTCACACTAGAAGTTTGTGTTTCTTTTCCTATGGTCTACAGGGGCAAACAGAGACAGATACACAGACATGGACAGGAGGACTCCTAGGCTCCCAGATACAGTTGCATGACCCACAGGAACAAAGACACAGACACAGCGCCCAGGGGAGTGTTCTGAGCATGTTCTTTGTGTTCTTGCATGTGTAACCCTGATGTTGAGGGGAGTCGTCCTGCCCCTTAAGGGCCAGATGAAGTTGCCACAGACACCCCAAACCCCAACTCCAATCCATCTCCTCCATTTGTTTCTTTTATATGTAGATATGCACGTGTGTGTGTGCACACAAGTCACCCTCTATGTGTGGATATTGGGTCACTGCAGAAGAAGTGTTTCTGGTCCGGGCACGGTGGCTCACGCCTGCAATCCCAGTACTTTGAGAGGCCCAGGTGGGTGGGTCACGAGGTCAGGAGATCGAGACCATCCTGGCTAACACGGTGAAACCCGTCTCTACTAAAAATACAAAAAATTAGCCGGGCACGGTGGTGGGCGCCTGTAGTCCCAGCTACTCGGGAGGCTGAGGCAGAAGAATGGTGTGGACCTGGGAGGCAGAGCTTGCAGTGAACTGAGATAGCACCATTGTACTCCAGCTCAGGCGACAGAGTGAGACTCCGTCTCAAAGAAGAAAAAAAAAAAAAAAAGTGTTTCTGACCATGGGCTGTTGTTAAGCAAAGTTTGACTGTCCCAGCTCAAGAGACCTCATGGCCTCTGGCCAGCCACCTCTGTGACTGTCTCCTCAGCCACTTTGATACTGCCTCCATTTCTCCAACTGTCAAATGATGTTTTTGTTCCTCACAGCCAATCTCGCAAATCCTGCATTTCTCTCTCTCTCTCTTTTTTTTTTTTTTTTTTGAGATGGAGTCTCGCCATGTCACCCAGGCAGGAGTGCAGTGGCGCAATCTTGGCTCACTGCGGCCTCTGCCTCCTGGGTTCAAGCGACTCTCCTGCCTCAGCCTCCCAAGTAGCTGGGATTACACGTGCCTGCCACTATGCCCGGCTAATTTTTTGTTTTTAGTAGAGACTGGGTTTCACCATGTTGGCCAGGCTGATCTCAGGTGATCCGCCCACCTCAGCCTCCCGAAGTGCTAGGCTTACAGGCATGAGCCACCACACCTGGCCCAAACCCTTCATTTCTTTGCTCTTGACACTACAGAGCTCTCCCAGGATTTTTTTTTTTTTCCTTCCACGTGCAACCTCATAGATCTTTCTTTGGTCTCTGTATGTCACAAATCCCCAGGAACTTCAAACTTTAGGAGATGCTCCTGAAGATTTTCTGGGCTTTTTCCTTTCCCTCCCACTGCACAGCTCCTCCCTGATTACTGTAGACCCTCCAGGTCCCTCCCAGTCTCATCTTGCCTCCTGAGTAGCTATCAAGGGATTTATAATCACTTCAGAGTACCTTGCCAAAGGTCATGCAACTCTGCCCTGGTCTGCTCTGGTCTTCCTCCCCTCTCTTCAAGGCTTCCTGGTCTGGGTCTGTGCCCGGCGGCCAGTTCTCCATCAGCAGGGTAGAGCTGTGTGTGGAGTAGGTTCCTCCCTGGGTAACAGGTAATGTGGACAGATAGAAGGCCAGGATCTGGATGCAAAGGGCAGAGTGACTGGTGGTGAGACACTGTGCTGTAGAGTGGTGGGAGGGGCTGGTCCGAGCCTTTCGCCCATTCCACCCCAAGGGCAGCGGCAACTCATGCTATCTTCAGGGCAGGCTGTTAATTAATTATGAGGGACTGTGGCCTTAGAAAGAAGGGTGCTGGGTCTGAGTGTCTGGACACTTTCTCCAGTTCCCTTGCACCCATCTAAGTGAGGGAGCCTGGCTCAGCCACTTCAGAGTCATTGGTCACCCTGATTAGCTCACCCTGGATGGAGGATGTTCCCTGAGTGTCTCTTCTTGGCCCCTGGAGGCATTGCCTAACACCATGTTTGCCAAATGATCCACATGGTCCAGTGTTTTGAAATGAAGTTTTTAAAGAGAAGGCAAAGGCAATTTTTTTGGAGGGGGTGGGTGGTTGTTTTGTTTTCTTTGTTTTCCCCATAGAGCAGAATTTCTTTGCATCATGAGAGAGTTGTGTGATCTCAGGTAGATAAATCTGTCCTAACTCAGAAAGGAGAAGTGTGACTAGACTCTCACCGGCCTTCAGGAGACGTCAGTTCTCTTCCCAAAGTAATTGCATGATGGTGAAAGTGGTTTCTGAAGCTCAGTTTATGAAGTGGAGAGGGCGAGGGAAGAGGCTACTGGGTCCTGAATGGTGAGGACTTGTAAAAGGGCAGCGGCTAATAGAATAAATGCTTCAACCAGCATTAGGATTAGGGGTGGGTGCACACAGTGGATGCTGGCGTTAGGGTGGGTTGTTCTTGGGGGTGTAGGGAGTGGGAGAGTGTTACATGGGGCAATGGTATTACACAGTGGTGTTCAGGTGGGACTTGGGGTGTATGTGTGTTTTGTTTGGGGTGTAGGATTAGGATGTGAATAGGGTATTAAGAGTGCATTCAGGCCAGGTGTGGTGGCATAGCCTGTAATTCCAGCACTTTGGGAGGCCGAGGCAGGCAGATTGCTTGAGTCCAGAAGTTCGAGACCAGCCTAAGCAACATGGCAAAACCCCATGTCTACAAAAAAAAAAAAAAAAAAAAAAAAATAGCTGTGCGTGGTGGCATGCACCTGTGGTTCCAGCTAAGGTGGGAGGATTGCTTGAGCCTGGGGAGGTAGAGGCTGTGGTGAGATGTGATCATGTCACTGCACTCCAACCTGGGTAACAGAGTGAGACCCTGTCTCAAGAAAAAAAAAAAAAGTGCATTCAGCAGCAAGCAATAGAAAACCCAGCCCCCAGAAGCTTAAATAATTAGGGGATTGTTTTTCTCACAAAACAAGAAATTTGGAGGTAGACAGGGAAGAGCTGGGGCAGAAACTCAACCATGGCATTGAGACCCAGGCTCTTTTCATCTTCTCTGCCCCGTTGTAGAGTATTGACTTTCATCTTTCTGGGAAGGGGCTGCTGTACCTCCAGGCATCATGGCCATAGGCGAGGCAGGAGGAAGGAGCAGTACATCACACCAGCTGGGGCTGTTTACTTTTATTGGGAAAGTCATAAACTTTCCCAGACGCCTCTTCCCAGCAGACTTCTGCTTATATTTCACTGGTCACGACTGGGCCGCACGATGACCCTTCACTGCAAGGGAGAGAGGAAAGATGGATATTTAATTTTCTAGCCTTTCTAATAGAGGAGGACATGGGAGAAGGAGATTGGGGGTGGGCAGGGCATGGATGGGCCAAACTCCAGTGCTGCCCTGAAGGGGAGATTGAAATGCAGGTGGGGGGAGGGTTGCACGCAGGTGAGAAGATTAGGAAGGTGGTCTAGCAGAAGAAACAGATATCATGCCTCTAACTCTGCCAGCCACCAGTCCTCGGCAAGTTACTCACCTTTTCTAAGCTTTGATCTCCATGCATGTCTGTGTCTTCCTTGCAGGGCAGATGTGCTGGTGTGTGCAATGCTTAGCCCACCACTTGGTAGGCACACGGCAATGGGTATTATTGTTATTCTTTGTGTGAATGTATGTGGGGGATTGTGGGTGGGTTTAGCAAGGAGGGAGGGGTATTCAAAGTCAGGCTCCCTCCATCTGTCTTTTTTTTTTTTTTTTTTGACACAGTCTCGCTCTGTCTGGGGCGTCTTCTCGGCTCACTGCAACCTCTGTCTCCTGTGTTCAAACAATTCTCCTGCCTCATCCTCCTGAGTAGCTGGGATTACAGGCAAGCACCACCATGCCCGGCTAATTTTTATATTTTTTAAAACAGAGATAGGGTTTTGCCATGTTGTCCATGCTGGTCTCGAACTCCTGTCCTCAAGCGATCCACCCACCTTGGCCTCTCAAAGTGCTAGGATTACAGATGTGAGCCACCGTGCTCTTCCCTCATCTATCTTGATTAAAACTTGATCTGTACAAGCTGTAAAGCTCTGGGTCCCTCTGTCTTTGTGTTTAAGGCAGGGTCTCCCCAAAGTGCTTGTTGTGAAGGAGGTGGTGGTATTTGGCCTGAGTGTGGGAGAGGCAGCCAGAAGGGGTGGGGGCATGGGAGTGGGGAGCTGGTGAGCCACATGCACCTTTCCTTAAGAACCGGTGGGTACCAGGCAGGGGCACTTTCCTCAGGATCTCAGGGTTCCTCCAACAGACCTAGAAGGTAAATCTGTCATCAACCTCACCCGAAAAACCAGGAAGCCAAGGCTCAGAGACGGGGAGTGAGTTGCCCAGGACGCCCCAGCTTTCTGAGTGTGGGATCTGGGAGCACAGAGGAGAGCCCAGAGCTTGCCGGGGATGGAGAGTCAGCAAGGTGGGGGGCCTCCAGTGTGGGCCAGGCATGGAGACCAGGAGGGTGAGACAGGAGGCTCCCAGCTTTTCAGCAGGGGCCTTGAGGAGACTGAGGTGACAGCAGTGGCCCTGCCTTCGTGTCCTCTGAAGGACTCTGCAGAGATTAAGACTCTGTGGCTCATTTCTTTCTTTTTCTTTTTTTTTTTTTTGTGGCAGGGTCTCACTCTATCGTCTAGGCTGAAGTGCAGTGGCATGATCTTTGCTGACTGCAACCTCCGCCTCCCAGGTTCAAGCAATTCTCCTGCCTCAGCCTCCTGAATAGCTGGGATTACAGGCGTGTGCCACCACGCCTGGCTAATTTTTGTATTTTTGGTAGAGATAGGATTTTGCCATGTTGGCCAGGCTGGTCTGGACCTCCTGACCTCAGGTGACTCACCTGCCTCAGCCTCCCAAAGTGCTGGGATTACAGGCATGAGCCACTGCGCCCAGCCCTCTGTGACTCATTTCTACCTGACCTACCAGCTTTTCCCTCTGCGAGTTCTGGGGCCTGAGCATTGCTGGAAACCCTTGCTCAGAAGGTGACTTCAAAGCCTCCCCAGGGCTGGCCACCCTGTAGCTGCTGTCTCTGAGCTTTTGTGTCATTTCAGCCCTTGAGGTGGCCTTCCCTCCTTCTTATGAATCTCTGCTTTCAAAAATGTGTCACAAACCTTGCTTCCACCTGGAAGCCTTCTTTGATTACTTCCACTCACTGCACAGACCTGCTACGGATTGGCATTTAGAGGGAACTTGGGTTCTGCAGGTGGGCCCAGCTTTACAAAATAGCAAAGTGCAGATGCTCATAGCAGATGAATGAAGGGGCTGTTCTTCACTTTACCCAAAGGTCCAGTACTTGCCTTTGCTAAATATCAATCATGCATTAGAAAATGATTTGATATGTGAAAATTAGATTTACACCAAGATCACTATTAGGGCCTAAGATGAGGAGCATTTATGTTCATATTCAATCATTTACATGCTTTTTGGAAAACAAGTTGCGTTCACTTTTCCTCCCTCTTTTCTTCTTTTGATGGGAAAAACAACATAAAAATAACATGAAAGATTTCTTTTTTTGGAAACAAGAGAGAGAAAAAAAACACTTTTCCACCCATAAGCCCTCTTATTTTTGAACATTCCATCCTCTGTTTACATGCATGTCGACTTAAATAGCTGCGATCGTGGAACTTTTGCTTGGCTGCTGGGCTGTGAACTTCCGGAAAGGAAATAGAGACAGATGTCATTCCCCCGGCAGCTAGCAGAGTGCCAGCCGATGGCAGACACTGGGCATGGGTTATTGTGATTATTGCTACTGCTACCAGCTTGTTGAGTCGGCGGGGCCGCTGTCTTCATTTGGCAAGTGTAGGCATAGCCCTTGTCATTTGATCTCTACAACAGTCTTGCAGTGTAGGTATTATTCTCTCCATTTCACAGAAAAGGGAAGCAAAGTAAGTGACCTGCCTATAGGCACAGAATTAGAAAGCGGCACAGCTGGGAGTTGAACCCAGTCCCTCTGAGATTAGAACGCATATTCTTTTCATTGCACTAGGGTTTCTCAGCCTCAGCAATATTCACATTTTGGGCTGGATAATTTTTTGCCGTGGTGGGGGAGGGGCTGTCCTGTTCCTTGCAGGATGTCAGCGGCATCCCTGGCTTCTTATCCCCTGGATGCCAGTAGCTTCCCCGCTGCCCACATCCAAGGTTGTGACAACCAAACATGTCTCTGTACATTAGCAAATGTTCCCAGAGGACAAAATACCTCCATGTTAAGAACCACTGCAATACAGCCATGAAAAGCAGGCCATGCTGCTTGTTTCTTGGGTGTCCTTTTCCAGGGCATACACTGGCTGTGCATACAGTGGGTGCCAATTCATGTGGTTGCCTGCCCTCACTTGCTAGGTCTGTAGTTGATCCAGAGGTAGCCCAGGCTATGTAAGAGGATCTTGGTCGAGTATGGTGGCTTATGTCTGTAATCCCAGCACTTTGGGAGGCCGAGGCGGGTGGATCACTTGAGGTCAAGAGTTCGAGACCAGCCTGGCCAACATGGTGAAACTCCATGTTGTATTTCTATTAAAATACAAAAGTTAGCTGGGCATGGTGGCACGTGTCTGTAGACCCAGCTACTTGGGAGGCTGAGGCAGGAGAAACGCTTGAACCCCGGAGGTGGTGGTTGAATTGAGCTGAGAATGCGCCACTGTACTCCAGCCTGGGCCACAGAGCAAGACCCTGTCTTAAAAAAACAAAACAAAAACAAACAAAAAAACCCCAGAGGATCTGAAATGTGGATTCATGTCCAGGCTGTGAAGCTCTATCTGCTGGCTCAGCCCAGGGGGTTCTGCAGCATCTCCCGGCACCCTCTCCAAGAATTTGGGACTTGCCTGTCCCTCACCACACCCAGATGTGTCTGGGAGACTCACACCTATGGGGTAGGGCCGTGGCAGCTGCTGGCACACCCAGCAGCATTGTGCAAATCAGAAAAGTGCTCCCTTCTTCAGCCCTGCTCCAGGGCGCAGGCATGGTGAGCAGAACATGGGTTGGCACCATCTGGGATGTTTTTGCAGAGTCTGCAACCCGCACAACCATTCACAGCAGCCCTGATCTAGAAAGTTTTACTGACTTTCCTATTCCCCTTCTATCTCATGGCAAGGACACTTCTGGATAATTGAAGTCCACAGATAAAGCTCAAACTTGCTTTTAGACCTAAAGACTTGACCTTTTTCTCCCCCCAGCCAGCTTTGGTGAGCCTTGCTCATTTATTCATTCAGCAAACATGTTAAGCATCTATTTTGTGTAAGCAGAGTTTTAGGAACGTAGGTTTCAGGCATCAGAAATGAAGTAATATGATGTAGTGCAGTGATTCTCAAAGTCTGGTTTAGGGACCCTTTCATAAGGTGAGCTCCTAGGATTTTCTTCATATACTTTAATGCAAACAGAGTATGGCAATATACTGAATACAGAAGCAGATATGAAAATCCAGCTGTTTTCTTTTAAGCCCAAGATTCAGGAGGTTTGCAAAGGGTAAAACAATGCCATCCTTCTCACTTAGTTTTGTTTTGGAATTTTTAAAAAAAAATTTATTTATTTTTATTTTATTTTTTCTGAGACGAAGTCTCGCTCTATTGCCCAGGCTGGAAGGCAGTGGTGTGATCTTGGCTCCCTGCAACCTCTACCTCCTGGGTTCAAGCTAGTCTCCTGCCTCAGCCTCCCGAGTAGCTGGGACTACAGGCATGTGCCACTGTGCCTGGCTAATTTTTGTATATTTAGTAAAGATGGGGTTTCACCATGTTGGCCAGGCTGGTCTCGAACTCCTAACCTCAGGTGATCCGCCTGCCTTGGCCTCCCAAAATGCTGGGATTACAGGCGTGAGCCACTGCTCCCAGCCTTTATTTTTTTTTTAATGAAAAGATATTGTTTTTATTTATGTGTAATAGGTTTGTCATTGTTATTTTAAGTGAATTAATAAAGATTAAAAATTTCTTATTTTAAATTTTGAATACAGCAAATATCGATAGATATAATCCATAAAAATAAAGCTTGTTGCAGGCCGCCATAATTAAGAGTGTAAAGACCAAAAGCTGGAGAGCTGCTCACACGGTAGATAGAAGCCTGAGTGTGGAGGATGACTAGCCCAGAGTCCCAATTCCAGCCCTGTTCATCACTAGCTGGTTGTGAAACTTGGGTAAGTTTTTAAATTTTTCGGAACCTCAGTTTTCTCACCTGTAAAATGGGAGTCTCATGCCCTGCTGAGAGGGTGACTGTGAGAATTTCAGATGGTTGGTTGGAACCCCTGTCCCGCTGAAGGGTGGCTGGCTCTGGGGGAGAGCTGGAGGTGGCCCCCCAGGGGTGTGCGTTCAGTGGAGCCCTGCCACAGGGGGTGGGGCTCTGAGCATGTTACCAGCCTCCCCCGCAAGGTAAATATGTGAGGATTGGGAAAGTTGGTCAAAGGAAAGGAATTTAGTTTGTGAAATAGCTTCAAAGGGGAATTGGAGGCAACGTGTTTTGCCTTTGATTATTGGATCGTAACCACTTTTAAGTTTTGTAAAACTCTGTTTACTGTCTCTCTCTCTCCCTCCCTCGCTTTTTAATGCACTCCTTCTCAGGGTGCAGAGGAGCTGTCCCCTGCTGGTCTGGGGCCCATTCAGGGGAGATGGTGGTCATGTCTGTGGAGCACACAGCCTTGGGAGTCCCAAGGCCTGGATGTGGCTCTGACTGCTCAAGGGGACCAGCATTAGTCTGACCAGTACAGTTGAGGGGGGAGCTTTGATGCTGTGTATACTGTCCTCGGGCAGCCAGATAGCTCTTCCATCAGCTTGACATGCCACCTCTATTTTTACCACGAGGTTTTTTTCCTTTGGGCTAAGGCTCTTATTTACTGGAAAACTTCTACCAAGGTATGAATAATAGAACAATTTGTCACTAGCTACTGACACGCATGGTGGACTTACTTATTTGATAGCAAAAAGCAAGGCTCGGGGCCATGTAACGCAGGACGGATAAGTGTTGACTGCCACAGGTCCTACTGAGTTTCCAGCCTCCATGTCTTTGCTCTTCTTTCTCCTGGGGGCCGCTTTAACCCAGCCCTAGTATTAGGACCAATCCTGGAGATGACAGGTCTAAGATCTTTAAGTCTCAGCATCAGGAACTTAGCATCAGTTCTCCCTATCACTCAGCTCCCATAACTTGGCATTTGTTTTATTTGTCCCAACTCTGGGTCCAATTCTTTTATGACCCAAGCTAAATGAACTCCACTTGGCTACATTCTGAGAAATGCCAAGCTGGAAATTTGTGTTGTAATATTCAGGAGCTTGAGATGACCCTGAGACTGTCCTAATCTTGATGATGCTGTTTCATTTTATTTTCTTTCTTTCTTTCTTTCTTTCTTCCTTCCTTCCTTCCTTCCTTCCTTCCTTCCTTCTTTCTTTCTTTCTTTCTTTCTTTCTTTCTTTCTTTCTTTCTTTCTTTCTTTCTTTCTCTCCTCCCTCCCTCCTTTCCTTCCTTCCTTCCTTCCTCTCTCTCTCTCTCTTTCATTATTATTATTATTATTATTATTATTTTGGAGGCAAGAGTCTGTCTGTCGCCCAGGCTGGAGTGTCGTGGCGTGATCTCGGCTCACTGCAACCTCTGCCTACCGGGTTCAAGGGTTTCTCATGCCTCAGCCTCCCCCGTAGCTGGAATTACAGCTGCCTGCCACCACGCCCGGCTAATTTTTTGTATTTTTAGTAGAGATGGGGTTTCACCATGTTGGCCAGGCTGGTCTTGAACTCCTGGTCTCAAGTGATCCGCCTGCCTCGGCCTCTCAAAGTGCTGGGATTACAAGTGTGAGCCATGACACCTGGCCTGTTCTTCTAACGAATTTCTGATTGTTGAACTGAGGGTTTTAGTTGGTGTAGTGGGCAGAATAATTCCCCGCCTCCCAGTGTTCATATCCTAATCGCTGGAATCTGTGAATATGCTACCCCACATGGCACAAAGGATTTTGCAGATGTGATTAAGTTGAGGATCTGGAGATGGGGAGATGATCCTGGGTTTTCTGAGTGGCTCCAATGTCATCACAAGGGTCCTTATAAGAGCGAGGCAGGAGAGTCAGTCAGAGGAGGAGACGTGGTGATGGAAGCAGAGGATGGACTGATGTGATTGTTGGCTTTGAAGACGGAGGAAGGAGCCGTGAGCCAAGAATGGCAGGTGGCCTCTAGAAGCTGGAAAAAGCAAAAGGACAGATTCTCCCCTAGAGCCTCTGGGAAGGAACACAGTCCTGCTGACACTGTGATTTTAGCCCAGTGAAATTCATTTTGGACTTCTGACCTCCAGATTTGTCATAAAATAAGTTTGTGTTCTTTTAAGCTTCTAAGTTTGTAGTAATTTGTTACAGCAATGGTAGAAAAAGAATACAGTTGGGAGTAGGGACTATCAGAAGCTGGTAAAGCGGCAGGTAGATACCTCTAAGAGCGCTATGAGGTCTCTGGGTATAAATAATGCATGGGCTGTCCTCTCCTGGAGCTTACAGTCTAGCAGTGGCACTAAGATGTCGTGTGAATGACCCCAAGGAATGGGGTAGAGTGGAAAGCACTAGGAAGAAGCTGCAAATGAAGTGCAGAGGAAGGACTTGCTGCCTCTGGTCCGTGGGTTCAAGGGAGGACTCATATAGGGATTTGAGTTGGTATTTGAGGGAAGGACAAGGTTCCCAGATAGGCAGAAGGAACCATGCCAAAAAGAGCACAGAAGCGGGAAAGTACAGTATGAGCCCAGAACCCAGGGGTGTTCTAAATTTGGACCCAGGGGTTGGATAAGGATGTCTGTTGGTTACAAGCTACAGAAAGCCTCAACTCACTTCAGACAGGAAGAAATCCTGAAGTTGAGTGTTTTGAGGTTGGCCAATATGGTGCTCAATGCTCTTGCCAGGCACTCAGTTTCTTTCTTTCTTTCTTTTTTTTTTTTTTTTTGAGACATGATCTTGCCCTGTTGCCCAGGCTGGGATGCCATGGCGTGATCTCGGCTCACTGCAACCTTCGCCTCCCGAGTAGGTGGGATTGCAGACACCCGCCACATGCCCGGCTAATTTTTGTATTTTTTTCAGTAGAGATGGGGTTTCACCATGTTGGCCAGGCTAGTCTTGAACTCCTGACCTCAAGTGATTTACCTGCCTTGGACTCTCAAAGTGCTGGGATTCCAAGTGTGAGCCACCTCGCCCGACCAGAGACTCAATTTCTTTCCCTCTGTACTGCCACCCTCAGCCCACAGACTTGGCCTTGGCCATGTCGCCTCATGGCCACAGAAAGGCTACTGCTAATTCAGGTGTCACATGCAGGCATGACAGTGGCCAGCAGAGGACGAGGGATTGTCTCTTCACAGGAATGTCTATTTATTAGCAAAGAAAGCTTCCCTGGAAGTTCCCACCCCTTTCTTCTCTGTTTGTTTCCAGGGCCAGAATTTCGTCTTCTGCTTATTGTCAAAGGGAGTGGGCTAGGGAGGCATGTGTATGGAAGATATATTGCATTCCCAGCACATTCTACGGTTATCAGTTATTCTTTTTTCCCTTTTATTTTATTTTGAGATGGAGTCTCTCTCCATCACCCAGGCTGGAGTATAGTGGCATGATCTTGGCTCACTGCAACCTCCGCCTCCTGGGTTCGAGTGATTCTCCTGCCTCAGCCTCCTGAGTAGCTGGGATTACAGGCATGCACCACCATGCCCAGCTAATTTTTGTATTTCTAGTAGAGATAGGGTTTCACCATGTTGGTCAGGCTGGTCTCGAGCTCCTGACCTCGTGATCTACCCGCCTTGGCCTCCTAAAGTGCTAGGATTACAGGCGTGAGCCACTGGCCTCCCCTTTTATTTTTTGTTGACATGTAATAATTGTATATATTTATGGGATACAGAGTGATATTTATGGAATACAAGTATAATGATCAAATCAGGGTACTTAGCATGTCTATCACCTGAAACATTGATCATTTTTTCAGTCTTGCGAACATTAAAAATCCTTTCTTCTAGCTTTTTAGAAATGTACACTAAATTATTGTTAACCATATTCATCTTACAAGGTTACAGAACCCTAGACCTTCTTCCTCCCATCTAGCTTCTCTAGTAATTCTTGAGAAGTACAAGCAAGAAAGTGAGGAAAAGTTGATCAGTCCAAGGCCACCCAGAAGCCTATCCTGCATCTGCACACAATCCATCCCCATGTCCTGTTGGCACCATTGTCCACCCTCTTCATTTCTACAGCTGACACCGTAGTTGATGCCCCCTGTGTCTCCTGCCAGGTTCTGCCCCAGGGCTCCCTCCACTGGTTGTGTGTAATGTGTGTGTGGGGTTTCAGAGGGGCGGGGGAGACTGCTGCAAGGACCATGGCTCTTATTCCTCGGAAGTCAGGGGCCATCCTGACAGCTTGGTGGCTCTGCTTCCTGGATTCACGGGACCTCTCTCACCCCAGGTGGTTAGAGATAGCCAGTTGGGAGTGGTTTGAGTTTTTCACAATGACAGGTTCCTGAAAGTCACCCCAAGCTCTGGGCTGAGGATAGCTGGGTACAGCCAAGGGGGGAAACATAGAAAGAGGAAGGAACTTCCTGTTAGAAAGCAAACGGCTGGGAGGTGGGGGTGGGGGCGGCTGTGCACCCTGGACCCTAAACTGCAAGGGACTGTGGTGAGGCCTCGGCAGACCCCAGATCCCCTCTCCATTCCCACAGGCAGAGGGCTGGCATGACCTCCCATGGCTGGGTCTGGCTGGACCTGTGAAGGTTGGCCTGCAGACCTCTTTCCTGTGCTTCTCCTGGTCCTGACTCTGGGCACTGCCTTCTGTCCACTGCGGCTGGGGTTGCTGCCTCTCTCAGTGCCCTGCTGGTCCTTAGACCCCACGGTGGCTGCTTTCGAGCCAGTTTAGAAAAAAAAAAAAAAAAAAGGAAGGAAGCCGAGGACTTCCTTCTCAGAGAGGCCATCGCCCAAGGGGGCCAAGCCACACAGAGTGGCTCCTTCTAGCTCTCTTGTAGCTCCAGGAATGACAGGCCTTCCTGGCTATGCAAGACCCTTTCTGCCCCGATCCCATGGAGCCCTCAGCTCTCCTGGGCTGCCCCTGGGCTCCCTTTCTAGAGAGGGTAATTCTTAAAATATCTAGTAACCAGTTTGCCATGGGCACTGCTCTGGCACAATGAACAGACAGCAGCCATAATCTCCTTTCCAAGGTGAACTGGACCAGTTGATGGTTCACTCTGCTTTTGCCGTTCTTCCCTCAGGACACGGAGCCTGTCCACTCACCTGTCTCTTGCAGTTGCCTGTTAGAGCAGGTTTTTTTTTTTTTTTACAGAGTCTTGCTCTGTTGACCAGGTTGGAGTGCAGTGGTGCAATCTCAGCTCACTGCAAACTCTGCCTCCCAGGCAATTCTCTTGTCTCAGCCTCCTGAGTAGCTGGAACTACAGGTGCCCACCACCATGGCTGGCTAATTTTTGTATTTTTAGTAGAGATGTGGTTTCACCATATTGATCAGGCTGGTCTCGAACTCCTGACCTCAGGTGACCCACCTGCCTCGGCCTCCCAAAGTGCTGGGATTACAGGCGTGCCCAGCCCTTGAGCAGGTTTTATCATGGCTCTGAATCTGTCAGATGGAGATAGAATACTAACATCTCCTTTTCAGGCGTGGTATGACCGTTCAGTGAGGAGAAAGCCCTTGTCACTGCGTGGGGCACATCACAGCCTCATGGTTCGTGTGACCATGAGTCCCAGTAGGCCAGGGACAGCCTGGTTTGTGCTCGTTGTCTCAGTGTAATTAATAATAACACTGCTTTTCATTCTTGAAAGTGTACCGGTCTGGACAACAGATGACTTAGTTGCCATTCTTCTCTTAATTGCTGGAGTTCTTCTGTTGGCCCAGTGACACCCAGTGTAGAGGCAAAAACACAAGGTTTGCTCTGGATTCTTGTCCCGGCTCTGCCACCAAGCACAGTGTGGCCTTGGACCAGTCAACTCCCGAGCTTCTGTCTCCCCAGCTCCACCCACCTGGAGGACAGAGCCTTGTGTTTTTCTCGTTGGCATCCCCAAGGCCTGGCAGACAGTCGGCGCTTAGCGGGCTGATGACTGACTAAAGAACATTTGCGAGGGTTGAAGGAGGCACTCCCATTCCCACGCACAGGGATCCCGCTGCTCCGGGTCCCTGAACCAGAAGCCAGTGTGTGTCTGTGGTTAGTGTCCCAGAGGCCCCACCCACTCACCTCCCCAGCCCACCCCAACCAAGGCGGAAGAAAAGGCCCTCACACAGGCCCTGGCTTGATTTTAGTCACCTCAGACTGTTTCCCTGTCTGCTCTGAGCACCTGCTTCTTCAGCCTTAAGCTGAAAGATTGGGAAAGACAGTCTTTCAACCTGCTGCCAACTCAAGCCAGGTTTCTGGCCTCAGGCGTCACATTGTCATGGGCTTATGGGACACCAAGAGATCCTGACTCTGCCTCTTAATAACTGTGTGACCTCGGGCAAGTCACTCAACTTCTCTGGGCCACCATTTTCTCACGTGAGAGGAGTCAATCAGATGGGTATGCGAGGCCTTTGCACAGGGCTGAGGGAACTGAACAGACACTTAATAAACATCTGTGTCTCCACCAGGCTTTGCTTGTGACAGGAGTGTGGGTCTCCCTCTCCTCCCTACCACCTCTTGGCATTTCTTCTGGGCAGGGAGGTCAGAGCCAGGTGTTCCCAGGAGGACCACGAAAACCTAGTCACCCATAATCACCATACTTTCTGAATCCAAAGTTGTATGTCGTGTGGCCTAACAAAGATATCAAATGCAATTATGAAGATGAGATGATTCAATAAACCACTTTTACAGAAAGTATCCAGTGTGGACATTGAGTTGAGGCAGTCCTGCACGTGGTACTCCTTACTCCTTAGGGAGGAAGCAGGACAGTCCAGGGCACACATTTACTGAGCACCTACTAGGTGCTGGTATTTGCACTCATGTGCTTTCATTTTGTCATCACCATGACTCTGAGAAGTGGGCATCTCTCTTCTCACTTCAGGATGAAGCTTGGCGAGGTGACAACTTTAAAAGTAGTCAAGTGTGTTTACTTAAAAGGAAAAGCTGATCACACCTCACATCCGGTTATGACCATCAAAGAGTCACAGGAAGTTGCTGACTTATTCCCAGCAGAGGAGAGATTTGAACTCAGTTATGTCCACCACCTAAGATTAAATAGCTTCCACTACCTTCCCCTCTGCAGTCCCCGGGCATGCATTCCCAGCCGTCTCTTTGCCACACAGGTGCTTGCCTCTTGAGCTACCTTTTCTCCCTCCCCAAAACCTACAACTTGCCTCCCACCTGCTTCTAGGGATACTTTGAAGATGGAGGAGGATGTTTTCCCAAAGCTCCCAGGTCCCTCTGGGGCCTCACCAGGGCAGCATATTATTAGCTAAAGCACACGACAGCAGCAACAGCAACTCTAATGAGTGCTCTCCCAACATCCTGTCGCCGAGGTCACTGGCAGGCATCATTAGCCCCATTTTAGAGATAGGAAAGCTGAGGCCCAGCGTCACCATTTGTGACCTGCCCACGGTGCCATGATGAGTCAGTGGAGGCCCAATGCAAGCTTACTGTGCCTTTGTTCTCCTTCCTGCCTGAAAAATGGAGGGTAAAAAAGAGCTGCCACCTTGGGAACCTCTGGCCCTTCCTTGGAGAGGGAGAGGTGCAGCCAGACATGATGGTTCCAGCCTGACAAAGCCTGGCCTTGGGTAGGGGTAGAGACAAATGAGTACATGGGGTCCAAGGCCCCTTCCACACTGGACACCAACCCTAGGTGGCATTGCTGGGACACTGTCCCCCGCAAATGTCTCCAGCTCTTACTTTGCGGCTAAGACCTTGGCCAAGATGGTGGTGATGGTGGTGGTGTGTGTGTTCTGGTTTGAGCCTGAAAGGGAAGAAATTGATATGGAGGAGGGAGGAGGGGAGGGACAGCAATGGGCTCACATTTGCTGAGTGCTTTTCGTGTGCCACCTACATTACATGCAGTTTGCCATCTCATCCCCACTCTACAGAGGAGGAAACTGAAGCCCAGAGGGGTGAAGAAATTCCGATCAGAGTTTCAGAGCATGTGAAAGAAAAAAAAGTCAGGATGTTAACCAGGATCATTTGGCTTGAAAGCTGTCGCTTTTGAAGTAGCCCACCCTGCCTCTTTGGAATTTCTTTGAGAGAGCTGGGGTCTACAAAGGTCAGCTTCATGGGCATGTGACCCGTGTGATCGCACAGGGTCCCACACTCAGAAGGACCACCCACTTGGTTTAATTGGTTCTGCTTTCATCATCTTGAAATTCCTAATGATTTTTGAACAAGGGGCCTTGCAGTATTTTTTTTTTTCGCGAGGCCCTACCTACAAATTATGTGGCTAGTCCTAGGTCTACACACAGAAGCCTACAGGACCAGATGCCTCTATCTGTGGAAGGCCTTGGCCCAACACTTCCGCAGGAGTCTGGGTGAAAGGCACAGGCCTTTCCAGCTTTCCCAATCACAGAGCCTGAGCAACAAGGCTTGGGGAAGACCTCTTATGGAAAGAAAGGCCTGATGGAGACAGAGCCTGGGTTCATCAGGGAAGAAAGGGTACCTGATAGAGCTTTAGAGTGAGGGGCTGGAGACCGCAGAAAGGGGACCCAGGAGCCCTCTGGGCTGCTGTAGGCTGGTGGAAGGCCCCTTGCTCCAGCTATTAGTCACAGGAAGTTGCTGAGAAATTGTTGACATATATAATCGTGACTCTTTGATGGTCATAACTGGATGGGAAGTGTGATCAGCTTTTCCTTTTAAGCAAACACACTTGGACTACTTTTAAAGTTGTCACCAGGGGAGAGTGTGGACAGTCTTTATTCCAACGCTGTTGCTGTAGGAGATGCATTTGAAGCTCTGCGGCACATCCTCTTGGCCTGTCTCTGGTTTTTAGCTGCATCTGAGGTGGGTGGATGGTTCCTTATGAGTTCAGACGTCTGCTCACAGCCTCCCACCTAAGGTGCTGGAGATGCGTGACTCTCTGATTTTCTGCCTCAGGCTGGGCTTCGGGAGCTCACTCAGCCTAGTGCAAGCACAGCTGGGAACTCAGAGGTTCCCAGAGAATCTAGCTCCGTGCCTAAAAGGGTGACTTCAAAAGTGCACACTTAGGACCAGGTGCGGTGGCTCACACCTGTAATCCCAGCACTTTAGGAGGCCGAGGCAGGAGGATCACTTGAGGTCAGGAGTTTGAGATCAGCCTGGCCAACATGATGAAACCCTGTCTTTACTAAAAATACAAAAACTAGCTGGGTGTGGTGGTGTGTGCCTGTAATCCCAGCTACTCGGGAGGCTGAAGCAGGAGAATCGCTTGAACTTGGGAGACAGAGGCTGCAGTGAGCCGAGATTGCAGCACTGCACTCCAGCCTCGGCAACAGAGCAAGACTCTGTCTCAAAAAAAAAAAAAAAAAAAAGGTGCACAGTTGCATTGACTTTCCTCTTCCCCAACTCACCACCCCCAACTCTCACTCCTGCTTCTTTGGGTCATCTCCTAAATAAATGGCTTGAACCCTAGTCCTTGTCTCAGGCTCTGCTTTTGGGGAACAAAAGCTGAAATAGGTGGGATTGCTTGGAGCATCAGCAGTTCCTCTTCTGGACTGTCTTTCAGAAGCTGAGGCCTGATCTTTTGTAGCTCTTCAAACACAGCAAACCTTCCATCTTCCTGGAGGAGGAGATTGATTCCTGCCAATAGCCAGACGCAATCCAGAACAAAGCTTGGTATTAAGCTTGGGTGGTAAATCACGTTCCACGTGCAGCGACAGCTGGACTGGAGGCCAGAGTGAAGGGCTAGATTTGGCCAAGACTTGGCTTCAGGTGTGATGTTGGCCACATCCTTAGCTGTGTGGTCTGGGGCTGGTGAGGTGACTTTTCTAGGCCCCAGGGGCTTTGTCTGCAGAATGAAGGGCAGTAACACCTAGCACCCTGGTTTACTGTGGGAACCGAGCATATTTGTGAAATTGTTTTGTGATGGATAAACAGCTATACATGCATGAGCTGTGACTGGTTGAAAACAAAATGGTGGCTGCAAATTAAAGAGGTGGGGGCCAGTTGATTGTGAAGGCCAGGCCCTGTGGGAGTCTGAACACATTTTGGTCAGTGGTAGCATCATTAGAAGGGCCTCCCCAAAAGGCTCCTGGGCTGGGACAACAGTTTTCTGACTGTGATTACCCCCATATGCTGCTTACGAAGCAGTCCTTGGTCCTTCATGGGTGTGCCTTAGAGATACTGTTTGTGCTAAGAAAGGATTGGGGTTCTGGTCTTGTTTCTTGGCATTCATGAGCTGGTCCCTAAAGAGAAGCATGTGACCCTGGGGATGAACCAAGAGCTGGCACACTGGGCTGGTCCAAGAGCTGGCACACTGGGCTGGTCCAAGAGCTGGCACACTGGGCTGGTGGGGTGTGGGGCAGGGACATTGGGATTCCTGTGAACACCGCAGGGTGTCATCCATGCATCTCACAAATGCGTACTGAGCAGGTACCACGTGCCAGGCACTGAGCCAGTGCTGGGATGCAGCAGGAGACAGAGCCTGACACTGCTGGGGCTCACATCCCATGGGGGACAAGGCAATAAACAAATAAAGATATAAGGTCAGGCTGTGCCATGAAAGAAAATAAAGCCAGGTGGGGGAATGGAGAGTGATGGAAGGCCCACTGACTTGGAAGAGTGGCCAAGGAAGGTGGTGTGAGGAGCTGATATTGGGACAGAGCCTGGGATGATGGGAGAGGTGAATCACCATTAGGG
This sequence comes from Homo sapiens, assembly GCF_000001405.40. NCBI lineage: Eukaryota > Metazoa > Chordata > Mammalia > Primates > Hominidae > Homo > Homo sapiens. The sequence continues at coordinate 125,512,129 of NC_000008.11, forward strand.
GTAAAGGTAGAGGTGATAGTCAGTACAAATGCCCTGAGCGGGGAGGATGCTCAGTGTTTGAGCAAGGTGGCTAGAGTGGTAGAGGAAGGTGAGGGAGAGGGAGAGAGAGGGACAGAGAGGGAGAGAGACAGAGAAGGAGAGAGACAGAGGGAGAGGAGAGAGAGAAGAGAGAGAGGAGAGTGAGAGAGAGAGGGAGACAGAGAGGGAGGGAGAGAGAGAGAAGGAGAGACAGGGAGTGAAGGAGAGAAAGGGAGATAGAAGAGGGAGAGAGAGAAAGAGACAGAAGAGGAAGAGAGAGGGAGAGAGGGAGGTAGAGAGAGAAAGAGAGAGAGTATCAAGTCAAAGAGTCCAGAGAGGTGTTGGGGAGGTCGGATCATGCATAGCTTTGCAGGCCAGTGTAAAGTTCAAGTCTAATCTTTGTCATTAGCTGCTGTGTGACCTTGGGTACATCCCTTCCCCTCTGTGGGTGTAGTTTCTTCATAGGCAAGTGAGAGACTGGACTAGTAGTTCTTACCCCTACAACATCTGCTTTAAAAAACACCCATGCCCAGGCCCCACTCCAGTGATTTGAATCAGAAACTCTGGAGCTGGGGCCTGAGCATCGTGTGTGTTCCAAGCTCCCCCGTTTGACTCTGTGAGCAGCGGGAAGTGAAACACTGGAGGAGTGGGAAGGTTTGAAGGGCAGCAGGGGTGGAACCAACCTCTCTATCCTCTCCGTCCATCTCTGCCTCTTGCCTAGCCTTCTAGCAGCGTCAGCCTGTAGCCTGTCCCACACCAAACACCCGAATCTGCAGAAAGAGCAAATCAGCCCTGTCCCCTTCTTCCTTTTTACAGACCCCCACAGCCAGAGGGCAAGAGGCAGGGGTGACCCTAGGCCCTGGGAGATTTTGTTTATGGTGCATATTTCACTTCTACAGGATCCTCACAGCTGTGATCTTGCCTCATCGCAGTTGCCAACACTGAGGGGCTGCCTTCACCCCATTTGCTAATTCCCCAAGTTCCTCTTTCGGGCATGTTCCTGTCCCTCCGTGTTCCCGTGGCCGCGTGGAAATGGACCGAGGCCCACAGGGTGACTCAGAGGGGAAGCCCCTGCGCTGCGAGGCTCCCAGCAGCTCCTGGATTGCGTAAGGGCTATTTTTGAGGAGATTGCAGACGATCTGATGAATCATAGCAAACACACATGGCTCCGGCGGGGGACAGCCCTTCCTCATGTTGCTGTGGAAAGTGGAGCTTCTCAAAATGAATCAGCAGAGCCTGAACCCCAGGTCTGTGGGAGGAGGATGAGGGTGTGAATTACACATTTCCAAAGTATTGGGGTGCGGTCGCCTGGACCTGGGAGCGGGGGCTGCAGGGACCCAAGTCTTTGGTTTTCTCAGTGACTCAAAGATCCTCTCTCACCCACCTGAGCCTGCCATTTGGAATCTCCTGACCCTCCATCAGTCTAGAGCAATCACTTGCACTTCCTGGGGTCCAGGGAGAAAGTTAGGGTGGGCGCAGCCTAGTGTAACTGCTTTCAAGTGGTGGCACACAGGGTCTGAATCCAGAAATCCAGAGGCCACCCCTTCTCTGGGTTGCCCATATGAGAAATTCCTGACCACGAGGAAAAGGCTCAAATTACACCTGCTAGGGGTAGGGGAGGCCCCCCTTGCTCCCCCAAGCTCAGCGGCATGAGAACTAAGGGGGAGAGTGGAAGGGTGGTTGGGAGTCGTCAGGCTTTAGAATCGGACAGTATTGGATTTGAGGCCCCAAACCAAAACCACAGCTTGGAAAAAGTCCTAGGACATAGCTGAGCCTCAGTTTTCTGATTTGTCAAATCAGGTAATAATATCTAAACACACGAGGATTACCCAAGGCAGCCGGATATAATGTAAAGAACCCCCACTCTGCAGCCGGGGGCCTAGACCTCGGTCTGTTAATGATCAGCTGTGTGTTCTTGGGCAGGTCACTGAACTGTTCTGTACCCCAGTTTTCTCCTCTTTAAATGAGGATAATAGTGCCTTCTCATAGAGTTGATTAATAAGCTAATAGATGCAAAATTAAAGGAAGAGTGCCTGGTGTATAATGCATGCTTGGTAAGTGCTAGCTATTGTTATGTGAAGTGAGCATCATAGCAAGGTATGGTAGATTTATTACAGTCAGAGCTCAGGAAAAAGTAGTTGCCATCATCATCATCATCATCATCATCATCAATCATCATCAATCATTGTCATTATTTTTTCTAGAGAACTGAAGTAGATTTGGATAAAAGCTGGGGGGCCTCAAAGGGCACTGGAGAGAGGAAAACCTGAAGTCACTGTCGATGTCAGACTTTGGGTTTCCTTCATAATGTTGCTTAGTTTGGCCCAAAGCAGAGGGAGATTTTGCGATTAGCTGGACAGCAGGAGAAAGACAAGGGGGACAGTCTGTCTTGGAGAAGACTGAAGTTCCAGGGTGTCCTATTTATGTCTCTGCAAAGATGGAATGACCTTTAGGATTGCCCAATTCATAGTGTGCAGAGAGGACACGGAGGATGCACCAGCAGAGAGCCTGGACCCATGGCAGCATCAGGTATTGAAGCTGAGAGATGAGAGTTTCCATACACACCCTGCTCAGAATAACATGCTCTGTTGGGTAATGGTTAAAAATTCAAGAGATTTTCTGTGGCTACTGCTGTTGGTGAACCTGCTCCCTTACAGACAGGCTGTTGGGATTCTAGGTTCTGGCTGGTATCTCTTCTATGCATAAGCCTTACAGCTGAGTTTAAAGTTAACCTATTTCTATAACCAGGATGTGGTAATACCGTGCTTCTCACTCCTGGCTGCAAATATGAATCACATAGAAAGCTTTTAAAAATAATGGTGCTTGGGCCCCACCCCAGGCCAATTGAATCTGAATATCTATGGGTAGACCTGAGCATTATGTGGCATAAAAGCTCCCCAGATGTTTCCAGTCTTCTTCTCTGAACTGAGTTTTTTTTTTTTTTGCTTCCTTTTATCTTGAACTACCTGCCCCTCCCCATCTCACCCCAATCTAGCTGATTCCATTCTATCTTTTCCTTTTGTTGAATGATTCAGTCATACAAAAAGTATTTATCGAAGGCCTACTGTATACCAGAAACTGGTCTAGGAAGGGCAGATACAGTAGTAAACAGGAAAAGACAAAGGCCCTGCTTTCATGAAACTTATGTTCTGGTTTTTTTTTTTTTTTTGCTTCCTTTTATCTTGAACTATCTGCCCCTCCCCATCCCACCCCAACCTAGCTGATTCCATTCTATCTTTTCCTTTTGTTGAATGATTCAGTCATTCAAAAAGTATTTATTGAAGGCCTACTGTATACCAGAAACTGGTCTAGGAAGGGCAGATACAGCAGTAAACAGGAAAAGACAAAGGCCCTGCTTTCATGAAACTTATGTTCTGTTTTTTTTTTTTGAGATAGAGTCTTGCTCTGTCACCCAGGCTGGAGTGCAGTGGCATGATCTCAGATCACCACAACTTCTGCCTCCTGGGTTCAAACAATTCTCCTGCCTCGGCCTCCTAAGTAGCTGGGACTACAGGCGCGCACTACCATGCCTGGCTAATTTTTATGTTTTTAGCAGAGACAGTGTTTCACCATGTTGGCCAGGCTGGGTTCAAACTCCTGACCTCAAGTGATCCACCCACCTCAGCCTCCTAAAGTGCTGGGATTACAGGAGTGAGCTGTCGCGCTTGGCTGAAACTTATGTTCTTATGTGGGGAAGACAGAGAATAAGCCAAATATATATAAATATTCATGGTAGAGATCAGAAAAATAAATCAGGGAAGGGGATGTGAGAGTGATGGGTCATCAAGGATGGTGATATTTGACCAGAGACTTGAATGAAGTGAAAGACCTACCATATAGATATGTGAGGTAGAACATTCCAGAAAGGGAAGCAATTATCAAGACCCTGAGGAGTGAATGTGGAGCACATTCCCTTTCAGTGCACGCCATTCTACTCCATGTTACCCATTACAGTGTATCCTATAAATATCATCCACCCAATTCCAGTCCTAACTAGTTTCTTTGGACTTGGCTTAGCCAACTGCGTTACTGGCCTAATATTGGGTAAGAGGTGGAGATACAATAAATGCTAATTCAGAGTATTGCTGATGGAAATAGTGCTGTCTCAGTTTGGCTCAGCTCAAATCTGGATGGGCGTTCTGCCTGACAACCATGTGTTAAAACCATGTGCAGGTTTAGAGAGAAATTAGGAAGTAGTCTCAGATATATTTCCCCATGTGTAGCTCTGTTGATCTCATGGATCTTTTGTTTCATTATATACTCCAAATTCAAGGTCAGTGGACATCAGAAACCCAGCAGAATTCAAAATATGTGTCGCGTCTCCTTACCTGCCACAGTGTCTGTAATTGCCTTATTTGGGTCACTCAGTGAGAGGTCTTCCAGAGATGAGCCTATTAAACAAGGTTCAGGTGTTCTGTTATCTATTAGGATCCCTGAGGATCTTGCACAGACTGAGATCTTGAAGGAATAGGACGTGGGGCAGGCAAAGTTTGATTGAAGAGAAGAGGGAACTAATAGGATAAGATCTGGGACCATTGTGTCTCAGGATGGCATGAGGGCACTGAGGTCGTGGAGATGGGGCTGGCAGGGAAGGCCAAGGCCACAGATGGCTCTGTCATATTCTACTGAGGCCTGGTGTGGCAGTCTTGAGACAAGTCTGCAAATTCATTGACACTTCTCCCATTGACAGGAGAGATCTATGTCTCCTCCCCTTGAATCTGAGCTGGCCTTAGTGACTCTCTCGTGAGCAGTAGAATCAGCAGAGGTTTTGCTCCATGATCCCTAGTCTGGGTCATAAAAGCCCGTGGAGCCTCTGCTTGATTCTCTTGGGTCACTCACTCTGGAGGAAGCCAGCCAACTTGCATGGAGTTCAGTAACCCCAAGACTACCATGCTGGAGAGGCACATCTAAACACCTAGCCAAGAGCCAGCCTCAGCTGCCAGCCATCTTGGACTGAGATTTCACGTGACTGAGCAAATCTAGATGTCCAGCCCAACTGAGGCTTCAGATGAGTGTAGCAGCTCTGACTGGCATTGATCCAACTTTGTGAGAGGCTCCCAAGCAAGGGCTGCCCATCATGCCCTTTCTGAATTATTGACCTGTAAATTCATGAGCAAGATAGAATGGTAGTTGGTTGTTTTACACCATTAAATGTTGGAATAATTTATTTCATATCAATAGTAAACAGAATACCTTGGATCCAGCCAGCTCTTGGTAGCTCATATTTATGGGCCAAACAAATGATTATAGCAATTCAGAATGAGCTGTCCCTGGATAGCTGGAAGAGAGAGAGGGCAAGAAAAAGGATCTCATGGAAAAAAGGGCCTATAGACTTGAAAATGATTTTAGAGATTATCTTGTCCAAATCCTTCTTTTGAGGGCTGAGGGGAATAACTTGCCCAAGGTCACCGGGATTGTTTGGGAAAGACCCAGGACTGGGATCCAAGTTCCAACATCTGGACTCCTATTTTCCATCTTCAGTTTTTCTTGGCCAATACAGGACTATGGGAATAAGGGGGTGGTAGGGCAATTAATTTGGATTTTCCTGGGATGGGTTTGGATTCATAAAGTTAAATGTCATTCTGGATCTCCCTGGAAATTACTCTTTTTGGAATTCCTTGCCTAGAATGTCCTCCTTCTGTCCCTTCCTGTATGTCTGGATTCTCCCCAGGCCATCTTCTTTTTGATGTATTAAATGATTTAATCCATATGTATCTATAAGGCACTTCTTACATGCCCAGGGCTGTAGTGAGCCCTGGGGTTCCTTTGCTGAGCAAGGTAGACTTGCATCCTGCCGTCGGGCACTACCTTGATCTCCACAGTTAGAAGGAACAGCTTTCATCTTTGGACTCTAGTTCTGTTGTCTTTGCTCTGTGTAGGACACCACCCGTTTATATACTAATTGGATTTATGACTCATTTCTGGAATCTAAGCTCCTCCAGGGCAGGATTAGTGCCCAATTCATGGATGTCTCTTCTAAAGCGTGTGGCTCAGCACCTGACCCAGCTGCTCTGGCTCCTTTGTAAGGTAGTGAGCTCTGTGTTGCTGTCAGCCATTGGCAGGGAAGGATACATGTGTGATGGGTTAGGGGTGGAGAAGATGAGGGTTTTAGAGGCTTAGACAAGGGATCCTCATTCCTTCCGCTGAGAGTCTCAGTTTCTCATGTGACATCATATCAACCTCTGCCTTTTACTGACTGCTCGCTATGCCCAGCTGTGATGCTTTGGGCTTTATATATGTTTAATCCTCACATCCACCTTCTCCAGCAGGCGGGATTAAAACCTCTAGGTTACAGACCGAGAATCAGAGGCTGAGGGCCCTGCTTAAAGGCACTCAGCTTGGAAGTAGCAGAATCTGAATTCAAACCCAAGTAGATTTCTATGCCCCTATTTTTCAAAATGGAGATTGTTAACTATTGGGTTATGAAAGCAATTAGTAGATCATGATCATTTTAAAGTGAATAGAGGCCGGGTGCAGTGGCTCATGCCTGTAATCCCAGCACTTTGAGAGGCCGAGGCGGGTGGATAGCTTGAGGTCAGGAGTTTGAGACCAGCTGGCCAACATGTTGAAACCCCATTTCTACTAAAAATACAAAAATTAGCCGGGCTTGGTGGCATGCGCCTGTAATCCCAGCTACTGGGAAGGCTGAGGCACAAGAATTGTTTGAACCTGGGAGGCAGAGGTTGCAGTAAGCTGAGATTGTGCTATTGCACTCCAGCCTGGGTGACACAGCGAGACTTCATCTCAAAAAAAAAAAAAAAAAAAAAGAAAAAAAGAAAATAGAATATTGGGAGGCCGAAGTGGGTGGATCACCTGAGGTGAGGAGTTTAAGACCAGCCTTACCAACATGGCAAAACTTCGTCTCCACTGAAAATACAAAACTTAGCTGGGCTTGGTGGCACATGTTTGTAATCCCAGCTACTCATGAGGCTGAGGCAGGAGAATTGCTTGAACCTGGGAGGTTGCAGTGAGCTGAGATTGTGTCATTGCACTCCAGCCTGGCCAGCAGAGCGAGACTCCATCTCAAAAAAAAAAAAAAAAAAGAATAGACTGGAAAAGATAAGAGTGCATTACTCGTGGCAAACTGTAAAGATTGGTTTCTGAAAAATTTGGTTCATGTATACACACACACACACATACACACACACACACACATCCTGGATTCATATAGTTGCACACACACAGACACACACACATACACACACACACACCTTGGATTCATATATTTGCACACACATGCATATATACATGCACATATATAAAGGTGTTCTGTGTCACCATGTAAAATACATTTCATGGCCAAAAGTGGTTTGAAAACCACTCTTCTAGGCTGTACTGCTCCAAACTCACCAACTATAAATAACATTTTATTAAGTGCTAGGATATGCTGGGAATCCTCTTGAAGCAGAATAGTTTCTTCTGTGGAAGCAAAGTCACTTTGACAAATGGCCACGCCCTCACCCTTCCTGGCTACACTCCATTCCCACCCCCTAGCTGCCTCATCTGCTTCCCAGGGAGGCTGCAGTAGAAACCAGTGGGCTGGATTTGCAGTGCTTTCCCCAGAATGTCCTGTCTGGACAGCCCTCACTGAGCAGTGTGGTAGGATGAGGTATGATGGGGACACCTTGTCAGGCCTCTGGGAATTCTGGGCCAGCAACCCCACACCTGCCCCACACTGCCAGGCAGCAGTGAGCAGTGACTCTCATTATTTTAGGATGTCTTTATTCATGTATATCTATTCTTTCTTTCTTTTTTTTGAGATGGAGTTTCACTCTTGTCGCCCAGGCTGGAGTGCAGTGGTGTGATCTCGGCTCACCACAACCTCCGCCTCCCGGGTTCAAGCGATTCTTCTGCCTCAGCCTCCAGAGTAGCTGGGACTACAGGTATGCACCACCATGCCCAGCTAATTTTTGTATTTTTAGTAGAGACTGGGTTTCTCCATGTTGGTCAGGCTGGTCTCAAACTCCCGACCTCAGGTGATATGCCCACCTCAGCCTCCCAAAGTGCTGGGATTACAGGGGTGAGCCACCGTGCCCGGCCTATGTATACCTATTCTTGAAGTGCAAACACATGGACGTGTTTCTTCAACTGCAGGGCAGGTGCTTGTAAGAGGAGCCACAGGAGGAAGGAGGAGAGGAGAAGAGAAGAGAGGGAGGGAGGGAGGGGAGGGAAGGGGAGAGGAGAGTAGGGGAGAAGAGATGGTGCCTTTGCCCTTTCTCTGCATTTTCAAGTTGAGGGCCACAGAGCAGTCAAGAGTCTACTGATTTTATAGTTGGGGTAACTGAGGCCCAGAGAGGGGAAGGACTTTCCTGGACAACCCCAGCCTGGCATGTGGCCTTCATCTCCCTTCTCCCCAAATCTGCAGGCTGAGCTGGGCCACATCCTGGGGATTGAAGCCCTCAGGGCTGTCTTCAGGGACTTGGCCCTGTCATCCTTGTTGCTAGTCTGGCCCTGGCTATCCTGAGCTCTGGCACTGGGATCCTGTTGTCCTGCGCTCCTCTGAGCACCTCGGTCTTGCCTTGTTCTTCCACTTCCGTTTGGGGCCAGAGTCCTATTCAAATATTAAACAAGCCATTTGGCACAGGTAGTGACCAATTAGAATGAACACTGGCCAAATCCTAGAGTTCCCCTTCTGCGGTACGCACTGGCCCTTTGAATGCTAAAGGTGGGTGGTCTGGGGGTGCTGGGGAGGGGACAGAGTGGCTGGGATGGACGGTGCCTTTGCCAGGCTTGGGACAGTGGCAACTAGCCACTTAGGTATGAGAGTATGTCATTATTTTAACACCTTTACAGGTGCGTATTGGTTGAATATCAGCCTGCATCTCATCCTTAAATCCACATCCCTGAACCGACATGAGGTCTTGGCATCTGATCACAACCTCCGTGATGCCACCTGCCATTGTAGATTTCCAACGATCACCCCCATCAGATTCTCTATTGCCAGCTTTGCCTGAAGAGGGAAGGAGGAGGGGGTCTGTGCTTGTCACACGATGTCTTAGTGCCAGGCCTCGCGGTAGGGAGGTGGTTAGTCTCCTAGGGCTGCAGAGGATCACAGGCTGGGTGGTTTAAACAGCCATGCATTCTCTCACGATTCTGGAGGCGAGAAGTCTGAGAGTGCCTTTCTCCTAGTTCCTGGTGGTTTGCTGGAAATCTTTCGCATCCCTGGCTTGTGGACGCATCATCCTCTCTGCCCTCATCTTCACATGGTGCTCTCTTCGTGTCTTCTCTGTGTTCGCTTGGCCCCCTTTTAAAAGGATACTGGGGCCCATGCCAATGACCTCATCTCAACTTAATTATCAACAAAGACCCAAATTTCCCTATTTCACAGTCACAGGTACTGGGGATAGACCTCCAATATCTTCTGGGGGCATATGATTTAGCCCATATCAGGAAGATTTACTCATAATATCTTCTTGTGAACTCTGAGTATGAGATTTTTTTGATTAAAGATTATAACTGCATGTTCCTCCTTTCCTCCCTCCCTTCCTTCCTTCCTCCCTTCCTTCCCCTTCCTAATCCCTCCTTCCTCCCGTCCTTCCCCTTCCTAACTTCCTAATCCCTCCCTTCCTTCCTTCCTTCCTTCCTTCCTTCCTTCCTTCCTTCCTTCCTTCCTTCCTTCTTTTCCTTCCAGCCTTCCTTCCTGCCTTCCTTCCCAGCCTGGGCAACATGGCAAAACCCCATCTCTACCAAGATTATAACTTTCTCCCTCGCTTGCTTCCTTCCTTCCTCCCTCCCTCGCTCCTTCCCTACCTCCCTCCCTCTCTTCCTTCCTTCCTTCCTTCCTTCTTCCCTCCCTTCCTCTTCCAGAATATATTTTATTCAGATGACACATTTTATAGCAATCTTATAGATTAAACATGAGAAGGCTGATTTTCGCTGGTTGAAGAGGGATAGGAACCCCTAAGGTTTCACGAAACACATTTTGGGAACCACTGAGTAAGCTTCTCTCAGGTCTCCCTCTAGCTCAGGCATTCCATGGATCCTTCTCACCCTGGTTTTGGCTCGAACCCAGGTCTATATGGTCTTATTTATTTTAGGTCCAGTTCTGCTTGTGACTTGTTCATGTGCCTTGCCAAGGGCTGTCCAGGAAAAGGATCCCCACTGCTTTCATCCCTGAAGTTCTGGCTCAGAATGGGCTGAAAGAGGGAGCCAGCAGGGCCCTTGCCAAAGTGTTTCCAGTCAGAATAGGAATCGTGGATCTCTTCCATAACTCTGTCCTTTGTTTTGTCTGCAGAAGCCTAAGTTGTCTTAGTTTGGAAAACTCAGTGTCCTCCCTTCTTGCATGGAGCTATGGTGTGTGGAAATTCCAAACTGTAGCTTAGTTGCCTTGCCCTGAAACTTGTCTCCTCTGGAGATACAGGGCTGGGGGCAAGGCTGAGCGAGAAGAATCTGTCTTGGTCAATCCTGGTGCTCTGGAAGAAAACCTTGTGTGATGGTCATCTCTAGTTGGTAATCTGATATAAGTTGAGTTGCCGACAGAACCCAGCTGAGGAGAATGACTGGTCTAATCCCAGCATGGCTTTCCTGCTCCCTTTGCTAGGTGTGTGATTTCCCAGCTTCCCTTGGAGAAATGTCACTGCCATGATTGTGTTACAGAGGACCTCCATCTAGCCAGCACGCTCACACTCCTTCCCTGGATCGGTTTGATGAAGCAGGCCTCCATGTTGTAAACTGTCTCATGGAGAGGCCCAACTGGCAAGGAACTGAGGAAAGCCTCTGGCCAACAGCCAGTGAGGAGCTGAATCCTGCCAACAACACTGAGAAAGTTTGGAAGTGGATCCTGCCCCAGTTGAACCTTCAGATGGCTGTGGTCTCAGCTGACATCTTGATTGTAGCTTTGTAAGAGACTTTGACCCAGAGGACTCAGGTAAGCCATACTAGATCCTTACCCACAGAAACTGAGATAGAAAGTATTTCAGACCTGCCAGAGGCACCATGGCTCATGCCTGTAATTCCAGCACTTTGAAGGCTGAGGCAGGTGGATCACTTGAGCTCAGGAGTTTGAGACCAGCCTGGGCAACATGGCAAAACCCCGTCTCTACAAAAAATTCAAAAATTAGCTAGGTGTGGTGGCATTTCCCTCTAGTCCCAGCTACTCAGGAGGCTGAGGCAGGAGAATTGCTTGAGCCCAGGAGGCGGAGGTTGCAGTGAGATGAGATTCTGCCACTGTGCTCCAGCCTGGGAGATGGGAGTGAAACCTTGTCTCAAAAAAAAAAAAAAAAGTGTTTCAGATCACTAAGTTTGGGGCAATTTGTTATGTAGCAATAGACAACTCATAAAGGGGGCTTTGATTTTTGATAGAAGAGATAGAGGAAGCTGGCACCCCTGTTTTCCACCAGATGCAATGACCATCTTATGACCATGAGGCAGCAGGCATGATGGTCCCATCCATATTAAGCTTGGCAGAGCAGAAAGATAGAATGATCCAGGGTTCTGACAGCATCTATAAGCAGCTGGGTCACTGCAGCAACCACCTACCTTTGGACTTCTTATATGAAAAAAACGTACTCTCATTTAAGTCTTTGTTGATTGAGTTCTGTTACTTTCACCCAAAAGCCTTCCTAAAAGTAAATTGCTTCCTCTTGCGGAATCTCAGATACCTGATCTATCAAACCAGTGGGATGGATTAAATCATGTCTAAGGTCCCAGCTCATGATGGGCACTTCCAGCTACATAGTCATGTGATATTCTTTAGTCAAGTGCTCTATTTCTATTAGGGTCCAGTGGCACACCAGGAGCTGCAGATATCGTGGCTTTATGACAAAAACCCATGAGTGCACATTGTGATTCTTCTACTGAGGCTTGCCATAAACTCCTCACAGCATCTTTCCCCCTTCAGACTTACCTGTAAGACCATGGGTTTTAACTGGGCTTATGGCTCCAGTACTGGGGGTTACTTATACCATAACCAGGATCTACTGCATACCTTTTTCTGCACTAGGCTTCATTCAAAGCTGGCAGTCTTCTGTGTCACTTGGTAATTGGCATGGATTATTACTACAGTGTGTGAAATATGCTAAATCCAGAACCCAAAGAGGCTTACCAGGTATTGTGCTTTTTCCTTTGTGGTAGGAGGTGCAAGATATAATAATTTGCCCTTTACTTTGGAGGGGATATCCTGGCCTTTCCAGGAATCCATTAAAGCTGATATGGCAGGACCCTGAATCTTCACTCTCATCCTCTGGAGTGCTTATGTCTTGTCAAGACCTCTAGGGAAAGCCGGGTGCGGTGGCTCACGCCTGTAATCCCAGCACTTTGGGAGGCTGAGGTGGGCAGATCACCTGAGGTCGGGAGTTTGAGACCATCCTGGCTAACATGGTCTCTACTAAAAATACAAAATTAACCGGGCATGGTGGTGCATGCCTGTAATCCCAGCTACTCGAGAGGCTGAGGCAGGAGAATCGCTTGAACCTGGGAGGCGGAGGTTGTGGTGAGCTGAGATTACGCCATTGCACTCCAGCTTGGGCAACAAGAGTGAAACTCCGTCTCAAAATAAATAAATAAATACATAAATAAATACATAAATAAATAAATCCTCCAGGGTACTTGTCACTTCTTATTCATTACTTACTCATTACTTCCAAGATACTTGCCACTTCTTGCTCATTGCTTGCTGATTAATAGGGTCATGTTAATAAAGCTGACCAATGCAATGTTTTGTGGAATGTCCAGGTGGTCATTCCAGTGTGGCACTGATGTTTACCATTCCCTCATGATGCAATACTGATTTTGATTTATTAGGTTGGTGCAAAAGTTATTGTGGTTTTTGCTATTACTTTCAATGCAAAAACTACAATTACTTTTGCACCAATCTAATACTATCTTTGTTAGTGGCGGGTGGGTTGAGGCAGTTTCCCAAGTTTCACCTTCGGAACCCACTCTCCCCACCTTGATAGCTCTTGTCTCATAAGCCATGGGGGTTTTGCCAATTACCGAGTATGTTTATTTCAGTTGTATACGAGGAACTGAGGAAAGACTACTGGGTGAGTCCATGGACCTGGCTGTGACCTGGACTGGAGTCTGGACTCCATTTGTTACCTGGCCTCCATACACTCCCATTCGAACAAGGGCCAAAATAATATTTTGGATCTCCATGTATCAACTCAGACCATGTATCCACAGTCCTTAACATTTCTGACTATGAACAGAATAAAAGCTGGGAGATACTTTGACATGGTTGTGCAGAGTCTTTCTACCTGGAGGTTTGGTCTTTTCTTCAGTCAATGGGTTTCATGTCTGAAAATAGGTTCAGGTCTAGAAGCTTGGCATGGGATCCTGAGTCTTGGTTTATTTTGACTGCATAGATTGAGCAATTCCCTTGTTAGCTGCCTGTCTAGCTAGGCTTCAGGAATGTCGTGTTCTATTAATCATCTCCATAGCTGTCTGTGGGTCAGGCCCCCAGCTGCTTTGGTGACTTGGCTGCTCATTACAATATTTGCAATCATCTTCCCTTTGATGGTTAAGTGCCATCTGGCATCTATTATTTTGGGATCCTATCATCCCCCTTGCTATCACAGAAGTCTACCAGGCCCAGTATTTTCTGGCTGGATAATGCTATAACTTGGCTCTAGTTATGGATTTGGCAGTCAGGGGGTAAAGTGGGGTCTAAACTGAGAGGTGAAGGGGGTGTTTATTTTCATGTAACATAGAAGCTTCTGTATCATTTTTAAGCTAGGAGGGAGTGCTAGTATTTACTAGGAGTCCTGGGACACTTCTGCAGGCTCAGAGAGTCCTGAGTATCTGGGAGTTTAAGGATTCTTGAGGGCATGAACCCTACTGTCCCTATCCAACAGCTTAGGGCCCCACTTCTTTCTAATCGAAGCCCTAACCTTGGCATGACAGAATTACCCAGGTTGAGAATTTTCTGGTGCTCTGTTACCCTCATAATTAAGACCTGGGCCTGCTTCTGGGCCTTTTCTGTCCTTTGGATGCAGGAGAGGGGAACTCTGTACATGCTACCAAAGAGGCCCTCTGACTTTGATGCTTTGCCTTATGCTGGCAATTTCCATTGTCTTTCTGTAGCACGTTAGTAGCACTCAGCAAGCCACCCCATTTTGTTGTCATTATAGTTAGTACTTCATCCAAACCTCTCAAAAGCCTGAGATATTGCACCCGTTGGTTCATTCCCTTCCCCAAGTAGTCCATCCCAATTTACCACCAGTGAAAGGCTTCACATTTATGTCACTCTATCACCCCAAGGGCTGTTCATACTCCACCTACCACCATCCTGTCACCTCAGTGATGTCCGCCAGCCAGTGAGTGGATGATCCAGTTATAAAGTCTCATTTAGTCTGCTCCTTAGACCACCCCACTTCTGATACCAACTGTCTTAATTCTTGTATCCCAAGAAATAAACTTTGAGACAGAAATCTAGATCCTGGGTACTTACTGGGGAGTGCTTTGGAAACAACACCTGCAAGCGGGTGAAGAATCTCAGATTGGCCAGTGGGAGAAGTTGAACTCTGATGCAGAGTTCAACTCTCTGATGCAGTCACAGAAGAGGCCTTAGTCGATTGCATGGGGGACCCTGAAGCTGAGATGATCCTGCAGAATTCTCTCAGACTGAGGCCTCTGAACTTCTACATTGCTAGTCGTGGGTTGCCAGTGAGGGGACATGACTTTGGGTGAGGCAGTGCCCTTCAGTGAAGGGCGCTTCCTGGGGAGGGACTGGGCTCTGAGCCGTTAGCAGCCAACACTCCTGGGAGCTGAGCCAGCCTTTGTCCCTAAGGGAGATTCATCTGGGTAGGGCACCACAGCATCCACTATAGCAGTGGTTCTCAAAGTGTGGCACTCAAACCAGCAGCATCACCATCACCTGGGAACTCGCAAGAAATGCAAAGCCTCAGGCTCCACCCCTGACCTACTGAATTAGAAACTCTGAGTATAAGATCCAGCAATCTGTGATTTAACAAACCTTCCCAATTTGATGCGGCTAAAGTTTGAGGTCCACAGCACTACAGGGAGCAAGATCTAGCAGATGACTCACACAGAAAAATTCTGCCCTAGGCCCATTTCAATATATATTCTCAGAGCTATGTTTGATTATGGAAAGTATACATATAGTAGTATATATTTATAAATGGTTTCCTTGATCTATTTTTTTAAAAAGCATTCATTTATTTCTTTTTTAAAATAATTTTTAAAATTTTTTTTATTGAGACAGGGTCTCACTATGTTGTCCAGGTTGGTCTTGTACCCCTGGGCTCAAGTGATCCTCCTGTCTCAGCCTCCCAAAGTGCTGGGATTACAGACATGAGCCACCGCACCCTGCCTTTTTATTACTTTTTAAAAAATGTATTTCCATTTGTTTCTTAATGGACTGATGCGTGAGGGCAACTGGCTCATTTGTTTCATCTGCTTGTAACTCATGGTATTTCCCAGAGAAACTGCCAGCAGCTTTCAGTAAGTGCTAGGTCTGGACTTAGCAGCTTGGGACTGTAGGGATATCTATGTAAATCCAAGGCAGCCCAGTGGAAAGAGTTTGGGTGCTGACCTTAATTTGGAGCCTGGCTCCCCTAGCACCTCTCGCTGTGGAATCTTAGGAGGTCACTTTCCCTTTCTCATCTGAAAAAAAAAAATGGGGTTGATGTGATGATGAAAAGGAAATCACACATAGTAACTGCTAAAAAGCCTGAGCTCCACTTTCACTTCCAGCCGCCTGTGTTCCAGTTCCTGCTCTGCCACACCACACGGTGCAACCATGGGCACGCCCATTCCCATCTTGTGCACGTCCCTTCCCATCTCTGGGCTGTTACCCATCTACAAAGTGGAAGGGCATTGATCTGGACAGACTCTGCGGTTCCTTCCTGTGCCTGTGAGCAAGAGTTGTGTTGGTTACCCTTGTCCCCCAGGCATTTGGGACCCAAGGCTCCAGGAAGGGAAGGATCCTACAATGTGTTTAAAATCTCCCTCCAAATCAAGTCCTAACTCCTGCCATGTCCAGCATGACCTGGCACCTGGAGGCATCTCAGGCCTCACCCCTTTCCCTCACCCTGCATACGCCAGCCAGTCCAGCCCCTTCTTAATCTTTGAGCAAGCCAGCCAGCCTTTCTCACTACCTTGTGGACTTTGCATTGGTGAACATTTTCTGGAAAATTCTACCCCCAGCTCTTTGCACTGCTGGCTTCTTCTCATCTTCTGGGGTTCAGCTCACTGTCACCTCCTCAGCACCCCACTCAGCATTCCCCTGCCTCAGTTATAATCGTATCAGCACTTTTGTTTCCTGCAAAACACCTTTCACAATCAGAAGCACTCTCGTTTGATTGTAAGTTTAGCTGGCTATTGTCTGTGCGATTTTCTAGAATGTGCGGCCGTGAGGCTGAAACTTCTGATCTGGCCTTAATCATGACAGTGTCCCCAGCAAATGACCCTAGGACATAGTGCTCAAAAAATAGGTTGGCATGTGTCAGTGAATAGAGACTTGCTCTTAGGAATGCAGGCTGGCTCCGTCTCTATTTGTCAAGCCTTCTTGGGCTCTCATGGCTGAGAAATGGGTTTCAACTGGCAGGCCTGTTTACCCACACCACCACCTTACTGTATGCACCTCGTGCCTCATGCCATCTTGCCTCAGGAACCCATGGGATGTGCCAGATGGGCTGGGCCTGGCTCTGCTACATGTGTGTCCACTCCTAGCTCCTGGCTCCCAGCAGTCTTCCCAGGCTTCCAAGGCAAAGAAAGAGAAAGAGAGAAGAGAAAAGGAGGCTAGACTTGGCTTTGCTCTCCAACAAACCAGCAAGCAAACAGTATCTGGTTTCGAATTTCAACAAGGATGTGTCAGCAGAGCCTGGGTTGCACCAGCCTGGGTTGGGGGAGAGACTGGAGAGGTTATGTCACTGGTGAGGTGTGGTGGTGCAATGCGGGTGACAACACCACGCAGGCCCGGATGTGGTGTCAACAAACCCGGGCTCGAGCGGGGCTCCTGGGTGGGGGCATGCGGAAGTGTTGGGGTGACCCCTCGAGGAAGGAAAGAGCCACGGTCATTTCCTGAGCCTGTCTGCCAGGTGCTTTCGAGTGAGAATCCCACGAGAATCCTCTCACCTGCCAGGTGGGGCCCATGTTATCAATGTCCTTTTACAGGTGAGGAAATTGAGTCTAGGAATTGAAATGACCCGCCCGTGATCATTTGGCCCTGGTATAGAGCTGGGAACCAAACACAAATCCAGTTTTGTCTCCTCTTCCTGGGGACTCTGGGTTGAAGTTGTGCTCAACTGTTTCCTGGCTTTAGGAGGCTGGTCAGGCTTCCCAGCCTCCCCATCTCAGCCTCCTCGGTTACAAAATGAAAGTGTTGTTGCCCTCATTCATTCGGTTGGGGTGAGGTTTGAATGGACGATGGTGGCAAAACCCTTAGAAGACCACCTGGCTCTGTGTGCCCCAGACCCATCTTCCTTCTTTGTGGGTGCAGAAGTCCCAGCCCCCTGGGGAAGAAGGAGACTCTGGTGGGCAACGATGTATCCTCGGAATGGCTCCAAGGGAATGGAACCAGCTTTTAGACCCCCAGACATTGCCAGCTCTGGGCGTCCCTTCCTCTCAGGCCCTGCTCAGTAGATGACTCTGTCCCCATGGTGTGGTGATGCCTGGGTCAGGCTGTCTCCCCACTTCCTACTCTGTTGGCTACAAGAGCAGGGGCAGCAATGGCTGAGAGTCCAGACAAAAGCTTTTAGAGGAACCAGGTGGGGAGAGGGTGCCCACTGCAGACCAGGCCCTTTCTATAGCTCTTGAGATGCCCACTCTCATTGACCTCTTCCCCAAAACCTTGATGAGTGACACAGTATGCTTCTTCTTTTTTTTTTTTTAGAGATGGATAAGCTGAGGATTGGAGAGGTGAGGTCAGTGCAGCAGTCCCACAGCACACCAGAGCTGGATTTGAACCCAGGTGCATTTGCATGGCTTCTGGCTCCTCTGTGGACTGACAGCCTGTGTGGGCCAGCGCTTCCCTTCTCTGGGACTCAATTCTTCCACTTATAAAATGAGGGGGTTGGACCAGATGACTTTTTAAGAGTCTTCCCATCCCTGGTATTCCCTGAGTCGCCATCTTGGAAATTCTGACCTCATTCCTGCTTTGTGCAGCTGTTTATTTGCTTGTCTCTCTTACACTGTGGAGCTGTGGAGCAGTTCAGGCCAGTCTTGCTGGGATAAAGGCATAGCTTCCTCTGTGGCCTCTGGGTTTGAGAAGGTCTCCGAGAATCCTCACTCCACAGAGGACATAGCATCTTTTTCGGAGCCCTCCCACTGGCTCGAGAGGGAACTTGTAATTTCGTTTTATTTTTGGTTTTCTCTCTCTTGCTCTTTTTACTGGAGTAAGATATACATAATATAAAACTTACCATTTATCTATTTTCAAGCATCCAGTTCAGTGGCATTAAGTACATTCACATTATTATGTAACCATCACCATGATCCATCTGAGAACATTTTCATTATCCCAAATGGAAACTCTGTACCATAAAACAGTATCATCCATTCCTCTCTCCCCCCAGCCCCTGGTTGTGATGTGTTTTTATAGCAAAGGCTCCATGATATTTAAGAGTTGATGTCATCCTCCTTCCCCTCCCAGTTCTAGGGGAGGGAAATGGACCTACAATCCCACTGATTTCCAAAGAGTCTAGGACATGCTTAAGCACAGGATAAGGAGGGCGTGCATGAGGTTCCCTGGCTTGAGTAGCACAGTACAACCTTATAGCCTCAAAATATCTCTGCCCCAAAATGCATCAGTGCCTCAAGTTGCACAGTCTTCATTTTTTGCCCTTTCCCTGGGGTTGTTTCTTTCAAAGTATCCCACCCCCTCTGCTGCTTAGCTCTTGGGAGCGAACACACAGCTGGTGTTAGGAGAAATACATTGGGCCACCGTGGGACAGGAAACCTGCTTTCCAGTTCTGCTACTGCCTCTGATTGCATGACCTTGAGTAGCCAGCATGACCTCTACAAGCCTCAGAAGGCTAAGTGGTGCCAAGGACTCTCTCACCTGTCAAGTGGGTAAGGATGCCAGCTCTTTCAGGACACTGCACGAGAAAGCGCAAGGTGGAGTTCAAATGAAAGAGAAGATAGATGCTAACTCAGTGGCTAGCCCACGGCTTTCTCCTCACTTCAGGAAGATGCTCTGGTGGAGATGGGGTGGTGACCTCTGACGCCTACGGCTGCGGAGGGCTCCAAAGCCCACAGGTTCTGGAGATGACTCATGGGAAGTTTTCCCGAAGGTCAGAGCTGGTTGTCAGCCTCCCTCTCTCCCCATCTTCCCCATAGGCTTGGGAGTTTGCCAATTTGAGGCAACATTCTTCTTATCTCCCACTAGGCCCTATGCTCATGGATTTGTTAGGGGTGGGAGCTGTTTTTACTCACAACACTTCTGACACCAAATGTGTGGGTTTTCTTCTCTCACCAACTAACTCTCCAACTCTCTGGATACCCACTGGGCGTCCTACATTTCAATTCAATTTGGACACTAACGCCGCAGGCTTAGGGACTCAGTCCCACGAGACTGCCCTCGCTTCAGATGCCAGTCACAGCACCAGTTCCTCAGGTGATCACACTGCTGTCCAACTTCGCTACAAAGCCTGGAAGGTTCACACAACCAACTGCGCATTTCAGGTTTGATGATTTGTTAGAATGGCTCACAAAACTCCAGAAAACACTTCACGTAACCATTTTTGCTTTATTATAAAGGAAGCAAATGAACAGCCAGATGAAGAGGGGACCTAGGGCAAGGTCTGCAAGCGTCCTGAGCACAGGAGCTTCTGTCCCTGCGGAGCTGGGATGAGCTGCCATTTCAGCTCTCCCAATCCTGTTGTTTAGAGGTTTTTAATGGAGACTTCATTACATGAACACAATTGACTAAATCATTCACCTTTGGTGATGAACTCACTCTGTATTCCTTCTCTCCTCCCTGGAGGTTGAAGAGGCTAAAAATTTCAAGCTTCTAATCAAGGCTTAGTCTTTCTGGCAACTAGTTCCCATCTGGAAGCCATCTAGGGGCCCACCAAGAGTCGCTTCATTAGAACAAAAGGGACTCCCATTACCTTTATCACTCAGGAAATTCCAAGGGTTTTAGGAGCTCTGTGCTAGGAACTGGGGACAAAGACCAAATACCTCTCTATAGCACAGACAGTAAGAAGGGCCCTACTCTGTCAAACACAAGGTTTAGCAAAATGGAGTTGGGATGTTATCTGAATAGTGTTTCTTAGTAAAACCACTATCCATCAAGGTCATAATCTATGGGCATACTGAGTTCCTGCTCCCCTTCCCCATGTGTCAAACAGGGACGTATTAGTTATCTTTTGCTGCATAACAAATTAGCCCAATGCCTACTGTCCCAAAACAAATGAACAAATTCTTGTCTCACAGTTTCTGTGGGTCAGGAATCTGGGTGGAGCTTAGCTGGGTCCTCTGGTTCCAGGGCTCTCATGATAGCTGCAGCTAAGATGTTGGCTGGTTATTCGCTAGAGAAGGATTCACTTCCAAGCTCACTAATGTGGCTGTTGGAAAGATCCAATTCCTTTTGGATTATAATATGGAGGCGAGGACTTCAGTTCCAGGCTGGCTGTTGGGCGGAGGTCTCCTCCTTTCCTTGTGCAGTGGGCATCTTCATATCTATGGAGGGCAGCTCACAGTATGGCAGACTGCATGAGTTAAAGGCAAGTGAGGGAGTGTGAACAAGATGGAAAGCATAATCCTTCATGACTTTGATATGGTTTGGCTGTGTGTCCCCACCCAAATCTTACCTTGTAGCTCCCATAATTCCCATGTTTTGTGAGAGGGATCCAGTGGGAGATGCCTGAATCATGGGGGCAGGTCTTCCCCATGCTGTTCTTGTGATAGTGAATGGGTGTCATGAGATCTGATGGTTTTTAAAAACAGGAGTTTCCCTGCACAAGCTCTTTTTTTGCCTGCTGCCATCCACGTAAGATGTGACTTGCTCCTCCTTGTCTTCCACCATGATTGTGAGGCCTCCCCAGCCACATGGAACTGTGAGTACAATTAAATCTCTCTCTCTCTCTTTTCTTTTTGTAAATGTCACAGTCTTGGGTACGTCTCTATCAGCAGCATGAAAACAGACTAATACAGACTTGATTTCGGAAATGACATCTCATAACTTTTGCCCTGTTCTGTTTGTTAGAAACAAGTCACCAGGCCAACAGTCAACAGGAGGGAATTACACAAGGGCATGAATACCAGGATGCCAGGATCACTGGAGACCGCTTTAGAGACTGCCTCCCACAGGGCATAATAATAGCTACCTTAAAGGGTTGTTGTGGGGATAAAACATGACAATATATATGAAAACAGCAGCTTTGAATATTCCAAAGCACTAGGTAAACATCAGTTATTTTTGTATTATGAATCATCTATTACATACAATATTAATGATGCTGTTTAACTTTTTAGTAATAAATACAACTATTGGCAGAGAAGACAAATTATAGCCCATCAGAGCTACCTAGACTTCAGAAACCACCTACTACAACCCCCTCATTTTGCAAATGGTGAAATGGTGCACTCAGAATCATTCGGAGAGTGAGTGCCAGAATTGTAAACAGAAGGCAAGTGTTCCCATTACTTTTTTGTATCTGCAAAACCTAAAAATGTACGCTTTGTCCAGTACTCTTTCCACTTTATCATGTTGTCTTTAGGTAGGGTATTAAAAAGAAACAAAATAGACACACAATTTCTTATGAGGAAAGGGTCTTTAGGGTACTTCTTGACACTTTTCCTAGGTGATGATGTAAGTTTAAATAAATAGAGACCACCTGTTAAATCCGTGCATGCTGACGGGGCTGGGATTCATCAAGCTGGCAATGGTGGGATAGTATGTGGGTCTCAACCTTCACTGCACGTCAGAATCACCTGTGAAGCTTCAGAGGTTCTGAGTTCATTGGTTTAGGATACAGCTTGGGCACTGGGAGTTTTACAATTTCCTCAGGTGGCTCCAATGTGCAGCCAACAAGTAAGAGGACCAGTGGGATCATCTTTATTCAGCTGGAGGAATACTCACTGATCACAGCCATCAGTTCTTCTTTGGAGGCAGAATAAGAGCCACCGTTTGTTTTTGTAACCGATGTTTTATGGGGATGCAGGCATGCTCATTCAGTTACTAATGTCTGTGGCTGCTTTTGTGCCCCAATGGCAGAGCGGAACAATTGTGATTGGCACTGATGGTTCGCAAAACCTAGAAATGTATGATTTGTTTCTGTACAGAAAAAAAATGTGCTGACCCCTGAGTTAGGAGATGAAACAGTGGGAGCTGTGTGCATGGCTCAGAAGAGTCACTTGGTGTTGGATAAAAACTTGGGAACCATTTCTAGAGTGGTGAGAGTGTAAGCCAAGTCAAGCCCTGAACAGATTTGACATTCCAGTGGGGAGAGAGTGGGAGGCAGCAGCACAAGCACAGAGTTGTGGGAAAGATGGAAGCAAGGTCAGGAGAGGAACCAAGAGAAACAGCAACATTTCAGGTGAGGGTGGAAAAGGATCATCAAAAAGACAGAGTGAGAGAGCGTGGTCAGAGAGGTGGCAGATGACCCCGGAGAGAGTGACATCATGAAGCCAAGGGAAGTAAGGACTGTGGTTGTCGCAGGAGAGATGGTGCCCAGCAGGGCCTGGCATAGCAGAGGCCAAGGAGGGAAGGGCCTGAGGAGGGGCTGAAAAATTTGGCCACTGAGAGGTGATCATTGCACCTTAAAGATATACAATAAAAACCAAATACATTAATCAAAAGAGCGAGAGAGAATAAAGATGAAAGAGAAAAAGTAAAATAAAAAATATAGTGACTGTCTAAAATCTTTGCTATATAAGCAAAATAGCAATAGAAAATTTTCAGAAAGGAAAAAACTTATTTGCACAAAAGTGAAATAAAAAGAAGGTCATTGGATTTATCAGAAAAGAGCATGACCCTAATTTTCAAATAACTGGGCTGCTACTTTCATAAATCATTTTTGGGGGAAGGGGGTATTATTTATATTTTCTGATGCAATCCCCCAGATTGAAACCTTGTCATCTTCTTGTTTTTTTCCCTTTGTCTTATCTCTGCTGTCTTTCTCTGGGTCCATAGATACGCATGTGCACCTAATTATACATATCACATGTGTTGACTTAAAAAAGTGATTTCATATTTGCAGTTGTTTCTGAAGGAGACAGGTGTCTGCATGACTAATCTAATTCTGCAGAAATCACTTGCTACAGAGCAATTGACCCAATGCCAGTTGATTCAGGCACCATCTCTCATAGCTTCCTCACCTTCCCTCCTTTCCTCTCTTGATAGTTTTATAACCCTTGTTCTGAGGCTGCCTTGTGAGGTGACCTTGGGTGAATAACCTGTTTCTCCCTGGGCCTATTTGCTACCTGGAAGTTCAGGCAGCAGAGTGCAGACCCACAGGCCAGGGGACTAATGAGGAAGAAAAAGTGACTGGTGCTTGTGTGGCCCAGGGCAAGCCCATTAAGGATGGCAGCTCCATAAGCGGCACAGTCATGGAGAGTTCAGCCAGACTCTTGAGAATGATGGAAAAGGGTAGTATGACTGGGACTACCTTGGAAAACCTGGTAGGCATGGCTATCATTGTGTTAATGGAAAAGAGGAATGTGTTAAAGTAGGTCTGATTTCCCTGCATGTATAAGTGGCTATTCTATTTGAGCAAAGCTATTGGTTATTACTAATATTACCCCTTACTGAGTACTTATTGTGTAACATGCTCTGTACTGGAGCTTTACACATTTGATCTCATTTAATCCTCGTGACAACCCTGGGAGGCCAGAGACTGAGGTTAAATCAGTCGCTGGAGGTCACTGGCTAGGAAGTGGTGGAGTTGGGATTTGAAGCCAGTTCTGCCCGTGTTGTTTTGATCATGACTCCACAGTGTCTTGCATAAGGGCAGGGACATCCATATTCACCACTGTATCCATAACGCCTTGCACCGTGCTTGTATATCATAGGAACTCAATGAATAAGGTATTGATTAACTGCTATATTAACTATAAAACGATGCTGTAGAAAAAAGCAATCCTTCAAAATTTCAGTGGCATTACAATAGCATATGTTTATTTTTCCCACTTGTGGGTCTGCGGATTGGCTGTACTTCAGCTGATCTAGCTTTGCCTTGGCCAGGCAGGCTCGACTCAGGCCTCTAGTTGAATTTCTTTCTCTTTCTATGTCTTTATTCTGAGCTTAAGCTGAAGGAGCAGGGGCTGCCCGGGACATTATCATCTTATGGTAGATTAAAGAAGTGCAAGAGGTAAAGGTAAAGCAAAATCATGCAGAGACATTAAAGGCCCTGGTCCAATCAAATCGGCTATTATTTCATTTCCCAAAGCTCTTCGCACCACCAGGCCCATCATCAATAGGCCAGGGAGATACATTCCACCGACTGTAGTGGGAGGTATTGCAAGCCCCAGGGAAAGTGTTTGTAGAATTCTATAACAGGGAGCATAGAAAACCAAAGCCAACTCTTCACACTCACTCTCAGTTGGGATTAATTCATCTGTGAATAAAGGTAAAACTCCAGGAACAGTGACTTACACAATATGGGAATTTCTCTCTCATGTTAGTCTGGATATAGGTAGTTCAGGTCAGGCAGGGCATCTCTGATCTGTGAAATCCCTAGGTACCCAGGTTCTTTCTATCTTGTTGCTCTGCCTGGCATGCCTGGTCCCCTCATGGGGCAAAGTGGTGTTCCAGCCAGCACCTCCATGCATCACACAGCAGATGGAAGAAGGAGTAGGGACTCGAGTCAGCTGCCTCTTAGAGCAGCAGTCCCCAACATTTTTGGCACCAGGCACTGGTTTTGTGGAAGACAATTTTTCCATGGATTGGGGAAGGGGATGGTTTTGAATGATTCAAGCACATTATGTTTATTGTCCACTTTATTTCTATTATTGTTACTATATTAGTCTGTTTTCATGCTGCTAATAAAGACATACCTGAGACTGGGTAATTTATACAAGAAAGAGGTTTAATGGACTTAAAGTTCCACATGGCTGGGGAGGCCTCACAATCATGGCAGAAGGGATAGAGGAGCAAGTCATGTCTTAGATGGATGGCAGCGGGCAAAGTGAGAGCTTGTGCAGGGAAACTCCCCCTTATAAAACCATCAGATCTCATGAGACGTATTCACTATCACAAGAACAGCATGAGAAAGACCCGCCCCCATGACTCAATTACTTCCCACTGGATCCCTTCCATAACACCTGGGAATTGTGGGAGCTATAATTCAAGATGAGATTTGGGTGGGGATACAGCCAAATCATATCAGTTACATTGTAATACATATTGAAATAATTATACAGCTCACCAAACTGTAGAATCAGTGGGAGCCCCGAGCTTGTCTTCTTGCAACTAGATGGCCCTATCTGGGGGTGATGGGAGACCATGACAGATCATCAGGCATTAGATTCTCTCTCTCTCTCTCTCTTTTTTTTTTTTTTTTGGACAGAGTCTTGCTCTGTTGCCCAGGCTGGAGTACAGTAGCGTGATCTTGGCTCACTGCAACCTCTGCCTTCCGGGTTCAAATGATTCTCCTGCCTCAGCCTCCTGAGTAGCTGGGATTACAGGTGCATGCCACCATGCCCAGCTAATTTTTGTGTTTTTAGTAGAGATGAGGTTTCACTGTGTTGGCCAGGATGGTCTTGATCTCTTGACCTCATGACTCGCCCGCCTCGACCTCCCAAAGTGCTGGGATTACAGGCGTGAGCCACCGCGCCTGGCCTAGATTCTCACAAGGAGCATGCAATCTAGATCCCTCACATGTGCAGTTCACAATAGAGTTCGTGCTCCTACGAGAATCTAATGCCACCGATGATCTGACAGGAGGCGGAGCTCAGGCAATAATGTGAGTGATGGGGAGTGGCTATAAATACAGATGAAGCTTCTCTCCTTTTCTCTGCCACTCACCTCCTGCTGTGCAGCCTGGTTCCTAACAAGCCACAGATTGGTATTGGTCTGTGGCCTGGGGTTGGGGACCCCTGTCTTAGAGAAGGTTCTTGAAGGTTGCTATGTGCACCACTGCTAGTATCTTTCTGGCCAGAATTTAGTTTCAAGCCATACCCACCTATAAGGGAAGTCTGGGGAATGTAGTCTTTATTTCAAATGAGCATGTGACCAGCCATAATTTCCAGTTTTATTAAGGAAGGAGAGAATGGACATTGGGCTGTGTCAATCTCTGCCACCCCACTCTGTTGGTTATTAGACATGTGGATGCAGGAAAGGGTGAGATGTGGTGCCACAGGCATAAACTCTGAGGTCAAGCAGATCTGGCCCCAAACATGCCTCTTCATACAGCCACGTGGCCTTGTGCAAGCCACCTAATCTTATTAAGCCTCAGTTTCCTCAGTTGTAAAAAGAGGGAAAATGATCCAATTTCAATGAGTTATTATAAGAATTAAACAACTTAAGACATGGCATATCAGGGTTAATATGTTACTCCAGGAGATTACCATCTAGAGGGGAAGATGTATGTGTTAATA
Source organism: Homo sapiens (assembly GCF_000001405.40). NCBI lineage: Eukaryota > Metazoa > Chordata > Mammalia > Primates > Hominidae > Homo > Homo sapiens. Next base: position 125,538,589 of record NC_000008.11, read on the forward strand.
GGTAGTGATGAAAAAAAATATCCTCTTGTTATCCCCACTACTTGTTCTTAACATCCATGGAACTTCATTACTGATATATGACAGACTGATAACATCATTGGCCAAAAAACCATGATATCTTTCTTACCTCAGTTTTATCATCTGACAAATGGGTATAATAAGAATAGCTCCCTTATTGGGTGTTATGAGGATGATGTGACCTCCTGCATATAAAATATTCATAGTCTTACCTGCTGTATGGCAAATGCCTTCAGGTAATGCTACTTGTTATGACAATCTGGTTTTCTCATGCCCTGAGCAGGACCTGGCGTGTGCTAGGTGTTCAATAAGTGTTCTTCAGTTGAAGGACAATTAAATGAGAAAATGGTTCTAACTTAAACAAAAAGTTTATTCAAACAAGAAAAAAAGCCCTCAAAGCAAAAGCAACCCAAGACCAAGTAACCGTCTTGATGCACTATGTGGGTTTTAAGTTCTAGAGACCAAAGCCAAGCTGAAGGTTTCATTGATGACAGGCATCTCAGACCACAACAATCCAGCCTGGCCTCTGTATACCTTAGAGGTCTCTTAAAGTTCCTCTATACCCCTTTGCTTCTCTATAACCCAGGGGAGGGGAAATTATTATTCTCATTTTACAGGTAAGAAAACTGAGGCTCAGGGAATCAGGACTGGACCCAAGATCACAAAACTAACAAGTAGTCTGTATGGACGTGCTGACTCTCAGTCCTGTGCTCTCCCCATTAGACCAGAAAGACCATCTGGTTGGTCCTAATACTTTTACAGCCTGGAGGACCAGCAGGGTTAAGTGACTTCCCCAAGGCCACATAACAAATGGGCAGAGCAGGTGAACCCTCTGACTTGTCTCCAAAGGAAGTGTGGGCTGTTTGCTGTAAACAGTGCCTCCAGGGAATCACTTCTCAGCACCCAGCTCCTTGATGGCAGAGGCTTAGGCCTGAAAGCTTGCTTTGCTTGGAAACAGCCCAAGCCTGGCCAACAGAAGGACACGGGAACATCTTTTTTTTTTTTTTTAAATTATACTTTAAGTTCTAGGGTACATGTGCACAATGTGCAGGTTTGTTACATATGTATACATGTGCCATGTTGGTGTGCTGCACCCATTAACTCATCATTTACATTAGGTATATCTCCTAATGCTATCCCTACCCCCTTCCCCCAACCCCACGACAAGCCCCGGTGTGTGATGTTCCCCTTCCTGGGACACAGGAACATCTTTGATGACAGCTATGATTCTGTCAAGATGGCAGGAGATGCTTTGATCAGGATTGTGGTGTGGAAGTCTGTTTCCTCTGGAAAGAGTCATGAGAAAGAGAAAGACAGGAATCATGGGGTAGACAATGAAGCTTGAATTTGAATCCACATCTGTTTGACTCCATAAGACAAAGGTGTGGAATGGCATCCAGGCTGAGTCTGAAATGTGAAGTGAACATTTCCTCCTTGTCTATCTCTATTATCACCCCATCTGTCTCTTGGGACTCTGTGTCTGGTGGTACAGTTTGAATATTGCACAAAGGCACCTGGATACTATGAGCATCCCGATAATCCCAGCACCTTGGGAGGCTGAGGCAGGCAGATCACTTGAGCCTGGGAGCTCAAGACCAGCCTGGTTAACATGGCAAACACTGTCTCTATAAAAAATGTAAAAATTAGCCAGACATGGTGGCATGTGCCTGTAGTCCCAGCTACTCAGAGGGTGAGGTTTGAGGATACTTTGAGCCCAGGAGGTCAAGGCTGCAGTGAGCTGTGATTGTGCCACTGCACTCCAGTGAAGATTTTAGTACCGTGTATTGTGTATTGAAGCCAGGAGGATGTCTATTTATCCTTCTGTTTATTCATTAGCAAATACCTATCAGAATTCTTAGCATGCATAGGGCACTGTACTAGGGGATGGGCATAATGCAAGGACTAAAACAGACCTAGTTATTGGCCTCACTAGAGTCCACAACTTAGCGCTCTAGTCTTTCTCTAAGAAGTCGTGAATGTGTTCATCATCCATCCATCCATCCATTGTCCACACACTCATTTAATTGACTCACATATTCATGCATTATTTTTTTCACGTGCTCAATCATGTACCCATTTAATAATTTTGTTACTCTTTCCTCCTCTCATTTATTCATTCATTTAGTCACTTAGAAGTTTATTCTTTTACAAACTCATTTGTTTACTAACTCTGATTCATACTTTTCTATTTATTCACTCACTAAATTGATCCATTTAATCACATGCTAATTCATTTACGCTTTCTCTCACTCTTAAAAATCATTTAGTCATCAAACATTTACTAAGCCTATTCTGTATTCTAGGGGACCTAGATGCAGTCGTCTTCAAGTTCCATAGGAGGGCTGTGGCTGACCTTGTCTCGTCTGATAAACCACTGAAGAAGAATGCTGTGTATCTATCTAGTGGGGCCTTCTAGGGAACTACGGGGGGCAAGGGCAAGTTCATTGGCCTGTCATTACTGTTTCCTAATCTAGGGAGCCTCTCAGGTGAGGAAACACGTTTTCCCACAAGATGTCACCTGTGGCCACCTCCCAAGAAGTGGTCAGCTGGGAGAAGCTTTCAGCTTTCTGTATCTTTCTTCCCTTCCCCCTCAGAAAAGACTCCCCTGAAGCGATTGGTCTTCTCTGGCTCGGGCCAGGGGCTGAGGAGTGACGCTGGGTGGAGGCAACACCCAGGGAGATAGGAAGCCTGTTCTGTGGGGCTTATCTCAGGACTGTGAGGCAACTGAAGACAGAAGCCATGAGAGGAGAAGTTTGGTAATCTCATCTGCAATTGTTGTTTTTGTACTTATCTAAGGATGGGGGTGGGGATGGAAGGGTGGGAATGGGTTTGAGTTGCAGCCAAAGGAATTTAGATTAGACACCTGAAAGAACTTTCCAACATACAACGCTGTAAGGCCAAAAGGAGATAGTACAGTTGCCTTTTATCTGGATCCATAGTATAATACTTAAGTTTAGGTGTTCAATAAGTACTGAACACACAAGACTGGGAGTCTGGAGAGTTGGGCCAAAAGCTCTTATTTGTCCTTCATTCCCACTGGGGACATTTCTCCTCTTTATTTCACTCTCTGAGCCTCTGTGTCCTTGTCAGCCTTGTAGGGCTGCGATGAGAATTAAATGAGACAATATGTGAATGTGACCAGTCCAGTCAATGCCTAGCACATAGTACATGCTTAAGAAATACCTATGTCATCTGGATTCTGGAAATCCTGTACACCATGGTAGTCCAATAAAAATATACCCAATGAATCATTAACATGATTTAATTTATAAGGGGCACAAAAGGTTCATTAATGTTAGTTAACAGTAGGTTTTGGAGTCAGATAGACCTGGGCCTTATTTACAGCTGCATTTGGGGTTGGGAGTGGAATAGAGAGGAAGAAGAGGAAATGGATGGGAAGAGTTGATGAAAAGTCAGGAGAACCCAGCCCACTGATAGGAGAGGTTTGGGAGAAAGAAATAGCTACAGAAGGGTATGTGTTCAAATTTTGCTCTTTGCAAAGAACATGCTGGTTACTAAGAGAGATCAGAGCAGGTACAAGGAGTTCAGTGTGGAGACTCTGGCAGTGGTCCAGGTGTGATGTCTAAAGCAAGGGACTGTGGTCAAGGGTGAGCTCAAGGTGAGTGGGTCTTAGCTGCCTTAGCTCCTTGTGGAGGGCAAGTGAAGAAGGTATTGGCAAGAACATTAGAAATTGTTCTAGGTGCTCTCCTACAATGTTATGACCAGGATGCACTCTGCACTCCTTTTGATGAGGAGTTTGGTATCACATCCAAGGCCTTACCTGTCTCCGTTCTCTTTGATCTAGTAATTTCACTGGAAGCCAGTTCAAGGAGATTATCTAAACTGTGGAGAAAGGTTTTTTGTCAGTCAAGGGCTCTTTATTAAGCACTTACTATGTGCCAGGCTCTGAGGGTACATCGGGGAGTGTTAGAGAAACACAAGTGGGAGAGATTTTGAAGGGCTGCTGAGATCATTCATGTAGTCAGGCAATCAAAAAATATTTACTGAGCACCTGTTATGTGTCTGCCATCATTCAAGGCTCTGGGTTTTCAACAAGGACCAAGACAGATGAGGATTTCAGAACCGTGGACAAGTGAGGGTTAGCAGGTCAGCAAAGTCAGAATGTTTATGCCAATGCAGCAGGCTTCTCTGATCCCCCAAATTACGCTCGGTCCTTCTCATATATGCTCTTTCCCACCCCCATATTCACACAGATGAGGACCTCAACTTCTTTTCTCGATTTCCATTAAAAGCCTTTACTCAAGGTTATTGTATGCGTAGCAAATTTTATGAAAGGTTTATGGATATGGAGGGAGTTACATGATGAGAATGCAAATACATTGATTTTGAGTTGGTTAAATGTCATTGTTTTCAAGATTCTCCAACTGCCCAACAAGTAGCTTGGCTGCCATCTTCCCCTGACTTTCTGCATCTCTGCTTCCTTCCCAAACCGTCTTCCTCAGTGGCAGTGGGGTTCCAGTCATTTGCAGTTGTAAATAGTATTTCCCCCTTGGTCACACTTTAATCACTTGTCCGAAGTCTATTATTTCAGCTACATTGTAAGCTCCTTGAAGCACCTAGATCAGGGCCTCGCTCATAATAGGCATTTCAAAAATAGTTATTCAGTGAATAAATGAACAGATGAATGAGACATCCTTCAGATCCCTATAAGAAAATTGTACTACCTGCATCTTTGCAAGAAAAAAAGTGAGTTAATTTTTTTCAGTATGATGACACATTGGATTCTGAATTACAGAATTAAATCTAAATATCTGAATTTGATATTTGCCCTTTTGTCTCCTCTACATGGCACAGCAAAATGGGAGACAACACGGGCTTTCAAATCAGATGTTGATTTGGCTGTTGGCCCTTGTGCTGTGTATCCTTGGGCAAGGATTTATTTCTCGTAAGCCTCAGTTCCCTTATCTGTATAATGGGCACATTACCAGCACAAATGGTGTCGTGGTTAAGCGTAGACTCTAGTACTCAACTTCTGAATTCAAATCCCAGTTTTCCACTGACTGTGTTAATCTTGTGCAAGTAGCTTATCGTCGTCATCTTCATCTGCAAAACAGGAATATTATTTACTTTATAGGGCCACTGGGAAGATTAAATGAGTTAATATATACAAGGTACTTAAACAGTGTCTGGCAAAAAGTAAGCATGACATAAGGTTAGCTCATGTTATTATCTACCTCAGACAGCAGATGGAATAAGATAACATATATAGGGTGTGTACTTAGCACAGTCCCTGGGATGTTTTAGCTGTTCAATACCTGTTAGCTGTCACTATTATGCCATATATTATCAAGTTAAATGCACATTCATTTTCTATCGTCTCTGAAAATGGGATACATCTAATAGTCACTTTTGGGAAGGAGGCATTCTTGATGTAGTTTTCATTGTCTGTACAATTAATCTGGCAGAATGATGTCAGTAGCTTGGAAGAAAACCCCAAGACAAGAGCAAGAGCAAAACACTCTGTGAAGAAGTACTGCATCCTTCCTGTGATCATCCCTGGGTCCAGATGGCTCAGAGGGTGGCATTGTGGGGAAAACGTTGCACATAGACAGCTCTGAGTCAAAAAGTGACTCAGAGGAGCTGGATTCTGAATGTGACTAAGTTTTAGGAATACCTTAAACAACTTACCTCATTTCTATTTTCCTTTTCATGCATGCATGAAGCTGATATAGAGTAAAAACCCGTTCTAAATAAAACTAAAAAAGCTTTCAGTAAGTGCGAAATACACATTCTGTGTAATCAAAATCCATGTGTCATAATTGGGTAGGTAACATGTTTTTCTTTCTTAGAGGTATGTAAAATAATGCTGCATCTTACAATCACCAGCATCTTAGACGGATGAATTATGGTGCTGTGCATATCCATCTGTCATCAGGCGTTGTCTGAGCAGCCAGCCCACTGTGGCAAGTGCCGTGGGAGGAGAGTCAGAGGTGGGAGGAGGAGAAAGAGAGGCTGAAGTCCCTGCCTGGAGCTGGCTGCAGGGCCATCCTGCAGAGTGGGTCATTGACTGGGCAGCCCAGGCCTCCCATGGTCCCTCCTCAGCATTCTGCTTCCAAACTGACCTGCTCTGGGCTTTCCTGGGTGTCCTGGTTTTGGCTCACCCTCACCTTTCAGGTGAGTCAGTTTGCTTCACCTGAGCAAGTTGCAACTGCCTGGGCGGAGCCTCACCTGTGACTGTACAAGGGACGGGTCTGGATCGGGCAGCCAAGTAGGTCTGATAAGGAGGATGGGGCAATTTCTTGCCAGCACCACCTTGTAGGGAGTTTGGGCTTCTTCCCCAGGGCTCACGGAATGGGCAAGAGAAAGAAGGGTGGGGACTTGAATCCAGTGAAAGTACCAGGCCTCCCTGAATACCACTGACACCCCAAAGCAGGCACATCCTCCTGTTTCCCTGTGCCAAGGGCTTATAAGAAATCAGGTAGTGATCCTTGCCCCCACCTCCCAAGCATGGAATTCTCTAGGCTTGCCCCTTGGGTTTCTAGAGGATTCTGTGGGAAAACAAGGTTTCATTTGTTAAGAAGAGTAAGTGACGATCACTTAGTTTGGTGACCTTGGGTACAGGTGGTGACATGTGGATGTTAGGGCAGGAAGGGCCCAGGATGAGGTCACAGGTTGAAGGAGGTGGCTGATGGTAGCCAAGGCCCATATTACAAGTTGGGGAGAATGATTAGCCCCCACTTATTTCCGAAAATCACTGCCAGGATGATTTTCAGAGTTTCTTTGCCAAAGTCCAAGTTCTCTGGCCATTTATTTCAATTCAAAATAAATGAAATTTTGAATTCACTATGTGCTATGAATTCACCTCCCAGGAAAGAGATAATTGACTTGGTTTGGCCATTACTAGTTTAAAAACAATCAAAAAGAAAAAAGAAAATGAAACAAAGAATGAACATCCTCAAAGACAGTTACTTTCTGTATTACAACTGTAGGATATTGCTATGTTGCCATCATTTATTGGTTTGTTGACTGGTTTTTTGATTGACTGCTCTATTGAGCAAATATTTATTGAATGCTTGTGATGAGTCAGGGGCCGTGCTGAGAACGAGGGGCATATAGTGATGAAACAGAGAATCTCTGGCTTTAAGAACTTCCAAACCAGTAAATGAGCAAATACTTATGATATGAAGCATTGCTTGAGTCACTTGGTTTTCACAACCTCCCTTTGAAGGAGCCACTGGTATCTATTTCACAGATAAGGAGATTAAGACTCCAAGAGGTGAAGAGACAAGAGTGGATAAAGGGCTGGGCGAGTTCAGAGTGGAGAGAAATCATTTCCACTTAAGAGTACTCTGTATAAGCTCTGGAGGGGTGGCCTTTGAGATTGAGATGAAGGCAGAGCTGGCCATAGCAGGTGGAGAGCAGGGGCAGGCAGCACCGGGCTGTGGGGCACAGCCAGACCACGATGAGGGGAGGTTTCACGGATCATAGAGCAGCCAGTGAGCCATCAGCTAAGCCTCCATTCCTGGACCTTTCAGTGGGGGAAGTGCAGTTCCATGAAAACAGGTCAATATCCCAGCCAGACAAGGAGTAGTCCCTGCAAAGCTGCATCGCCTGGAGTTGCACAACTCTGATGGCATGAACAGTTGTGTTTGGAGGGAGAGCTCAGCACTGGGAACAGCACAGGCAAGGTTTTTCTGCCTCATGAGTATCTTCTCTGAGCAAATCAGCTCAGCTGCAGGGCCCCCAGTCTATGGAAATCTAGGTGGCTGCTAGAGAAAGCCAGCTGTAGGCAGGGGGTTTAGCAGAGACTGTGGCTTCTATTGCTCATTCATGCATTCCACAAATATTTACTGTGCACTTACTGTCTGCCAGATGCTGTGCTAAGAGATAATTAAGACAGGATCTCTGCAATCACAAACTTAGTCTAGTGAAGGAAGGGACAAGAGAACAGCTGATGACCGTAATAATAAAAATCAGACACTTGCTATGTGTCAGGCATTGCTTTAAGTGCCTTTCATCATCACAATAAAGTTTGGTTGTATTATTATTTTATAGAGGGAGAGACAGGGACACAGAGAGGTTAAGCAACTTGCTCTAGGTCACAGAGCTAGTAAGAGACAGAGCCAAGACTTAAACCCAGGCAAACTGGCTGCACAGCCCAAGCCTTTAACCACTGTGCTATACCACCTTGTCATCCAACCAAATCAATTATAATTCAGTGCAGTTCTACTGGAGGAAACACAGGATGCTACAAGAGCAAAAAGAGTGGGTTCCCAATCCAGGTGTTGAGGAATGGGTGCAAGGAGGACTTCCTCGAAGAAATGAGACTATGCTGAAGCCTGAAAGGTGAGAAGTGGCACCCCCAGGCCGAGGAGAGTTTGGGAGGAGAGTTCTGGGCAATGGAATGGAATCAGAAGGAGCTGATGGTAAGAGAGAGCACAGATGGTTTCAGGAACTGTGAGGAACTCATGTTGGCTGGAAGGGGTGTGTGGCAGTCCAGAGTGGAGGAGGAGACAGGCAGGTGTCATGGTTTGGGAGGTGGCACCCTCTAGCCACTCTGTGAAGATACAGCCTGGTAATACCTCAGGTTCCCAAGAACTCCAGGGCCTGTAAACATGCCAGTCACACGTGGGCCTGCTTAGAAGGCCGATGGCCTTTGAGTAAATAAACAACACCTTGCATAAATCTCTGCACTTTGAGTGGCAAAGAGGCCATTCCCTGAGGGTGACTTGGAAAACCAGAGGTGCAGTGACTCAGCCTTTCTGAACCTTTTTGTCATCTACAAAATGGGATTTTGTAATAACCCTTTATGCACAGCAAAGGTGGAGCCTGATAGGATGTTTGTCGGGGACCCAGATTCCTTCATCTTGTTATTGGCAGATTTCTGTATGAGGGGACCTTGACTAAGCAAGTAAGGAGGTTTAGAGCAACAGCTTTCAAATGGGGGTTGGAAAAAAATCTCAGAATGTGCGGAATATGTTTATAAAAACAACATGATAATTTCCATTATGCCACCATCCTCTCCCAGAAACAGTGTCCAATTGTTATCAGGGTAGCATGCCTTAGAACTTAGAGTTTGGATTGGAATATCATCCATGACAATCTATCAACAGGTGTAGGTCATTCTTATAGGTGAGACTGGATCCATAAAACACCACCTGTCTCTCATCTTGCATGGTCAACTTCTTCAAATGCCACTGGTGCCTTCCTTCAAGGTCTATCCGTTTGATGATCAGGTCATTCTTAACAGCCATCACGGGCAAGTGCACTGCACAGTATGTTTTTAGATGCTACAGAATAGGAACAAACATTCCTGCTAGCTCTAGCAACTGGCAGGATTGAAGCAAAATGCAGTGGCTCAAGATATCGGCAACACTTTTGTGAAGACCATGTGGAATAATCCCATATTGGTTACATTGATGTGGTTGTAAGGGAACTAAATTTTGCATAATCCTTATGAAGTTATGGGGCCATATTACACCATAGGTTCATCTATACTCTTTTTTTTTTTTTTTTTTGAGATGGAGTCTTGCTCTGTGGAGACTGGAGTGCAGTGGCACAATCTTGGCTCACTGCAACCTCCGTCTCCTGGGTTCAAGCAATTCTCCTGCCTCAGCCTTCCAAGTAGCTGGGATTATAGGCACCTGCCACCACAACTGGCTAATTTTTGTATTTTTAGTAGAGACGAAGTTTCACCATGTTGGCCAGCCTGGTCTCAAACTCCTGACCTCAAGTGATCTGCTCGCCTTGGCCTCCCAAAGTGCTGGGATTAGAGGTCTGGGTCACCGTGCCCAGCCAATATTCTTGAAAATATTTGCTTGTTGTTTCACTTACTGGTGTGTTTCATATTATGTACATATCTATGTATATACACATACAAAAATCTCAGAATTTGTATATTTTTGTGCTCATGCTCTTAAAATATGATTGAATTTCAGTAACTAAGAATCCAATCCTTAGTAATTAACATTATTTGTTATATTGTTTTCTGAAAGAAAAAGAAAAGCTATCTAAGCCCCTAAGATTTGTTTTTTTTCCATGATTTTTAGGTATTCATTTGCAAGTATGATTTCTTAACTATGAAACCTTCAGTGATTATTTTTTGGCATGAGTCTTCTACTCTGTCCTAAATAGTTTTGAAATGTTTATCATTTTACTGAGATGATAAATAATGAAGAAAAATAAAGGTAGTGAATATAGATAATTCTTTCTGAAGCTCATTTGAAAGAATTCCTGAAATTCTTAATATGTGACACATTTTAAACACAGGATAAATTCAAATTTGGAAATTAGACTCAGTGCTCTGCTCAACAGATAGACACTTGGTCTTTTAAACATTATTTCATACCATTTTCTATTTTCACTGATCTTTGTAAGGGAGTGTATTAGTTCATTCTCACACTGCTACAAAGAACTGCCAAGACTGGGTAATTTATAAAGGGAAGCGTTCTTCATGGCTCATGGTTCTGCATGGCTGGGGAGGCCTCAGGAAATTTACAATCATGGCAGAAGGGGAAGAGGCACCGTCTTAGATGGCGACAGGCAAGAGAGAGCAAGTGTGTGAAGGAACTGTCAGACACTTATAAAACCATCAAATCTTGTGAGAACTCACTCACTATTATGAGAACAGCATGGGGGAAACTGCCCCACCATGATATAGTCACCTCCCACCAGGTCTCTCCTTGGACATGTGGGGATTATGGGGATTACAATTCAAGATGAGATTTGCATGGGGACACAAAGCCTAACCGTATCAGGGAGTTAAACCCAAGTGGACACATCATCGATAGCTCAAAGACATTTTCAACAAGCAACACAGCTTCTTGTGTGCTGATCTTCACTCTGCATAGAAATGTTTTAAAACACCATCAGCCCTTTCTTCAATGCATGGATTGATAATATTGAGAGCTCTTGGAAATGCTTTTATTTCCTCACTCACAAACCAAAGCTTATTACTACTGACTCCTAAACCCAGGTGTAACCATATATGTGTGAAATGGTTAGCTCTGTTTTCATCAGCTTCACTGTGAATCTGGTAAGCTTTCTACTCTGGGTAGCAACATTATGATAGACCTGGCCAATAATTTGATTCAAATCAATTCCATGCTGCAACCCTGTGCCAACTGGTCCTGGTTTTTCCTTCAACCTTGATGAGAGACCTTTCAGCCTTTCTTTGTTTATGCCTTGCTTTGAGGTCTTCTTGGATCTCTTTTGCGCAAGTCGACAAGTGTTCTTTCATTGTCGGTTGGCTCATCACATATTATTGACTAAGCTGAGGAAACACTGATCTCATTCTTTACGCCTTGAAACATTTCATTCTTCATTGTTCATTTAAAGATTTCATTTTTTTTTTTTTTTTTTTTTTTTTTTTTTTTAGACAGAGTCTCACTCTGTTGCCCAGGCTGGAGTGCAATGGAGCGATCCCGGCTCACTGCAACCTCCACCTCCTGGGTTCAAGTGATTCTCCTGCCTCAGCCTCCTGAGTAGCTGGGATTACAGGCGCCCATCACCACGCCCAGCTAATTTTTGTATTTTCAGTAAAGACGGGGTTTCGCCGTGTTGGCCAGGCAGGTCTCAAACTCTTGACCTCAGGTGAGCCACCTGCCTCGGCCTCCCAAAGCGCTGGGATTATAGGCATGAGCCACCGCGCCCAGCCAGATTTCACTTTTAAAATATGTGTTCTTTTATAGTGATCAATTAGTAAACTCCTCAGTCTGGGTAGGTTCTGTGAGGGCCCATACTTTTGTCTGTTTACTTTTACACAGCTATACAGTCCCTGGCACACAGTAGGTTCTCATTAACTATTTGTGGAATGAACAAATGAAGTTTTTCTCTTCTTTCGTTGTCCACTCTAATTTTAAACATACTTCTAAATATTGTTTTGGTTTCCAGAAAACAGATTCATGTATTAAACCAAGGGCTCACAACAGTTTTCTGTAAAGTACCAGGTAGTAAATATTTTAGCTTTTGTGGGCCACAAAGTCTCTGTCATAAGTACACCTCTACCATTGAAAGTAATGCAAAAGCAGTCAGAGACAATATATAAATGAGCAAGCATGGTTGTGTGACAATAAAACTTTATTTACAAAAACAAGTAGTTGGCCAATGTGGCCTGTGGGTCAAAATTTGTCTCTTGTTTTATTTTAATTTTTTATTATTTTCTGAGACAGGATCTTGTTCTGTTGCCCAGGCTGGAGTGCACAGGTACAATCATGGCTCACTGATGCCTCACCTCCTGGGTTCAAGTGATCCTCCCACCTTGTCCTCCTGAGTAAGTGGCAGCACAGGTGTGTGCCACTGACTAGTTTATTTTTTAAAAAATAATTTTGTAGAGTCTAGGTCTTGCTATATTGCCCAGGCTAGTCCTGAACTCCTGGGCTCAAGCAATCCTTCTGCCTTGGCCTCCCAAAGTGCTGGGATTACAGGTAAGAGCCACTGTGCCCAGCCTGGCCCCTGTTTTAAACTACTCTTTTTTTAAAAAAAATCTTTTCTATTTCCTTCATTTTATTTGGCTGTGTAGGTGATACTTCCCCCTGGTAGTTTACTATAAATCACTTCTAAATCTGTAATTGCAATATTATTTCTCTCATATTTTCTGAAAAATTTCAGGTTTTTTTCCTAATAGAATTAGAAAGTCCTCTTTCCCACGGCTCAGTTTTCCTGGCAGCACAATGAATCTGAAAACAGAATGCTATTGAACTCCAGCCTTCAAAAGTCTGTTATCCAGAATCTTTACACTTTGTAAATTGGCCCTGAACTTTCTGTACTTTGAAGGCGTATTTTGGTTGATACAGTGTAGCTATTTCTTATGTTCTGAATTTCAAATCATGTTCAGGGTCTTAAGCTGAGATAGCCTTGTATCCTGTCTCCATATTGATCCCAGATGTCCCCTCATGTATTGTCTGTGGTGATGAAGTTTCCTGTCATTTAATACCAACATTATCTGTCCTACCATTTGGCTTGATGTGTGAGCTCTCAGCACGTTTTGTGAAGAATGATTACACAGGCTTTTAAATAATTACAGTTATCATGAAAGAAACCAGAGTTTAACACACTTAAGACATCAAAAGTCTATAAAGAGTAAGTTTTTTAATTTTTAAAAATTTTAGTGAAAGAGGCAAAGTGCTGATAGGAATTAAAAAAAAAAAAGTTTGGCCAGGCACGGTCGCTCACGCCTGTAATCCCAGCATTTTGGGAGGCCGGGTGGATCATGAGGTCAGGAGTTCGAGACCAGCCTGGCCAACATGGTAAAACCTCGTCTCTACTAAAAATGCAAAAATTAGCCGGGTGTGGTGGCAGGCACCTGCAATCCCAGCTATTTGGGAGGCTGAGGCAGGAGAATTGCTTGAACCTGGGAGGTGGAGGTTGCAGTGAGCCGAGATTGGGTCACTCACTGCACTCCAGACTGGGCGACAGAGCAAGACTCCGTCTAGAGATAAAAAAAAAAGCAAAGAAAAAAAAACAAAAAAAAACACAACCAAACATACGGTGGAACAATTAGTGGGCAGCACCCAGGCCTGTTGAAATGTCATCATCAGTTGACTTATGTCAACGTGCTCATAGTTTTTATTTGTTACAGTGATGAAAAAGTAGATTAACAACATCATGGATCAAATAAAACAGTGATGTACACTTCTCAATTTGGAACTGATTTCATATAACAAGATGGTTACATTTGTTATTTACTATGTGTCAGGAACTGGACTAGACTCCGGCCTGGATTATCACATTTAATCCTCACTCTAGCCCTACCAGATAGGCACTTTGATTGTTCCCAGTCATCTGTACTTTAGAGACCTTCTGTATCTTGCCCAAGGTCACAGAGTTAGCACATGTGGAGCTGGTGTGTATGTTTTGGATGGGTTCACCTTTTCCTTCCTTTGAAAAATGGTTGAGGGAGAGAGTTGAGCAGGGAACGGGGAATTTGCAACTCTAAATGGACTCTCTACTGCATTCTGTTAGGCCCTCAATCTGCTCCTTCTTTTGCAAAGATTAAAAAAGTGAGAAGAAAAAGTTCCAGATTGGTTATGGGGGTAAAGAAGAAGTGGGGGCAGAAGTGGAGTTATAAGGCCACCACCAGTGAGTTACAACCATGACAGGCCAGCCAGCCTGATGGGAAGGGAAGACAAAGGGAGAAGAAGACATTGGAGGCCGGGCATGGTGGCTCACACCTGTAATTCCAGCACTTTGGGAGGCCGAGGCGGATGGATCACTGGAGGTCAGGAGTTCGAGACCAGCCTTGCCAAAATGATAGAACCTCGTCTCTACTAAAAATACAAAAAATTCGCCGGGCATGGTGGCGTGCACCTGTAATCCCAGCTACTTAGGAGGCTGAGTCAGGAGAATTGCTTGAACCCGGGAGGTGGAGGTTGCAGTGAGATGAGATCGCACAGCTGCACTTCAGGGTTCGGGCAAGCTGAGAGATTTTATTTTAGTTTTTATTTTTATGTATTTGGGAGGTACAAGTGCAGGTTTCTTACATGCATGTATTGAGTAATGGTGAAGTCTGGGCTTTTACTGTACCCATCACCTGAAAAGTGAACATTGTACCCAATAGACATTTTTTCAATCCTTGCCCCCCTTCTACCCTCCTACCTTTTGGAGTCTCCAATGTCTATTATTCTACTCTAAGTCCACGTGTGTACCCATTGCTTAGCTCCCACTTATAAGTGAGAACAATGTGGTATTTGACTTTCTGTTTCTGAGTTATTTCATGTAGGATAATGGTCTCCAGTTCCATCCAAGCTGACCTTGTTCTTTTTTGTGGCTGAATAGTATTCCATGGTGTATATACACCACATTTTCTTTATCCAGTTCTCCACTGATGCACACTTAGGGTGATTCCATATCTTTGCTATTGCGAATAGTGCTATGATAAACATGCAGGTGCAGGTGTCTTTTTGATATATTGCTTTCTTTCCCTTTGGGTAGATAGTAGTGGGATTGTTGGATGGAATGGTAGTTCTATTTTTAGTTCTTTGAGAAATCTCATACTGTTTTCCATAAAGGTTATACTAATTTACATTCTCACCAATAGTGTACAAGCATTCCCCTTTTTCCTGCATCCTTGCCAACATCTGATATTTTTAGACTTTTAAATAACAGCTATTCTGATGGTATAAGATGATATCACATTGTGGTTTTAATTTGCATTTCAAGCTGAGAGATTTTCAAAGCTGATTTAGAGAATTGGCTAACTTAGGACTTACTAGTACAGTACTCGGTCATGTTCTGGAAATGTGGTGTGTCTTGACTGGGGAGAAGACATCCAAGAACGGTGCTTCAAGGGCAAGATGCTGACCAGGGCCTTGCTGCTTTAAAGGAAATCTGGTGTGCACTGGAGTTTTTCTGTGACTAATACCATTCACCAGTTCATGACCACTCTCCCAAGTACCCCATAACCACACTGCCGAACGTCTATTGTCATCAACCCCACTTCCCAATTTGCAGACGAGAAATCTAAGACTCAGAAAGGTAAGTGATTTGCCCAAAGTCACACAGCTAAGAAGTGAGAGACTCAGGATCTGAAGACAATGCAGGAGAAATCCCCGTGATTCATAGGGATGCATGTTGGTTCATTTCTCTGCTGACCCGTGACGGGCCAATGTGTTTAGACCTCTGGAGGGTTAAAAAGCACTTCGACATCTGTTACTACATTTAATCCAGGTAAGTCTGTGCTGTGGTTCTTTTTATTGATCCCATTTTACAGATGAAGAAGTGGAGGCTAAAGTTCTTTTGTGGTCCATCTTTCTGTGAGTTGAGATATCCAAGCCATGCTCAAACAAGTATAGCAAACAAATATGGTTAAGAGCAGATAACCCAAGGCTGACTTGGAACCCTGATTTTCCCACTCCCAGCTGTATGGCTGGAAAAGAGGTAAGTGGGGAAGACAGGATTTGAGAAGAGGGTGAAGCACTTTCTAAGCAGAGAGAAAGAGGGCCTGCCTAAAACAGTGAGGGGGCAGTAGGGGCCCGTGGTGAGGAACAAGGGTCTTGGAATCATTTATTTGCACTTCATCTTGCCTCTTATTCATTTGTGACCTTGGGCCTTTTGCAACCCCAGGTGCCTAAAACCGGGCCAATAAAACCTATCTCAGAGGGTAGCGGTTACGAGCATCAAGTAAAATAAAGTGCTCAGCCGAGCGCTCAGCTATGGTCCAAGCCCTACCACGGAAGGCGTCATCTGTGTAGAGCCTGGGCTGGCCGAGAGTCTGAAGCCACTGGAGTCTGGGAAGCCCAGCAGTTCCTCAGGGACAGCTCTTGGGTCAGGAGTGATGAGATCCAAATGACCTCTCAGGAGCCACATCTGGGCTGGGGTCACTGAGCCTGGGCCACACTGTCTGAATGTTACCCACGGCCAAGGCTTCACTCCCGGGGGCCACAGACATGGGGCTCCTGGTGTCCCGTCCTCAGGAGCTGTCTTCACCCTTGGCAGGACAGGCTTCATCCTTTGCGAGGCCCAGTGCAAAATGAAAACGTGAGGCCTCTTGTTAAAAAATTATTAAGAAATTCAAGATGATTATAGCAGAACATTAAACCAAGTGTGGGGCCTGTCTAAGCAGGGACTCTGTGCAACTGACCAGGTCACAAAGCCAAGAAGCTGGCCCTACACTTGGCCACACCATCTCTTTCTGGACATCTGAATAAACTCCAAACACCCCATTCAATGGTTAGGTAGTCTGGTTCACACAGCAAACAACTGGGGTTTGGAAACATCCATTCTTTAACATATTCACTCTTAAAGCATTTATTAAGTGCGTTGGGAGGCACTGGCAAGATCAATACTTTCTTCAAGAAGTTCAAGGTCTAGTGGGAGAGACAAACACATATAAACACACACGATAACTAGCATGTTAATAATTCTACTCATTTAGTCAACAAATAGTTATCACTACCTAGCAGGCCAGGCAGTGTGCTGGGGATCAGAGACACAGACATGAATCAAATACTGTTAAGAGCGCAGGATTTGAGGCCGAGCTGTTGGGGGTAGAATCCTGATTCTACCATTTACTGCCTATATGACCCTGGGCAAATGACTTAACCTCTCTGTGACTCAGTTTCCTCATCTGTAAAATGGGAATAATAATAGCACTGTCCTCTTAGGGCTGTTCTGTTGTGAGTATGAATAAGTTAATCCTCATAGTAAAAGAGCTAATATGAGTAGATTTTTAGAATAGTGCCTGGCATATAGGGTGTGCTATGTAAGTTGTTATTTCTTCAAGGAATTAAGTCTACTGTCAGATAAAGACATAACACACACCCAATGACACAGTTATTATTATTACTATCTTTTAAAGACTTTTTTTTTTAAGACGCAGTCTTGCTCTGTTGTATTTTTAGTAGAGATAGGGTTTCACGGAAAAAAAATAAAAATAAAAATAAAAATAAAAGAGAGGCTGGAGTTCACCGTGTTGGCCAGGCTGGGCTCGAACTCCTGACCTCAAGTGATCTGCCCTCCTCAACCTCTCAAAGTGCTGGGATTACAGGCATGAGCCACTGCGTCCAGCCCAGTTATTAGCTAATCATGTCTACCATGTCCCACACTTCGCGTGTGGCACTGGGGGATCCAGGGAAGAGTGGGATGTTGTCTCTTTCCTTCCCAGGGCTGTGGGTGCAGGGCAGCCCAGCCAGGACCCTGTTAGGATCAAAATTCCATTTCAAAATACGTTCTTATTACTTCTCTATTTTGTGCTCTGTTGAATGACTTGGGGTGAACAGATGGGACGTGGAGGAGTTTACAAGGTACTCAGTGCAACACAAAGTGCCACCCACTGTCCAGGGAGCGGGAGAGGGGCGAGCGGAGAGTGGAATAGTTTCCCCTTTTCATCAGGGACCTTGCTGTCATGTGGAGCAGACATAGCTTTCAGCCTCTGGCAGTGCGCATGGCAAGACCGAGCAGAGCAGAGCCCCATATTTGGCTGGGGAGAAATTCACTCCATCACACACCCTCTGACTCACCTCCCAACCCAGCACCCTGGGGCTGAGCTCACAGGCCTCTGACTCAGGCACCGTGGGGCGTCCTCCTTAGGGGGGAAGGGGAGGGGGCTGTCCCGGTGCCCCTCCTTTGGCCTCCCCCTCCTCCTCAGCCTCTGCATTTCACGGTCTGAGCTCTTTGCTGCTTCCCCCACCTTCCCCTGGACCCCTTTCCACAGAGCACTACCATCCACCCACGTCCAGACGCCGATTCTGCAAGGACTGACTTTTTCACGGAGAAATTCATCCTGGCCTCTCCTCACAAACAGAGCCAGGATGTGCTGGGGTTTGGATGGGTGGGTGAAATTGCTCATTAGGGGAGGCGAGGCAGTGCTGTGCAGTGGAAAGAAATAGAGATGTGGGTGCCTTTCCTGGCCTGTGTGACCTTGGGCTGCTTATGCTCCTCTCTGGGCCTCTGCTGCTAGAAGCGTTGACGAGTTTCCAAGGACACAGGAGCTGTCCAGGCCAGCCAGTGAGGCTGGGAAGAGCGCATGCTGATGAGGAGCTGTCTTTTGGCCCCTTGCCTCTCGATGTGTGGTCCTGGGAAGGGCAGCACAGGCATCAGCTTGGAGCTTGTTAGAAATGCAGAATCTCAGGCTGCACCCTGACCCACTGAATCAGAATCTGCATTCTAACAAGATCTGCTGATGATTCCTGTGCACACTGAAGTTGGAGGAGCCCTGCAAACTTGGCTGCACATTGTAATCTGGGGAGTTTTAAAACATTGTGATGTCTGAGACCCACTCCCAGAGATTCTGATTTCACTGGGCTGAGGTGTGTCCCGGGCGCCTTCAAAGCTCCCCAGGTGATTCAAAGGTGCAGGAAAGGTGGGGAGGGCTTGCCCTAGTGAGTCAGGATGATGCTGATGTTCTGGGTTCCACACTCAAATGCACACAGTGTCCGGTCAGGTGCAGAGATGAGCCAATCAGGCTGGGGTCAGTGCATGTGAACACGTGGTATGATGGGAGGGGGCTGCAGAGGATGGAGGACTATTGCCAGGACGACAGAGACCAGTGGCTACTGAGCTGCCACTGACTGCCCCCATGCCTGAACGCACGCGCACCCAGGGACCAGATCATCCAACTTTTCAAGAAATGCCAAAAATACAGCTGTTAGCATGATGCCTTCTGATTTTAAAATGTTGGCTCAATTGTATTTCAAAATACAGTGTGGTCTAAACAGAAAGCTGGATGTGGCCCAAGACTTGCTGGTTTGTAATGTCTGTCCAGCCAGGGTGACCAACTGTTTCAGTTTGTCTGGGACTGTCCTGGCTTTAGCACTGAAAGTCCTGTATCCTGGGCCAATCAGGTTATAGGTCTTGATGCAGTGTAGCTTAATTTATTTAGGAGACTTGATTTTGGAGTTCCCTCTCCCAGGTTTGAATCATGTGGCTCTGTCACTCACTTGGTCTGCGATCTTGGTCACCTCGCTTATCTCTGTATGCCTTAGTTCCTTCATTAGTCAAATGGGGATAATAAAAGTATCTACTTCATAGGCTTGTGTTAAGAATTAAGTGAATTTCTATATACAAACTGCTTAGAACAGTACCCGGTGTTCAGCAGATGCTATGTGAATGTTAGCTATTATTATTTGGTCTTAAAATCAGAGGACTGAGCAGGAGAGAGTAAATGCTCACTGTAAAACCATCTAACTTCACCAATTTAAAAGTCTATCAGAGATTGTGCAGTGAAGAGATACAGGTGAGAGGTAAGGATACAGAAGACCTGGGCTTATAGTCCAGCTCTGCCACTTATGAGCTGTGTGACTTTAGGCAAGTCCCTTAACTTCTCTGTGCTTCATTGCCTCTGTTTTAAGTTGGAATAACCACAACTACCTTCAGGACTTCTGTGAGGACAAATGGGGTGATGTGGGTGAATGTGGGGGCCCACCTGGGAGAGGAGTGTTTCTGGTAGTGCATTGATGCTGCCTCTTCATGCCTCAGGAATGTCCAAAAAGAAAAGTTCAGGGTGATTTTTAAGGAGTGGCTTCATTGTCAAGATATATGAATGCTTCAAGAAATTCAATCAGTCACTTATTACTACATGTTGTATCATCTCATAAGGAAGTCCAATATGTATTGTGCCAGGGTGAGCTTTGGCCGTTCCCGTGGTCAGAAAGCTAAAGCCCTTATAATGTTCTTATTAGTGTCTGCTGTCCTTCTCAAAAATCAGCCCTCAATTTTGATCTACTTTTCATTTTAAAAAATGGTCCTTTGCAAATCGTTGGTTGTGATTTTTCTGCAGGATTTTTACCTTTTTATTTTTCCATTTGAAAAATCATATCACAGTTGAGCACATTGTTTAGGAGCCATGTGACTAATGAAATTTGTATTTGTTAACTATTGTTGTGTAATGAACCATAAACTACCTAAAACTTAGTGGCCTGAAATAACAGCTACCTCTTTAGTCCTTGATTTTGCCGGGCAGCTCTCTGGTCTATGTTGGGTTTGGAGGATCTTGGCTGGGGCTGCTCATATGTCTGCAGCTGGCTCAGGGGTGTCTGATCTCAGATGGCCTCACTCACAGATTGGCTGGCTGTTGGCTCTTGGTGGGAGTAGACCACATGTTTCTTATCACCCAGCAGGCTAGCCTGGGCTGTTCACATGATGGCAGGGTTCCGAGACCCTCAGTGGTCATTGCTTTCCAAGCCTGTAATTTGGTCTTGTTTGTGGCTTTTCCATTGGCCAAAACAAGTCACAGGGCCAAGCCCAGAGAGTATTGGGAAGGTACCACCAAAGAGAGGTGAACAGATTAGGGCAATGACTGAAGTTATTCTACGACATGATTTTCAATTAAGAAAATACCAAGTTATGTAGTTAATGACTACATTTTCTCAACCAGTTGACTGGAGACAAATTCTTTAAAATATCCATGAATTGACTGTGATGGTCACAATAATCAATTAAAATGTTTACTTTTTTCTTGTTTTACATTCAAATTTTATTGCTTTCTCCGGATTTTAAGAAAATCAGCCTTCCTGTAAAAAGTTTGTTAGAGAAAAGTATGCTTTAGGAAGGATGAATTCTTTATAATCTTGCCATTCCAGAGATACTACCTGTTAACAGCTTGGTATATATCATTTCAGTTTCTTTACCTATGTATATCCTAATTAGCAAATGACATATGTAATTTTCTTTTACAGGAATTCTTTTATTCAATAGTTATTTATTGGATGCCAACTATGTACTGAGGGGTACATATTGGAGAACAAGACAGCAAAGCCCCTGCTTGCTGGAATGAGATCCTATGATAAATATAAAAAGCAGTTTCCCCTCCTTTTCTTAATATACCTTGATATCAGTCCATGTGAGTGTAACTATCACCACTGAATGTTTCGTTTGTAGCAGACACTGGGATAAGGACTTTGCATTCATCATTTCATTCCAATACTCACTAGAACCCTATGAAGAATGTACTTTCATTATTCTCATTTTATGGGGAGGATATTAGGCATAGAAAAGTTAAGGAACATGAGGCAGCTAGTTAGTGGTGAAGACAGGATCTGAACCAGATCCAACATCTGGCTCCAAAACTCACAATCCTAACCACTTTGGCAAACTGACTCTTGGTTCAGATAGATTCACTTTTTCCTTTATAGTGGTTGTGTAGTATTTCATTAGGAAAGCATATTAAATAATAAGTATTCAAGGTATGTGTTTCCTTATACTTAAACTACTACCTACCTTTCCATATTGTCCCAAGTGCTTGATGTGTTTTGTTCTTTATGCCACCTAATCTCTCTTCCTTCCTGTTCGTGATTAACTTCTATTCATCCCTCAAAACCCACTGCAAATAACACTTCCGTCCGAAAGCCTCCTTCAATCTATGATCTATATTAAGTACCCTCCTTCATGGTTCCACAGTTTTCAGGGCTTTCCTCAATCATGGCACTAATTTTTTTTTCCCCTGAGATGGAGTCTTGCTCTGTCACCCAGGCTGGAGTGCAGTGGTGTGATCTTGGTTCACTACAACCTCCACCTCCTGGGTTCAAGTGATTCTCTTGCATGGCACTAATTTTTGCTGTTGTGAACATTTATTTGGCTGACTCTTCCACTTGGTGATGGGCTATTGGAAGGTAAGTCTCAGTCTTATTTTCTTTTGTGGACATACATAATCCCAACACCTGGCACTTGCTTGGGGCATGAGAAACCGTTATTCATTGTTAGTTGAATTATTAATAAGTGGACTTAGCATTTATGGCACAAATTTTATTAAAATTAATTAATAGAGCTAATTTATTGGTGACTAAACCTGTAAATTAATTTTTTAATAGGCAGGTTCTTGCACTGTTGCCCAGGCTGGAGTTCGGTGGTACAATTACAGCTCATTGTAGCCTCAAACTCCTGGGCTCAGGCTATCCTCCTACCTCAGCCTCCCAAGCTGCTAGGACTATACCTGTGCCCCACCATGCTGGGCTGATTTTTTTATTTTTAATTTTTTTGTAGAGATGGGGTATTGCTATGTTACCTAGGCTGGTCTTGAGCTCCTGACATTGAGTGATTCTCCTGCCTCAGCCTCCCAAAGAGCTGGAATTACAGGTTTGAGCTACCATGCCCAGCCTAATTTTTTATTATGGAAAGAACACATGCACATGGTAAAACTTCAAAAGCAAAGGACATGCCAATGAAGAGTAATGTTTTTCCATTTCACACCCCAATTCTACTTCCCACAGGTAATTACCTTCAATAGTTTTTTTATGTATCATTTTCCTAATTTCCCGTGTATATAATCCATACACTATCACAAATGGCGGCATACTGTAACACTGTTCTGCACCCTAACTTTTACATTTACCTGTCTTGGATGTCTTTCTACATCAATAAAACTGGTGTACTTTTTAAAAGTAGTCACATGGTACTCAATTGTAGGAACAGTGCCATTTTTAGATTAGTTGACTCTCATGAATGTGCTTTTCATTTGTTTCTAAACTTCCTTTGTTGGGTTTTTGTTTTTTTTTTTTTTTTTTTTTTAAGACAAGGTCTCACTCTGTTGCCCAGGCTGGAGTTCAGTGGTGCGATCATGGCTCACTGCAGCCTCGACCTTCAAGGCTCAGGTGCTTCTCTCATCTCAGCCTTCTGTGTGGCTGGGACTACAGACAGGCGTCACCACGCCCAGCTAATTTTTTGTAGAAATGGGTTTTCACCATGTTGCCCAGGCTAATCTCAAACTCCTGGATTCAAGCAATCCAATCTGCCTACCTCGGCCTCCCAAAGTGCTGGGATTGCTGGTGTGAGCCTCCACGCCCGGCCTCTTTGTTGCTTTTTACTGTTAACAACATCTGCTACCGTGAACATTGCTGTATTTCATTTTGCTTTCATATTTGAGTATCTCTAGGAGAAATTCCTAGAAATGGAAGAGTTTAAAAAAAATGACCCTGCTCCAAAATTAATAGGAGGAAAAGGATACAGAAAAGGAATTGCACTGAGTGCCAATACCTGAGTTCCGTTCCTGAATTTTTCATTTGCCCTGCAGAGGACGCATGGATTTTAGCTGCCAGCATCTGAACCCCATTCCAAATTTGGAGGATTGTGTGATGATTGCTATGAGCAAGGTCCTGCTACAAAGATAAAAGGGCTTTAATTTACCCCATGAATGGACAACTTATTATTATTATTATTATTATTTTTGAGACAGATTGTTGCCCAGGCTGGAGTGCAATGGCGCGATCTTGGCTCACTGCAACCTCCACTCCCCGGGTTCAAGTGATTTTCCTGCCTCAGCCTCCCAAGTAGCTGGGATTACGCCTGGCTAATTTTGTATTTTTAGTAGAGATAGGGTTTCAACTTGTTGGTCAGGCTGGTCTCAAACTCCTGACCTCAAGTGATTCTCCTGCCTCGGCCTCCCAAAATGTTGGGATTGCAGATGTGAGCCACTGCGCCCAGCCGGACAACTTATTTTAACTAAACTCTTAGCTTCTTTGCTTTGGCTGGAATTAAATCATCAAATGCTGGTCAGAAACTTAGACTGGCTGTTGATGACATCCTAGGCATTCCTGGAATATGATTAGCAAATCAAAACCATGGCAGCAATGGTGCCCAAAATGAGCATGTCCAGTTATAGACACCGCATACACACACACACACACACACACATACACACACACACACAGACTTGGTGAATAAGAAGTGGGGAAATATATTTGTTATTACTCAACAAGTGCAATTTGTTTGTTAGACATGATCTTTCAAAACATGAGGTCCAAAGGGAAAAATTATGAAAGGGCCCTGGAGAATAAAAAGTGTGGGAATCATTGCTGTGGTCCAGCTGTCCGATGGAAGACTTGATTCTTAATATCTCCACCAAATGATCAGCCCCTGTTTGCCTCTTCTAGTGACAGGGAACTCACTACTCTCTGATGCAGAGTAGATGCCTCACCTGGGTTCAATGCCTTCTATAGTTTTCCTTTGCCCAGTGGAGTGTGGGTAAATGTGATTTCCCACATTTCCAGGCCTGGCTGTGTACACCATAAAATATCCCTGATTCTCGTTCCCTTGGCACAATCTTCCAGGCTTTCCCCATTTCTCATGGCTAGATGATTCCAGGTTGACTTTGAAGTCACATGATGGGAGACACAATACCAAGCAAAGTAGGTCCCTGAGTCACCCTTTTATAGCAGATCCTCTTGACCAGAAACAAGAGGCATGAGATGAGAAATACAACTTCTCTAGTGTTAAGACTCTAAGATTTTGGGGTTGTTTGTAACAGCTGTCAGCAATAATCATCCTGAGGGGCCAAAAATAACACTCGTTCCTTCTCCTCCTGGGTTGAGAAATGAAGATAGAAATAAATGATGTTTTTACGGATAAAATTTGGGTTGGAGAATGTGCAGAGGTGTGGCCACAACAATGGCCTTCATAATACTGCTCCCTGGAGTTAGACAGACTTGTCCATCCCATCATTGGCAACTCTGTACATTCCCAGAGTTCCTTCTTATGGTCATGCTTTTGTAGATATATCTTAAAGCAGCTCCTAAAAAGAGCAGACTTATTTGTTTTTTTCTCCTGAACTCATTGATCAGATAAGTGAATCCACCTCTCATGAGGAGGGAGCCTAGTGAGGAAGCAAGACAGGAAGTGTTACCCTGGATAAGGTCCCTCTGCATGGAAATAGAAGAGACAGGAAGTGTTACCCTGGATAAGGTCCCTCCTCATGGAAACAGGAGGCCAGGAAACCAAGGTTCCCACCCAAGGTTCCTTTCAGACATAAGAGTTACTGAGTCCCTGTGAGTATAAGCTCCTCGAGGACAGGAGCCATGTCTCCTCCTTGTGCCTTTCTCATAGCACCTAGCACAATGCTAGGCACGGAGACAGTGCTGAGTCAATGCTTGCCTATTGACCAGTGACACCTCATGAGCATACATGACATTTCCCCCACTGGTTCACTTCAGAAGGAGGAGAAATTGCTGTGGTCTGACCCCTCACACTGCCAGTCCTTGCCTAACCCAACAATTTGGGAGTGTGAAAGGCCAAGCTAATGACCCAATCCTTCCTTGGGGAGATATCAGCCCTCTCCTTCTGCCCACCAAGTCCCATGCTGGGCAAGACACTTGACCTTGCTGAGTTCCTGGCCAGCACATCACCCTGGGTGTCACTGGGTACCTCTGAACCCCACTGTTGGTTGCAAGTTTCTGAAGTCAGAGACTGAGTCTTATTCATGGTATCAGTTGAGAAGTACCTTCAGCAGGCTGTGGCTGAAAAAAGATAGGGATTTATTCTTTCTCTGCTAAAGGATGTCTAGGGTAAGAAGACAGGCCTGGAGTGACAGCTGTGTGACATCTTTGATGTCACAGACTCCTTTGACCTGTTTTCTTTACCATCCTTAGCTCATGGCTTCCATCCTCAAGGTTGACTTATGGGTATAAAATGGCAGTCCCAACTCCTATGTCCACATTCCAGGTAGCAAGAAGGAGGTGGGAGAAAAAGTTATAAGGCCCCAAGCTGAGTCTATTCCTCTCCTTTTTTGGAAGTTCCACCCAACAAAGAATGCCTATACCATGTTGGCCAGAACATAGCCAAATGGTCACATCTCTGTAAAAGGGTGCCTGGAGAAATACGTGTTTTCAGTTGGTCTCATTGCTTCCTCTACAAAATCAAGATTGTGTTAATAAGGGAGGAAGGGAGAGTGGGCAATGGCAGGCAACTCAGTCTCTGCCTCACTCATCTCTATATCCCTGGCAGCACCGACCACATAGTAGGTACATATATGTTTCATTTATTTATTCATTCGTTCATTCTTTCAAAAAATATTTACTGAGCATCTGCTTGGAGCAAGTTACATGTCTTCACATCAGAGAGAGAAACAATGCAAAATAAACAAAAGTATAATATAATATTAGGTAATAATAAAAGCTATGACACCAAATAAAGCAGGGAAAGGGTTTGGGGGACAACGTTAGAGTGAGTGGTCAAGAGTGGCCTTTCAGAGGAGATGCTGTTGAAGCAAGAACTGGAATGAAGGAAGAGAGTGAGGTATGTGGGGTTCAAAGGGGGAGAGTGCTCCTGGCAGAGGCCCTGCTATGGAGGTGGGCTTGGCACATTCTAGAAACAGAAGGCCAGCAAAGAGAAGTAGTCAGGAGCCAGATCATGTTTGATTATAGAGACTTTAAAATTTCCCCCCAATAATTCTCCTATGGATACATCCTAGAGCACTATGAATGAGGGGGAAGGTATGAGAGACTGAGCAGGGGGGTGCTGTGTTCAAATTCAGCTGCCTCCCTCTTCTGTTTTCTTTTTCTGATCACTCAGACATATGTTAGATGCTGTCATTCTATTTGCTGTTTTTTTTCTCTCTGTCTCTGTAGTGCAGTGTGGATAATTTCTTTAGATTTGTTTCCACTAATTTTCCCTTCAGATGTGTTAATATTTTGTTTAAGCAATACACTGGGTTTCTAATTTTCATTATTATACCATCTCATTTTCCAAAGATTTTTGGTTCTTTTTCAAACATGCCTGATTGGCTTCTTATTCCTTCATCATGCACTCATTCCCTCTTCTTATTTATTTATTTATTTATTTTTGAGACAGGGTCTCGCTCTGTTGCCCAGGCTGGAGTGCAGTGGTGTGATCTCAGCTCACTGCAACCTCCGCCTCCCAGGCTCAAGCGATTCTTGTGCCTGAGCCTCCCGAGTAGCTGAGATTACAGGCCTGCACCACCACACCTGGCTAATTTTTATATTTTTAGTAGAGATGAGGTTTCTCCATGTTGGCCAGGCTGGTCTTGAACTCCTGGCCTCAAGTGATCCACATGCCTCGGCCTCCCAAAGTGCTGGGATTACAGGCGTTAGCCACCATGCCTGGCTCATTCCCTCTTTGATTTCATTAAATACATCAAGTTTGACTACTTTATGGATTGTATCTATTAATTCCAGCATCTGCAGTCCTTGTGGAGGGGGCACCATCGTTGGTTGATTCTGCTGACTCTCCCTTATAAGGATCTGTTTATTTGTGTGTTTGTGTTTTATGATTGTGACTTATGCTCCTATGAACAATATCTGTGGTAATTCATTGAAGCTTAGTTTTAAAGTATACACCTTCAGGGAATATATATGGCTTGCTTCTGCGAAATACCCAGGTCTATTTAGATTCTTCGGGCCACACAGGACATGTGAATAGTGGCCTCAAACACACTGTGAATTTGGGCTTGTAGTCAGAAATTCTTAAAGGAAAAAAATTTTTTTTCTTTGTTTCTGCTCCACCAAGAGCCAAAGCCCAGACCGGCACATTTCAATCTGTGGAGTGAATGTTTGTTCCTCATTTATTTACTAAGGTGTGTCATTCTTGGGAGTTCTAACTTATTATGAGAATTTTCAGTCTGACCTCCAACCTTGCTAGGGCCTCAGGCCTTGTTTTCTACTCTTCCCAACAACCACCCAGTGCACAAGGTCTGTGAAGATGTTGTCTTTTTGCCCCTGTAGAACACATACCCCATTGGCTCCACTGTCGGTCTACCCTACAGATTCAAGCTTTTTTATTGTTGCTGGCATTTAAGGGATTCCCTTTCTCTTTTGCTAGCTCAGCCATTCATAAAGGAATATGGTTTTAAAAAGACTTTATTCATGATTGTTATTGTGCTAAACAGGGAGGGTTTCTGATATATTTTATAAAAATTGCACAGCCATATTTACATTTTAGAGGGTCATTTTAGGTGGTAGGAAGAGAGGGGGTTACAAGGAGGATGATGTCCTAACAGGAGACCATTTAGGACTCTATTGCCATAGTCCAGACACAAGATTTGATAGCTTGGAATAGGAGATGGTGGTGCAGTGCAAAAGGGTTGGATTTGGGTTATATTCTGAAGTTACTGATGACAAAATTTGCTGATGGTTTGGATGTGAGGTGTGAGGAAAAGAGAGGAGCTGAAATGACTCCAAAATTTTGGGCCCGAGTATCTGAGTTCAGGGTACATCTCAGTAAATGAGGGAATGATATGCATTGATAATATTCCCTCACAAGCAAAGGTGGCTGGAAATGTAGGCGGTTGGTGTCCTTTTTTCCAGGATCTGATCATTCCTAGGAAAGTTGAACAATGGGCTTCTAGATCCACAAAGGTAGGGAACAAATCTTGAAGTGTAGGGAGGCTGTTGAGACCTGAAAATCATTCTCTACCTTCCCACCATGCTCCTCCTCAGTTAGATCCACACTCTGTTGTCCTCTAGGATTAAATATAAAATACAAAGGAATGCCCGCATGGGGAGAGGAGTGAGCGCCCATCACTGAAGTATATGCACAGGCTGGATCAGTGGTTCCCAGGCTTTTGGATCATGGTGACCTGTAAAATTAAACGAGGCACCACTGATGGATGAATGGATAAGCAAAACTTGGTATACACATACAATGGAATATTATTCAGACTTTAAAAGGAAGAACATTCCGATATATGCCACAACGTAGGTAAATCTTGAGGGCATTATGCTAAGTGAAATAGGCCAGATACAAAAGAACAAATGCTGTATGAGTCCATTGATAAGAGGTACCTTCAATTCAAATATCAGAAAGTAGAATTGTGGTTGCCAGGGACTGGGAAGAGAGGGGGAATGAGGAGCTGTTGTTTAGTGGGAACAGAGTTTCAGATGAGATGGTAAAAAGGTTCTGGAGGTGAATGGTGGTGATAGTTGTACAACACTGTGAATGTACTTAATGCCACTGAACCATACACTTCAAAATGGTTAAAATGGTAAAAAGAAAAAATTAAGCAGACTAACATCATAACTTTCCCAACTTTTAGTTCTGTCCATTAAAGGTATTAAAAACCAAATTACAATCTGTCATAACCATTATGCCATCCAAAGAAATGAGACTTTTAACCCTAAGAAAGTAAGTGCTCTCAAGACACAGGATAATTCTTTGAATGGAAAAGTTTTAGCTTTATGGAAAAGCTAAACAATAAAATACGTGGCTTTAATTGCTTTTACATTCCACATTGGATTAGTGTGGCCAGTGTCTGCAAAGTCCTGGGATGGCTGGATGGCCTCTTGTTGGGAAAAGTGAGGAGGGACTCAAGGAGAGTTGGATTCAAGCCTTTTGTGACATATTTGCTTAAGGGATGCATGGATGGTTGGAAGGTGGGCTACAACTAGGGTGACCACATGGGACAGTCCTATTTGTACCTGCTACTCACCACAATCATTAAAAGTGCCCCCTGGTCACCTTCAAACCATACTTGTTTCGGTGCTAAATGCTGTGGCCACCCTGGTATCCCATCTGTGCAGGAGGAGCAGCTGGGCAGGGGGCCTCCTGCTAGGAGAATCTGCTCAGTGAGAGTCGTGCAATCTGTGTTTGTAAAGGGCCTTCCCAGGTC
Organism: Homo sapiens; assembly: GCF_000001405.40. Lineage (NCBI taxonomy): Eukaryota > Metazoa > Chordata > Mammalia > Primates > Hominidae > Homo > Homo sapiens. The sequence goes on from NC_000008.11 coordinate 125,568,335, forward strand.
TTGGCAAGTGGCAGATTCTTGATACACGACAGTTGTTTTTATCCAGGCTGTCTAGAAAAAGCACAGGCTTCAGAGTCCTCAGATTTTGGACTGAATCCCTGTTTACTAGAGTTTTGACCTTCAGCGAGTTACTTAAATTCCCTTAGCCTCAGTTTCTTGTCTGCAAAGTAGGGTCAATGAAACCTCTCTCACAGGGTAGTTTGGAAGTGGAAAGGAAACATGCAAAAGGAAATATAACAACTTCCTTCCTTCCCTCCCTCCCTCCCTCCCTCCTTTGCCTCCCTCCCTTCCTCCCTTTCTATCAGGATGGCATATCTAGCCTCCTGATCTCAATCCCTCAGATTCTTCCTCAGACCCAGCTAGGAGGACCCTTCTTGACTGGCAAGGTGAGATTCAGCTCTGTCAGGGTGTCTACTTCCCCATTCACGATGGCTTATTTGAATACATTCTGCACTGGGACTACAGGTGTCTCTGCTAAGAAGTTAAGTATGAGGGTGGGGAAGGAGAGAGATGACTACTGAGACAAAGAAAACAGAAACCTCTGCTCTCAACGGGCTTGCATCTTCTTGGGGTTGAAACATCTATTCCCGCCTGAAGTGGTCCAAGAATCTTTCAACCGGTGCTCTCAAGGAGAGCAAAAGCTCTCTTCATTTCCAATTTTATTCCTAATTTTCTATCGACTTCTAAACATGATTTTTCAGTTTGGCACCCAATTGGTCTTTGGTTTTTCTCTACAGGTTGACTATTCACTGCTTGAGGACAGGAATGATGGTTCTCTTCTTGAAGGCCAGCACAAGCTGGAGAGTTCTAAGGGTTCTAAGCTACTCTTCTGGGCTCTGACAATGTCTTTGGGTTGGTACATGAAGAGGCTGACCAAGTCCATGATTTATTTGAGAGATATTGAATTAACTGGAAAATGATTTCTGCAGGGGAGGTACTTTTGCACTAGCATGTAAAAGGAAGGCAGGAAGGGTTTTAGTTGGCAGGAAGGCTGGGGAGCAGCTGTGTTGGAACCCCCCTACACCCAACTCTCCCTGGCCAGTCTTGGTCTTCTGCCTGGTACCCAGGGTGCTTCACAGACATCAGTGGAACAGGGATCATGCTTCAAGACCAGGCTCATGTTTCACCTCTTCTGAATCCTTCTGGAATTGCCCAGACAGGACTAGTCACTCCTCCCTCTGGGCTTCCGGAAGCAGTACACACTGGGGCATCCAATCATATTGCATTGTAATTATCCATGGGCTCCAGACGAAGTCCTCGAGGCAGAGGCTGTGTCATCACACCTCTTTCCCCAGCTCCTAGCACGGTGCCTGACCATAACAGGGACTCAGCATATGTTGAGTGAATGAGAATCAGGGATCAGCTTGTCTGGCACTGGTAGTGGTCAGGGAGGTCCCAAGGAATTGGGGGCTGGCTGAATGTCAGGGGCCACTGATTGTTAGGCTCCAGGGCTACAATCTGCTTGGCAATACATTCATTCCTCATTTCCCAGAGATTGTTCTCGTAATACACTGGCGGCATGCCCAAGCCAGGCTCTGACTAGTTCCTAAAACAAGTTAAATCTTTCCCTTTGGGACAATTCCATCAGCAGGGCTAGAGGAGCATGCTTCTCTTATGACCGTAGCTTTCACAGTCCTGGCCATTGGGTCATTTCCCCTTTGGTTCCTCAAAGACCCTCACAGCAGCCCTGTTATGCTTGGCTGGGTTTCTGGCTGGTGAACAGATGAGCTCTCTCTTCCCAGATCTTGGGGTGACGAGAGCTATATCCACACCCCCACCCATAGCTGCCTGTGCGTGGCTGTGATGGAAACTGGCTTCTCATCCAACAGATCTCAGTGGAGATTGGAAAGTGCTCATCGGAGGAGGGAGTTGTGTCATTGTTGGTACATGGATGGAAGCCAGGCTGCAAATGAGACTAGTCTTCCCATCGCCCTTGCTTTCTCCTCCAAGGGAAGGACAATGTCAGCTGCAGAGAGCCTGGGCACTATCTGCCTTGAATGGACTGAGTTTCATCAGATGAGAGTCACAGAGGTGAACCCCAGGATGACCAGACAATAGAAGGTGGAAATATCTGTGAAGTCCCAGTCCTAGGTAGTCCCTACTTGCAGGATGGTGCATTTTAACCCTTCAAGTCCTACTTAACACACCTGGGGCGTGAGCATGACTTTTTGCACATCTGTAAATTAGCCTCAACCTGAGTCATTTCAACAGACTCCGCCCTGCACGTGATCTCAGAGGGAGCCTGGGATTTGGGCCTTGGGAGTCCTTCCCTGCTGGATCTTTTGGCTAGGAGGCATGCAGGGGTATCCCTGAGCTATATATGGCCTAAAGGGAACACGCAGATGATTTACATCTCTCACTGAAAATGGAAGTGCAAATTTAGTTGAGAAGTAGAATAGAAAGGTGTGGAAAGAACACTGGATCAGGAGTCAATTCCAACTTTGATACTCACCCAGTTCTGTGAACTTGAGCTAATCATGTCATTTTATTTGGTGTTTTATTTCTAAAATTCATTTAGCAAAGATTAATATACATTTTGAGACAGAGTCTCGCTCTGTCACCCAGTCTGGAGTGCAGTGGCGCAATCTCGGCTCACCGCAGCCTCTGCCTCCTGGGTTCAAGTGATTCTCATGCCTCAGCCTCGCGAGTAGCTGGGATTTATAGATGTGTGCCACCCCCCGCCCCCAGCTAATTTTTGTGTGTGTGTGTGTGTGTGTGTGTGTGTTTTTAGAAGAGACGGGGTTTTGCCATGTTGGCCAGGCTGGTCTTAAACTCCTGACCTCAGGTGATCTTCCGGCTTCAGCCTCCCAAAGAGCTGGGATTACAGACGTGAGCCACTGCGCCCAGCTAAAGATTAATATACTTTTAAAATAAGTGTCTTGAACTATTTCATGTGCTTTACAAATAATAACTCATTTAACCTTTATAATAATCACTGACATAGGTATTATTATTAAAGCTATTTTATAGATGAGGAAAATGAAGGGCGGAAATGTTAAGTAACTTGCCCAGGGTAACACAGCTAATAAATTGTGGATTAAGTCTGAGGTCTCTCTGGATCTCAGAATCCTTATCTGTAAGATAAGGATAGAACTTGTTATCTTGGCCACATCAGCATTTAGTTCCTCCGTGTTCCCACTCCACTTGTATCAATGGACTGGTCAGCTCGTTTTTACATTGTACAGAGCTTCTTGGACAGAGCTTCACTTATACTTCTGCCACTATTGGAATGAAAGCACCCTAAAAAATGTAAGCCAGATGAAGACGTGGATCTTTGCCTGTTCATTGATGATAGCCCAAATGACTAGCGGACTGCCTGACACATAGTAGGCACTCAATAGATGCTATTGAATGAATGAACAGATTGATCCCATCACTCCGTGTTGTGATGAGACTGACCTAGCTCTTCCCCAAACATCGCTTTCTGAAGGCGTGGGCTGTGTCTTATTTATCTCTGGGTCTCTGGGCTCCAGCATATTCCTGGCACAGAAAGATGCTCACACTGAATGAATAAATCCACATCGTTGCCCTTTGTCTTAGGTCAGAAGTCGTCGTTAGTCAGGAAGGCATGAGCACACTTAAATGCTGTAATCCAATGGACATTGACACCAGTAAGCTAGGGAGTAATCTTTTGTGGTAAAAAAAAAAAAAGATAAGGTGGAGGAAATGGAGTTCTTTCAATTACTGTGTAACAAACCACTCTCTAATGTCTTAAAACAACAAAGATGTATTCTTTCTCCCAACAGTTGAGCAGTTTTCTGCTCTTATGTTGTGTAGCCAATGTTAGCCAAGTAGCTGCACTAAGCTGGGAGCCGCCTGGGGCTGGGACATCCAAGATGGCTTCCCATCCTTGGGCCCTCTCTTCCTCATGCGGTCTCTCATCTTCGTAGTGTAGTTGAAGGTTCTTTACAGTCCGACAGCTAGATTCCAAGAGGCAAGAAGAGAAAGCTTCCCAAACTCTTGAAGCCAGGCTTAGAAACTCTAGGACATTATTTCTACCATATTCATGTGGGCAAAGTAAATCGCAAGGCCCTACCAGATTCAAGGGGAGGGAAAGACAGACTTCACCTCTTGTTGTGAGGAGCAGATATATGTGGAAAGATGGGAGAAAGTGTTGGTGGCAATATTGGAGACTCTCTGTCACAAAGGTAGAAGAGGAGTGGTGGCAGAAACCCAAAATTATCCTCAGGCAAACAAGGAGCTGTTAAGGATTAGGCTGTGGTTTGCCTGCCAGAAAGTAACTGGTGTCCTACTCAGGTAATAGATACCTGGAGTGTTAAACTTCTCCAGTGTGTCCTGGGGAGTCTGAGCTGACCAGGCCACTTGGAGCTATCAACTTTCATATTCTTCTTTTCCAGGTTATGACACCTGGAAAAGGCATGGAGAGAAGTGATGTGCACAGCACACTGCGAGGCTGTGCAGGACCAGGGCTGCTATTGCCAAGTGGTTAAGAGCATGGCTGTTGGGGTCAAATGTTGATTTTGTCACCAAAAAGACTAGGCAATTCATAGTATCTTATGGAATTCCACCTCCTTCTTTATTTAATGTGGATACTCATACCTTCTTTATAGGGCAAAATAGATCGTGGTGAATAGTATGAGATCCGGAACCAGACTGCCTGAGTTCAAAACCTAGCTTTCCCACCAATCACCTGCATTACCTTGGAAAAAATACTTAATTACCCTATGCATCAGTTTCTGATTCTGTAAAGTGGAGATAATAATATAATAATGTAATTTAGATTGGTGCAACCTAAATTGAAAGTAATGACAAAAACCCCAATTACTTTTGCACCAACCTAATAATATTATATAATAATATTACAACAACAATATTGTATTATTGTATTATATAATGTACATATAATATATAATATTTAATAAACATAATATCACAATAATCATAGTGTACAGAGTTGTGAGGATCCAATGGGTTTGTAGAAACATCTAGAACAATGCCTAGCACAGGATTCACAATCAGTGGATGTTATCTACACTTATTAGAGTGTGTTGATGAAAATTAAAATGAGATAATGCTTGCAAAAGCCTAGTACATGTCTTGCCCATGGTAAGTGATGGCTCTTTTTGTTAGGAAAATGGGTCCTTTGTCCATTTACTCTCTTTCCATGCTTGCCCTTGGGGAACTTTGGAGCAAAGAACCCCAAAGTCTCTCTTTAATTGTTCTTCTGCAAGCAATGAGCATCTTATCTAATTGGCTAGATAGAGTATGTGATTTACTGTGCTGCTGTTTATTAGTGGGCAGGGAGAGTCACCCTCAGGCAGGGGCAGACTTCACCATCCCCCTTACCTGGCTTGTGCCTTCTTCCTGCCTTCCTGGGGGAGTCCACCAAAGGGGAATGTGCCATTAAAAGAGGAAATGCCTTTTTCTGCCTGTCACAGGCTCACCTCTGACTAGACAGATGAATTCCAGATACACACGAGATTGAATCCCTTCTTTAATAATTTCTGGTTTGTTGTTACTGTATCTTGGTGTCCTCATCTGTATGATGGGAATAGCAATAGCATCTACCTTAGAGATTTCTTGGAAGAGTCAAATGAGGCAATATTTATGGGAAGGGCTTATATTGTGCCTGGCACAGAGCAAGTGGTTAACTATAGTTAGTAGATTATGGTTGTTGTTATTGTTATGTACATGCAAAGGCCCAGCTAAAATGCTCCCTTTCTCTGGGAATTCTCCCAAGCTCCTCCAGGTGGAAGTTTGGAAGTTAGCATTCTTGGAGCTGGGCGTGGTGGTTCCAGAGGCAGGAGAACTGCTTGAGGCCAGGTGTTTGAGGTCAGCTTGGGCAACATAGTGAGACCCTGTCTCTTTACCAAAAAAAAAAAAAAGAAAAAAAAGGAAGTTAGCGTTTTCTTCTCCTGGGCTTTCTTTTCACCCTTTCTCTAGTTTTTTTGATAGCGTATTTCCTTCCAGTGTTGATTTAGAATAGTTGAGAAGTGAATCTTCTCCTTCATGGTAAGCTCAGAGGTGAGGTTTTGTGCTAGAATCAGCCCTTATGCCTCATTGATCTGTCCCATGTCTGGGCACAAAACAGAACAAGTATCCACTGTGCCATTTACAACTGTTAATAGAGCACTTACTATGTGCTAAGTCTTTAGGCTGCCCTTTTGTGATGCCTTTATCTCTTTAAGGCTGCTTGGGATGTTTCTTTTACTTTGATCTCACTAGCAGTGAATTACTGGGGTGGGAGGAGCAAGCTGTTACTCTCTCCAGGGCAGGAGACAGACTTTGGTCAAGCATCTCACAGTTGTGTAGCTTTCAGCCCCTTGCTACCTTAAGCCTCATGTTCCTTAGTAAAATGCAGGTCACACCACTTCGCTGTCATTGTTGGGATTCAACAGAATAATTTGTGTCAAAATGCCTGTAGACAGTAGGCCTTTTCCAAATATAATCACTCACCTCTGGCTATGCCTGGGAGCAATTTTGTGGTCCTAAAATGTATTGCAATTGTTGCAGGTGCCCTCATAGGAGGTGCCCTGTTGGAGATTTAACTTGAGCTTTTGTTATTTTCTTTAGTGAGGAAGTTGCCAGTTACAGCAAGGTACAGGCAGGAAAAGAAAGGCACTAAGGCCAGTTTCCATGAGAAGGGCAGGTGCAGTGCAGGCAGCACTCATTCTCTTGAGGCAAAGGTATTAAAAGATGTTTCCCGACCGGGCGCAGTGGCTCACACCTGTAATCCCAATATTTTGGGAGGCCGAGGTGGGCGGATCACTTGAGGTCAGGAGTTCGAGACCTGTCTGGCCAACATGACAAAACCCTGTCTCTACTAAAAAACACAAAAATTAGCCGGGTGTGGTGGTGCATGTCTGTAGTCTCAGCTACTTGGGAGACTGAGGCAGGAGAATCGTTTGTACCTGGGAGGCAGAGGTTGCAGTGAGTTGAGATTGCGCCACTGCATTCCAGCCTGGGTGACAGAGCGAGACTCTGTCGCAAAAAAAAAAAAAATTTCCCTTTCTGGAGATTTCAAAAAGAGAAGGTGTTTCTTGCAGTAGTCATAGGGCGGGTAAAAAGGGATTTGTGAGTGGTGGAAAGTAGACCAAGTTCTGATTTAGTGTTCTTGATGTTCTCTTGTATCCTGATAAATAGCTGAGTATGAGAAAAGGAATTAGAATTATACTTTCAGAGCTCGACATGGGGCCCCTGGCTGCAGGTCAGGGATTTGGTCTCGCCATTTGCATGTATCCAAGAAATTATGTAGGTGTAAGCCTCCACAGTGACACTATATGGCAGTGAGAACCTGTGAGAGGTCCGTGGCATTTGCAAATTGAACAGACACCAGTTCCTCTGTGCCTGATGTCTGAAGAGGACTCATTTTTGTTTTCACTTGGCCTCCCCAGGGTTTTGGGACAATTTGTTGGGAGCAGAGGAAACTTTCAGAGGAAAATTCTGGACTTCCTGCTTTTAATGTAGGTGACTGCTTAAGAGATGTTTCAGAAAAATAAGTGTAATGTGATGGTATTTGTGCTCTGAGTTTATGGAGCAGTTCATACTGGTTATACTAATCATCCCAGAGGGCATTGTGAAATCCCGGTCTTAATTAACTTGTGTCTTGAGGATTACAGGATGAATGGTTCTTCTGAGGGGAGGAGATAGTCTGTTTCCTGGGCAGGGACGTGGTGAAGAACGAGGTACGTCCGGGATCCAGTCAGAGGTTATTGGCCTGGGTCGTGAGTCTGTCAAGGGGAGTTGTGGGAAGAGATGAAACTGTAGGTGACTTCTGGGCCATGGAAAACCTTGAATGCCTCACTAAGGGGTTTGGGGTACAGCTTTTGGCCACTTGGGAGGAGTGGGTCTCTCTGGCTGTAACCATAAGGGGTTTCAGGGCTGAAAGAACTCTCCGTCTCCTGAGTGCTGACGCAGTCTCCAAAATGGCCACCTCTCTGGGCATCCCAGCGCTATCAGGCCTCAAACTCCTTATCCGCAGTTCGTTCTCAAAAAACAGCCAACGCGGCAGCTCCGGGTGACCAGGATTGCAACACCAAATGTGTTTGTTCCCCATGTTTGTGAAATACCTCAGAGGCACTGTTCCAGTGCCACCTGACTAGTTTTCTGATTGCCACATGGCCCTGGCTCTATCTGCCAATACTCAACCGGGGCTGACTGGTCAGAGATTTTGAGATGTTTGTGGGTTCAAACATAGAAACCTCATTAATGTCTGCTTGGGTGAGGAGATTTTACCTCCTCAAAGCTTCTGAATAACACTTATCGGACTTGGAGGCGGCTCTGGTGGCCTGGAGTAAGCAGTGTGACCTTGGACCAGTCACAATCTCTCTGAGCTTTAATTCCTTCAACTGCGTAATGAGGATACTAATTCTTACTTTGCAGGATTGTGACCCACAAGTATGCTATACAGATGGCAGGTCAAGAATCAGCTCACTCACCAGGCTTCCTGCCCCATAGGTCACTAAAAAGCAAGCGTGACCTCAAATTTCCGAGTTGTTAAAATTCAATCTTGCATTTAATTTTTGCAAATGAATTGCTGTCAACCTTTGACTGAGAGCAGGAAGAAGCCTGGCTAATATATAACATAATGGGAACTCAGAAGCCCCTGGAAATTGGCTGAGGATTGGTCCCGTGGTACTCTGCCTAAGGAAGGGGGTTGCAAGGGATATTTGGCCTTGTGTGTCACTTCTTTCATTGACCTCCTACCAAAGGGAAAAAAACTGAAGTTGCAGAGGGGAGGGGCTGACTGTTTTGGGGCTTTGATTATGTGCCAAGCACACAGAGAATAGTTTTGCATATGTTTTCTCATTTTGTCATCTCCTCCATCCTAAGAAGTAGCCAGTATTACCCCTAAATAACAGTTACTCATTCAGTAAATATTTGTTGAGTGATTACTGTGTGCTAGCTATTGTTCTAGGAACTAGAACATATGAGAAACTGAGGTCCAAGGTGGTGATAGGACTCGGTCAAAGTCACACAGCTGCTGTGTGGCCAATCTGCATACAATCCCACCTCTCCTGGGATTGATTCCGAGGTTGTTTTCATTCCAGGTGCTGGACAGACATAGACACACATATATGCACACCTAGTACATACACCCAAACACATCCACACTCGTGCACACACCTGCATATGCACATGTATAAGCACACACAGTCACGTGCACACACACATCGTGCAAACACACACATTTTCACACACACACTAATGCTCACACACACATACGCATGCACAAATATGCCCACAGATGCATACCACATACACTATTCTAACATATTCACAAACACATGTGCACTTGCACACATTTTCATACACACTATACCATTTATTGGGGAAAACTGTTTTCAAACTTTTGGCATATTTCAGATAAGCAATATTATCAGACACAATCTCAAAGATTTCATTCTCTGTAGCTCCCTCCCTCCCTCTGTCTCTTCTTCCCTCTCTTCCTTCCCCCTTCCTTTCCTTCCTTCCTTTCTCCCTCCCATCTCTTCCCTTCCTCCTCCTTTCTCTTCTTTCTCTCCCCATTTCGAAACCAGACTTCTCTTCCTTTTTCTAGTCAAGAATTTTTCATTTGTTTTTCTTTTAAGACAGAGTCTCACTCTCTCGCCCAGGTTGGAGTACAGTGGTGTGATCTTGGCTCACTGCAACCTCTGCTTCCCATGCTCAGGTGATCCTCCAGCCTCAGCCTCCTGAGTAGCTGGGAAAACAGGTATGAACCACCATGCCCGGCTACCTTTTTGTATTTTTTTTTGTAGAGACAGAGTTTTACCATGTTGCTCAGGCTGGTCTTGAACTCCTGAGCTCAAAGGAATTCACCCGCCTTGGCCTCCCAAAGTGCTGGGATTACAGGCATGAGCAACCGTGCCTGGCCTAGCCATGAAATCTTAGGGAATTATCAGGACTATCAGACTCATGTTGGAATTTTCAACCAGAAAGTAAAGACTCCCTCCAGGGCTACCAAAAGCTGAATCTGTTTGCCAAATTCTGCCTAGGTTCTTTCCTGCATGCAGCTGCATAATACCCAGAGTCCCCTCCCCACCATCAGGCATGGCATGCTCAGGTTCAAGTCAAGCTCTTGCAGCCAGGCGTCCCCAGCCCCAGCACCCACCTACCAGCTCTCCCGTGCATGTGCCAAGTGCCTGTGAAGGCCTCTTCCAAGTCTTTCATCACCCCTCAGGGTGGGGATGCATCTATTTCTGTGTTTCAACACTTTGCTTCCACCTGGCATTTCATTTGCCAGCTAATAGGTGAAGTAACTCATCTTGCTACTGGCAACATGGAAACTGTGCTTTATGGGGAGCTGTGCTCTGGTCCATAAAGTGTTTGCAGGGGCATGGCAAGTCCAACCTGGAGTCCTTAGTGGCCACCAGGAGGTAGGCCGGGTTGCTGGGCTTCAGTCAAGCTCATCAGTACAGGAGAATCAAACTCTTCAGAGTATTTCATCATCCCAGTGGCTCAAGGTGCGGGTGGTGGTATTTGAGAAACTTTGGCAACTCCCGTGTCTCAGTCTCTGAAGAGTGCCAACAGAGTCACCTTTCCCAACTCATCTATTTTCTTTGGTATCAGGGACTTCTCTCACTCAATAAATCTAAATCACCTTTGCTTTTACCACGAAAGGATATCGAAAGTGTGCTTAGAGACTCCAAGTTCTCATTGGGACCGTTGGACTCCAGGGTCTAGCATTTACCCAACTGGCCACATTGCCCAACTGGGTGCATTTGCTAGAGGCAGGTCGTTAAGTTCAAGTGCTTGTAAACAATTCCCAGGGAGCGGGGACAGCCAATTCTGCAGACAGCTTAGGAATGGTTTTACCAACATGCACTTCATCTGGGGCAAGCTGCCTGTACTATGAGCACGCACACAGACACATATATACATGCACACACATATCCCACTGGAGAAGATAAAACAGGAAGATGGAAATAGGAGCTCTAGTGAAGATGATGTCGTGGAGGAGAACAGCACCCAGTAAGAGAAGGGGAGCCCAACACCAGGTGCCTCATGGGCATCAGGCCAGACTTTGGGATTGTTTAGAGATAAAGAAATGGACTTCCGGAGGTGGGGTTCTCCTGGGCACTGAGCCTAAAGCCTTATATGGTGATTACTTACAATCAAGTCTTATGTTGTAACTAGACCATAAACCCTCAGCAGGTAGGGATCAGGGCTCCTACTTATTTTCCCTCTTCTGTTCCACTCTAACTCAGAGCCTTATGCATAGACAGTGTTCACTAAATGCCTGAAAGGAAAGGAGCTTAGGCTACATTTATATCACATGCTGTCATGTTCAAACCTTTTACCGTGAGTTAGCCCCTTCTGGTTGCTGAGCTCACTTTCAGTCATGTGACCTCCTCTGCTCCTTTGTCCGGCACCCATTACCATGGGGAACAGCGTCAGGCTTCGGTGAACTGTCTTCTAGCAGGGAGGCAAGATTTACACATACAGAGCAGCGTGTGATCACAGGCTACAGTGGATTCACTGAAGCGTTGTAAGTTTAGACAACACGTTGGTCCTGTGACAGCCAGTAAAAGGAGTATTTATCTCCTCCATTAAGAGGAGCTATGAGGGAGGCATCCTTGGAGCAAGTGAGATTAAGGGGTGGCCTTGTGAGAAGGAAGAGAAGAGACTGGTTCAGGCCAAAGGAATGGCGGGAGGAAAGGGACAGTGCCAGGCGCACACATTCGTTTGCTCTTTGTTCCTCTTGTTTACTCATTCATCCATCCAAAAATACTTAATGAGCCCTGCTGTGTGCCAGGCACTGTTCCAGCTTTAGGGACAGAGCTGTGGGCACCTCTAGTCCCTAAAGTTTATAAAGATAACAAACAAATATTACAAGTGAGCAAAGCATTAGCTAGAAAAGCACTGGGTGTCTTAAGGGCATTGAATAGGCAGGGGCAGAAAGAGGGCTAACAAGGGCTGAAGGATAAGGGGGGCAGCCTGGAAATGTGACATGAGGCGTTGAGGAATAGCAAGAAGTGTTCCAAGCATGAAGTTCCAGGGACAGGAATGAGCTAGACTCTCAAAAGTCACTTGAAGTCCTGCGTGGCCAGAGTGTAGGAAGTCTAGGGAAGGGCAGTGGGGTGGAGGGAGGAGTGAGTGAACAAGTTGGGGTGGGAAGGTGAGGAGTAGGGGGTGGATAAGGTCAGGCAGAGGTCACACAGAACCTTCTGGGCCATGATAAGGATTTTAGACTTCTTCTAAGGTAAGCCAAGCAAGTAACGCTATTGACTTGAAAGTGGGTGCAAGTAGTGTAAAGATGCAACAGCCCCATGAAATATTCCGGGCAGGAATCTCTAGGGTGGGGAGTGAAGGGAGAGAGAAGCATCAAGGATGAGTCTAGGGCTCCTTGCTTAAGTAACTGGTCAGGTGGGACTTCTGTTTACTGAGGTAAGGAGCACAGGAAGGGGACAGGTTTGTGGGGGACAGGTATTAGGGGATGACACAGTTTTGCAAATGTGGGTTGGAGGGTTTATGAGATTCCTGCATGGATATTGAAGATCTCATTTGGAACCCCTGAGAAGATATCCTCTTTTTCTTTCTGCTTTTCCCTTTCCTGGGCCTTGGTCTCTTGAATATGTTCCATGAACAATCTTTTATTGTCACTAGCCCTGGTTGGCTGTGAGAGGAGAGGTCAGCTGCCAAGTGTCTATTCCAAGGTGTATTTGTCCATTTTTCTTTGCTATAAAGAAATACCTGAGACTGTGTAATTTATAAAGAAAAGAGGTTTATTTGGCTCATGGTTCTGCAGGCTGTGCAAGCATGGCACAAACATCTTGACTTCTAGTGAGGCCTCAGGAAGCTTTTACTCATGGTAGAAGGTGAAGGGGGAGCCAGCATGTCATGGTGAAAGATGGATCAAGAGAGAGAGACACAGGAAGAGGTTCCAGGCTCCTTTAAACAACCAGCTCTCTTGTAAATTAACAGCTCCAGAACTCACCCATTACTGTAGGGAGGGCACCAAGCCATTCATGAAGGATCCACCCTACTATGACCCCAACACTTCCCACTAGGCCCTACCTCCAACATTGGGGATCACATTTCAACATGACATTCGAAGGGGACACAGATCCAAACTATATCACTAGGTAAGCACAACTCCCAATGTATGAAGGTTCATTGGAAGGTTCATTCACTGTTGGAATGATAGAAATTATTCCATTCCATTTCATCCCATTCATTTTGTTCAACTCAACCAGTACTTTCTTTTTTCTTTTTTGAGGTGGAGTTTTGCTCTGTCTCCAGGCTGGAGTGCAGTGGCACAATCTCAGCTCACTGCAACCTCTGCCTCCCGGGTTCAAGTGATTCTCCTGCCTCAGCCTCCTGAGTAGCTGCGACTACAGGCACCTGCCACCATGCCAGGCTAATTTTTGTATTTCAAGTAGAGACGGGGTTTCACCATGTTGGCCAGGATGATCTCGATCTCTTGACTTCATGATCCACCCACCTTGGCCTCCCAGAGTGTTGGGATTACAGGCGTGAGCCACCACGCCCAGCTTCAACCAGTATTTTCTGTGTGCCTGCCCTGTACCCAGCATAGGCTCATGGCGTTAACATGACCACTAGGGAGCCAGTCATGCAAGATAAAATTTTACACTTTCTGGAAGCATAGACAAAGTACCCTGGGAGAAGAGTCAAAAGGTATTTGAACTCATTTCCTCATGTTTTTCCTAAGCAGAAACTGAGGCCCAGAGAAATGAAGAAACTTCCCTGAGTTGACATAGTGTTTAGAAGCAGAGGCAGAGTTGGAACCCAGTTCTGAGTCCCAGACTAACGTGTCTGTCAGCATTGTATGAGGCCTCCTATTGGCACACATCTTTCCATAAGTGACATGACATAGACAGGGCAGGAGAGTTTGACAGGAAAGAACTCTAGCTCTAGAGTCAGACAGTTCTGGGTTCAAATTCTGGCTCTGATATTTGTGACCTTGGGCAAGTTATCAACTTCCCTAAGGTTTAGTTTCTCTATTTCTAAAGTGAATTAGTTCTAAAGTACCTCTGGAACTAATAACAGTATTTCCAATGTCTGCCTATATTGAGGATTGAATGAGTAGTGCTTATGAAGCATGACTTACTCACCACTTCTCACCCCCTGCACTGCTACCACTCTGGTTGAAGCCCCTGTCATTATCGGCCTGGATCTGGGCTATTTTTTGGGGTCTGCTTTCACCCTAGAAATACCATCTGAGTGGAGCTTCTTGTGTAATTGATTTATTACGTAAGGGATGTAGGAGAACCCTGTATGGAAGTGTGGGAGGCTGGAGAGGGCAATGGAAGGGGTTCAGCAGAGATATGGTTTCAGCTGGAGAACAGCCTCAGTCTGATCCCATGGGCAGTCTGAAGCATGAATGGCACCACAGAGCTGGTCCCTCCTTGTGGCTAAGGGGCTGGGTATTCTACTTCCAGTTAGTTGGGGGTTTGTGACTCCTAGACATTTCCCTGTGAGACGATTCCTGACTATCCACAGAGGTAATACTCTGGAGAAGGGTGCATTGCTCACAGCAGCTTGAGGGTGGCTGTGTTGGCTGGGACCGCAAAGAGATCTTGGGTGAGGCCCCAACACTTTGATGCTAGCACATCTTTAAACACTCACAGAGCGTGAGCGACGCAGAAGACGGTGATTTCTGCATTTCCATCTGAGGTACCGGGTTCATCTCACTAGGGAGTGCCAGACAGTGGGCGCAGGCCAGTGTGTGTGCGCACCGTGCGCGAGCCGAAGCAGGGCGAGGCATTGCCTCACCTGGGAAGCGCAAGGGGTCAGGGAGTTCCCTTTCCGAGTCAAAGAAAGGGGTGACGGACGCACCTGGAAAATCGGGTCACTCCCACCCAAATATTGCGCTTTTCAGACCGGCTTAAGAAACGGCGCACCACGAGACTATATCCCACACCTGGCTCGGAGGGTCCTACGCCCACGGAATCTCGCTGATTGCTAGCACAGCAGTCTGAGATCAAACTGCAAGGCGGCAACGAGGCTGGGGGAGGGGCGCCCGCCATTGCCCAGGCTTGCTTAGGTAAACAAAGCAGCCGGGAAGCTCAAACTGGGTGGAGCCCACCACAGCTCAAGGAGGCCTGCCTGCCTCTGTAGGCTCCACCTCTGGGGGCAGGGCACAGACAAACAAAAAGACAGCAGTAACCTCTGCAGACTTAAGTGTCCCTGTCTGACAGCTTTGAAGAGAGCAGTGGTTCTCCCAGCACGCAGCTGGAGATCTGAGAACGGGCAGACTGCCTCCTCAAGTGGGTCCCTGACTCCTGACCCCCGAGCAGCCTAACTGGGAGGCACCCCCCAGCAGGGGCACACTGACACCTCACACGGCAGGGTATTCCAACAGACCTGCAGCTGAGGGTCCTGTCTGTTAGAAGGAAAACTAACAACCAGAAAGGACATCTACACCGAAAACCCATCTGTACATCACCATCATCAAAGACCAAAAGTAGATAAAACCACAAAGATGGGGAAAAAACAGAACAGAAAAACTGGAAACTCTAAAACGCAGAGCGCCTCTCCTCCTCCAAAGGAACGCAGTTCCTCACCAGCAACAGAACAAAGCTGGATGGAGAATGATTTTGATGAGCTGAGAGAAGAAGGCTTCAGACGATCAAATTACTCTGAGCTACGGGAGGACATTCAAACCAAAGGCAAAGAAGTTGAAAACTTTGAAAAAAATTTAGAAGAATGTATAACTAGAATAACCAATACAGAGAAGTGCTTAAAGGAGCTGATGGAGCTGAAAACCAAGGCTCGAGAACTACGTGAAGAATGCAGAAGCCTCAGGAGCCGATGCGATCAACTGGAAGAAAGGGTATCAGCAATGGAAGATGAAATGAATGAAATGAAGCGAGAAGGGAAGTTTAGAGAAAAAAGAATAAAAAGAAATGAGCAAAGCCTCCAAGAAATATGGGACTATGTGAAAAGACCAAATCTACGTCTGATTGGTGTACCTGAAAGTGATGTGGAGAATGGAACCAAGTTGGAAAACACTCTGCAGGATATTATCCAGGAGAACTTCCCCAATCTAGCAAGGCAGGCCAACGTTCAGATTCAGGAAATACAGAGAACGCCACAAAGATACTCCTCGAGAAGAGCAACTCCAAGACACATAATTGTCAGATTCACCAAAGTTGAAATGAAGGAAAAAATGTTAAGGGCAGCCAGAGAGAAAGGTCGGGTTACCCTCAAAGGAAAGCCCATCAGACTAACAGCGGATCTCTCGGCAGAAACCCTACAAGCCAGAAGAGAGTGGGGGCCAATATTCAACATTCTTAAAGAAAAGAATTTTCAACCCAGAATTTCACATCCAGCCAAACTAAGCTTCATAAGTGAAGGAGAAATAAAATACTTTATAGACAAGCAAATGTTGAGAGATTTTGTCACCACCAGGCCTGCCCTAAAAGAGCTCCTGAAGGAAGCGCTAAACATGGAAAGGAACAACCGGTACCAGCCGCTGCAAAACCATGCCAAAATGTAAAGACCATCGAGACTAGGAAGAAACTGCATCAACTAATGAGCAAAATCACCAGCTAACATCATAATGACAGGATCAAATTCACACATAACAATATTAACTTTAAATATAAATGGACTAAATTCTGCAATTAAAAGACACAGACTGGCAAGTTGGATAAAGAGTCAAGACCCATCAGTGTGCTGTATTCAGGAAACCCATCTCACGTGCAGAGACACACATAGGCTCAAAATAAAAGGATGGAGGAAGATCTACCAAGCCAATGGAAAACAAAAAAAGGCAGGGGTTGCAATCCTAGTCTCTGATAAAACAGACTTTAAACCAACAAAGATCAAAAGAGACAAAGAAGGCCATTACATAATGGTAAAGGGATCAATTCAACAAGAGGAGCTAACTATCCTAAATATTTATGCACCCAATACAGGAGCACCCAGATTCATAAAGCAAGTCCTCAGTGACCTACAAAGAGACTTAGACTCCCACACATTAATAATGGGAGACTTTAACACCCCACTGTCAACATTAGACAGATCAACGAGACAGAAAGTCAACAAGGATACCCAGGAATTGAACTCAGCTCTGCACCAAGCAGACCTAATAGACATCTACAGAACTCTCCACCCCAAATCAACAGAATATACATTTTTTTCAGCACCACACCACACCTATTCCAAAATTGACCACATAGTTGGAAGTAAAGCTCTCCTCAGCAAATGTAAAAGAACAGAAATTATAACAAACTATCTCTCAGACCACAGTGCAATCAAACTAGAACTCAGGATTAAGAATCTCACTCAAAGCCGCTCAACTACATGGAAACTGAACAACCTGCTCCTGAATGACTACTGGGTACATAACGAAATGAAGGCAGAAATAAAGATGTTCTTTGAAACCAACGAGAACAAAGACACCACATACCAGAATCTCTGGGACGCATTCAAAGCAGTGTGTAGAGGGAAATTTATAGCACTAAATGCCTACAAGAGAAAGCAGGAAAGATCCAAAATTGACACCCTAACATCACAATTAAAAGAACTAGAAAAGCAAGAGCAAACACATTCAAAAGCTAGCAGAAGGCAAGAAATAACTAAAATCAGAGCAGAACTGAAGGAAATAGAGACACAAAAAACCCTTCAAAAAATCAATGAATCCAGGAGCTGGTTTTTTGAAAGGATCAACAAAATTGATAGACCGCTAGCAAGACTAATAAAGAAAAAAAGAGAGAAGAATCAAATAGACACAATAAAAAATGATAAAGGGGATATCACCACCGATCCCACAGAAATACAAACTACCATCAGAGAATACTACAAACACCTCTACGCAAATAAACTAGAAAATCTAGAAGAAATGGATACATTCCTCGACACATACACTCTCCCAAGACTAAACCAGGAAGAAGTTGAATCTCTGAATCGACCAATAACAGGCTCTGAAATTGTGGCAATAATCAATAGTTTACCAACCAAAAAGAGTCCAGGACCAGATGGATTCACAGCCGAATTCTACCAGAGGTACAAGGAGGAACTGGTACCATTCCTTCTGAAACTATTCCAATCAATAGAAAAAGAGGGAATCCTCCCTAACTCATTTTATGAGGCCAGCATCATTCTGATACCAAAGCCGGGCAGAGACACAACCAAAAAAGAGAATTTTAGACCAATATCCTTGATGAACATTGATGCAAAAATCCTCAATAAAATACTGGCAAACCGAATCCAGCAGCACATCAAAAAGCTTATCCACCATGATCAAGTGGGCTTCATCCCTGGGATGCAAGGCTGGTTCAATATACGCAAATCAATAAATGTAATCCAGCATATAAACAGAGCCAAAGACAAAAACCACATGATTATCTCAATAGATGCAGAAAAAGCCTTTGACAAAATTCAACAACCCTTCATGCTAAAAACTCTCAATAAATTAGGTATTGATGGGACGTATTTCAAAATAATAAGAGCTATCTATGACAAACCCACAGCCAATATCATACTGAATGGGCAAAAACTGGAAGCATTCCCTTTGAAAACCGGCACAAGACAGGGATGCCCTCTCTCACCGCTCCTATTCAACATAGTGTTGGAAGTTCTGGCCAGGGCAATCAGGCAGGAGAAGGAAATAAAGGGTATTCAATTAGGAAAAGAGGAAGTCAAATTGTCCCTGTTTGCAGACGACATGATTGTTTATCTAGAAAACCCCATCGTCTCAGCCCAAAATCTCCTTAAGCTGATAAGCAACTTCAGCAAAGTCTCAGGATACAAAATCAATGTACAAAAATCACAAGCATTCTTATACACCAACAACAGACAAACAGAGAGCCAAATCATGGGTGAACTCCCATTCACAATTGCTTCAAAGAGAATAAAATACCTAGGAATCCAACTTACAAGGGATGTGAAGGACCTCTTCAAGGAGAACTACAAACCACTGCTCAAGGAAATAAAAGAGGAGACAAACAAATGGAAGAACATTCCATGCTCATGGGTAGGAAGAATCAATATCGTGAAAATGGCCATACTGCCCAAGGTAATTTACAGATTCAATGCCATCCCCATCAAGCTACCAATGACTTTCTTCACAGAATTGGAAAAAACTACTTTAAAGTTCATATGGAACCAAAAAAGAGCCCGCATTGCCAAGTCAATCCTAAGCCAAAAGAACAAAGCTGGAGGCATCACACTACCTGACTTCAAACTATACTACAAGGCTACAGTAACCAAAACAGCATGGTACTGGTACCAAAACAGAGATATAGATCAATGGAACAGAACAGAGCCCTCAGAAATAATGCCGCATATCTACAACTATCTGATCTTTGACAAACCTGAGAAAAACAAGCAATGGGGAAAGGATTCCCTATTTAATAAATGGTGCTGGGAAAACTGGCTAGCCATATGTAGAAAGCTGAAACTGGATCCCTTCCTTACACCTTATACAAAAATCAATTCAAGATGGATTAAAGATTTAAACGTTAAACCTAAAACCATAAAAACCCTAGAAGAAAACCTAGGCATTACCATTCAGGACATAGGCGTGGGCAAGGACTTCATGTCCAAAACACCAAAAGCAATGGCAACAAAAGACAAAATTGACAAATGGGATCTAATTAAACTAAAGAGCTTCTGCACAGCAAAAGAAACTACCATCAGAGTGAACAGGCAACCTACAACATGGGAGAAAATTTTTGCAACCTACTCATCTGACAAAGGGCTAATATCCAGAATCTACAATGAACTCAAACAAATTTACAAGAAAAAAACAAACAACCCCATCAAAAAGTGGGCGAAGGACATGAACAGACACTTCTCAAAAGAAGACATTTATGCAGCCAAAAAACACATGAAGAAATGCTCATCATCACTGGCCATCAGAGAAATGCAAATCAAAACCACTATGAGATATCATCTCACACCAGTTAGAATGGCAATCATTAAAAAGTCAGGAAACAACAGGTGCTGGAGAGGATGTGGAGAAATAGGAACACTTTTACACTGTTGGTGGGACTGTAAACTAGTTCAACCATTGTGGAAGTCAGTGTGGCGATTCCTCAGGGATCTAGAACTAGAAATACCATTTGACCCAGCCATCCCATTACTGGGTATATACCCAAATGAGTTTAAATCATGCTGCTATAAAGACACATGCACACGTATGTTTATTGCGGCACTATTCACAATAGCAAAGACTTGGAACCAACCCAAATGTCCAACAATGATAGACTGGATTAAGAAAATGTGGCACATATACACCATGGAATACTATGCAGCCATAAAAAATGATGAGTTCATATCCTTTGTAGGGACATGGATGAAATTGGAAACCATCATTCTCAGTAAACTATCGCAAGAACAAAAAACCAAACACCGCATATTCTCACTCATAGGTGGGAATTGAACAATGAGATCACATGGACACAGGAAGGGGAATATCACACTCTGGGGACTGTGGTGGGGTCGGGGGAGGGGGGAGGGATAGCATTGGGAGATATACCTAATGCTAGATGACACATTAGTGGGTGCAGCGCACCAGCATGGCACATGTATACATATGTAACTAACCTGCACAATGTGCACATGTACCCTAAAACTTAGAGTATAATAAAAAAAAAAAAAAAAAAAAAAAAAAAAAAAAAAAACCACTCACAAATCTCTCTCTCTAACAAAGACAGGATAAGTCTGAGACAATGGAATCTATCTAGCCTTAACTCAATTAACACTGTGGGTGTTTTGATTGCCTCTGCATTTTCATGGCAAATGATACTACATTTCTATTTGATAGTGATACAAAATTTAATTTGAAAAAGTCCATTTACATTAAAAAACTGGGTTGATTTAAAGACATTAGCAAACGATGGTACGGGTGGTAGCTGGATAAGGCAAATAAAATACAGGGCCCTCCAGAATATTGGAGTTTGTGGGAGACCATGTTTGCAGATAAAGCAGGAAAGATCCAAGGTCCCAGATTGAAGTGGGGACTATCTTTCACTCTCAGTCGCCCTAGACGACTCATTGCATTAGTGGAGAAAGCACTGTATCAAGAAGACCCGCTGTGTGGTCTGAGCAAACCATTCATGTTCCAATCATTCATGGGTTCCAGTCAGCCCACGTGGGAAACAAAGAGGATTATATTGGTTGCTAGTGTCAGAAACACAAATAAGCTTCTTCAGGAAAGGGGCGTTATTGGTTCTTGTTAACTGTGAAGTTCCGGGATAAGACAACTTCAGTTCTCGTTGGATCCAGGGATTTCAAGTGTCTTCCCTCTCCTAGCTAAAGTCCCAGAATTGAGTCCGGCAGGCTTCAGATAGGTGGAAGTTTCTGATTGGCCAGGCCTTGGTCATGTGCCCACAGGTGAGTGGAAGGTTCTGATTGGTCAGGCCTTGGTTGTGTGCCCACGGGTGGGTGGAAGGTTTTGATTGGCCAGGCTTTGGTCATGTGCCCATAGTGGCCAGGGGTTATGAAGGGTAGGAGAGCAGGCAGGGTCAGCCCTTTCAAACTCTGTGGATTAGAATGGGGTAGAAGGGGATGGTGCTCTTCAATGGAGAACCACCGTGCTTTTATCAGATGAAGGGATGAATGTCTAAGTAAGAGATGTGGTACCCACCAGAGGACTTTCTGTAAGGTTGTTTCCAGCTCTTTCCTTTGCAGCTGCACTCTGTGCTGACCCCTGATGTTTGTGGAGGAGGTTGAGGCCTCCTCTGGGAGCCTTCCTGCTTTTCTAGCCTCCGCTCAGGAATTGCACCTTCTTACTCCCACTTGAAGTGCCCCCTACCCTCATCACGTCCCCACCTCCAATCCCTCTATTTACCTGGAGAAACCTGCTCTACATCCTCCTCTGCCTAAAACCCTCTACTTCCGTTTGCAAACAAACCCCTGATTTTGGCATTGAGAGCCAAGGCTCCTCTGAGCCTGCTGCTCCTCTTACTAGCTGGGCATCTGAAGGCTGTATATCTCAGCATCTCCATATATAAAGAGGATCATAACTGTGCTGCCTCCTAGGGGTGTGGTGAGATTTACATGTTACTACAAAGAAAACATCTTACACCTGGCTACTCGTGGTTAGTTCCATAGATGCGGCCTGTAATTATAGTCATGGAATACGAGGCTGTACACAATCTGCTGCTCACTCTGTACTCAGCCTTATGTCTATGCCTCTTCCCAATTCCCTGAACTCCCCAGCCATATTGGACTCCTCCCCATGACCTGAGCATACCTATTTTTTCTTTCCTCCACATTTGCTCATGCTCTTCCCTCTGCCTGCAATGCCCTTTCTTCCCTAGCACCTTAAGACCTGGCTTATGTCCTATTTTCTCTGTGAGACCTCCTCTAGCCAGTCATGATGACCTGCCATCCCCACTCTAAGGCTAAAGAATGATTCCTCTTCTGTCACGTTTCCCCAGGACTCAGGGGTGTTCCTTTATTATAGTACACCTCAGTGTGTGTTTCTGTGGTTGTTTTTGGGGTCAGTCTCCACACACAGGTGTGAGTTTCCTGGGGGCAGGAACGTGTGTTTATCTCACTGGTCTGCATTCTCAGCATGGAGTCTCACACGTAGTAAAATTCTCAGAGCTTGTTGGGTGAATGAATGAATAGCCTGTGTACTTGTCTGCTTGAAGGCAAGGACTGTGTCCAACTTAATCTTTGTTTCCCCAATGTCTGGCACCCAGTAGGCATTCACTAAATTATTCATGCACGTAATCGAAGGATAGATAAGGCAGATGTATGCAAGTAGGTGAAGCAAGGAAAGGTACGAAGGACCCAGGAGAGGGAGAATTTGGACAATGAAATCGGGGTCGAGATGTGGTTCCAGAGCTCTGAGGGGGAAGCTGGACCAGGGAGCTGGGGGAGTCATGGGAGGCCCAGCCTCTTTTCCCTGAGCTGCACTCTTTCCTAGGGGTATGGGAAGGAGGAGACCCCACCCAGCCTGAAGAGGGGTATTAACATGCTTGAATGGCTCGAGGAGTGTTTCACAGGCTTATCTGTTAATAGTAAAAAGGAAATTATATGAAAAATACAAAAATGTGTGGGTTGCAGGACAAGTTAATGATTTCTCATGTAGTCAGATGTGTGTCCCTTTAATGGAGGCAGGTAATGGCGGTGGTAATAATACCCTGGATCTGTTGATAGCGTCTTTCTTCTGAGGAGCTCAAAGCACTTTCCATTCTTATCTCATCTCTCTTTCTGACTTCTCAGGGAAGTCAGTCTGATTATCCCCATTTCTCAGGTGCCTGTGTACTGTGACTCACACTGCGCCTCTGGAGCTCATCCCTTTGTGCAGCCTGGGTGGGGCCCATGTGACTCTCTCCTCCTTGAGCACTGCACCTGGAGCACCCCCATTTCATGGGTGACCAAGAAGGCTTGGCTCACTATAAAGGGTGCTCTGACATACAGGTCTATGGGAGCTAGCCACACCACGGGAAGCAGAGGGGCTGGGTGGGGGTGGTGAAGAGAGGAGGAGGTGGAGGAGGAAGGACCTGAGGGAGGGGGAGGGATGAAAGGTCTGGAGGACTCAGAACACTAGACTCTGAGCATGCTGAGGGCAGGGCCATGTCCTGTTTGCCTTCCTATCCTTAGGACGAAGCCCAGTGCATGACATGGCATAGGTACATAGGTCAGATACATGGTTGGTCAGGTGACAGGTGGACATGCCATGGTATCTTTCAAGACCCAGTTCAAAGATCACCTCTTTGAGAAGCTTTCCCTGGCCATTCCACTGGACTACTAACATACCACTACTGGACTCATAACCCTTGGAGCCTCTCAGGCAGCTTTGTGGCAGAGTTAACTGTCTATGTGTCAGATGCCCCCATTTGGATGTCAGTTCCTGGACCAGGCATGAGTCTAACTTGTCTCATATCTTTAGGGTCTGTTAGCACAGGATGTCTCACGTAGTAAGGGTGGGCAGAGAGAGGTACAGGAAAGGCTGGGCTTTGAAGTCAGAAAGACCCAGATTCATACGCGGGTTCTGCCTCTGACCACACAGGGTTCCACTGTGGCTCAGGAAACCCCTTAGCCTCCTTGAGCATATGCTCCTTTCCCCCTTCCTCATGATAAAATGGAGCTGAGAAAACCCACTTTGCTGGCTGTGGCAAGGCTAACCATGGTGGCATTGCTTGGCACCTAGAATGTGTTCGGTATTCATCTCCTATGATTAATTTTAGATTTGATGGTTTCCAGCCCTGGCTCGGCATTAGAACCACCCTTCTCAGGAATAGACATACTTGGAACTCCACCCCTGGGAAATTCTGAGCCTGTGGATCTGGGCTGGGGCCAGGATCTGCCTGTTAAAAATGGTCCTCTGGTTATTCTGCTGTTGGAGGGTCTCAGTGTTTGTGAAATCAAACATATGATTGAATGTAAGGTAGAACGTAAGTCCTTGATTTCTCTGGTTTCTAGGGTTCAGTGAAGGGACAGAAAAGGCTGCTTGGTAAAGTGATCTCTTCTAGGGAGGATGCTTGGGGGGTCCAAGAGCTCAAAGCATTTTCTCTTCTTATCTCATCTCTGCATGTCCAGCCTTGCCCATCGAAGCAGATGGAACGGAGAGGAAGTTCACCCTGGCCTCCTTCACACTACCCCTGTGACCCAAGTAAGCTGGCCACCTTCCCTGCACTTCATCTCGCCACTTTGTTCAGCAGGCATTCTCCATGTTTTACATTTGCAGACCAGAGGCGGGTGGAAGAAGAGCTCTGTGGACTCCATGACCATCAGTCAAGGGGGTAGTGAGGTGTTGCTTGTCTTTGCTAGAATTTCTCAAGTTTACAAAGAATTAGAGATGGAAATGAAAGTTCGTAACTGTTTACAGTTCCAGCTGGCATCTGATAGACCCCTAAGGAACCTCCGTGCAGACTGGGGTGCCAGCCAGGCCTTCTTTCTGAATCAGGGACCTAGAAATCTCCAGTTGTTGAAAGGCAGACTCTGTATAGGTCTAGGGGTCAGCAATGCAGAAGGAGCCCAGGTTGTGAGGCCTGGGTCCAGGTTGGACTTGCTGCTAGCTTGCTGTGTGACTCTGTACGGGCCAGAGAGCCTCCCCAAGCCTTGCTGACTTTGACACATCAGCTGAAATTCTTTCTCTGAGGCTTATGATCCTGAAAAGGGATTGGATGTAGTGGAGAAAGGAATTTGTCCCAAGCAGGAGAGCAGTAAATTGCCAACAATGGAAGGTTGGAAAGGCCTGTGTCCATAGTACCAGGTGGGAGTCATGGACCACTGGGGCTGCTGAGCCTGGACGTGGGGCTTGTAGGAGACTGTAGGATCACAGAATTGAAAGTGGTAGCGGTGAATGGAGAGTGGGGATTACACAGTACAAGACATTTTCTCACATACTGTTTTCTTCAGTTTACATGGAATCCTAAGAGATATTATTGTGTCAACATTCATAATAACCAAATCATTTTACAGGGGAGAAAACTGAGGCCCAGAGAGATGAAGGCCCCCAAAGTCACACGGCAATTTGGTGGTGCCAAAATTTGAATCCACATCTGTCTGACTCTACTACCACCCCACTACAGTTGACTTGGGGCAAGATGGGTGTCCCAAAGCATTTGGGTTGATTTAGATTTTTTCTGGAGTGGTTCTACAGATCTTTCCCCCAGGTGAGGCAGGTGCCCTCCCTTTCCTGGGAACAGGCCACTCTCAGTGTTTGGGAAGGAAGGGACAGCAACATGTGGTGGGGTCAAAGGCATCAGGTGCTGGCCGCTGTCATTCCCAGTGGGAAATGGATCTCCTTCTCAGGAACCTGAGCAGGAGCTGGAAGTCCTCCCTCTGCAGGCAGGATCTCAGGTGATGGCCCTGAACAGGTGATTGTTTTGCAACTAGTCAGGGAGGGTGGACAGGTCTTGAAGTCTGAGAAGGCACAGATTTCCAGACCAGGTCTCACCCAGGAGATTCAAAGGGCAGGATTGCGCAAGGACGACCTCTACTTGGGCCCAGAAAACGAGAAAGTCAGCTTCTTTTCCGTGTACTGTGAGTGAGTCACCTTTCCCAGAAGCCAGGCCATTCTCTGGTTCCTCCTGCAGGCTCAGAGTGGCCTGGCTAGGGTGGAGCAGAGCAGGGAAGGTGAGGAGCCAGTGACAACTCCGTCTTCCCCATCTCCGTAGGGAGCATGGAGCTTAGTGCATTAGACTGGGTAAGAACCCATCACGCATCCCCAACCCTCTGCACCCCATCCACATGTCACAAGGTCACAGCTGGGTACCGAGGCTGGCATGGGGCCGATCACTGTGCCTGTGGTGCGGAATGGGATGTGTGTGTGTGTGTATAAAAGCCATGGAAGCCATGGTACAATCTGAGGGCCAGACAAGCTTTTTGTTCCCCAATCTCATCTTTCCTGCTTGGTGTAGACGGGCTTCAAAGTCAGACATCTGGGTTCCAATTTCAGCTCTCCCCCTTCATTCCCACCTCCCCAGCCCACCTCCCAGCCCTTGGAGCTCATACTTACAGAGCAACCTTGGACAGGTCATTCCAACCTGCTTAAGCCTCAGTTTTTCTCCTCTGTGTAATGGGGATAACATTACCCACTTCTCAGAGTTGTGAATTATCAAGCAGATTAAATAGAAGAGTGCTGGGAGGGTAGAGTCTGTCATCAGGCAGCCTGGCTTTATTTTTATTTATTTATTTATTTATTTATTTATTTATTTATTTGAGATGGAGTCTTTCTTTGTCACCCAGGCTGGAGTGCAGTGGCACGATCTCGGCTCACTGCAACCTCTGTCTCCAAGGTTCAAGCAATTCTTGTGCCTTAGCCTTCCAAGTAGGTGGGACAACAGGTGCCCGCCTCCATGTCCAGCTAATTTTTGTATTTTTAGTAGAGACTGCGTTTTGCCATGTTGGCCAGACTGGTCTTGAACTCCTGGCCTCAAGTGATCTGCCCGCCTCGGCCTCCCAAAGTGCTGGGATTACAGGTGTGAGCCACTGTGCCCAGCCAAGGCAGCCCAACTTTAGACCATAGCCCTGTGTTCCATCTCTAACCCTCCGGCTAATCCTACCCCTCCTGGGCTTCCGGCTGATCAGTTGTAAAGTACAGCTCCCTCGTGGAGCTGCTGTAAGGATCAAATAAGATACCGCTCTTGCCATGTATAAGGCACCCAGCAAAAGTGTTAATTGCCTTCTCCATTCAGGCTCATTTCCTCATGATTTTGCTGAGAAAAGAGAGTTGGATCTGAAGATGTCAAATTATTCCAAAGATTGATCTTTCCTAGGTTCCTACTTTATTAGATGGGATAAGAATAGCATATATCTCATAAAGCTGTTGTGAGGCTAATTGAGTTGATATGAGTACCAGGAAGTGCCCCATAAATGTCAGCTTCATGGCTGGCTATATATAGTTCTTCATTCTGCTGGTGATGCAGCCCTGGCCGGTGCCTTGGCCTGAGTGATCAGGGCCAAGGTGACACCCTGCAGTGACAGGTCTGGGTAGTGACGAGCAAAGCTGGTTGGGCAGGGGCAGCCAGGTCCTTACTGAGACCGAAAGAACAGCTTGGGCATTATTTTGTAACAGAGATTGCCTTTGGTCTTGGCTAGTTCCAGAGAAGGCTGGAAAAAGGAATGTCTGTGACCACCAGGCTGCAGGGAAATGGGATGCTCCTACATTTTGTCATGGCTGAGGGAGCAGATGAGGACCACAGCAGAACAGGTGGGGGTCTTTTAGTGGATGCTGACCAGCTAGGAGGCCACAGCTGGATGGAAGCTGGGGGAATAACCCCAGTCCCATCGTGTGGGGCAGTAGACACTGGGCAGGGGCCCCAGAGCCTGCACATGGCCAAGTCAGTCAAGATGTGCCTCCTTCTAGGGAACTGACAGAGAGTGGGTTCTGTTGCCCCAAAGAGTCCAGTGCTCTTTCCATGAGATCATGTTTGCCCAGAATCATGGACCCCTGCCCTGAGAGCTCACCATCAACTCATGGCAGGTGGCCAGCTGGATGCTCAGGGACCACAGAGGAAGGAGAGAGATTCAGAGAAAGTTTGTGGAAGAGGCAACACGTAAGCCAGGCTTTTTAGGAGGAGATGAGGAAGAAAGTTGTTGTCCCCACTTCCTCATCTCCACCTCATGTCTCCACCTCTATCAATTGCAATCTGGCTTCTCTTACACATGAAAATACTCTTGTCAGGGTCATCCGTGACCTTCTGTGGTCAATCCAAAGGGCACATCGCGGTCCTGCTCTTAAATAATATGGGGGTCACATTTGACGCTGTAGCTCACTTCTCCCTGGACTTCTGGTTCTCCTTTTGCCTCCCTGATGTTCCTCCTCATTTTCCTTTGTGAGGTCATCTTTCTCTGTTACCTATCATTTATCCATCCACCCACCCATCCATTCATCCACTTGTCCATTGATCCACTTATCCATCCATCCTTCCATCCATCCATCCATCCATCCATCCATCCATCCATCCATCCATCTATCCGCCCACTCACCCATTCATTTATTCTATCTATCTATCTTTGTACTTAAGGAGAATTTAAAGAAGGTGCTATTTATAAAAGAAAGAGATACTGCAGCACTCCAGGGCTGACCATATTAGGGATCCATTAGCAGCCCTAGGCCTTAAGATCAAGTGGCTTTCAGAACCCAGAGTGAAGTTATAAGGGGGCTTCCTGTTGGGAGCTGAGTCCTTCAGCCTGGGGACATGGCCAACAAGGGATGTAAACATCGGACTTGACTCTCTTCCCCACAGTGATGTGACTCATGGCTGTGTTCTTTCCTCTGAGACTGGAAAGGAGCACCCCTCCTTTCTGCTCACACCCCCGCCCCCAGGACTTTTCTCTACTCCAGTGGCTGATGCCCCCCGAGTTGCTAGCTCTGGCCCAGACTCCTCTACTGACAACCTACCTGAACACCCAACTCTCTACTCACTGGAACCCTGCAGCTGTCCCTCAGGTCTCACAAACCCAGCCTGCCCACAGAACTCATGGTCTTTCCCCAGGCTGTTTATCTCCCATGTTCTCTGTCTGTGTGAATGGCCACTCTCCTTGTCACCTGAGTCCACGGCTGGGACTCATTCCTGCTCCTGTTCCTCCTTTACTGTCCCTATCCATCGCCAAGTCCTGTCCAATCCGCACCCAGAAATGGACAGATGCATCCCTCCCTCCCATCCTCACTCCTGGTGCCTTTGCTTAAGTTCTTCTCATCTCTGCTGCTCTGTATCACCACAATTGCTTCCTAATTCACCTTCCGATTCCCATCTCACATCCTATGGCAGGGGCTGCTGGTTGCCTCTTAAGGCCCATCATTCTCTCTCCATTGCTTAGTTATACCCAATTTTCAGTTAGGTAAGTGATCAGTGATCTAAAAGACAATATTTGCCAGACTTTCTTGTGGCTAGAATTGGCCAAGTGACTAAGTTCTATATGAAGATATAGGCTGGGTGCGGTCGCTCACGCCTGTAATCCCGGCACTTTGGGAGGCCAAGGTGGGTGTATCACTTGAAGTCAGGAGTTTGAGACCAGCCTGGCCAACATGGTGAAACCTCTTTGCTACTAAAAATACAAAAATTAGCGGGGGTGTGGTGGCACGTGCCTATAATCCAAGCTACTTGGGAGATTGAGGTAGGAGAATCTCTTGAACCCGGGAGGCAGAGGTTTCAGTGAGCCGAGTTTGCACCACTGGACTCCAGCCTGGATGACAGAGTAAGACTCCGTCTCAAAACAAAACAAAACAAAACAAAAAACAGATGAAGATATAAGCAGAAATGACCTGTAGAAGTGCTGGGAAGTCTCCTTAAAATGGAAAGGGCGTGCTCTTCTTTCTCCTGACTCTATCTGCTGCCTGGAACATGGATGATGGCCCAAGCTGTAGCAACTTCCTTGGACTATGTGGGTAATCACCTTCCACAGCTGAAAGGATGAATTGTAAGAAGTATATCAACCATAAGTCACTATCTCTGGACTTCTTCAATGAAAGAGTGAAATAAAGGTCTAATTTGTTTAAGCCACGGTTATTTTTTGTTTCTTTGTGATTTTTAGCTACACATAATTCTAACTGATGTGTCTTCTACCCACGGGGATGGTTGCAGATGCTTCTGTGCCCCGTGTGCCTCTTTGGACCACTGAGTTGAGCACAGCTGTGAGGGCAGTTCTGTTCAAACATGTAGGGCGTGTTCAAAGCCACAGAAGGCCAGTCGGCCCCTGCCCAGGCACAGCCTGGAATAGAAATGAAGACTCCAAAAGAACGGAGTTGGGAGAGAGGCAGGTGCTGAAAAGATTTCCTACTGGGTCCTAGGGGAGAGTTGATGCCTTCTACGGGCAGCCCTCAATCAACGGGAGATGAAAGTTGGTAACCATACGAGGTTCATTCATGATTTCTCGGAGGGTCCCAGCAGGCCTGGGCTCTGGCTGCCCATGGAGGTAACCAGCTCAACCACACACCCTTTCCAATCTTTTCTCCCACCCCTGTCTCATTCTTTTCACTGTCACTGCTACTTTCTGGAGTCACCTCTCAGATAAGCCACCTCCACAAATGTTCTGGTCTCAGGCTCTGCCATTGAGCTAAAATGTAGCTCTATTTGGGCCCTTCCCCTCCAAAAGTCCCTCTGGAGCCCACAGAATCCTGGATGATGATGTGATCCCTTGGTCTGGCTGCTGCCTCTGATCACCTCCTCCCTGCTGCTCTGTCCCGTGCCCTCAGCACCCCCTGTGTGACCCTTGCTCCAGCCATGCCAGGCCATAGCAGTTCTCTGAAGGGCCCTGCAGTGTCACACTCTGGTGCCTTTTCATAGACTGGATCATCCTTTCTTTACCCTTCCCCAGCTCATCTCAAGTTCAGCTGGAGCTGTTCCTTGTCTAGGGTCCCATTCCTCTTTTCCACCATCCTGGCCGTGTCTACGCAGCCACCTCTTTCTCCTTTTTGACTTTGTGCTTCTTTTTAAGGCAGAGACTACACACACCCTATTCAGTTTTAGATTCTGGACACAGCGCTGAGCTGGGGCACAGTTGAAACTCAGTGTTTGTTGCATGGCAGAAGGGGTAGGGGCAGGGCCAGGCTGAGCAAGGCCCAGAGAGGGGCACATGCATGGTGGCCTGATGTGTTCCTGGATTGACAAGTGGACCACATGTCCGAGATCCCTCACTCCAGCATCCAGTTTCTCCCAGATTTGATCTCTCTCATCTTTTCAGCTTCAGCTCCTAAACCTCTCCTCTGGTTCAGAGCTCCAATCCCACCAGCATCTGTCCTGCCCTGAACACACTCTGTGTTCTCAAGCCACTGTGACTCAGGCCATGCTCGTCCCTTTGCCTGGATGGCTTCCCTTCCCCCTTGGCCTTCCACCTTGCTAGGGAATTTCTCCCTGCCCTTCAAGGCCTGTATCAAATACATCTGCATCCATAAGCCCTTCTCTGCCAGGGACTGTGCTTTGTACATTGCGGGTTCTTAGGAAAGCTTATTGTGGATGTATTAGGTATATTGGGTAGGGTGGGGGACATGTATGTATTTATTTAACAAACATTTACACAGAGCTTAGTATATTCTAGGCACTATTCTACATGCCGTACCCATATGAACTAATTTAATATACATAACAATCGTATAAGGAAGGTACTGTTATTGTTCCCATTTTACAGATTATAAAACTGAGGCACAGAGAGGTTAAGTAACTTGTCCAAGGTTACACTGCTAGAAAGTGCTAGAGACAGGATGTGTTGACCCAAGTGGAGCAGGAGAGATGGTGACAGGTTTCTTTTTAAATCAATGCTATGGAGTAGATGGAGAACATCAATTGCTTGGTGTTTCTTTTTTTTTTTTTCATCTAAATTTTAGATCTGGTAGGTCCATGTGCAGGTTTATGACATGGGTGTATGGTGTGATGCTGAGGTTTTGGCCTCTATTGATCTTTTCACCCAGATAGTGAACATAGTACCCAACAGGAGGCTTTTCAGCCCTTGCCTCCCTCCCTTCCTCCTTTTAGCATACCCAGTGTCTTTGTTCCCATCTTTACGTCTGGGTGTGCTCAGGCTTTAGCTCCCACTTGTAAGTGATAACATGCAGTATTTGGTTTTCTGTTTCTGTGTTAATTCACTTGGGATACTGGCAAATCAACTTCCCCTTCTGGGAGCTCCATGGCTGAGCTGGGCTGAGGACAGCAGCTTTCAGAAACCCTGCAGGTGTCCGGGACATCTGGCCACAGGGGCCACTGAATGGCTCTAGAGGCCCAAGCTTCAGGTGGGCCATGAGTATGGGCCTGGCCTTCATCAGGCAGGGCAAGGGACGAGGCTTCCTGGCAGGAAATCTGCTCCTCTGACTTGCACCAGCCTCCTTTCTGCTCTGCCTTGGAGAGTGCGGTGGGAGATGGCAAAGAATATCCAGGATAAGGTTTGTAAATGGATGAAGGGTTCACAAGAAGACCCTGGGACTAGCAGGCAGGGACTTTGACTCAATGTGCTGAGTGATTTCAGCGGCAACTCACTTCCCTTCTATGGGCCTCAGTTTCTCCATTTGTGAAATGCAAAGACTGGGCTGGATGCTCACGAAGGGCTCTCCCAGCATGTTCTTTAATAATTCTAGCTACATAGGTATTGTCTTGGGGAGCAGAAGGGAGGAGGGAAATTGGGATATGTTATGGGCTGAATTTACATATTCAAAATTCATATGTTGAAGTCTGAACCTTCAATATCTTTAAATGTGACTGTACTTGGGAAGGATCTTTAAGAGGTAATGAAGGTTTAATGAATCTTTGGGGTGGGCCCTAATCCAATATGACTGGTGTCCTTGTAAGAAGAGGATATTAGGTCACAGACACCCACAGAGGAAGGACACATGAAGACACATGGAAGAGACGGGCATTTTCAAGCCCAGGAGAATGGCCTTAGAAAACACCAAACCTGCTGACACTTTAAACTTGGACTTCTGGCCTCTAAAATTATGAGAAAATAAATGTGTTCTTTTAAGATGCTCAGTCTGTGGTACTTGGTTCTGACAGCCCTAGCAAATCAATGCAAGGTAACACCATAAGCTGATCCAACTGCAGTGTCCTCCAGCCACAGTACCTTGGTTCTTGTGGGGTCAGACTAGCCAAAGAGTATGGGAGGCAAGGGGAGAGGCTCAGCGTAGATCATCTTGAACAACATGCATTGAGCCTGCTTTGCAGTCAGGGCTGAATTGGTGCACCCTACCCCTGCCCTCAAGGAGCCCTTGATCCCATGAGGGAGACGGACTTACAGTGAGGAATACTTGTTGTGTGAATCGTGGTGATGAAACATACACAGCACAGACACAGGCCTGGGGAGGGAACAGTCCATTGTCCAGATGACTTCACTGAGGAGAGCTTGGAAGGGCCAGCTGTGGTGTCCAGCGATCAGAGAATGGAGGGAAGAGCATCCCAGCAGAGTGATCAGCATTTGCAAAGGCACAGAGGCACAAACATTTCCCTGGGGCAACTGAAATATGAGACTGGAGAGCAGAGCTGGGGAGGCCCTGAGGGAATGCAGCTTATAAACATGGGGACCCTGGAGCCAGCCCATTGGAACTCAGCAGGGCCACTTCCTAGCTGGGTGACCCTCAGCAGGTTACTTGGCCTCTTGGAACCTCAGTGTTCTCATCTGCAAAATGGTGATGGCGATAGTACCTACCTTAGAGGATTGCCTCAGAGACTAAGTAGGTAAATATCTACAGCATGCTTTGAACAGTACCCTGCATGTGAATGGTACTTCAGCAACTCTGGCTGTCAGCTCAGCTCTGGTTTTCACACCTGCTCTCCCACAGAGTGGCTGAAATGATTATTTCATCAACCCTTTTGGTTGGGCACAGTGGGGAGTGAGGTCAGTGTAGAACATCAATCTTCGTTAGCTAGAACTGGGAACTGAGAGGTGCAGAGAATCCTGGAAATGCAAGGAGAACTTGCCAGAAAGCATTTCAGCAGGGTTCCAGGAGGCCTGCTGCTGAAGGGGGCAACCTTTGTGGCCCTAAAACTCTGTGACGCACGTAGGGGAAGGAACTGAAAAGGGGACCTGAAAGATATGTTTTCTCAGTAACAGGCACAAGAGGCAGCAGGGGTGGAGGAACAGTGTTTTGGAGACTCCGAGGAGTAGAATTGCTGGCTCTCAGGGCTGGGAGGCCCTGTTTAACTTTACAGTGTTTGATATGATAAAAAGATGCAAATAGTTACCCTCATTTTTTTTTTTTTGAGATGGAGTCTTGCTCTGTTGCCCAGGCTGGAGTGCAGTGTGGCGTGATCTTGTCTTACTGCAATCTCCGCCTCCCGGGTTTAAATGATTCTCCTCTCTCAGCCTCCTAAGTAGCTGGGACTACAGGCATATGTACCCTCTTTTTATAATTAAAGATTTCTTACCAAAAATCCAGATGTCCAGCTTCTGGTGGACACAGAATATCTGAGAACAGTAGCTGGCATTCCCATGCGGCAACCATCAGCAGTAATTCAATGGCAGGTGCCCCCACAGTAGGTCATTTTCTTTCTCTGCCCCATTCCAGCAGGCATTTGCATGTAAGATTGCCAAGTCTAGCCCAACACTCTCCTTTTACAGATGAGGAAACAGTGGGGATGTGACTCATCCAATTTTACACATGTGAGTGACCCAGCATCGGATGAGATCTCAGGCCTCCTAACACTCAGTCACACATGCATTCCACACCTCTGCTTGCCTTCTTTTGCCTTAGTACCCTGGTGGAAAGGGTAGAGGAGCAAGGGGATATGGTCTTCTTTTAGTTTTAATTGATAGTAACTATTAAGAAAAAGAGCAGCCATCAATTAAATGTCTACAATGTATCAGGGACTTCACACACATTTAAATTCTCATAACAACCCTGGAAAGTAAATATTATTATTCCTATTTTTCAGATGAGGAAACGGAGGTGCAGAAAGGTTAAAAAGCATGCCCGAGGTCGCTGGGGTGGTGTGTGATGAAGCTGGGTCCTGAACCATGGTTGAATGGACTCTAAAGCATTGTAGCAAGCGTGTTCTTAGGCTCTGGGGCATGCTAAAGTAGGAAAGTTCTGGAAGCTGTGGTCCAAGTGGTTTACTAGTGTTCCATTCAGACAGTTCAGGGCATGTCAGGGGAGATTTCAAGTTGTTGAGTGTCCCATGAGCCTCGTGGGAGAGAGGGGACTTGATCTCCCTCCCTGGGACTGACCACCCATACCCCCTGCAGACATTTCTCATCATAGTTGGGGGTTGGGGGACACCTTTAGGGGAAAGCTGGGGGGCCTGGCCAGGGCTCAGGATGGAGGAATGACTTATAAACTAGAGGGCCTTAACCATCTTCAAGGCACCCCCCCACCTCTAGCCCCCTATGCAGTGTTTAATGGCCTTAGCGGAGGGCTCCCCAGCACCACCAGCTGAGCTTAACATGGCTGTTGTTCCTTGGTGTTGAGGCTTCCTTTAGTTTGACTGTCTCAAAAAGTGTCTGCTCCCTGAGTCCAGGGACCCCTTCCCATGTATCTCTATATCCCCATCATCTAGAATGTTGCTTGACTCATGATAGGTACAACAAATGTGTGGTTCTGGAATGGATGAATGAATGTATGATGCAGGATTCACTTCTTTCTGGGGAGAGATCGCTGGGGTTTAAGTCTTGGCTCTACCCTTACTAAATGAGTGACCTGGACAAATTATTTAACCTCTCTGGGACTCAGTTTCTACATCTGTGAAATGGAGACAAAAATCGTGCTTATCTCATTGCTTATTGTTAAAATTAATATATTGCCCATAAAGTGCTTAGCACAATATCTTGTCTTGTGCTGTCTGATATGGTGGCCACTAGTCACAGGTGACTATTTAAAATAACCAAAATGAACTAAAATTAAAATTGAGATTCTTCCATTGCACCAGCTGCATTTCAAGTTCTCAGTGGCTTCTAAATTGGACAGCACAGATATAGAACGTTTCCATCATCACAGATAATTCTCCTAGACAGAGCTGGTGGAGAATATTGTAAGGGCTCTGTGATGCTAGCCATTTCTCGTTACAATTACTCCTGCTGTTATTGTCGCTGTCTCTCAACTCAAGGTGGAGGGTGATACTAGGTCACTACAGCAGGAGATTTGCCCTTGTGGCAGCCCAGGCTGAAAGTCCATACCCTGCATTTGCTTTCTTCTTAGAATGCTGTCCTGCCGATCTTCACTTGCTGACATCCTCCTTGTGCCAATGCCTGGTAGGACAGGCTTTAAGAAGCTTTTCAGAGGGAGAGCCCAACATAAGAGCCTTCTTCTCCATGAGTCTAGCCTCCCTTTGAGAGCTGGAACTGGATTTCCTTCATCCCTGCCTCCCCAGTGCCTGGCACTGGGTAAGCACTCAGAATAAATTTGTTGGGGAATGAAGGAGCTGTGTCTGAAAGTTTGCATGGGTCTAAGACAGTGTGTTCACTCAGCTCCATGACTGCATCAAAGCATTTCTAATACCAGATGACTTACAGTGTGGAAGAAAGAGCAGCTAGGAAACAGGTCTGTATCCGTGGCCAGGAGGCATGAGCCTCAGAAATGTTGGCAGGATGAGCAGCCTTAGAGAATGATGGCAGCGCCCCGGGGAAATGACAGGAAGCACAAGTTGAGTGGCCCAGGGAAGGCGAATGGGCATCAGAGAATTAAGAAGAACTGTCTTGTGCATGGGAGACTCTCCAAGACCTCTTGGATCGGAAAGGAAGAGCTGAGGTTTCAGTATATCTTGGCAGGGGTGGGCAAGCCACAGACCTCCCTTAGTTTCTGTTATGTGTCCCCGCTGCACTGATAGGGCCTGAGGAAATGAAAGTTAACCAGTAACAAATATTTTTGGGTCTGTCACTTTAAAGAGTCTTCAGTTGGCTTCCCTTATCATTGGAGATTATTTCTTTTGTGAGTGTGTTTTCTTTGCATATTCTTTGCATATGTATTGTTTCAAGGAGAAATGGTAGCTTCCTGGGTGTTGACATCTGAGGCAAAGTTTTAGATTTAACTTGAGGTCATCTTAGTCGACTCAGGCTGCCATAATAAAATACCACGGACTGGGGTCTTAAACAGCAGACATTTATTATCTCGCTGTTCTGGAGGCTCGGAGGTCCAAGATCAAGGTGTCAGCAGATTTGGCTCCTGGTGAGAGCTCTCTTCCTGGCTTGTGGATGGCTGCCTTCTTGCTGTGTCCTCACCTGGTGGAGTGAGAGATTTTTTGTCTCTTTCTCTTCTTCTAAGGGCACCAATCCCATCACTGAGACTGTAGCCTCAGGACCTCCTCTAAACCTAATTACTCCCCACAGGCCTCACCTCCTAATATCATCATGTTGGAGGTTAGGGCTTCAGCAGATAAATTTGGGGGGCACAGGGTTCATACTGTTGATGAAAAAAGCCAAACTCTGAAATACTTGAAGAAGTTTATTCTGAGCCAAGTGTGAGGACCATGGCCCGTGACACAGCCTCAGAAGGTCCTGAGAACATGTGCCCAAGATGTTTGGGTTATACTTTGACTTTATACATTTTAGGGAGACAGAAGCTACAGGGAAAACATAAATCAATACGTGTGAGTTATATGTTAGCTTGGCCAAGAAAGGCAGGTCATCTTGAAGTGGGTGCTTTCAGGTCACAGGCGGATTCAAAGATTTCCTGATTGGCAATTGGTTGAAAGTGTTAAGCTTTGCCTAAAGAGTTTGAGTCAGCAGAAGAAATGCTTGGGGTTAAGATAACGGGGGTTGTGGAGGCCAGGTTTCTTCTTATGTAGACGAAGCCTCCAGGTAGCAGACTTCAGAGAGAACAGATGGTAAATGTCTTTTATCAGACCTTAAAAGCTGTCAGACTTTTAGTTAAATCTCTCCTGGATCAGGAAAAGACTTAGAAAGGGAAGAAGATTCTCTGCAGAATGTAAATTTTCCCCACAACGGGTGGCTTTGCAGGGTCATTTCAAAATATGTCCAAGAAATATATTTGGAGGTAAAATACTTTCATTTCCTTTAGGGACTGTTATCTGTCACGTGATGTTATATCAGAGTCTCAGGCTTCCCCGACCCACTTCTCTTTGACACCGGCAGAAATCTAATATCTGTATCAGGGTCCACATAGACCAATGGCATCCAGCCCTGATGTCAGGCCATCTTTAGCCTCCACTGATCACCTGCCCACATTCTGCACATCAGCCTCACTCAACTTTCTGTTTTTCTTGCAGCCCAGGCTGTTTGGCACCTCTGGGACTTTGCACGTGCTCTTTCCACTTCCTGGTTCATTCTCCCCCTGCCTTGGCATCTGACTGAATCTTCCTCCTTTGTCAGGCCTCAGCTTAGATGTCACTGCTCTGAACCTGCCCCCAGTCCCCTGGTCTGAGTTAGGTGCAGCTTGTCCTCCCACAGGAGCTGGCCCACACCTGCCACCTGACTCCTGAATGCACCAGCAACCCCTGCTGGGGCTCCAACTGCTATTCAGACGGTGCGCCTTAGGCCGGAAGGACCAGGTCTGTCTTGTGAACAATTGTATCCTCAGTGACTGGCCCCAGGCATAGGAGGTGCTTCATGTAATACTTATTGAATGAGTCAAAAAGGTGAATTAAAGAATGTTGTCATCAAGTTCATAAGTCAGCCTCAGATTACTGGTTCTGACAGTCTTGGTAATGCTTTTTAAGTTGAGGTTTCTTTAAGCTGATTGTTGAAAACGGTTTACTCATCACAGGAGTTTATTCATTTACTGGTCCAAAAAGGATAAAATCATACAAATGGCTTTGTATCCTTTTGCTATTACAATACAGAAATTCGTAGCATGGATTTTGGAGCCAGACTGTCTGCATGTGAGTTCCAACTCTGTCACTGAGAAGCTGCGTGACTTTGGGCAAACTATTTTTCTGTGCCTCAGTTTCCTCATCTTTAAGATAAGATTCTAATAAAACTTATCTAATGATGTTGTGAGGATTAAATTCGTCTGTATTTGACTAATCCCTAAACACATAGAAGCACTATATAAAATGTGTTAAATAAAGTAAATCAGGAATAAATCTCATAAACAGTGTGGTAGTCTCTTAGAAGTTAACTTCCTTTTGGAATAAAGCATTGGCATGGTTCTAGCACAAGGCAACTTCAAGGACAAAAGTGAAGTTCATTTTCAGTGTGTGCCCACCCTCTATTTCTATCCCGTTTTACTTTCTGTGGTGTTTTGTCTTGCAAAGTGTTATCTTCCTCTTCACCATCTCACAACAAATGCTTTTGGATCTGCCAAAAAGGCCAATTCATACTCTAATGTAAATGACTGATAGACTCTAATGTGCTTCTCCAAAATTATTGTCTTAACATGAAGTGTCCTGATTAGTCTGGGGAATTCAGGAGGGCAGAAACCACATACTATACATGTCAATATCCTCCTTGACCCTGGCTCTCTACACCTCTAAGTGCGGCAGACATTGGCCAGCCCTATTATCAAGTCTCCCGGGAAACAGTCAGGAGTGTGAGGGTTAGACCCATTGAACAGAATGCTGAGAACCTTGGAGACACATTGGGAAGAGAGGGGAAGAAGTGCCACCAGCACTGAATAACAACGGTTGAGTTTAAAATACAAAATCAGAATCCTGGTCAGCTTACACTGGCACTCCAAGACTATGGAGCCCTCAGATGCCACATGACCCAACCTCAAAGGAGAGCTGCGGTTTCAGACTCAGGGTGACAGCAGCCAATGATTTAGAAAGCAGAGCTCAGCGTGGGACCCATGGCAGGAGGCTGCTTGGAGTCTGTAAATGATGCCATTGTTTGAGGTTACATGCAATCAAAGAAGGAAAAACTCAGGGGTAGGCTTTGGGCTGGGGGAGCAGGGAAAAAAGAAAAACAAACCACTTAAAATTTTAGGGACATCTCCTGCCAAAAGCTTTTTTTTTTTTTTTTCAAATAAAAAAAAAAAACACCCCGATCTGAAGCCAATGAAGCAAACAGGAAAGCAGCGTCTGGGCCTGCTCTGAGGGCAGATGGCAGCCTCTTGGGTTTCAGAATGAGTTGATCATTGCGTAAACAAGGTGGCCTCTGGGCGGGGGCAGCCTGCTCTGTAAGAGCTCTTCCCCAAGGGGCACTTGGGCCCTTTAGTGTCCACATTCTTCAAGCCTGGCAGTGCCCTGCCCTGGAGTCCCTTCAAGTTCAATGTTGCTTGGCAACTTACAATGTGCTATTACGACCGTGTCTGTTATTCCCC
This sequence comes from Homo sapiens, assembly GCF_000001405.40. Lineage (NCBI taxonomy): Eukaryota > Metazoa > Chordata > Mammalia > Primates > Hominidae > Homo > Homo sapiens. Next base: position 125,608,311 of record NC_000008.11, read on the forward strand.
ATGATGATCCTGTGAACGTGGTGTGGATTAGTAGATCCATCTTATGGAAAGGGGTACCCTGGGTTTCAGAAAGGTAGCCTTGCTAGCTCAAGGTCAGGTGGAGAGGAAATGGCAGAGCCAAGCACAGGACACAGGCCTCTGTTTTGCCGTTTAGCTAGGCAAGTGCAACAGGAAGGAAGGGGGAGGCATGCGTGACCCTGGGGAGGGCTGAGAGCCTTAACCATAACATCACCTTGGGGTTTGTTGAGTGTCCTTGAGTAAGCACGGGCTCTGGAACAAAAGAGCATGAACTCAAGCCCCAGATCCAGATCCTCCTAGCAGGAAAGTTTCTGAGATTTCTTGGGAAACTTAACCTTGGGAAAGTTTCTGAGATTTCTGAGCCTTGGGTTCCTCATCTGTGAAATGGGGATAGTAGTAGGACCTGCCTTATAAAGATGCGGTGGGAATTCAATGAGCTAAAGCCTATGAAATGTTTAGAGCCACTTCTGGCACACCCTGAGTGTTAGCTCTTATTGCAACATCCTTTCATGTAAACTCATTTAGGGTTTTATATTTATGCTGAGAAGGATTTATTTTTGTTTTTATTTTACAGATGATGAAACAGGACACAGAGAGGTTATTTTTCCCAAATCCAGTAAAGACGCAGAGCTGGAGGTTGAACCAGGGCTTCCGATGCCAATTCTGGATTGCTCCTGGCTGTGCCATGTTGGTTCTGTATGCCAAAATTCTTGGACTTTCTTGCTATTGTTGACCCCCAGTGTCTTGCTAGATGCTGCCTGGGACCGACACTGAGCAGAATCATGACAGGAGTGTCCGTGTCCCTAGGCTTCCCTTTTTGCCCAATTGCCCTATATTGGTGGAGGCTCCAACCTGCCCTGCAAGATGCTGGGTGCTCTTCTGCATCTGACTTATTCTTCCGCTCTGATTTATGTGAACTTATTTCCAAGACGTGGTAATTAATCACCGCCTCAGCAAGGGGGATCTGGGGGGGCTGACAAAGCACTGGAGCCCCTATAGGATTCCACAAACATTGGGATAATCAATATTCCTATTGATATATTTATTCTGGATTCCCTGTGTACTTACTGGGTACTTGTTCTGAGTGCTCCTCCTGTGCCAGCTGCTGGGGATGCAATGGTGAGTCCAAGCAGACATAGCCCAGGAGCTCCTAACGTTTGGAGTCCAGCAGGGAAGACTGATAGTAATCAGAGTCACGGTCATGAATGTGCAGCTACACACTGAGATAAGTTATCTGAAGGAAGCAAATCCAGCTTTGGGGAAACTGAGTAATAAAGAAAAAAATGATCTCAACTTGGGAGTCAGGGAAGGCTTCCTCAAGCCACTTAAAAGTGATGTCTGAGTTGCGTTCTGAAAGGCAGTGACAGTGAGCTAGTGAAGTGAGGATGGAAGAGCATTCCAGGCAATGGGAACAGCGAGTGCAAAGGCCCTATGGGGGAACTGACATTTTAGTTGGGTGAGCATGCAGAGGGCAAGGGGGAAGGACATGTGAGATGGGGTTAGAGGGGCCAGGGGTCATTTTAGGAGAGCGGGGTTGAATGATAGGGGGCAGGGAATCCACTAGAGAATTCTAATTTGAAGTGGTAGGGATGAGGTATTCATATTATTTAGTTTGTATTTGTAAAAGATCCCTCTGGCTGTTGAGTTGAGACTGGATTGGAAGGAGGTTAGAGTGGTGGCAAAGAGACAAGTCAGAAGGCTATAGATGTGGGCTGGGCAAGAGCTGCCAATACGTGGGACCCAGGTAGAGGTGGTGGTGCTGGACATAGATGGATTTGTGAGCTCTTCAGGAGTTAAAATCGACTGTTTCCTGTTCCAGGTACTATAGGAACTGGAGATACAATGATGAATAGGATATAGAAACCCATCTTCAAGGGGCTTACAGTCTAACAAGAGGGAGGCAGACGTGTAACAGATACATACATACAAATACAACTGGCCGTGATGGAGGATTGTAGAAATGGCCACAATATTTTGGACTGTGTTGTACCCACACCCTTTGCAATGTGACTTCCTAGCTTTTCCATAAGAGACTGGGTCTATTTCTCTATCCCTTGGATGAGGCCTGGTCTTATGATGTGCTTCTGTTGATAAAATTTGGTAGAAGTGATGTATGTTGGTTTTGAGCCCAGGCCTCTGTTGGCTTTGTGTGCTTCTACCATGTCTACAAATCTTGCAGAGTTTCTAGGAGAACAAACCCAGGCAAGCCTTCTTGATGATGAGAGACACATGGCCCAGTCATCTCTGTTCCTCTACCAGAGAGCAGGCCAAATACCAGATATGCAAAATAAACATCTTAGACTAGTTAACCCCTGGGTATCTGGCCACCTGACTGCAGATGCACAAGTGAGCTCAAGCAAGATCAGCCATGCCTGGCCACAATTAGCAGATGGGTTCAGCCAGCCCATAGATTTGCAAGCAGTAATAAATGCTTATTGCTCCAAGCAGTGATTGCCAAACTACAGCCTGTGGGCTGACCAGCCACCTGTTTTTGTATATAAAATTTTATTAGAATTTAGTCATGACAGTTATTTATGCATTGTCTGTGACTCCCTTTGAGTTACAAAGGCAAAACTGAGTAGTTGCAACAGAGATGCTGTAATCTGCAGAGCCTAAAATACTACCTTTTAAGAAAATGTTTGCTTGCCCCTGGTTTAGAGGTATTCAGTTGTGGAGCAGCTTGTTACACAGCACTAGCTGCCTGATGCATAGGTCCTGGAATAAAGGGGCGGGTGAGGGCACAAAGGAAGGATTTGTTAGCTCTCCATTGACTATGACATAGCATGGTTGGGAGAGGCTCTGTAGAGGAAGTGATGCTAAATGTGTCTTAAGCCATGTGTAGACTTGGGCTCAGAGGGAAATGATGAGGAAATCAAGGGTCAGAATGATTGTGATCAGGCCAAGGTCATGTGGCAGGTCTCCTGATTCCTGTTTGGGGACAATTTTTCCCTTGTCCCAGTAGACAATTTAACATTTTGGTTAAGAGAGAGGAGGACCCTGGGGCCAGATAGAGCTGGGTTCATTTTCCAGCTCTACCATTTCTGAGATAGATGATTTCACATTCTGGCTCTACCATTTCTGAGATAGATGATTTTGGGTAACTTACTTAGTTTCTCTGTACCTAAGCTTCCTCATTCATAAAATGGGGAAAATGACATTGATCTCACAGAGTTGTTATGAAATTAAATGAGATGATGGGCAGAGGTTCTGGTATACCACTTTATAAAAGAATGCTGCAGAGATAAAGACAGCTTAGAAATACTTGCCATAAGGCTTTCTGTTTTAATCAGGGTGGGAGATTTAAACTAAAGGATGTTTTATCAGCTTCCTTTGCTAATTACTCTACTGCTGAATTTGTAGTGGGATGGATGGTTTTGGGCATCAGTCATGTATACCCATGAACCCTATATCTCGTGGAGACCACCTGCTTCCCTTCTGGAATTATCTCACCCCAGAGACTGCCACCACCAACAGCTTCTTGGGGTCCCCACTCTGGGCTGCTCTCTGTCTGTTTCACAACCCACTGCAAATGGTGGGAGAGCCTGTGGGCTGAGGAGATTTGGTCACTTTGTGCATATCTCTAAGTTCCTGTTTCTCTGGGCTGGGACTGAGCCCATCCACATGCCCATTTAGATGATGAGGAAAAATGGAGGGTGTTGAGCTGGATTTAAGAAAGTGCTCCTCTGAGCATCTGTGATGTGCCAGGCCCTGTTCTGGGCTCTGGGAATTAGGGATGAGCCAGCCATGTTCCTCTTTCTTCCCAGAACTCAGAGCTTGCTGCAGGAGGTGGACTTGCAAATGGATGTTTTCAACACAAGATGGAGAGCGTAGCAGCAGAACAAACCCAGGGCTCCAGGGAAGCACAGCTTAGCTTTGGGCTCAGGGAATGACGCTCAGGGTGAGTTTGAGCTGAGTCTTCTAGCATAAGTAGGAGTTTGCCAGATAAAGACAGAGGGGAAAAAGCATCCCAGATGGAGGAAGCAGCATGAGCAAAGGTGGGGTGAGGAAACAGCTCAGCCTGTGCAGTGTGTGCCAGGAGCTTGGTGTTGCTGCGCAGGGAGTCTGAGTCAAGGGAAAGGTAAAGCCAGCAGAGTAAGCAGGAGTGTAGACCACATCGTCATCCAAAGGACTGAAGAACAGAGGGACCTGGCAGATGGGTGGTAGAGTAGATGCAGGGTGTAAGAGATTTCTGTGACCCTGGCCATGGGTCACCATAACAGGTGATGATTTCTGCTTTCTTGGCCTCCAGGAAAGGAGAGTTTAAGGAAGTTTGCAGCATCATATGGGTCTGTTTAATTCTGAAGCCCACTAAGGTTTCACCATCGGGTTACATTCTATTTCTTACCAAACCTAACAGAAGATTTTATCATGTTGCTTCATAACGTATGGTGGGACACAGAGGAGGCTGATAAACCATACTGAGTGCGTGAGTAGGGGATGGGGGAGAGGAAGAGAAGATGGGGACATCCTATCCTGTGCTGCATGACTCCAAGAGGTGATAGTCAGGGTCTGGGGAGAGCATGTGTGGTTTGTGTGTATGTGTGAGGGTCTAGGGATAAGGCCAGTGATGGGCTCAGAGGAGAAGTTTGGTAAGCATTTGGAAATCCTTTCTACTCTTCCAGATGAATGAAGAAGTGAATCCAAACCTGGAAGTGGATATTTTTAAAAAAGTCCCATCATCATTTTGGGAGCTGAGATGTCCCAGTGTCACAAAAGAGAATTTCTCAATGAGGAACTGACCAGCGAGGGAGAAAAATACCCTTTAAAAACACTTCCTGCTAGAAGTCAAATGGTGGGCAAGCAAGAGTTGCACCATCAATGCAGCATTCTTCTGGGTTCATTTTCTGACTTTGGAAGAGGTTGGTTTCTACAAATGCAGCGTTCTGCTCCCGGATCACCAGCTTCCCCAAACTCTAGCGACAGGAGTTGAAACTTTCAGTGGATCAGTTTGTGCAGGGCCTGTGCTGGCATCAAAGGGTTGCCTGATGATGAATCTGCAGGGAACGAGGAGGGAGGGAAGGGCTTCCCCAGTCGTGCCAGAGGCAGAGTGACCCAGGACATAATAAGTCATGCATTGCATTCCTCTGCCACCATGCAGACTTGTGGTGGCCATTCCAAACCACTGGAGAGAAATTCCATTTTATTCTTAGTGATTTTTGCATGGGAGACAGCTGACGTTCAGGTCCGGGCTCATAATCTTCCACTTTCGTCGATCCTGCAGGAAGAGCGGGCTTTGGCCAATGGCCATTAACCTCCCGCTGCCTGGCAGACCTTTTGTAAGGCTCAGGGATGAACGACAGGATGGCTGAGGGAATGGCCTTTGAGTTAGACCTCCCCCGACACCCCGGGGAGCCCAGGCTCTCCCCTCACCAGTTGTGTCACTTTGGGAAAGCTATTCACCTTCCTCAGCTTCGGTTTCCATATCTGAAAAAGAGTACCCATGCTCATCTCATAGGGAGTAAGTGATACCATGATAGTACAGTGCTTGAGGCATGCTCAGTGCACAGTAAGAGCTCCAGAGGAGGCTCCGTGCATGCTGTGTTCATGACGACACTACATATGCCCAGATTGTGTTCACACAGGCGCATGCCAAGAATCCATCAGCGTTCTCAGTCTGGGGGGGAGGTAGACATGGGGTGTTTTGGGAAAACAAGGAAGAGATTCCTAACTCACTTTCAGATGTGTGTGTGTGTGTGTTTGTGAGGATGTGTATGTGTTGACTGGTGTGAGCATAAGTGCATGAGTGGATGTGTGTGTCTGAGCATAGGTGTGTAAATATGTGTGTGACAGAGTTGAGTGTACGTGGTGTGTGTGAATGTGAGTACAGGTATCTGTGTGAGGGTGTGCATGTGTTGGGTGTGTGTATGTGTGTGTAAATGTAGGTGTCTACATGTTGGGTTGAGCCTAAGTGTGAATAATATGTGCGTGTGAGAGAGTTGAGTGTATGTGGTGTATGTGCGAGTGTGTATGTAAGCGTGAGTTAAGCCTGTGTGGTCTGTATGTGTGAGGGAGAGTCGTGTGTGTGTATGAGAGTTGTGTGCGGGTGGCATAGGTGTCTGTGTGTGTGTGCAAGTGTGTGTGAAAGTTAGGTGTGAGGGGCTGCGTGTGTGTGTGACAGGTGTGAGAGGGGGCTGCATGTAAGTGTGAGAGTTAGGTGTAGAGGGGCTGCTTGTGAGTGTGCAAGTGTGTGTGAGGGTCAGGTGTGAGGGGGCTGCGTGTGAGTGTGTGTGTAAGGGTCAGGTGTGAGGGGGGCTGCGTGTGAGTGTGTGTGCGAAGGCTTTTAGGCGCCTTTGGCGCTTGCTTGTGCCGAGTTGAGGATGGAACAGTTTGCAGAGCATGCACGCTAGGAGGCGTTAGGGGATGCCTGACAAGCATTTATTCATTCAGTCATTCAGCAAATACGTATTTGGGGTCTAGTCTGTGCTGGGTTTTGCGCCATGCAGTGGGGACATCGCTGGTTACTGCACACCTTCTTTGCGGTTCTTCTCCGTGGCCCGCCTGGCTCCATTCCTAGCCTGCTTGGAGCCCTGGAGGCTGACCCTGCCAGCTGTGCCCCCAGGCTCCCTGTCACTGTCTTCTGGTTGAGTCGGGTCTGTCGAGGGCTCTGGCAGGAGACCAAAGGGCAAAGGGAGAGGGAGGTTCACATCTTGGGCAGCAGCTGGGCCCCTCCACAACTGCGGTTCCTGCCCCTCTTCTGAGTCTCCAGTAACACTATCTCCTCCCCTTGCTCCTTCAGCTGAGTGAGGGGCCCCCACTTGGTATTTCTGGGAGCCCCAGCATCCAGAATGGTTCTTTCATTACATGATCTTCATTTGCACAGTCTGGGGTGAACTCTTTTTTCTGCTGCATCCTTGCGGACACACCTAGCAACGCGCTTATCATTGGTTGTTCAATTAGGCTTGAGTGTCTTTCTTGGGATGAATTCCCAGCCTCCCCTTCCCCTTCCTCTTCCCCTTCCCCTTCCCCTTCCCCTTCTCCTTCCCCTTCCCTCCCCTCCCCTCCCTTCGTTTCTTTTCTGCCGTAAAAGGAGCAAATCAGCAGACTGGAGACTCTGAGGTTTGCTTTAATTCTGAAAATTCTAGATTTGGCTTTCTATTCTCTTGCCTGCTCTGGGATGGGGGCTCTGCTCTTGGTGGTTCCAGAATGCTCTTTACTTTGGGGAGGAGGAGGGGGAAGATCAACATCTGCATCCAGCTGTGCCCTGCCAGGGGCACCCGCGGGCAGCTGTCAGCAGCCTGGCAGTTCCTCCTTCGGAACCATTTTGCCTCCCCCAGCCTCCTCCCACTATATTCAGCTGCTTTCTGCATCATCCCCTTGGCACCCCCCCACCCCCGACTGCCAGAGGGCCAAAAGGAGCCTTCTAGTTCATTGTGTTATGCGGTAGATATGTGTAGAGCACCGCTCTGTGCCTGGCCCTGCTCTGAACACTGAGGATCCAGCAGTGAGCACGGCCAGCAGTGGCCCTGCCTTCATGGAGCTCGTACTCTGGTGGGAAGAGAGAGACAATAAACAAAGAAATGCACAATCGTAATAGATCAGGTGGTGGTGCGTGCCTAGATGAAAAATGAAACAGGTGGCTGGGCACGGTATCACATGCCTGTGAACCCAGCACTTTGGAAGGCCGAGGTGGGGAATCACCTGAGGTCAGGAGTTCAAGACCAGCCTGGCCAACATGGTGAAACCCCGTCTCTACTAAAAATACAAAAATTTTCCAGGCCTGGAGGTGGGCATCTGTAATCCCAGCTACTCGGGAGATTGAGGCAAGAGAATCACTTGAACCCGGGAGGTGGAGGTTGCAGTGAGCCAAGATCACGCGACTGCACTCCAGCCTGGGCAACAGAGTGAGACTCTGTCTGGAAAAAAGAAAAAGAAAAAAGAAACAGGTTAAGGAGATAAACAATGCTGGCATGGGGTATGCGAGCTGTTTCATACAGGGTGGTCTTGGAGGGCCTACGGAGAAGGTGACATTTGAGCAGAGACTGGGAGAAGCGATGGAGGGGCCCACGGATGTCTGGGAGAGAGTGCACTGGGCAGAGCAGGCTGCAGGTGCAGAGGCCTTGAGCTGGGGGCCTGTGGGGGGATTGCAGGAAGAGTGACCAGAGGGAGGATGAGGAGGGCAGTGGCAGGTCATGAGCTCTCGGAGGCACAGAACAGACCTTGTAAGGCCTCAGAAGCATGGGGATCACTTTGGAATTTATTCTGAGTGAAAGGGAGGCTTTTGCAGAAATAGAGAAGTAATAAAGATTTCAGGATCATTCTGTCTGTTGTATGGAGGAGGTAGGGGGTGGGCAAGAGCAGAGGCAGAAAACCAGAAAGGGACCATCCCAAGGACAGTAAGACCTGCCACCCCTGCCAGCACCAGCATATCTGCAGCACAGCATGACATAACGCAGGGTCCACACGAGGTGTTGGTTGCTGTTCTTGTAATCAGCAGCGTTGTCATCACCCCAGCAATGTGCGAACTTGCGGAAATTATTTTTTCTGTCCAAGGTTCAGGTTCTCCATCCATAAGCTGAGGGTAATAATATCTACCTTTTAGGGCTGCTGTGGGGATTTATGCTGCTCAGGTATGTAATGCTCACAGAAAGTGAATATGATAACTATGATTCCCATTTTAAGGATGAGGAAACTGAGGCTCCACTTAACTGAGGCCATACCTTGCCCATCTGATTCTAAACATTCAGGCCTATCAGAAAGGAATGCCCCCAAATCTGGGGCTAACATAGAGATGTATCATGTCTGTGTTTTATGTTCCTTTGTGGCTAAGGTGAGCTCAAGATCCTTTTCTTCTAGTCCAGTAGATTCTAGGTTCTTAACCCCAGTGATCAAGGAAAGCCCAGAGTCCTACTTCTTTGACCACCACAAGCTCATCATTCTATCCTGTTGGCTCTGAAATCAGTTAATCACATCAAGAGGGACAGATTCTCCTTCGCTGTGCTCTGTTCCTCACAGAGAGCATCATGGAGATGAAAAGACACTATAATAATGGCAATTGATTCTGTAGTTTCTTGAGTCAGACACCATGCAAAGCGCCTTCTACATGCTATCCCATTTAACCCACAGAACAACCCTATGAGATTAATGTCATTCTCATCTGCATGCTACAGGTGAGGAAATGGAAGTTTAGGAAGGTTAAATAGTTTGCCCAAGGTCACGTCCCTAGTGAAGGGCAGAACCAGGTTTGAATCTAAGATTTGATAACTTAGGTGTGTGCTCCCTCCACGGATCTCCTGTTAATTCTTCTATTCCATGTCCAGCTTGGTCATGGAATATTCATGCATGGAATAATTAATTAATTAGATGACGAATTAATTTATTTGGCTGAATGAATGGCACTGACTTGGAACTACGGGGAGAATAGAATAGGTCAGAGAAAGAATGACTGATTGGAATCAGGTGAGTCTGGAAGGAGGCTGGGGCTTCTGGGCTTGCTATCAATGTGGTCCTAGGCAAAGTGGCTGGCAGGATGGAGACCCCCCCAGGAGACGTCCACACCCAAATACTTGGAACCTGTGAATGTGTTATCTTATGTAGCAGAAAGGACTTTGCAGATATAATTAAGGTTATGGATCTTGAAGTGAGAAGACTATCCTGATGGGCTCGATGGAATCACATGAGTCCTTACAAGTGGAGACCCTTCCTGCCCATGGTCAGAGGGAGAGATGCCACGAGAGAAGAAGAGTCAGAGAGAAAGACTCACCTGGCCATCGTGGGCTTTGAAAATGGAGGGAGAGGAGCGTGGGTCATGGGGTGCAGATGGCGTGGTTCCCTGGATCAGGGCTTCGAGTCAGGAATCACCAGCTTTGGGTCCTCCCAAGCTGCATTCTGCCATTGTCACACCTCTCTAGCTGTACACCCAGGGAGAGGCTGCCCACTTTTTCTTTGTGTCGTCGAGGAAGGTTTTTCTTTCCTTTCACCTCTCACTTGCCACGTGACCTGAGCTAAATGACTTTTTCTGTTTGAGTCCCTTTTCCTTGTCAGCAAAATAAAGATGTGCTCTGGACAACCTCTCAGACATCCTTTAGCTCTAAGATTCTGTGGGTCTGTGTGTTTCCAAGAAGAAAAATCAACCCCTAAACAAAAACCAAACTAAAAGCAAAAGGATTGACATCACTACCTTAGAAAAATAAGAGCTAACCTTTACTGTCTAGAAACCAGACCCTGTTCATTTAACAGCTCATTTAATCCCCTAAAAGGTAAGTGCTATTCTTATTCCTGGGCACAGAGAGGTGAGGTGTCTAGCCTCAGTCACACAGTGTGAACGTGGCATGGCTGGGCTTCACCCTTGGTAGTTGTCCTCCACAGACCATGCTAATAACCAAGAGCATTGGACCATTTCCATGTTCATTCCTCCATCCTTTGGGTTATCCTGAGTCATCACCAAGAGCTTACACCCATCTCTTGCTTACACCCATCTTGTCTTGGCTTTAACTCTATTTTCCTAGTATCATCAGGTCACACTTTTATGTTTCCTGGAAATCCGGAACTGAGCTGGAAGAATATTCAGAGATGCTTAATACTCATGTCTTCATATTGTTGGATGATATGTGGGTCCCCTATTCTAAGAGATTTCAATCATAGCTGATATTTATTGAATACTTACTATACACTGGGTCCATCCTTAGAACTTTATGTGTGTGATGGACATAAAGATGGAAACAATAGCCACTGGGGACTATTGCAGGGGGTGGGGAGGGAGGGGAGTGTGGATTGAAAAAACTGCCTATTGGGTACTATGCTCACTACCTAGGTGATGGGATCCATATCCCAAACCTCAGCATCACACAGTTATACCCATGTAACAAACCTGCACAGGCACTCCCTAATCTAAAATAAAATTTGAAGAAGCCCCAGTTGCCTAACGGATAAGGCATTGGCCTCCTAAAATAAAATTTGAAATTACAAAAAAAAAGAACTTGACATGTGTTAACACTTTTACTTCTCACTCCCACCCTGTCTGATGAGGTGGGCCCTCCTGTCATCACATTCTGCAGATGAGGAAATGGAAGCATGGAGCATGGCTGGGATAATGTGCCCATGTCACACAGAGAACGTAACGAGGCATTCCTGGGATTCAAACCCAGGCTGTCCGCCCACAGGCACTAGGCTTCTCCCCACTTCACTTTACTGTCTTTTTCAAGATAGCCTCTTCTGCATAGTAATTCTATGAAACGTTTTTAGAGACTCTGTAATGAAAGGGTTCCATGGTTAAATAAGTTTGTATGAGTAGGGTTAAATAAATAAAACTAAAGTTTCTCTACTCCTGGATTTTTTTTTTTTTTTTTAATTTGAGAGGGAGTCTCACTCTGTTGCCCAGGTTGGAGTGCAGTGGCATGATCTCGGCTCACTGCAACCTCCACCTCCCTGGTTCAAACGATTCTCCTGTCTCAGTCTCCCAGGTAGCTGGCACTACAGGTGTGCACCACCACGTCTGGCTTATTTTTGTATTTTTGTAGAGACAGGGTTTTGCCATGTTGGCCAGGCTGGTCTTGAACTCCTGACCTCAAGTGATCTGCGTGCCTCGGCCTCCCAAAGTGCTGGAATTCCAGGCGTGAGCCACTGTGCCTGGCCTCCTGGATTCTTGAAGAGCCAAATGGTTATCAGGATCTTCATGAGCAGGATGGAGCAGGCACATGCATTAAGCTCATTTGACCATGGGGACTCTCTATTTGTGGTGGATCACCTCAGGACACATATTTTGTGAAAATTGGCTCTAGAGGCATTCTAGGTGGGAAGATTTTTAGACGAAGGAGTCATAGCTCCAGTTTCTGTTTAGTTCTCAGTCCTCCATTCCAATTGTCCTCCAAATACCCCATCATCTCCCCACTAATGACTGTGCTGGCCCTGCTGTGCACCTGGCGTGCATTCAGGGAATAACAAGCTTATGTACTGAGTTTCCAGAAAGCGCAGTGCACTTTTAGTGCGCCAAACTGGTAATTTGCCATTTAGAGAATTCTTCCTAAAGTAGATTATTTCTGTTAAAGCAAATCACTATTCCTAACTGATTTATAATTTTGGTAAATCTAAATTTTCATGAAATAGGCTTATAAAGCGTGCCACATTTCTGTTTTCTCCTATGGACAGGAAGAAAAAGTTGGATGGGGACAGAAGGACAGAACAGGGTGCGGAAACCATAGGATAAAAGCTGTGGGTTTTCCCCCAAAAGTTGCTCAAAAGAATAATATGACTTCTGCTTTTCTTCTCCTCTGGGTGGCAATTGGGGAATCCAGCAGCCTGTTGAGAGGACAGAATTGGTTAAGTTGTGGAGAGGTGCAGTCTAATTGTTAAATCTTTAAAAGTCTTGGTTGTCTAACCTGCTGGTTTTCTTGCTCACAGCCCCTGCAGATATCTTCTCAGCCTACCTTAACGCTGGCATGCAAGGTTTTTCTCTTTGCTGAGTGTCATTTGGTTAATTTCCATGTTCAATTCTACGCTGTCCATGATTACCAAGCACCTACTATGGTCTTGCTTTGAGTCAGGCACTGTGGCTTTAGTAATCCTTATAATTCACACATTCATTCATTCATAAGGTCCTGGAGATGCAGAAATGAGTGAAGCATGATCTCTGCTTTGGAGGAGAACTCAATGGATTAGACACAAATAAGCCAAATAGAGAGTCGGTCTGAGCTTGTGGCAGAATTTAACGGGCAACAGGGATGGGGAAACACAGAGGTTTGAGAGATCATAACCATGTGCTGGGATAGTTTGGTCTGGAAAGTTTTCTAGATGGAAGGGGCAACTGAGTCGGGCTTTGAAAGATGAGTAAGATGTAGTTATACAGAGAAGTTGGTAGAAAAGACCTGGTAGAAGAAAATTCCTGAGCAAGGAGAAGGACTTGAGGATGTCTAGAGGGTGTTATTAGTTTGTCAGTGGCAAAGGGGCACTAGACCTAAGTTCTTTGGCTTTTTCTGTGACAACTGGTGACCTTTCCTATGTTAGATCCTCTCCTAACATCTGACGGTAATGGAAATCTTTCTAGGTAGAGAGTTTCTAAACAGCCCAGGTAAGTCATTTAACTTTTGGTACCTCATTCTTTTTTTTTTTTAAATCAGCAGAAGGGAGACAAAGGACTTAATTTCTGAGGTTAAGGTAAGAATTATAAGTGAATGATGTATATAAAGCTTTAGAACTGTGGATGACACCTAGTAAGTGGTCATTAAATGTTAGTTATTATTATCATTATTACTACTATTCTGGAATACAGGAGGATTTCAGCAAGTAGTTAACCATGAGAACTCTAAGGGTAGGCACACTTAGTTATTTCTGCATCTTCTGCACATGCCAGTTTGTGAGCTGGTAGCTTTCAATAGATGCCTTTCAGATGACTTGAGTGGTTCAATAAATCAGTATGAGAGAAATATCCCTTTTCTCTAGGAAGCTCAATGCACTGGTTTCGCTTATTCTTGAGGTTCTAGACACAAGATCCTGGCCTGGGTGGGAAGACCCCCATGCTATTGGGCCAACTCTCTAACTTCATGTGTATCCTCTGTGAGTTCCTCTCGGGTAAAGAACATTTGACCCCTGTTTAGAAAGATTGCCTTTCACAATCTCCCAGTTCTCTAGATGGGACTTGCTGAGCTGACAGAATGTACAGAGAAGAACTAACTATTTTTAGGGTGAACTAGAAAGATTAGAACTTTGTTCTCTTCTCAAATAGCAAACCTCCAACCTGTGAAAATCCAGAGAGGAGTTATTGAAGAGTCGGAGGTAGGGAGGTGTTTGTTGCACTCTTTATTATTATTATTATTGTTTTTTGAGGTGGAGTCTCGCTCTGTCACCCAGGCTGGAGTGCAGTGACACGATCTCGGCTCACTGCAAGCTCCATCTCCTGGATCCACGCCATTCTCCTGCCTCGGCCTCCCCAGTAGCTGGGACTACAGGCGCCCGCCACCACGCCCGTCTCATTTTTTGATTTTTAGTAGAGACAGGGTTTCACCATGTTAGCCAGGATGGTGTCGATCTCCTGACCTCGTGATCCGCCTGCCTCGGCCTTCCAAAGTGCTGGGACTACAGGCGTCAGCCACTGCGTTCAGCCTATTATTATTTTTTTGAGACGGAGTCCCACTCTGTTGCCCGGGCTGGAGTGCAGTGGCACGACCTTGGCTCACTGAAACCTCCACTGTCCTGGGTTCAAGAGATTCTCCTGCCTTAGCCAACTGAGTAGCTGGGATTACAGGCACCTGCCACTGCACCCAGGTAATTTTTGTATTTTTAGTAGAGACAGGGTTTCACCATGTTGGCCAGGCTGGTCTTGAACTCCGGACCTCGTGATCCATCCTTCTTGGCCTCCCAAAGTGCTGGGATTACAGGCATGAGCCACCACGCCCGGCCTGTTGCACTCTTACTGCTTAAAATTCTCGCATAAAAATAATAACAGATTCCTGGTGATGGAGTGTCTTCTCTGTGTCAGGCCCTAGGTGCATGCTTTACACATACATTATTGTTCCATGCTTACAGCAACTTCATGAGATTGGTTTAATTCTTCTCTTTTGCAGATAAGAAAATCGAGGCATGGAAACAATGCTGTCCACAGCCACACCGAGGGGGCAAAGTAGAGCTGGAATTCCAACACTGGTCTGTCCAGCTTCAAGACCCAACCTCTCTATGAGGATGAAAACCTAATGAAACAAATCAAAACAGATGAAACAACCTCAGCCTACAGGCTAAAGAATGCGCTCACTCACTCAAGTCATAGTGAAGATGTGGAACACATCATTTTGCTGGTACAGAGGCAGATTCACAGATGAGAATGTCAGGGATTCTGTCTCAGAGGCGCTCGTGTCCTTACAAGGGAGGTGTAAGGACTACCTTGTTTTTCATCTGCCCATCTTCTTCATTTCATATTGGGATTTCCCCTTCCCAGTTCACATGCCAACTGGAAGGTTTGCGAGTCCAAATCCCAGCACTCATCTGGCAAAGGGGTGAATGTTTGACTCATATTGGAAAATTAGACTATAGGAAAGTAAATGATGACCCCCTAATCTGAAAATGGCTAGAGCGGATTAATCCAGCTAGCAGCACTCTGAAGATAGCTGCCCATTTGTTCCTGCCATCTGGCTGTTCAGCTTTCCTTCTTTCTGAGAGCTTCCTTGTGGCAGCTACTGTAGGTTGGTTCACTCAGCGCCCATTCCATTTCCCGTCAAGCCGTGCTTTCTCTGCTCTAGAACGTGGAAGACTCAAAGCTCGCTTTCCCAGACTTCCTTGCAGCTAGGAGTGGCCATGATACTTGACCAGCGAGATGCAAGTGTAAGTCTGCTGGGGCTGTCTATCCCCTTTCTCCTTCTTCCTACTGGAATGTGGACCTGATGGTTGTAGCTGTGGCATATACCTTATGAGCATGAGGGAAAGCTTAAGAGAATTGCGGGCACCAGCCTGACACTGCTTAGTGACGTCAGGCAGGCACAAACTTCCCTTTGGGCTCCTTGCTGAAGAACTCCATAGTGGTTTCTGTTACTTGTGGCCAAATTTACCTCTTCACTGATACATGATCTGCACATTTTCTTTGCACTTTTATAAACAGGGTGTATGCTTGAGGTAGGCAGAGTTTCTGTTTGCAACTAAGAAACCTTAATTGATATAAGGAAAGGAAAATAATATTATGATGATACAAAGCAAACCATAACACCATCCAGAATAAAATATGTTCTGGCAGGAGGACGGTCGCAATACAAGTTCATGTAGACGTAGTCTGTCACATTTTTAAGTTTTCTCACAATGTTTTCCTTTGACTGTCCCAGATATCCTATAAAGTAAGAATTATTTTTATCCCCATCTTAAAGGTTAAAAAAATCTCAGAGTTTAAGTGCTGTGGAAATTATTAGATTGGTGCAAAAGCAATTGTGGTTTTTGCCATTTCTTTTAATTTTAATGGCAAAAACCGCAATTGCTTTTGCACCAACCTAATAAGAGACTAAAGTGATTAATTAAAACTGTGAGAGCTTCATGAAAGGGGTGGTTTTAAGCTGAGTTTTGAAGGATGAACAGGCTTTTGAGAAAGGCAGTAGGTGGTGGACAGAACATTCTAGCTGAAGCAAGAGCTGCAAATACTGGAAGGCTGGGCGAGTTTGGGAAGTGTGGTTGGTGCTCAGGGCTGGGGCCTAGAGCACTTGGGAAGCATGTGAGGGAAGCAGATTTGGAATAGTTGGCAGGGGCCGGATCATGAAGGGTCGGTACACTGGCAGCCTCTTTGGATTGCAGAGAACAGAGGCATCCAGGTGAGCTCGAGTAATAAGGTCGTTGTGAAGATGCATATGGGAACAAAGGAGGTTCTAGAATTAGGGCAAAGATTCTTGGGGAACTGGGACTACACCACAACCAACACCACAGAGTGAATGAAAACCTCAGAACAGTCAGACTTATGAAGGTTGGAATGTACTTTGACAATATAAATCTGTCGAGAATCAAACCCAGTTCTAGTAACTGACTTATCTTGTCTTCCTCTCAGTAGCAAAAACTCATTGGTTCCTACTCTGAAGGTCTGATATTAACATGAAACCCTTTTGAATTCAGTTCTCTGTGTATATCCTCAGCTCAAATCCTCAAGAGTGTGCGTTAGGATAAATCAGCTCTGCTGTGATAACAGATAAACTCTAAAACCATCAGGGCTTTACATCATTACACAAAGTGCCACCTGAAACATGTGTCCTCAAAGTTCCCCATGGCAAGAGAAGATAGGGACAAAGGAAGCACACAAGTCCTTAATATTTTTAATTCTTATCTTTGCATTCCATTCACCAGAAGTAGCAACATGGCCCTACCTAATTGCAAGGGAGCTGGGAAAGAGGAAATCACACAGAGTATTTGATAGTCACGAACACTCCCTGCTATGAATCTGAGGTATCTCACTGGTCACCCTCGTCTCTACTGGGGAATGTGCTCTTGACAGGGACACCTCATTGGCCCCTTTCCAGGAAGGATTGGCTTGGCTGCCCTTTAGTCAGGTGTCCTCTCCTGGTCCAGTGAGCTGTGGCCTGGAAAGAAGAGGCCACAGTCTCTGTGATGTAGGCAGGACAATTTCCATTTGAGGACTTTAATGATTTAATGGAACCACTTCACTATATTATGTGAAGACTGGGAGTTTATGTTGAGGCATTGAAGGTGTTAGCCATTGAAGGTGTTAGCAGAGCAGTGAGAGACATGATTGGATTTACATTTCTCACAGGTCACTCGGAGGCTGGCCTGAGCATAATGGGTTGGAGGTAGAGAGACTAGTTGTAATGCTGCTGTTATTGTCCAAGGAAGACATTAGACAGAAATGGAATTGGGGTAAAAGGCTGAAAGTGAAGACCTTGCAGAATTGAAGCAGGCAGGAAGTCGTATGCCAGAATAATATACAGAGTATCTCACATGTGATTGTCATCAGAAGTGAATGAGACCCTGTCTATAGAGAACATAGCACGAAGACTCAGCATCTACTATTATGCCCTAATCAAAATATTTGATACAGGACCTTTCAGCCTCTGCTGGGATACTTCCAGGGATGGGAAGCTTACCACTGTTTGAGCAGTCTGTACATTGTGGACATAGTTAATACTTTGAAAATGCCTTCTTAGATTAATCTCAATTCTTCCCTCCTCCCTCCTTTTATCCTTTGTTTCTCCACCCATCATCCTTTTCTCTAGGAAAAGGATGTCTCCTAAGAAGGAAGACAAATCCTTTTGGCTCCCTCAGATTTTCTCCTCTTCGTCATCCTTCCAGCTTCCCAAGAAATCCCAGAATAAAACTTTCCACTCAAGGTCCCACCTTGGCCTTGCCTCTAGGGACATTCTGATTTTCCTTTGTCAAGATGGGGAGCATCCTAGGCTTTCCAGGGAGCAGAGCCTGTGCCTCTGAGAGGGCACAGACTATGGAATCAATAGAAGTTATTGGTCATTAAAGTGTTTCCCTGGATATTCTTATAATGGGAAAAGATTATGGTGGGATAATGGGAAATCTATTAAGCTAGGAGGAGGAGGGTCTTGGGGACTAATAGGTGTGGTGTTCAGCTAACTGGGCCCTTATGCTGGCGGTTCTAGGCCTCAAAGTCATCCCAGTGGCCAAAGCCTTCTTGATCACTGAAATCAGGTATCTCCAGTTAGTGTTCATGTTTTAATCTGAATATAAAGCCCAGTTCCACTTTGCTCTGTTCATTTCTTTAGTGCTTATTTATTGAGTGCCTGCTAGGACCCAGGCAGTGAGAACTCTGATGAAAAAGACAATAGGCCCTGTCCTCATGGAGCTCAGTGTCTTGTTGGGAAGAAAAAGAAGAAATTTATCATAAGTAACAACAGTAAAAGTGATAGTTTAGGGCCGGGCACAGTAGCTCATGCCTGTAATCCCGGCACTTTGGGAGGCTGAGGCGGGCGAATCACTTGAGGTCAGGAGTTCGAGACCAGCCTGGCCAACATGGTGAAACCCCGTCTCTGCTAAAAATACAAAAATTAGCTGGGTGTGGTGGCATGTCCCTGTAATCTCAGCTACTCGGAAGGCTGAGGCAGGAGAATGGCTTGAACCTGGGAGGCAGAGGTTGCAGTGAGCCGAGATTGTACCACTGCACTCCAGCCTAGGGAACAAGAGCAAAACTCCATCTCAAAAAAAAAAAAAAAAGAGTGGTAGTTTAATAAACAGTAATATGTGGGCCAAACATTTTACATAGATTATTTTATTTAATCTTATCAGTGATCCTATCAGAAGCTTTTCTGCTCCCATTTTGCAGATGGGAAATTGAGGTTTAGAAAGGTCAAGTAAAATGCCCGAGATGACACAGCTAGGAGCTAGAATTCATGTCCTCACTTGAAAATACCTCTTGCTTTGCTCCCCCATTACACACACACACACACACACACATACACATGCACATGTACACATGCATACTCATACTCTGGGAGACCAGAAGGGAAGCAGCACCTAACCAGCCCAGGATTGCAGGGATCACTTCCTGCAGAAGTGACATCGGAGCTGAGTCCTCAGGAAGTGTGCACGCTTGCCAGATAGAGGGGAGGAACAGCCTTCCAGGTAGACAGAAGGACATGGACAACATGCCAGGTGAGAGGGCGTGCAGTGGATCTGGGGAATCTCTAAGTTGTTTATGGTTGGTTGACATGTGGCTTGACTGGAGAGAAGGATGGGAGATGAGGATTGACAGGTGGACAAAATCGGGCCAGGATGGGGGAAGATGGGCATAGTCACTGTGACCTTTGTGATGGTTGGAGGAGGTGACCTGATAAATATTCGTTCTCTGTAAAGCAGGAGTAGCCTTCAGGCCACATTGTCTCCGTCTGCTCCCTCCTCCCTGCAAGCCCTAGGGTAAGTGAGAAAGTGCCTCCTGAGGCTCTTATTGTCAAAAGGATGGAGTTCCTGAAAGAATGGAAGATGTATGTTCACTCTTAGCTTTATAACTTGTTATCTGAGGGAAACTTGGGCTGGCCTCTTCTCTAAATCTCAGTTTTCTTGTCTATAAAGTGGGGTTATTAATACCAATGTCATCACAAAGTTGTAATAGGGAATAAATCAGATGAGATAAAAACACACACATGCTTCGTAACTATCTTGTGTTTAACTCTTTGTTCTGGTTACCCATTGCTGCATAAAAAAGACCCCAGAACTTAATTGTGTAAAACAACCTTTGTTTTGCTTCCGAGTCTACGATTTGGGCAGAGCTTGGCAGGGAACTGCTCATCTCTGCTCTACTCACTTTCAGCTATGGCAGCTTAAAGGCGGGAGCTGGAGTCATGCAAAAGCTTTTTAATCCTAGGCCTAGTAGTTGCTGCTGGCTGTTAGCTAGGACCTTAGCTGAGACTGTCGGCAGAACATCTCACCCAGCCTCTTCATGTGGCTCCCTGAACAACATGGCAGCTGGGTTCCCAGGAGGAGCCTGAGAGAGCACCAGGTAGAAGTAAGATAACCTAGCTCCAGAAATTAGACAGGGTTGCTTCTACTTCATTTTATTTATTAAAAAGGAGTCACCAAGCCTGGACGACATTCAAGAGGAGGAGAATTGTACTCTATCTTTTGATGAGATGAGTTCCATTGGCTCAGCCAAGGTCACGCTCCTGGAGCTGGAGATTGGGGTAATGGCTCAGAAGAAGCTCTTCCACCCCATCTGTATCTGGCAAACTTGCATACTTTCTGAGGACTCAGCTCTGATGTCACTTTGCAGGAAGTGTTTCCTGCATCCTAGGCTGGTTAGATGCTCCTCCCATCAAAAGATGGAAATTTGTTTTAAAACCACGTTTTAAAACCAACACACCCTTGTAGCAAGTTGCTATCATGTGGCAGGCAATGAGTCAGGTGGGGGTGGGTATGAACAGTAGGGAAGATGAAGTAAAGTCTCATTCCTATTTTGCACTGATTTTAATGAGGTTAACAACACTTATATGGCTGATATCTCAGCTGAGACACTGCATATGAAATTGCTTTGTGGCATTAATAGGAAATTGCTTTGTGGTATTAATAGGTAATTATATTGTATTTCACAGAGGGGCACTGTCAGAACAACTGTATCAGATACAACAGTATCAGTTGGTTGAAAGTAACACAGCTTAGTTCATCCTCAACAAAACACTAGCAAAACTGAATTCAACAGCACATTAAAAAGGTCATTCACCATGATCAAATAGGATTCATCTCAGGGATGCAAAGATGGTTCAACATACGCAAATCAATAAATGTGATATATCCTATCAACAGAATCAAGGACAAAACCATATCATTTTGGTAGACACAGAAGGAGCATTTGATAAAATTCAATATCTCTTTATGATAAAAACTCTCAAAAAACTAGGCATAGAAGGTATATCCTTAACACAATAAAGGCCATGTATGACAAATCCACAGCAAACATCATACTGAATGGGGAAAAGTTGAAAGATTTTTCTTTAAAATCTAGAACAATACAAGGATACCCATTTTCACCATTTTTATTCAAACTAGTATTGAAGGTGCTAGCCAGAGCAATTAGACAAGATAAAGGGCACCCAGATAGGAAAGCAGTAAGTCAAATTGTCTCTGTTTGCAGATAACATTATCTTGTTGAAAATTCCAAAGTCTCAACTGAAATCTCTTAGAACTAATAGATGAACTCAATAAAGTTGTGGTATACAAAATCAACATGCAAAAATCAGTAGTGTTTCTATAGACCAATAGCAAACTAGCTAACAAAGAAATCAATACAACAATCCTATCTACAACAGCTACAAAAAATACCTAGGAATAAATTTAACCAAAAAGGTGAAAGATCTTTACAGTAAAAACCATAAAACATTGATGAAAGAAGTTGAAGAGGATATAAATAAATGGAAAGATATTCTATGTTCATGGATTGGAAGAATTGACATTATTACAATGTTCATACTACACAATGCGATCTACAATTCAATGCAATCTCAATCAAAATACTGATGTCATTCTTCATAGAAATAGAAAGAAATCTTAAAATTTTTATGGAACTATAGAAGACTCAGAATAGCTAAAGCAATCTTGAGCAAGAAAAACAAAGCTAGAGGCATCACACTACCTGACTTCAAAATATGTGTACTGCAAAACTATAGTAATCTGAACAGCATAACGTTGGCATAAAAATAGGCACAGACCAGTGGGACAAAAGAGACAACACAGGAATAAATCCACTCACTTATAGCCAACTGATTTTCTACAAAGATGCCAAGAGTACACACTGGGGGAAAGGACAGTCTCTTCAATAAATGGTGCTGGGAAAACTGGATATTCACATGTAGAAGAATGAAACCAGTCCCCATCTCTCACCATATACAAAAATCAACTCAAAATGAATTAAAGACTTAAATATAACATCCAAAACTCTAAAACCACTAGAAGAAAACATAGAGAAAACCCTTCATGGCATTGGTATGGGCAAAGATTTTTTTGGATAAGAACCCGAAAACACAGGCAACAAAATCAAAAAACAGAAAATGGGATTATATCAAACTGGGAAGCTTCTGTACAACAAAGGAAATAATCAACAGAGTAAAGAGACAATCTACACAATTTGAGAAAAATATTTGCAAACTACTATGCATCTGACAAGGGGTTAATATCCAGAATATATAAGAAAAACAACTCAATAACAAAAATCAAATAATCTGATTAAAAAATGGGCAAAAGACGTGAATAGACACTATCAAAAGAAGACATACAAATGGCCAACAGGTATATGAAAAAATGCTCAACATCACTAATCATTAGGGAAATGCAAATCAAAACCGCAATGAGATATTACCTCACTCCAGTTAGAATGATTATTATCAAAAAGAAAAAAATAACCAATGATGCCATGAATGTGGAGAAAAGGGAACCCTTGTCCATTGAAGATGGGAATATAAATTGGTACAGCCATTATGGGATACAATGTGGAGGTTCCTCAAAAAATTAAAAATAGAACTACCATGTGATCCAGCAATCCCACTACTAGGCATTTATTCAAAGGAAATGAAATCAGTATGTCAAAGAGATATTTGCATTCCCATGTTTACTGCAGGACTATTTTCAACTTAGATATGGAATCAACCTAAGTGCCTATCAATGGATGAGTGGATTAAAAAAAGTGGTATATATACACAATGAAATACTATTTAGCTATAAAGAAGAAGGAAATCCTGTGATTTGTGACAACATGGATTAACCTGGAGGACATTATGTTAAGTGAAAAAACACAGGCACAGAAAGACAAATACCACATGATTTTACTCATTTGTGGAATAAAAAAAAAAAGCTGATCTCATAGAAGTACACAGTAGAATAGTGGTTACCTGAGACTGGGGGAGGATAAGGGGTGAAGGGAATGGGGAGAGATTGGTCAGGGGGTACAAAATTACAGACAGGAGGAATAAGTTCTGGTGTTCTATTGCATAAGAGGGTCACTATAGGTAACAATATGATATTGCATATTTCAAAATAATTAGAATAGAGGATTTTGAATATTCTCCCCGCAAAGAAACGATGAATGTTTGAAGTGATGGATAAGTTAAATGCCTTGATTTGGTCATTACACATGTTTACAAGTATTGAAACATCACAGTCACCCATACATTTTTACAATTATGTGTCAATTGAAAATAAAACCTAAAGAAAACCTAGTTCAAACTAACTTATATAATGAAGAGAGTTCACTGGCTTATGTAAATAAAAGTCTAGAGCGTGTGCTTTAGGCAGCGCTTGGTTCAGCCACATAAAGATGCTTCTGATGAACTGTTTTTTTTTTTTTTCCTATTTCTTTCTCTTTGCCTTCTGTGGTTGCGAGACAGCTGCTGGAAGCTCCTTGATTATGTGTCTCTTCATTCCTAGCCCAGATAAAAACAGATGAATTTTCTCTTTTGTTTCTGGCAAACATCCTGAAATTCACTCTGATTGGACCAGTTTAGATGGCATGACTACTCGTGGACCAATCACTGTCTGAGAGTAGGTAGAACTCAATGATTAACTTAGCCAAGGCCACACTCCTGGAGCTGAATAGGGATGGATTAACTTTCCCTGAACCTCATGATGGAAATTAGCAGGAAGGGAGAACAGAGGAAGGTCCTGAGGAGCTACTCATTGTTATCCACTTCATGTCTTCCTTCAACATCTTTTTCATCTCCCCTGCCCACTATGCCTATTTTAATGATGAAGAATGTTAAGCTGGGCTTTGAGCTTGGCATGTGAAAGCTTGTTCTTTGTTCTGTTGAAGAAAAACTCTACTGCCAGGCATGGTGGCTCACGCCTGTAATCCCAACACTTTGGGAGGCCAAGGCAGGAGGATCACTTGAGTCCAGGAGTTTGAGAACAGCCTGGGCAACATGGTGAAACCCCGTCTTTACAAAAAAATACAAAGATTATCTGGGCATGCTGGTGCATGCCTGTGATCCCAGCTACTGGAGAAGCTGAGGTGGGAGGATCGCTTGAACCAGGGAGGCTGAGGCTTCAGTGAGCCATGATGGTGCCACTGCATTCCAGCCTGGACGATAGAGTGAGACCCTGTCCTCTTCCCCCAGAAAAGAAAACCTCCAAAGAATTGTTCCTTTGGGGGCCCTGCCTCTTCCCTCTGGGACTCTGGCCTCTAGGAGGCTGAGGCTGGAGATAAATCTCACAGAAGCAGATCATCAACTGGAAGGGACTTAAGGTCACATTGTCCTGGTGTGAAAACTGAGGCTGAGACAGAATCCCTGGGCCACAGAGTCACAGAGCCTCCCTTTCCTCTGATACTGTCATGTCCTAAACTAAGAACTAAGTTGCATGCATGCACACATGCACTGACAGCCCTGACTAGAAACTTCTCCTCTGTAGGACTTAGTTTTCTTCTCTGTAAAATGAAGTGACTTCTGTGGCCCTAGGTTCTGCAGTGAAGCAAGAGTGAATTAGCTGGAGAGTATTCTAAATACATGCCCAGCTCACCTAGGAATTGTGATGCACCTGCAGGAAAGCGTGGTGGGTGTGTGCATTTTGAACTAGCTTCCTAGGTAGCACTGAATCCCGGCCTCATATCACTTTAAACCATCATATGAGGTCCCTTCCACTCTGGCCTCCAGACCTCTGAGCTTATTAGTCTGAGCGTCTATTAGTCTGTTTTCATGCTGCTCATAAAGACATACCCAAGACTGGGCAATTTACAAGAGAAAGAGGTTTAATTGGACTTACATTTCTGGGGAAGTCTAACAATCATGGCAGAAGGCAAGGAAGAGCAAGTCACGTCTTACATGGATGGCTGCAGGGAAAGAGAGAGCTTGTACAGGGAAATGCCTCTTTTTAAAACCACCAGATCTCATGAGATTTATTCCCTATCACAAGAACAACGAGGGAAAGCCTGCTCCCATGATTCAATTACCTTCTACCAGGTCCCTCCCACAACACGTGGGAATTCAAGATGAGATTTGGGTGGGGACACAGCAAAACCATATCACCTTGGTTGCAGGCTCCAGGACTAAGAGAAAGGAAAAGGCAGGGGTTGTCCTGGGGGAACTGCCCTTGGTGACTCTCCCGCAGAAGGAAGGAAAGAGACTTTGGTGTATTGGCCAGAGCCCAGCACGCCAGGCCAAGACTTTGCAAGGGTGCTCCTGGCTGGGCCTGACTGTTCTGATGCCCCGGGCAATGTCGTCATGCAGTGAGGCCACATGCCGGCCAGAAGCCCTTTGGCTGACCAGGGCCCTCTGTGAGGCAAGGAGCACTGCGTCCCTCTGCCCCCGCCCCCCAACCCCCACACACAGCACTCAGGTCACTGAGTGTTTCTAGAAGGAAAGGGTTTTAGAAGGAGGGCCAGACTTGGAGTTAAGACCTCCAGATTCCAGTCCAGATGCAGCTACCTATGGGCGAAGTGGTCCTAGCAACTGTGAGCCTCAGTTTTCTCATCTGAAAAGGAGGACTGACAGCTGCTGCCCAGCCTTCTTCTTTTATAAGGCACAGGATTTAAAAGGCAGTGAAGCAATTGGTGAAATGACTTGGTCGGCAAAACTCATGTTGGAGGATTATTATTCCTGTTCAAAATAGCAGCAGCTTCAAAGCTGGAACCTGGAGGCTCCCGCAGAGTCCGGCACTGCCAGCAAGCTGCCATCTTGCAGATTGAGATGAAGATACAAGAGGCAGAGAGGAAAAGCTGCTCCTGGAGGCTTCTTTCCTGATTCTTTGTCTCTCTCTCTCTTTTTTTTAATTAGAGGCCTGCAGGGGATCTGGGTGGCTTCCAACTTATACAGTGCTACCTGATAGAATAATTTGTGCTGCCTGGGCACCTGTCATCACCTCCAGAGAGACAACAGGCTGGAGGTGGAAAACAAGCTGCACACAAGGCTGCCGCCCCACCCGCCCTCCCCTCACTGTGCTCCTCTGTGCCTGTAACTCTCTGATTCTTGGAGTTTCCTGAACTCTGTCATTCAGGTGCTCTCTCATGATGCTGGCTAACCTGTCTCCCATCTGTAACATTGCTTCCCAGATAATTGAAGTCAACCCACATTTTCATTCTTAAATACATATCTTTGGCTTGGCATGGTGGCTCATGCCTATAATCCCAGCACTTTGGGAGGCTGAGGTGGGAGGATTGCTTGGGCTCAGGAGTTCGAGATCAGTCTGGGCAACATAGGAAGACCCCCATCTGAACAAAAAATTTAAAACATTAGCCAGGCATGGTGGTGCACACCTGTGGTCCCAGCTACTCAAGGAGGATGAGGTGGGAGGATCACTTGGCCCCAGGAAGTGGAGGCTGCAGTGAACCATGATCACACAACTGCACTCCAGCCAGAGTGACAGAGCAAGACCACCCACACCCTCTCTATATTTAACAGAAACTTCTCTGTTGTAAATGTAAGCCCAACTCCCTTGTGAGTAACAACAAGTTACTGTAAATATAAATATGTGATTATGAAAATAAAAAACTGTGTGCATCCTAAAGAAATGTAAGGATACAGATACATAAAGTGTTAATTACACACAGTGCAACTGGAGTAATGTGTAAAGTGCCTTGAGATCAGTATTTGCATGTGGTGTGTTGGAAAAGACACAGGCTTTGAGGCTGGACACTTGGGTTTTGATTCCAGCTCTGCCACTCACTGTGTAACCTTGGATAAGTTTCTTAACCTCTCTGAACTTTGGTTTTCCCATTTAGATAAGGGAGAATGATAACTTCATGTCCTTCCAGTGGTGTATGTACCACACTTTGGAAAGCCCTGAAAGAGCGGATGCAGTCAGTGCTTGGGGAGCATGTGCAGGTGCTGAGATCCATGTGCAGCATGTTGATGTGCATGCAGCAACTGATTTTGATTTAATCCAAGCCTTCGGGACATTTTGCAGATGAAGCAGCCACGGATTAAGGAGAGATTAAGTGACTTTCCCAAAGTCCCTAGCCAGGAAACAGTGGAAATGGGGATCAAAGTGGATCATTGGACCCCAGACCCAATATATTTGGTATGATTGACAGCATTAAGCACACGGTGGTGGCCAAGAAAGTTTTTGAATGAGGAAAGCAACTGCAGAGAGGTGGCATGCGACAGCTGAAGGAACGCCGATGAGAATGCCGACGTAAGAGTTCTAGAATGTCTGTTCGAATCAGTGGCTCTCCAATGGTGGTCATGAAGCTGCAGGTGGCTGGGCTGCAGGAACTCTCTCCCTTCCTCCTGAGGGTAGGTTGAGGGACTCATCTGATGGATGTTTAGTTTTTCCATTTTTCCTTTCTCAAGAGCAGGTCCTTCCCCCACCTTTTAAATTGTGATTTTGAGTAAGATTCCACCGGGGAGAGAAGAAAATATCTCTCTCTTCTCTCTCTCTCTCTCTCTCTCTCTATATATATATGTATACACACACACACACAAATTTATAAAAATATATATTATGTAATATATATTTATATATTATATATTTATATTATATATAAATATACAAAACATATAACTTTTTATATATATAAAAAATTTTTTTTGGTAAAAGCAGGTTCGAAGAGTTTTGTTTTAGGTGACCTTTAAGGTCTCCACTAAATCTCATTGGTTTTATAATTGGAGTGTGGGCATTTCTGCTTCATGGTTATATAGTGTTGGAGAAGTCGGTCAGCATTCTATCTTCACTCCTTCATCTGTAAAATGGGCATGAGGAGACAAACACCACTCACTTTGCAGAGTTATCATGTGAACGTGCCCTAAGAAGAGCAAAGGATTCTGCAAAAGCATGGTATTAGTGAATTGGTGTCATCATCAACTATTTCTTCCATGGCATCTCCGAGTTGCATTCTGGGAAGTGCTGGAGATATAGAGAACCACCAGACACAGAGTCTGGTGGGAAATAAAGAAGCATGGGTTGACAGTCTCCTGGGATATAGGTAAATGACCTAGCAGTTTCAATGGGGAAATGATGAGTGCCCCTAGGTAAGCATGGTGGAGGGTCACAGACCCTGCCTGGGGCTGGGGGTGACAGGGAGACAGTGGGAGTTGTAGGAAAGTGACATCTGGCATGGATATTCAAGGAGGAGCAAAAATAATAATTACATTGAGTCTATATGTATATATTTTATTCACACACAGTTTTGTGCATCCAAAATTAAGACTTGTAATCTTTCACTTCTCCTTTTGTGCAAGGATCTTATAGAGACAAAAGTAAATGCAAAGAGTATCATTGGGCCAATGTTGTGAACTTTGTTAATGACTTTTGCTCCACCCTTTTTGTCAACAAACAGAATTCAACCAACAAATGTGCTAGGGTCCGTTCTCTTGAGAAAACTTAACACACTTCCAGAACCATCAACTGTGAGAGCCTAGAGGGCCCCCTGAATATGTCCTGTCCAATATGTACACGGATAAGAAAATCTGGAACCTAGAGAGGTGAGGTGTCTTTACCAAGGCCAGTAAGTATAGGAGTCAGGTTGAGATCTGGGGGCTTATTGGGTATCACAGGCTCCAGGGACTTCAGAGTGGGAGCAGCGGTGTGTGCAGAGGCCAGGCCTAGAGGTCTGTAGTCTGAGGGCCAGGGTTGAAGTCCATCACTAATTTCATCCAACAATGGTTGCATGTGTATATGTCAGTTAATAAGCTGTAGGCTGAGGGTATAGAGAGAAATAAACCATTTTCCTTGCTTTAAGACACAGGTACATAAAGTGTTAATTACACACAGTGCAACTGGAGTAATGTGCAAAGTTCTTTGAGATCAGTATTTGCATGTGGTGTATTGGAAAAGACACAGGCTTTGAGGCCGGACACCTGGGTTTTGATTCCAGCTCTACCACTCGCTGTGTAACCTTGAACAAGTTTCTTAACCTCTCTGAACTTCCGTTTTCTTATCTAGACAAAGGAGAATGATAACCCACCTATCAGCATTGATGAATAAAGAGTAAATAAGATACCACTGGTAAAGGGCGTGGGTCAATAACCTAGGACTATCATCACCAAGTGCAAGGGCTTGGGCGAGACATTCAACCTCTTCAACCTTCTGGGAGCTTTGAATGCTCTCACCATACAATGAGGTGATGGAAGTGAAATGTGCTTCGTAAAACTGTGATACGTTGAGCAAATCACTTTTGGGATTATTAGCCGGTCCTCATTAGCATATGAAAGGCAAGGTGGCAGGGCGGTTGTCAAAGTCCAGTGGGTTCTGTGGGTCGGAAGCCAGGCCAGTCTCTCTGATTTTATGCCTCTTTCACCCACTGCCCTTTTAGCCTCCAGTCATTTCCCTTCCATCACCTGAAACCTAACTGCATTGTGGACCAGAACCTGTAGATCTTAGGCTTGGTTTCTATTAGTAAAGCCCTTCTCCTGGGAGAGGGACTTACCATCAGGCCTGAGAAAGAAGTCAGGCGTGCTTGGAATGCAATTGCAAAAGAGGTTACAAGAGCCTGTGAGAATGCCGAAATCAAGTGATGTCGAGAGGTTTTGTTATTTTTGAAAAAATGACTCATTCTGAGAAACCCTGACAGCCTCAGAACATTCACCTAGTTGCTTGCATGCATAACCCGGAGCCCACTGCAGAGGAAAACAAATCCTGTTATCACAGCTGAAGGAGGGGGTGGTGGGGGCAGTGAGGGCTGGTGGTGGGAATGGGAATAGGGATGGGGTGACCATTTAATGGAGGAAGAGTTTGAAAATGACTCTTGCTCTGCGAGTGGACTGTTTTAATTTCGCAAGTCCTTTTCTCTAAATTGTTCTATTCAAGCCATTACAGAACACATCCGCTTGGAGGCAACACATATTCTTTTTGCATTCAACTGAGCCAGCCACGGGAGATAAGATGATTCCCATTTGACCCTCAAAGGAAATGGACTCTCAGATGGCTGAAGCTATTTGTCCAAGATGAGGGGGCAGAAGAAGAAAGGAGGGAGAGAAAAAGGAGGAGGAGGAGGAGGGAGAAAGAAGGGGGTGGGAGAGGAGGGGAGGGGAGGGGAAGGGAGGAGAGGAAAGGGGAGGAGAGGAGAGAAATGAAAACCATGCTTGTCTTGTGGAGAAAGACTGGGAAGGGCTGTTTCCAGTGGGGGCACCTGTTGGCCTCCTCATTGTGAGATGCTCCGGAGCATACGGGACCTCGGGTTAGGAGATGGGTTCTGGTTCTGCCCCTGGCCTTAGCCACCTGTGTGGCTTTGGGGAAACAGGTTCCTTCACCAAGTCACCATTCACATCTGTAAAAGTATGAGGATGAGTGGAGTAAAATAAACTGAGAGCTTCTAAAACTTAGCAGGCACATGAATGTTCTGGAAAACTTGTTACAATATGGATTACTGGGTCCCCGCTCCAGGAATTCTGATCAGGAAGTCTGGGGAAGGGCTCCCGGGTGAGGCAGATGTTGCCCTTTAGTCTACTGACCTCCCTTGAGTAGCCTTGGTGGATGATCTTTAATACTCCTTCCTGTTCTGCCGTTCAGTGATTCAAAATATTCAAGAGCTCCCGGCCGTTGTGCGCTGAGCCGGGGCTGGGAATACAAAATAGAATAGGTTTCTGCCTTTCGGGCCTAGCAGTGTCAGTGTGGAAGCAGATGGGTGAGCGAATGGCGTTGTCACACAAGGCCCACGGGGGAAGTGCTAAGGCAGGAGTGGTCAGTGCTTTGTGTGGGAGGCAGGCAGGGCTTCAGGGAGGAGGGTGTCGGGGTGAGCCTGTAGGGTGAGCCTTTAGGCCTCGGTTGTCCTTAGCCAGCAAGATGTGTGTGGGGCGATTTCTGGGGAGAGGGCGGTGTTGGCTGTTTGGAACGTGGCCCTCAGAGGACTGTTGGGCCAAGTGCTTGTTGCGTGAGCTGTGGCTTCAGTGCTGCTCAGAGTGATCTTTGGGCTCTGTCCTCCAGCTGAGCACCTGCAGTGCCCCTCTCCTTAGACGGCCCCGGGAAGAGCGGGCAGGAGCAGGTGGGCCAGGACCCTGGGACCACCTTGAAATATTTTCTAAATACAGTGCACACACACATATCCACACACAGATAAATATATAGAGATAGATGTGTACACACACAAACACACCCACACACAGAGTTAATCTTCCTTATTAGCAGATTCTATATTTGTGAATTTGCCTACTTGCTAATATTTGCTCGCAACCCCCAAATCAATACTCACAGCACTTTCTCAGTCATTCATGAACCTGTGCAGAACAGCAGAAAAATGGACTGACTCAACACCCGTGTTCCCAGCAGAGGTGGAACAAGGTGATGCTTTGCCTTCTTTTCTTCAGCTCAAACTGGAAACAAGTCTCTTTTTTGAGGCCTAGTTAGTATCATGTTTGGGGGACTTTTGTGCTTTTTGGGGTGATTTTGATGTTTTAAATGGCACCCAAGTGTAGAGCTGAAGTGCTGTCTCTTATTCCTAAATGCCAGAAGGCTGTGATGTGTCTTATGAAGAAAATACATGTGTTAGAGAAGCTTCATTGAGGCATAAGCTATGGTGCTGTTGGCTAAGAGCTCAATGTTAATGAATCAACAATATCTATTAAATAAGGTGTCTAAGCAAAAACACACATAAGACAAGGTTGTGTTTGATTACTTGATGAAAATGTTCTGACCAGAGGCTCACAGGAACCTAATCATTGACTTCCTCTAGGAAGAATGATTCACTATCCTCTAATTCAATGTTCATGACCACTTCATGGAACATAACTGCCACAGATAATGAGGGCTGACTGTATATGTGTCTTTCTGTGTATATGCATGTATGTGTGTAAGTGTGTACATATAACTGAGTGTATCCGCTGCTTAGTATTGTTAGAGGCGTGTGAACCAGAGCAACTCCATTTTGAGTAGGAGCTGGGTAAAATAAGGCTGAGACCTACTGGGCTGCATTCCCAGATGGTGAAGGCATTCTAAGTCACAGGTTGAGATAGGAGGTTGGAACCAAATACAGGTCATAAAGACCTTGCTGATAAAACAGTTTGCAGTAAAGAAGCCGGCTAAAACCCACCAAAACCAAGATGGCTACGAGAGTGACCTCTGGTCGTCCTCATTGCTACACTCCCACCAGCATCGTGACAGTTTGCAAATGCCATGGCAATGTCAGGAAGTTACCCTATATGGTCTAAAAAGGGCAGGTGTGAATCATCTATCCCTTTTTTAGCATTTCATCAAGAAATAACCTTAAAAATGGGCAACCAGCTGTCTATGGAGTAGCCATTCTTTTGTTCCTTTACTTTCCCATAAACTTGCTTCACTTTACTCTTTGGACTTGCCCTGAATTCTTTCTTGTGTGAGATCCAAGAATCCTCTCTTGGGGTCTGGATCGGGACCTCTTTCCTATAACAGTGTCATAGGTTAGTGTATTTAACAAGATAATTCACAGCTGCAGCAAGAGCTGAATAAAATCCAGACATCTAGGTAAGCTTCAGAAGGTTCCTCAGTCATCCTAACTGTAGTAGTTTTTTTTTTTTGTTTGTTTGTTTGTTTGTGAGCCGGAGTTTCACTCTTGTTGCCTAGGCTGGAGTGCAATGGCGCGATCTCAGCTCACTGCAACCTCCGCCTCCTGGGTTCAAGCGATTTTCCTGCCTCAGCCTCCCAAGTAGCTGGGATTACAGGCATGTGCCACCATGCCCGGCTAGTTTTGTATTTTTAGTAGAGACGGGGTTTCTCCATGTTGGTCAGGCTGGTCTCGAGCTCCCGACCTCAGGTGATCCACCCACCTCGGCCTCCCAAAGTGCTGGGATTACAGGCATGAGCCACCACGCCCGGTCTGTAGTAGTTTTTATCCAATTTCACCACCCCCTCTCCCGCCGAGGTTTGAGCAAAAGGCTTTTCTCCTCATTCGGAAGGCTTTTCTTTAGCTTCCACACCCACTGGAATTCACATCTCACCAACTTGGTTTAGGTATGGGCTTATATCTAACAGAGCTGGTGTCACAATGTAGCTGAATGTGACTTCAGTATGGATTACAGGATAATTTTAAATGGGTGATTATTTTGGTTTCACTGCATTTGTATTGATTAATTCCTGCATTTGGCAGATGGATTTAATTTCTGCGATAGAGGGAGAGACGGTACGGGGGCTTTGTGGAGGTCTCCTTCGGGACTCCTCTGTGTGGTCAGGGGAACTGAGACACAGGATCTGGCGAGGTGAGGCAGCCAGGAAGTGGCCGGCCAGGCCTGCAGCCCCTGCAGGCTGAGGCAGGAGGCCAGGCTCACCAGCCCTTTGCCACTCCGCCCCTTATGTCTGTGTCCACCCTTGGCCTTGTCCCTTAGGCTACGTCAAACCTTTCTGCCTTGCTTCTGAGAAATGTGCTGAAAACACAAAAGGCCCCTTCAGGCCTTCACGGGGTTAAACGTGACCTCCCAGGGAGCCAGGGCCAAGGGGCTCTGCAGTCTTCCGGGACTGTGAACCCCCTGCCTCCCACTGGGACGGTGGTGTGGAGGGCATCTGGGTGCTCCCGGGCCTCTGTCACTCAGGACAGAGGCCTCCCGCAGGTCCTCGGGACCTGGTTGGCCAGTGGAGCGAGAGGAAGCAGTGAGGCTGAAGAAGCGGGCAGCTGGCTGCCATCCCACATCAACAGGCCCCGTCACTGTAAATTATTTATGCGCCATCGGGAGGCTGGACAGACTCCTTGATGGGCTTGTTAATAAGAAGCCTGCAGATCCTGCCTTGGCCCAGATTCCTGGGGGCTGGGGGTGCGTGGAGAAGAGTGGAGGGGGAGCTGTTTCTTTTTGCTCAGCATCTCCTGATTGGAAACCGCAGCAATTCCCTGTCTTCTCCAGGAACAAGTCTGAGCTCCACGGCACCACATTCAAGGCCTCTGTGCAGGCACAGGTCTCACACTTCGCCTCTGCTTCAGCTGGGACAAGTTTTGACTGTCTCTGCAAATGACCGTATCATTTCCAACTCCAGGTCTTTGCGTCATGTGCTCTTTCCCCTACTTGGAATTCCTTCTCTCTCAGAATCCAGGAAGACAGCCCAGATACTACCTGCTCTGTGTGCCCCAGCTGCAACTCATCCACTGGAAGGCTCAGTTCCTCCTTCCTTGTGCTCCCACAGCTGAATGCATCCTTCTTAGCAGCATGGCCTCCATTCTGCACCCCAGCTGCATGCATTGCTGAGGAACCTTGTGTTTACTCAGATAGAACACAAGGACAATGACAGCATCTCCCTTAAAGCTTTGTGGTGCAGACTAAATATGCACCCAGTTTTACAGAGTGGCCAGTATCCATAAATCACCCAACAGACCCTACCTCTTCTTTGTGATTCTCATTAATACAGCTCTTATTTCATTGAATTGCGATAACTTCTTTTGTAAGCCTCACGCTTACTAAACTCTGACCTACTGGAGTTTCAGGGGACGTGGTCTCACTCATCTCCAAACCTTCAACTTCCAGCCCAACACCTGGCCCTTAGTAAGTGTTCCATAAAGAGTATAGATCCAATAGTAGCACACGTGGACAGTATCTAGCATTTATTGGGTGCTTACTGTCTGCCAGGCCGTGTTCTAAGCCCTTGATATGCATTAACTCATTTAATACAATAATCCTATGAGATAGCTATTATCAATATTCTGATTTTACAGATGAGGAAACCGAGTCACAGAGGGGTGAAGTAACTTGTGCAAAGTGACGTATTTAATGAGTAACAGAATTGAGCTTCAAGACCAGAGAGATTCATACCTCAATGAGTTCCACTGCCTCTCAAAGTCTGACTCTCACGGCACAGAGCGGGTATTTAATTGTAAGTGCCTGGCACAGAGTAGGAGTTTAGTGAATGTTGAATCAGTGCTTTAGGCTTTTATGTGTTTTGATTGCCAAGACTAAAGGCAGGGAAGTCCCACAGATCGGTTACTAAAAAGGGCAAGTTTCTATTTGTTAAACTTATCTCTACAAAACGTTTCCAGGTATGTCCCCATTGTTGTGTATCCTCTCCTGAGCTGGCCTGCTCTAGATCCAGCACTTGATCTTCCTGAGGCAGGGGAGAGCCTGTGTCTCCAGGCAGACCCTGTGGCCAGGCTGTGTGTTGCATCCTCATTACCATAATCTCTGCAGGCTGCGGGACCTCATCCCTCTGCCTGAATATTCCTTTCCCTCTCTGCTGCAATTCTGCACTGCCACCGTGATCTTCCAGGAAACATTCTTTTTGTCCTGAAAGGTCAATTCACAGGGACTGTCCTCTGGAAGATCCCAACTGCCACCTCCATTTCTCAGTTCCCCCACACCGGGCACACGTCTACATTATTTCTGTGTGCACACATTTATGGCAAAGTGGTAAATGGCGAGGGTTTTAGTGCCAGACCCCTGGCTTTCAGCCTGGCTCTGCCACCCGGTGTGGGTCTCTCCACCCAAGCCTCAATTTTCCCATCTATGAAGTGGCGCTAATCATAGTACCTACCTCACAGGTTTTTGTGAGGATTAAGTAGAAGAGTGCATATAAAGCACTTGAGAAATGAACATGTCAATTGCTGCATATGTGCTCCTGGTTCTTTTATTTTTCTAAAACGTGGGTCCTTCACACCCTGGCTTACCCCTGATACATCTTTGCATCTCTGGTGATTAGTAGAGTTCCTGCCACACAGTGGGTGCTCGATACATGACAATCAAACTGAAGTTCAGTAGCAGGCATTTGTTGAGCACTTACTGTGTACTAGGTGCTGAGTATGCCAAGATGGGAGGCAGCCAAAAGGTCAGGATGCATTTACGTAAAGACAGCTAATGAGAGACTGAGTGGGTCCCAGTATGATGCAGTCATTGGCTCATTTATTCATTAAGGCTTTTGTTGCACCAGGTTCTGGGGAGATAGATATGAATAAAATGCATTCCTGGTCCTCGAAGGGACATGCATGTTTGCAAAATGTACAATAGGAGCGAATGACTGTTGTTGTAGAGGTATGAACAAGGTAGACCCTGGGGCTCAGAGGTCAGAGCCAGCCAGGGATTGCAGATGGGTTTGTAATGGCAGGGGCCAGGGGAGCTGGGTGAGATGGACTGTGCCTTTGTACTTGCTGACCCTTCGCTTGAGATGCTGTTCCTCCTCCACATCCTTCTAGCCTCAGAGGGCCTGTCCCCTCCTCAGTGCATCCTTCTTGGGAAGCCCACCTCCTCATCTGTCTGTCACTGTGCTCTGTTCATTTCTTCTGAAGTGCTAACCACAATCCACAGTGACTGAAAGGCAGAGAAGGAAGGAAACCAACACTTCTTGAATACCTACTAGGTGCCAGGCGCTGTGATCTTCAACTGACACACATTATTTAATTAATCTTCTCAACACTCCTGGGGTGCCAGAATTATTATCGTCATTTTGCAGACTACAATAGAGGTCCCAAGAGGGCACATATCTTTGCCCAAGGTCACCAGCCGGAAACAGGAATGGAACTAGAATCAGGGCTAGCTGCCACTCCACACCCGCGGCACTTTCATGGCAACGGGAGAGGCCAGGTAGGCAAGAGAGGAAGTAGAGTGACTCATTTTCCGCCCCAGGCATTTTCAGCAACAAGTAAGTGATTTCCCTAATTCTGGTCTGCTATTAATACTTGGCAGCTAAGAACTAAGTTGCAGAAAAACAGGTTTTCTTCCTAACTCAGCAGCACCACCTGCAGCATCTAAGGGAACACTGCAAAAATGATCAGCAGTGGGAACTCTGGTCTTTGCTGGAGCCCCAAGAGGGTATCATGAAGGAAGAACCTGAGGCATCATCCAGTCACTTTTCATCTTTAAAAGGAGCAAATTGAGACCAAGAAAGGAACTTACTTCAAGTCACAAAGTTAGTGATGGCATATTTGAAGCTGTATCCCTCCTGACTCCTAGTTCAGTACCCCTTCTCCTCACTCTCCCTTTCATCTTTCTTTCTTCTTCTTCTTCCTCCTTCCCTTCTCCTCCTCCCCCACCTTCCTTCCTCCTCCTCCTCTTCTCTCTCATTTATTCACTCAGCAAACATTAATTGGGCGCTTAATAGATCTTGAGCATATTCCTCTTTGTGGGATATAAATATGGATAGCTAACATTTTCTTTTCATGTTATTGCCTGGATTAATTGACACCTCCAATGTACTTCATAATTACAACTAAGATGCATTGAGTGTGACTGTGTGCCAGGCACCATGCTAAGGCTTTATCTCAGTTACCCTCACAGATGAGGACACTAAGGCTTAGGGAGGTCTAGGAACATGCCCAGTATGGCTCAATTAGTTGTAAAGCTGGGATTAAAACCCAGATCCTTCTGACTCCAGGGCCAGAGATCTTAACTGTTATGTTATATTTACTCTTTAAAGTATCTAAGGTTAATTCAAGAAGTATCCATACTCTAAAAGAATTTTGCTCCTATTTAAAATAACGACTTTTTTTTTTTTTTTTTTTTTTTTTTTTTTTTTTGAGACAGAGTCTTGCTCTGTCGCCCAGGCTGGAGTGCAGTGGATCTTGGCTCAACCTCTGCCTCCTGGGTTCAAGCGATTCTCCTGCCTCAGCCTCCCGAGTAGCTGGGATTATAGCATGTGCCACCACACCTGGCTAATTTTTGTATTTTTAGTAGAGACAGGGTTTCACCATGTTGCCCAGGCTGCTCTTGAACTCCCGACCTCCGGTGATCCTCCCACCTCAGCCTCCCAAGTGCTGGGATTACAGGCGTGAGCCACTGTGCCCGGCCTAAAATAACTACTTATTTCTTGTCTTAGAGTGGTGCTGATTCTCTTGTCCAATTAATTGCTTCTTAAATCCCTAGGAGTTTATGTTAAGGTTTATCTAGGTACCAGGCACTGTGCTACGTGCCAGGGACACTGCCAGTGACTATAGGTCAGTTAGGAGTCCATGGCCTTGCAGGTGTCAGTTGTGATACAAGGCAAGCCACAGAACACACCCTGATGGAAGCACCGTACAACTCCAGGGAGCCCAGTCACAATACAGCTGGTGGAAATGGCACCTCCTGACTTGTGCAGTGCACTGACTGTGCGACTGTATATGGTGTACCTGATCAAATAGGATGGGAGCATGGGTCAGGGGCAAGGAGGCAAGGGATAAGAACAAACTCTTCTGCCTCTGCAGGGCAGGGAGGCTTTACAGCAAAGGGCACTGGAGTGTGAATGCTGCCAAAGCTGTAAAAACCTTAATTTCCTGTTCTCTTCACCTGGGAGATAGTTGTCAAGGTTTGAGGAAATACGTCTCTGTGTTTTGACCTGCAAGGCAGGAAATGTATTTGTTTCCATTTCTTGCATTAGCTACTAAGTTGCATTTCTTTTACATTCCCAGGTATCTTACTCTCATTCTCATTTTTGGGTAGATGGGTAGTTTCTCTTTCTAGTGTAGTTGGTTCATGAAATTAGAGCTTAACAACTGTAGGAGGGTGTCCAAAACCAGAAGATCAAGCGTGGGCAACCTTGCAGCCATTTAGGGAATTCTCTGCCAGAACCAGAGGGAAATTGACGGCAGCCCAGAGAGGGGAGCGCCCATCTCGTGACCATCTCTGCCATTGAAGATGGCACCATGTGGAGGTGTTTCCTCAGTACATGCTCAGCTCTCTTGGTTCTTCCTAAATATCCTCATTAACCAAGAAGACTGCTTTTGCATGTGTGAAAATTTTACCTTCTTTAACTTACAGCAGAAAACAAAAGGGATTGTTTTCATTTCCCAAATATAAAATTATCGTATAATGACTATTACCATTCCCCATAACGCAGCCTGAAGATGGTAATTCAGACCTTTCTGGGCAGGGTGTGGTACTGAGTGACAATCTCAGGATTGGATTGTGTCAGTCACTAGAAGGATGCCGAGGGCACAAAGATGTAAAGAGCAAAACCAACACCAGCAACAATAATGAGAAAACAGCAATGAGAGACCTCTTCCAGGCCTCCAGGAGCTCCAGGCCCCTTCGTTGCTGCCTTTGCAACCACAGACTGCCCTTTTGAGACAACCACTGTGGGAAAGGATGTGGGGATGGAGAAGTACCCTGTCACCAGTTGGATGGCAAGGTGCTCTGCCCCTTCATGTCAGAGCAGGGGAAACCTTGGCCAGCAAGGTGGAGGGAGGAGAGATGGGGCAGATCATTCTCTCTTCTGGTCTGCCCTAGGAGAAAGATGCTGATCAGCCTTTTGATTTCTTTTTTCTTTCTTTCTTTCTTTCTTTCTTTCTTTCTTTCTTTCTTTCTTTCTTTCTTTCTTTCTTTCTTTCTTTCTTTCTTCTTTCTCTCTCTCTCTCTCTCTTTCTTTTCTTTTTTTCTTTCTTTCTTTCTTTTTTTTTTTTTTGAGACCGAGTCTCGCTGTCTCCCAAGCTGGAGTGCAGTGGCGCGATCTCGACTCACTGCAAGCTCTGCCTCCCGGGTTCACGCCATTCTCCTGCCTCAGCCTCCTGAGTAGCTGGGACTACAGGCGCCCGCCACCACGCCTGGCTAATTTTTTGTATTTTTAGTAGAGACGGGGTTTCACTGTGTTAGCCAGGATGGTCTTGATCTCCTCACCTCGTGATCCGCCTGCCTCGGCCTCTCAAAATGCTGGGATTACAGGCGTGAGCCACCGCGCCCGGCCTTGATTTCTTATTGATTTGAAGCACTAAGGTTCTTTCCTTTTCCATGTAGTGTGCTCGATAGGTATTTGATAGCTAGTGTGGGACCACAATCGGCCCAGAAAACCTTGTTTTCATGGAAAAATGAATTTTGAAATCCAAATAATTGCCCTAGAAATCAACTAGTGGAACACATCCATTTGGTGAGTTGAAGAGCCTCTGCTTTTTATGATTGTAAAGTTAATGTTGTGAAAACAGCTATGAACTGGGAAGCTGATGCCCGGGTTCCAGACTGCCCGGAGCCAGCTGTGTCATTGTTTTGGGCAAGTCACATCATTTTCCTCTTTGAACTCTCACCTATAGAACCAGGACTTGGACCAGATGAACTCCATGCTCCTTTGGGCTCTGCCTTTGGGACCTTGGGTGTCTTTGTTGGGTTATTTTCATTTCCAGCACTTCGTTGCATTTCTTGCTAAATAGAATGCTTCTTTGGACCAGGACTTGTGGGCTCCAGATGCATTTGTCATTCTTGTGTCACCTGGTTTCTGACGGGGTCCAGCCAGAGGGAGGCACTGGCAGAAGACCAAAGGGGATCAGGAAAGGAGAGACCAGGGTGTTTCTCCTCCCCTCTGCCTTCAGAGGTGTCTCTGGCAGAGAATTTGCATTTCTTCCTTGGTTCTAGCTCCTGCTCCGGTTCCAGTTTCTTACAGGGTAAGCCTAAGCCTTGGGTTGCTGCGATCCTGCCTCTTCCTGTTGTTCCGCCAGCTTACGGGTGATAGTGGCTTCCTGCTATTATTCATCTCTGAACTGAAAGACACTATTTTCTAGTTGTCTTTCCAGCTCTTCACCTAGGTAACCCATTCTCTATATTAATTTCCCCTGGTTTCAAATACCTAGAGTGGTTTCTGTTTACTTAGTTGGACTTTGACTGGGGCATTTAAACTTTTATTGGTTTTACCTTGTAACAGCCGACAATAAAGATGATGATAATGTTGATGATTATAACTCCTCGCTTGGTGTACAACCTCACATATTACAGAGCTTTCACTCAGGTTCTGTAATTTGAGGCTGCTAATAACTGCATGATGTAAGAAGGGCATTTATCATTAATTCCTCTTTACAGAAGAGGAAATGATTTCACTCAGCTCACACAGCTGGTGGGTCTTGATAGACTTGGAACCAGAACCCAAGGCTTTTGATTCCTCATCTGTTTTTCTTCTCCAGGTTGTCCCTTTAATTTCCATCATTACCCCACCCTTCCCACTGGAATAGTGCCTTAATGTTGTTCCTTCAGGATGGTGTTTTCCACAGTGTGGCATAAACTGTAAGTCAAGGATGTATTAGTTATCTATTGCTGTGTAACAAATACCACAACACTGAGCTGTTTAAAGTAGCATCATTGCTATGTTGGAAACGTTCCACAATGCACTGGTGCTTTCTTCTGCCTCCTGTGCTCAGGGCTGATTGTGCACCCAGAAATTGAGGAGTGAGCTCAGCCTGAGAGGGCATTGAGGTTGCATTTCAGAGCAGTTTGGCTGTGGTGTGATGAGGAGGAGGTGGTTGGCTGGTGTTTGCACTGTGCAGCACTGAATAAGCAGGCTTCTGCCCCAGCAAACCCTGTTTAAAAAAAAAAAAAAGCAGCCTCCAGTTGTGGGGCCAGGCCAAGGGGGTAAACATAAGCTCATTTATATTATAGTCTTTAGATCGGAAAAACCACGGTATTTCTCTCTTTCCGCATTTCGCACTGAATGTCAGTGTGCAGCAATAGATAACTAATACATCCTTGACTTACGGTTTATGCCACACTGTGGAAAACACCATCCTGAAGGAACAGCATTAAGGCACTATTCCAGTGGGAAGGGTGGGGTAATGATGGAAATTAAA
This sequence comes from Homo sapiens, assembly GCF_000001405.40. Classification (NCBI taxonomy): domain Eukaryota; kingdom Metazoa; phylum Chordata; class Mammalia; order Primates; family Hominidae; genus Homo; species Homo sapiens. The sequence goes on from NC_000008.11 coordinate 125,649,505, forward strand.
GGGACAACCTGGAGAAGAAAACTAGATGAGGAATCAAAAGCCTTGGGTTCTGGTTCCAAGTCTATCAAGACCCACCAGCTGTGTGAGCCGAGTGAAATCATTTCCTCTTCTGTAAAGAGGAATTAATGATAAATGCCCTTCTTACATCACACTCTGGAAGGCTAGGCGGAACCCTGTACTGTGGTCTTACAATATTGTTAGGAAGAGAATATTTCATATTCTTAAGTCCCTGGGGACCCTAGACTTTGAGGAGGATCAGGGTCACAATATCCATTACACCTTTTATTTTATTGATTGTCAATACATATTTGTATTTGCTTTATGTTTACCTTGTGTCAGTCTCTTGTCTTACTGTCTGGGATCCCCTGCCAAGGGTCTCATCTTAGTTATTTCTGGAAGTCCCAGGGAACAGCTCATGTGTCCATGTGAACTCCATCCCCCTGTCTCTCATGTAGTATTTACTCTTCTGTTTCCCAGCTCCAGCTTTCTGCTCTGATGTCTGCACTCAAGCTTTGGAGGCTCTTGCCAAGGTTGGTGTGGCTGGTGTCTGCACTGGGGATCCCACATTCATCCAGTGTCACCTTGTGATCCATCCTGACCCGATGCCTCTGTCTTTTTGCATCTTGTTTACTTACATTTGCCCCAAAGCAGGGCCACGCTGCCTCCCAGTAACTCAAGGAGATTTTAATAAAAAGTAATTCTTTTTTTTTTTTTTTTTTCTGTTTCAGCATTCACCCTCACAGGTTCTGGAACAAGCTCCAAGGCAGAGGTAAAGAAGCGTATCTGGACACGTCTGAGCCGTTGCACTCAACTTGTCCCTCTACTTTCCATGATTGCTCCACTTACTACACTGGAATAGTGTCCCACTGGAACATGGTCCCTTTAGGATGGTGTTCTCTAAAGTGTGGGGCACTGACCATTGGTCGAGGCTGTATTAGTTATCTATTGCCATGTAACAAATTACCCCAACACTTAGCAGCTTAAAACAGCATCATTTAGTGTCTCACAGTTTTTAAGGTCAGCAATCCAGGAGAGGCTTAACTGGGTCTCTGGGCTCTGGGTCTTTCCCAAAGCTGTGGTCATGGCAAGGCTGCATAGGGCAGGGGCTGCTTCCCAGCATCCTGGGGTTGGTGGGGGTAGGACTCAGTTTCTTGCCGGCTGTTGTGCCGAGGGTCTCTGTGCCTCAGGAGCTACTGGCTAGAAGATTTCCTCAGTTTCTTTCCACATGGATCTCTCCATAGAGTATCTCCCAATATGGCGCTGGCTTTGTTGTAATGAACAAGTGATAGGGCGAGGCAGAAGGCAAACAAGACACAAGTCACAGTCTTTTATAACCTATTCTTCAAGTGATGTATCATCCCTTGTGCCAAAATCTATTGATTAGAAACTAGTAACTAGGTCCAGCTCACACTCTGAAGCAGGTTACACAAGGCTGTGAATAACAAGGGGCCAGGAATCATTGGGGATCATCTTAGAGGCTGCTTACCACAGGTGGCTGGGGTGGGGGTGAAATGAATTTTGATGTTAAGCAAATTATGATTAAAACATTTAGTCAGGTTGGGCGTGGTGGCTCACACCTGTGATCCCAGCACTTTGGGAGGCTGAGGCAAGAGGGTCACTTGAGACCAGGAGTTCAAGATAAGCCTGGGCAACATGGTGAGACCCTGTCTCCACATAAAGTAAAAAAAAAAAAAAATTAGCCAGGCTTGGTGGCATGCACCAGTAGTCCCAGCCACTTGGGAGGCTGAGGCCGGAGGATTGTTTGAGCCTGAGAGATCAAGGCTGCAGTGAGCCATGATCGCACCACTGCACTCCAGCCTGAGCAGTAGAGCAAGACCCTATCTCAACAAACAAAAACAAAAACAAAAAAATAAAACATTTAGTCATTAGCCACTTTATTTTAAAGTGTACTAGGAAAAGTGTAGGTTATTGTTTTTGTTAAAGAAGAGGGTAAATTTTAAAAAAGGAGTTAATTAAAAGTATTAAGTACAGGTGGTTTTCAAATGCAGAACATATCATACATGTTGTAAAATGTGAAAAAATCAACAAAGTTTGGGTAACTTTTCCTTAGAATGCATTTCTTCCCAGGAGGCTTAATGACTTATGCAAATAGATTCTTATAGGTCCACCCTATAGGTCTTCCAGGCAAACTTTAAGGGATTTGAAAACTAGGATAAATACAGTTTAAACTGTCCTCCAACAGAAGTACACAGTTGCATATGAAAAAACATGGCACATCTTCCTAAGCTTTGTTTCCATTTGAAGACATGAAGAGTTAAACTATCTGACCAGTAAATATTAAATAAATTCTTATATAAAAACATGTTGGGATACATTATAGAATAAATGCAAATGCAAATGTCACAAGAATTTCTAAGGTAAAAATATGTGACTGCAAAGAAATTGTATAGTTGGTGGTGGTGAGCTGTATTTGTGCCTTCTAGTGGTGGAATGGGAGGGTATGAGATGAGGGTATTCTGGCAGAGAATGTGACAGTTGCTAAAGTTAAGGCAGAGACTCTTATTGTGGCACCTACTTCAAGGTGGCCTCTATGATCCTTACCTCCCGGTGTTCATGCTGTTGTATAATCTCCTTCTGTCGATTGCCTGAGGAACTGTGACTTGCTCCTAGCCCACAGAATATGGCAAGGGGGATGGAATGTCACTCTTGTGATTGAGTTATGTTATATCAGATTCTGTATCAGAGACTCTCCTTGTGGGCTGGATGAAACAAGCAACCATGTTGGGGAGGCCTGCATGATGGGGAACTGTGGGGGCCTCTAGGACCTGAGGACGGCTTCTAGCCAACAGTCAGAAAAAAGCCAGGACCCTCACTAAGAGAGCCACAAGGAAATGAATTCTGCCAACAACCTGAATGAGCTTGGAAGTTGATTTTTCCCCAGTTAAGTTTCCAGATGAGGATGCAGCCTGCCCGATACTTGAGCCATAGCCAGATGAGACCCTAATTGGAAAACCCACTTAAGCCATGCGAAACTCCTAACCCGCAGAAATTGTGAGAAAATAAATGACTGTTGTTTTAAACTTCTACGTTTGTGGCAATGTGTTACACGGCAATAGAAAAAAAAAAAAATCGAAAACCAAAAAGAAAATACATCCACTATAAGGCACATGTGAAAATTTAAAAAACACTCAAGATACAGCACATTAGGTGAAATAATTTTGTTTAAAAATTGTCTTTGGGCTGGGCGTGGTGGCTCATGTCTGTAATCCTAGCACTTTGGGAGGCTGAGGCGGGCAGATCACCTGAGGTCAGGAGTTCGAAACCAACCTGGCCAACATGATGAAACCCATCTCTACTAAAAATACAAAAAAATTAGCCAGACGTGGTGGCAGGTGCCTGTAGTCTCAGCTACTTAGGAGGCTGAGACAGGAGAATCACTTGAACCTGGGAGGTGGAGGTTGCAGTGACCAAAGATTGCGCTGCTGCACTCCAGCCTGGGCAACAATGAGACTCCGTCTAAAACAACAACAACAACAACAGCAACAACCAAAACAACAAAACTGTTTTTATAGATTCCAAATACTTACACATTTTTCAGGACAAAACTCCCAAAGTTAAATTTAAAAAGTCTTAGTGGAAAATAGGCTTACTGGAGCCCTCTTAGCCAGTGTTTTAAACATGTAACATCTGCAGAGCTAAGTAAAGGGCACCCTTTTTGATGGAGATGAGGTGTACATCTAGGATGAGAAGGACACTCATTGAATAAGTTATTGAGAACATGCCTTGCCTCAGGTAAGCAAATATTTTCTGAGGATCATGCAGGAAAAAAATTACAGAGTACTCTGATCTATTTTTTGCCTTTAAGTTTGGGAGCTGGAAGGAAAAGGATCAAAGAGTATAGTAGTAAGTTGACATTGAATGAACCAATGAACAGCTCCATCTTGGCCCTGAGGAGTCTAATTAATTGGTTTTGGAGAGCTTCACACTAGCTGGCTATGGGCTCTTGTAGGACTCACTTCATATTTATGGCTGGGGATAATATGAGGTGAGTGAGGCACTAACTTTGGGTGCTAAATTTAAGGGATGCTGAAAACCTCAGTAATCAAGATAAATTAAATTTTAAAGCAATGATTTAAAATTCAAAATCACTGCCAAAAGATGATGAACAAATTGTCAAACTTTTAAATAAAGACTGGCTCTAGCCTTGGATTTGTACAACCTGACTTCATTGGTCTCATCGTAATCCTGGCCCCTAACAGGCAATAAAGCCCTTGGAAAACCCAGGAATAAGGTGGAAGTCTTCAATACCTGGGAGATTATGGGAACGCAGGAGTTTGGGGTGTGATTGGAAAAAGTCCTGGAAGATTTCAGTGGTAGTTGTTCTGTTGAGAGAGAGCACTACGCTCTGTTGAGAGAGAGCACTACAAGCAAGAGGTTTCATGCTTGTCAGTTTTGTTCCATATTGTATTTCAGTGCCAATGTCTATTTAATATAGTTGTATTAGTTAAATTATTTATGCCGTTTTTAAAGAAAGGCTATTTTTATTGAATTATTTTTATTTTTATTTTTTTGGTTTGGGCTTTCCCAAAAGCAGATCCCAGACAAGGACTTGGGTGCCAGCAGTTAATTTGGAGGTGATACTAGGAGGCTCTGGTAGGGGAGTGAGGAAGGGAGTCAAGGAAGGCAGGAGGCCGCCAGTAAAGGGTGCATGACTGAGTAGCTGCTGCTGCACTCATCTGAGACTCAACTGTGCTGAGAACTCCATTGAGAAACAGAATGGGACATATCTCAGAATTGTCCACTTGGGGCTGAGGCCACTAGGGCATTTATCTACTAATGCTTGTCCTTTATTAGTTGGAAGCATTATCTCCCTGGTCTGCCCTGAGAGAGGGCCAAGTGCATTCCTGTGGCAGATAAAGACCACAGTCCAAGAGATGTAGGAACTTAGAGTAAGAAGGTGGAGGAGTATACAGGAGCTGTCACCCAACTGCAGGTGACCTGTGGGATGTGCTAATGGGATGAGCACAGAACAGTGATGTGCATGTAGTGCAGCCATAATATTCAAAAAGAATAACAGCCTATAATAGGACATGCCTCTTCAAGCACATTGGATGACCAGGGCTCATTTGGAGGGATGGTCTTCCAGGTCAGGAGACACTGTGCAACTCAAGGATGCTGTTGGAGTCACAACCAAAGAAGTATATGTCATCTTGCAACTGGGAACTAGCCTTTGGCCTTTCTTTGTTGGCTACCTTTAGTTGGTTGGATGCTGGACCTGTTGATGACCAGACAGCAGTGACAAGACTAAGAAGGCCCAAGGCAGGGCTCCAGAGGAGATTCTGAAGCCATCACAAGCTAGACCCATCTCTGAGACTCTTAGAGTCTTCCTATAACAAGTATCCTTTGCACTAAGGGTAATTACCTCCTCTGTAAAACATGGCAGGTGGTTGAGATTAAGAGTAAAAATAAATTTCCTTGGCCTGGAAGGGAGGGAACTGGTTAAATATTAAGATTTGACTTAATTCCTTAGTAGCCAGACTGTGAACAGAAAGAAAACATAGAATTACATTTTGTACTTGGGTCACTTGTATAATCAGTGTGATTAATAATTGCTAATGTTTTTTATTGATGACTACATGTTAGGCACTGTACCATATACTTTACATTCCAGACCTCACTGAATCCTTCCAACAACACAGTAAGAGAGGTAGCCTACATATTTCCAATTCACATATGTGGGATCTGAGACTCAGAGAGGTTAAGTAACTTGCAAATGTCCTGGGAATAGTGAGGGGTAGAACAGCCATTTGAAGCCAGGCACAACTCTACGAACCTGGGGAAAAGTTCCATAAGATGACTGCTACAATTGTGTATGCCTTCTGAAATGCTTTGCCTATAGGTGGGCCAAGGGGTGAACTGCATTGTGATTTTTAAGTTGAGGTCTTTGGTTTCATAAAATGGCTAATGTGAGAAGACTGTCAAGACATTTGATGTTGCAGAAAGCTGATGCCAAGTCTCTGGGTGTGTGTGGAAGTATCCGTGTGTGTCAAGTGGTTGAGATAGCCCCTGCAGACCACCTCGTGCCCTAACATTCCAAATGCGGCTCAGACTTCCCAAGAACAGGCCATCTTCTGTGGGATGGGAGCTCTGGAGCAACGATGTCCTGTGAGTCAGGTGACTGATATGCTTATTTTTGGGTCCCACCCTTTGCTGGCTGTTTGACTTCAGGCAAGGGACTTAGTCACCAGGGAACCTACTTTTCTCATCTGTAAAATGATGATAATGAGGCCCGACTCCTACCTTCCTCACAGGGAGGGCAGGAAGCTTCCTGAGATCACCTCACCAGAGCCTTTTGATCTGCTTGAAAGAATCCTCCTTAATTGCCCAGTCAGGCACTCCAGCGGCTGGGCGAAAGTTTTATGACCCAGGATTCCCACAGCCCGTAATACACACGCTCCCAGAAGCCCTCTTAGGTTTTCAATGACAGATTCAGCTGCCGAACATTCTGCCAGGCCATCACCAGAGATTTCTCAAAGCCTTAGTCATATAATAGGCGGTTTCCCAGGGGTGCTTTTGCCAGTGCTTCCACTGATTCATGTCGATTCCTTTAGAGCTCCTATGAACAGTTTCCCAGCCCTTCCCAGACTGGTCCACAGCAGTCAAGTCTGGCCTCATGGAATGCTGCCAGTCTTCAGGTCACAACCAAGATGTACTTTTGAACATCTGCTTTCGGTTTTTTAAAGGGTTCTTTAAATGAGTAGTGTGCTTGCTTTCCCATTTCTTGTCTGCACCGTCACGAAAGCCTTCTAACATATTTGTCTGTCTCCAGCCTTGCTCTCTCCCTATGTTCGTGCATTGCAACCTGATAAGCAGGATATATTTCTTCCTCAAACTCATCGTGGAGTCCCCTCCTTGTCCGCAGAATGAAAATCAAACACATTAAATCCAAAGTCCTGCTCCTTTGCCCCCAACTCCCAACTCAAAATCTGGACCCAAGTTTCCTCTCTTCCCTCATGTCTCACCTCTTCCCATTGTTAGGTCATTTATTCAGTCAATCTTTGCTGTCACCTCCTATATTGCAGGTGCTGCATTAAACTCTGGGGAAAAAAATCATGTGCCCCAACCCCCATGAGGCTCCCAGCATTGTGGGAGATGCAGGCCATAAGTGAGCAAGCACAGGCAGCTTGATCAGTGTGGTGCTGAATGTGGAGGGGCTCTAATAGCCCACTGGAGGGGAGGCTGCATCTGCCTGGGGCGAGGGCGAGATGTCCAGCACTTAAGGATGAATAAATAGGATGTTGCCTGACAATGAGTCAGGGGTGGGAGTGGGGAGTGGAAAACATGGCCCGAGCGTCCCAGCAAGAAGGACTTAGATGTGAGAGACAGTATGAGGAGTTGTGAACTGACACAACGGTGGCAATTTATGGCTTGGGAAGAAGCCCAGTTCCTGAATGCCCTGGTGAGCCTTGTTAAGAGATCTGGACTTTATCCTGAAAGAAAAGAAACCATAAGCCGGGTGGTGATGTGGTCCCCACCCTCCCGACTTGGCAACCTGTCAGGTGCTCTTGGACTCCCAGGTCTCTGCCAGGGCTGGTCTTTCTTTGTTCTTCCTTATTCCCCCTCTCCCTTTCCTCCTCCTACTGTGGCACCATCTTTCATGAGTCCATTCAAATGCCATCTGTTTTTTGAAGACCTCCTGGATCCCAGGGTCAAATGAATTATTCCTGTGGGCACCTGGAGTTCATTGCTTGTACGTTACCATTTATCACATTCTACTTTGTATTTTATGGTACTTGTACCTGTTCATCTCGCCAACTGGACTGAAAACTCCTTAAAGGGCATATTTATTCTGGAATATTTATCTCTACACTTCCCACAGCACCATAGCATATGGTGCTTTGAGCCAGGCCTCCCTTCAAGCTCTGGGTTCCATTGCTTATTAGTTCTGTGATCTTGGACAAGTCACTTTATCTCTGAGACCTTGAGTTGCCTCATCTATAAAATGGGGGCAATGTTTTTTATTGCATAGGTTAATTGGAGGATTAAGTAAAGTACCTTGTTAACACTCAATAAACATTAGCTGCTGTCCTCCTCCTTCTGGTTTCTGGCTCAGGAAGATTGCCGCAACACCTTGGGAGAGCATCCCTGAGGGAGGGAAGCCTCACTTTTCCCATGGGCCCAGAGGGAGTGCTGGGTGCATGAGCAAGATCCCGTCTGCACTTGCTTGCTGAGTGCCCAGGGAGAGAGGTGGAATATAAGCGCTATTGTGTAGAGTCTTGGTTATCACAACAGTTGTTGCCACCCATTCTAATCTGATCATTTCTTTGACGTCTTCTATGTGACATTTCCTTAATGTGAACAAAAAGAGAATGTTGAGGTGATTTTCAAGAAACAAATTAAATAATATGAGTCTCCTTGTCTAGGATTATGACTTAAATCATGGTGCCCTCCCAGGGGGAAGAGAAAATAGTGATCTGCCAATCAGTCTTTCCCTTTTCTACTTGGTTGTTGGTCAGCCCATGTATAGAATCTGTACCGTGAGATTACAAGGGTCTTTGTCATGGTGTGGTTGTCATTGTCATTACTAGTAGCAGCAGCAGCAGCCTTCTATTCTTCCTCCTCCTCCTTCTCACTGCCATTTGGGTGGGATGCAGGATGGATACCCTCTTCCTCACCTCCCCTGCCATTCTCTAGAGACCCAATCTGCACGTGTGGCCTCATAGGTCACTGTACTTTTTTGACACACACAGCAGCCCCAGCAGGCAGGCAGAGCAACCGCTCTCATCTGAATTGCCAAGGAAACTGTGGCACAGAAAGTCAATGACTCGCTCACATCACAGCACAAGCTGGAAGTTGAGTGGGGCATGTACAGGGCTGGGGTGGAGACCCTGGTTACCTGAAACCTGAAGAGGGTGATTTGAAAGAGAGAACAGCCTTGTTTCTCGGCAGCTGGCTCTGGTTTTCTGTTGATAGGACATCACCATGATGTCTGAGCAATTTTTTAAGTCCCAGTGGGAGTCAGTTCCTATTTCTGCCAATTTCTGGTTCTGTGTGCCTGAAACATATCAATGCTGGCTGCATAAATAAATATCGAGGGAGCAGAGGAAGAATGATAAGGAGATAAGGTTCACCTTTGGGTTTATGGGGCTGGTGTGATTTCTGGAATATTCCACAAATGCACCTTGCTTTCCTTCTTTGGCTCACAGAGGTGTGAAATTGCTTGTGCCTATTTGTCCTCTATGGGAAGTGCTAGGGACAGGCCTCCTTTCTCACTCTACTGCTGTACTCATCATATTTCCTCATGGGAAGAGCAGAAATATTGGTGTACTGGGGAGGCTGGAAGGACTGATGATCTCTAGTTCACCTTGGTCTATTAAGCGGAGTTAATATTTTAAGACTTCATGTCTCTTTTTTCCTTCTGGACCCGCCTGGAATCTGACCTGGTTCCTTGCACTTTCACTTTTCATGATTTAATGCCCTCTCTCTCTCTGATGATGTTGTAGGAAAATTTTTGGCCAAAGAACAGAAGTGATTCATGTTTTGCCAGCCTCTTAATTAACTAAAGCCAAAAAATTGTAATCAGGTAGGGTGTGAAAGGTTTAGAAATCCAAGAATACCACCAAATAAATTTTCCAACATGGCTCTTTTTATCGTCTACTCAAGATAATACTGAAATACAATCGGGTGTTAGTGGCCTTGCCTTCACATATCTCTGCTGGAGAAATTTCTTTCCTGGGATAGTGTCAAGCAATTCTGAACAGTGACGATCCTTCCCCTCTTCTATTCCTGCCCACTCCCACCCTTATTGGAGGAAGACAGAGAGGTCCCTTCATGGTTCAGTTCCTGGAACATAAGCTCGTCACTGCTTGCCTGGGGACAAGGTGACCTGCCCCCTTCTTTTACACTTGAGCTAAGTGGCAAAAGTGACATTCAATTGCTATTTCTTCTTCTCATTTGGGGCCCTGGGAGCTCGGTCTCCTCTAACCTCTAATAGATTTATTACAAAGTAGCAAATGTGGAAAAGATCTCATGATTTACAGCAAGATATAAAGGCCCTGAAGAACGCTTTGTCTTCCATTTCCTACTCTTTGTTGTAACATCCATAAATTGTCTCTTGGGAAAGCAGGAGCCTAGCCTTGGGTTCCGTGTTCTCCTATTTTTCTCAAGGGAAGGATGGAATGTCGCATGGCAGGCAGCCAAGATGCTCGGCCTTCCAGGCAGGAACTTTAAGGCAGGATGCCTGTGGGGTGGGAGGCCGCTCAGTCTCCAGCACCTTGACCTGTGCGGGCTGTTGTGTGGGTGGGCTCTCTCTGGAGGTAGGAGGTGCCGGAGCTTGAGGTCCTTAAGCCCAGCTGCACTCTATATTCACCCAAATGGCATGAAACACAATCCCTGGAGGTGGGCCGAGGCATTAGGAGTTTTTTTTTTTAAAAAGCTCCCCAGTGATTCTAATATACAATATGTACCATTGTCCCAAGGCAATTTCCAGTTCTAAAGATTATTATAAAACATTTTTACTAAAGTGAATATTTTTCTCTTTACAGACAGTTCTTTTCATCCATTATCTAGTGGCAGTTAAGTACATAGTGGGAGAATTACCTAGTACCTAGTGAAAGAAGAAGGGGTGAGCAATGGCACTCCCAGCTCCAGTGCTTTCTAAGAGCATGGCGTCTATAGACCTTCACCCTTCAACTTTCAAGCAGTTCCTCAAGGTGGATGCTGCCATTTAAATAAGATTCAACTGAGGAAACTATAGCTTAGACAAGTTTAGGGACATGCTTAAGGTTCATACGATAGATCGATGGTGGAGCCAGGATTTGAATGCAGGCTTTCTTGGCCCTAAAGCCCAATTTCCTTGCTTTCTACCTGTGAATAGCACTCCGCTGGATCTTTCTTCTCTCTTTCAACCTTCATGGTAGCAGTTTAGAGCCCCTCCTTCTCTGAGGCCTCCAGACAACAGGATCTGCTATAATCATATCCTCCAGATTGTCCTGGCAACCCCAGTGGCCAAGAATTCTTTCTTCTTGACCCAAAGGATCCCTCTATATTCCTAAAATTCTCTAATGTGAGCATCCAAATGAATCCCTCCCTCTCCAAAATGGCATAATATTTCGATCTGATCTGTATCTCGATTTTCAGCTTGGAAGAAACAGTCACCGTAAGCATAGCTCACATAGAACCTTCCCTTCTCCACACATTCCCATCCCCCAAAAGCCTGGGCCCGTCAGGAGCAAGAAACACCAAACTGTGGTCACTTTGCAGCACTTTCTTACTATTCCTCCCAGTTTGTCCTGTTCTCTTCAGCTGGGTGATAGCTGTCCTGAGGCTGGCATGGTGGCCTAGGAGGAAATGTAACAAGACCTCCTGGTCTCCATTAAAAGTCAATTGTAAAAAAAACTGTATGAGAAGATGGGCTTAGCAGAGGCACCTGTGATATATACTTAGAATTTGATTCACAGGAAACTCTGTTTGCATCAACAGTAGGATCTGACCTCCCGCCTCCAAGCATACCTGATGTGGCCCTGTGGTGTATTCCTGAAAGTGGAACTGGAAGGGGGTTAGTGCTGTTCTCCTGCAAGTCAGGCCCATCTGGGCCTGGTGAGTTTTAGGCAGTGACTTGGAGAAGGGTCTACACAAACCGGAAGGTGTTAAGCAGATGTCAGTTGGCATGATGCGGGAATTTGACGCGTTATATGAAAACAAAACCAAAAACCAAAAAGTTTGCATAACTTGGAGTGGATATGGGAAAGAGAGATAACTTTATTCTTTAAGGTCCCAAGGGCTACTAATTATGTATTAGTTGGGCTAGGCTAAGCTGTGGTGCAGTAATAAGCCACAAGCATTTCAGCAGTTTCACCCAATAATAGTTTACCTCTCATTGTGCTGAAGTGCAGTGAAGATTGAGTTCTCTTTAATTTTGTAGTGACATTATGTGGAACATGTAGCCTCTGGGGCTGCTGCGGCAGGGGGAGAAATGGGGGGAAGAGGCATATTAGCTTCAAGTTGCCTCAGACTGGATGTGGTGAATGTCACTGCCACTCACAATCCATCAGAACTGGATCACCTGGTCCCAGTATAACTGCAAGGGAACAGGTGGTCAGTTTCCAGCAGAGTCATGGAAGTGCAGAGTCGTGGATGAATATATTTGGTGAGCACTAGCCCAGTCATGAACTGGGATCCTTAGTAGTTCTCCATGGTATTGGAATAAAATCCAGGTTCTTTGTCATGTGCCTTTCCACATTGCTGCATGGCCTCTACTTTTCTCAGCTGTAGTCTTACCTAGTCTCTTACTCCTCTTCCCCTCATTCAACCTGAAAGTGACACTTCAATGCCTCTAATTGAGGCATCACTTGTGCCTGGCATGCTCCTCCCTATTCTCTCTTACCCACACTCTTCAACACCTGGCTAATGCCTACTTCTCCTCCAGAACTCAACTCTGTATTTACAAGGCCAAGGCTTATCCCAAGGCCAAGCCTTATCCCTGAACCAGAATTCAGATTCAAGTCTTGGTTCTCAAGTTGGATCGTCTGCTATTGAATGCCAGAGTTACCACTTGCGTGACCATGGGCAAGTTAGTTACTTTACCTCTCTGGGTCTAAGATTATCATCTATAAAATATAGATAACAATAGTACTTATCTCATAGGATCCTTCAGAAGGTTAAAAAGACAACTGACTTGTACCACTTGGTATATTGTCTGGTTCTTTGTGAGCACTGAATGATTGCTAGCTCTCATTAGGAAATGGAATAATAATACTAATAGTTCTCAGGGTTGCTATGAGGCTCAAAGGAGATGTGGGGTATAAAAAGCATGATGCAGGAGTGACTCGCCTGAGCAAACAGGAACCCAGATCTCCTGGCTCCTGGTCCAGTGCTCCTTTCTGCTGTATCATAGAGCAGGGATCAGCAAAAACAGCTCACAAGCCAAATCCAGCCCACTGCTTCTTTTTAGAAATAAAGTTTTATTGGAAACACAGCCATGCCCGTTTGCTTACGTGTCATCTATTTGTGGCTTTTATGTTACTATGGCAGAGTTGAGTAGTTGTGACAAAGGCCACATGACCCAGGAAGCCAACAATGTTTACTATCTGGCATGTTGGAGAAAAAGTCTGCCAGTCCGGACCTAGAGTGTCAGCTGGCTGTCCCACTCTTCTGAAGTCTTTCCCTTTTCTTTAGTTAACACTACTTCTGGAACGCCATATGCCAAGCACTGTTTTACATATTTTATAAATATAGAGTTATTGAATCCTGGTAACAACTCCGTGAGGTGGATATTATTTTCCCCATTTTTTCAGATCAGGAAATTGAGGTTCAGAAATGTTAAAGAAATGTCAGCTGGATGTGATGGCTCACACCCATAATTCCAGCACTTTGGGAGGCCAAGGTGGGTGGATCACTTGAGGTCAGGAGTTTGAGACCATCCTGGCCAACATGGTGAAACCCCATCTCTACTAAAAATATACAAAAATTAGCCAGGTGTGGCGGCGGGCACCTGTAATCCCAGCTATTCTGGAGGCTAAGGCAGGAGAATCACCTGAACCCGGGAGGCTGAGGTTGCAGTGAGCTGAGATCGTGCTACTGAACCCCAGCCTGGATAGTAGAGTGAGACTGTGTCTCAAAAAAAAAAAAAAAAGAAAAAGAAAGAAATTGTCCAAGGTCACCTAACTGGTGACCCACATTCAAATCTAGGTACTGTGGCTCCAGAATCCCTACTTGTCCCACTGTACTCTGCATACCACCCAAGCTTGCCACAGAAACACAGGTTTGGGGTGCTGGGGATGCTTAGACAGCATTGGAGCTGACACCCTTTTTTACCAGGTGATGGCCAGGCTTCTGGGGACACTGAGGCTCATGAGGGAAAGGAACGTGTTCAAACTTTCCAGCAAGGTCTGCGTGCTCTAGGAGGTGAGAGGTTGTCCCAAAGTGACAACATTTGGGAGGCCGAGGTGGGCAGATTTCTTGAGCTCAGGAGTTTGAGACCAGCCTGGGCAACATGGTGAAACCCCGTCTCCACAAAACAAAAAACAATAAACAAAAAACAAAAATTAGCCTGGCATGGGCACGTGCCTGTAGTCCCAGCTACGCAGGGGACTGAGGCGGGAGGATCATTTCAGCTCGAGAGGTCAAAGGTGTGACGAGCCAAGATTGCATAAGTACACTCCAGCCTGAGTGACACAGTGAGACTCTGGCTGAAAAAAAAAAAAAAGAAAAGAAAAAGTAACAAGAATAAAGCAGTTTTATTAGGAAAATTTAAGAACACATAAAAGAAGAGAGAATATGAGGTTTAATGAACCCCACATACCCTTACCCGTCAGCCAGCTTCAACAGTTATCAACATTTTGGCAATGTAATTTCATCTATTACCTCCCAATTTTAGGATGGGGAGCAGAGTTTAAAAAACATATCCTAGGGCAGGCACAGTGGCTCATGCCTGTAATCCCAGCACTTTGGGAGGCCGAGGCGGGCAGATCACCTGAGGTTAGGAGTTTGAGACCAGCCTGACCAACATAGTGAAAACCCATCTCTACTAAAAATATACAAAAGTTAGACAGGTGTGGTGGTGGGCACATGTAATCCCAGCTACTCAGGAGGCTGAGGCAGGAGAATCGCTTGAACCCGAGATGCGGAGGCTGCAGTGAGCTGAGATTACGCCTCTGTACTCCACCCTGGGAGACAAGTTTTATATATATATCTGGCATCCTGTTACTTTACACATAAATACTCTAGGGTCCAAATTTCTTTTGGTGAAGGGTTTGAGAGAGAAAACCCTCAGCCTAGGTTAGCACTCTGGGGCAGAATGGGTGGCTGTGATGAGGGAGGGTGCTGCATTTTCTGCAACCATCAGGGCAGGTTTGCACACACACATCTATCTTTCCCTGGGCCCTGACTCCAGCCCCAGGCCTCCCTCCCTTATGACTAATGCCAGGGCCTGCCAGATTCAGGCAGCTCCTGGGGGAAAAAAAACACCTTGTGAAATGCTGTCTGAAACTAGGATGAGAAAAAAACACGAAACCCTATCTTGAGTGGATTTCTTATTCACCATCATCCTCCTTTTCCAAAAGCAGCCTCTTGCCTGCTGTGGGCTGCTGAGCCCTGGCCTATGTGTATTGGTGTCCGCTGAGTCACCTGTGTCATTCCTATTATCTTATTTACCCATGTTTGTTATTTTCTAGCTGCATGACTCACCCGGCCAAGAGGGTAACAGAGCCTGGAGAGATGAGTCTTTCGTTAAATGCTCTCAGCCCCTCCTTTGGAGGTGAAATCCTTTTCCTCCCAACTCTCTCATCTGAGCAACCAAAAGAAGGGTGTGGAAGGCCAGAGATGCATGGAGCCTTTCAGAAGGACCAGCCAGATGGTGCCAGGCTCAGGGCTAGGTATAGGCAGCCTCGCAGAATTCAGGAAAATGTCTGCTCTGTTTTCCAACCTGCCCAGCTGGGCCTTCCTGTTCCATTCTCCACTGTGCCCAGTCACAGCTGGGGAGAGGGTGCTCTCTATCCAGCACCCCAAGAAAGCTTCCTTCTGTTGAGGTGGACGAGGTGGGAAGCAGCAGGAAGGACCTTGCCTCTGGCCTGTGGCATACCCACACTTTGCTCACTCTCATTGTCGCTTGACAATGACAACCACCCCTATCAGTTTCTGGCCTCCTATGCCGGACACTATGCCAGCCACTATGCTTGGTTCCCTGCATACATTTCGGTTAGGAAGAGAGCCTAGGAGTCTTTTCATGTAGTTTCCAGGCCAGGACAGATAGTGGGTTCCCCACTTTACCATAGCCCCCCCACCCCTCTGCTCCCCAAAGCTTTACTTTTATTTATTTTTATTTTTTTTGAGATGGAGTCTTGCTCTGTCACCCAGGCTGCAGTGCAGTGGCATGATCTCAGCTGACTGCAACCTCTGCCTCCCGAGTTCAAGCGATTCTTCTGCCTCAGCCTCCTGAGTAGCTGGGACTACAGGTGCGTGCCACCACGTCTGCCTAATTTTTGTATTTTTAGTAGGGACAGGGTTTCACCATATGGGCCAGGCTGGAGCTTTACTCTTTACAGAGCAGCCAGACTGATTCTTATAGGCAATAGAACAGAGCATAACACTCTGCTGTTTAAAACTCTCCATGGGGGAGGCACATCCTTTGGGACATAAAAGAAAATTCATCTCACCACCATGACCTACTTGATATTCAGAGTATGGTCCACCAGCCTTGGAGGCGGGGAGGGCTGGAGGAGGAAGCAGGCTTCATTAGAAACGAGGAATCTCAGGCCCCACTCCAGCCTTGCTCAATCAGAAGTTGTGGTTTAACAAGATCCCAGGTGATCCACATTGCCTTAAAACCTAAGAAGCCCTTCCACCTCCCAGAGCCTGATGGGATGGAGCCCAACATTGACTGCTTATTTGAGTCACCTGGGTAGGTTTTGCAACTCTAACGTCCAGCTCCTGACCCTAGGGATCTTGACTCAGTTCCTCCTTGCTGCCACTTCAGAAGGCAGGTATTATGGGTTCCACCTTTACGATTGAAGTCAAATCTCAGAGAGGTTAAGTATGCTGTTCAAGGGCATCCAGCCATGCGGAAGCTGGGGCTGTTTGGATGTCTTTATCTCTGGCTTGAAGGGCAGGAGGAATTGAGAGTATGGGCTCTGGAGTCAAGCTTGCCTGGGTTTGAATTTCTGCTGCACCACCATATACAAACTGGGCCAATTATTTATCAGCTGAGCTTTATTTTCCTCATTTGTAAAATAGGGATAAAAAAAGAATCTATGCCACAGTGATGTCAAGAGGATTAAATGAAATAATATGCTTAGCATAGTGCTTGCAACATGCTAAGAGCTTAGTGTACATTAGTTGCCACTATTATACTGGTTATTGTTATTTCTTGATCCTCCTGCCTCAGCCTCCAGAATAGCAGGGCTAAAGATGTGTGTCACCATGCCTGATATATGTGTGTGTGTGTGTATATATTTGGAGATATATATATATATATATATATATATATATATATATATGTATATATGTATATATGTATTTGTAGAGACCAGGTCTCGCTATTTCACCCAGGCTCCTGTGGAACTCCTGGCCTTAAGTGATCCTCCTGCCTCAGCCTCCTGAGTTGCTGGGATTACAGGTGTGAGCCACCATGCCTGGTATCATTGTTACTATTTATTATTCCTTGCCCTCAGTTTTTGGTTCTTTTATGCAATAGAAGCCCTGAATTATCTGGCTTCCAGGATTTTTTTTTTCCTAGTGATTCCAGGTCCAATGTGCATAGTGAAAAAGACATGAGATTTAGAGTTATCTTATTTGTTGTTTGATTTAAGCAGAGCATGTGGCTTCTCAAATCCTCTCCTTCCCTTACCTGTGAAATGAAGACATGCACACCCATCTCTAGAGTTGGTGTGAATATGGAATGTGATGTCAGGTATAAGATAACCATACTGGGCCTTGATACACTGAATTGGACTGAAACTGATCCAATTAGACTGTGACTTACACTTGCACCATTGAAGCCTGTCCCTTGGAGTTTCACCCTGCATATAGCAATAACCTTGAGCAACAGAGCCCTCCGAGGGCAAGATTAGCCCCTCTTTCTTTTTCTTTCCTTTCCTTTTTTTTTTTTTTTTTGAGACAGAGTCTTGTTCTGTCACCCAGGCTGGAGTGCATTGGTGTGAACTTGGCTCACTACAACCTCCACCTCCCATGTTCAAGTGATTCTCATGCCTCAGCCTTCCTAGTAGTTGGGATAACAGGTGTGCACCACCACGCCTGGCTAATTTTTGCATTTTTAGTAGAGACAGAGTTTCACATGTTGGCCAGGCTGGTCTCAAACTCCTGGCATCAAGTGATCCCCCAGCCTTGGCCTCCCAAAAGTGCTGGGATTACAGATGTGAGCCACCTCACCCAGCCAGCTCCTCTTTCTTGGCAGGAATACAGCACTGGCCGTCTGGGCAGATCCTGCTCTTTTCTATTGTTGAAGGAACTGGGGACACAAAGGTGAAATGCAATGGGCCACCAGGCAACTGACACCTCAGCCCCAACTAAGAGGCAGTGTGATGACCGACAACATGGGGTCTGGGGCCCCACTGCCTGGACGCGCATTGATTCTCTCCCCCACCCGTAGTGTGGCTTTGGGCAAGTTATTTAATCTCTGTTCTTCATGTTTTTCGACTATAAATTGGGGATATACCACTGATATGGTTTGGATCTGTGTCCCTGCCCAAATCTCATGTTCGATTGTACTCCCCTGTGTTGGAGGTGGGACCTGGTGGGAGGTGATGGGGGCCGATTCCCCCCTCGGTGCCGCATTCGTGATAGTGAGTGAGTGCTTGTGAGATCTGGTTGCTTAAAACTAAGGGTGTAGCACTTCCCCGCTCTCTCTCTTCTGCCTGCTCTCCTTCACCTTCTGCTATGATTGAAAGTTTCCTGAAGACTCCCCAGAAGCCAAGCAGATGCCAGACTCATGCTTCCCGCACTGCCTGAGGAACTGGGAGCCAATTAAACCTCTTGTTTTTTTAAAAAAAATTAATTAGGCCGGGCGCGGAGGCTCAGCCTGTAATCCCAGCATTTTGGGAGGCTGAGGCGGGCGGATCACCTGAGGTCGGGAGTTTGAGACCAACCTGACCAACATGGAGAAAACCCACCTCTACTAAAAATACAAAAAAAAAAAAAAAAAAAAAAATTAGCCGGGCATAGTGGCTCATGCCTGTAATCCCAGCTACTTGGGAGGCTGAGGCAGGAGAATCACTTGAACCCGGGAGGCAGAGGTTGCAGTGAGCGGAGATCGCGCCATTGCACTCCAGCCTGGGCAACAAGAGTGAAACTCTGTCTCAAATAAAATAAAATAAAATAAAATAAATTATCCAGTCTCAGGCATTTCTGTATAGTAATGTGAGAACAGACTAATACAAGCACCTACCTCACAGAGTGGATACAAGAGGTGAATGTGTTCATAAGCAGAGATGTGTGGAGTTGTGCTTAACACATAGCAGGTGCCGTGTGATTGTCCTATACTTGCCCCTCTACCCCCATGAAGCTGAATTGCCTCCTTTGTGCTCCTACCTAACAGTACGTGCAATGTTCTGTTTGTTAATCTCATTTCCCCATGAGTTCATCTCTGTGTTTCTGGCGCTTAGCAGCAGAGAGCCTGACACATACTTGGTACTTCTTATTTTGCAGGAATGAGAGAACTCCAAGATCAGCTGCTGTGAGCTGGAGGCCTGCAGATTAGTTTTACAGGAATTAGATGCAAGTCAGGGAGATATGTGCCCATAGCCTGAGGATGTCTGGTCCTGGGCCTGGAATAATCCTAATCCCTTCAGAGGGAAGCTTGCGGAAACAGGAAGAGAATTACTCAACACCTCTTCAGTGCCAGGGGCTTGATAGACGCACAGCCCTCACTTAGGCTCATAACATTGGAAAAATTCATCAGAGAAAGTAAACCCTCTGACTGTCAGCCAGTCATGGAAACCCTCAGGGTTTTACTTTGCACATGAAACTTTCTGTCCATACCGCGTTAGGCAAAGAAGATTTTTAGAGTTTCCAAATCTTCAGAGTGGAGGTCTGTCAGAAAAACAAATTTTTCTCTTGCTAAAACTGACTTTGATGAATTATGATGCAAAAAATTATTATTATTATTTTTTAACCAAATTCTGAATCACAAGTCCCCTCTAAAGGAATATTTTCATGTTAATTTTTTTTTTTTAATTTTTCTTTTTTTTTTTTTTTTTTAATTATACTCTAAGTTTTAGGGTACATGTGCATATTGTGCAGGTTAGTTACATATGTATACATGTGCCATGCTGGTGCGCTGCACCCACTAATGTGTCATCTAGCATTAGATATATCTCCCAATGCTATCCCTCCCCCCTCCCCTGACCCCACCACAGTCCCCAGAGTGTGATATTCCCCTTCCTGTGTCCATGTGATCTCATTGTTCAATTCCCACCTATGAGTGAGAATATGCGGTGTTTGGTTTTTTGTTCTTGCGATAGTTTACTGAGAATGATGGTTTCTCATGTTAATTTTTAATTTAATGAATGCTCATATAGCACTCTTCTGTCAGCCACCATTCTAAGTACTTAGTGAATATTAGCTCATTCTAACCTTCATAGAAACCCTTTGACGTAGGTGGTATTATGCTTGTTTTACAGACGGGGAAACTGAGGCACAGAGAGGTTAAAGTCAATTGCCCCAGCATAGAGGCAGAAATCAACTAACTTGGCTCCAGAATTTGGGCTCAGAATGGCTAGGCTTTGCCATCCCATTTAGGTCTCACCACCTTCATTTAAGTCTTACATCAACCCTGCAAAGTAGCTTTGTTTCCATGTACTCAGGATACTGAGGCTCAGAGAGGGTCATACAGCTAGAAGTAACAGGGCTACAGTTGGAATTCACTTTTGTTGAACTGCAAAGTGACAGCAGGCTGAGCTAAGCGGTCAGCCCATGGAGGAAGGATGTTCTGCCTTTACAGGTGTAGGACCAGTGGGCACTTTCCCCAAGCTTCTGCCCATCCCCCGAAACTCAAACCCTTGAATTCTCCTTTCTTTTTTTTTTTTTTTTTTTTTTCCATTTTCTTTATCTTAGAAGAAAATGCTGAATGGCAGTACTGATATTAAAGGGCATCTTTGTCTTATCTTTTACTGAAATGGGAGTCCTACTGATGTTTTCTTCTTTTCCAAGGACATTTGTTTTTCTTTCTTTTTTCTTTTCTTTTTTTTTGTTTTCTTGGAGATAGGGTCTTGCTCTGTTGCCCAGGCTGGAGTGCAGCAGTGCGATCTTGGCTCACTGCAACCTCTTCAAGCGATTATCATATCTCAGCCTCTTGAGTAGCTGGGATTACAGGCACCTGCCACCACACCTGGCTAACTTTTATATTTTCAGTAGAAATGGGGTTTCGCCATGTTGCCCAGGCTGGTCTTGAACTCCTGGCCTCAAGTGATCTGCCCACCTCCGCCTCCCAAAGTGCTGGGATTACAGGCACAAGCCACTGCGCTTGGCATCCAAGGACATTTCTTTATTGGAGGTTCTTTGGTGTACAGGCAGAGCCCTGCATAGGCAGTGAGAAGATGGGGGGATGGCTGACTATGGCTCTGTCTCTTGCTTGCAAGAGAACTTGGACAGATTGTGTAACTGCCCTTCAATGTTAACATTTAGAGTTGAATAAGATTTAAGGTTCATTGTTTAAATTTTTTAATATAGTTTTTGTTTTTTTTTAAACAGCAGAATACTTCAACCTCCAAATACAAAATAGGTACCATACCTGTTTCTACATTAGAGGTTTCTATAACCTCTGTAGAAGTTAACTTTGGAAATCATTGGATTAAATACTATCAAATCTTTTTTAAATATTAACTCATTTATTTATTTTTTTTCCACAAGTTATTGGGGTACAGGTGGTATTTGGTTACATGAGTAAGTTCTTTAGTGGTGGAGTAAGAACATTAGTAAGTTCTTTTGTGAGATCCTGGTGCACCCATCCCCCGAGCAGTGTACACTGCACCATGTTTGTAGTGTTATATCCCTCACCCCCTCCCACACTTCCCCTCAAGTCCCCAAAGCCCATTGTGTCATTCTTATGCCTTTGCGTCCTTGTAGCTTAGCTCCCATATATCAGTGAGACCATATGATGTTTGGTTTTCCATTCTTGAGTTAGCTTCACTTAAAATAATAGTCTTCAGTCCCATCCAGGTCATTGCAAATGCTGTTAATTTATTCCTTTCTATGGCTGAGTAGTATTCCATCATATATATGTGTGTGTGTGTGTGTGTGTGTGTATATATCTCACAGTTTCTTTATCCACTCGTTGATTATTGAGGGTCATTTGGGTTGATTCCACAATTTTGCAATTGTGAATTGTGCTGCTATAAACATGCATGTGCAAGTATCTTTTGCGTATAATGACTTCCTTTCTTCTGGGTAGATACCCAGTAGTGGGATTGCTGGATCAAATGGTAGTTCTACTTTTAGTTATTTAAGAAATCTCCACTTCCATAGTGGCTGTACTAGTTTACATTCCCACCAGCTGTGTAGAAGTGTTCCCTGATTACCACATCCACGCCAACTTCTACTGTTTTTTGATTTTTTGATTATGGTCATTCTTGCAGGAGGAAGGGGGTATCGCACTATGGTTTTGATTTGCATTTCCCTGATCATTAGTGATGTTGAGAATTTTTTCATATGTTTGTTGGCCATTTGTATACTTTTTCTGAGAATTGTCTGTTCATGTCCTTAGCCCACTTTTTGATGGGATTGTTTATTTTGTTCTTGCTGATTTGTTTGAGTTCATTGCAGATTCTGGATATTAGTCGTTTGTCATATGTATAGATTGTGAAGACTTTCTCCCACCCTGTGGGTTGTTTGTTTACTCTGCTAACTGTTCCTTTTGCTGTGCAAAAGCTCTTTAGTTTAATTAGGTCCCAGCTATTTATCTTTTTTTAATTGCATTTGCTTTTAGGCTCTTGGTCATAAAATCCTTGCTTAAGCCACAGTCTAGAAGGGTTTTTCCAATGTTAGCTTCTAGAATTTTTTACTTTCAGGTCTTAGGTTTAAGTCCTTAATCCACCTTGAGTTGATTTTTGTATAAAGGTGAGAGATAAGGATACAGTTTCATTCTCCTGCACGTGGCTAGCCAATTAACCCAGCACCATTTGTTGAAAAGGGTGTCATTTCCCCACTTTGTGTTTCTGTTTGCTTTGTCAAAGATCAGTTGGCTGTAAGCATTTGGGTTTATTTCTGGGTTCTCTATTCTGTTCCATGGGTCTATGTGCCTATTTTTATACCAGTATCATGCTGTTTGGGTGACTGTAGCTTTGTAGTATAGTTTGGAATCAGGTAGTGTGATGCCTCCAGATTTGTTCTTTCTGCTTAGTCTTGCTTTGGCTATGCAGGCTCTTTTTTGGTTCCATATGAATTTTAGATTTTTTTTTTAAATTTTGTGAAGAATGATGGTGGTATTTTGATGGAGATTGCACTGAATATATAGTTTGCTTTTGGCAGTATGGTCATTTTCACAATATTGATTCTACCCATCCATGAGCATGAGATGTGTTTCCATTTGTTTGTGTTGTCTATGATTTCTTTCAGCAGAGTTTTGTAGTTTTCTTTGTAGAGGTCTTTCAACTCCTTAGTTAGGTATATTTCTAAGTGTTTTATTTTATTTTTGCAGCTATTGTAAAAGGGGTTGGGTTCTTAATTTGATTCTCCACTTGGTTGCTGTTGGTGTATAGAAGAGCTACTGATTTGTGTGTATTAATCTTGTATCTGGAAACTTTGCTGAATTCTTTTGTCAGTTCTAGGAGCTTCCCGGAGGAGTCTTTAGGGTTTTCAAGGTAAATGATAATACTATCAGCAAACAGTGACAGTTTGACTTCCTCTTTACCAATTTGGATGCCCTTTATTTTTTTCTCATCTGATTGCTCTGGCCAGGACTTCCAGTACTATGTTGAAGAGGAGTGGTGAGAGTGGGCATCCTTGTCTTGTTCCCATTCTCAGAGGGAATGCTTTCAACTTTTCCCCATTCAGCATTATGTTGGATGTAGGTTTGTCACAGATGGCTTTTATTACATAAAGGTATGTCCTTTGTATGCTGATTTTGCTAAGGGTTTTAATCATAAAGTGATGCTGGATTTTGTCGAATGCTTTTTCTGCATCTATTGAGATGATTATGTGATTTCTGTTTTTAATTCTGTTTATGTGGTGTATTACATTGATTGACTTGCATATGTTAAACCATCCCTGCATCCCTGGTATGAAACCCACTTGATCATGGTGGATTATCTTTTCGATATGTTGTTGTATTTGGTTAGCTAGTATCTTGTTAAGAATTTTAGCATTTATGTTCATCAAGGATATTGGTCTGTAGTTTTCTTTTTTTGGTTATGTCCTTTCCTGGTATTGGTATTAGAGTGATTCTGGCTTCATAGAATATATTAGAGAGGGTTCCTTCTTTCTCTATCTTGTGGAATAGTATCAAAAGGATTGGAACCAATTTTTCTTTGAATGTCTGGTAGAATTCTGCTGTGAATCTGTCTGGACCTGGAGGTTTTTTTGTTGGTAATTTTTTAGTTACCATTTCAATCTCGCTGCTTGTTATTAATCTGTTTGGGGTATCTAATTCTTCCTGATTTAAGCTAGAAGGGTTGTATTTCTCCAGGAATTTATCCATCTCTTCTAGGTTTTCTAGTTTATGTGCATAAAGATGTTCACAGTAGCCTTGAATGATCTTTTGTATTTCATTGATGTCAGTTGGAATATCTCCTGTTTCATTTCTTAGTGAGGTTATTTGAATTTTCTCTCTTTTCTTGGTTAATCTTGTTAACGGTCTATCAATTTTATTTGTCTTTTCAAAGATCCAGCTTTTTGTTTCATTTATCTTTTGTATTTTTTTTTTTTTTTTGGTTTCAATTACATTTTTTTCTGCTCTGATCTTGGTTATTTTCTGTCTTCTGCTGGGTTTGGGTTTGGTTTGGTTCTTGTTTCTCTAGTTCCTTGAGGTGTGACCTTAGAATGTCAGTTTGTGCTCTTTCAGTCTTTTTGATGTAGGCGTTTAGGGCTATGAACTTTCCTCTTAGCACCGCCTTGGCTGTATCCCAGAGGTTTTTGTAGGTTGTGTCATTATTGTCGTTAAGTTTGAAGAAATTTTTAATTTTCCTCTTGATTTCATTTGTGACCCAGTGCTCATTCAGGAGCAGATTATTTAATTTCCATGTATTTGCCTGGTTTTGAAGGTTCCTTTTGGAGTTGATTTCCAGTTTTATTCCACTGTAGTCTGAGAGAGTGGTTTATACAATTTCGATTTTCTTAAATTTATTGAGGCTTGTTTTATGGGCTATCATATGGTCTATTTTGAAGAAAGAGCAAATCTTTTATGATTAGGAGAAGCCAAAAGGACCAGTAATATTATCCTAGGGGTCCTGTAACAAATTACCATAAATTAGTTGGCTGGAAACAACAGAAATTTATACTCTCGTAATTCTGGAGGCCAGAAGTTTGAAATCAAAGTATGGCCAGGGCTGTGCTCATTCTGAAGGCTCTAAGGAAGAATCCTGCCTTGCCTCTTCTGAGGCTTCTGGTGACTCTGGCGATCCTTGACACTCCTTGTATTGTAGCTCCATCGCTTCAATGTCTGCCTCCATCTTCATACATCTTCTCCTCTGTGTGGCTATGTATGGCTTCTTCTCTTCTGTTTCTTACAAGGACACTTGTCATTGGAATTAGGGTCCACCTGGATGAGCCAGGATGTTCTCATTTTGAGATCCTTAACTTAATGACATGTGCAAAGACCCTTTTTCTAAATAAAGTCATTGTGTTAGTCTGTTCTTGCATTGCTATAAAGAAATATCTGAGACTGGGTAACTTATGAAGAAAAGAGGTTTAATTGGCTCATGGTTCTGCAGGCTGCACAGGCAACCTAGTGGCCTCTGCTCCTGGGGAGGCCTCAGGAAGCCTCCAATCATGGCAGATGGCAAAGGGGGAGCAGGCACATTATATGGAGTGGACAGGTGCACGAGAGGTGTCAGGGGGCAGGGGAGGTGCTACACATTTTTAAATGACCAGATCTTGTGAGAACTCACTATCACGAAGACAGCACCAAGCCATGAGGGTTCTACCCTTATGGTCCGAACACCTCCCACCAGGCCCCACCTCCAGCACTGGAGATTACAAATGCAACATGAGATTTTGTGGGGACAAATATCCAAACTCTATCAGTCATATAGCAGAATCTTTCTTGTGAGCCATTAAAAGAAAAATGTACCAGTAAGAAATATTCTCAATAGTCACGGTTCCAGGGATTGGGATGTACCTTTTTAGGGCCACCACTCAACCCACTATAATCAGTAATAACTTAAACTTTTAAACATCTATTCTGTCTTGCACTCTGCTAAGCACATCAGGTATACAGAGATAAGACAGAGACACTACCTCTGACTGGTTTCCCTTCCTTTGCCTTCCCTTCCCTTCCCTTCCCTTCCCTTCCCTTCCCTTCCCTTCCCTTCCTCTCCCTTCCCTTCCTTCTAAAGATGAGTTTATTAAATTAAAATTTACATACAGTAGCATTTGTCCTGTTTACATATATAGCTGTGGAAACCAGTTTAGAGAGAGAAAACAACTTTTTCAAGCATGTACAGAGAAGAAATAGCAGACGTCAGGATTTGAACCCATGTTCTCTATTGCCAGAGCCTGTATACTAAACCACAGTCTACACAGCCTCCACTCTTCTTCTGGGAGTCTCTGGCTCCTCATCTGTCAAATGAGGAAGCTGACAAGATGCTTTCTAGAAGCTCTGAGAGTGCTGTTGTGAGAGACTCCCATGGTGAAAGGCAGGGGAGCACTTATTCAAAGAAATCCTTCAGTGTGAAGAGAGTCTTTTTGAAATGGAAATTTTTGCGCCTCCTGTAAGTATTCAGCCTATTTGTGATATATTGCAGGTCTATGTGCCTGGTTAAGTAGATTTGCAGCTCATGATATCTCATTTCAATTGAGCTAATTCTTACAAAATGGACAAGTGATTTAAATGATTCCATGAAGAAATTGCAAGCTGTAGATAATATTAATGATGTGAGGCTAAGGAAACAGCAGGAGAATGGCTGACTTGATACCCCTGCAGCTCCCAGTGCTTGCTGTTTTTCAGCTAATTACAGGGTAAAATTAATGGCAGTCTAATGACATCAATCACAAAATTGGTCAGAAGACAAAAATTATTAAGAAGACTATTTGAAATATGGCCTTTCATATTCATTATCATTCATGATGATGCTCTCCTGAGTGAATATTGTGTCTTGATAAAGCTAAGGAGAATTGCCATTGCAATTGACCAGCATTAAAAAACCTAAGGTTTTTCAACTGTTCAAAGTCATGAGACACTCACTCCAGCTCTTTACACATTTGGATTAAATTTGATAATTTTCAATTTATTACTTAACAGTGAAAGTGAATAGCCATATTCCATTGGCCAAACATTATTGCTCTTGACAGTCACTTATCCTTGTGACTCTTGACAGTCACTTATCTTTGAAAAGATAAGTGAAAATGGTTGAAGAAATACCTAACAACTACATTCCTTAGTCATTAAATACTGTTGGAAGATGCATCAAACTTGTTGTCAAAGAGCTGAAGAAACAAATATTAAAACAAATAGTTTAGTGTGAGAGGTTTGCAATGCAGTTGCTCAAAAGTACAGATGTTTCTGACATATTTCAGCTTTTGTCATTGCTGGATTCTTCTTTTCAATAATGGAATACATTGGAGGGCCCTTTCTTGTGAGCCATTAAAGAAAAAATGTACCAGAAAGAAATATTCTCAATAGTCAGTTAGTTTCTTAACAAAAGCAATGTTTTTGGTATTTGTGTTGACTGGGATGAAAAAACTAGGTAAGTTTCCTGAGCTAGCACCTCATGTGAAATTTATTTACTGCATTGTCCACATCAAGCTATTTAAGCAAGTAAGTTAAAGTCACAAGAGAATAGAGCACAATAGGATGTCACTGATGTGGACCAATATATAGAGGCAAGATGTTTAAAATATAGCAGAATCTTAACAATACTTTATAATTAGATAGGAAATAAACCTGAAATATTTTGTGCATGCAGAGATTCCCTCATTCTATTTTGGCAAAGTATTTGAAACAGTAAGTGAACATAAAATATGGGTTCCAAATTATTTGATCTTTTCAAGGATAAGTGACTGTGAAGAATAAGGTATAGCAGGTACATTTGAAAAAACATAAACCTACATTTAAATTACCCTATCAGGGTAAATGTCATGAGTTAGTAATGAGTGAAATTGTAACTGATTTTCAGAAGAAACTTGTAAACCACAGTGAGATGCCATTGTGTATGCACCAAAATGGCTAAAATGAAAAAGATAATACCAAGAGCTGACAAGAATGTGGAACAATTAGAAATCCCACAGTGGTGGAAGTGTCAATTCATAAAACCTGTTCAGGCAACTGTTTGGCAGTATTTAGGAAGGCAGAACATAAGAAAACCCAATGACCCAGCAATTTAATTCTAGGTATACACCAACAGAAAGCATACAAATGTTCATCAAAAGACACCAAACTGTTCATAGCAGCACCATTCCTCATACTCTAACACTGGAAATGACCCAAGTGCCCATCAAAGGTAAAATAGATAAACTTTTTGTTGTGTATTCACACAAGAGAATACTCCATGAATGAGTGATCCACAACAATACTTGGTGATAGGGACACATCTCACAAATGAGATTTTGAGAAAAAGGAGCCACACAAACAAAAGGTTTTGTCTGGTGTGATTCCACTTACGTGAGGTTAAAAAGAAAACTCAGGCAAAATTAATCTGAAAGTTAGGATAGTGGTTGTCCTTGGGTGGAAAAGAACTGGCAAGGGCATAGAGAGAGGCTCCTAGGGGTGCAGACAATGTTTTGTGTCTTAATCTGTTTCCTAAACAAGGCATGTTCACGTTGATCTGTCCACTTACATGTACACTTTTCTGTGTGCGTATTCTTGAATAAAAAGAAAAAAAGTCACTTGTTCTGTGAAGACACGGTTTGCGCAGTGATGATTTGAAGCAGTCTCTGTGTTAACATTGTTAAACATAATGTGTATAAGCCACATCTCTATTTCTGAAGAGATTGAAATAGAATAATCTAGCCTGTTTTAAATTTCCAAATGAAATGTTTCAGTGCATATTGAAGTATTTTTAAAACTTTTCAATAAGTTGTGAGAAAAATGGATTGTCACCAAGAAAGTTGGAAATTTACTAGCCAAATTTCACCAAGACCTTTGCCTAACTGGTAGATGGAATTAAAAAATAAAAAAATAAGTGTTATGACTGAATAGGTCAACAATGCTGTATTTCTTTCATTTGGATCTATGTATCTTTTTGAGACATCTTTTCCAGCTATGACAGCCATTAAAAGCAGGTATCAGAACAAATCAAATTTAGGACCAAACCATCAATTACTATGTCATGAAGATCAAACCAAGATTGAAAAAAAAAGGAATGCATGTTCAAAATCACATTGTGCTCGCTGAAATAATTTTTATTCTTTGAAATTTTTTATAGGAAAGCAAAAAAGTTGGTTAGGTGTTACTAAATAAAATAAATATTAAAATTATTTAATTAATCTCGACTTCAATGTTTAAAACTTACTATTATGTAATTGTATGACATATATTAGAATAATAGAGTAATAGTATCTGTACATAAATTAAAAATACACAGGCATATATTGGAGGTGCATGCTTGAAATTTTGTTATTGATATAGGGCCAGATTATAAATAGCTCAGAGAGCACTGGCCTATTCTCTTTCCTTAGGGTAACAAATTCTCTTTCCTTCAGTAACAGGTCGATGTGAGTTAGGAGCCAGGGAGATGAAGATTTGAATCCTATTTCTGCTGATTACTAGATGTCTGATTTTGAACACTTAGTCAGTGGATCTGGATCTGGGTTTTTCATTAGTAGAATGAGAATTTAGCACCTCTCTGGAAAGGTTTGATAAGATACTTCAATGAGTCAATAGATGTAAATGTCTCAGTACCTTGACTAGCCTCTGGAAGTTCAATCAATGGTCACTGCAACAGTCACGTTGTTGTTTCCTGGTGTTTTCTAAACTTACCTCATAATAACCATCTCCTGGGTGCTTGTTGAAAATGTGTGGGCCTCACTTCAGATTTTCTTCGTGGGGATTTGTAACTTGTATCTTTGGACGGTCTCCAGTGATTCTTACTATCAAGTGAGTTTGAGAAAGACTGATTTAGAAGGTGTTGAAGCCATCTTTCCTCTAATGATTGTTCTCTGGGACCAGTCTTCTCTCCTATGTGCCATGAACTCCCATAGGACCATCTCTATCCCTGACAGTCTAGCAGGGAGCTCTATAAGCCACTGAAGAGCAATGGGTGGTGACAGCCAAGGTGAAAGCTCCACAATTAGGATGATGAGCAAAAGCTGGTCCCAGTGGGCAGAGCACAGCAACCAGGAGATGAGGAGAGGCACCAGGCTGAGATCATGGTGTGAGAGGGGTACATGAAGAAGGAGGAGAAACTTCCCCCTTGGGCCTGGGGCTCAGTAGCCTGCTTGATCGTCACACAGCTAGGATCAGAAGTAGGATTAGATCCCTGGGGGAGCTGGATGAGGGCCATTGGAGGCAACGCATGGTGCCCAGGCACACTGTCAGGCTCTGTGTCGTTGAGACCTAGGTTCAAGTGGGAGCCAACCAGAACTGACACATAAAATCAGATAAGTCCAGGAGTAGGATAGACTTGTGCTTTGTTGTTTGATCCTGATGAAGATTCTTCCGTTCCATTCCCATTGACTTAGGACAGATTGGTTCCTGAATTGTATGAGGATCAAGCAGGCTACTGTGGGTTGACCTATGCTAGGTGCTCAATGAGCGCATGCACATTCAGCATGCAATTAGGTAATCACACTTATTCTTCTCTTGTCATTTTGTCTTCTGTGCATCTACTTTGTTCACCTAGGCCCTTGCTTTGCTTCTCCAGGGATGATGGCCTGGCTGAGCCGCACCGCGCAGGCGCTCTTCCCCAGCGCAGACGCCCTGCTCTGTCCTGACAGTCCCGCGTTGCCCTCAATCTGAAGGTATGGATAATTAAGGTAATGAACACTTTTCCACTAGCTGCTGAAAGCCTCATTAATCTACACACATGTTGCCACAGGCAAATTATGGCGTCAAGGGTGGGAGGATCAACAAAAATAACTTCAGAAATTCATTAATCAGACTTAGTCAAACACATAGTTTGGAACTGAGTGTTCTTATCCTGCGATGATCAGAGGATTCGATTTTTTTTTTTTTCCAAAGACATGAAAGGGACTTCTTAAGCAATATTTGGGAACATCTAAGTTATTGTACTGGCATTTATGACTCTAGTGGTTGATGCTAATGGAATCTGTCCAAAGACTTCAGTGTGGAGGATTCCATAAATTCTGAATATGCTACGGTGGATGATCAGGGTTTCTAAATATGGCAGAGGGAAAAAAATGGTCATGAGATCACACAGAGAAACATACCCAGTGAGGACAGAGATGACTAATGCCACCAAATATTCATTTTCTCCCCGACATGTCATAGGTGCCCTTGCAGTCAGGTTGGAGCTACAGAATTATTTGCTGATTTGCGTCCCCAGCCCTCTCCTTTTTTGTTGTTGTGGTAGCCTTGGAGGACTCTATCCCAGATGATAAAATACAAGAGCGAAATTTTTGGACTCATCCTGGTCTTTGTGTGCATGAAAAATAAAGTTGTATTACGTTAAGCCACAGAGATTTCCTGACTGATAGGTTACTGCAGCAGTCTACCCCATCCTGACGAATGCATCAGCCACTTCACTTAAGGCTGAGCACATTTTCTTTCAAATACGGTTATTAGGCTGGTTGTACCATGATAGCCTCATGATCAGAGTGTCTGATTCCAGCATGGCTTTCAAGAGGATTTTTATGAACAAGTTGGGGTATTCTCTGGACAAATTGGGGTCCTGGGTGATAGATAATAAAACATCTAAGCTACTTGAATAAGGATCTACCCTAAAAGGGAAGATTAGCAAATAAACATGAACCTTAAGAGAGGATATCGGCTGGGTGCAGTGGCTCACACCTGTAATCCCAACACTTTGGGGGGCTGAGGTGGGCAGATCACCTGAGGCTGGGAGTTTGAGACCAGCCTGACCAACATGGAAAAACCCGTCTCTACGAAAAATACAAAATTAGCCAAGTGTGGTGGTGCATGCCTGTAATCCCAGCTACTTGGGAGGCTGAGGCAGGAGAATTGCTTGAACCCGGGAGTCGGAGGTTGTGGTGAGCTGAGATCGCACCATTGCACTCCAGCCTGGGCAACAAAAGCGAAACTCCATCTGAAAAAAAAAAAAAAAAAGAAATTAAGAACACATTCTGTGTTTGGTGTCATTCAACACTTTAAATAATGGTTTTAGAGACGACAGAGACACTCTGCTTTTTAAGCTTGTCTGTGCCACAGAGAAATAACAGGCTGAGTATCTGGACTGACAGATTCAGGACACAAACTCTGGTAGGTCAGAACATGGGCCTAAAATGACAAGATAGGAGAAAAGCATCTCAGATAAATATGTGTGTATGTTGATTTGAACTGAAGATCATAGGAGAGGAGGGATGAGGTTTAAAGTATTTTGAAAATAGCTAAGTAGACCAGTATTTTTAGAGGGTAAGGTAAAAGTCAATGGGAAATAAGGCTGAAAGTGGTTTGGGGCTTGAAGGTGGAGAGCCATGAACTTCATGCCTAAGAGTTCAGGCAATGGGGAGGCATCAACAATATTTGAGAGAGGGAGTGACATGATCGATTTAATCTAATTTTTTAAAAACCCTTCTTTTCATTGCCAATGCCCACTCTCTCCTTTCCTCCTAGCTGGTTGGAGGACACCCATGAGGGGCAGGGTCCATTTGTTAAGTTTCAGGCACTAACACATTAATTGATTCATTTAACCCTTACAACCATGATAGGTAGGTTCAACTATACTCATTTTACAGATGAAAAAACTGAGGCTCAGGGATGTTATAAAATTTATCCAAAAACATTCAGCTCCTCTTGGACTGGATAACACGGCATGTGAATGGGAAACCCCAATGGTACTGCAGGTCGAGTATCCCTTATCTGAAATGCTTGGGAGTAGAAGAGCTTCTATTTGGGATTTTTTTGGAATTTTGAAGTATTTGCCTATACAAAATAAGATATCTTGGGGGTGGGACCCAAGTCTAATGTAAAACTCATTTGTGTTTCATATACACCTTATTTACATCACCTGAGGTAGGTAATTTTATACAACATTTAAATAATTTTCTGCATGAAACCAAGTTTTTATTTTATTACCCTTTGTGGGTGTGCTTGTGCTGGAAAATCTGGTTGGGTGCAAGAAAGCTACATTGCAGCTGAAGGGGGCTGGGAGGGCCTTTTTTTCCATTTGGTAAACTGAATAATCTGTGTGTTATTTGCTTGACTTTTGATGGCATTCTGTCACATAAGGTCAGGTGTGAAATTTTCCACTTGTGGCATCGTGGTGGCCCTCAAAAAGTTTTGGATTTTGGGGCATTTTGAATTTCAGATTTTCAGTTTAGGGATGCTCAACCTGTGTAAACATTGTTCTACCAGGAAGAAAGCCATATGGAGGAGAACAGATCTGGAGCCATTGTAGAGAAGGGGAACCAGAGCCTAATCAAGCCTTACTTGAAGGCTATCCTACTGCTGGTCGTATTAGTTGTGTGTGACAGTGAGCCAATTTGAGTTGTGATTTCTAGACAAGCACACCAACTGGTGCAAGCATTTGACATCTCTGAATTATTGGGTGCTTAGTCGGATTGGGCTTCCATAACAAAATACCATAGACGGGGTGGCTTAAACAACAGACATGTATTTCTCACAGTTCAGGAAGCTGGGAAGTCTAAGATCAAAGTGCCGGCCGATTTGGTTTCTTCCTTTCTTTTTTTTTTTTTTTTTTGAGGCACAGTCTTGCTCTGTCGCCCAGGCTGGAGTGCAGTGGTGTGATCTTGGCTCACTGCAGCCTCTGCCTCCCAGGTTCAAATGATCCTCCCACCTCAGCCTCACAAGTAGCTGGAATTACAGTCACGTGCTACCAGGCCCAGCTAATTTTTGTATTTTTAGTAGAGACGGGGTTTCACCATGTTGGCCAGGCTGGTCTCAAACTCCTGACCTCAAGTGATCCACCTGCCTTGGCTTCCCAAAGTGCTGGGATTACAGGTGTAAGCCACTGCGCTTGGCCTTGATTTGGTTTCTGATGAGGGCTCTCTTCTTTGTTATATCCTCACATGGCCTGTCTTCAGTGTGTATGCATGTGCGTGTGCGTGCATGTGTGTGTGTGTGTGTGTGTGTGTGTGAGAGAGAGAGAGAGAGAGAGAGAGAGAGAGACAGTTAGGGCTTCAGCATATGAATTTGAGTGTACGATTCAGTTCAGATAGTTGGTGCCATCGATTGCTCTTTCCTAGAAACGCTCTTCCTTCTTTACTTATGTGATACCACATTAACTCCTCCTCTCTTTGCTTTCTCAGTGTTTTTTTCTGAGTTCACCCTCTCTGCTCACCCCCGTAGACTCTGGTATTCCTCAAGGTTAAGGCCTGGGCTATCTTTCTGCTCATTCTACACAGTCTATTGGGTCAATTTTCCTGAGCAGCCTCATGCACTCTGATGGCTTTAAGATCAGAGAATTCCTGTGATTCCTAAATCTGTAGCTCAAGCTCACAATTCTCTACTGTGTGCCCAGCCTGCACATCTCACTGCCAACTGAATATCTCCTCCTCAAAGGCAACTCACTGAAGTCTGAACTCACGACTCCTACTCTGTGAGTGGTGCTAACATCTCAGAGAAATTCCATGTTGAAGCCTGGCTTCTGCTTCTCCTGTGTCCTACACAACTATCTCATCTGCTTCGAATCCTCCTGCTGACATCTTTGTATTCATGCTTTAAATCATCTTCTTTCCCTCTTCCCCATGGCTACTCTTGTGGTCCGGGTCCCCATCACTGATTTCTGGATTGCCACAATAGCCTCCTCTCTGATCTCTTTGCTTCCAGTCTCAATCCTTCATATTCTTTCTCCTTATTATACCCAACTCCTAAATCCTACCATATTCCTCCCTTGCTTTGCATTTCTCCAGGACTCCTCACTGCCTCAGAGGAAATCCAGGCTGCTTAGACCTGCCTGGCACTCGAGGCTTCTGCAACAGACCCATGCAACCCTCCTGCCTCTTTAGAGTCATTCTTCTTGTTCCCAAGTTGCCTTTATGCTCTGGCCATGCTGAGTCTCTGAAGTTTCCTGAAGGTACCACATCATCTCTCTTTGCATACTCAGTTCCTTCTGTTCTTCTTGTTCAGGTGCCCCTTTCTCCAGGAAGCATTCCCTGACCCATCCTGTTTGGGTTAGGCATCTCTCTCTCTCTTTTTTTTCTTTTTTGTTTGAGATGGAGTCTTGCTCCGTTGCCCAGGATGCAGTGCAGTGGTGTGGTCTTGGCTCACTGCAACCTCTGCCTCCCGGGTTAAAGCGATTCTCCTGCCTCAGCTTCCTGAGTAGCTGGGACTACAGGCACCTGCCACCACGCCCAGCTAATTTTTGTATTTTTAGTAGAGATAAGTTTTCACCATGTTGGCCAGAATGGTCTCGATCTCTTGACCTCGTGATCCACCCGCCTCAGCCTCCCAAAGGCGTCTCTTATGTGATCCCATAACACATCATATTTATTCTCCTATACCCCTTATTGTGTATTGCTGTTAATGATGACATGCCTGTCTTTTCTATGAAACTTTTAGGTCCCTGAGAGAAGGCACTAGGTCTTAGTCTTTGTAACTGCCATGCCTAACACATGGTAGATATTTACTAAATATGTGCAGAAGCCATAAAGTGTGGCACTTAAGAGTGTATGCTAGAGCCAGGCCACTTAAGTTCAAATCCCAGGTCCAATATTTATTACCTTCCTGACCTTGGACACTTTTTAACTTCTCTGTGGATCAGTTTCTTTATCTGTAAAAGTGTGGATAATAGATCACTTGTACTATGAGTCTGTGGGAATGAAATGAGTGAATATATATGAAGCTTTTAGAATCTTGCCCAGCACATAGTCAGCACCCAAGAATTGTTAGTTCTTATCACTTACCAAATAATCAAAGAATGTCACATGCAGGATGCTCATGATTTACATGCAGGTTTTATGTTTACTAATCCTGTAGGTATGTGTTAGTACCCTCACATTACTAACAAGGAAACTGAGGCTAGAAGGCCATGTTCACCCTCATCATGCAGCTGGTGAGCTTTAGAACTGGGACTCAAACCCCGCTGTGCCTGGCCCCAAGGCTCCTTTTTTTGGGATCAACTTGTTTCTAAAGTCCTCCAGGGCTCTAATAATCTCTCATTCTCAGTAATCCCCCTTGCCTACTCCAGGGATCTATTTAGGGGCCTGGGGAAGAGGTGGGCTAGGATAGAAAAGGCAAAGGAGAGGCAAGCTAGGATTCACTTGAAAAGTCTCCAAATCCTTTAAAAAAGTTGAACCCAGGACCCTCAGCGTGGGCAATGAGAGGGGAATCTTCATGGTGGTGGAGGTGCTGTTTTTTTTTTTTTTTTTTTTTTTTTTGAGATGGAGTCTTGCTCTGTTGCCCAGGCTGGAGTGCAGTGGTGCGATCTTGGTTCACTGCAAGCTCTGCCTCCCAGTTTCACGCCATTCTCCTGCCTCAGCCTCCAGAGTAGCTGGGACTACAGGCGCCTGCCACCACGCCCAGCTAATTTTTTTGTATTTTTAGTAGAGATGGGGTTTCACCACGTTAGCCAGGATCGTCTCGATCTCCTGACCTCGTGATCTGCCCATCCCAGCCTCCCAAAGTGCTGGGATTACAGGCGTGAGCCACAGCGCCCAGCCGGTGCTGGTTTTTTTAAGCCCTAACTTGAGCTCTCAGAGACTGACATCCTTTCCTGGCTCACCTTAAAGGATATGGGTTTGATTTATTAAGAGGGGCTGGGATATCCTTCTACTGGTGAGGTAACTGAAGACCACAAGTCTAAAGTTGATTTGAGGGGTGAGGGGGTCACCATGGTACATATATATATGTTACACCAATTCAGAGGTGTTGCACCCATCAGTGGATCTGAATTCATGGGTGCTCAAGGGCCTGGTTGAAGTCTCTGGTAGCTTTCTTTGAATATAGACACTTTACTTTGTGAAACCTTGTCTTGCAAAATATTCACAATAATACCACCACCACCAGCAGCAGCAGCAGCAACAATAATTATAAAACAATCAGGGACTCAGGCTTTTGCAATGAGAATTTAAAAGGTCATATTTCCCTTTTCCATCCCCTTTCGGTGTTGGATGCCCCACTCAGAAGAAAACATGCTCTTAGAAGTGGAGTTAAGAATCAGGAGCCCAAGGACAGCCTCGCAGCCATAGCTTGGGTGTGTCTCTGTCTTCCTGGGCTCCAGAACTGGGGCCAGAGATTGACTAAGTGTAAACACAGCTTTAAACAGTGAGCTCAGAGGTGGAGTGAGCAATTCTAGAGTACAAATAGACCGACTCATAACACAACCCGATATCCTTCAAAAACATTGTGAGTCCACAAAACAGTGGGAAAATAAATCTCTAAGTCAGAGATACAGTAACAAGTAATTGTCTTAAACTAACTGTTTAGTGAAATTTGGGACCACTGGTTGAGTCCATGTTGGTTTAGGGCATTTTGGAGGGCCACTGGTTTCCCTTCTTGGCCAAATGATGAACCAAAAAAGAAGAGATGTTTATCCTTTTTAGATCCATGGAAACATCCGCTACTAGGTGGAGCCTGTGGTCTCTGGCAATGCCCTGGAATGCCCTGGAATGGTTTTTTCCTTCCTGTGGGATCCCAGATGAGATGAAAGGTCATGGCCACTGTTCTTAAACCAGGTATGTCAAGTCTATAGCCCCATTTCCTGAAGATGGGTTCTGCATTTGCACAGAGGTCAACAAACACCAGACAGGGCATCCTTGCTGAAGGCACTTCTCTTTAGGAAGCCCACCTGCTTGCCCTTTTTGCCATGAATGTTTCCATCAGTAGTAGAATCAAGGAAAAGTGTTCCGTTGTTTTCCAAGTGAGACAAAATAAAATTGCGATTGAATTTTCCATGGGCCCACGATGTTTACTGCAGAATAGTGTTATCTGTTTCCTCTGTCTCCTTAACCCCACCATGCATCTTTGCTAAGCATGCCCAATAATTCTTGTACGTCTTACTATGTAGGTTGTCAGCTAACCATACTCCCATCCCTGGGGTGACCCAAGAACCAGGGAATCTCTGGGGCTTAGGAACCAGGTACTGAAGACATTGAAGATTTCTTTCTTTAGCAAGAGGTCTGAAATCAGTGTGGGATACATTATGCATTCTAGAGGGAGACAAAGGGTATGTGAAATTTCTGACTGGTGTCTTTCTCTTAGTGTTCTAATATTTTCATCTCACTGAGATGAGGCATCCCCAAGTGTGAGAGCCTTATGAAGCTCCTAAAACAGGTGGATAAAGAAAGCAGCCTGAATGGTGTGCGCACAGGCAGAGCAGTAGCTGCAATGTGGATCACAGAGAGAGGGCTTGCGGGCATGCCCTGCACCTCACGTCTTTAGCATGTCAGCATACTGTAGCTGTCAGATCTGAGTTCTTATTTCAATTCTGCCACTTCTCAGTTTTGTAACTTTGGGCAAATTATTGCTCTTAGCCTCAGTTTTCCTACCTGTAAAATGGGCATGATATGTTGAGAACATTACCTGTAGTCACGTATATGAAGCATCTGGCATATACCCTGCACATGGCTTAAGCCCCCTTTCTATTAACCCCAGCTCTGAGGATTTGTTATATCTTGTTCAGTGAAAATGGATAGCGTCTAAGTTTGAAGAAAGTTAAGGAAAGTTAAGGAAGTCTAACTTCCTCCTTTATAAATGAGGAATCTGAGGCCAGAGAAGTTAAGCCATTTATCCAAAGTCATGGCCCTGAGGTCTTGACTTTTTATCCAGTGATTGTTTCATGGTTTGATGCTTCTGTGGAGACTGAAGTTGCTAATACATACATTTCAGTGAGCAAAACAATTGTACAAGGTAAGAAAATACCACTCAAAAGAATTTTTTTTCCACGAGCAGTTACCACTATGTGCATGTGTAGTGCTGCTGGTGGTGGTGGGTTGTCAGTGAATTAATTACTGAAGATGCCACAGAATCATGGGTCCCTGGGGACAAAGGTGGATACAGGAATTCCCTGGGCATTCTCCAGGGCTTGACCACATCTATGCTTAATTTGGAGTATTTTGTGAAGACTTTGTCTTGAAGAATATTTACTAGGTAGTTACAAATTGGAGGAGAGCTTTCTGAAGACAAAGCTAGCTGGGTGCCATTAGACATCACAGGACCTCAAAGCAATGTTGACCAAAATGTGTTCCCAGATCCTGGGTAATGAAAAAAGCTTCCATGGTCATCACAGTGACCTTTTATTGTATATTGCCTTGTGAAGTTCATTTCCCAAAATGATTTGAGGACCATCTTTTTCTTGTAATTATCATTCTTTGTAGCTAGTGTTCCACCATTAATTTTTAAAGAAACTATTAGCTTAGGGACATAGATACATGCAGACTATCAGGCAACACTTATGCATCAGTGTGTATTCTATGTAGTCAGAAATGTATTGGCCATTTTATTACAAGAAATCATGCAATACAAAAAGTGCAAGCCAGTGGGACTTCTCTGAGGAAGGACTCACTGGAAGATGAAGCTCCTGGTACTGCACAGATGTGTGCTAACAGTTGAATATGAGTAATGCTCTTTAAAGCAACCAGTATGCTCCACTACTTGTTACCAGTGGTTCTTTCATATTGTCCTAGTCCATTTTGAGTTGCTATAGGAGAATACCTAAGACTGAGTAATTTATAAATAACAGAGATTTATTTCTTACAGTTTTGGAGGTGGGGAAGTCCAAGGTCGAGGGGTTCACATGTGGTGAGGGCCTTTTTGCTGTGTCATCCCATGGCAGGAGGGTAAGAGAGCGTATGTGTGTGTGTGCGTGCGTGTGTGTGTGTGTGTGTGTGTGTGTGAGAGAGAGAGAGAGAGAAAGAAGGGGACCAAAGTCATTCCTTTATCAAGAACCCACTTCTGGGAGACATAACAGCATTAATTCATTCATGAGGGCAGAGCCTTCATGACTTAACCATCTCCTAAAGATCCTACCTCTCAACACTGGTGCATTAAGAATTAATTTTTCAACACATGGACTTTGGGGACTCTTTCAGCCTATAGCACATATTAATCTAGTTGAGTCAGGAAATGGGATGTTTCAGCTAATTAAAACATCCCTACTCACTAAGAAACCATGATGAACACGGATGCTTATACGCGCTTTTTTGTTTGTTTTTTCTTTTTCTTTTTCTTTTTTTTTTGATGGGGTCTGGCTCTGTCACTCAGGCTGGAGTGCAGTGGCACGATCTCGGCTCACTGCAACCTCCGCCTCCCGGGTTCAAGCAATTCTCCTGCCTCAGACTCCTAAGTAGCTGGGATTACAGGTGTGAGCCACTGCGCCTGGCCTATACCTTTTTAAGAATCCCATTCCTGATTTAGTCTTTCTTAGATGAGTCTGAAAGTCCTCTGGGAGCTAGACATGACTCCAAGGTCACAATTGTGGACATCCATTCTCACTGGGTGGCCGATAGAGGGAGAGAATGCACATGGATGGGCAGACCTGACCAAGGATGAGCTCTGAAGTTGTTCTTTGGGACAAGGTCTAGGATGCTGTTTTTTTCATCCCTATGGGGATGCAACTCCCACTTGAACATGCTTTCTACATACTATGCCACTGGGAAGTTGTCAGTACTTGCATTGCTATTTCCATTTTAGATGAGGAATCTGAAATGAAGTGCCTTGCTCAAGGCTATGGAGTGGATAAGGGAGTTACCTGGGACTACCAGGGAGTTCTCTTGACTCTGATTCCAGGTTTCATTCTCATGCTCTGTGATGCCTTTCATTAATGTAGAGGGCTGGGAGCACCTTGGCTACTCGGACACCATGGAGTAGCCAGACAACAGGTACAATCTGCCTCTTTAAGTCTGTGGATCTGTTTTAGAACCTCATAGCCTTCACTTGGGTAGAACAAGTCCGTAGGTAAAGTCTCAATAATATTCACAGTAAAAGTTTAAACAATTAATATTTTAAATTACAATAATACATGCTTATTGTTGACATTTTAGTAAATACATATATATGCATTTAAAGCACACAATTCCACCAACCAAATTATTTACATACTTTAATGCTATGTTCTTCCAGTTTTTCTTTAAGTATAAAATACTGGTATCTTTATGATTGCGTTAATTATTTTGTATCCTGAAGTTTCACTTGTTTATTATGATCTTGTTTATATAATTAAATTTTCTTAAAAATATTTTTAATGGTTTTGTAGTATTGGCGTAACATAACCTCTTTAAATCGATCCCTAATTCTGAATATTTAGATTTTATATATATATATATATATATATATATATATATATATATATTTTTTTTTTTTTTTTTTTTTTTTTTTTTTGCATTTTTCGGTAGAGACAAATTCTTACTTTATTGTCCAGGCTGGTCTCAAACTCCTGGGCTCAAGTGATCCTTCTGCCTTTGCCTCCCAAAATCCTCAATTATAGGCATGAGTCACTGTAGCCGGCCTATTTCTAATTTTTGTTAGTATAGATTACACTTTTTTTGTTGTTGTTGTTGAGATGGAGTCTTGCTCTGTTGCCCAGGCTGGAGTGCAGTGGCACCATTTCGGCTCACCACAACCTCCGCCTCCTGGGTTCAAGCGAGTCTCCTGCCTCAGTCTCCTGAGTAGCTGGGATTACAGGTGTGTGCCACCATGCCTAGCTAATTTTTGTATTTTTAGTAGAGACAGGGTTTCACTATGTTGGCCAGGCTGGTCTCAAACTCCTGACCTTGTGATCTGTCCACCTCAGCCTCCCAAAGTGCTGGGATTACAGGCGTGAGCCACTGCGCCTGGCCCTGGATTACACTTTTAAAACAATATATTTACAGATATTTTTATACAACTGTATAGGAACCTTTATATAATTTTCCTAATATTTGCTTTGAAGAGATTCCTTAACTTTTTTTTTTTTGAGTTAAAAGAAATGAACATTTCGAAGATTCTTTATACATCTCATCTTCACAACTTGTTTTAAACCTCTTCCATAGCTTCAAGCTATGGTCCTGCTTTCTGGTTCTATTCTTCATCTTACTCCCTGGATGCGATGCCTTCATGTTCTTGGCCTCCTTTCCTGACACTATCTACGCACCTGTTTGTTATTCTGGGCTATAAATTTCCCAACCAAATCTGGCTTAGCTCTAGGTCCTGCTGGAATTATCTTCACTCCTCTTGTGGGAAATTGGATGGGAAGGAGAAATTGGACTCCTTCGTGAAAATTCCCTCCACATATTCATCCAGTAAAAATGTATGAAATGCCCAGTGCCTGGCACTTCTGGAATTCTCTCCAAAGATGCCATCCTGTTCCCACACTGTCATGGGAACAATAAAGGGAACCGTGTGGCCTCCTGCCATCTGCGTGTCTCCATCCCAGGGCGAATGCTTGATTAGTGGGGTGGTACTGCAGGCCCGGATCCTCAGGAGTCATCACTTTTCTTCTTGCCACAACTCTTCTTTTGCTCAACAGTGCCTTAATGGCTCAGTCACTTAAGAGTGCAGTCACTTAATAGCCCTTTCTATCAATTTTCCCATCTGCAGAATGGGGACTGTGATTCTGGGCTGACCGGGTGTTGTGAGCATTAATGAATGTTTTGAGGCATGTTGAGATCTGTAGATAAACAAACCTCAAGAAGTACAAAGTGCTAATGAGCCTGTTGCTGAGCAGCTCGCTTTGAGAGACTGCTTTCTTTCCCACAGAGGAGGAATCAGTTCCTAATCCCTGGGCACAGATGTTTTCCAGCTGCTTTTGGATGAACCAAAACAGTGGATTCCAAAGGGAATTTTCCCTGGACACATGCAGCTCTCAGGTTAATGGAAACCTCAGAATTAAGTCTAAAGCAACACCAGAGTAACTCCCAAGTTAGTTTGCCCGGTGACAGCACCACTTGGTAGAGTTTCTTGGCACTTTCTGCAACAGTGTTTGCCTGAGTGTGGAATGTATACTACTGATGACACACAGATGCCTTTGATGGTGCGTGGATGAACTTTTAATAACTTTTCACAGTTATGCATTTTTTGGTGGTTATTTTCTATCTGTAGCAAGTGATACTATTTATTTATTTATTTATTTAATTATTTGTCACAACAAGAATAACTGACATTTGGGCTGGGTGTGGTGGCTCACGCCTGTAATCCCAGCACTTTGGGAGGCCGAGGCAGATGGATCATGAGGTCAAGAGATCGAGACCATCCTGGCCAACACGGTGAAACACTATCTCTACTAAAAATACAACAATTAGCTGGGCATGGTGGTGCACACCTGCAGTCCCAGCTATTTGGGAGGCTGAGGCAGGAGAATTGCTTGAACTCAGTAGGTGGAGGTTGCAGTGAGCCGAGATCGCGCCACTGCTCTCCAGCGTGGGTGACAGAATGAGACTCCATCTCAAAAAAAAAAAAAAAGAATATCTCACATTTACTGAGGGCTTACTTTGTCCTGGGTACTGTTGTAAGTGCTTTACAGCAAAGCATTTAATCATCACAACAGCCTTATCTTTAGATATTCTTATTATCCCCTTTGTACACATGGGGATGTTGACACACAGAAACTTTAAGGAGTCTTACAAACTGTCTAAATTTACATAGCTGGCAAACAGTGGAGATGGGGTTTCTATCAGACAATTTTGGCTCCAGGGCCCATGTTCCTGTTAAACAGCCTGTCATATTTCCTTTCAATATATTTGCATTTGTGGTACTGGTATAAAGGATATTTAAAAACAGATTATTTAAAGTTACAAAAGCATGTTGATTGGAATAAAAATGATGTATAAAATCTGAGTTAAAAATAATGAGATGGTTTGAAGATATGGTGGATATTGTGATGTTGGAATCAATGACTGAAGGGCAGTGCGCCCTAGCGGGTGGCCTGGTGACCACCGGGGCCACTATTCTCTAGAAGCTGGTTAAAAATCCAGATCTATGGGCTCTCTGTGGGTGCAGTCCAAGGATCTGTATTTATAAACAAAGGCCTCAGGGCATTTCCATATCATGAAGCTGTGACACACCTGTTTCCCAACCCCCAATCCCTATCTGGGCATAAGACAAACAACAACAACGACAACTGCTGATTGGTTGGGTGTTCCACTGGGTTATCACTCTTTTGGCCTCATGTCAGGGAAAGGCAGAAGAGAAGGGACAGAGAGCTACTCTTTAGATTGCTAGACACAGGCCTTATCCTAATCCTCACATTGAGGAAGGTGTGCTTAGGCCCATTTTACAGACAAGGAAACTGAAGGTG
This sequence comes from Homo sapiens, assembly GCF_000001405.40. Taxonomy (NCBI): domain Eukaryota; kingdom Metazoa; phylum Chordata; class Mammalia; order Primates; family Hominidae; genus Homo; species Homo sapiens. The sequence goes on from NC_000008.11 coordinate 125,693,379, forward strand.
AAAGAGGGTAAGTGACTTGGCAAGTGGTGGGGCCAAGAGTCAGACCTGGGCATGTAGCGTTCATCAGCCGAGCACTTTCCATTGTACCAGCCCTCTGAGGCCAGGCATTCAGAGTTAGCGCATCCCCAGACAAGCTGAAAGGGGGCCCAAGTCAGGGCAGTGAGCTTGCATTTGGAGAACTGCGCTAACTCTTAGTGCTGGAATTTAAAGCATGGTGTGATCTCGGCTCACTGTAACCTCCCAGGTTCAAGTGATTCTCCTGCCTCAGCCTCTGGAGTAGTTGGGATTACAGGTACCCGCTACCATGCCCGGCTAATTTTTGTATTTTTAGTAGAGACAGAGTTTCACTATGTTGGCCAGGCTGGTCTCGAACTCCTGACCTCGGATCATCTGCCCACCTTGTCCTCCCAAAGTGCTGGGATTACAGGCGTGAGCCACCGTGCCTGGCCCATATTCTTTACCACTGTGTTCTACTGCATCCTAATAATAAAAATATTCTCACTTACTATGTGCTGGGTGTTACACAAATCACACCCGTATCTTTTTTCAGTTGTCTCACCTTAGACACTGGGCTCTCCAATACTCAGTAAAATGTGGGTGCCTCATAGGAACTCAAGACCTGTTTTCTAGCAATAAAGGACCTATTGAATATCTACTATATGAATAGCCATGCTTATAATGGCAACACCAATGATAATGATGATTAAATTAGTCAGGGTTGTTGGTGGTCTGTTAGTCGGAGCGAGGAACTCTAGATCCTTTTACAAATACCATTGAACCTCACAGCCTTAATGATTAAAGATTTATTTCATGGTTCAATGATAGTCGTGTGCCCATTTAGGGTGTCTCTTCTCCAAGTGGTGATATGGGGATCTAGCTCTTTCCATTTTGTGACATTGTCTTCTTAACCAAGTGGCCTCCAAAGTCACTATGAAAGGGGAAGAGAATATGGTGATAGCTCAGTGTGTCTTATGATCACCCCATTGGTCAGGATGACACTACCCTGGCTGCAAGAAAGGAGAAGAAATGCGGTCTTGTGTGTCTGGGCAGAAGAGGAAATGAGGCTGGGAAGCATCTAGCTAGCTTTTGCCACTTTGCAAGCTGCGGAAATGGACTCTGCCTACATTTCAAATTCACTGGAAGTGTACTGGGTAGCTTACAGAATTGGCAGCAGGCTGGAGCACCAGCTAGAAATCCAGGGTGGCCGGGCAGCGGCAAAGTCGAGGCCAGCCTCAAAGTCAGCATCAGAAGTACTGCTAGAATACTTCCACTGGCTCTGCGGATCACACCTCTGACTCTAGCTGGTGCTGGACTCTAGACATCATCCCTACAGTGAAAAATGTCTACACCCTTCCTGCATCTTTGAGCCAGCCTCAGAGTTCCGGACAGACCATCGCTCAGGCCCTCACCAGTGTGTTAGATTGAAGGGAGAGATCGAGTATTATCACTCTCCATAGGCTTCCAAAGGGGAAGGTGCTGTGGGATACCCTAATACTAGTGGAATTCTCCTCAAATAGGCAGGGCTAATTGTTGGGAAGAAAAAAGAGTGAGAGCAGAAAAGAGAGAGGCAGCATGATATCTACTATATTTCAAGCTTGTTAAAAATTCACAAAGTGCTTTTTTATTGTTTAAATTTGCACGATGGAATTGAGGGCAGAATGCCGGTGGGAAGTGGTCAAGCCAGTCCCCAGAGTGCATCGGGGACTTCATGTGTCAGTTTCCTGGTTTGTTTCTTGGTTCATTTGTTCATGGAGCATATATTGTATTCACTGTGTGCTGGGCTCTGTGCTGAATAGGACCAGGTTCTTATCCTAAAGGAGGTCTTAGACGAGTGACATTCAAACATGGTTTCCAAGAGGTAGCAGGGCAGGACTGAGGACAGCAGATGGCCCAAGTCTGGGAACTGTACCAGGGCAGGAACTGACAGATTATGTGTTTGACTTGAGTCTCAGGGAGGTGAAGTGACCTGCTCAAGTCTCATAACTAGTCAATCACTGACCAAGGACTCCAGCGGATGTCTTCAAGTTCATGTTCAGAGGCCTCCTTCCACTCAGAGCAGTTCTATGCAAAGCAGAGGGGAGCACAGTAGCTTAGGGCAATGGGGAGATCATAGGCTTAGGGGTCCTGCATTTTCTAGCTGGAAGCTAGGTGACATTGGCCTAGAGTCACCTAACATCTGAGCCTTAATCTTTCATCTATAAAATATGAATAATAACATGTACTTCCCAGTGTCACTGGGAACAAGTCTAAACAATGAAAGTGCCCTTTATAATGCCAGACGCAGTAGGTGCTCGATGAAAGGTAGCTACATAGAAAGAAGAATAAGATAGGGTCACTGTCTTCAAGGAACTTGTCCTTTTCCTGAAAGGGGCTGGCGAGTGAAATAAGATCAGAGAGTGAAATTTACCTGCGTGTGAGAGAGAAGAAATAAATACAAATCCCTAGTAGCTAAGCTATAAATGCAACTGGAATTCAGAGAAGAAAGAATGCTCTGTGGGCAGGGGTCAAAGGCTCTGTGGCAGGACCAGTGAGGCGGCCAGGATGGGGGCTTTGGTTCTATAACCAGGCTCCGTGGGTTCATATCTGAATTCCATCTATCTTATTACCTCTGTGTTCTTGGGTGAGGGTAAGTTATTTAATTTCTTTAAGCCTCTGTCTCTTCTGCTTAAAATGAAGATAATTGTAGCACCTGCTCATTGGGTAATTCTGAGACGTTAATGAGAAAATCCTCCTAAGGGGCTCAGTACAGTGCCTGGCGCTTAATAATAGTGCCTTGAATATTATTCCTGTGGAACCAAGCCTTGACCAATGAATATATAAGGCCTTCCGCATCGTAGTGGTTGCAAGGATTAAATGAGAGAATTTATGTTAGGCACCCAGCACAGTGTCTGGTGCACAGCAGGCATTGCTTATGCCCCCTTGCCCTCCAGGGAAGGACAATGCCTTATGTTTCTTCTTATCTCCCATGGCCCTCAGCACAGTATCTGGCTTGAGTTAGTTTTACCACGAAGTATTCAGCTGGGAGCTTGACAACAAGCTAAAAGTTGAAAGTAGGGCCATTTGAAGAAATAACACGAGTGAAAACAAAGCAGTGGAAATAGTCCAAATTATCAAGGAGTTTAAGAAGAACTTCTGGGACCATGGGTGGAGCTGGAAGCTGTTATCCTTAGGAAACTAATGCAGGAACAGGAAACCAAATACTGCATGTTCTCACTTATAAGTGGGAGCTAAATGATGAGAACACATGGACACATAGAGGGGAACAGTGCACTCTGGGGCATATTGAAGGGTGGGAGTTGGGAGAAGATCAGGAAAAATAACTAATGGGTACTGGGCTTAATACCTGGGTGATGAAATAATCTGTACAACAAACCCCCATGACACAAGTTTACCTGTGTAACAAACCTGTGCTTGTACCCCTGAACTTAAAAGTTGGAAAAAAAACAACAACAAAAACAGACCTTTCATTCTTTGTAAGGTCGAGGAAGTCCTATTTGTTTCCCCCTGGTGGCCAACAAAAGCAAACACAGCTCAGTTTTTGGGAAAGGAGTCAGCGCTTAAGCAACAGGAACCGTCACAGGGCTCACCTGACCATCCTGGGCCACGCTTCGGCTGTGATTCAGCCCTGCAGAACGATTCATGACCCGTCTCAACTGCAGTGACTTGCTCCTGGTGACATTTCCCAAGGAATAAACAGTGTCGTAAGAACCAGCCTAGAAACTAAAGAAAGAGCTAGTTATTTCATCTCTTTTCTCTTTATCCAGCCGAATACTTTGAAACTCTGCCCTTTGACCTCCTCCTTCAGGGACAGTATCAAGAATTCTCCTCTTTCCTGTGTCATTTTGGACAATTAATCATATAACAGTAATGACAATATTTTGGGTGTTTATTCTCTGGCAGACACTGTTCTAAGCTCTTTACAAACTTAACTCATTCAATCTCCCAGACAACCATACAGGTATGTACTATTTTGACACCAATTTTTCAGAGGAAGAAACTGAGGCCCAGTGAGAATACGTGACTTGCCCCAGGTGACGTAGCTAGTATGTGGCAGAGCCAGGTTTCAAACCCAAGCAACCCGGCTCCAGATACCATGTTCTTAACTCTGTGAATCAGCCTCCCAGGCCACGTGCTCTAGTGACAAATCTTGGGCCATTGCCTAGTATTGCTGGAATTTTGTGTGGCATAAATCACTCGTCTTACACTTTCATAAAAATGTGGCATAAATCACTCTTCTTACGCAAATCATGGAGAGAAATGACTTTTTATTTTTTTATTTTTATTTTTTTAGAGACAGGGTCTTATCCTGTTGCCCAGGCTGGAGTGCCGTGGTGCAATAATAGCTCACTGACTCACTGGACCTCAAACTCCTGGCCACAAGTGATCCTCCTGCCTCAGCCTCCCAAAGTGCTGGGATAACAGGCATGAGCCACTGGGATCAGCCAGAAATGGCTTTTTAAGAGCACATTGGTGGGTTCCACCCTCAGAGATTCTGATCCAGCTGGTCTGGGGTGGAGCCCAGGAATCTGCATTGTTCACAATGGTGCTCTCTATGGTAGTGGAAAGAGCATAGGTTTTGGGATGCCATCTTCTGTCACTGGTTCTTGGATCTTTGATAAATCACTTTTAGCTCCCCCAATGTCTGTACAATTGGTGTCATGATTCTGACCTTATCGTAGTCATGGTAAGGCTGAAATGAAATGATTTATGTTAGTGTCTGGTAGATGATTTATTTTAGATGCTCCTGTCCTTGAGCTGGGGGGCTGACAGTGATCATCTTTAGTCATATATGACTTGTGAAATGTGAAATGGGACTTTTTGGGTCAGGAACAGATACCGTCTCCTCCTAGCAGCCACAACACAGTGACAAGAGCATCACTGACTTGGCCTGAGCTTTGGCATGATTACTTCAAACCTCTGTTTCTCATCTAAGCAGTGTGGAAACCTGTGCTTCCATGAAGGGTTGTGGGGAAAGCCCTCATGTCAGGTTACACATGAGGAAGTGAGGTTTCATTCTGTCAGGCATTGTTTTTCTTGAACCGTCCACATAGGGGCTCAGCTGAGTTCCAGCCGGGCCAGCGGCTGAGTGTGTGCAGGTCCGAGAAGACGTGAATTGTGTCCTGGATTTCTGGTAGGCATGCTCCCAGGACGGCAGGGCATGGTGGGGAATGGCTCTCAGAAGCCCCAAAGCCTTGTCCAAATACTCTGTGGCAGGGGATGCTACAGTTCTGTGTAAAAGACAAGGCCAAGTCACCCGGGGAGGCTCTGTGATGATCCCATTTGACCCTTTGGGGACACGTAGCTGGGGGTTGAGATTCTCTCTTCACTGAGCAGAACAGGCAAGGAGGTAGCGGGCCTGCCTTTTGTGTTGTCTCCGAAAATGGAATCAATGCTGCTCTCCTCTCTTTTCCTTGCCCCACATCTCTCTCTTCCTGCTTTGAGCACTTTGATATAGTCTCACTTTCTATCTATAAAGCCTGTCTGTGTCCTTACTCACTGCAATGACCTGAAATGCAGAAGCTGCTTCTGTGAAAAAAACCACTGGGGAGCCCACAGCAGTTCCACGTCATCCTCTGAGTCACCCTGCAAGTGAAACCTGGGAAGGCTCATGGGGTTCACCTGGGCTGGCCACTCCCTCCGGGGCTACTCTGTGGTCTGTGGCACTGTGGCATCTGCTCTGGGTTTCCAACCAACATTTTCTTGCCTCTGCGCTCTGTGCTCTGGCTGGGATGTTTTCTCCTCTCTTCTCTTTCTGGATAACTCCCATTTTTCCATTAAGACCAAGCTTAAATGTCTTTCCATCTTTATTTTTTTTTTTTGACACAGAGTTTCACTCTTGTTGCCCAGTCTGGAGTGCAATGGCATGATCTTGGCTCACTGCAACCTCTGCTTCCTGGGTTCAAGCAATTCTCCTGCCTCAGCCTCCTGAGTAGCTGGGATTACAGGCACATGGGCACATGCCACCACACCTGGATAATTTTTGTATTTTTTAGTAGAGATGGTTGGTTTAGTAGACATGGTTCACCATGTTGGTCAGGCTGGTCTCGAACTCCTGACCTCCTGACCTCAGGTGATCCACCTGCTTAGCCTCCCAAAATGCTGAGATTACAGGCGTTAGCCACCGTGTCTGGTCAAGACCAAGCTTAAATGCTCCTCTAAGAAATCTTTCCTGATTTTCTGCTTGGTTCCTTACCAGAATGCCAGTGTCTTTCCACTGTCACATTTCCATAGCACCTGAAATGTGTTCTTTAGTGCATGGATGCCATGGTGTTGCCATTATGTGTCTCCCACCAGACTGTAAGCCACTTGAGAGCAGGACCGTATCTCAGCTCTCACGCAGCCTGAGCATCTGGCACATAGTAGGTGCTTTGGGAATATATTTTCCATGAATTATTCATGATATGGCTTGACTTCTGTCATGGATCCTACTCTGCACATAGGTTTCATGCCCACTGGGTTGCTGGTCCTTGGATTCCAGCTGAGGGAAGATTCTGTTCTGTAATAACCTTAAAGGAAGCTTGCACAGTCTCTCCTATAATGTTGTTTTCACTGGGAGTTGATGTTGTCCATCCCATTCTATTGAATAATATCCCTTGTTAGAAAGGGCATTTTGGCATGCCATTAGTAATGATAGCAAACCATATTTATGTGGGTTAGAATTAGGTCCAGTTGTGAGTGATAGAAAACTCAAAATGACAGTGGCTTAAATAGCTATTTATTTATCTCTCATGTAAATATCCACAGTTAATCTAATCCTGCCATGAAGGTTCTGCTCCACAAAGTTCTCAGGGACCTGCACCATTAGACCTTCTACTCCACTCTGCCCAGGGCTTAGCCACTGTACTCATGACCCAAGATAGAGCTTCAGGAGTGACATTCACTTTCCAAACACAGATGGAGGAAGGTGGGAAGAAGGGGGCCCAATGAGTGGGCCAGCTGTCTGTCAAAAAGTTTCCCAGAAGCAAAGGGAATCTTCCACATGATACTCTGTTTACATCCCATTGGCAGAACTTAAGTCATATGACCACTCCTGATCTGCAAGAAAGTCTGGGAAATGTAGTCTTTATTCTGAACAGCCATGTTTCTAGCTGTGGAGGAAGGGGAATATGAAATTGAAGAATAATAGCAGTCTTTGCTACAATATTTGCTTAGCACTTTACAAGTCCTTTTTTATATTCGTTATCTGGGCTGATACTCATATGGAAGACAGGGTTAGTAGCTTGTTTAAGGACACACAGGGTAAAAGCAGAGTCAGAAGAACAGAGAGGTGTTTTGATGCTGCACCCTCACTGCTATACTGTGCTACTTCTCACACTGAGCTGAAATTGGTTTCTTTCCAACTACCCATCGGTCCCAGTTGTGTCAGCTTGAGAGAAATGAAAGGAGTACAGTCTTTCTGCTGGGTAGTAAGTGACTCAGACACAAGGCCGTGGTGCATGCTGAATATCCTGCCCTCCACTGCCCCCAGCAGGTTGCCTGGATCGCAAGACTACTCAATAAATAGTGAAATTGAAAAATCATTGTGGAATCTCAATTCTTTTTGTCTAATAATGATAGCAGTGTATATTCCTATAGCATGTTACAGTAAGTGTTTACATCTCTGGTTTCCATTAGCTTCAGGGTTTATGGAGAAACTTATGGTTCATAAAGCCATACTGTTGAAGGTCTTTCCTTGGCAAACGCAAAGGGAATACTGAATGCAGCACTTTCCCGTGTGATTCCCCTTTAATCATCACTGAACATTTCAGAGTGTCTCAGTGCATTTAGTGTTACTACCAAGACATACCTGAGGCTGGGTAACATATAAAGAAAAGAGGTTTATGTAGCTCATGATTCTGCTGGCTGGAAGGTTCAAGATTGGGCATCTTGTGAGGGCCTCAGGCTGCTTCCCCTTATGGTGGGAGGTGAATAGGAGTCTGTGTATGCAGAGATCACATGGTGACAGAGGAAGTGATGGGGGGAAGGGAGGTGCCCGGCTCTTTTTAACAACTAGCCACTGCAGGAATGAGAACTCACTCATCCTCGAGGGAGGGCATTAATCTATTCATGAGGCATCTGCTCTCATGACCCAAACACCTCTCCTTAGGCCACATCTTCAACATTGGGGATCAAATTTTAGCATGAGGTTTGGTGGGACAGACATCCAAACTATAGTATAGAGCTTGGGATTATTATCCTCATTTTAGAGATGAGACATCTGAAATTTATTATTTATTTATTATTATTGTTATTTTTTAAGACAGAGTCTCACTCTGTCACCCAGGCTGGAGTGCAGTGGCATGATCTTAGCTCACTGCAGCGTCCACCTCCTGGGTTCAAGTGATTCTCCTGCCTCAGCCTCCCGAGTAGCTGGGATTACAGGCACATGCCACCACACCCAGTTAATTTTTGTATTTTTAGTAGAGACAGAGTTTCGTCATGTTGGCCAGGCTGGTCTTGAACTCCTGACCTTAGATAATCCACCTGCCTTGGCCTCCCAAAGTGCTAGGATTAGAAGTGTGAGTCACCGTGCCCAGTCAAAAACTGAAGTTTAAAGAGGCTTAATAACTTTCTCTAAAGGGTGGAGTGCCCAACCCTACCTGCCTGACTCTGAATGGCTCTGGTCTTGGGATTCCTCTGTTCTTAATCACTCCTTCGACATCAATGAATTATCAATGATGCGTACAAAACGCTGTTTGGGAGACACCAAGAAGGATTAGCAATGTGATGCCTACTATTTTTGGAGTTGCAGGAAAAGCTAATGGCAGGACCAGCCAGTACTAGGGAGTCAGAAGAGGGTGGCTGCCTGTAGCCAGGAGTCGAGTAGTTCCTCTCCCCAGTGAAGAAGGGGGAGGTGTGGAAGGTGCAAAAGTTAATACAGGAAGAATAGAGGAAGGGCCCTGTGAACTTTCAATACCCCTGTACCTTATTTTGCTGAGCTTATTATATAATACCAGAGCAGAATAGAAGGTAGACCCACGGGAATTCAAATCTTGGCTGTGCCACCCACTTCCTGGGCAAGTCACTTCCTCTCTCTGTGTCCATTTCCAAATCTTTGAAATTCAGTTAGAAACATCACTTTAAAAACAGGGTTGTTGTGAAGATTTTATGAGATAATGTATAAAATAAGTTCTTACCAAGTATCAGCTATGATATTTATGATATTTTAGAGTTATTAATTATACTGTGAGGATTAAGGAACTTGGCAGAGGAATACAGTAGGTGCTTAAATGGTATCCTAAAATATTATTTAAAAATAAATGACAGTAATGGGAATACCGCAATTACTTTTGCACCAACGTAATAATAGTAGGATATTTAAAGTTGAGATCACAGGAATCAGTGCAGATATGTCTCATTTTAACCAGCAGGTGGCGCTCATGTCGTGTTTAAATTCTGAAAAACCTTAAAAAGTACATACATATTCATATTTTCTATTTTTACCAGAAAAAGCAAGGAAAAAAATCTCAAAAAAGGCCATTGTCTGTGCCATGGGGAAATAATTAAGGTATGTAAAACAGCTGATACAGTAATTAATAAGAGCAGTGACTGGAGAGTCTCAAAAAGCTTTGCTGCAAAACTGCGGGAGTGTAATTGACCTCACTGACGTAGGAAAAAAATCACAAGCTCACACACAGCAGGGAAAGACTGTGCTTTCACATCAGTAGATTTAGAACCAAACCAGGGGATCCTGGAGCTGCGCTTCTGAGCCACACCTGGGAAGACTTTGAAAAGGTAAGTTCTAGGAAGGCAGGGTCTCCAGTGACTGTCTTTACCCATATTCCCAGGGCCTAAGGCATTAATCGTAGTAGATGCTCAATAAGCATGTGTCAGGTGAATGAATGAACACCATAGCACATGCAGAGTTTTGTAATCCAGGCCTCAGCTTCCTCTCTGTAATCCTGGATAGACTTGGAGTTTCTGGGGTCTTGTCTCCGTTTGATGGTGTGGTCCTGGGCATCATCTTCTCTGAGTCTGGGTGGCATTTGTTTTCTATGTGAAATGAGAAGCTGGGAGTAGCTACTGTGACCCTGTATGGATTCTATATGGATACATCCTCCAAGTCAGGAGGAGAAGCATGAGCGTCGGCAGGAACGGTCAAGTTCATGCTTCTTTGGTTGGAGAATCTGCACAAGTCTTCTGGGAAGAAAGTAGAGGCTGTCTAGGGGTTACAGGATCATCATCTAAGTTCTGCTTCTGCCTGGACTTGCTGCGTAATTTGAATGAGTGGCTAAACCTGACTCTTTCTCCTCTTGGAAGGAGCAACTGCCTCTTCATTTTTGCTAGTATGGGTAATAGGATGACATGATTCTCAAGTGCTTTGTAGACATAGAAATGTATTCTAGGTGTTGAGTCTATTTCATGTGTTAGAGATAGCAAGTAAAGGGCCGTGGGAGACATGTCATTTGGATTTTATCTCTAATATATTCCTTATCTTGTTGCAGGGCAGGCAAGCCCCAAAACTGGGGCTTAGCCCAGGAAGGCTCTTGGCTTCACTCGGGAAAGAATTCAAGAGTGAGTCAGTGGTAGAAGAAAACAGTTTTGTCGAGGCAATGGAATTATAGCTCTGTGCCTGCTCCTGCAAGCAGGGCTACCCCATGGGCAGGGCTACCCCACAGGCAGTGTGTCAAGAGGAGCAGCTCAGGGGCATTTCTGTAGTCATAACCACTTTTAGTAACAAGCAAATTAAGGGGCAGATTATGCAGAAATTTCTAGAAAAAGGGTGATAACTTCTGGGTGTTGCCATGGCATTGGTAAACTGACATGGCACTGATGGGCGTGTCTTATGGAGAGGGGCTTTCACATTTTCCCCGTTTCAGCTAGTCTTCAGTCTGGTCCGAAGTTTGAGTACCCCCCTCCAGAGTTGCATCCCACCTTCTACCTCTATCTGACCCATTTTTCATATCAATTTGGGCCCCACCGACAAGTCTTTATTTTAAAGCACAAGCCTCCTCTTCTAACTCTTCCCAGGTGTGAGGCCCATTGAGATGCACTGCTCAGATTTCCTTCAAGAGAATGTGCCGTAGGGAGCATAGTGGGTCAACAGCCCCAGTGGCAGCCCCATGAGCTGAGGGTGTGTTTTCTGCAGGTTGCTCCCAGCCCATGACAGCTTGGTAGGGGATCCTGCTCAATTTGGGATACCCCAATGAGCAGCTTTGGCTCTCATTGGCTTTCATTTGGCTCTGGGACTCCCCATCCATGTGGTTGAAACTTTCTCTGAACTGCTGCCTGAGCCTCTTCCTCCCCAGTCTTTCCTTTGCTCTCTTCTTTCACAGATGTGAGACAAGCATCACTGGCTGAAGGCTCTCCCAGCCTTCTCTGCACTGTCTCCCTTTATACTTCATTGGTAATGATTCACAATTTCCCTGTCTTTTGGACTGGCACACCAGGCTACTGTGGGATGAATTTCTGCTTTTTGTTTTTGACCCATTATTTGTCTTTGAGACCATATTGGTTGAATTTTCCTTTTTATTGGTTTGTAGAAAGCAAAAAGTAAAGTTCTAACCAACCACTACTAAAACAAAAGAGGATTTATTATCTAACCCGCAGGATACAGGTTACAGCAAGAGTGTGTATTTATCACAGCTGGGGTGTATATCTTCTGTTTGGTTATGCTGCTGTTCAAACCTCAAAATCTCAATAGCTTATGAGCCCAAAGGTATATTTCTCAGTTATATTACATGACAACTGCGATCTATGCATCATCATTCTAGGATCCGGGCTGAAGGAGCAGCCCCATCTGGAACTTGCTGTTCTCGTGGCAGGGGAAAAAGAACAAGAAAGTGCATAAAACCATGAGATGATTCTTAGAGGTTCTCCTAGGATTGGCGTATGTCACTGCTACTTGCATTTTACTGGTCTAACAAGTCACATGGCCAGGCCTGATGACAATGGACAGAGAAGTATCCTTCTTCCCCCAGGGAGGAACTGCAAGTCACATAGCAGTGGACAGATGTAGAATCCTCCAATTGCGAGGACAGTGAATAATGAGGAGCAGCAATACAATGCACAGTCAACTCTCATTATTCATGGATTCCGTATTTGTGAATTTTCCTACTTGCTGAAATTGATTTTGTAATTCCCAAATCAATACTCATGTGTTTTTGTGGTCATTTGCAGACATGAGCAGAATGGCAAAAATTTTAAGTTTCCGAATGTGCACATTCCTAGCTGAGGTTGAACAAGGCAATGCTTTGCCTCCTTGTTTCAGCTCTCATACAGACACAAGCAGAATGTGGAGATGCAGAGGGCTGTGCCACATGGCGCCAGAAGCTCCAATGCTTGGCCAGTTGCATCAGGTTTGAGTCCTCACTCTTGCCCTTGATAGTGGGGCAGCCTCAAACAAGTCACTTAACACTTCTGCATCTCAGTTCTCTTTTGTAAAATAAACAAAATAGAATCTACCAGGATGAGTTGTTTTTAGGAACTAAGGTTATAATCTATGAGAGAGATGTGTGTGTGTATACCTACCTATAGATATAGATATATGGGTGTGTGTATTGTGTGTATACCTACCTATAGGTATAGATATATGTGTGTGTGTGTATTGTGTGTATACCTACCTATAGATATAGATATATGTGTATGCGTATTGTGTGTATACACACAGCACACAAACACACATTTCCCTTGGGGGTGATGGTTCAGGGTTTGCAAATTCAGTGTTTGCAACAACTTTATAGAACATAACTATCATGAAGAAAGAGAATCGATTGTATCTCAGGATCATTGAGGGGCCCAAGAAAGAGCACTCCTTTTTATCACTCAGGTTCTGAACTGATTGACTAAGATATGGAGACCAAATGCCACCTTTATTATTGACGATCAGTGGAGGCTGCAGCACAGAGCCCAAACGGCTTGCGTATTTCCCATCCACAGTCTTGTCTTCACAAGGTAAATTTTGTTCTGCAGAGCAGTCCACACTTTCTCAAGTCACTGCTGCCTACAGGTCTGGGTGGAGAAGGAAAGACAAAGGGACCAGTGACCCTCACTCACCACCTTTGATGAATTGTCTCCTCCCTATTGAGAAATATGGACCAATGACTGTTGTACATGGACTGGGAAATCCATTCCACCTCTATGGGGAGGGTAAGTGGCAAGAAGCCAGAAATAGTTGGGGAAAAATTGGTTCTCATGACAGAAGATGTAGGGAAGTTGCACTTCCCCTTACCACATCAGAGGAAGGTACAAGCCCAGTTGTGGGTTTAGGGGATGAGTTGGGGGTTCCCTTCTGTCAGTGCTGAGTGTTGACAGCAGTTCTGATCTTTGATCTCTAACATGCAATAAAGGTGTCCTGCTGGGAAGGTGATCAAAGATGTTCTGGCTAGTTTCTCCTTACTGGTAATTTGTATAGAAGCACACACCTCGGCTGCAAATAAAAATAATTCCTGGCCAGTTATTTCTCAGTCAGTTTGAACCTGTGATGGAATTTCCCCACCAATGGTTTGCAGTAAGTGGCAGAAGGGAGGACACCAGCTGTTGATTAGACCTCAGGTGACAGAGAAAGCTGGCATCGGCTGCAAGCACCACAGCCTTGGTTGGCATTCTATGCAAGCAGGGAACTAGGGCATGAAGATTGACAAGCATCATCCAAGGAGCAGGCAGTTCCAGAGAAACAATTCATCTTTGTTCTTTTTCTTTTGCAGAGAGATCTTCATGGTAGCTTTTTAAGGCCAAGCACTAGAGCTGTTTCCTTGGTTACAAAGGCTTACTTACTAGGGCAAAGGTGGGGTGCAGGTGGCACCTGTAGATATTCACAATGGCAAATTGCAAGTGTATGCATATTATATATAATGTCTTAGGGCTGCCAGCAAATTACCACAAACTGAGTGGCTTAAAACAGCAGACAAAGTCAAGGTGTTGGCAGGGCCATGATCTTTCTGAAGGTTCTAGCGAATTCTTCTTGCCTCTTCTTAGCTTCCTGTGGTGGCTGCAGATCCTTGGTGTTCCTCGGCTTGTAGATACAGCACTCCAATCTCTGCCTCCATCTTCACATGGCCATCTCCTCTGTGTCTCTGTGTTCAAATTTTTATCTTCTTATAAGTACATCAATCATTGGATTAGGACTCATCTTAATCCAGCATGACTTCATCTTAACTTGATTATATCTGCAAAGACCCTATTTTCAAATGAGGTCACATTCACAGATTCTAGGTGTACATGAATTATGGGGCGACCCTATTCATCATAGCATAGTGCATATTTTGAGCTTTGCACACTTCCAGTACTCTCCACCTCCCCTATTACTGCCTTAACTTAAGCTCCATGAACTCTCCAGTGCTATAAGAGTCTTTAAATGCTTTCATATCCTTTATTGTATCTGATTCTATCAACAACTCAAAACTACATTATTTTTCACATTGTCTGAAAGAAACTGAGGCTCAGAGAGGCAAAGTCACTCTCAGAAGGCCACACAGCTTGTGTGTGGCAGGAACAAGTTTATCTGGTGCTGTGCTCATGCCATACAGCACCTGTAACTTTGAGCTAAAAAAGCAGCATAATTCTTTCATTGCCTCCCAAACCTCTTTTACTAATGAAAGAAAAAGCCTTTCTATTTTATAACTCAGAGTTGTTTGGCAGTGTTTCCTTTGCAGAGAACCATCAATTAATCAATCATCCAATCTGTGAAATAATATTTACCATGTACTGTGTTTGAGGGAGCGTGCTAGCCCCTGAGGACAGAGTGGTGAGTAAGAGACACATTTTTAACCTCATGGAGTCTACAGTCTAGCAGTAAAGGAGTCATACATGCAAACAAATATGCAGATCAATAGGTACTTGCAAATTGTGATGGTTATTGGGGAGAAGTGACAGCATAGAAATCTAGTTTAGACAGGGGATGGGGTCACTAAAGACTCTGGAAATGTGATGTTGAAACAGAGATCTGAGGGATGAATGGATTTTGCCAGGTGAAGAGAGGCATGGAATGTTCCAGTCAGGGCAAACTGCCAAGTGTGGGAAGAGCTTGGTGGTTTGAGGGCTGGAGCTTGTAGGGCAAGAACGGAATAAGGAAGACAGAAGAGGAGTAATTTTAGATGTACAGCTGAGGGACGATGAGGGCTTGGGTATTGGGAAAGGAGATGCAAAAAAGGGGTGGGGCTTGAGAGCTATTGGAGAAGGAACCACAAGGGTGAAGGTGCTTCCCTGTCTCCTGGCACAGAGATGCAGGCTTCCGACCAGTGTGGTGACTTCCCTTTCCATCCATGGCTCAATTTACCATACTCATGCCTCCCAAATGGTTTCAGACGGGAGTGTCCTGCATCCTGCCCACAGCTTTGGGGACCTGTTCATGATCATGCAGTGACTCTATAGTCTGCTGACTGAGGTCACTGTCTGAGTTAGCCATCGGGGATCATGACTGCTGTCACATGAAACCAGTTGGAGCCACAGCCTCCAAACCCAGTGCAGCCCATCTATGTTTCATTCATTCCTAAACATGAACGGATTTCACATAGATGTTTTCATCAGGTTGAAAAGCTCTCCCGTCCTGGTGAAAAGAGAGGGCATGGAGAAGAAGCCATCTGTTTCTTAGCCAGACACAACATGGCTTGGGCTATGTAGATATTTCTACATAGGTATTCCAACTGTAGGTAGGTCAACCTGGGTACAATTGGCCCTTGAACAATGTAGGGGGTTAGGGCGCTGGCCCCTCGTGCAGTCAAAATTCTCCATATGACTTTTGATTTCCCCCAAATTTAACTACTAGTAGCCTGTGGATGACCTAAAGCCTTACCAATGCCTCTGATGGGACTTCTTGGTGGCCCTTTGGGCCTGCCCACTGAGCAACAGGGGAAATCAGTGTGTCTTCTGACTGGGATCAGTTCAGGACTTTGCAGGTGAGTGATTATGAAAACCCAGGAATTTTTAGAAATGAGAGAAAAGGACCAAGAAGATCTTTGAAGTTTAATATATATTTTCTGCTAGTGTCTTAATCCAAGAGGCCATGACTAGTAGTGCGTCTGTATATGTGTGTTTATGTGTGTCTGAGTGTGTCTACCTATGTGTGAATGGGGATGGAAGCCGAGAGTAAGAAGCCATCACCTTTAGAGCTTTCCTGAAATATCCCTGCTGAGAATTGGATGCAGAGACAGTAATCTTTGTTGAGCACCTGCTATGCTCCAGGCACTCTGTGGGGCATGCTCATCCATATTATATTTTGGATTTTTTCTGGATCCTTGATATAGTTTGAATGTTTGTCTTTTCCAAACCTCAGTTGAAATTTGCTCCACAGTGTTGGAGTTGGGCCCTTGTGGGAGATGTTTGGGACATGGGGGTGGATCCCTCATGAACTGATTAATGCTCTCCCTCAGGATGAGTGAGTTCTTGCTCTACTAGTCCCTGTGAAAACTGATTGTTAAAAAGAGCCTGACATTTCCATCCCACCCTCTCTCTTGCTTCCTCTCAAATTTCCAGCCATCAAAATTGTGAGCCAAATAAACCTTTTTTCTTTGTATTTTATCCAGCCCCAGGTATTTCTTTATAGCAACACAAAATGGACTAAGACAATCCGTATGCAGCCCAATGAAGGAGGAAATAGGATTCTATTTTACAGATGGGGAAACTGAGGTTGAATGAGTTGAAGTGGGTTGCACTCTGCGCTCACCTCAGTCACTGCTCTCTTGCTGTGCTGTAATGCCTGCTGCGGTTGCTCACCTGCCTTCTGCACCAGGCTTCTGGCCCTTGAGGGACCTTTTTCTTTGTGTTCCCAGTGGCTCTAACCCTGTGCCTGGCACATAGTGGATACTTGCTGCATTTTTAAAGTGGATATTTTGTTGAAGTTTGGTGAATTCAGAAAAGTGCACAGATCATAAGTATACAGCTTAATGAATTTTTACAAAGGAACATGCCCTGTAACCAGTACCCAGATAAAGAAGAACCACTATTGTTTTAGAAGCCTCCATAAAGCCCTACTCCAGTCACCAACTCCTCCCTTTATCCTGCCAATGGTAACCAGTATCCTGACCTTTAACCCCATAGATTAGTGTTGCTTTTTTCAAACTTTGTATGGATAAAATGATGTATACATTCTATATTATGTTTGCTTGTTTATTTTCTCTACTGTAGAGTATTTCATTCTATATATAAACTATAATATATTTGTCCATTCTACTCATTTGGGTTGTTTCTAATTTCTGGTTATTATAAATAGGGCTGATATATGTATATTACACAGATGTATCTACCTACCTACTATTGACCCTTGAACAATGTAGGAGGTTAGGGCACTGGCCCCTTGTGCAGTCAAAAATCTTCATATAACTTTTGACTTTCCCAAAATTTAACTACTAGTAGCCTGTGGATGACTGAAAGCCTTGCCAATAACATAAGCAGTTGAGTAACACCTAGTTTTATATGTTATATATATATTATATACTGTATTATTACAATACAGGAAGCTAGAGAAAATATTATTAAGAAAATCGTAAGACAGAGAACATATATTTCCTATTCATTAAGTGGAGGTGGATCATCATGGAAGTCTTCATCCTTGTCTTCACATTGAGTAGGCTGAGGAGGAAGAGGAGGAGGAAGAGGATGTGTTGGTCTTGCTATCTTGGGATGGCATGGGCAGAAGAAAATCCACATATAAGTGAATCTACCCAGTTCAAACCCATGTTTTAAAAGGTATATATATATTCTAATAGAGGTCTTTAGGTCAAAATGCACAATAAATATTTGAAGAAAGAATAATGATTTGCTGCTTAAGGAAATCACTCATAAAGTGTTTTATAAGTGATATGATTTGGCTGTGTCCCATCCAAATCTCATCTTGAATTTTCATGTGTTGTGGGAGGGACCTGGTTGGAACTAATTGTATCACAGGGACGGGTCTTTCTCGTGCTGCTCTGTGATAGTGAATAAGTCTCACAAGATCTGGTAGTTTTAAAAAAAGGAGTTCCCCTGCACAAGCTCTCTCTCTTTGCCTGCTGCCATCCATGTAAGACGTGACTTGCTCTTCCTTGCCTTCTGCCATATTGTGAGGCTTCCCCAGCCACATGGAACTGTAAGTCCAATAAACCTCTTTCTTTTGTAAATTGCCCAGTCTTGGGTATGTCTTTATCAGCAGCATGAAAACAGACTAATACAGTAAATTGTTACCAGTAGAGTGGAGCACTGCTGAAAAGATACTTGAAAATGTGGAAGCAACTTTGGAACTGGGTAACAGGCAGAGGTTGGAACAGTTTGGAGAGCTCAGAAGAAGACAGGAAAATGTGGGAAAGTTTGCAACTTCCTAGAGATTTGTTGAATGGCTTTACCCAAAATGCTGATAGTAATATGGATAATAAAGTCCAGGCTGAGGTGGTCTCAGATAGAGATGAGGAACTTGTTTGGAACTGGAGTAAAGGTGATTCTTGGTATGTTTTAGCAAAGAGACTGGTGGCATTTTGCCTCTGCCCTAGAAATTTGTGGAACTTTGTACTTGAGAGAGATGATTTAGGGTATTTAGAGAAAGAAATTTCTAAGCAGCAAAGCATTCAGGAGGTGACTTGGGTGCTGTTAAAGGCATTCCATTTTATATGGAAAGCAGAGCATAAAAGTTTGGAAAATTTGCAGCCTGACAATGTGAAAGAAAAGAAAATTTAATTTTCTGAGGAGGAATCTAAATTGGCTGTAGAAACTTGCATAAGTAACGAGGAGCTGAATGTTAATCCCCAAGACAATGGGAAAAATGCCTCTAGGGCATGTCAGAGTTCTTCACAGCAGCCCCTGTCATATCACAGGCCCAAAGGTCTAGGAGGAAAAAGTGGTTTCTGGGGCTGGGCCCAGGGTTCCTGCTCCGTGTGCAGTCTAGGAACTTGGTGCCCTGTGTCCCAGGTGCTCCCAGGGGCCAATGTAGAGCTTGGGCTATGGCTTCAGAGGGTGCAAGCCTCAAACCTTGGCAGCTTCCACGTGGTGTTAAGCCTGTGAATGCACAGAAGTCAAGAAGTGAGGTTTGGGAACCTCTGCCTAGATTTCAGAAGATGTATGGATGTCCAGGCAGAAGTTTGTTGCAGGGGTGGGGCCCTCAGGGAGAATCTCTGCTAGGGCAGTGCAGAAAGAAAATGTGGGGTCAGAGCCCCCACACAGAGTCCCTACTGGGGCACTGCCTAGTGGAGATGTGAGAAGAGGGCCACCATCTTTCAGACCCCAGAATGGTAGATCCACTGACAGCTTGCACCGTGTGCCTGGAAAAGCTGCAGACACTCAATGCCAGCCTGTGAAAGCAGCCAGGAGGGAGGCTGTACCCTGAAAAGCCACATGGGTGGAGCTGCCCAAGACCATGTGAACCCACCTCTTGCATCAGTGTGACCTGGATGTGAGACCTGGAGTCAAAGGAGATCATTTCAGAGTTCTAAGATTTGACTGCCCTGCTGGATTTCAGACTTGCATGGGTCCTGTAGCCCCTTTGTTTTGGCTAATTTCTGCCATTTGGAATGGCTGTATTTACCCAATGCCTGTATCCCCATTGTATCTGGGAAGTAACTAACTTGCTTTTAATTTTACAGGATCATAGGCGGAAGAGACTTACTTTGTCTTAGATGAGATTTTGGTCTGTGGACTTTTGATTTAATGCTGAAATGAGTTAAGACTTTGGGGGACTGATGGGAAGGCATGATTGGTTTTGAAATGTGAGGACATGAGATTTGGGTGGGACCAGGGGCAGAATGATGTGGTTTGGCTATGTCCCCTCTCAAATCTCATCTTGAATTTCCTCGTGTTGTGGGAGGGACCTGGTGGGAGGTAATGGAATCATGGGGACAGGGCTTTTCCATGCTGTTCTCATGATAGTAAATAAGTCTCATGAGCTCTAATAGTTTTAAAAAGAGGAGTTCCCCTGCACAAGCTCTCTCTCTTTTCCTGCTTCCATCCATGTAAGACGTGACTTGCTCTTCCTTGCCTTCTGCCATGACTGTGAGTCTCCCCCAGCCACGTGGAACTGTGAGTCCTATTAAACCTCTTTCTTTTGTAAATTGCTCCCAGTCTTGGGTATGTCTTTATCAGCAGCATGAAAACAGACTAATACAATGAGTGAGGCCCCCAAATCCTTTATATAGATGAAGTTCATGGGAGTTTGGGAGAGAGGGAGGAGATGTAGGCAGTTCCCAGGAAGGGGTCCTTCAATGAGCAAGTCTGCAGGGAAAGGATATCCTGGAAAGGCAGGAGTGCAGTGGAGGACAGGGCTGGGGGGAAGCTGGAGGCTTGCATGGCCAACACCAAGTTTAGTCTTCATATGATGGGCAGGAGGGATTGTGGATGGCTTTGGAGCTGAAGAGCATGATTCATTTTCTTTCATTTACCTTTTTAAAAATAGAAATTAGATTGTCTGTTGTTGCTAGAGTGATTTGGGGGAAAATGACAGAAGTCAGGGAGCCAGGGTAAGAGGCAGCTGCACCTGTTCACTTGTGTGTTAATGACATTGTTAGTGGGATGGAGGAGACCTGCTGAGCACAACGTTGGGAAGAAAATCTTCAAACACCAGTTACAAAAAGGGAGGCCAGGAAAAGTCATTTGTAAATGTGACTGTAAGGGTTTGAGCTTGTAAAAAAATGGGTCCAGGGCAGGTGGGTTAGTAAATTTAGGGAAGTGAGAGAAGTTTGGGGACTGCCACCTATGGTTTCTATTTCCTCAGTGACATTGAGATGAGGTTATCAATCAGCTGAGGGTGAGCAGGGAAGTTCAGTGGAGTAGGAGAAATGAAGAGGCAGAATCAAGTATAAAATAATGGATTCTGAATAAAACACGAAGAATTATATGTACCTAGGTAAAAGATTGGGAACCCCTGGAATAAATCCTTGTTGTTTGCAATCATTAGTAAACAAAATATTGCCTTTCTTTTTAATCTTTCCAATCTGTCATTTGCAGCATTTTTAATGTGAAATTTAT